>NC_000012.12:64960128-66210128 GCF_000001405.40 Homo sapiens
AAAGACTTTTTTTCTTAAATTTCCAACTTTTAAGTTCAGGAGTACATGTATAGGATGTGCAGGTTTGTTACATAGGTAAACGTGTGTCACGGTGGTTTGCTGCACAGATCATCTCATCACGTAGGTATTTAAACCCAACATCCACTAGCTATTCTTCCTGATCCTCTCCCTCCTCCAACCCCATGTCCTCCGACAGACCCCAGTGTGTGTTGTTCTCCCCATGTGTCCGTGTGTTCTCATCATTTAGCTCCCACTTATAAGTGAGAACATGTGGTATTTGGTTTTCTGTTCCTGTGTTAGTTTGCTAAGGATAATGGCTTCTAGCTCCATCCATGTCCCTGCAAAGGACATGATCTCGTTCCTTTTTATGGCTAGATAGTATTCCATGGTGTATATGTACCACATATTCTTTATCCAGTCTATCATTGATGGGCATTTAGGTTGAGACCATGTCTTTGCTATTGTGAATAGTGCTGCAATGAACATATATGTGCATGTGACTTTATAATAGAACGATTTCTATTCCTTTGGGTATATACCCAGTAATGAGATTGCTGGGTTGAATGTTTTTGTTTCTAGGTCTTTTAGGAATAGCCACACTGTCTTCCACAATTGTTAAACTAATTTACACCCCCACCAACAGTGTAAAAGTGTTCCTTTTCCTCCACAACCTTGCCGGTATCTGTTGTCTTTTGACTTCTTGATAATAGCCATTCTGGGCCAGGAGCAGTGGCTCACACCTGTAATCCCAACATTTTGGGAGGCCAAGATGAGCAGATCACACGAGGTCAGGAGTTGGAGACCAGCCTGGCCAGCATGGAAGAACCCCGTCTCTACTAAAAATACAAAAATCAGCTGAGCGTGGTAGTGCACGTCTGTAATCCCAGCTACTTGGGTTGCTGAGGCACGAGAATTGCTTGAATCTGGGAGGTGGAGGTTGCAGTGAGCCAAGATCATGCCACTGAACTCCAGCCTGGGCAACAAAGCAAGACTCTGCCTCAAAAATAATAATAATAATAATAGTAATAGCCATTCTGACTGGAGTGACATGGTATGTCATTGTGGTTTTGATTTGCATTTTTCTAATGATCAGTGATGTTGAACTCTTATGTTTTTTGGCCTCATGTATGTTTTTTGAGAAGTGTCTGTTCATGTCCTTTGCTCAGTTTTTAATGGTTTTTTTTCTTGTAAATTTGTTTAAGTCCTTTATAGATGCTGGATATTAGACCTCTGTCAGATGCATAGATTACAAAAATTTTCTTCCATTCTATAGGATGTCTATGTAAGCTCTTTAGTTTAATAGATCCCATTTATCAATTTTTGCTTTTGTTGCAATTGCTTTTGGCATCCTTGTCATGAAATCTTTGCCTGTGCCTATGTCCTGAATGGTATTGCCTAGATTTTCTTCTAGGGTTTTTATAGTTTTGGGTTTTACATTTAAGTCTTTAATCCATCTTGAGTTAATTTTTGTGTATGGTATAAGGAAGGTCTCTAGTTTCAGTTTTCTGCATATGGCTAGCCAGCTCTCCCAGCACCATTTACTAAATAGGAGGTCCTTTCCCCTTTGCTTGTTTTTGTCAGATTTGTTGAAGATCTGATGGTTGAAGTGTGCAATCTTATTTCTGAGTTTTTTTTTTGTTTTTTTTTTTTGACAGAATTTCACTCTGTAGCCGAGGCTGGAGTACAGTGGCATTATCTCGGCTCACTGCAACCTCTGCCCACTGGGTTCAGATGATTCTCCTGCCTCAGCCTCCTGAGTAGCTGGGATTATAGGCACCTGCCACCATGCCTGGCTAATTTTTGTATTTTTACTAGAGACCGTATTTTACAATGTTAGCCAGGCTGGTCTCAAACTCCTGACCTCAAGTGATCTGCCCATCTCGACCTCCCAAAGTGCTGCGATTATAGGCGTGAGCCACTGCAGCCCCTCTTTCTGTGTTTTTCACTCTGTTCTATTGGTCTATATGTCTGTTCTTGTATGAGTACCATGCTGTTTCGTATCCTTGTAGTATAGTTTGAAGTTTGGTCGCATGATGCCTCCAGCTTTATTATTTTTGCTTAGGATTGTCTTCGTTACTCAGGCTCCTTGTTGGTTCCATATGAATTTTAAAATAGTTTTTCCTAATTCTGTGAAGAATGTCAATGGTAGTTTAATGGGAATAGCACTGAATCTATACATTACTTTGGGGAGTATGGACATTTTCACAACATTGATTCTTCCTATCCATGAGGATGGAATGTTTCTCCATTTGTGTGTGTCCTCTCTGATTTCTTTGAGTAGTGGTTTGTAGTGCTTGAAGAGGTCCTTCACTTCCCTTGTTAGCTGTATTCCTAGGTATTTTATTCTTTTTGTAGCAATTGTGAATGAGAGTTCATTCATGATTTGGCTTTCTGCTTGCTTATTGTTGGTGTATAGGAATGCTAGTGATTTTTGCACACTGATTTTGTATCCTGAGATTTCGCTGAAGTTACTCATCAGATTAAGAAACTTTTGGGCTGAGACAATGGAGTTTTCTAGATATAGGATCATGTCATCAACAAACAGGTTTAGTTTGAGTTCCTCTATTCCTATTTGGATGCCCTTTATTTCTTTATCTTGCCGGATTGCTCTGGCCAGAGCTTCCAATACTATGTTGAATAGCAGTGTTGAGGGTATCCTTGTCTTATGCCAGATTTCAAGGGGAATGTTTCCAGCTTTTTCCCATTCAGTATGATATTAGCTGTGGGTTTGTCATGTATGGCTCTTAATATTTTGAGGTACAGGTATGTTCCTTCAATACTTTGTTTATTGAGAATTTTTAACATGAATGGATGTTGAATTTTATTGAAAGCTTTTTCTGCATCTATTGAGATAATCATGTGGTTTTTGTCTTTAGTTCTGTTTATGTGATGAATCACATTTATTGATTTGCATATGTTGAACCAACCTTGTATCCTGGGGATGAAGCCAACTTGATTGTGGTGGGTAAGCTTTTTGATGTGCTGCTGGAATTGTTTTGCCAGTATTTTATTGATGATTTTTGCATTGATGTTCATCAAGGATATTGGCCTGAAGTTTTGGTTTTTTGTTGTATCTCTGCCAGATTTTGGTATCAGGATGATGCTGGTCTCATAGAATGAGTTAAGGAAGAGTCTCTCCTTTTCAATTTTTGGCAATAGTTTCAGCAGAAATCGTACCAGCTCTTCCTTGTACCTCTGGTAGAATCAGCTGTGAATCTGTGTGGTCCTGGGCTTTTTTTTTGGTTGGTAGGCTATTTATTACTGCCAAAATTTCAGAACTAATTATTGGTCTATTCAGTGATTCAATTTCTTCCCAGTTCAGTCTTGGGAGAGTGTATGTGTCCAAGAATGTGTCCATTTCTTCTAGATTTTCTAGTTTATCTGCATAGAGGTGTTTCTAGTATTCTCTGATAGTTGTTTGTATTTCTGTGGGGTCAGTAATGATATCCCCCTTATCATTTCTGATTGTGTTTATTTGATTCTTCTCTCTTTTCTTCTTTATTAATCTAGCTAGCAGTCTATCTATTTTATTATTTTTTTCAAAAAACGAGCTCCTGGATTTGTTGATTTCTTTGAATGGTTTTTCGTGTCTCTATCTCCTTCAGTTTAGCTCTGATCTTGGTTATTTCTTGTCTTCTGCTAGCTTTGGGGTTTGTTTGCTCTTTGTTCTCTAGTTCTTTTAATTTTGATGTTAGTGTGTTGATTTTAGATCTTTCTAGGTTTTGGATGTGAGCATTTAGTGCTATAAATTTCCCTCTTAACACTGCTCTAGCTGCATCCCACAGATTCTGGTATGCTGTCTGTTTGTTCTCATTCGTTTCAAAGAACTTCTTGACTTCTGCCTTAATTTCATTATTTACCCAGGAGTCATTCAGGAGCAGGTTGCTCAATTTCCATGTAGTTGTGTGGTTTTGAGTGAATTTCTTAATCTTGAGTTCTAATTTGATTGTGCTGTCTGGGACTGTTATGATTTCAGTTCTTTTGCATTTGCTGAGGAGTGTTTTACTTCCGACTATGTGATCAATTATAGAGTAAGTGCCATGTGGCGATGAGAAGAATGTATATTCTGTTGTTTTGAGGTGCAGAGTTCTGTAGATATGTATCAGGTCCACTTGATCCAGAGCTGAGTTTAGGTCCCAAATATCTTTGTTAATTTTCTGTCTTAATGATCTGTCTAATATTGGCAGTGGGGTGTTAAAGTCTTCCACTATTATTGTGTGGGAGTCTAAGTAAGTCTCTTTGTAGGTCTCCAAGAACTTGCTTTATGAATCTGGGTGCTCCTGTATTGGGTGCATATATATTTAGGATAGTTAGCTCTTCTTGTTGAATTGAACCCTTTACCATTATGTGACGCCTTTCTTTGTCTTTTTTCATCTTTGTTGGTTTAAAGCCTGTTTTGTCAGACACCAAGATTACAACCCTTGCTTTTTTCTGTTTTCCATTTGCTTGGTAAATTTTCCTCCATCCCTTTATTTTGAGCCTATGTATGTCTTTGCACATGTGATGGGTCTCTTAAAGACAGCGTATCCATGGGTCTTGACTATCCAGCTTGCTATTCCTTGCTTTTTAACTGGGGCATTTAGCCCATTTACATTTAAGTTTAGTCTTGTTATGTGAATTTGATCCTGTCATCATGATGCTAGCTGTTATTTTTCAGAGTTATTTATGTAGTTGCTTCATAGCATCACTGGTCTGTGCACTTCAGTGTGTTTTCTGTTAATTCAACCATCTCAGCCTCAGCCCAGTTTAGTGTCTTTGCTGGTGAGGTGTTGCAGTCGTTTGGAAGAGAAGAGGCACTCTGGCTTTTTGAGTTTTCAGTGTTTTTGTATTGATTCTTTCTCATCTTTGTTGGCTTATCTACCTTCGATCTTTGAGGTTGCTGACCTTTGAATGAGGGTTTTGTGGGGTCTTTTTTGTTGATGTTGTTGTTGTTTTCTGTTTGTTTTTCTCTTTTAACAGGCCACTCTACTGCAGGGCTGCTACAGTTTGCTGGGGGTCTGTTCCAGACCCTAGTTGCCTTGGATTTCCCCATACCTGGAGGTTTCACCAGTGAAGGCTGCAGAACAGCAAAGATGGCAGCCAGCTCCTTCCTCTGGAAGCTCTGTCCCAGGGGGGTACTGACCTGTTGCTGGCCTGAATGCACCTGTAGGAGGTGTTCTGGAGACCCCTGTTGGGAGGTCTCACCCAGTTAGGAGGATATAGGATCAGGGACCCACTTAAAGAATCAGTATTGCTGCTTTTTGGTAGAGCAGGTGTTCTGTGTTGGAGGTGGATCCTTCCTTATCCAGACCATTTGTATTCTCCAAAGCCAGCAGGCTGGAATGGCTGAGGTGACCAAACTGCAGAGATGGTGGCTGCCCCTCCCCCTGGAGCTCCATCCCAGGGAGAGATCAGAATTCTTCCCATAGACCCTGGCTGGAGTGGCTGAAGCCCCTGCAGAGAGGTCCCACCCAGTGAGGAGGACTGGATTGAGGCTGCACTTAAAGAAGCAGTCTGGCCATGATCTGGCAAAGTGGCTGTGGTATGTTGTAGGGGACCCATCTTTCTCTGGACCATTTGTATTCTCCAGAGCCAGCAGGCTGGAATGGCTAAGTCTACTGAACTGCAGAGATGGTTGCCACCTATCCCCCTGGTTACTTGGACCTATCTCAGGCAGATTCCAGCCTGTTGCTGTTGGCTGGCTGGAATTCCAAGCCAGTGGGTCTTAACTTGTGAGGTGCTGTGGAAGTGGTGCCTGCAGAATGATGCTGCTTGGCTCCCTGGATTCAGCCCCCCTTCCTAGGGATATGTATGGATGGATTTCCCACCTTGCTGGGTATCCTGGGACCAGAGTATGTAAAACTCATGGGTCTCTGTATGTGCCTGAGCAGATGCTCTGCCGAGACTCCACACAGTTCTGTGTGTGCCTGAGCAGATGCTCTGCCAAGACTCCACACTGCTCTGTGTATTGGACCCAAGGCCCTGGTGGTGTGGGCTCATGTGAGGATCTCCTTATCTGTGGGTTACAAAGACCCATGAGAGAGTGTGGTTTCCCAGGTGGGGTTGCACAATCACTCACTGCTTCCCTTGCTGGAGGTGAGGGTTTCTTTGGCTCCATGCCACTCTCAGGTGGGCCATTGCCTGCCCTCCCTACTTTTCTTCATTCTCCATGGGTCAAGTTGTTTGCCGAGTAAGTCCCAATATGAGAACCTGGATATTGGAGTTGAAGGTGCTGGATTTACTCACTCACTTTCATTCCTTTCCGTGAGTAAAGATTTATATTAGTTTCAGTTTTATTTTCCTGTTGGATGCTGTTGCTTTGAATTTGCCTAGATCTCATGAAACCATGAGTCTATAAAGGTTATACTTCCAATCTGTCATAGTTTTATTTAATTTAGTGGTTCTCAACTTTGACCATACATTAGAATCCCCTGGGGAGCTTTAAAAAGAGCAGTATCTAGATCTCATCTCTAAAAATTCTGAATTTCATATGGAACCAAAAAAGAGCCTGAATAGCCAAAGCAGTCCTAGGCAAAAAGAACAAATCTGGAGGTATCACATTATCAGACTTCAAGCATACTATCAAGCAATAGTTACCAAAACAGCATGGTACTGGTATAAAAGTAGACACATAGACTGGTGGAACAGAATAGAGAACCCAGAAATAAGGCCAAATACTTAACAACCAACTGATCTTCAACAAAACATACAGAAACATAAATTTGGGAGAGGACACCCAATTTAATAAATGGTGCTGGGAAAACTCAATAGTCATATGCATAAGAATACAACTTTGGGTTCCTATCTCTCACCTTATACAAAAAATCAACTCAGGATGGATCAAAGACTTAGATGTAAGACCTAAAACCATAAAAATTCTAGAAGATAACCTAGGAAGAACTCTCCTGGACATTGGCCTAAGCAAAGAATTCATGACTAAACTCCTATAAGCAAATGCAACTAAAACCAAAATAAATAAATGAGACCTAATTAAACTAAAAAGCTTCTGCACAGTAAAAGAAACAATCCTCAGAGTAAACAGACAATCAACAGAATGGGAGAAAATATTTGCAAACTATTCATCCAACAAAGGACTAATATCCAGAATCTACAAGGAACTCAAACAAATCAGCAAGAAAAAAAAAATAATCCCAGCAAAAAGTGGGCAAATGACATGAATAGACATTTCTTAGACGAATACATACAAAAGGACCAACAAACATATGAAAAAGTGCTTAACATCACTAATCATCAGAGAAATGCAAATTGAAACTACAATGAGATACTACCTTACCCCTGCAAGAATGGCCATTATTAAAAGGTCAAAAAACAATAGATGTTGGCATGGGGGTGATGAAAAAGGAACATTTATACACTGCTGGTGGGAATGTAAATTAGTACAGCATTTATGGAAAACATTTTGTTATGGGATAAATATTTTTGTCTCCTCAAAATTGTTATTTTGAAGCCCTAAACCTCTGTGAGGCTGAATTTGGAGGTGGAGACTTTAAGGAAGTAATTAAGGTTAAATAAAGTCATAAGGGTGGGTCCTGATCACATAGGATTTTTGTCCTTTTAAGAAGAGACACCCCCAGCACTTTGGGAGGCTGAGGTGGGAGAATCATGAGGTCAGGAGATCGAGACCATCCTGGCTAACACGGTGAAACCCTGTCTCTACTAAAAATACAAAAAAAATTAGCCAGGAGCGGTGATGGGCGCCTGTAGTCCCAGCTACTCGGGAGGCTGGGGCAGGAGAATGGCGTGAAACCGGGAGGCAGAGCTTGCAGTGAGCTGAGATCACGCCACTGCACTCCAGCCTGGGCGACAGAGCGAGACTCTGTCTAAAAAAAAAAAAGAGAGAGACACCAGACAGTTTGTTCTCTCTCTGTGCACACACACCAAGGAAAGGGCATGTGAGGACACAGTGAGAAGGTGGCCGTCTGTAGGCCAGGAAGAGAGCCTCCACCAGAAACCAGATCAGCCAGAACCTTGATCTTGGACTTCTAGCCTCCAGAACTTTGAGGAAATAAATTCGTGTTTAAGCCACTAAGTGTGTGGTGTTTTGTATGGCAGCCGTAGTAGACTGATACACCTTTGGAAGAAGATAGGTGGCTATAAAGATATAAGAATGGTGATTTTCAGCTGGGCACAGTGGCTCACACCTATAATCTCAGCACTTTGGGAGGCTGAGGCAGATGGACTGCTTGAGCTTAGGAGTTTGAGACCAGCCTGGGGAACATGGTGAAATCCTGTCTCTACAAAAAAGAGAAAAACTAGCCAGCCATGATGGCATGCACCTGTAGTCCCAGCTACTCGGTGGGCTGAAGTGGGAGGATCGCTGGAGCCCAGGAGGTTGAGGCTGAGTGATCTGTGATTGCACCATTGCACTCTAACTTGGGCATCAAAGTGAGAGCTCATCTCTTTAAAAAAAAAAGTGATTTTCATGTAAAAATTGCCAGTCTCTAATACTATGCCAAAGGCTTTTATTGAAGTTCATTATCAGAATCTTAATTGGATAAAAATTTAAACCAGTATGAAATTTATATAAAAACATTTTTCTATATAAAAAGCAAGTTAGTATCATGTACAAGTTAACCTATTTAAATGTGGTTAGAATATTGCAGAAAGATAATGACTCTGCAGAGCCGTGGAAGGCTGTGGATGGAATTGCTCTGCATGGTAGAATAGATACATGTTAGGTAGGCAAAAGGACATTTAGAATTATTAAATTAAAATAAAATAGTTTTTGTTCATGCTTGAAGTAATATTACCTATAAAAATATATTATATTCCTTTTACTGTCTAGCACGCATTTGATTTTCCGTTTCTAATTTTTTTTTAATGTTTGGGAAACACTTCAAAATAATGGTTAAGAACTCAGGCTTTGTGGGGGTGTCTGCTTTGGGGGAGGATGGAGAAGAACACAAAAGACCTTCTTTCTCATAGAAACAGAAAAAAAACCCCAAAAACAAAAAACTAAAAATAAAAGTATTTTCTATGGGGCTAGCCAGGGGTGGTATTCACACAAGGAAGCCTTGATTAACTGAATTCCAGAGAGAAAGAGCCCTTTATAAGTGAGCAGAGAGCCAAGGCAGCTTTAAGCCTGGGGCAGCTTCCTGGTCTGGTTATGGGTAGGTAGGTCTGATAGAGAAACTTGACAGGGTGAGGGGGAAATAAGGTGGGCTTTGGACCAAGTAGGACTGTCAAGATAAATTAAGAGTCTGGAAAAAGCCCCCAAAGCCAGAGCAGATTATTGGGTTCAGCATTTCTTCCCTAAACCCTCCCCAACCATGAATTTTGCTGAGAAAGTTACAGTGGAGGAAGGGCTGGTAAGAAGAGAGAAATTGCTTAGTCATATGCATTCCTGTGGTATTTGAATTTCAGGTCTTTTCCTGGAGATGAATCCAAAGATGAACCAAAAATATATGAGACTGTAACCAAGCTTCTCCCAGTTCAGCTACTGAAAACATAAAAGGGCTATGACCTAGGAAGTTGAGAGCTGGGCTAATCACATGTAGTTTCAATTTAATTAAAACTGAAACCCAGACCCAGATCTACTGGACTCTAAAAGAAATATGAATGATCATTTCTCACCCCAATTACCAGATAGAGAAAAAGATTTCACTCTCTGGGGGGAAATAATTAAAACAAATCTAAATGTTATACTTCAGCCACCACTGTTCTTTTATACACAATATCTGGAATATAATAAAAAATTATGAAGCATGCTAAGAAACAAGAAAATAGGATCTATAATCAAAAGAAAAGTTAGTCAATAGAAACAGACCCATAGAATCCACAGTTATTGAAATTAATAGGACCTTAAAACAGCTATTGCATATATATTTTTAAAAGTTGTGGGGAAATGGATGTAATGGGTGCAAAGATTGGGTATTTCAGAAGAGAAATGACAAATTCCTAAAAAGAACAAAATAGAAATTCTAGAACTGAAAAATGAATGTCTGAATGAAACAATTATTAGATGGGCTTAACATAGGTTGAATACTGCAGAAGTAAAGATTTTGAAGTGAACTTAAAGACAGAAAACTGATGTGTCTGTATTAATCAGATAAAATATACTTTCAAGCAAGAGGTATTACCAAGTAAAGGACATTTTATAAAGATAGAAGGGAAAGGCATCAAGAAGAAAATAGTTCTAAATGTGTATGAAGTTCAAAATATATCAAGCAAAAATGGATAGAAATAGGTCACAGTGGCTCATGCCTGTAATCCCAGCACTTTGGGAGGCCAAGGCAGGCAGATCTCCTGAGGTCAGAAATTCAAGACCAGCCTGGCTAACATGGCGAAACGCTATCTCTACTAAAAATACAAAAATTAGCTGGGCATGATGGCGGGTGCCTGTAATCCCAGCTACCTGGGGGGCTCAGGCGGGAGAATCGCTTTAACCTGGGAGGTGGAGGTTGCAGTGTGCCGAGATCACATCATTGCACTCCAGCCTGGGCAACAAGAGTGAAATTCCATCTTGAAAAAAAAAAAAAAAAAAAAAGGATAGAAATAAAGAAATAGAAAAACCCAGAATTATAGTTGGAGATCTTAATTTATTTTTCTCTCAGTAATTGATAGTGTAAATAGACAACAATTTAGAAAGAAAATAGAAAATCTGAATCACCCTATCAATCATCTTAATTTAATTGACATTTATAGAACACTACCCCAAACAACTGCAGAATACTTATTCTTTTCAAATGCACTTAGAATATTTACCAAGATAGGACACGTGCAGAACTATGAAAAGAAGTCTCAATAGAGTTCAAAATACAGAATTTACACAGAGTATGTTCTTGGAACACAATAGAAAACAATAACATAAAGATATCTAGAAAAATCCCCAAATAGTTGTACATTTAACAACACATTTCAAAGAAGGAATCACAAGGAAAAAGAGAAAATATTTTGAACTCAATTATAGTTAAAATACAACATGTCAGAATTTGCCAGATGTAGTAAGGCAGTGCTTAAAGGGAGATTTATAGCTTTAAATGCTTGTATTAGGATAAAAAATGGCTTAAAATCAATGCTCTCATCTTCTACCTTAAGGAGCTACTAAAAGAAAAGGCAAATTAAACACAAAATAGGTAGAAGGAAATAAATAATAAAGAGCAGAAGTCAATGAAATAGAAAAATGAAGAGAGCCAACAAAGCCAAAAGTTGGTTAATTAGAAAAATAAATTTGTTTAAAAATTATGGTTGTGAAAAAAGAGAGAAAACATAAAATCTCAACATCAAAAGTGAAAAAGGCCAGGTGTAGTGGCTCACATCTGTAATCCCAGATGTGAGCTTTGGGAGGTCGAGGTGGGAGATCAACTGAGGTCAGGAGTTTGAGACCAGCCTGGCAACATGGTGAAACTCTGTCTCTATTAAAAATACAAAAATTAGGCCGGCCACGGTGGCTCATGCCTGTAGTCCTAGCATTTTGGGAGACCTAGGACGGTGGATTGCCTGAACTCAGGAGTTAGAGACCAGCCTGGGCGACATGGTGAAACCTGGTCTCTACTAAAAATACAAAAAATTAGCCGGGCGTGGTGGCAGGCACCTGTAATCCCAGCTACACAGGAGGCTGAGGCAGGAGAATCGCTTGAACCCAGGAGGTGGAAGCTGCAGTGAGCCAAGATAGCACCACTGCACTCCAGCCTGGGCAACAGAGCGAGACTCCATCTCAAACAAAAACAAAAACAAACAAAAAAAAGTGAAAGAGAGGAATTGCTAGAGATGCTACAGACATTAAAGCAAGAAAAGGGAATATTGCCATCAGTGTTACACCAATAAATTCAATGACTTTGAACAAACTCCTTGAGAAACACAAATGAACAAATCTGACAAGAAATAGAAAGTTTGAATAGCCTTGTATCTGTTGAGGAAATTATATTAGAAATTGTAAAACCCTCCCACAAACTATTACAGGGTCAAATGGTTTCCCTGGTGAATTCTCACAAACATTTAAGGAAGAAATAATGCCAACATTACACAAATTTATAAGCATTAGAAATTGTTATTATTATCAATATTGTTTTCATAAGTCTCCTCCCTCAGTTATCAGTTTCCATCTTAAAGCAGCAGAACTTTTCATAGTCTTCTAGAAAAACTCTGAATTCAATGGAAGATGACCTTGTAAATCCTATCCTACCTTTCCTATCTGTGTTCCTTTGAATTAGAATGATACGTGGTGTTTACAAAACACCCTATATTGCTGTTGCCTCTGACTAATCTTTTCTAATCTTTTTACACAAAATCACTTTGTTCCTCTGGGACTTGAGAAGAAGGGCTGCCAAGCCATGTCAAGGTGTCATCAAAAGCTTTTCAGGGTCTTATTACACCTGGTTTTCTGGTAATTTTTAAATAACAACTAACACTCTGTTTACTTCTTTCTTTTTTTTTTCTTTTTTTTTTTATTATACTCTAAGTTTTAGGGTACATGTGCACATTGTGCAGGTTAGTTAGTATTCTTGTATAAGCCCTTTCTGGAGCTGACAAAGAATTGTTCAGATTATGTGTTTCCTGCTTTAATTTGATTTTATATAATAGGCTCACATTAAAATTTGTATAGTAAATGGAAAATCTGTGAGCAATCACAATAATGGCTGGAATAACCTTTCCTTTTTTCCTGTCCTTCCTCAGAAATACTAAGAGCTGGTTAGACTATATCCTTCTGAAACATTCTTTATCACTGTTGTTTGATGTAGTTCCAGCCACATCTAACACAGGAGGCATCCAAACTTCTTTGAGTTGAAATGACTGAGGATGCACTTTTCAGAGACCCCAGGAAACTGGCAGTGTTGACTGAAGAATACTCACAGCAAGAATGAGTGGCTAAGCCATGTCAGTGATGAGGCACCTACTGCTCTGGATACCTCTACCATGGTTTCTTTACTCTCTCCCCAGCAGCATAAATCTGAATGTTTTAGACCTCAAGATGTCTGGCCTCAGTAAAAAATAGTTTTCTGATGGACTGTGATATTCTACTCTTAGTAAAGACTAAGCTGCTATAACTGAGAAACTCTAAAATAGAATAGCTTTTTATTAGTCTGTTCTCATGCTGCTACTAAAGACATACCTGAGACTGTATAATTTATAAATGAAAGAGGTTTAATGGACTCACAATTCAGCATAGTTAGGAGGCCTCACAATCACGACAAAAGGCAAAAGAAGAGCAAAGTCATGTCTTACACGGCAGCAGGCAGGAGAGGGCTTGTGCAGGGGAACTCCCATTTATAAAACCATCATGTCTTGTGAGACATATTCACTACTACAAGAACAGTATGGGGGTAATCACCCCCATGATTCAATTATCTCCACCCTTGACAGGTGGGAATTATTACAATTCAAGGTGAGATTTGGGTGGGGACACAGCAAAACCACATCAGCTTTAATAAGATAAAAGTTTATTTTTCTCTATCTGGTTGTGGAAGTCCTTTGTATAAAGTTATTTAAGTTCTGGTTTTTTTTTTTATATTTTTGAGTAAACATACATTGAGTATCTATTCTGTTCTAGGTGAAATGCTGGGGACTGGGAACAATCAAATTAATAAGTGTTCTTGTCCTCAAGAAGCTCAGGATCACATTTTGTGTGGGTGTGCATGCATGCATGTTTTTGGGGGACAGGTGTTACAAATAAATAGCCTTTAAGTGTGATAATATTATATTGTTTACTGAGTGCAGATTTTAATGTCACCACACACACACACACACACACACACACACACAAATGGTAACTAATGGATGTGTCAGTTAATGTAACTGGTAATCAGAACACTATGTATATCAAACCATGATGTACAACTTGAATAATATATAATTTGTATTCATCAATGAAATATTTAAAAATAAAAAAGAGAATAAAGGTGCAGTGGAGGTAGAAGGAAATGAAAGCCAAGTAAGGAATTAAAGACAGATCTTCAAAGAGATCTCAAGGAGATTAAAGTATTATTTTTATTATAATACATGTAATAATAAGTCATCTGTTCCTGAGAAGTATCTCTGTTTTCACCCTGTTTTGGCTTGAAAGCAGGTATCAACAATTCTTTGCAGTCATCTTAAAGAATATTTCTTACTATCCAGACAATAAGACCGGGTCCAGTGGCTCACACCTATGAGCACTTTGGGAGGCTGAGGTGGGTGGATCACGAGGTCAGGAGTTTGAGACCAGCCTGACCAACATGGTGAAGCCCTGTTTCTACTAAAAATACAAAAATTAGCCAGGCGTGGTGGTGTGTGCCTGTAATCCCAGCTACTCAGGAGGCTGAGGCAGGAGAATTGCTTGAACTCCGAAGGCAGAGGTTGCAGTGAGCCGAGATTGTGCCGTGAACTCCAGCCTGGGCGACAGAGTGAGACTCTGTCTCAAAAAAAACTACTATAGCCAGCAATATTCATTTTACTGAATATTTTGTAAGGGATAAGGGCAATTAGCATTGCATGGCTCATTCCACTATTATTCCTCTTTTTCAGCTCTCCAATCCTGAAGTCAAAATGGAATGCATCTCTGCTCTTCCTCTGGGCATCATCTAATTTTTTTGTTCTTGTTTTCCTTGTGCTGGAATCTACAACACCCTCTCCTAGCCCCTCAACCAGCCTTTCTTCTGCAGAGCAACTTAGTTCTAATTAGCAACTACAAACCTATTCACCTACATCCAAGAGTTCAGTAGTGTCTTTTAAGTATGTAACAGGCAATTCTTTTACATTTTATTGAGATGACTACTTTAAAAAAATTGGTTGCTACCCAGAACTGTTTAGAACATTGCTTGCTTTAGGTAAGTGAGTGAAGCAAGATGTGATAACATAGGGCTGGGGGACTAGAGTTGGGTAATATGGTAGCACATGATTTTGTTACTTGAGATTGCCTGTAATTGTAGACATCAGTGAGCAGGGTGATATGAACCTCACAGGGGCTCTTGAAGTTCTGCTTCTTCCCTATTCCTTAATGCAATACAATATTTAGGTTCATCTTTTCAATTTTCCTGGAGAAATTAAATACTGTGCCATAATAAAAAAATAAGTAATTTGAAAGTAAAGGAAGGGCATGAATGGAGAGAAGGCAGGAAAACATTCTAGGTTGGAAAAAATGGCAGAAGTAATGTTGGGACATTGGAGTGATGGTGGAGGTGGGAATAGAGTCTAGGATCTCTTCATCCCATACTATGCATCTATCTTCACAAAATTAGTATGGCCAAATATTAAATCAGCTCATTTCTGGTTGGGAAAAGTAGGGTGAATGTGCCTTTCTAGCTGTCCTTGAGATGTAAATCTCCTGTAACATAGCTTCCCTAGTGGTCACCTCAAAGGCTTTGTTCTCTCCAGGATAGATGCTACAGAGTGGGACAGTACTTGGTGTGTGTGTATCTCAATTTTTTTTTAACATGACAAATTGAACTAGGGGCAAGAGAAGGATAGACAGAGGAGCCTATGATGGGGTGGTGGATACTAAATATTTTCCAGGTGTAAGGAGCAGAGGAGGAAAAGGGAGACTGGGTAACCCTTTTTCAGACCATCATTTAGTCCATTTTATGTTGCAAATATTAGCAAACCTACTCCAGCTTTCTTAAACAGTAGGGTTTTCATTACAACATAGTTAAGAGAGTAGGCTTAGGAGTAAGATTGCTTGATCCTGAGTAAGTTACTTAATCTTGGTGTCTCAGTTTCTTCATTCCAGTTAAGTAAATATATTTAAATTAAATTATATTAGTTAGTAAATGTAAAGCACACAGAAAAGTGTTTGGCTTCTGGTGAGCTTTCAATAAGTGTTAACTATTATTTGTTATTATTATTTTAACAAAACCAACCTCCAAAACCTATGAAGTCAGTTTACAGAAAGCCACCAGGAAAAGGGAAATAAGAAGATTCTTTACTTTGCTGTCATTTGATACACTTAGCATTTTAAATGACTATATGTACAATATTAACCATGCCTTTCCACAAAACTATGTGTGTGCATATGAATTACAGGGCTTTCATTTGAAACTGAACTATCTGTGTTTGTAGTCACTTTAATCATACAACAAACCTACAAAATATTTAAGCATAAATTATCATGATGACTAAATATGGAAAAGCTTCTGTTACCAAAACCTGCACCCAAATTGACTGCACAGGATGGGTAATTGGATGGTGGTGTAAAGAATGCTCATGAGGACTAGGCTGCTGCTAATTAGATCTTCTATGCTATTTAAATGTTCTCCAAGCTTCAGGGAGTGCCCTGAAGGCAGTTGGACATTAGCCTTGTGGTTTTTGAGGGTAACCTACAGTTTGTCAGCACAGGGGTGGAGGTGAGCACCATGGGACTTTTCCCAGGCTGCTGGTTAACATACTGTGGTTTCAATCCTTTAAGCCAATAAATGGAGGAGAGAGAAAGAAGGCAGACTGAAATTAGAGGAAAAGAGACAAAGAAAGGAAAAGTGGAAGTAAGAATAATATTCATGAAATGTCTTCTTTGGGCCAGATATTTTTTTAGGAACTTTCACATATTGTGCTTACATCAACTCTGTGGGAAATGTATGATTATACTATCCTCATTTGTAACAGACATTGTTGGGTGCCTATATAACATATAACAGCTATTTTTCTTCATTTTTTTCTTGCTGATGGCGCTTTTTTTTTTTTAGTGTTTACTTCCCATACAAAACTTATGTCTCCATGTCTCCATCCTTCAGCAATAGGGGTAATTCTGAAAGGTCATTGTTTTGCAATTGCCCTTGAAAGGAAATTCTTGGACATAACAACAGATAAGATTCTAGCCAATGAAAGGTGATGAGAAGGTTGCTGAGAAGTTTCTGAGAAAGGTTTCTTTATTCTTTAACAAATACCCTGGAAAGAGACAGGCCTTCTGCTGCTGTTCATGGTTGTACCTGCACAGGATGCCTGAAAAGGAGTAACCGTGGGGTCAGAAGAGGAGCCAGCGTGAGGACAAAGCAGATACACTGAAGTACCACCTGTCACTGAATTTTTGTGCAAGAGTATAAACATTCTCATTGTTTAATCTTTCTGTGGGAGACGCTTTACTATGTGTAGCAAAGTCATTCTAACTGACATACCATTTTCCATTGTATGAGAAAACTGATGTACAGAAAGGTTAAGAAACTTGCCTGCATTTGCATGCATAATGAGGAGTGGAGAGAACAGGTTGTGCCTTCTAATATACAGGCAAGATATGTCTCTTTTAAACAGCACATACAGACACACTCCAAAATGACAATTTCCATCATTTTTTAAAAATTAAATGAGACAAAGACTCTAAAACTATTTAAATAACATGTACATTACTGTCTTGGGATTTATTTTTGTTTCAGCTCTATTGAGATATAGTTGACAAATAAAATGGTATGAATTTAAGGTGTACAATGTGATGATTTGATGTATGTATATATTGTGAAAAGACCAAAATAAAGTCAGTTAACATATCTATTACTTCACCTTGTTATCATTTTTTTTGCGGTGAGAACATTTAATATCTGCTCTCTTAGGAAATATCAAATATACAACACAGTATTGTTAATTATAGTCTGTGTTCCCTTTGACCAATGTCTCCCCATTTCCCTGACTTCCTAGCCCCTGCTAATCAACATTATATTTTGTTTCTATAAGTTTGACTTTTTCTGGTTCCACATATATGTGAGATTATACAGCATTTGTCTTTCTCTATTTGACTTTTTAAAAAATTTTTTTATTTGTTGGGTTTTTAAAATTATACTTTAAGTTCTAGGGTACATGTGCACAACGTGCAGGTTTGTTACATGGGTATACATGTGCCATGTTGGCTTGCTGCACCCATCAATTCGTCATTTACATTAGGTATTTCTCCTAATGCTATCCCTCCCCCATTCCCCCTCCCCTGGACAGGCCCTGGTGTGTGACATTTCCAGCCCTGTGTCCATGTGTTTTCATTGTTCAACTCCCACCTGTGAGTGAGAACATGTGGTGTTTGGTTTTCTGTCCTTGTGATAGTTTGCTGAGAATGATGGTTTCCAGCTTCATCCATGTCCCTGCAAAGGACATGAACTCATCCTTTTTTATGGCTGCATAGTGTTCCATGGTGTATATCTGCCACATTTTCTTAATCCAGTCTATCATTGATGGACATTTGGGTTAGTTCCAAGTCTTTGCTGTTGTGAATAGTGCCGCAATAAACACACATGTGCATGTGTCTTTATAGTAGCATGATTTATAATCCTTTGGGTATATACTCAGTAATGGGATTGCTGGGTCAAATGGTATTTCTGGTTCTAGATACTTGAGGAATTGCCACACTGTCTTCCACAATGGTTGAACTAATTTACACTCCCACCAACCATGTAAAGCATTCCTATTTCTCCACATCCTCTCCACCATCTTTTGTTTCCTGATGTTTTAATGATCGCCATTCTAACTGGTGTGAGATGGTATTTCATTGTGGTTTTGATTTGCATTTCTCTGAAGACCAGTGATGATGAGCATTTTTTCATGTGTCTGTTGACTGCATAAATGTCTTCTTTCGAGAAGTGTCTGTTCATATCCTTTGCCCACTTTTCGATAGGGTTGTTTGTTTTTTCTTGTAAATTTGTTTAAGTTCTTTGTAGATTCTGGATATTAGCCCTTTGTCAGATAGGTAGATTGCAAAAATTTTCTCCTATTCTGTAGGTTGCCTGTTCACTCTGATGGTAGTTTCTTTTGCTGTGCAGAAGCTCTTTAGTTAGATCTCATTTGTCTATTTTGGCTTTTGTTGCCATTGCTTTTGGTGTTTTAGTCATGAAGTCTTTGCCCATGCCTATGTCCTGAATGATAGTGCCTAGGTTTTTTTCTAAGGTTTTTATGGTTTTAGGTCTTACATTTAAGTCCTTAATCCATCTTGAATTAATTTTTGTATGAGGTGTAAGGAAGGAATCCAGTTTCAGCTTTCTACATATGGCTAGCCAGTTTTCCTAGCACCATTTATTAAATAGGGAATCCTTTCCTCATTGCTTGTTTTTGTCAGGTTTGTCAAAGATCAGATGGTTGTAGATGTGTGGTGTTATTTCTGAGGCCTCTGTTCTGTTTCATTTGTCTATATATCTGTTTTAGTACCAGTACCATGCTGTTTTGGTTACTGTAGCCTTGTAGTATAGTTTTAAGTCAGGTAGTGTGACGCCTCCAATTTTGTTCTTTTGGCTTAGGATTGTCTTGGCTATGTGGGCTCTTTTTTGGTTCCATATGAACTTTAAAGTCGTTTTTTCCAATTCTATGAAGAAAGTCATTGGTAGCTTGATGGGGATGGCATTGAATCTATAAATTACCTTGGGCAATATGACCATTTTCACAATATTCTTCCCATCCATGAGCATGGCATGTTCTTTCATTTGTTTGTGTCCTCTTTTATGTCATTGAGCAGTGGTTTGTAGTTATCCTTGAAGAGGTCCTTCATATCCCTTGTAAGTTGGTTTCCTAGGTATTTTATTCTCTTTGTAGCAGTTGTGAATGGGAGTTCACTCATGATTTGGCTCTCTATTATTGGTGTAGAGGAATGCTTGTGATTTTTGCACATTGATTTTGTATCCTGAGACTTTGCTGAAGTTGCTTATCAGCTTATGGAGATTTTGGGCTAAGATGATGGGGTTTTCTAAATATACAATCATGTCATCTGCAAACAGGGACAATTTGACTTCCTCTTTTCCTAATTGAATACCATTTATTTCCTTCTCTTACCTGATTGCCCTGGCCAAAACTTCCAACACTATGTTGAATAGGAGTGCTGAGAGAGGGCATCTTTGTCTTGGGCCAGTTTTCAAAGGGAATGCTTCCAGTTTTTGCCCATTCAGTATGATATCGGCTGTGGGTTTGTCGTAAATAGCTCTTATTATTTTGAGATATGTTCCATCAGTACCTAGTTTATTAAGAGTTTTTAGCATAAAGGGGTGTTGAATTTTGTCAAAGGACTTTTCTGCATCTATTGAGATAATCATGTGGTTTTTGTCATTGGTTCTGTTTATGTGATGGATTATGTTTATTGATTTGCATGTGTTGAACCAGCCTTGCATCCCAGGGATGAAGCTGACTTTATCATGGTGGATAAACTTTTTGATGTGCTGCTCGATTCAGTTTGCCAGTATTTTACTGAGGATTTTTTCATTGATGTTCATCAGGGATATTGGTCTAAAATTCTCTTTTTTTGTTGTGTCTATGCCAGGCTTTGGTATCAGGATGATGCTGGCCTCATAAAATGAGTTAGGGAGGATTCCCTCTTTTTCTGTTGATTGGAATCATTTCAGAAGGAATGGTACCAGCTGCTCTTTGTACTTCTGGTAGAATTTGGCTGTGATTCCGTCTGGTCCTGGACTTTTTTTGGTTGGTAGGCTATTACTTATTGCCCCAATTTCAGGACCTGTTATTAGTCTATTCAGAGATTGAACTTCTTCCTGGTTTAGTCTTGGAAGGGTGTATGTGTCCAGGAATTTATCCATTTCTTCTAGATTTTCTAGTTTATTTGCCTAGAGGTGTTTATAGTATTCTCTGATGGTAGTTTGTATTTCTGTGGGATCGGTGGTGATATCCCCTTTGTCATTTCTTATTGTGTCTATTTGATTCTTCTCTCTTTTCTTCTTTATTAGTCTTACTAGCTGTCTATCTATTTTGTCGATCTTTTCCAAAAAGCAGCTCCTGGATTCATTGATTTTTTTGAAGGGTTTTTTTTTGGTCTCTATCTCCTTCAGTTCTACTCTGATCTTAGTTATTTCTTGCCTTCTGCTAGCTTTTGAATTTGTTTGCTCTTGCTTCTCTCGTTCTTGTAATTGTGATGTTAGGGTGTCGATTTTAGATCTTTCCTGCTTTCTCCTGTGGGCATTTAGTGCTATAAATTTCCCTGTATATACTGCTTTAAATGTGTCCCAGAGATTCTGTTATGTTGTGTCTTTGTTCTCATTGGTTTCAAAGAACATCTTTATTTCTGCCTTCATTTTGTTATTTACCCAGTAGTCATTCAGGATCAGGTTTTTCAGTTTCCATGTAGTTGTGTGGTTTTGAGTGAGTTTCTTAATCCTGAGTTTTAATTTCATTGCACTGTGGTCTGAGAGACAGTTTGTTGTGATTTCTGTTCTTTTACATTTGCTGAGGAGTGCTTTACTTCCAATTATGTGGTCAATTTTAGAATAAGTATGATGTGGTGCTAAGAAAGATGTATGTTCTGTTGATTTTGGGTGGAGATTTCTATAGGTGTCTATTAAGTCCACTTGGTGCAGAGCTGAGTTCAAGTCCTGGATATCCTTGTTATCCTTCTGTCTCGTTGATCTGTCTAATATTGACAGTGGGGTGTTAAAGTCTCCCATTTTTATTGTGTGGGAATCTAAGTCTCTTTGTAGGTCCCTAAGGACTTGCTTTATGAATCTGGGTGCTCCTGTATTAGGTGCATCTATATTTAGGATAATTAGCTCTTCTTGTTGAATCCCCTTACCATTATGTTATGGCCTTCTTTATCTCTTTTAATCTTTGTTGGTGTAAAGTCTGTTTTATCAGAGACTAGGACCGCAACCCCTGCTTTTTTTCCTTCTAACCCTCAGGTCCCTCAGCTGCAGGTCTGTTGGAGTTGCTGGACGTCTACTCCAGACCCTGTTTGCCTGGGTGTCATCAGCAGAGGCTGCAGAACAGCAAATATTGCTGCCTGATCCTTCCTCTGGAAGCTTTGTTCCAGAGGGGCCTGTATGAGGTGTCTGTTGGCCCCTACTGAGAGGTATCTCTTAGTCAGGCTACACGGGGGTCAGGGACCTACTTGAAGAGGCAGTCTGTCTGCTCTCAGAGCTCAAATGCTGTGCTGGGATAACCACTGCTCTCTTCAGAGCTGTCACACAGGGACGTTTAAGTCTGCAGAAGTTGTCTGCTGCCCTTTGTTCTGCTCCTGCCCCCAGAGGTGGAGTCTAGAGAGGCAGTGGGCCTTGCTGAGCTGCGGTGGTCTCCACCCAGTTTGAGCTTCCTGGCAGCTTTGTTTACCTACTCAAGCCTCAGCAATGGTGGACACCCCTCTCCCTGCCAGGCTGCAGCTTTGCAGGTCGATCTCAGACTGCTTCGCTGGCAGTGAGCAAGGCTCTGTGGGCATGGGACCCACTGAGCCAGGTGTGGGAGGGAATCCCCTGGTCTGCTGGTTGCTAAGACTATGGGACCAATGCAGTATTTTGGCAGGAGTGTACCATTCCTCCAGGTACAGTCTGTCATGGCTTCCCTTGGCTAGGAAAGGGAAATCCCCTGACCCCTTGTGCTTCCTGGGTGAGGTGTGATGCCCTGCCCTGCTTCAGCTCACCCTCTGTGGGCTGCACCCACTGTCCAACCAGTCCCAATGAGATGAACAAGTTACCTTAGTTGGAAATGCAGAAATCATCCGCCTTCTGCATCAATCTTGCTGGGAGCTGCGGACTGGAGCTGTTCCTATTCAGCCATCTTGGAAGCCTCTGACGATTTCCATCTTTGAACTGGAAATTTAATCCATGTATACTTATTGTAATTACTGATATATCTGTTTTTATTGCTTTGGTTATTATTTCACTTTGTTCCAATTTTTGTGTTT
Organism: Homo sapiens; assembly: GCF_000001405.40. Classification (NCBI taxonomy): domain Eukaryota; kingdom Metazoa; phylum Chordata; class Mammalia; order Primates; family Hominidae; genus Homo; species Homo sapiens. The sequence goes on from NC_000012.12 coordinate 64,982,618, forward strand.
TTTAAAATATGCTTTTTACTTAAGAAAATAGACATCTATATCTTCCCCTAATCAAGGTAAGAATTCTACATACTCTTAGAATCATAAAACTCTCTTCCTGCTTTCCTCCATCCCAATTCTACCATGTCAATATTATCTAGAAATTTAATTATAACTTATTTGGATAAAAGACATAGTGACAGATTCTTAATGCTCAGGTTTTTGGTTTTGCTTTTGTTTTTGTTTTTAATCTGGATAGCAATAGTCACAATAATACCGTATTTTGTTTAATGCTGAATTCATTTAACTTTTGTATCTAACAAACATTTAAAAACATATACAATAATTTAAAGAATATTTTGTAACATACTTAAACCTACTAACGTATCAGCAACAGGGATTTAATTAGTTTTTGTTGTTGTTGCTGTTATCCTGTTATTTCTTCCTTCTTGGTTTTATAGCTTCTGCAAACAAGCTTCTCTTACTCTATGTCTCCACCAAATGAGGTACTTCTGCATCTACTTCTGCTCACAGAACTGCCTAGGTGGTCCACCAAGGTGAGAAGATTCCTACTATGTCACCAGAGTATCTCTGGTTTTTGTGTTTAGACAATGGATAATTTAATTTTTTGATGTCTTCTTTATGGAAGACACAGTGGATAAATGGGACAACATTTTAGAAGAGTTAGTCCAGAGCCTGAGCAGTTAAGCAGTGGCTGAACTGTCTCTGCTTTAGAAGGGTTTACGAACTTGAGAGGGAAAACACTGCAGTAGATTGCAAAGGATCTAACTGAAATTTAGTATTTCCTTAAGTTATAAATATAGTGTATTAGCTGTTCCTGCATAGAAAATAATCACAAACATCTTAGTTGCATACAAAAACAAACCTTCCTTCCTTCCTTCCTTCCTTTCTTTCTTTCTTTCTTTCTTTCTTTCTTTCTTTCTTTCTTTCTTTCTTTCTCTCTTCTCTCTCTTTCTCTCTTTCTTTCTTTCTTTCTCTCTTTCTTTCTTTCTCTCTTTCTCTCTTTCTCTCTTTCTTTCTTTCTTTCTTTTTCCTTCTTTGCCTCACTGTCACCCAGGCTGGAGTGCAGGGGTGCAATCTCTGCTCACTGCAACCTCTGCCTTGTGGGTTCAAGCGATTCTCCTGCCTCAGCCTCCTGAGTAGCTGGGATTACAGGTACCACCATGCCCGTCCTTCTTTCTTATGCATCTATGTATAGGTTGGCTGGAATAGGTCTTCAGATCTCAGGTAGGCTTCCTCATGCATTGAGGAACTGTTTAATCTAGAGTGGCCTCAGCTGGTTGATTCTGTCTTTTACTGCAGTTTTGTAGGTTGGCTAGGCAGTTCTGTGCCAAGTATCTTTCATCCTCCTTAGACCAGTGGGCTAGTCTGGGCATGCTTTTCCCATGGTAAAGGAAAATACATTAAGAGCCGTGAAAAAACATGAGGCCTCTTAAGTCCTAGGCTCAGAACTGGCATGTGATCACTTCTGACCATATTTATTTGGCCAAAGCAAGTTACATGGCTGAGTCCAAAGCCTGGGGTTGGAGGAATACATTCTACATTTGCAGAAGGAATTACCAAGTCACTAAGTAAAAAGTATGAATACAAAGGCAAAACTATGGAGACAGTAAACGAATCAGTGGTTGCCAGTGGAGTGAAGGTTGTGGGGGAAAGATAAACAGGCAGAGCCCAAGGGTTGTTAGGGCAGTGAAAATACTCTGTGTGATGCTATAATGCTATATATATTGTTATACGTTAGTTCAAACCCAGAGAACATACAACAGCAAGGGTGAACCCTAATGTAAACAATGAACTTGGGTGATTACGATGTGTCAGTGTAGGTGCTTTGATTGTAACAAATGTACCTCTCTGGTGGGGGATGTTGATAATGGGGGAAACTAAACACATGTAGGGGCATGGAGTATATGGAATATCTTCCTTTTGAGTTTCTGTGAACCCAAAACTGCTCTAAAAAAATAAGGTTTCCTGGCCCAGCATGGTGGCTCACACCTATAATCCCAGTATTTTGGGAGGCCAAGGAGGGTGAATTGCTTGAGCCCAGGAGTTCAAGACCAGTCTGGGAAACATGGCTAAACCCTGTCTATACAAAAAAAGAAAAAAAAAATTAGCTGAGCGTAGTGGCACACACCTGTAATCCTAGCTACTCAGGAGGCTGAGGTGGGAGGATTGCTTGAGCACAGGAGGCTGAGGCTGCAGTGAACTGTCATCATGCCACTGTACTCTAGCCTGGGCAATAGTGAGACCCTGTCTCAAAAAATATAAATATATAAAATAAGATAAAGTCTTTACAAAATCTAAAAAGTGTGAATCAAGAAGCAGTGAAAAACTGGGGATACTAATTGAGTTTTCCACAAGAACATACTATGGAAGTTTAGGCAGTATCAATGGCTTTTCTGCCAATAGAAATCAAAGATATAGTGATATCACATTATAGTTGTTTCAGATGTCTCAAAATATTATTTTTGCTAATCACAACATTGATATTGGGATTGTTATTAAACCTGCAGTTAGACTGCCACCGATCAAGGTCTACCTGTCTGCAGATACTCAATGATATAGTTGGTCAACAGTTGGGCAGCTCTCTGCCTAGCGGTTATTTGAGCACCAAACACTGAGGTCAACCTAGACATCTATGTTGCTCTCTAGTATTCTTTTATCGGTATGTGAAGGTTTGTTTATTGCTATATGGAAAGAGGTAAGATAAGGACCATCCCAAAGTTTTAAGTTCATATTCAAATGAAGACCAACAGTCTTCATTTACACTGCTGTCTTTAAAAAATAAAATTTAACTTTAACTTGCCTATGCCTTTGGAATCTTTTATTTTACACATTTAAAAACATTATTCTGACAAGGCATTTCATAAGCTTCACCCAAGCACCAAAGGGTCCCATGACACAAAGGGTTGAAAAAGCCTCTACTCTATACACTTATTATCACCTAGCTCTTCTTAGAGACATGTTCTTTATACAAAGCAGCCTGCTACAGCTGTGTTATGGGCTGTGGAGCCAGAGTATTCAGTGGGCAGGAACGTGGCCTGACTCCTTACTGGACACACAGTGTGAGACATACCTAAGGGAAAATAAATCTGGCAGAAGAGTGAATAGTAGTAGAGGCTGTGTGGTCTTCTTCCCCACCCTCACAGACAGATTCTCTTGCAGAGATAATCTTGTAAGTTTTGGGCTTTTTTTTTTTTTTGCCTGAAGTTTTTCTTTTAACAGACTGGTGTCAGAAATGGGATCTGAGGTAGAACCTTAGTGACTCCCAGGAGGACCAAGTGACCAAATGAAGGTACCCACCAGGCCCAACTATGCCCATTGATCTCTTGTAGCAACTGAGATTGTGATTGAATTCTCTTTCAGATTTCAAGTTCCACAAACTTGTATTTTGAACTTTCTGAGTTTATTTGGACATTTTAAAATTTGGACTGGGCTTGGAAGTCATGACAGAAATAGGACTGGTTTCTGTAGGGAGGCCTCAGGTGTCTGACTGGGTCAGAAAGAAACTGAACTGGGTTCAGTAGGTAGGTGAGGTTACCATAAGACAGAGAATCATAGGTTCCTCTGGATCCAAGGAGTCTAGAACTCCTGCATCTGGAACTCCAGCCAATTTAATATATAAGAACTCTGGACCCAGAACTGTACTTTTCTTAAAAAAAAAAAAAAAGGATAAACCTTACCAAAGGTAACCTAGAGTTACAGTGGCCACAGTGGGAAAGTTTTAATCTAGACAAAATTGTTCACTTGTGAGCTGCATTAGAAAAGAGGATCCAAAATGCTTCAGAAACAAAGGAATCCTTTTTTTTCTAAACTGGTACTCAGAGCCTTCCAAAAGATTAAATGAATACAAAATTGCCACTCTAAAAGACTCTTTACAAAAGGTGAACAGGCACATGTCTTTATAGTAGCTATAACAGCTGTAGGGACCAAGAAGATCTCCTTGTATATGTTTTAAACCAAAACCAAGGAGTCCCAGATGAAAGAACCCTGTGCCCTAAGACATTTGCCTTTATTATAAACTGCTAGACCATTGGAAAAGAAAGTATCAATTTTTACACCAGGCATCTGACGGACCCATTCCTTTTGGCTTGGACTGATTCCCGACTAGAGGAAGCCTCTAAAGGCTTCACTCCTGAGACAATAATCAACTAATCTCTCAGAAATTAAAAAAATAGAATATTTCTTTGGTAGGGATTTAAAATCAAGTCTTAAAGATCCTCATATTTAATTGACTATTTCCAGAAAAATACTTGTAAGAATTATTGGTCTCTGTTTTTTTCTATTTGATCTCATGGAAACCTCTCTCTCCGTTGGGAACTTCTCCGTTGATTAAAACCCCTCTTCTCAAACCCCTGCTGACTATATGATCTGCCAACTTTGTCTACCTCTTTCTTGTTGTCATGATCTTTGGTATGCCCCAAAACTCTTTCTTGGAAAACAACAACAACAACAACAACAACAAGACAACTGATTGCTTTGTCATTCAATCTTGAAAACAAACAAACAAACAAGAAAATAACAAAGCAGTCTCTAACAATAAGGCAAGATTAGAAGTATCCATTTGAGTCCAGGCATACAAAATGCTTGTCCCTAGACTTCCATGGGCTCCACCCACTCAATATTCTAGCAAAAAGACACAAACTTTGTTTTTGGGAAAGAATGGATAGGCCCTTGGAAGAATAGATGGTGGTTTGTGACAAAGTCAGTCTATGATGGACTTCTGGCCTCCTCTCCTGTGATTTTGGGAATTTCTACATGGACCCTTTGGAAGTTTCCATCTGGAAACTTCTCCTTGTAGAGAGAGAGATATTAAACTAATTGGGCTTATTTTATGTATTAAATTATATGGGAAGCATTGTCAAATAATGCTAAACCTCCATTGAGTTATATTTGTATGATTATTTTATTAATATGTGCTTCAGAAATTCTATGAAATTCATAGAAATCTAATAGTCCTGGTGTAACACTATCAGTCTTAATTCTAGTTGTTATCTTAAAATGTTGTATGCAGCAATAACCAAATTTCCTTGTCAATTGCATAATCATTGTAATTAACTCTCATTAGATCTTTAAAAATGGCCACTTAAATTATGTGTTTTTGTCATTCACAGAAGGAAAATTGTTTACTCTGGTATCTTCCTAAGAAACTGTACACTTAAATTGTTTTGTCTTCAAGGAGATTCATAGAAAGGACTCTAACAAGTTTCTGATAACTTTAAGATTATACCATTAAACTAGGTAAGAATTTCCAGAACTCTAATGAAGAATCTGGTTCATAAAACTGCTAATCCAACATCAAGCAGAACAATAATTAATTAAATGCCAAGGAAATTCTTTGGCAGATTTTCATGCTAAATCAGCCAGTACTGAAATTGTTATGATATGCAATTTAAATGAACAACGTAAGACTGATCCAAGTCAAATTACATCTCTGATAATATTTATTTATTTATTTGAGATGGAGTCTCGCTCTGTTGCCCAAGGCTAGAGTACAGTGGCGCCGATCTTTGCTCACTGCAACCTCCACCTCCTGGGTTCAAGTGATGCTCCTGCCTCAGCCTCCTGAGTAGCTGGGGTTATAGGCGCATGCCACTATGCCTGGCTAATTTTGTATTCTTAGTAGAGATGGGGTTTCATCATGTTGGCCAGGCTGGTCTTGAACTCCTGGCCTCAAGTGATCTGCCTGCCTCGGCCTCCCAAAGTGCTGGGATTACAGGCCTGAGCCACCGCATCCAGCCTGATAACCTATTTAATAAACAGTGCTGTATACCTGAATTGGAGAAACAGAATTGGTATTTAAGAGGATGTAAATCCAATATTAAGCATAATCTACTGGAGAGCTTGGATGGCCATCTGGTCCTTCCTGAGTCCTTAAAGCTTTCATTATTAAAAGTTCTGCACTCTATAACTCATCATGGAGTAGACAAAATGATCCAAATTATGGAAAATTATTGGTGTGGCGACTGTTCAAAAATTGCTAAAATGGTTTATAACCAATGTTTGGTCTGTCAAATCCATAATCCCAAGAAGACAAAAAAACATTCAGATGGTAAATTTCTGCTACCTGATGGGCCATTTGAACATTTATAAAGGAATTTTATCCATTTGTCACCTTCCATGGGATATGAATATATTCTTGCAATGGTCTATGTTCTCTGGTCACATAGAAGCTTTCTATACAGGAAGGCCAATATTATAACAGTAGCTAAAAGATGATCAGAAACATGTTTCCTTTATATTCCTGGAGAAATCTCCAGCAATAGAGGTACCCATTTTGCTAGAAAAGTTATAAAGCAAATAAGGTGTTATGAACACAATGGCATTATCATTGTCCCTATTACCCTTGGTCTTCTGGAAAGGTTAAAAGGAAAAATGGCATCTTAAAACTGAAATTGGGAAAGTTAACTAAATAGATTGGATTGCCTTAGCTAAAGGTATTACTATTGGCCTTGATGGCAATCAGATCCACCCCCAGTGGAAAACATACATTGATCCCTTATGAAATAGTCAATGGAAGGTCTAGGCCCCTAATAATAGGACCTCTCCATCTCCTAAACTCTGATATGACTAAATGCTTCAAGGTTTTAATTTTTAAAGCAAAGTGTATTTTCAGCAGGTAAAGGAAGATTTTCATGATTCACTGACTGAGGACAATCAAATTCTTCACCACGTAGAACCTAGACATTGGGTCTTTGGAAAGGACATCAGAGAAAGACTGCCATTAAGCTCCATTGGAAGAGACCATATCAAGTTCTTTTCTGCAGCAAACCATCAGGCTCTCAAGTCTTGGATCTATGTCTCTCAACTCAAAAGAGCTCCTCCAGACTCCTGGAACTGTATACCTATTGGAGACTCTAAGGTAAAGCTCACCAGGGAAGATTTCCCCCAGGAGCAGTTGGCATCCTAGACTTCAACAGCTTTCGTAAGATTGTGGATCAAGACTTCTCTGCCATCATGAAAGTCTTATCTTTTCCCTTTCTTCCCAATTTCCTGCTGTCCCAGTCCCTTTCTTTTACTTATAGGAAAATCCATGGGGCCATAATCTGTGGATGGCTTTAGCTAAGTCTTATGCTGTAGTGAAAAAACAGAGCAATTGTTGGGTTTATGAAGATAAGCTAGTTTCTACTGAGGAAAGATTCCAGTGGCATTCCTGGGGGCTCAGTCTTGGTACTAGCAGGGTACTGGTAGTATGGAATTTGAAAGTAATCCATAAAATGAGAAAAATCTTGGGTTTGACCAACCAGTCCCCACAGAGGTTCAGGTGAGTAGAAGTCATCTTTTGAAAACACTTAATAAAACATCATGCAGTTTTGGATCCTGTTTCCTTAGACACTGCCACCAAATACATAAAGGAAATTTCTCAGAGGAAAGAAACATATGACATGTTCATAGGAGCAGCAAACCATTGGTTTGCAGGTAGGCTTGGCTTTTCCAAGGTGTTCTAACCTTTATGCTCTTCTAATGGTTCTCCAGATTACTATGACTTGTGTTAACAAGATAATGACAACATTGGATACCTCTTTAAATCAGCAAACTGCAGTTCTTAATCATTATCACCTCCTGAACAAAAACCATGACCAACGGTACTCAAATGCTTTTGAGCTGCCTGTAAGGGAGGAGACCACCCCTCATATTGTCTTATGCCCAATTTCTGCCTCCAAATAAAGAAGAAGTAAAAACTAAAAGGCAGAAACGAAATCCACAAGCAGACAGCCCGGTGCCACACCCTGGGCCTGGTAGTTAAAGATCGATGCCTGACCTAATCAGTTATGTTATCTATAGATTACAGATATCGTATAGGAAAGCACTGTGAAAATCCCTGTCCTGTTTTGTTCCGATCTAATTACCAGTGCATGCAACCCCCAGTCATGTACCCCTGGCTTGCTCAATCGATCACAACCCTCTCAAGTGGACCCCCTTAGAGTTGTGAGCCCTTAAAAGGGGCAGGAATTGCTCACTCAGGGAGCTCAGCTCTTGAGACAGGAGTCTTGCCAATGCTCCCGGCCGAATAAACTGCTTCCTTCTTTAACTCGGTGTCTGAGGGGTTTTGTCTGCATCTTGTCCTGCTACACCTATATTGCCTGAACTTTGATTTGGGTCAAATTGATTTGGTTGGCAGAGGCTCCTGTTAGAGAGTACACCTCAGGCTTTTGGAATTTTTGGTGTTGTCCTTCTGATAGTCATCATAGTAGCTCCCCTGGTGTACCATATCCTCTCAAGTCTTAAATATTTGTATGCAGCCATCCACTGAGTGTTGAGTGGTCTCACTTTGACTTGATCATCAAGAACATAAAGAATTATTCAACTGGTGTGATGTCATGACTTGTGAATTTCATGCTGAGACCAAATAAGTTTGTTTATGATGGTGACAGAGAGTGGTATCAATGCCCCAGGTTTTGAGAGGTGGCATTGTTAAACTAAATTTGGGGGGATTGTTAAACTAAATTTGACCTGAGAATGCCTCCATACCTGAGTCCTTACTAATGAAATGCAATGTAACTTAGTACTCACACTAACTGAAAACCTGGCTTAGGCATATACTTTTGTCACAAATGAGTCACAGCCAATCACAGCAGCTGAGCTTCAGTCAGTCACAGGCAGCCAACTCAAAACACCATGTTCACATAAAGCAAATGCTGAATAAGGCAAACACCAGCTGTAATCAATGGAGCTCTGTACCTCACTTCCATCTTCTGTTCATAAATGCTATCTGACCACATTGCAGGCCAAAGTTTTTCTGAACTTGTTCTAGTTTTGAGGGCTGCCCAATTCGTGAATTGTTCTTTGTTCAATTAGACCCTGTTAAATTTAATTTGTCTGAAGTTTTCCTTTTAGCAACTGAAGCATGCAGCAGGTCTGACATCATTAGGCAATTGCAATTCTCTTTCCTGCAGAGCTAAGACTCTGCCTCCTGCCTGATTCTCAAAGCAGAGCTCCAGGGAGCAGCAACACTAATTGTACAGGGCTGGCACACTAGAGAAAACCGATTTGCTACCCCAGCTTTAGGGCTTTTTCTAACTTCCCTCCAAAAGGAAATATACTAGTGCCCTGCTCACTCCCTGAGGTACTGTCTTCGCTAAGGTATGATGCTTGTTCATGGATTAATGTGTTTTCCCTCCAGGTATATGTTTCTATTTAAAATGCAGAGAGTGTTTTAATGTGGAGGAATGACCCTAATGATAGAAGTTTTAATAAGTCAAATGAGCGGAAAGGCAAGACAATATAACAAAAAGAGCACCAGTTTTGGCATAGCAGGCACTCAATAAATGTAAGTTCCACTTCTTTCCTTGTGCTGAGTGTCTCCTAATTACCTAGCACTATGGTAAATGCCCAAGAAACTCTAAGATATAAACTTTTGGTTTAAGAAGGCTTTATTTGTACTGATGAGATGATATGAGAAAATACTTTCTTTTTCTCTAAATACTATTACATTGTAGGCAGCAGACTGGCCAATACAATTAATTAAACTTTAGAAAGAAAAGATAAAGCCAGTCATCTGCTATGTAGTCTATGCAGTCCCAAAACAGCAGCTGAGTTTTTTTCACGGAACTCTTCTGGGTATTGGAAGGCAGACTAAATACTTTACTTGCTGCCCAGCAACACGAAGATGGAAAACACATCTTTTGATTAATTAAAAGCAAAAGGTTGGAACTACTTACCTTTCCATTCTTTAATTAACAAAGCCCACAGGCCACATGAGGAAGTAATAACACTCATTATGTTGTGATGAAGGACTGTGATGATGAGTTAAGTCAGATGGGACTCCAGGCACGATTCCCTTCAAGGCTTCCCCAAGACGTGCCCCGAATGTAGACAGATCCTTACTTGTTGAAGAACTGTATCTCACCAGTGCTGGCATATGCTTCTTCAGAGAGTGCATTCCCTTTTGCAAGGGAAAGAAAAGTCCTTAAAACAAAAGGTTATATTTTAATTAAGCCTAGGCATCCTTTCTGCAATTTCCTTTGTTGAAAGAATACCTCCTTTGATTTGTATCTGTTGGTGTTAGTCTTTGGAATAAAAAGAGATTGATCCCTTCCAGGCAGAACTGTCCCAACTGAATGATCAAAAGCCTTGCTAGCTGACATACAAACCAACAAATTATTTTCTTTTTCTCCCTTAAATCTCCCAGGAAGCACCTTTTGAAAGATAGTCTTCATTCCCCAGGCTTTGCTCACCATCCTTCATGCCAGTGGGTGGTCTCAAGGAATTTGAGGAAATGGCAAACACTCATTCTACCTGCAGGTGGAAGCCTGACCTCCTGCCTTTCAACTTCCTCCAGAATCCTTGGAGGGTTTTTTCTTTTCTTGTCACCAAGGCACCGCTGAAATCTGTTAGTCAAATAGCTTTCTACCCATGAGGAAAGTGAGCTTTGATATGTATTTGCTTCTCATTCAGCTATAGCAGCACCAGTTAAGATGCTGCCACCACATGAATGTAAACGAAAAATAAAACAGCAGGCTCAGTTTTCATTCTAAAGTCCACTCTCTGATGGGAATAAGAAATAACTCAATAGCATTAGTATGGAACATTGGGTGTCAGGATTTTTGCCTTCATTTCCCATCTTTTTTTTGGAAATTAAACTCAGTACCTCTATTATCTTTAAGAATCAGGGATAGTGATGATATTTTTCCCCCAAGAAAGAAAATAAGGGCCTATAAAAATGCTCTTTTTAATGCTCTCAAGGGGAAATGCTGAATTGAGAAGCAATTGGGTTTTCTAGAAGTCCAACAAACGTACTTTTTAAAGTGGTTCTCTGATGGAATACCTATAGAAAAACCTTGCTTCTTCATGTGAAGGTTTGCATTCACCAAGTCTGATTGTGTAATAGAGGTTACCCTTTTTAAATTAAATGAATTCTAAACAAAGTTTTACTTACATTTCCATTTTTGCTTTTTAAGAATGGAGTGATTGAGTCTTTTTAGGAAATGTATACACTTTGTGGCTAACTTTGCATGCCACATTGCAGCATGCTGTAAGTTTTATAGCTCTTGAAATACCATGTTAGCAGTAGGAATGCTGATGCTTCTATGATTACAGTGGTCCAACTGCAATGCTATAATCTCTGTCACTGAAAAATCTCATGCTGCTAAAACCTTGAAGACGATCTGAATTGTAGATGGTTTTAAAACTAGCTGTAGGCAATCCCATTACTGGGCATATACCCAAAGGAATATAAATCATTCTATTATAGAGATACATGCACACATATGTTCATTGCAGCATTATTCACAATAGCAAAGACATGGAATCAACCCAAATGCCCATCAATGATAGACTGGATAAAGAAAATGGGGTACATATACACCATGGAATACTAAGCAGGCATAAAAGGAATGAGATCATGTTGTTTGCAGGGACATGGATGGAGCTGGAAGCCACTATCCTCAGCAAACTCACAAAGGAACAGAAAACCAAATACTATGTGTTGTCATTTATAAGTGGGAGCTGAACAATGAGAACACATGGACACATGGGGGAAACAACATACACTGGGGCCTGTCAGGGGAGGGGTGTGTGGGGAGGGAAAGCCTTGAGAAGAATAGCTAATACATATTGGGCTTAATACCTGGGTGATGGTAAGGGAGAAAACCACCCCTCATATTGTCTTATGCCCAGTTTCTGCCTCCAAAGAAATAAGAAGTAAAAACTAAAAGGCAGAAATGGAATCCACAGGCAGACAGCCCAGCACTGCGCCCTGGGCCTGGTAGTCAAAAATCAACCCCTGACCTAACTGCTTGTGTTATCTATAGATTTCAGACATTGTATGGAAAAGCATCATGAAAATCCCTGTCCTGTTCTGTTCCTTTCTGATTACTGGTGCATACAGCCCCCAGTCACGTACTCCCTGCTTGCTCAATCGATCACGACCCTCTCATGCAGACCCTCTTAGAGTTGTAAGCCCTTAAAAGGGACAGGAATTGCTCACTCAGGGAGCTCGGTTTTTGAGACGTGAGTCCACCGATTCTCCCAGCTGAATAAAGCCCTTCCTTCTTTAACTCGGTGTCTGAGGGGTTTTGTCTGCGGCTCATCCTGCTACAATGGGATGATCTGTGCAGTGAATTGCTGTGGCACACATTTACCTATGTAACAAACCTGCATATCCTGCCTATGTGCCCTGGAACTGAAAATAAAAGTCGATTAAAAAAAAAAAACTAGCTATAGGAAACCATCCCAAATTCAATGGTGTCAATGCCTGTTTTCCTCAACTTGGTTTAGCTGCAGGTATGGAAACCTTCCAGATATACTTTCTGCTTCTTTTAGATCTTGAGACACTCTGGTAGGATGTGAGGAGCACTATCTCAGGCAAGAGGCAGGTGGGATCTGAAACTTGAAATCCCTCTTTAAATCTAGTATCTTTCGTGCGTAATGTGAGCCTGGGCTGACGCGCCCCAATACAAGTCACCACTAAGTCTTTCCTGGTTTATTGGTATTACCTTCTATTAAATCTTCCCAAATTTACTCCGACACTCCTCCAGTTCATTTTCACACAACATGCAGAGTGATCTTTCCAAAATGGCAACCTGATTATGTCTTCTTGTGAGAAGCATATGCCAAGACAGGATTAGATATGCAAGGAATTTGGTGGGGAGGGAGGAGAGGGAGCTGAAGGAGATGAGGGAAGACTTTACTCAGAGATGCTGGTCGGACCCCTGTGAGGGAGAGAGGGAAGGAAGGAAGGAAGATTGGATAGGAAGAGTCTCAAGCTGCAGTGTAGTTCTAAAAATGTTTCATGTTCCTAATTCTAGTTTCATCTGAAATCTCTCCATCAGCTTCCGAGCTCCAGCTTTGTTGGTGATCTTTCAATTCTTGGAACTCTCCACACTCCATCTGACCCTAGGGTCTTTTCACGTCTTTTTTTTTTTTTTTTTTTTCTGAGATGGAGCCTTGCTCTGTCACCTAGGCTGGAGTGCAGTGGCACAATCTTGGCTCACTGCTACCTCCACCTCCTGGGTTTGAGCGATTCTCCTGCCTCTCAGTCTCTGAGTAGCTGGGATTACAGGCATGTGCCACCACACCTGGCTAATTTTTGTATTTTTAGTAGAGATGGGGTTTCACCATGTTGGCCAGGCTGGTCTTGAACTCCTGACCTCAGATGATCTGTGCTCCTCAGCCTCCCAAAGTGCTGGGATTACAGGCATGAGCCATCTTATTTTATTTGACTGGAATACTTTCCTCTTCAACTCTCAAAGACAAATAACAACTAGTCCCTGCCTTCAGTGAGTTTTCAGTTTATACTGTTGGTTCTCAACCTTGGTTGCCTATTAGAATCACATGGGGAGCTTTAGAAAATTCTGATGTCTAGGCCACTGTCCAAATAAATTAAATCAGATACGCTGGAGATAGCAGGCTTCAGTAGGTTTTAAAGCTCAACAGGAATGTTGCAAGAAGAAATATGATTATCAGCCAAATGAATCATACCCCTATCATGTGGCTACAGGAATTTGGAGAACAGAGAGATTGGTTGAGGCAGATTGTTATTGGAAAGCTTTTCCCAAGGTCTTGAAATTTGAGCTGAGGTAAAAGAGTTGACAGGTTTGGAATAATCTGAGAAAACATGAAAGGTATATGTGGAAAGCATAAAGCATGTTACCAGGCACTAGGTAAACTGGATAGGTGAGAGGTCCAGACTCTTAAGGTTCTTGGAAGGAATGGCCTGGGTTTGTGTAGGAGAGCATTTGGGAGAAAAGGATGGGAAATTGGATTGTAGCTCATTATGGGAAACCTTAAATTCAAAGTGTGGCTTTGGGACTCCTGTAAGCTATGGAGAGATCTGAACAAGTTTTGAATTGATGAAGGTTTATCAGCCAAGATTTTTTGGTCATAAGTAACAGAAACCAATTCTTGTTAACCTAAAAGAAAAAAAAAAGATCAAAAGGTTACAGGAGTGGTGAGCACTAGCTATTGGAAAGTAGAAGAACCAGGTCTCAAAGGACTAATATGAGGGCCATACCAGAGAGAGCTACAGGACAGAAGCCAATGGACAGTCTTGTTAGGGCACCACTGAGAAGGTGACCTTTCAGATACTGCAGTACAGCCAAGGCTCTTTGTAGACCAGGAGCTATAACAGAAAGCTATAACTGAAGAAGTAATCTACTAGCTGTGTGTCCTTGGTCAAGTTATTTAACCACTCTGTGCCTTAGCCTTCTCATCTGCAAAATGGGAATAATGTGCCTGCCTCAGAAGAATGCTGTGAAGTTTGGAGGCATTAATATACATAAAGCATTTAGAAAACTGTCTGGAAATCAGTGAGTGTTATAGAAGTATTAAATATTACCCCATGTGAAATATATCATACCTTAATGTAGTTAAGGTTTTGCCAGCATTGTCCAATAGAAAACTATTGAACACTTAAAAAGTGGCCACTGCCAACACAGGAAATAAATATAAATTTTATTTCATTTAAATTTAAATAGCCAGACATGGCTAGTCATTATTATACTGGACAGTACAGATCTAGATAAATCATTTTTATGCTACTGTTTCTTAAAATTACCTTTAGTATATAGTATTTTGTTAGCAAATTCCTTGAAGATTCCAAGTCTCTCTTGTTTGTTGCTGTATCTTTGATGCTTAGAGTTTGAGTTCAGTAAATAATTGTTTAAGAAACAGCTGAATACTTCAATCTTACGTTGACTCTGAAACGTAGATCTGCAGCCTCCTTGTCTTTCACAGAAACCTGTCTTATTTCAAAGGAATATGTAAGCATTTCTCTTCTGAGGAGCCAGCCTTACAGAGCGGTAGAAAGAAGTCTTCTTATAAACAGGGACTTGGTTGTTTTGTTCACTGCTATATCTCTAGAAGTTAGACAAGGACCTATCTTATAGAAAGTTTCCAATAAATATTTATTGAATAAGAATGAATGAGCAGCCAATGTCCTATATAGGAAAACCTCTCTCCTTGATTCCGTGGTGAATTATTTCTTTAAAGGTGATAATCAGTAGTTATAGCCAGCATATATTGATTGTTGCTCTACCAGTTGGTTCCTCTGTGCTCTTTCCCAGTCTTATCCCATTTAAACCTCTCATCAACCCTTCAAGGTGAGGAAACTGAGGCACAAAGAGGCTAAGTAACTTGCTCAAGTCATCACAGCTGGTAAGAGCAGAGCCAAGGTTTGATTCAGGAAGCCTAAATTTCAAGCCCAGACCGAACTGTCTCATGACGATGAATGCCAATGCATTACATTGTCTGGCCATGGTAAGCACTAAAAGTGCTTTCTTCCTTTTTTCTTTTTTTGCTCCTCTCTCTCATCTTTTCTCCGCTTTATCTTCCCAGTCTCATCCTAGGGCTCCACTCTGCACATTTCAGAATTCAGTGTCCCAGTGGTGTAGCCCATTTCCTGTACTTCAGCTGGGAAAGGTGTATGATTTTATCCCCTTCCTCCTGTTCTCTCTGGCTGTATTATGAACACATGTTGCAAGGTCTCATGAAAGAGGGTGCATTCCAGAGTCCCCACTTTAGATTAGACAGAGCAAATATTTACTACCCCCATTCTAAGTTGAAATGAAGCGTATTGATCTTTCAATGATTCTTCTATCTCCTTCCATTTTCAAGTGTTTCCTGTGAATGTTAGAGGATGTCCTGCCACTCAGGAGCTATCATCTTTACCTTGACAGATCTAAATTTGGAGGGTGAGGAGTGAAATTGAGGGGTGGAGATAGCATAGAAAAAAAAATAAAAAGCTTAAATAGGTCACAAAATTTTGGCCCAGGAAATTTACAAATCTCAAACAAGTTACGTAAATCAAAAGAAAGGAAACATTGTTTCAGCACATAATGGACTGATTGAGATAAAAGCCAAACAAATTGAGTGTCAAAGCATTTTATAAAACTTCTCTTCACTAAGGCCCCTTTAAAGGGAAAGTGTGTAGCTCCCTCGTTCTCTAGGTAGTGAAACTCTGCCAACAAGCAGTCGCTCTGTCCAAATCTCTGAGCCCAGTTCAGCTTCCTGCCACCTAACAACTGGATTTCACACTCTGTTGGAATGAAATCTAGAAAAGAGAGACCATAAAATTCTGTATTATCCAGTGAAATGGCAGTGTTTTGAGTCCACAGCAGTGAAATCATTGCTTTGGGTTATCTGTTAATTCCTTTGGCTAAACATTAAGCCTGGAAAGTCATCAATTACAGAAGAGAAGGGGCTTTAGTGAGACATAAAAATAAATAGTAACAGAGAAGTTGAACAGGCATGAAGCAAAGCTCTCCAGAGCCTAGGATGCTGCTTCTATGTAGTAGCCAACTCTGGCCTGTAAAATCCAGTAATCAATTGTATGAGATGTGGAGGAAATACCAGGCCAAGGATTCATCAATGCCATGTGTATATTGCCACGTAAGAGTCAACAGTTTGGGAAGTGGATGAAACTATTTTCTGGCTGGACTGGCTTGTGGACAAAAACTTTTTGTTCAAGTTGGACTATTCAAGGAGGGAAAGATCACCTTTTAGACTTCCCCTTGTGATGATGGGCTCAGAAAGACTGTGAGTTCGTGGATTTGGCACATGAGAGGTTTATCCTTCATGCCTTCCTACTAGCTACCTCAAGACTAAAGCACTCCACAATTTGAGCAATAGAACCAAGGAGACACAAACACTTCCTGGCAGGAACTTCTAGGCTTTTTCAAACTCTCCAGAGATCATAGGAGGAAGGGAACATGAGAGAGTAGTGGAGCCGTCCAAGAATGTGTTAAAGGGGCCTCAAAGTTCAGCATGAAAAAAATGTTAAGGGTGACAATTAACTAAGAGGAAAATGAGTTCCAGAATCCATGAACTACTCATTGAACTAAAACTGGTTTGTTCTCTTGGAGCTAATGACTAGAGGATAATCTAGGAAGTCAGAACATATTGTGATTCTATATCTACTCCTGATAGAAATTATTACATAGAATTTGAGTTCAAATTCTCTCATATCTTATTGCTTTCTGTATAGTTAGCTGATGCAGCTGTGATAGGGAGCAATGAGGTAAGGATAAAAATGCAGCTTCTCCAGAAGCTGTTTTGCTTATTGAAGCCATGGAACATGTGAACTGGAAGGGTCATTAGAGATATTCTAGCATTCTGTTCTCATAACTGAGAGCCAAAGAGAACAAATAACTTTCCTGAAGTCACACATTAAAGAGTAATAAAACAGGACTTCTGGATTCTGCTTAGGTAGTAGGAAGCTGGAAAGAGCATCATTCTCACTCTAACAACAACAAAAAATGCCAACTTAAAATTCATAACTTTTCTTGAACCTGTCAGAGGACAGAGGTCACAGGCAATCAATTCATCTTAAATCTGAACAGACACCCGGTGCCTCCCAGGAGAAATGAGTCTCAGGCACTGGCTATAGGGGCAGATCCTATTGGTAAGTAGAAGTTGGCTAAAATTTTGAACTAAAGGCTGAATATGGACTAGATAGAATGACTAGAATATCAGGGGGCCACAGACACAATGGAAATTCATGGCCACTTAGGCTCTTCTCCACAGACTCCATCAAGTGCTCACAAAAAGATTGGAGGCAGGATGAGAGTTCTGAGAAACCTTCGTCACGGTACAGATCTGGGAAAGAGGAACAGTTGCCACTGTAGAAAAGGCACAAGTCCTTTCCCTCTGTCTCTCATGTGGAGTAAGTTCTTAAGTCACTACACTGTTGCTTTTAGGGCACTGGAGAAACCCGTTACAACTGTGAAAAAGGGACTGCAAAAAAAACCTCTCATTCTGGGGGAGGGGCAAAATGTCATCTGAGAGTGGGGTAGGATTATGTACCAGAAACCCAGGAATATAGTGCCTACCTAAGACTGAGAATTAAGCAGAACAACTGAGATTCCCTTCTTTCCCATTCTACTCCCACCCATCAAACTAGGCTAACAAATACCAATTAACCAATAATAGCACTGAGATGCAGTGAAAAGGAAGACCTAAAGCTGAGTGTGAAACAGACATTCAGAAAACATTCAGCAAACCTGCAGCCACCCTAAACACCAGAGAATACTAGAGAAATTTTTTTTTAAATAGTATTTATTGAACATTCTTGCGTGTTTCTCGGAGAGGGGGATGTGGCAGGGTCATAGGATAATAGTGGAGAGAAGGTCAGCAGATAAGCACGTGAACAAAGGTCTCTGGTTTTCCTAGGCAGAGGTCCCTGTGGCCTTCCGCAGTGTTTGTGTCCCTGGGTACTTGAGATTAGGGAGTGGTGATGACTCTTAAGGAGCATGCTGCCTTCAAGCATTTGTTTAACAAAGCACATCTTGCACCTCCCTTAATCCATTTAACCCTGAGTTGACACAGCACATGTTTCAGAGAGAACGGGGTTGGGGGTAAGGTTATCGATTAACAGCATCCCAAGGCAGAAGAATTTTTCTTAGTACAGAACAAAATGGAGTCTCCTATGTCTACTTCTTTCTGCACAGACACAGTAACAATCTGATCTCTACTAGAGAAATTTAAAGCTTGTGCCACATTGAGGGTAACTGTAGCAACAAGTCGCAAACTCAGCTCAAATCCTGACTGGATTGATTTAGCCCTCTCTTGCAGAAGAAAATGCATGCCCCTACACAGGCCTAAAACCTGCAGAAGGAAAAGAAGGCACAAAAACAGTAGGGACTAGTAGACTGGTAACCTTTGTCTCTACTATCCTATATAAGATGTCTAGCTTTCAGCAAAAAATTACAAGGCAAACAAAGAGCAAAATAACCCAACACTGTTAAGAGAAACAAAGTAATCAACAGCACCAGGCTTAGATATGACACAAATGTTAGAACTGTTAGACAGAGATTTTTAAAAGGTGGACAATATGCATCAAAAGATGGCTAAATTCAGCATGGAGATAGAAACAATAAGAAAAAATCAGTGGAAATACATGAAAATAAATGAAAAACAGCAACAGAAGTGAAGTTTTTTGTTGGGCTCATCCATAAACTTGAAACATCTGGGAAAGAATTAGTGAATTAGGTCAATAGAAATGACTCAGATTGAAACACAAAGAGAAATAAGGGAATAAATAGAATAGAGTATTTAGGAGCTGTGGGGCAATATCAAACGGTCTTACAATGACCTGATAACAATGACCTGAACATGGACTTTTGGCAGTATTTGACACAATTGGTTGCTCCTTTTTCTTGACAAACTTCCTTCACCTGGTTTTGAGCACCCAACATCCTCTCCATTTTCTTTGTTCTTCACTGGTTGCTTCATTTCAGTCTACTTTACAGATTCCTCCTTTTCTTGTAACCTCAAAAATTGGAGTGATCCAGAACTCAAATCTTGGTTTCTTCTCCCTTCTACAGCCACTCCTTTGCTGATCTCATCTAGTCTCATGGCTTTAAATGCCTCTTACCTTCTGATGATTCTCATAATTATATCTCCAGCCCAGATCTCCTTCCTGAACTCCACACCCATATCAAGCAGCTTATTGGCATATCCTCTTGAATGTCTAGTAGACATCTCAAAATTGATAAGCGTCAAATGAACTCTTATGTCTTACCCATAAAGCTTTTCCTCCTGTAGTCTTCCCAAAGTCCATTTAGGGGATCCATTCTTCCAGTTGCTCAGGGTAAAATCCTTGGCATTATACTTGATGTCATTCATCCTCTCATATCCCACATCCTAACTTTCAGGAAATCCCACTGACCTTACTTTCTAAATATATCCTGAATTTGACTCTCATTATCACCTCTACTGCTCCCATTCTGGACCTAGTCACTATCACTTTCTACCTGGATTATTGAAACATCCTCCTAACAAGTTTCCCTGCTTTTCACTCTCATCCTCACCCCATTTCAGTCTAAGCTCCACATAGCAGACAGAGTGATCATTTAAAACATAAATCAAATTATGCACTCCTCTGTTCAAAACTATCCAGTGGCTCCTCATATTCAAAGTAGAAGCCTGATATGGGCTGAATTATGCCCTCTCACCTCACATTCATATGTTGAAGTCCTAACCCCCAGCACTTCAGAATCTGTCTGTATTTTAAAGAGGTAATTAAGATGAAATGAGTCCAGATGGGTGGACTGTAATCTAATGTAACTGGTGTCCTTATAGGAAGAGGAGATTAGGATGCAGATGACATGTAGACCTACGAATGATCATGTGAACACACAGCGAGAAGGCAGCCATCTGCAAGCCAAGGAGAGAGGCTCAGTAGAAACCAAGTCTACTAACACCTTGATCTTGGATTGCTAGTCTCCAGGACTGTGAGAATATAACTTTCTGTGGTTTAAGCCATCCAGTCTGTGATACTTTGTTACAGCAGCACTAGAAAACGAATGCAAGACCCAGATCCTTTCATTACAAAATCTACTTGATTTGGTCCCTGGTTTCACCTCTCATCTCATTTTCTATTCCTCTTCCTCTCTTTCATGTGGCTCCAGCCATGCTGTTTGATGGGCATGCCAGGCAGGCACACTCTTGCCTTAGGGCTTTTACCTAGGCTGTTCCTGCTGCCTTGACTGCTGTTCCCCCAAATATATAAGGGACAAAGTCATTCTCTTCTTTCAAGTCTTTGCTCAGATGTGACTTTCTTAATAAAACCTATCATGAAAACCCCATTTAAAACTTCAATCTCGGGCTGGGCATGGTGGCTCACGCCTGTAATCCCAGCATTTTGGGAGGCCAAGGTGGGGATCATGAGGTCAAGAGATCAAGACCAACCTGGCAAACATGGTGAAATCCTGTCTTTACTAAAAATACAAAAATTAGCTGGGCATGGTGGCTCACACCTGTAATCCCAGCTACTCGGGAAGCTGAGGCAGGAGAATCTCTTGAATCCAGGAGACGGAGGTTGCAGTGAGCAGAGATCGTGCCACTGGACGCTAGCCTGGCAACAGAGGGAGAGCCCGTCTCAAAAAAGCAAAAAACAAAAAATCCCAACAACTTCAATCTCCCATTTCCTTCCCCAGTACTGACAATCCCACTTTCTCTATTCTGTTACCTTCTAACTTATGTATCATTTACTTATTATGTTTATTGTTGTGCTCAAAATTTCTTTCACTTCTTTAGATTCACTCTTCACCCTTATCATCTCTGTCCTGTGTTCTGGGAAGCTGACATCTATGGTGTATATCAACAAATCTCCCTTGCTCTCTGGCTTCTAGTTGTGTTCAGCTATAGGTGACACTGTCAAAATGTTGCATGTGGGGAAGAAAGAGAGTTTGGTGTATTTCCCTAAATTGGTCTGTCAAAGAAGACTAGACTGCTCAGCACAGTGTCACCAAGCAGAGAAAACTCCTGATCTTACATAGGGCTCAACTTGAGGTAAGGAACTCAAGATTGGCACATTTTCAGAGGCTCAAATGGCTGACATCATCTGTAGAAACTTTTTTTTTATTATTATACTTCAAGTTTTAGGGTACATGTGCACAACGTGCAGCTTTGTTACATATGTAACATGTGCCATGTTATACACCCATTAACTCGTCATTTAGCATTAGGTATATCTCCTAATGCTATCCCTCCCCACTCCCCCCACCCCACAACAGTCCCCGGTGTGTGATGTTCCCCTTCCTGTGTCCATGTGTTCTCATTGTTCAATTCCCACTTATGAGTGAGAACATGCATTGTTAGTAGGCAAGGCTGTTGTTGATTGGTTGAATCTCAGAGGCATGTTTATTGGAGTGTGTCTGTCCCTGTTTGCCTGACTTTCAGAATGAGGGCCTGACAGTAGTTGGCTTGCAAAAAGCACATTCACTGAAGTGAGTTTTTGTTGATCATTTGAGCAGTCTTAAAAATGGGTTCTGGTGGCTACTTATTACCAGGGCTTCAAAAATCAGTCTTTTCCTAAGTTTGTGGGAACTTTTCAATTATCATCTCCCTGCCATACTGTGGTTTGCTCATTTGAGCCTCTGTGGTGATGATTTCCTCTGGTTGCTAGCATGGGCATGTTTTATTACATCTAACAGTCATCGAATTATGTGCATTCATGCCTGTTAAGTGTGTCATCTATTTCCTAGAAGGGATCCTGATATGTCCTTTGTCTTTCTCTTCTTGAGAGAGTGTAAGCTGTAGCTTATATTGAGCAGGGATTTTGACACCCTGTTTTGTTCATTGATATTTCCAAGTGGCTAGAGTAGTGTCTGGCATGCCCAATAAATATCAATTGTTTGACTGATATGCCGATTCTAGAATTCTTTTTCTTGCTTTCTTTCTTTAATTACCTGCAAGTGTTGCACATCCTTTTATTTCTAATTGTTCTTTCTCTTATTCATCTGTTCTGATTCCATTTCTGGCTATTCTTGGTTCAAATTCCTTGTTTTTTTAATAGCTATTATGAATTCCACTATCTCTTTGAGGACCACAAATATACTTATATTAAAGTTGTTTTTGTATAGTTCCATTTTTATTTTGCCTGGATGGATTTTATCTCCTGCTTGTAGGTTTTAACTGGTTATTAGTTTTCTTCATGTGTTTTGGAATTTTGGCATGCAGGTTCATTTTGCATTGTTGTTTTCCTCTTTCTTTTTATTCCTTGGTCTTGCTTTCTTTCTGGGCTAATCCTACCCTCAGTAGTCATTTTGTGGTTGCCTAATACAGATGTGATTGCTAATATAGAGCCAGGTCTTATGTTGAGGGCTTGGGCTCCAGCCCTGTGGTGATACTAAAGAGAGAGTAAATCCTATCACCAAGGAAGTAGGGAAGTTGGTCCTGGGTTTGGGACTACATCTTCATTCTTTCACTGCCATTGGTAAGTGACTATAAGTAAGGAATAGAAACAGAAAGTGATTAATGGAAACATTTTTAGTCTTTTTTTTTTGGCAGAAAATCTTGCTCCAGTCCCTAGATTTGAGCAGTAAACTCATCTCAGGTCCCATTGGATTGACAGCTTCATCCAACTTCTTGGTTTGTGTTTCTGTTTTGTCTATGGCTCACAAAAATGTTTATATTCTATTTGAATTTGGATAGGCCTTCTCTATTTTCTCTTTTTATATTTCATCAATCATTGCTTTGTGATGAGAGTAAAGGAAGGTGCCTTAAAGTATAGATTTCTAACATATATTGACTGGAAGTCAAATATCTTCCCATGGCATAATTTTTAATTGGAGTATGATATTTCATTGGGACAATTGCAAGTTAAATGTTGTAGACTGAACATATACATTTACTTCTACTTACTCCCCAAATGATGGGGAGTATGATGGGCAGCATGATGGTTATGATCCATTTATGAATGCACACTGCTTATACTCCTACTCTGATTTCTTCATAAAATGTGCTTACATATTTTGTTTATTTTCTCCTTCTGCTAGAATATAAATTCCATGAAGGCAGGGATTTTGACAGTTTTATTCATGTCTGCATTCTCTGCATTCTCAGCACCTAGGACAGGGCCTGGCATGATAGTAGGTCCATAAACACTGGTTATATAACAGATGAATGAATAAAGATATACAGAAGCAAAACCCACAACAATAAAAATCAAGGCATAAACAACTGCTGGCAAGAGAATTCAGCATCTTGGGCACTGAAAAATTGACCAATCAGAAGTAACCGTGATAGATTGCAACAATAACCATCGTTCTCACCTCCCTTCATCTATGCCGATTGTAATGTGACTTTGCAGATCCTTCCATTAAGAAGTAGAGTATATTTCTCATTTTTTGAATGTGGACTGTACTTGTCATTTGCTTTGACCAATAGAAATGGACAGAAGTAAATATTACCAGATCAAGCCTAGACCTCAAAAGGCCTGTTTATTTCTGCTTTGAATCTAGGGAGCCCTGCCTCTGCCATGAATAATCCTGGGCTAGTATGATGAAGGATGGGAGAACATGTAACCAGCAGCGAATCAGCCCAATTGTACCAGTCAAAACTGCAAGAATGTGGGTGAACTCTGCCAAGATGGGCACACCTGCCTTCCAGGCTTGTACCTGACTGCAGGTGCCTGAAGGAGCCCAGCTAAAAGCAGAAGAACCACGCAGTTGAACTGTAGAATCCTGAGTAATCAGAAATGATTGTTGGGACATGAGTTTTGAGGGGTACAACAGTTCACTTAGAAAACTAGGAAAGGCCAAAGACTAAGCCCATAGTGGGGAAGCCAGTAAAGTCAGCTGATTCTTTCTGACAAATTCCCCTGTAGAATCAGAGCTACCAAGTTTCACTGGAGTTAGAGATACATGGCTCAGGTTTTAACAAGGATTCAGAATACTAGATCATCTTCCCATCCAATGCATACAAACAACTGTTTCTTTCCCACCTTGGCATAAGATGGGAAGTTTACTTTCTGGAGAGACCTTTGGGTTCAGGTACACTAGGGCTAAGGGGTGGTGTGGAATCATACTAAAATTGGGAACAATGAAAAGTCACCAAGCTTAATGGCACAATTCTGAGTCCCTACCTTGGCTTCCAGGATAATAGCAGCCAGGATTAAACCTCTAACCAGGATATTGGAGGGAAATCTGACCTGTCCAAGGAAAGGAATTTACACATATGACTAGGTGCCACCCAATGACCCTTCAATAAAGTGTACCAATGGGCAAGCTCCATCCCCACACCCAGAGGTCTTCTAATCAGTATTTAAACAAGAACTTTTAGTCAAGGATTATCAGTTATGTGAGGAAAGTCCTTAACATAAAATTCAGAAACCAAAACAAACAGAAAAACAGAACACAGACAAAATAGAGATAATGAAGGGAGCAAAAGAAAACTTAAAAAACACCCAAGTTAATATTTAACAGATAGATAAAATATTGTATCTTTGAAACAAGACAAGGATGCTGTTTATAAAGGAATAATCAGAGAACAAGAATAAGCTTTTGGAAATAAAATATCTCACCTAGAAATAAAAAATGTAACAGAGGAATTGAAAGGTAGAGTTGAAGAAATCTTCCCAAAAAGTAGAACAAAAAGACAAAGAGATGAGATCATGGAAAAAAGTCAAGAGGCTAAAAATAGCATTCTATAACGTCAAAATCTATTTAATTCACATTTTTATGGCTTAATATTAAAACCATTTCTGATCTTTTCAATTATCAACATTTCTTTCCATGAACGTCCTTGAAACTAAATTTTGGTTCATGCCACGGTTATTTCCTCGGGACAAAAATCCAGAATAGATTTACTAGATTAAATAAATATATAAACATTGTAAAGCCTTTTGATATGTATTGCCAACCAGAAAGATTGTCTCAGTTTATAATGCCAGCATTTGGGAATAATTGTTCGTGAATTTTTCTTAAATTCAATCTTCCTTGTCTCAATCTATCTGGTAATGGATTCCCATCACATCCATAATAGGAAATTGGCAGTTGTAATTTACTTTTATTTCCCAACAAGATTAAGCAAATTATCATTGTATAACATCTTGAATTGTTTGGGGACATTCTTCTGTGTTCTGTAGATTAAAAGCCCTGAGCTGAGTGAGAATTCAGATAAATCTGTATTACTTGGATTAAAAAAACTCTGTGACATCCAGCTTGCTACTGTCATCATTGCTGGTTTGGTATTTATTGACTTTTATATTCCTTCAGAAAGAACATATTGTGGACTTCTCTTCTTATCAGGTTCCTGTCACAAGTATCTCATTTCCCATAGATTGAGTTCTTACCAGCCTAGGTTAGAAAAAAGGAGTCTAGATTAGGCAAAAGAAAAAGGCGAAGCAGTGAAGAGAAGCAAACTCCCTTCACTTCCAGGTATTTGGTTTCCTTGGTGACTTTCATGGAAAAAAAAACCCAACTGAATGGATGTGAAAGGCACAACTCACCAACAGAATCTGGTCCCTGTGACATCAAAACAATCAGAAACTTTTAACCCAATAAATTTAACATAAGGTAAACCTGGAAGAACCAATATTAATGGCCTCGTCCAAGTAAGAAAACTGAGGCCCTCAGATAAAGTGACTTTGTTAGTGGTTTTGTAGATTCAGAGAAGAGTTCCTATATAAATTATGTATTGGTTACCATGTTTGAGCTCAAAAACAAATCTCTATGATATTAGATTAGTAGGTGATATTTTCCAGGACAGAGAAATAGGACACAGATTATGTAAAAGGCTCGGTTGTTCAGGGGACAAATTTGAAGATAACTTTTCATCACTATTGGACCAAATGGCGACTTTAGAGCACCTGAAACAAAACAAAGCACAAAATCCCCCAAATCCATACACATGAATAGCAAAAAAGAAACAAAAGGTCTTACCAACACAAAGCTTCAACATTGTTAAATGATGCTCCTTGATCTTGAAAATACCAGTTGCTTGAAATGTCGTTCTTTTAGGTACATACTGTTCCTCATTGCCATTCTTCTTTCAGCTTGCATCTTTCCAGCTTCCATTTCCACCATCTGCCAAAACTGCTCTCATCAAGATCATCACCAACTTCTATGCTGCCAGATCCTACATATTTCTTTCTCAACTTATTTTTGAATACATAGGCTTATTTTTGTTAATTCTGGTCTAATCTACAGCCCTTTAAAGATAGTACAGGTTAACTGTGCATACTAATGAATCTCTTAATTCAAGTTTGTGGGATTTGGTATTGGTTGTTTATAAGTGATGAAATTTTACCCTCTTAGATGCAGTAAATGATATAAAACTTTCCTTTTCTTCCTTCCTTCCCTTCCTGACTTCCTGCCTGCCTTCTTCTCCATCCTCCCTCCCCTCTTCACTGCTTTCCTCCTTTTCTAATTTCTCTAAATTTTCATGGAGCAGAACATTTTATTAAATAGACTCCCACTATCGCCTTTGTTATCCTTAGCACTGCTAAGGTATACTCATAGTTGGGCTGGACCAAATGTAGGCTTTAAAATTGGATCAACTCCATCCTCATTCAATATTATCTCTTTTAGGTTGAGATTGTATCACATGTATGGAGCTGTAATGGAAAAGAACATTTTCATCTACTGCTGTCAGTAAGCACCTTATATTCATATCTGGTTCACTCAGGTTAAGGCAAAACTGTTAAGTCAATTAAAAAAATTAAAACTGATCTAAGACAGGTATATAATTAAAATTTTTTTCCACTGTAGTATTGCAGAAACTATATTGGATTTGAAATCAAGCCATCTGATTTGAGGAATAGTTCCATCCCATAATGGACATATAATCTTCAGTAAGTTACTTGACTTCTTTAAAACTTGGATTTCTCTTCTTTAAATTGGGGCCATGTGACTTCAGAAATATGAATAGAACTGAAGCATTTGAGAGCTTGTGCATAATTCTCCAATCGCCTGCCATGTGACTATTGATGTTCCAGGTGGCAGAGTCTCCATCAGCCTGTGTCCCTGAGTGATGGTACTACAATGGACATGTAAGAGAATCCTGTGTGCCATTAGCAAGAAGCTAGCTTTTTAATGTTAGATCACTGAATTTTGGGGGTTATGTGTTACTGTGACATAACCTTGCCTATACTAGCTAATATAAAGAGAAGAAAAGAAATAAGGCAGAAACTGGAAGAAAATGTAAGTCTTAAAGAGGATAATTTTTGGATGAAGAAAGTTGAACCTACTTACAGGCTGAAGAGATGGAGCTAATAGAGAAGGACACATTGAATCTATGGGAGAGAGTATGGGAGATCACTGAATGATCAACGTCCAGAGAGGCAGGCTGGCTTTAAACAGGAGGAGAGAGACTTCACCTCTGAGGCTGGATGAAAAGAAGTAAGGATGAGAGGATGGAGATGCTTGTAGATTGTGGGGTGAGATGTTGAGGAAACTCACCCTGATCACTCATTTTTTTTGGTTAAGCATTAGGTAAGCTTATCTGCTAAGAGGTGGGAAGATGTGACTTGGATAAAAAGAACTAGAGGAAGTTGGGCCAGTAAAGATTTGAAATGGTTGCTAATGAGAATGAGAAAGGTAGCTGACCAAGGACAAATAAAGATCCTGTCCATCTCTTGCACTCAGTTGTGAGTTCCTTGAGGGCATAGGCTGTGTCTTTATCCCTCTATATTCTCAATATCAAACACAGTGTCTGACATACTGGGAGTGCTCAAGAAATTCTTGCCAAAAATGTGACTGCCAGTCATTGTTATTTGATTCATAGTTTTGGCATTGAATGGCTGGTTTTTTTTCCCTTTCTCTTAAAATATCAGCTTGCCCTAGGCCTACACTTACTTGTTCCCTATAAAATTGTTATTAAAAGCAACAAAAACAAAATCCAGTTCCCACTTGGAACACTAAATTCCAAACACCCAGGAAGCAAATGCACAGACAGAGTAAGCCTCTGATTAGTTATGTTCCTGCCGCTGTATTTGAAACTCTTTCATTGGTGATGGCAACTTTTCAAAAGAAAATTTAACAGAGAAGCGTTCATCATGTTAAGTTCTCATCCAAGGCAGTTAGCATTGGAATGCATTTGCAGTGTGAATTACAGTTAACATTCTAAAGAGATGTGAATTTTTAGGATGCCTGATGTTGGCAATTAAACTTTGGAGGAGTTAACACCATGGCCCCATTTTTAATAAAGTGTGTGCATTTAAAAAAACTTAAAAAAATTGCCAAAATAATGCGTGCCTATTGTAACCATAAAACAATGTAAACATATAAAAAGAATAAGTTACAAATGTCCGCCTTCTTCATGCCTATCCATTGGAGATGATGATGACAGCTTGATGTGTATTCTTTTTATGCTTTTCTCTATGCTTATACAAATGTGGAGCTGTAAGCAGAACTTTGTGTTATTGTCTTATGTTTTACTAAAACTACATTCATTGCTCTGCAACTTGCATATATAATTGTAAAATATATCATGGATAATTCCCCCAGATTAATTACTATAGGTCTAATTGTATACTCCAATGTATTAAATTATGTCCCTATTCATGAAGACTCAGATTTACTAGTTTTCGGTAGCTTTAAATAAAGCTGCAATAAATGTCCTTGGATGTACCCCTTCAGGTTTATTTATTTCTTTTTTTATAGCATCCCCAGAAATGCACTTTTGAAGGCTTTAGTGAGGAAGACCATTCAGGGGAAAAATCTTTCCAACAAAAGAGAAAGTGTGGAATAATGCATCAAGTAAGAAACACAGCGATAGGAATTCTGACGTGGATTCAATATCTTGTTCTGGATTTGCTGTATGTTGGGGAAACCTTTCTGATTTTATTCCTTTCCTTTAAAAGGATTTTTTTTCTCTGTCATCAAAATAGATTCTCGTTATTTCTGGATAATGAGAAAGTTCACTGGATAAAGTGCTGCTTATTTATTATATATTCATGCACATGTATTACATGTATAATATAAACGACTTCTGGCTCAATAAGTCCCACTCTCATCTCCCTACTGTTACTTTGTGGAACTTTCAAAAGGATGCTTCTCTTCTGCTCAGAACATCATTTGGAGAAGCATTATGCCCTCTCATCATCATGAAGTGCCAATAGTCTTGCCAACAGGCTGACTCCAAATGCTCCATGCTTCCCATCCTCTTGGTCCCCAAGTGGTCCCAAGTTCTGCTGCCTACCACTGGGGACCCCAAATGACTCTGCTTATTTACAGCCATGTGAGGTTCTTCTTGAACTGCCCCATCACTTTCTGGTCCTCTTCGCTCTCTAACCATAGGGCTGCATGAGGCTGGGTGGGAAAGAGACAATAAACCACCCTTTCCATCATCCACTTCTTCTTTTGGGGGCAGTAATTATTTGGGCAGACTTCTGATTACCTCATCCCAAACTCCTGTTCCAAGACAAGTTTCAGAACAAAAGTTCACATGCATATGAAAGAAAGCAAATGGATACACTTAGGAGATGTGACAGCCAATCCCAAATGCCCTATTTCATCTGCACCTATGAGGTACAGCTATGTTCAATATTCTGAAACACAAGTATTCTGTTAATTACATGTGAGGGCTTTACGCATGAAGGATAACAAAGGAAAGAGAGAAAGAAAAGAAAAAAAACTCAAAAGAAAATGATTATGGTACTTCCACTGCACTCACACAGTGAAGGGGTTGTTCTCATCTTTGTTGGCATTTCATGTGCAAACACATGCATAGGAAAATGTAAAGGAAAAAGTACTGGCAAAGGGGAATATTTTTAAAAAAGAAAGTAATTTAAAAGATGAATCAGACTGTAGTAATTATTAATTGAAGGGAAAGGAAATTCATTTTCCAGGCTTGGTCTTAGGCCAAGTGTAAAGCACTTACATAATTAAAATAATTTTTCATGCCCATTTGAGCCCTGGGAAGAAGGGAAAATCCATTTCTATGCAGAGAATGACTTTTCAAAAAGTTTAGCACAATTTTCAGTTGAACTCCTAAAACTTAGATATGTGGGGACATGATTATAGGATTCAGGCTTAAGTTTGAAAAACAAATACATGTCAACATTGCTCTTTGGGGACAGACCTATTTGGGAAGCACTCAACTTGGCAACAGGAGAGTTCACCCTAGAAGCCCATCCCGTAGGCATCAGACCCTTCAACACTGACCTTGGGTGTCTGGAGGGGCACTCCTAATAATCTGTATAGATGAGCTCTTCTCAGACTTCTCCCAGAAGCATGTTGTGCTGGCTTTAGAAAGAGGTTAAATGGAATCCAGCGTTCCCCTTTACTCAACTTCCAACAGACATTTGGAATTGTTCATCAAGAAGGTCCTTGGAGGAACTCTGGGGTCACTGTGCTTCTAGAATTGTAATTTTGTTAAATAATAATGCATGATATAAATTCTTGCTTATGGTGGGCAAGCAACAAGGGCATGACTTTATTTATATCAAATCAAATTTTAGAAACAATACATCCCCCCTCCTCTAATATGTTTGGTCTGAAGGAAATTTATGCTTAGACAGGTGGGCCCCACATACCTTCCCCAGGGTTGTACAAGAAACTTGTGTGGTGTTCAGAAAATGGAAAACATACCCCCAGTAGCCTGTCATTGCTACTAATATCTCACCATTACTTTTTCACAGTCTCTTGAAGATGGGTGGCTTAGAGTGGGCTAGAGAAAAATATGATGACAATAAAATAGAAATTAGTATCTCAATAAATGATCCAGCCACAAGAGGATGAAGACATGGTCTTGATGATTCCACTGTGCATTCTGTTTCTGGCAGAGCAAGGCTTTTGACTTCAGGCAGTTTGACTCCAGAGCCTATATGGAATGAATTTTTTGATTCATTCATTAAGCCGACCACCTAACCCATCAACCAGTGGTATTTATCACCCACCACATTGCAGGCACTGTGTACAGCCATGAACTCCTAGCACAGGGGGCCTTTCTTAATGTGGTTCAAAGCCTAGCTGTAGAGGCAGACATAACCAAATGCAGCAGGGGAGGAGAGTTCACACCTTACTACGCAGATGTGCTAAAAATTGTTTCCTTTATTTCTTATGATAGGTCTCATTCCTGCTGATGGTAAGAAAAACCGTTAAAATTATCAATCAATAAAACTAATTAATTCTTTTATTTTTTAAAATAGCTACTTTTGGTCTACCTCAGTCTCTCTTGGGTACTTGTATTTAGTATTTCTCACCCCTTCTCCTTCTCCTTCTTTGGGCATGAGGAAGCCTGAGAAGCCTGTGGGTAGGGAGAGTTCTTTGCTTGTGCTGTACCCTGAGAATTGTGCTGGGATTTCTCTGCTAGAACTCCCTGGGGTTTCTACAGCCCCTGGTCCTCTTCCCTTAGGGAGTTTCAACCCTGAGGGAGAACAGGGCCCTTCATCCTGACCTCTTCGCTTTGCTCACTTTCTTTCCTCTGCAGGGAAGAGGCGTCTACATCTTATGGATGAGAGTTTCTAAGAGATATTCTTTGCTCTTCCATGATTGTCTTCGATGTGGCTTTCTGCTTCCTTGGGGCATTTGATTATGCATTCAACAAACATTTATGAAAACTCTACCAAGTACTAGGGATATATCAGTGATCAAAACAAAGGTTCCTGCCTTTGTGAAGTTTACATCCTAGTGGGGGGAAAATGAAAGAACCAACACACGTAGTGAAGAAGTAAATTACCTAGTGTGTTAGACCATAAATGTTACCAAAAGAGAGAAAGAAAGGCAGGGTAAGTGTGAAGGAGACTGTGGGGCTGGAGGGTAGTTGCCATTTTAAACAGAGTAGTCAGGGTGGGCCTCATTCCGAAGGTGAGCTCCGGGAAAGATCTGTAGGAGGTGGCCAACTGGATCTGGGGGAAGAGCGTTCTGGGCAGAGGGAACAGCAATAGCTAAGGTGGGGTGTGACAGGCACACAGCAGGGAGACTGGGCACCTCTGGAGTGGAGTGAGTCAGGGATCAGCAGGACTACAGGAAGAACGTTCATGAAAGTGGAGCGGGAATGTGTAACTGTGTGAAACATTTATATAGCTCATTTTTCCATCAAAGTTTTAGCTCCTTTAGCCAAGATGCATGCAATACTTCTTTTTGCTGGCATTGGAGGCACTTGATAACTACTAATTTTTTTTTTAAATAAAAGATTTTGAGGGATTACTTGAGTATGGTTCTACCTGGTGACACAGTGATGAGCTATACTCTCCTTTGCTGTTTTAAATTCCTGACGATGATTGCACTTAGTCCTGAGTTATGGTGGAACTTTTCTTGTTTACATTCAGATCTATGCTTGTTCTGTTGGCAGAGCCTCAATCAGTCAGGTCGGAGCAGGAAGATACTCTTTCGGCATTGTGCCCTGATTCAATAAGTCATGCGGAGCTCACCACAGCACTTAGCTCAGAAGCACAGAATCTCATGGGTCACAGATGTTTTTGCCTAGAGGAATGGCATTTTTATTTAATATTTAGGTAAAGGGGGCAGCTGTACATGGTCATCCTGGAAATTCATTGCAGGAATTTGTCTGATATGCCCTGCACAGATATTTCAATTCGGTGATATATATTTTATATCTTTGAAACCGAAGTTTTTATAGTAAATCTATCAAGGAGGAACTGAACAGGTGCCATTCTTGCCCAGTCAATTAATATGATCTCTGGCCCTGAATCCTGTCTCTTGTAAATTTATTCAAGTAGAGATTACTTACTTTCTGAAGGGGACCTGGATAAGAAACCAGGAGCTGAGCATCTGATAAGTTACTTTTCTGTGTTTGAACAACTAAAGAAATGTGAGGAGCATGTTGGAAAAAGAGAGATGGCTTTTAAGTTTCTGTTAAGAATTAGCTGCCTGTCTTTGTACTGTACAAAAGTACAATCTGTAAAATATCACATTCCTAGAAGGTAGATTAATGAAATTCTGAAACCATCTAAATATGATACACCTCTTGGGCTATCTCACATGTGTTAAAATTGTTGCAGATATTTTCCCATCACCACAATTACATATTTTTTATGTGTGGATAGAAAAAGGAAAAGAATTCATGAAATTAAAGTAAGTCTTTCTCGACATGTGGCAAATCCATCGGATATATGATAAATCTTTTTCAGAGCTGAACTCAATAGGGCAAGAGTATTTATTCTCTTCCAACTCAGCCTGGGCTCTAGTAACTCATTAGTCGAGCGTATAACTGAACTTTGCATCCGAACAAAGTTCCGGAGGCCCCCAGTGTGCAGTTTGTTTCTTGCTGAGCACATTTTAAGGTTGTATTTTGAGTTGTTTGCCTTTCCCCTCCTTGAACGCCATGAAGCAGTTTACTAGAGCAGAATTGCTTTTATGTGTCCTTTCTCCTTTCATGTCCATTTTTGGCTGGCTCTTCAATAGTGTGGCCATTGGCATGAGCTGTAATGCTCCGGTAACTGGGCAAGCAATTAGGAGAGCCAGACAAACCTTCCTTCTTGCAGCTGGGCTTTCCTGGCTTCTCTAAACACAGTCGGCCAAACAATGAAGATCCTGGGAAGAAATCAAACAGTAAAGCACTTCTTTCTTTAAAAGAAACACACTCAAAACTTTGCTAATAGTTGTCATGTTGTAGCTGAGGACAGGATGCTTCAGGAACCAATGCCATATGGATAGTGTTGGAGGGGGTGGCTGGAGCCATCCTAACCTGGTGTTTCCTGTGATTATCCTTTTGTGTCTCCCTACCTCTGTGGCAGTACATCACTTTAGAAGCAAACACTCAGATTCCAGATCAATGCATGGCTAATAGGTGAAGCTTCTGGAAATCCCCACTGACATTCTGAGAGGCCAGCTTGAAGGGTGAGAATGGAGTGAGACACCTCTTCCAACATCTTGGAAACAAATGACAGATTAGTTCTGGAACTGTCATTAGGACCTTAGATGAAATTTCTTCCATCGTAGAAACTAAACAAACTAGAAGAAAGAGAAAATAAAAAACAACAAACAAACAAAAAACACAACCAAATGTGGTTTATAGACACAAAAGGAACAATTAAGTTAGTAAGAATAGGCAAGAACTCAAAGGTAAATAGAAGCACGAATTTTATAGGCATGGGATCAGATAAAATACATTTTTAAGCCTTTCAAATCTCTGAATCCTACTGCTCTTGAAATGCAGCTGAAGAAATGGAAAAAACATGGCTAGAAGCTTTAATGAAGCCAGGGGAGTAGAAATTCTTGGTTCTAGTCAGCCAAACTCATCCCAGGAACAGGGAATGAGGAGTCAAAGGAGTCATTCTTCCACATCATCCTTGTTAAGGACACAAGAGCTGTAGCCTCACCCTTCCTCTTTGTAGACACCATATGGGATCAATCTTGGTGATGATGATAAGTCCTTGGTGAATGTGATAGTTCCCTTTAAGATCCTTCAGATTTGACATGGAACTGGGACTGGGTGGAGGGGTGGAGTCAGAGGAGGGAGAGAAAGGGATTATAGGGGAAGAAAGAGGATAATGAATATCAAACAAACCACAAGAAGACAAAAAGATGGGACTCCTCTGAGAAGTTTCAACACTTCCCAAATGAGTGAGTTAGGAAAACCTCACTAAATGTACCACCCTTAATTTAAGGTAGTAAAGAAGAGGTTCTTTTGTATTGTGTTTTCTGAAGGCTGGATTAAGTTATGATGCATGCTTTTGCAAACAAAACAGTAATTCTTAATTTCTCAACTTGCTGGAGCTTGCCACTTGAGTAGGACACCTAGGATGCAGCTGCTGTGTGTTTTTCCAATTTACAAGGACAATCATGAGGGAAAGAGCACTGTGTTGGGAGCCTAAAGATGTGGCTCCCTGCCACCAACCACTTATGCAAACTTTGGCAATCAGGTAGGATCTCTGGACCTGCTTTCTCATCTGTAAAATGATGCTGGGTTGATGACCCATTAGAATGCTCTGAGTTCTAGAAATACCGTCAAATTTGATAATCTATAGTTTTGAGTTTATCTCATGTTTTCCCAGTTGACATAACTCTTAGTCATCCCTTCTGGAAACTTCCTCAAAATTCACTTTAAAAGGAAAACTTTATGTAAAATGTTTTCTGTAGACGAATATGTGTCTTTAGTTTTTATTTGCTAAAGGCATGTGTCATGCATGCCATCTGTAGGAAACCTCTTCTTTTCCCTGCCTCTTTCTGAGGGTAAAGCTTCCTTTCTTACTGTTCTCCACATGATTGCCAAGGATGAGACCAAAGTGGAACCTTTAACAACGGTAATAGAGTGAGAGGAAAAAGAAAGAAGGGAAGGGAGAAGACAAGTCCAGGGAGGACCAGGCCAAAATGAGGAGGATGTGAGGAAGAAACTATTATACAACCACCCTAAGGAATGAACTTTGCCCCTGGGCAGCCCTCAGGATGAGAGGGGTTCAACAGCCCTCCGATGGCTCAAAATTTCTAAAAAGAACAAAGAATGCTTTAGCTGGCCTAGCTTAGAATGCACACCTACTTTTCTTGAGTTCTGTGGGACTTTAGGTTACACAAATAAAAGGGTACTGTAGCCTGACAGTCTCTAAGGCAGAAGTGGGATCTGCCAACTTAAATGAGCAGCCCCAGTGGAGCAACAGCACCTTGGGAACATGGGGAGGCATCTCTGAAGGCCTCCTGTTAAAGAAGCAGGGGCCGGGCTCCTGTAGGGACACCTGAGAAACATGCAACCCCATGAGTTGCCATTGGATCCATGGGTAAAGCCCACTGCGCCACTCCACTCACTTTTTTTCAACGCAAACAGTCCTCATCTTCAGGGCTGCCCTCGGCTCCTGTGTGAGATGGACACATGGTGTCCCACCATGTTGCATGCATCTGGCCTGGGAAAAGGGGTGAGGTTGTATTAAGTAGGGATTCCCCTCGAACAACTGTACTTAGCAGCCCTGCTCGAACTCACACTAGAATTATCATCCAGGTCTATGACAGGCAAAGCACAAACTCCCACCCACTGATCAGCAACTCAGCCTTCCAGAGAAGCAGAATCAGGTTACTGTACAGGGGAATCATGTTGACCCTGTGGGATCCTGGCCCCCAAGAGGAGAAACTTTGTCCTAGAAGAACCAGTACTTAGTTCTTCTACTTTACATCTCCTTTTAAAGCGAACTGCTTTCAGCAAAACTAAGCTTTGTTAAAAGTCAGAAGGGTGGCTAAATTCGGCTGGAGTCTGGGAGGGTGGCAGTGATTGGAAAGAGTGAAGAGGCTCCTGGGTGCTGGCAGCATTCTCTTTCTTGATTTGAGGGCTGGTTACACAGGTGTGTTCTGCTTATGAAAATTCACTGTGCAATACGATCATTGTGCGTGTTTGTGTATATATGTTATACCTCAATTTAAAGAAATGTTTTCTTTACAAACTGCCCTGGGCTCTGCTCCCCTTCAGGACAGGGGATGTGTTTTATTCACTGCTCTATTCCTTGCTTTGAGCACAACGTCTGGCTCATAATAAGTGTCTTAGCTCAAGTGGTGGCAGATTTCGCATCTGGTGAGGCCTGGCTGGCTTCCTAATTCCTACATGGCTCATGGCTGTCTTCTCACTGTGTCTTGGTTGGTGGAAAGGGTTAAGAAAACTCTCTGGTTTTTTTTTTTTTAGATGGAGTTTCACTCTTGTTGCCCAGACTGGAGTGCTATGGCATGATCTTGGCTCACTGCAACCTCCACTTCCCAGGTTCAAGCAATTCTCCTTCCTCAGCCTCCCAAGTAGCTGGGATTACAGGCACTCGCCACCATACCCAGCTAATTTTTTGTATTTCTAGTAGAGATAAGGTTTCACCATGTTGGTCAGGCTGGTCTCAAACTCCTGACCTCAGGTGATCCACTCGCCTTGGCCTCCCAAAGTGCTGGGATTACAGACATGAGCCACCGTACCCAGCCTACGGTCTCTTTTATAAGGGCTCTAATCCCATTCACGAAATCTCCACCTTCATGATCTAATCACCTCCCAAATGCTGCACCTCCTAAAACCATAGCATTGGGGATTTGGAATTTGATGTATGAATTTCAAGGAGACACAAACATTCAGACCATGACAATAATACTTAATAAATACTGGTTGAGTGAAAAAAAGAGAAGGAACTGCTTTCCCCTGGTGTCCTGGCACCAACCATCTGTCATTGTCCTTCAGAAGCATCGGCTTCTGAACAATGAGCCACTAAACAGACGCAGTTTACAGATGTCAGCAGCTGGCAACAACTCAACGCCACCCTGGAAAGGAAGCTCAATGAATAGGTGCCTGGCCTTTTGTGTGTTTTCAGTTCTCTTAAGCATAGGATGAATATTCAAGCCTGGAAAAACCATGCTAATAACAAATGTAAATCATCTGGGCCTAACATCCATGGTGCTGAGAAACTTCAAGCCGAAACTTCAAGTGGAAAGGTCCAGCTGCTCTTGGAAGGACCAAAGGACCTGCCCCCAGGAGGTTCTTTCTTAACCCACAGTGGATTGAGCTTCCAGACACCCTGACAATTCCAGGAGATCCCTGCTGTCAGGTATTCCGTTGTTACCATAGGATATATTTGTTCTGGTTTTAAAAGTGTACTTAAAATATTTTTCAATCACAAACTTACAGAAAAGTTGCAACTATGGCATAAAAATCTTTTTGTTTTTTTCCTGAATCTTTTTCCTTACATTTGAGAATAAGTTGTTGACCTCATGGCCATGAATCATTGAATACGTTAGCATGTATTGCCTGAAATAAGGACATTCTGCTACACAGCCACAGTACAACCATCAGATTCAGGAAGTTAACAGGGATATGTCACTACCATCAAAACTTCAGGCCTCATTACAGTTTTTCCAACTGTCCCAATAATGTCTTTTATTGCAAAATGGTCCTACTCAGGATCATGCCTTGCATTAAATTATCATGCCTCTTCGGCTTCATTCAGTCTTTCCTTGACTTTCATGACCTTCATACTTTAGAAGATTGTAGGCGAGTTATTTAGCAGAATGGTCTCAGTCTGGGTTTCTCTGTTGTCTTCTCATGATCAGATTTTGGTTATTCATTTCGGATAGGGAGTCAGAGGAGTGAGGCATGTTCCTCTCCTTCCATGCTCTCAGATGGCACAGGAATTTGATTTGTCCTGTGACTGGTAATGTTCATTCGTATCACTTAAGAAAGGGGTGTGCCTGGTTTCTCTGCTCTATCATTACTTGTAATGGTAAGTATTTTGGGGAGAGGCACTTTGAGACTATGAAAATATCCCATTCATCATCAAATTATTAACTTATTAATTTAATCTGTATAGACTCATGGTTCCCTTGCTATTTATTTAGTGGGTTATAATGTACTACCATCATTCTTTTTAAAAATGTTTAATTGTCCCCAGTTTGGTTGTTGTATCCTTTTCAGTTGGCTTCTGTGTCCTTTTGACACATCCTCATCATTCTTCGAGTACTTCTTTGTTTTTCTGACATAAGATATTTCAGGCTCATCTTATTTTTTTCCCATGCCAACCCAGGAATCAGCCATTTCTCCAAGGAGCCACACACACACACACGCACGCACACACACACGCACGCACACACACACACACTCCATCTTTATTTTTGTATCTTGCTTTGCATATGGAAACATCAAGTTCACATCCATACCTCTGCTTCTAGTCTAACACCAATGCCATGTGCCCTTCACGTGGGCTCCAGCACTGTGTGCTGGTCTGCCCCCACCTGTGGAGGCCTGCTTGGGCTCTGACATCCTACTCAAGCACACCTTCATCCGGACAACCTCCTCACACTGCTTGGGCTCTAACGCCCCTCAGTGCTGCCCCAATGTGTGGATCTCTTCTCATCACACTTGGGCTGGAGCTCCCTCCTCCTCCCACTGCCAGCGTGGGAGCCCACCTGGGTCTGCACCACCTAATGGCTTTAGGACTAAATTCTCCAGAAATGGAAGGGAAGAATTGAGAAGGGAAAGGAGAATATGCAGAAGGATAACCTTTTCCTTAATTTTGACCCCAGAATACTTTGTTCAGTATAATTATTTCAAGAGCGTATTATGTTCTTTTGAGATGATTCATCCATGTCTTTTGGTTTATAACTGAGAAAGATATCCTTTTAGACCAATAAGAAGAAATGCCTGATACTTCTTTATTGTAGTTTCCAGAAAAGTGTTTACCATGTAAGTCATATTACTATTTCAAGAAACCCTGGCCAACCCTTCTTGGTTGAGGACAATTGAAGGGGTGGGTAACAATTCTAGGGATAGTAGCAGAAGACTCTTCTTTGATTTGTAGCTTTCAATCAAGACAGCCACTGAGAATCTGAACTGCCACCCTTTTGCTACCAAATGAATCCAGATCACGCCCAAGAACCTGTGCACACTGCTGCTCTGGTGGGTGGTGCAGTGAGGAAGGGGATGGAATTCTATGTCCATTATCCCCAGAGCTGGATGGAAAGATACTTTGGTGGCAGTGTCTCCCCAACACACCCATATTATCACTCCCTGTGTTTCCCAATGTTCTTGACCCTTTTCTAACTCAGAAAGGCTCTGTTTGCCTGAAGGCATTTCCCAAAGAGTATGGGGCTAGCTTTTGTGCCCCTCTTCCTATTTGAGATGCTTAATCCAGGGCCATAATACAAAACATTGGTTTCATGCCATTATCAACATTTCTTCCAGAGGGCGTTCATGCCTACAGTTCTCCTGGAGGCTTGTCCTGATAAGCCAGAGGACCCGACTGTTTTCTGTAATCCCCTCTATATTTAAAATAATTGGTGATATAAATCCTGGTTTTAAGAGACTCAGAAATTAGGTAATAAGAAATCTAGTAATGAATAAATACAGTCATTTGAAAACACAGGGAGAGTAAGTTAATGGTTAACCTCTCCCATGCTTATTGGTTTCTTTCCCTATAAGCCTAGACTTAATAATGGGATTCCAAACCATTTTTCTGGACTTCGCCCGCCCCACCCCATGCCCAACCCCAACAAGATTACATTGAGTCCATCACCCTGGACTTTTGTTATACAGAGCTTACTTGGTTTTAGTTATTTAGTTATCCAATTGCTTTTTAAAATGTCTGTATTTTCTACTATACTTTATGTTCCATGTGGGCATACACTTTATAGGCTTATTCATCAATTGTGACTTTAGTGCTTAGCATAGTGTCTTGTGCATAGTCAGAGCTTTAAAAACATTTGTTGAATGAATGAATAAATTAATGTTTTCTGAGCACCTATTATGATGTTATCAACTTCACATTATTTAATCCTAATAGCAGCTGATTTTAGAGATTGGGAGATAGGCTCTGAAAAATTAAAAACTTTGTGCAAAGGTGCCTATGTTTTAAAGGGGAGAACCTGAATCCAAACTCATTTAGAGAAAGAATAACCTGTAGTGGCTAAGAGTACAGGTTGTGAAGTCAGACTGCCTAGATTAGGCAATTTTATAGGCTGTCATGAGGAATGAACGAGTTAATGCAGGAAAAGCACTTGGAACAGAGCCTGGCACAGAGCCAGAACTTGGTAGACATTAGGGATTAATATAATTTATGTCTCTCAACCTGTGTCTTTTCCACTCTATCATGTTGCTTCCTCTCATTAATCAACAAACTTTCTCATGTTCTTAACTGTCCTCCCATTAGCTAAAATACTAATCAAAATTAATGTACTACTTGTGAACTGTGATTTTAGAAATATCAAAATCTAGAGGCAGAGCCAGAAGGAAGGAGCCTGGGTCCCTGAATCACTATGTGGAGGAAAGCTGCCCATTCACCAGGAGTATCTGCTTTAGATCACAATATAAGTAAGAAATTAAATTATATTGGATTACATCTCTAAATTTGTGGGTGTGTTAGTTACAGCAGCTAGCGATACCCAGACTAATCTTTTTGCAGCAAACATCTGGGTGGGTAAACTAGACGACAGTTACTTTGTGGAATTTACAACCACTGCCTGTTTTCCTTTCCCCTTCCCTATCTCTCTCTCTGTCTTTGTCTCAGTTCCTTTCTTCTGGAAATCACATTCAAACAACATTTAAATATTGGGGGGAACAGAGAAAGAAAGCAGGAAGTCCTACTTAAGCTTCCAAGTCCAAACAAGCCCTTTGCTGGGGTATTAGGGATTTGCATATATGTCAGTAAAGTGGGATTTTGGTTCCAATTTATCTATTATTTCTTATGAGTATGGTTTTTCCAGAAATTTTGTGATGAGGATGTGGTGGTCAGGGAAGGATGTTACATTCCTGCATCTCTATTAGTGATATGATCATAAGAGCACCAACACTCACTTCTCGCCTTTGCCAGAAGAGACTCTACTGTCTTTTTATCAAAATAGTGAATTTCATATAAAAATTTGTTGCTTTCTGTTTCAGTTAACTGCACCTATAAGAATCCTGGCTGTTTGAAAAAATCGTGAGACGATCCTACTTACAGGGTAAAAACCCTGATTAAAACCTTTGGAGTATAATACTTATTACCTCCAAGCAGTGAAACACAAAAATTTTATTATTACCTTGCATTGCATTTATCATTAGAGGAAAAAACTGTTTTCATAAAAACAAAACAAAAACAATAATAAAAGCCAGCTTATTTTTGGAATGTTTTTGTTAGGCACTATAAAAACCACCCTCAGTGCCTTTTTCTCCACCTGTCTAATTTGTTTAGGAATTAACTTGAAGCATTTCCTGTAGAGAAGGCAGGCTTGACCACCCCTGCCCACCCTGGCTGAGGCCAGAATCAGATGCTTTTTCATTGTGTTTCCACAATACGTTCTGCACACATGTATCCCACGGAATACTAGCGAGTTACCTGCTTTCCCTCCTATTCACTTGTTAATGCCAGGTCTTACTCATCTTTAAACTTGGAACATGGTAGAAACTCAATAAATACCTGTTAACATGATTAAGTAAATGATCAACAATTTACATCTGCAACAACCTTTGCTAGGTAGGATACTTTGAATTTGAAGGTACTGTTGTACAAGGACATCCCTCAGCTCCTTGGGAAGTAGTGTACACAGAACCTTCCCTTTAGAGAGGGAAAGCAAGATTCTGGGAGCTTTTCAAATGTTTTGTTGAAATCCACTTTTGTTTCCCTTACAAACTCTTTTTTTGTTTGTTTTGTTTTGTTTATCACTCCCTATGCCTCAATGGACCACATTACATTTTTCTGGTGGTTCAACATGTTCTTAGCTACAGAAGGCTGAAATACTGCTACAAATTGAGCCTTGTAGGAACTTAAAAGGAGATGTGTCTCATAGGAAACCTGTCCTCCTGCATGTTTTAAGTGAGCCTCAGGCATTTGAAGACACAGACCTAGACACTAAAATGAAGGAGACTAGACACTAACACGAAGGAGCTCCCGAGATGGGGATGGGGTGCCTCAGATTTGAATGAGTAGTCAATTGAGTCCAACGAGGGTGCCAATGAGCTCTTTTACGTGGTTCTGGCAAATGTACCCTGCAACCATAATTTTCTCTCAAGGTATCATTAAAATCAAATGATTCCCTTATTTTGGGTATCCATTTACACTGTAATTATTTTGGTCTTTTGTAGTGACTTTCGTGGTTAAATTAAGCAATTCTACTCCCGCCTGTGTAGATAATGTAATGACTTTTTAATCATTTGTTTTCTACTAGCCAAATTGTTTCCATGATCCCATTAGAAATTCTTCTGTAGTG
This sequence comes from Homo sapiens, assembly GCF_000001405.40. Lineage (NCBI taxonomy): Eukaryota > Metazoa > Chordata > Mammalia > Primates > Hominidae > Homo > Homo sapiens. Next base: position 65,025,370 of record NC_000012.12, read on the forward strand.
ATTCCAGTGGATTTATTGAACTACTGGTGACAGCCACACTGATGAACTGCAGGCTGCCTGCTGCTAGATTCAGCCAATAAATATCAAATACCTTCCATTTTCCCCTGGAACTAAGAAAGAAGCTAATAATTCTGATCAATGGACATAGTTCCTGAGTTTTGCCATAGAAGTCATAAAGAATACCATGTGGGTATGGTAGTTTAAAAACTGCAGTTATTATTTTCTTCTGATTATAAAGGTAATATATTATTATAGAAAATTCAGAAATATACAAAATACAAAAAAACTATGAAAATTACCTATAATTTCCCAACTTAAAACCATTTCATATTTGATGGTATTTCCTTATAGTTTTATCTAGTTATCTTTCTATTGTCTCTATCTATCTGTCTGTCGGTCTGTCTATCTATCTACGTACCTACCTACGTTCATGTCTGTCTGTCTGTCTATCATCTCTACTTACCTACCTATCTATTCAAAATTAGGGCTATAACTTATATGTGATTTTTTCCCTTTAATATGTATGATGAGTATTTTTCCATGTCACTGAATATTCTTTGAGGTTATGACGCTTAATGGTTGTATAGCAGTCCGTTATCTTCATTTGTTCTCTAAATATTTTCCAAACTCCTACTATGAACAAGCACAGGATGTGCTGTGATTTATTTAGCAATTTCCCTGTTGTTTTAACACTGGGGAGCCCTTATAGGCTTTGGAGCAGTGGAGAGACATGATATGACTTATATTTTTTAGGGCTTTCAACAACAGGGAAATTGCTACATAAATCACAGCGAATCCTGTGCTTGGCAACATGGGGAGCCCTTATAGACTTTGAAGCAGTGGGGAGACATGATGTGACTTTTATTTTTAAAGCATCTCATTTTGCCAAGAGTAAAAAAGCTTTAGTCCTTGTGATGGCCTTTGAGGCTTAGTCCCAAACTTTACCTCTCTTGCTTCATCTCCTGCTCCTCCCCTGCTCAAGCCACTCCAACCACACTGGACTCCCCACTTTTCCTTTGGAAAAGGCCCCTGGGCCTTTTCACCAGCTGTTCTCTATGCTTAGAATGCCGAAGAACTCACTGTTCAGTTAGCTCAATGCCTTCAAACCTTTGCTTGTATCACCTTCTTAATGAAGCAAACTGCTCCTCCCCATCTTACCTCTTGCTATTTCTGATCTCCTTCTCTCTCTTTCTTATTCCATTTTTTGTTTTTATGTTTTTAGAGATAGAGTCTCTCTGTATGACCCAGGCTGGAGTATAATGGTGCAGTCATGGCTCACTGCAGCCTCAAACTCCTGGACTCAAGGGCTCCTCCACCTCAGCCTTCCAAATAGCTGGTACTACAGGAATGCACCACCACACCCAGCTAATTTTTATTTTGTAGAGATGGGATCTCACTATGTTGCCTAGGCTGGTCTTGAACTCCTGGCCTCAAGTGATCCTCCTGCCTGGGCCTCCCAAAGTGCTGGGATTACATGCATGAGCTACCATGCCTAGCTGTCTCTCTTAACCTCATATGCTTACTTTTTTTTTATATGGTGAGAACATTTAAAATTTATTATTTTAGTGATTTTCAAGGACAACACATTAGCTATAGTCACCATGTTGTACAATAGGCCACTTGAACTTATTCTTCTTGTGTAAATGAAGTTTTCTTGCTCTATATTTTTCACATCATCTATTACTTTCTGATATACTATTTACTTTCTTCAACTTTTATTTTAGATTTAGGGGGTACATGTGTAGGTTTGTTACATGGTACATTGCATGATGCTGAGGTTTAGAGTTTGATTGCACCATCATCCCAGGTACTGAGCATAGTAGTTTTTCAACCCCTGCCCGCCTCCCTTGCTGCTCTTGTATTCCTCAGTGTCTATTGTTCCCATCCTTATCTCTATGTGTACCCAGTGTTCAGCTCCCACTTATAAGTGAGAACTCATGGTATCTGGTTTTCTGTTCTGCATTAGTTCAATTAGGGTGATGGCCTCCAGCTGTATCTGTGTTGCTGCAAAGAACATGATTTCACATTTTTTATGGCTGCATACTACTTCATGGTGTATATGTATCACATTTTCTTTATCCAATCCACCATTGATGGATACGTAGGTTGATTTCATGTCTTTGCTATTGTAAATAATGCTGCAATGAACATACAAGTACATGTGTCTTTTTGGTAGAACAATTTCTTTTCCTTTGGGCATATACCCAGTAATGGAATTGCTGGGTCAAATGGTAGTTATATTTTCAGTTCTTTGAGAAATCTCCAAACTGCTTTCCACCATGGCTGAACTAATTTACATTCCCACAAACAGTATATAAGCCTTCTCCTCTTTTCTCTGGAGTCCCACCGACATCTGTTATTTTTTGACTTTTTAATAAAAGCCATTCTGTCTGGTGTGAGATGGTATCTCATTGTGGTTTTGATTTGCATTTCTCTGATTATTAGTGATGCTGAGCAACAAACATTTTTCATATGTTTGTTGGCTACTTGTATGTCTTTTTTAAAGAAGCATTTGTTCATTTGTTCAAAAGTCCTTTGCCCGCTTTTTAATGGGGTTGTTTTTTGCTTGTTGATTTGTTTAAGTTTCTTGTAGATCCTGGATATTAGACCTAGGTTTTCTTCTAGGATTTTTATAGTTTGAGGTCTTACATTTAAGTGTTTCTTCCATTTTGATTGTATATTGTGATAGGTAAGAATTCATTTTTCTGCCTATTGATAGCCAGTTATCCCAGCACCATTAATTGAATAGGGAGTCCTTTCTCTATTGCTTATTTTTGTTGACTTTGTTGAAGATTAGATGGTTGTAGATGTGTAGCTTCATTTCTAGGTTCTCTATTCTGTTCCATTGGTCTATGTGCTGTTTTTATCCCAGTATCATGCTGTTTTGGTTACTGTAGCCTTATAGTATAGTTTGAGGTTGGGTAGTGTGATGCTTTCAGCTTTGTTCCTTTTGCTTAGCATTGCTTTGGCTATTCAGGCTCTTTTCTGAGTCCATATAAATTTTAGAATAGTTTAATCTAATTCGGTGAAAAATGATGGTAGTTTGATAGGAATAGTATTGAATCTGTAGACTGCTTTGGGCAGTTTGGCCATTTTAACAATATTGATTCTTCCAATTCATCAACATGGAATGTTCTCCCATTTGCTTGCATCATCTCTGATTTCTTTTAGCAGTGTTTGATAGTTCTCCTTGGAGAGGTCATTCACCTCCTTGTATTGTTAGATGTATTCCTAGGTGTGTGTGTGTGTGTGTGTGTGTGTGTGTGGCTATTGCAAATGGGATTGCATTCTTAATATGGCTCTCAGCATGAACATTATTGGTATATACAAATGTAACAGATTTTTGTACATTGACTTTGTATCCTGAAACTACTGAAGTTGTTTATAAGTTCTCAGATTATTATGGCAGATTCTTTATTATTTTCTAGGTATAGAATCATATTGTCAGTGAAGACAGATAGTTTGACTTCTTTTACTATTTGGATGCCTTTTATTTCTTTCTCTTGCCTGATTGCTCTGGTTAGCACTTGCAGTACTATGTTGAACAGGAGTGGTGAGAGTGGGCATCCTTTGTCTTGTCCCAGTTCTCAAGGTGAACGCTTCCAGCTTTTGACCATTCAGTATGATATTGGCTATGAGTTCATCATAGATGGCTCTTATTATTTTGAGGTATGTTCTTTTGATGCCTAGTATATTGAGGGTTTTTATCATGAAGGGATGTTGGATTTTATTGAAAGCTTTCTCTGCATCTATTGAGATGATCATATGGTTTTTTGTTTTTAATTCTGTTTATGTGGTGAATCACATTTATTGATTTGTGTATGTTGAGCCAAGCTTATATCCTAGGAAAAATGCCTATTTGATTGTGGTGAATTAACTTTTTGATGTGCTGCTGGATTCAGTTTGCTAGTATTTTGTTGAGGGTTTGTTCATCTATGTTCATCAGTGATATTGGCCTGTAGTTGTCTTTTTTTGTTGTGTCTTTGCCAGATTTTGACATCAGGATGATGCTGGAGTTAGGGAGGAGTCCCTCCTCCTCAATTCTTGGGAATAGTTTCAGTGGGATAGGTACCAGCTCTTCTTTGTACACCTGGTTGAATTTGGCTGAGTCCATCCATCCAGGGTTTTGTTTTTTTTTTTTTGGTTGGTAGATTTTTTATTACCGATTCAATTTTGGAACTCATTATTGATCTGTTTAGGGTTTCAATTTCTTCCTGGTTTAATCTTGGGAGGTCATGAATTTATAGGATTTTATCCATTTCCTCTAGATTTCCTAGTTTGTGTGCATAGAGGTGTCATAAGGATGTTTTATTTTTCTGTGGAATTGGTTGCAATATCACCTTTGTCATTTCTGATTGTGCTTATTTGGAACTTCTCTTTTTTTTCCTTGTTAATGTAGCTAGCAGTCTATCAATCTTGTTTATCCTTTCAAAGAACAAACTTTTGGGTTTATTGATCCTTTGTTTGCATTTTTGTGTCTCAATTTCATTCAGTTCTGCTCTTCTTTTCTTCTGCTAGTTTTGGGGTCAGTTTGTTCTTGTATTTCTAGTTCTTCTAGGTGCAATATTAGATTGTTAATTTGAGATCTTTCTAACTTTTTGATGTAGGCATTTAGTGCTATAAACTTTCCTTTTAACACTGCTTTTGCTGCATTCCAGAGATTTTGGTATTTGTGTTTCTGTTTTCATTAACTTCAAATCATTTTTTGATTTTTACCTTTATTTTGTTGTTTACCCAAAAGTCATTCAGGAGCAAGTTGCTTAATTTCCATGTAATTGGGTGGTTTTGAGTATTGATTTGTTATTGATTTCTGTTTTTATTCCACTGTGGTCTGAGAGTACGTTTGGTATGATGTTGATTTTTTAAAAATTGATTAAGACTTGCTTTGTGGCTGAGCATATGGTCAATCTTAGAGTATGTTCCATGTGCAGATAAGAATAATGTGTATTCTCTGGTTGTTGGGTGGAATATTCTGTAGATCTCTTTTAGGTCCAACTGGTCAAGTGTTGAATGTAAGTCCAGAATTTCTTTGTTAGTTTTCTGCCTTGATGATCTGTCTAACACTGTCAGTGGGGTGTTGAAATTCTCCACTATTATTATTATTTATTATACTTTAAGTTCTAGGGTACATGTGCACAATGTGCAGGTTTGTTACGTCTGTATACATGTGCCATGTTGGTGTGCTGCACCCATTAACTCGTCATTTACATTAGGTATATCTCCTAATGCTATCCCTCCCCTCTCCCCCCACCCCACGACAAGCCCTGGTATGTGATGTTCCCCACCCTGTTTCCAAGTGTTCTCATTGTTCAATTCCCACCTATGATAGAGAACATGCAGTGGTTGTTTTTCTGTCCTTGTGGTAGTTTGCACAGAATGATAGTTTCCAGCTTCATCCATGTCCCTACAAAGGACATGAACTCATCCTTTTTTATGGCTGCATAGTATTGCATGGTGTATATGTGTCACATTTTCTTAATCCAGTCCATCATTGACGGACATTTGGGTTGGTTCCAAATCTTTGCTATTGTGAATAGTGCCACAATAAACATATGTGTGCATGTATCTTTATAACAGCATCATTTATAATCCTTTGGGTATACACCCAGTAATGGGATGGCTGGGTCAAATGGTATTTCTAGTTCTAAATCCTTGAGGAATCACCACACTGTCTTCCACAATAGTTGAACTAGTTTACAGTCCCACCAACAGTGTAAAAGTGTTCCCATTTCTCCACATCCTCTCCAGCATCTGTTGTTTCCCGACTCATCAACGATCGCCATTCTAACTGGTGTGAGATGGTACCTCATTGTGGTTTTATTTGCAATGCTCCAGTGATGATGAGCATTTTTTCATGTGTCTGTTGGCTGCATAAATGTCTTCTTTTGAGAAGTGTCTGTTCATATCCTTTGCCCACTTTTTGATGAGGTTGTTTGATTTTTTCTTGTAAATTTGTTTAAGTTCTTTGTAGATTCTGGATATTAGCCCTTTGTCAGATGGGTAGGTTGTAAAATTTTTCTCCCATTATGTAGGTTGCCTGCCCACTCCGATGGTAGTTTCTTTTGCTGTGCAGAAGCTTTTCAGTTTAACCAGATCCCATTTGTCAATTTTGGCTTTTGTTGCCATTGCTTTTGGTGTTTTAGTTATGAAGTCCTTGCCCATGCCTATGTCCTGAATGGTATTGCCTAGGTTTTCTTCTAGGGTTTTTATGGTTTTAGGTCTAACATTTAAGTCTTTATTCCATCTTGAATTAATTTTTCTATAAGGTGTAAGGAAGGGATCCAGTTTCAGCTTTCTACACATGGCTAGCCAGTTTTCCCAGCACCATTTATTAAATAGGGAATCCTTTCCCCATTTCTTGTTTTTGTCAGGTTTGTCAAAGATCAGATGGTTGTAGATGTGGTATTATTTCTGAGGGTTCTGTTCTGTTCCATTGGTCTATATCTCTGTTTTGGTACCAGTACCATGCTGTTTTGATTACTGTAGCCTTGTAGTATTGTTTGAAGTCAGGTAACGTGATGCCTCCAATTTGTTCTTTTGGCTTAGGATTGTCTTGGCTTTGTGGGCTCTTTTTTGGTTCCATATGAACTTCAAAGTAGTTTTTTCCAATTCTGTGAAGAAAGGCATTGGTAGCTTGATGGGGATGGCATTTAATCTATAAATTACCTTGGGCAGTATGGCCATCTCAACACTGACTCTTCCCATCCATGAGCATGGAATGTTCCTCCATTTGCCTGTGTCCTCCCTCACCTCATTGAGCAGTGGTCTGCAGTCCTCCCCAAAGAGATCCCCCACATCCCTGCAAGCTGGATTCCCAGGCATTTCATTCTCCCTGAAGCAATTGTGAATGGGAGTTCACCCATGACCCGGCTCTCTGTTTGTCCATTATTGGTGTATAGGAATGCTTGTGATTTTTGCACACTGACCCTGCATCCTGAGACTTTGCCAAAGTTGCCCATCAGCCTAAGGAGATTTAGGGCTAAGACAATGGGGCTTTCCAAACATACAATCATGTCATCTGCAAATAGGGACAATTTGACTTCCTCTTTTCCTAATTGAATACCCTTTATTTCTTTCTCCCACCTGATTGCCCTGGCCAGAACCTCCAACACTACATTGAATAGGAGTGGTGAGAGAGGGCATCCCTGTCTTGTGCCAGTTTTCAAAGGGAATGCTTCCAGTTTTTGCCCATCCAGTATGATATTGGCTGTGGGTTTGTCATAAATAGCTCCCATTATTTTGAGATACATCCCATCAATACCTAGTTTACTGAGAGTTTTTAGCATGAAGCGCTGTTGAATTCTGTCAAAGGCCTTTTCTGCATCTGTTGAGATAATCATCTGGTTTTTGTCTTTGGTTCTGTTTATATGATGGATTACGTTTATTGATTTGCTTGCATTGAACCAGCCTTGCATCCCAGGGGTGAAGCCAACTTGATCATGGTGGACAAGCCTGTCGATGTGCTGCTGGATTCGATTTGTCAGTATTTTACTGAGGATTTTTGCATCGATGTTCATCAGGGATATTGGTCTAAAATTCTCTTTTTTTGTTGTATCTCTGCAAGGCTTTGGTATCTGGATGATTCTGGCCTCATAAAATGAGTTAGGGAGGATTCCCTCTTTTTCTATGGATTGGAATCATTTCAGAAGGAATGGTACCAGCTCCTCTTTGTACCTCTGGTAGAATTCGGCTGTGAATCTTTCTGGTCCTGGACTTCTGATTGGTAGGCTATTAATTATTGCCTCAATTCCAGAGCCCGTTATTGGTCCATTCAGTGACTAAACCTCTTCCTGGTTTAGTCTTTGGAGGGTGTATGTGTCCAGGAACTTATCCATTCCTTCCATAATTTCTAGTTTATTTGCGTGGAGGTGTTTACAGTATTCTCTGATGGAAGTTTGTATCTCTGTGGGATGATAAAGGGGGGTGATATCCCCTTTATCATTTTTCACTGCGTCCATTTGATTCTTCTCTCTTTTCTTCTTTATTAATCTTGCTAGTGGTCTATCAATTTTGTTAATCTTTTCAAAAAACCAGCTCCTGGATTCATTGATTTTTTGAAGGGTTCTTTGTGTCTCTATCTCCTTCAGTTCTGCTCTGATCTTAGTTATTTCTTGCCTTCTGCTAACTTTCGAATGTGTTTGCTCTTGCTTTTCTAGTTCTTTTAATTGTGATGTTAAGGTGTCAATTTTAGATCTTTCCTGCTTTCTCTTGTGGGCATTTAGTGCCATAAATTTCCCTCTACACACTGCTTTAAATGTGTCCCAGAGATTCTGTTATGTTGTGTCTTTGTTCTCATTGGTTTCAAAGAACATCTTTATTTCTGCTTTCATTTTGTTATGTACCCAGTAGTCATTCAGGATCAGATTGTTCAGTTTCCATGTAGTTGAGCAGTTTTGAGTGAGTTTCTCAATCCCGAGCTCCAGTCTGATTGCACGGTGGTCTGAGAGACGGTTTGTTTTAATTTCTGTTCTTTTACATTTGCTGAGGAGTGCTTAACTTCCAACTATGTGGTAAATTTTGGAATAAGTGTGTTGTGATGCTGAGAAGAATGTATATTCTGTTGATTTGGGGTGGAGAGTTCTGTAGATGTCTGTTAGGTCCACTTGGTGCAGAGCTGAGTTCAATTCCTGGATATCCCTGCCAACTTTCTGTCTCGTTGATCTGTCTAATGTTGACAGAGGGGTGTTAAAGTCTCCCATTATTATTGTGTGGGAGTCTAGGTCTCTTTGTAGGTCTCTAAGGACCTGCTTTATGAATCTGGGTGCTCCTGTATTGGGTGCATATATATTCAGGATAGTTAGCTCTCCTTGTTGAATTGATCCCTTTACCATTATGTAATGGCCTTCTTTGTCTCTTTTAATCTTTGTTGGTTTAAAGTCTGTTTTATCAGAGACCAGGACCACAATCCCTGCTTTTTTTTGTTTTCCATTTGCTTGGTAGATCTTCCTCCATCCCTTTATTTTGAGCCTATGTGTGTCTCTGCACGTGAGATGGGTCTCCTGGATACAACACACTGATGGGTCCTGACTCTTCATCCAATTTGTCAGTCTGTGTCTTTTAGTTGGAGCATTTAGCCCATTTACATTTAAGGTTAATATTGTTATGTGTGAATCTGATCCTATCATCATGATGCTAGCTGGTTATTTTGCTCGTTAGCTGTTGCAGTTTCTTCCCAGCATCGATGGTCTTTACAATTTGGCATGTTTTTGCAGTGGCTGGTATCAGTTGTTCCTTTCCATGTTTAGTGCTTCCTTTAGGAGCTCTTCTAAGGCAGGCCTGGTTGTGACAAAATCTCTCAGCATTTGCTTGTCTGTAAAGGATTTTATTTCTCCTTCACCCATGAAGCCTAGCTTGGCTGGATCTGAAACTCTGGGCTGAAAATTCTTCTCTTTAAGAATATTGAATATTGGCCCCCACTCTCTTCTGGCTTGTAGAGTCTCTGCCGAGAGATCTGCTGTTAGTCTGATGGGCTTCCCTTTGTGGGTAACCCGACCTTTCTCTCTGGCTGCCCTTAACATTTTTTCCTTCATTTCAACTTTGGTGAATCTGACAATTACGTGTCCTGGAGTTGCTCTTCTCGAGGAGTATCTTTGTGGCATTCTCTGTATTTCCTGAATTTGAATGTTGGTCTGTCTTGCTAGGTTGGGGAAGTTCTCCTGGATAATATCCTGAAGAGTGTTTTCCAACTTGTTTCCATTCTCCCTGTCACTTTCAGGTACACCAATCAGACATAAATTTGGTCTTTTCACATAGTCCCATATTTCTTGGAGGTTTTGTTTGTTTCTTTTTACTCTTTTTTCTCTAAACTTCTCTTCTCGCTTCATTTCATTCATTTGATCTTCAATCACTGGTACCCTTTCTTCCACTTTAGCTACTGAAGCTTATGCATGCATCACGTAGTTCTCGTGCCATGGTTTTCGGCTCCATCAGGTCATTGAAGGTCTTCTCTAAGCTGTTTATTCTAGTTAGCCATTCGTCTAATCTTTTTTCAAGGTTTTTAGCTTCTTTGTGATGGGTTTGAACATCCTCCTTTAGCTCAGAGAAGTTTGTTATTACTGATCGTCTGAAGCCTTCTTCTCTCAACTCGTCAAAGTCATTCTCCATCCGGCTTTGTTCTGTTGCTGGTGAGGAGCTGCATTCCTTTGGAGGAGAAGAGGTGCTCTGATTTTTAGAATTGTCAGCTTTTCTGCTCTGGTTTCTCCCCATCTTTGTGGTTTTATCTACCTTTGGTCTTTGATGATGGTGACGTACAGATGGGGTTTTGGTGTGGATGTCCTTTCTGTTTGTTAGTTTTCCTTCTAGCAGTCAGGACCCTCAGCTGCAGGTCTGTTGGAGTTTGCTGGAGGTCCACTCCAGACCCTGTTTGCCTGGGTATCACCAGCGGAGGCTGCAGAACAGCAAATATTGCAGAATGGCAAATGTTGCTGCCTGATATTTCCTCTGGAAGCTTCATCTCAGAGGGGCACCCAGCTGTATGAGGTGTCAGTCAGCCCCTACTGGGAGGTGTCTCCCAGTTAGGATACTGGGGGGTCAGGGACCCACTTGAGGAGGCAGTCTGTCTGTTCTCAGATCTCAAACTCCATGCTGGGAGAACAACTACTCTCTTCAAAGCTGTCAGACAGAGACATTTAAGTCTGCAGAAGTTTCTGCTGCCTTTTGTTTGGCTATGCCCTGCCCCCGGAGGTGGAGTCTACAGAGGCAGGCAGGCCTCCTTGAGCTGCAGTGGGCTCCACCCAGTTCGAGCTTCCCAGCCACTTTGTTTACCTACTCAAGCCTCAGCAATGATGGACGCCCCTCCCCCAGCCTCGCTGCCACCTTGCAGTTCGATCTCAGACTGCTGTGCTAGCAGTGAGCAAGGCTCTGTGGGCGTGGGACCCTCTGAGCCAGGCACTGGATATAATCTCCTGGTGTGCCATTTGCTAAGACTGTTGGAAAAGCGCAATACTAGTGTAGGAGTGTCCCGATTTTCCGGGTACCATCTGTCACAGCTTCTCTTGGCTAAGAAAGGGAATTCATTGACCCCTTGTGCTTCCCGGGTGAGGTGATGCCCTGCCCTGCTTTGGCTCATGCTCTGTGGGCTGCACCCACTGTCCAACAACCCCAGTAAGATGAACCCGGTACCTCATTTGGAAATGCAGAAATCACCCGTCTTCTGCATTGCTCATGCCTGGAGCTGTAGACTGGAGCTGTTCCTATTTAGCCATCTTGGAACCTCCAGTGAAATTCTCCACTATTATTGTGTGACTGTGTAAGTCTTTTCATAGGTCTAGAAGTACTTGCTTTATGAATCTGGGTGATCCAATGCTGGGTGCATATATAGTTAGGATAGATCAATCTTCATGTTGAACTGAACTCCTTATCATTATGTAATGCCCTTCTTCATCTTTTAAAACTGCTGTTAGTGTCATGTCTGTTTTATAAGAATAGCAACCCCTGTTCTTTTCTATTTATTTTCTGTTTGCATGATAGATCTTTCTCCATCCCTTTACTTTGAGCCTGTGGGTATAGTTACATGTGAGATGGGTCTCTTGAAGACAGAAGATGATTGGCTCTCATTTTTTAAATCCAATTTGCCACTTTCTGTCTTTTAAGTGGGGAGTTTAGACCATTTACATTCAAGGTTAATACTGATACGTGAGGTTTTGGTCCTGTCATCATGTTATTAGCTGGTTGTTTCGTAGACTCAATTGTGTAGTTGCTTTATAGGGTCTGTGGGTTATGTACCTAAGTGTGTTTTTATGGTGGCAGGTATTATTCTTTTCTTTCCAAGTTTAGAACGCTTTAAGGATCTCTTCTAAGCCTGGTCTAGTGGCAATGAATTCCCTTTGCATTTGCTCATCTGGAAAGATTTTATTTCTCCTTCACTTATGAAGCTTTGTTTGGCAGAATATGAAATTATTGGTTGGAATTTCTTTTCTTAAATTTAAAGATGCTGAAAGTAGGTCACTAATCTTATCTGGCTTGTAAGTTTTCTGCTGAAAAGTCCGCTTTTAGCCTAATGGAGTCCCCTTTGTAAGTGACCTGACCTCTTTCTCTAGCAGCCTTTAAGCTTTTTTTCTTTCACATTGACCTTGGAAAGTCTGATGACTATGTGTCTTGGGGATGGTCCTCTTGCACAGTATCTCACAGGGATTCTCTGAATTTCTTGAATTTGCATGTCAACCTCGTTAGTGAGGTTGGAGAAATTTGGGGGGACTAGGTCCACAAATATGTTTTTGAAGTTGCTTGCTCTTTTTCCTTCTCTCTTAGGAATGCCAGTGGGTCATAGGTTTTATCTTTTTACATAATCCCATATTTTTCAGAGGTTTTGTTAATTTTTTTAAATTCTTTTTTCCTTTTTTTTTTTTCTGACTGGGTTGATTCAAATGACTGGTCTTTGAGCTCTGAGATTTTTTTCCTCATCTTCCTCTAGTCTATTGTTAATGCTTCCAACTTTATTTTGAAATTCTTGTACTGAATTTTTCAATTTCAGAAGTTCTGTTTCATTCTTTCTTAAGATGGGTATGTCATCTTTCAACTCTTGTATCATTTGCTAGTTTCCTTGGATTGGGTTTCAACTTTCTCCTGAAGTTCATTGAACTTCCTTGCCATCTAGATTGTGAATTCTATTTCCGTCATTCTAGCCACTTCAGTCTTGTTAGGATCCATTGCTGGGGAGCTAGTGCAATCATTTGGAGACAAACACTTTGAACTTTTGAATTCCTAGAGTTCTTGTGCTGGTTCTTTCTCATCTGAGAGGGTTGGTGTTTCTTTAGCTTTTGAAGTTGCTGTTGTTTTGGTGGAGTTTTTTGTTTTTATATCTTTTTTTCCCTTGAGAGTTTGTGGTGTATGTTGTATGTAGCCAGTTGGTTTCATCTCTGGGTGATTTCAGAGGGTCAGGGCTTGTACGGGTTCTTTTTTTTTTTTTTAACGGAGTCTCGCTCTGTCACCTAGGTTGGAGTGCAGTGGCACAATCTCGGCTCACTGCAACCTCCACCTCCCAGGTTCAAGTGATTCTCCTGCCTCAGCCTCCCGAGTAGCTGGGATTACAGGCTCATGCCGCCACACCTGACTAATTTTTGTATTTTTAGTAGAGATGGCGTTTCACCATGTTGGCCAGGCTGGTCTCGAACTCTTGACCTCTGGTGATCTACCCACCTCGGCCTCCCAGAGTGTTGAGATTACAGGCATGCGCTACCGTGCTCAGCCTTATATGGGTTTTTTAGTTGTAGCCAGATTCCTGCATTAGGTTTCACATATGAAGTGTGCTGAAGAAATTTTTGTTTGGTGGTCTAATTCAGACTGAGATCCAGTAAATGGCACTTAAGAGTAAGGGCCAGCAGGTAGGCTCTTCCTCATCTTAGCACCTCTTTTGTATTCTCAGCAATGTTCTGGGGAGAACATCTGGGGAGATGGGAGGGCAAGAGATGAACCTCTTGTCAAGTTCATTCCAACAAGGCCTTGGAAGAGCCCCCTCGAATGACTGGTGCCACACCTACATTTCCTTAGCCCCAAGGGGGTGGGGCTCTGGTAGACTGTGTTCCCTCCTCTGTTAGGGGCACCTCAACCCAAAGGTTAGGTCACTAGGAGACCTGCAGCTCCCCAGAGAGCTGGTCCTCTGTGATTGGCATAGTCAGGGTGGGTGGCAGGGTATCTGTCGGGGTAGTCTGTTGATGAAGTGGGTCAAGGGCAGAGGATCCCTAGACAAGGCAGTGTTGTCAAGGATAGGCAGCTGGTGTGACACCCAAGGCCCTGGGTTTTGTGCTCAGCAGACAGCTATGGGGACAGCCCAGCCTGTGCTTCCCCAACCAAGTTTCTTCTTGGTGTTTCTGCCTCGGTAGCAGGCCTAACCAGCTAGTTTTGTCCTAAGCCTTCTGTGCCCAGATTGCTGGTATTCTGGGATATGGGGCTTCATTGGGCAGATGCTGCAGCTGGCAAACAGGCTACATCTTTCCTGGACTGCACTTGTGGAAGGGGGCATGCCCAGCTCCCATGCCAGCATAGGAACCCATACTTTATTCTTTTCAGTGTTGTGAGAGTAGGGGCCCCTCCCTCACTTGAGCTCAGATCTCAGCTCAATACCCTTGAGCTGTGTGCTCAAACCCGGGGTGGGGGGGGTTGGGTCTGGGCCCATGGCTTTGTCCTCTGGCCCCACAGGGTGGCGTACTGACTCCCAGGCTGCAGGCAAAGCACTTGGGCAAGGCTGTGCTGTGTGCACACTCTTGAAGGGGCAGCCAGGCAGGGGCCTTGGGAAAGGCCAGTGGACAGCAAGGTGTACAGATCAAACACACCCCCATCTTGTGGGAAAGACAGCCCTTCTCTATCCCAGCCCCAAAGTCAGCAGAAGCTAGAGTCACTCAGAGCAAGATAGAGAGCTCTGGGGATGGGCACCTATGGTTGCCTTTTGCTACAGCAGCTTTTTGAAAACAGAATCATACTCTTTGGAGTCTTCTGCACTTCAGTACTGTGTTTCCAGAATTCACCCATGTTTGATTTCTACAGCTGTGGTTCATTGGTTTTTGCTGTATGTTACTTATCCAGTGTCCTGTTGATGGACAATTGGGTTGTACTTACCTCTGTTATTATAAATAACACTCCTACAAACATTTTGCTCGTGATTCCTGGGGCATTATATGCAAAATCTCTGTAGAGTGTATACCTAGGAGTGGAATTGCTGGTTCATAGAGGATGTGTATATTCAGCTTTTCAAGATAATATGTAACTCTTCTTCAAATTGGTTGTATCAGTTTATATTCCTGCCAGCAGTGGATGAGAGTTCCCACTGCTTCACATTTTTCTGTTTTTTTGAGACAGAGTCTCACTCTGTTGCCCAGGCTGGAGTGCAGTGGCGTGATCTTGGCTCACTGCAACCTCCATCTCCCAGGTTCAAGCCATTCTTGTGCCTCAGCCTCCCAAATAGCTGGGATTACAGGCGAGTGCCACTGTGCCTGGCTACATTTTTTGTATTTCTAGTGGAGATGGGGTTTTGCCATGTTGGCCAGGCTGGTCTTGAACTCCTGGCCTCAAGTGATCCTCCTGCCTCTGCCTCCCAAAGTGCTGGGATTACAGGCTTGAGCCATGGTACCCTGCCCACATTTTTCTAATATTTGGTACTATGCTAAGGTGGCTGGCAAGTAGTATCTCATAATGGTTTGAATTTGCATTTACCTTATTACTAACTTAGGAGATTGAATGTCCTTTCAAATGATTGTTGCTATTTATCTTTCCTCTTTCGTTTTTTGGTGGGGACAGAGTCTCACTATGTCAGCCAGGCTAGAGTGCAATGGCATGATCTCAGCTCACTGCTACCTCCGCTCCTGGGTTCAAGCGATTCTCCTGCCTCAGCCTCCCGAGTAGCTGGGATTACAGGTGCCTGCCACCAGACCTGGCTAATTTTTGTATTTTTAGTACAGACAGGGTTTTGCCATGTTGGCCAGGCTGGTCTCTAACTCCTGACCTCAGGTGATCCACTCCCCTCAGCCTCCCAAAGTGCCGGGATTATAGGTGTGAGCCATCACGCCTCTTTTTTTTTTTTATAAGGAGTAATAACCAGCATTAACACAATCACTTATTGGGTACTACTTTCTGTGTGCCAGTCTCTGCATGTCACATGTTATTCCCTTATCAACCTTATGAAATAGTTACCATGATATTTTGGGGCCCCAGAAAGATTATTATTAGAGTATATGTTATAAACTGTATTTCTCCAAATCATGGCCTTCACATCTTTATGACATGTGACTTGAGAACCCAAGCCTAGCCTGTAATCCTGCAATTTGACTGTAGGTATCTAATTTCTAAAGTCTATCCTAAGGATTTTCAGAGATCCAAAAAAAATCCCTAGTGGTTATATGAAAGAAAAATTTCTAGACTTCATCTCCAAGACTTTTCTTTGTTACTTTTGCAGAAAGGCTAAGACCACTGGCATTTTTGCTTGTTTCTAGAGTGATATAAGAAATCACTTACATGTGAAAACACCAACCTAGAGCAAGGTATAAGCTTCTTTTCAGAAGGACTGTCTCTTAGAGGACCTATACATTTTTTTTTTTTCTCAATGAATGATTTTTTTTTCCTGTTTGACTTCCAAAAAGGAGTTGGCTGGTGATTATATGAGTCTGGAATTTTAGAAAAGAGGAATGTACTTATTGGTTCTTTTGAATGAATCAATCCAATACGCATTTATTTTGAGTCTGCTTTCTACAATGCCCTGAGATATAGAGAGATATGAGAGAACAAGGGGACTTCATGCCCATCTCCACTATGTTTCCTATTTAGTTGAAAAGTTTCAAACTCTCAAAGATGGGGGGATTCATTCCTTTTTACTTGTTACAAGTAACTTTTTCTCATTTATGTGTACCCCTGGAGTATGGGGGTTACACAAAGTTTAGGTTAGGGTTCCTGGTTGATTCTCAAATACGTAGAAAGTTATCATTTTTAAGAAACATTTTTGACAATGTTGATAGTATATCAGAGCAAAACGAACATCCCAGAGCTTCCTTCAGCCTTCCTGAGAGAAAACCCATAGGGAATATTGTGGGATGGCTCCAAAGGGATATGGAAAGGCGATATGATTCTGCTATAGGTAGCTGGAGCTAGGCCACAGCAGGCTAAGCAGATCTGATCTCCCAGAGCCTCCGTCACCCAATGGAGGAGACCCAGCAAGCCTGGCTGACAGCTGCATCTGGGGGAGTGGAGAGGTGTGATGTGTTCTATTGCCACTGTTCTGTGTGATGTGTTGTGTTGGGCCAAGTTAGGCTCAGTGAGTCCATTGGGCCACAGGACCCCTAGGTGTCCAGGCTGCAGGTCAAGGGACGATGAGCAGAAAGTTAATGAAAGGAATGCAGAAAAGGATGACTTGTGAGCCCATGGAGGCTGGAGCTAAAACTTACCTTTCTTTGTATACTCCTGGGCAGGTCCTCTCCTCAACTGTGCTTGTCTTCCAGCCCAATACCATGCTATGTCTGATGATTTGCTTTATTAGTAGAATTGAAAATATAACAAAATTTTAGATTTGACTAAAACACATACATACACACTGCACACTCATATCCTCTCTTCAACCTTTGCATCACTCACTTACCCTTTGCATATATGGTCTTAGGCTATCATTCACTTAAAAAAAATAACTTTATTGGGATATAATTTGCATACCATGAAAACCTCCCATGTTAGGTATAGATTTCAATGATTTTTAGTAAGTCTACTGAATGGTGCAATCATCACCAAAATCTAATTTTGAAACATTTCCATTATCCCCAGATAGATCCCTGATGCTCATTTGCAGTCATTACCTGCTCCCCTCTGCCCCTCCAGCCCCGGGCAACCACCAATCTACTTTCTGTTTCTATAGATTTGCCCTTTCTGGGCATTTTATAAAAATGGAATCATAACAAAGTGTGGTCTTTGTGTCTGGCTTCTTCTACTTAGCATGAAATTTATCCATGTTGTAGCATGTATCAACATCTCATTCCTTTTTATTGCTGAATAGTGTTCCATTCCTTGGATATACCATATTGTGTTCATCCAGTCACCAGTTAATGGATATTTGGGCTGTTTCTACCTTTTGGCTATTATGAATAATGCTGCTATGAACATTCATATGCAAGTCTTTGTGTGTACATATGCCTTGATTTCTCTTCAGTATAAATCTAGGAGTGGAATTGCTGGTTCTTATGGTAAATCTATCTTCTCAAGATCTTATTCACAAACATCCAGTTTCTTAACTTTTTTAGAAGCTGACAAGCTGTTTTCCAAAGTGGCTGCATCATTTTGTATTCCCTGTGATTGACTTAATGGTATGAGTTCTGTCTCTCTCTGTAGGGTGTAGGTTTCTTGAGGACAGCAATCCTACTGAAGTCCTAAATCAATGCATAGGTTTTGGGTCATTGATGATGATGACTGTAGTGGGCTGAATGTGGCTCCAAAGATACATTTGTCCTAATTACTAGCATGTGAGAATATTACATTACATAGCAAAGGATGTATGTGATTAAAGATCTTGAGAAGAGAGGCTCATCCCAGAATATCCAGGTGGGCCCTAAATGCCTATTGTGTATTTCTTATTGTGTCCAATTGGTTTGGACACCATGATGTAATGTTTCCTTTATATAAATACAATAGATGTAAATAACCTCACATAATAGTAAAATAATTAGGAAGAAGTTCATTTTCAGTATTTTTATTCTTTTTAAAATAATTAATATAATTAAATTTTTATTCATTTGCAATTTATTGATTTTATAATTTGTATTCATACAATTTAATTTTTAATAGTTGCAGAGTTTAACAACTGGCTTATTAGTTTCTTAAAAATTTAACAAGATTCTCTCTCATGAGCTGATATAAACTAATTCTAGCTCATTTAGATTCATGCATATAAAGAGTATTCAACAAAGCCTTGCATACACAAATGGAATGTATTAGGTAATTACTACTGCTACTACTATTAATAACTTTGACTTGTGAGCTCTACAAAGGCTGAAAGTAGACATATTCCCTTATTATCCTAGCACTAACACTGAGCTAGGGCCACCCTGTTTTGTGCCCAGGGAAGATTAATTACTGTTTGAAGAGACTCAAATTTAAGGTCATGGTCACCCAAGAACAGCATAGATTTGGTAGCAAAGTGAAGGAAATGTTAGCTACTCCATCTCTGTCAGAGTGCTTGATGTGTTCAGATCATTTTAAGAGCCAATTGTTGGGAATAAAGAGAGGGCCCAGAGAGGGGGACAGGCAAGGGAAATCTAGCTTAAGGTGCATCATTTTGGGGAATCTGGAGTAAGAACCATCAGCTTGTGAGAGGAAGTGTTGAAGGTTCGTCTCTTTATTCCTATCTGCTGTTCTTACTGGTATCTGTGCTCCCTATTGTCTTTAGTTGGTGACCTTTTGTTCTCTGATCACCACTTCCATCCCTGATTTAAAGTTGAGTAATATTTAAGAAGCAACTGGAGATCAGGAATTGACAAAATCACCATGAAAGCATACCAAAGGCAACTGACTTTAAAAAACTACTTCACAGGTAATTCACACATGGGCTCCCTAGATGTTGGATGTTACTTAAATGTCTCAAAAATAAAATCACTATAAGGATCCATTTATCCTTTTGTTTAATTCCATAAATTGTAAACTTATACTTAAGTTTGCAGAAATTGAGGTGTTTTCTAATGCTCCTATGTGTAAGTAAAGCTAGAATGAAAACAGATCAATTCATTTAGGGGAAATATAAGTAAATTATGTAAAAACAACTGATTTACTTTATACCAGAAATTCTTTGTGTTATAAGTGACAAGTTTCACTCATCCTTGAATTAGCTTCAAAGAGATAGTGTAAATTCTGGAGAGAAAAAAAGAGTGTGTTAAAGACTCAAATTTAAGGACTTCAAACTACTTATCTAGGAGTGTGCTTCCCAAAGCATGCTGCATGGAATTTTATTTCTGGGAAATGCTTCAGGAATAAAATTTCCTAAATTATTCTTTTTAAAATTATTTATTTATTTGTATTCATATAATTTACTTTTTAATAATTGCCAAGTTTAACAACTGGCTCATTAGTTTCCTAAAAATTAAACAAGATTCTCTCTCATTAGCTGATATAAATTAACTCCAGCTCATTTAAATTCATGCATATAAAGAGCATTCAAATAAATTCAGGGTGAACAGTCTCTTTGATGAAGTAAGTTTGAGGGTGCTGCAGACCAGTCCCCTCTGACAGATGATGGCACACAGTCACACAGTAAAGGCTCTGAGGAGTGCTGCTGTAAAGACATCCCTCAACTTAGTGTAATTCCTCATCTTCTAGACATATTTGACCCCAGAATCCTGTTTTCACCTAACTCCTATTAATATTCTGAGCAACTAGTGTTCCTAGGACACAATTTTGGAATCTTCACACTAGGGTTGTTACTGCTTCTAAGTGGTTTTGTGATCTTCAGCAAACCCTAGCCCTCATTTCTCTGTAGATTTACTGAATCCTTTCACAGAGATGCTGTGAATCGAAATTTCTGCAGAGAGTTTCTCTAAAAAGTTTCAAAAACTACTTTTGTGCTGGGCTAACATTCCTTAGCAGAAAGCCAACTTATGAGTTCTCCTATTACTCCATTCTGCAGAGACTCTCAATAAGGCATATCTGCGGAATGTTGACCTCGGAGTGACACACACTTAAAAGCATTGGTGGACACTTGGCAAAGCCAAGGAAGTTACAACTTGCTTCAGTTTTCACCTTGACGGTCTGTTTCAAAGGTCATTTTCTTTTTCTTCCTCTTCCTCTTCTTCTTTTTTTTTTTTTTTTTTTTTTTGAGATGTAGTCTTTCTGTGACCCAGGCTGGAGTGCAATGGCACGATCTCAGTTCGCTGCAACTTTTATCTCCTGGGTTTAAGCGATTCTTCTGCCTCAGCCTCCTGAGTAGCTGGGGTTATAGGCACATGCCACCATGCCCAGCTAATTTTTGTACTTGTAGTAGAGACAGGGTTTCACCACGTTGGTCAGGTTGGTCTTGAACTCCTGACCTCGTGATCTGCTCACCTCGGCCTCCCAAAGTGCTGGGATTACAGATGAGAGCCACTGTGTCTGGCCCTTCTTTTTCTTCTAAAGGCACAATTGCTGCAGTAATTTTCTGTAGTACATCCTTAATTGCATCGATATAGGTTGTCGTGGCATAACCTATGTTCACATCCTCATTTCAAGATTGGCTTAAATGTGGAGCCAGATGACTGTAGCCTTAAGGCCCACCTCAGTTCATTACCCTGAAGCACCTCCTCGGCCTGGTTTTGGATTAGAAACAAGGTAGTACAGAATCCAAATAAACAAGCCAGGGCAGAATATCCAAATGACAGAAAAGCAAAAACTTATTCTTTACAACTCCAGTAAAATACTTAGGTTTAGCTCATGTGACACAGCCAAGGATTCATTTTTCGACAAGGTGCCCAGTAGACTTGGTGCCATGGGTGGCTTTGCTTCTGCAGAGGATGCCTTTGTTCTTCCCTCAAGCGTGTTATGTTTTAGGCTCAAATGCAAACTCTGAGCAAATGGTCATTTTCACAGAGTAAAAAAAAATCACAGATTTGCTTTTTAATTTTGGGTGTTTTCTTGAAATGAGGCAAGACTAATTTAGGCCTTTGGGACATTTGTTTTGGGGGTTTTTGGAGACTGTCATATGGCTTCTCATTGAATTAAGCTTCCATGTTTGGGGATGAATTTATTTTTTGTCACAAGGCTTAAGATCCCAACTCAGCCAGGTTTCTGTGTGTTTCTTCTAATAAAGAGTAGAAACTATGAGTTGGAATATCCCCAAATTATCTTTTGGGTTAAAATAGCTTGTTCACAGAATTCTGAAAAATATCTTTCCCTTGTGAGCTATAAACTTAAAGCTACAAACTCCTTTCCTAAGCAGGAACTGATGTTCAAACAATTTGGACTAAAACATAAAGCAAATAAATACTTGTCCCCCCAATTTGTCCTCTACTCTCTTCCCTAATTTTGTGTTTGCAATATTAATTCAGAAGAAATTCAGTAAATGGTCACTGACATAACCAGTTTGTTGGCTAATAATTATTTCGTTCTTAAGGCCTGAGTTCTTACAGTCAGCCATGGGGCTGAAGCCAAAAGAAAGGCAAGGGAAGAGGCCAGTGCCTAAGGAGAGGAGGATGTTTTCTATTTTACCCAAACTTCCTCATGCATGGACCTAAGAACTTGCTCCCAGTCAGGGCCAGCTTCATGGTGTGGGAACTGTGCGGTTGCACAGAGCTCTGCTTTGAGAAGGGCCTCATGTTTGTTGCATGCTCTGTTGTCACCATCTTGAAAATTTTAATACTTTTTGAACAAGGAGCTCTACATTTTCATTTTTACTCTGAGTCCCTCAAATTATGTAGCCTGTTCTTCTCCTGGGTTATAGATGGCTTGGGCTCTCTGCTTTCTTCTCACTCTTCTCTCCCAGTCATGCCCCTGAGCCAGGCTCAGGACCATGCTCAGTGCTGGACTCGCCATTGTCATGTCCTCTGGAGAAGGAAGCTTATAGGGAGTCAACTTTCAGTAATCCTTCTGTGGATTTTGTGGATTATTTGTCATCTCAGTTGCTTTTTTTTTTGTTTTTGTTTGTTTTTGTTTTTTGTTTTTTTGGCCATCCCATGGACCTCTAGTTGGTTTGGACTTTCAAGAAAAGTCAGGTAATTTCAACAGTCATGCAAGCTGAACATGAGGAGGGAGGTAAATATGTTGCCCAGGAAAAATCCCACAATGCCAAAGCTCAATGAAAATTACATTTCATTTGTAATTTTATACTCATCAGTGATAAACCAGTAAACAGGTACAAAACCAATTTACATTTGGAGTTTACATTAGAATTCTAAAAAATCTTACTGAACACCTGAATACTTTGATTTATGATGTCTGTTTCCTGTATATGGTTTCTATTTTTTATGTTGAACCATATGGAGGCTCATTTATTCAATGTGCTTATTAAATTTTTATATTTGCACCACTTGTATAAGCTAAGAATTACTGCCACAAAACTACTTTCTTTATATAGTCATGTGTGTCTTTTTTTCTTTTCTTTCTTCCTTTTTTATTGCCTTAGGAAATTCTTTTGAAATGGCAATATTTCTTCTTTACCCAATTTAAACATTGCTCACCTTGCCATATCCCCTTCTCCTCTGCTACCTTGGTAGAAATGCTTTTATGAAACTGTACTTTATAGTGAAGATTTGTGCCTTCTTGAAGAATATGAAAAGAAACAGTCCTCTCTGCTATTACTCTGTCCATAATACTGAGAGCATTGTGTATTACATGACACTCTGACTTCTTTACGAGAACCATAGAAGACATTTCTCTGCTCTGAGATCTGGCTTAAGGGCTACGTTATCTGGGGCCATAACAAGCATATAAATCTAAAATTGTGCCAAAGAGAATAAAATGGCAGATACCAGAGACTGGGAGAGGTGGGTGAGGGGAGAGGGGGAGTGAAGAGAGGTTGGTTATGGGTACAAACATACAGTTAGATAGAAGAAATAAATTCCAATGCTTGATAGCAGACTAGGGTGACTATGCTTAGCAACAATATTACATATATTTCAAAGCAACTAGAAGAGAAGACTTGAAATGGTACCAACACATAAAAATAATAAATAATCCAATTACCCTGACTTGATCATTACACATTCTTTCCATGTAACAAACACTCACATGTGCCCCATAAATATGTAAATTTTGTGTCTATCTATCTATCAATCTATCTAGCTATCTAGCTAGCTATATCTCAATATAGCAATAAGAACAGAAAGAATTTTAGGCCTGGAGACATATAGTCTGGAATAGTGGATGAGAAGCTGAACCCTGTCAGCATTTTCTTTCTCACCTCTTTTTCACGCAGTTCCTCTATAAATAAATTTGAAAGAAATATTTTAAAGATTATCAGCCTGAAGAGATGCCAAAAAAGTAGCATTCCCACAGACCTACACCTCTTGATCTAGCCCGAATAGAAGTACCTCATGTAGTCTAACTTCTCCTGACAACTAGTTTGTTTTCGTATTTATGGTCTTTGGGCCCCCTAACCAACCATGGTTTCCTCTTTGAGGAATGAAGTTAGGACAAAAGGTGCATATGAGCTTCTGCACACTTGTGAGAGATAAGTATATGGTCCACCTCTCACAAGTGTGCAGGAGCTCATGTATGCGTTTTGTTCAATCCTCCTTCTTCCACCAATTTTATTGTCTATACTATTTCCTTTTGCCTCGTTTTTCCTACTTACTTTATCTTGCTGATGGTATACATCTGCCTTACCTCCTTACGACTTTAACTTTTAAATTCTTGTTTAGAGGTGTTTTATGCAGATACTATCCTCCTCTTCCTCCTTCGTCTTCTTCTTCCTTACTATCCACCTTCTGTTGTATGGTAACTTTACAAAAGAAACGACAATGATTTCATGTCCCGTGAAGTCACAATTATTGGCCTTTCTATTTGTATTTTTTCTATTCCCTTTAACATTTCTGGCTTTTATAATGCATATATTAGTACAGTTATCCATGTTAATAAATGGTGGTCATATATATGACTATGTGCTCAAAAATGTCTAATGAAATGTGCAAATCAAATGGTTCAGAGATGACCAACCAAGATTATTGCAGTTGGTCCCTTTGTTTCAGACTAACTTCCCTATCACTCTATTATTCATCTGTTAGTTAATACAACTAAAGTGCTTAGAACAAAGTAAGTACTATATACCTTAGCTATGATTATTATCCTATTGCCAAACTTGACTTTCTGCCACCATCCTAATCTTCATTATCACAGATTTGGAATTTTACTTACTTAATAGCTTTAGATAAATGAGTTGTTCCCGTAGTGGGATCCCAATGTTGGTTCCCTGGCTCCTGGCCTGCTTTGCCAAGTCTGTGTGATCACAGGCTGACAGGCCAGGCTCTCCCAGTTAGAAGAGAGGTTGCTGTGGTCCTACACTGCATCAAAAGATGCATTCCCTCAGCCAAAGCCTTTCCCTTGATCCCTTCCAGTCATCAAGTCACCTCTCTACATCACACAACTGGTCATGCCACACCCTACTAGAAGAAAATCTGTAGACATTAGACTATCTATGAAATTAAGTCCACATTCCCTTGGGAGAATCAGAATAACATATGCTGGAAAGCTGCTCTCTAGGATTTGCGGAGCTTTGTGTTCTATTGTGTCTGCTGAGAAAAAGGAAGGAGGGAGAGCAGCACAGTGTTACACTTTGGAGTCAGATGTCACAGATTCAAACCCCGTCCCTGTCACGTGAGATCTTATTGTCTCCAAGCCTCAGTTTCTGATCTGTAAAATGGCATAATGATACCTGCCTCATAGAATTGTAAGATAACCCATGTACTATACTTGGGAACTGATAGAGCTGTTTGTTTGTGTGTTTTTTGCTAGGCTCCCTCAAATCATGGTACCAATAGGTTTTTAATACAGGGTAGCACTTTTCATTTGTAACATTCTAACCCTTGAGAAAGTCTTCCACTAAAGGGATATTTAACACATTCTACTTAGTGAGAATGTGAAATATTCTTGAAAGAAATAACAAGCTGAGACCTGATATAAATAGTGTTGCAGGTGGTGACAACAGAGAGCAGTATGGCATGGTTGGAGTACAGTCAGAGAGCTGGGAGGGAGGGCTGACACTGAAGAGCTAAGGCAGGGGCAGACAATGGAATAGCTTTGTTTTTTTATACTGGAAATATTAACTACCACTAAATTGCAACCAATTTTATTTTCATAAGATAGCATGTGCAAAGATCACCTCCACACAATGCTCAGAAAACTAAAGCAGCACCTTTATTTTATACATACAAACAGTATAAAATGTTTATTAGGTAAGAGCTGTGTTTTGTTTACAATATATTATATTGCTTCAAGCCAATGCAAAAAGTTCATACATTATATTCCCTATTTCATTGTGTTTAGAATATATTATATTGTTTAAATGCCACTACCACAGTGTAATTTTTTTTTTTTTAATACTGAATCTCTGGAATAATGGTAAGGTCAAAATATATTGTATTGAGAGTTTAAAAATTAAGAGCAATTTTTAAAAATGTAACAAACATCTAAATATCTGACAATAAAATCTGAAATGCTGTAACTTCAACATTAACTGCACCATCCAAATTCTTGTGACTTACGCATTTTTGCCCAATTTAACCTTTCTGATGTTCCCCTGCCCCCAGACACCATAAATGCATTGTAATTTTGAAAATATCTGCCAACTACACACTGAAAATTTTAACCTGATCAATTGACATAATATAAAATCTGTCCCAAAGCACTGAAACAAGAAAATCTATACCATCATGCTACAGACGTACTTAGAAAACTTAAAAGGAAGAGTAAATATCAGCTCAGTGATTTATAATGAAGCTAATAAAATTCAGGCCAGTATTCTTAAGTGTAATGAACATTATTTGAACATTCAACACATGAAAGGTTAACAAAGGCTATGAACTTGGTGTAACTTAAAACGTTTCAGATGTCGGAGTTCACCAGATGTAATTGGATTCAGGTGGATCCCGCCGCTCCTCGGCCTTTTTAAGTGAAGGCGTGTGCTGCCTGAGCTGGGCGCCTGCTGGCCTCAGGGCATGTATGAGGCTGGCTTCGTACCCTGCAAAATTATTCACAGCTTAAAAGGAAAGAAACTACAAAACCAGGCTCTTCAGATTCATTATTAACCATTCAAATGAAATCCATTTTTGCCTTTTCAATCCAGAATGAAAAACCGCAATGACCACAAAAAGCTACCTGAATGAAGAGATCTCTGTTAAGAGCAACCCATTTTACTAACTCCATGAAACCAGGTTTCCATTGGATTTCTCATTCCCTATATATTCTGGCCATGCAGAAACTCTTGATGCAAAATCTGGGTGAATGTGACTGAATGGAAGTATAGTCTCCATCCAAGGGCTGGTAAGGATCTAGCATTGAAATTTTGAATGCAGCTGCAGATTTGGTCGTTGATCCTTTTCACTGCACTGCAAACCTAACCTAGCTGATATTGATCCAGTTCAATATGACAACCCGACTCTTCATAAAGATCACATGATTGGGTGTGACTATTGCACTTATAAGACAGGAATTTTGTAAAAATTAAGAACTTCCATTATATGTGTCAGGGAAAAGGTTAAGATTTGAACTGACTCTTCCTTATCAATAGAGATTTGTGTTTTGGTCAAGGTGGGCATCTATCTGTTTCCAGATGGGTTGTAAATGGAATGTGCTAAGTTACACAACTTCAGACCTCCCTTCTTCCTACTTGGGGTGATGCTCAGGGGCAGTAACTCATTTCTCATCTCCTAAAACTGATCCAAGGCAGCAAATTACATTGTAAAAATCTGCCTGCATCTTCTTGTGCATCTGAGTTAAATTCAGCATTTATTTATTCCTTGTGTTTTTAAATGCAAACATGCCATTAAGCAGCTACTGAGAACAGAATACTTTGTTCCTGAATGTGTTCCTTTGAATTGTCAGTATGTAGTCTAGTAGCTTGTGGAGTGGTCAAAACCTGAGCCAGCAATGAGTTGGAGTAAATCTCTACCATGCTGCTTGGCCTGTGACCCATGAAGCCCAAACCTTTCTGTTGGCGAGGGTGAGCCTATGCGGGGACTTCTGTCTCCAGTATCCTCCTCCCCACCATCATGCCTGGGTCCCTGGAACTCCCAACGTGTCATCCCACTGGGAGTATGTTCTTAGCAGAACTCTGTGCCTCAGAGCTTCCTTGTCACCTCCGTCTAGTCAAAATAAACCCCCTTCTTTCAGCTCAATTATTTTAGCTAATGTACAAAATGGCTGGGTGACCTCTCCTGGAAAACACATTTGCATTTGAATCAAGCACCAGGTCATCTTCTTGGCATGCAATGCTTGGATTTGAAGGAGGCACACTGATGGCAGACGCTTTCAGCAGCATAATCTCCAAGTGGGGGTGCTGTTTGGAGGCTGGCAGACCTGTCAGGAGGCATCATCTACCACACGAGGGCCCCTAACTTGCCTTCCCTTTGGAAGAATGGCTGGGTGCATCAGAAGTAACAGTGCCCTTGTGCTCCCCTCTTCATCACTTGTGGGGATCACTGGGATCTGGATGTGAGTCTTAGAAGACCTTTGTAACTAAGTCCTTGCATGTGTGGTCTGGACTAGGCTTGAGGATTTTTTAGTTATTTTGATTCTGAAGCAAGCCTCAGGGTTTGTCTCCAGTTGAGGGTGGCATAAGAGCTTCGGTTTACTCTTTTCCAAAATGGCACTAGAAATATTGAGTCTCCTATAGGTCTTTTAGTCCAAAGAAGATCTCCTTATCAGTATGTCCTAGCAGGGATACCATTCAACCATTCCCACTGTGTGAGAAGCAATTTTCCAGAGGAGCGGCACTGCTTATTAAATTGTGTCCACCTGAAGCCAATTTAATCAACCATCCAGTTAATTCAGTGGGTGAAAAAGCATCAAATCAGTGGCTTAGTGTAGTGATATGGTTTGCCTGTGTCCCCACCCAAATCTCATCTTGAATTGTAATCCCCATAATCCCCGTGTGTCAAGGGAGACACCAGGTGGAGGTAATTGAATCATGGGGCTGGTTCCCCTATGCTGTTCTCCTGATAGTGAGCGAGTTCTCACGAGATCTGACAGTTTTATAAGTGTTTGGCAAGCTCCTTCTATGGTCATTCTCTCTCCTTCCACCTTATGAAGAAGGTACCTGCCTCCCTTTGCCTTCTGCCACGATTGTAAGTTTCCTGAGGCCTCCCTAGCCATATGGAAGGGTGAGTCAAACCTCTTTCCTTTATACATTACTCAGTCTCTGAAAGTTCTTTATAGCAGTGTGAGAACAGACTAATACATGTAACCTAGACCAGATACCAACCTACCTTAAAGTAAACAGATGTATAACTACATATACACTTATTTTAGATACATTAAACAAATACAATATGAACATTGTAAAATATAAGCAAAACTTAGAAATTAGAAAGACTACCATAAGTATATTAAATGTATATTTATATATAAATATAAATCAAATTTAAAATATAAAAAATATTTAAAAACTAGTATATTCTTTTAGCACCCCAGTGGATAATTTCCACACTCACTGGGTTGCATGCACCAACCTTTGGAGACTACTGATCTAGGAAAACATCTGATATGTGAGTGATTTGTTCAGTTTGTATCCATTACTTTGGAGACATAATATGGTAGACACAACCTGGAATTTTGTGAATTTGCTTTTTTTTTTTTTTTTTTTTTGAGACAGGGTCTTTCTATGTTGCCCAGGCTGATCTCAAACTCCTGGATTCAAGAAATCCTCTTGCCTCAGCCTCCCAAGTAGCTTGGACTACAGGCATGTGCCAACACTCCCAGCTTGGAATTATGTTTTCGAAGAGTATGGTATGTGACTGAAGTCTTCCTTTTTTCAAACTAAAGTGGACAGTGGGCCCATGCTTAGGAGACTGAGTTCTAGCTGCCAGAAATGCTGAAACTGTGTTGTTTTGTTAATTTGCTAATTGACTGCCCCTCCCACTCCACAAGGCAGGGCCTTTTCTGTCTGTGCACTGGTGTGTCCCCAGTGCTTGGATTCATGCTTAGCACAGGAGAGACCACAATCAATACTGAATGAATTTAGCAAGTGTCATTGTGTGTCTAAAATAGGCCAGCTGTTTATCTACATAGCTAGCTCATTTTTGGTAGTAAATTTTGAAAAAATGCAACTCCATTATAACATCTCTCCCATAGACAGCTTTATAAACCTTTTCTTTCCCTCAAAAGAACTCATTTACTTACTATTACCAGTACAGTTTAAATATTTTAAGAAGCAAAATGCTTCATGTTTTATAATGATACTTGACAAATCATGAATTATAAAATCAGAGGTAAGGAGACACTGATTCTACATTTGATTTAAAATCTTAGTTTCATGTGTCATTTCTTTCATAGTTAACACACTATATTACCCCTAGATCAACCTGTATTACTAATTTAGCCTAGAAAATATTTGTGATATTTTACAGATGTGATCTTTTACAAAGATGCATTACTCTTTACACACTAAAGCTTAGACTCTAAAGTTTAAAGAGGTGGAGAAGTATGGGGGAGAAGAGGCAGAGAAAAAGCTGCCTTTAATGAAATGGAAAGCAGGGCTGAGTTATAGGTTGACTGTTAGCCTTTGAAGCCAAGAAACCGAAGTGAAAAGGCTGGCCCTTCTTCTGGTCTCCCACTCACTTTTATTTTTATTTTTTTCCTTGTTTACAACTTTTTATTTCTCCCACTCACTTTTATTGCAGTGTCTTCCATGCCAACCTTCTTGACATTGGCATTTGTTGGGTTCATGGCAGGTTCCATGTGCACCACAGCCAGGCTCGCAGACAGCTAGAATCAAAAGAAATAAAAAGAGTATTTCCTGAGCTTTCCTTTTTCAACAGAATTACATAGTTGCTTTCCTTGCAATTCTTTAGAATGTGTTAGTTTTGGCTTCATCCTCTAATTTTTTTTCCTAAGTCAGTCTCCAGTCATAAGTTGGTTTTGGACTTTTTGTAAAGTCCTGAGAATGATCTTTAAGCATGATATTTTTCATTCGCAAAAGACATTCAGTAGGATTTTGAAACTGCTGGAGCATGGAAGTTTATTTTCCTTAAGAAAACACCTGGCTGGGCATGATGGCTCATGCCTGTAATCCCAACACTTTGGGGGGCTGAGGCAGGTGGATCACGAGGTCAGGAGTTCGAGATCAGCCTGGCCAAGGTGGTGAAACTCCATCTCTACTAAAAAAAAAATACGAAGATTGGCCGGGTGCAGTGGCAGGTGCCTATAGTCCCAGCTACTCGGGAGGCCGAGGCAGGGGAATCGCTTACACCTGGGGGGCGGAGGTTTCAATGGGCCTAGATCGCGCCACTGCACTCCAGCCTGGGCGACAGAGAGAGACTCCGTCTCAAAAAACAAAACAAAACAAAACAAAGAAACCACCTTGTAGTTAAAACGTTCAGTTGCATGTGTGAGTATCCATTTTTTTACATGCACAGATTTCATACCACACCTCTGGTCTACATAAGGAAGCATATATGTCAGTGAAGAAAGGTTAACTGTGATGCCCAGGCAACATGCACTAAGCACGGAAGTATGTAGTGAGAGACTCCTGCTAGTTTAACGACCTAGTAGCCCAGATTGGCAATGTGTATGGGGTACTTACGCTTTGAACAGAGGTCTCCCTGGTAACCTTTGGAACACTTACATTTGCTTTTACCAATGCATTTACCTCCATTTCGACAGGGTTGTGGGCATTTGCCTGAAAAAGAGAAGAATGCAGCTAAACAAGGAACCTGGTGCTTCATTCAGAGGTAATTACATTTTTCAAAGGAATTACAAGGCTTTGAGAGGATAAGTGCTTTTAAATGGCAATTTTCATTTATTTCAGATCTACTCTGGCTTTTTTTTTTTGAGTTTTGTTTTTGGAACAGACAGGATAATATTTTTAACTTATGCTTTTGGATTATAAATGTGTTGCCAAAATGCTGCATTTATATCCTTTTTTTTTTTTTTTTTTTTTTTTTTTTTTTTTTTTTTAAGTAAAGACGGGTTTCATTCTGTTGGCCAGGCTAGTCTTGATCTCCCGACCTCAAGTGATCCGCCCGCCTTGGCCTCTCAAAAGTGCTGGGATTACAAGTATGAGCCACCACGCCCAGCCCAATTACTTTTTAATAAACAGAATAATCTTTTAACTGACTCACAAATACTTGCTAAGATATACTTTACTAAAAGTTATGACATAAATTACCCTTTAAATAATCTTTTCACTGGGTATTGATTTTTGTTTTTTGGTTCTTTTTGAGATGGAATCTTGCTATTTTGCCCAGGCTGGAGTGCAGTGGCAGGATCTCGGCTCACTGCATCCTCCGCCTCCCAGGTTCAAGTGATTCTCCTGCCTCATCCTCCAGGGTTGCTGGGAACACAGACATGTGCCACCATGCCCAGCTAATTTTTGTATTTTTAGTAGACACAGGGTTTCACCTTCTTGGCCAAGCTGGTCTCGAACTCCTGACCTCAAGTGATCCCCCCACCTCAACCTCCCAAAATGCTGGGATTACAGGCATGAGCCACTGTGCCTGGCCAAGTTTTGATTTTTGAATGTCACTTTTTCTGAAAGTAAGTCTATACCTGTACCTGATGACAGTCTTAGCCTAGGATTCCCCAGAAAGCAGGATCTGCATGCAGCTAGTTTATTTGGGGAAGTGATTGTAGGAAACAGGAATGGGGGAATGGGAGGGGTGAAATGGAAGGAGGGAAATGCAACACAAAAGTGTGTTTGTGGGTGGAAAACAGGAGTATGGGGCTGCTAAGTCGAGGTGCAGTGGCAATGGCTGGTGTGCAAGGCTGGCCAAGAGGCTGTGAGATGTGACACAAAAGGTGCCCAATATCACAACAATGCATTTTCCTGGAATGCCCTAGGTCCATAATGATACTTGGTAATTTCTTTTATCTCTTTGCCCAATGAGTATTACGAATGCTTTTCACAGATCTTTGAATCACAGAATTTTAGAGCTGGAGTAAGGCCCTAGGTGTAAAAATCATTTAATAAATTTCTCACTTCTTTCTCCAGAGGCTATTTATTATCCCTCTGCAATCTAGAATTTGCTATCCTAAGTCCTAGTTTTTGAAGAAGTGGAAGATAAGTTACTTTTTACCTAGAGCTGAAACCACATCCTATGCCTGGCATAAGATGTTTTGAAGACAGCAAGTAGCCTGTAGATTTTGGTAGTGGAGGAGTTTGGATTGCTTTTGTTGTTCTTTTTCTTTTCTTTTTATTCACTTTAGCAGAACACTCATTACAAAGGCTTCTAGGTACATAAGGAGAAGTAATGAAAATTTATCCTAAACCAACCCACCTTTCACTCTCTAAGCCCTTCTTTTTATTGCCAAAGAAAGCTGCGAAAGAAGTCAACCCCCATATATTTTACTGACAAGTACTATTCTTGACAAACAAGAAGTAAATTCTTTATGAAAATCATTCTACTAAAAACACTTCATCTTTTTATTTACCTAAAAGGACTTTATTCATATATAAGTAGACCAAAGCAGTATTTAGTCATTGTGGAGACAATATAGACGTAACAATATTGGGATGTTAGGGTCTCTCACAAACCTGGAATGCCGTTAGACACTGAGGTTTTTCTGCATAGAGGTGTTCCAGAAACAAGTATGAAAACAAACTTAATAACAGAATATCACCTCTTCATTGACCAAAAGAAGGTCCTTTTTTTTTTTGCCAGGTTTGAATACAAGAATACCATTTACTGTTTAGTTAAGATCTCAGCTCTCACCAAAAAGAAGGAATATCTAACTCCAAATTTCCATTTGCATCAAATAAATACCTGACCCCAACATATACACAAAATTGGGTCATATCACAGTACTCTGCAATGCATCAGGTTTTTTCAAGTGAGCAAGGTATAGGATGATAATTATATGGCAGAAAAGACAGCGTACTCATATGTGAACTACTTGGTGAGCCCGAATTTTCTCCTCCTCTATGAGGGGTGAAGTTGGTAACTGGGATAATGCAGAAAATGACTGGTGGAGATAATCCTTTCATAAACTTCAAGAAGTTTTTTGTTTTCATGGCAACAGGGAAGTGAGGACCCTTAGATTCACCGCAGTCAGGAAGGAGGACGTTCTCTCCTGGCTATTATACAACAGAAACGTGACTGCAGGAGACGTTAGACATTCGAAAGCTATTACTAGTTTAAAGACTATAGGAGCCAAAATTCATGAAGATCTGATTGTTTTAAAATTCATAATACTGGAAAAATATCTTTAATAGGAATTTCTTCTTCCTGAAAATAGTTTGCAACCAAATTCTACCCATTAAATAGTGGAAAACTGAGTCAGCTTGAGAGATGGCACATTTTTACTTAAAGAGACTAAGCCCTGGCTGGGCATGGTGGCTCTCGCCTGTAATCCCAGCACTTTGGAAGGCTGAGGCAAACAGATCACTGGAGGCCAGGAGTTCAAGACTAGCCTGGCCAATATGGTGAAATCCTGTCTCTACTAAAAATGTAAAAAAATTAGCCAAGTGTGATGGTGGGCACCTGTAATCTCAGCTACTTGGGAGGCTGTGGCAGAAGAATCGCTTGAACCTGGAAGGCGGAGGTTGCAGAGAGCCAAGATGGCGCCACTGCACTCCAGCCTAGGTGACAGAGCTAGACTCCATCTCAAAAAAAGAAAAAAAAAAAATAGACTAAGCCCTGTCTAAAGACAAACAGATTTGACTAAGTTTCAGCTGGTGGCATTTTTACTATAACCAATAGATGAGTCCTTGTAAGAAGAATGAAATAAGAATACATTGACAAAATAAAGACATTAAATTTCTTCTACCTATGCAATTGTAGGATAATTTAAATTATCAGTTTAATGAAGTGACAGTTAAATGAAGAAAACAGATAAAAGGGTTTTTAAGTGCCAACAATTGTCATCTCTGGGTTTTAGGATTATAGGTGATTTTTAATTGTTTTCTCCAATATTCTAAATTTTTTTAACAGAGAATATTTTATATTGAGAACTTTAATAAGAAGAACCCACTCAGTTATTTTTAAAATCCTTTTCTAATAATCCTTGCATTAGAAAAGGATTATAAATAATTTGGGTAGTCTTTTTAACTGAAGGTTCATTAAAGATTCTTGGGAAATCCATGAGTCTTAGATAACAAGATGTATGTACACACCATCCATCCAGATACCTCTAACCATAGTTTTGTTAACCTACAAGCATATCTCACAATCAACTCGGAATAAAGTTTGAGATGGTATCATTGTTTTTTACTTTTTTTTTTTTGAGATGGAGTTTTGCTCTTGTCTCCTAGGCTGGAGTGCAGTGGCTCAACCTTGGCTCACTGCAACCTGTGTCTCCAGGGTTCAAGCAATTCTTTTGCCTCAGCCTCCTGAATAGCTAGGACTACAGGTGTCTGCCACCATGCCTGGCTAATTTTTGTGTTTTTAGTAGAGATGAGGGTTTGCCATGTTGGCCAGGCTGGTCTCTAACTCCTGACCTCAGGTGATCCGCCTGCTTCAGCCTCTCAAAGTGCTGGGATTATAGGCGTGAGCCACTGCACCCAGGTGAGACGGCATCATTCTTGATAGAGGTCAGGAGAAATGAAAATAAACATGGCATCGGAGTATACATTTCATTTAAAAAAAAAACAAAAAACAAAGAGCCAGCAATGAGTGCTGGTGAGGATGTGGAGAAACTGGAACCCTCATACACTGCTGGTGGGAATGTAAAATGATGCAACTGCTTTGGAAAACAGTCTGGTAGTTCCTCAAAAAAGTTGTCACCACGTGACCCAGCAATTCCACCCCCAGGTAAATATTCTGAAGAAATGGAAACGTCCACACAAGCATCTCACACGCAGATTTTCATAGCCATATTATTCGTAATAGCCCCAAAGTGGAAACAACCCAAATGTCCAACAGCTGATAAATAAACAAAATGTGGTAAATCCATAAAATGGAATATTATTTGGCAATAAAAAGGAATAATGCAGTGATATATACTACACCATGGGTAAGCACTGAAAACACTAGAATGAACCCAGGTAAAAGAAGCCACACAAGAAATGCCATATCTTATATGATTCCATTTATGTGAAATGTTAAGAATAAGCAAGTCTAGAAACAGAAAGTAGCTTAGTGGTTGCCAGTGTCTGGAGGGAAAGGGGAAGGGGAGGTGACTGCTAATAGGTACAGATTTTCTTTTGGGGATGATAACATGTTCTGGAATTTGATAGAGGTGATGGCTACACAATCTTGTGAATAACCCGAATGGTACATTTTAAAATGTTGAGTTTTATGTGATTGTGACTTATATCTTAATTAAAAATAAGAATACATAATTCAACTATACTTTTTTGTTTCTGTACCTTTGGAGGCACTTTTCAACTCAAGACCCATTTCCATATTTTCCTGGTAATGTAGTTCCCGTGATAGAAACAGGAAACTTCCGCAAAGATTTTGGATAAAACTTGAAGTAGGGTCAATCAGGAGCTTTCAAAGACCCACATTTTTTGATGTGGTAAAACAAAAAACCAAGAATACAAAACATTGTCTCTGCCAACAGAAGATTCATAAACCTAAGAACATGAAAGGGCATATTTACATGAAGGAAAATGAGCCTATGAACAAAGATTCATAACCATGAACCAAGTAAGTGTGCAGAGTCTGAAGTAAGTACAGGGGAAAATTGAGGGGAGTTAGTTCAGAGATATCTTTATCCGGGAAGGGTAATTAATAAGAATAGAAACCACACCCAGACAATTAATTACATGTTCTATGGAAACTTTAGAGGTATTTCATTTGAACCCTATAAAAATGGTTACTTCATCCACTACTCATTAAAGTACAAAAACCCACAAATAAATTAGAGGTTGAAAGTTCAAACAGGAACTTAGTCTTATTCAACTTTCAATCTACAATACACTACTATATACACTACTGTATAACACTGTTCGGCTGTACCAAACAGTGGTGTTTTACAGATACAGCTGGAAATGAAACACAGACCAAGTTTCCCTCAACAAACATATCAAGAAAGGCAGGGACACAGGACACTTAGTGGACAGGCTGACCTTCCTTTTGCTCTTTCTTGAGCATGTGCTTTGGTGCTATCTGTTCTTCTGGATTGTAAGGCAATCTAGGAGGGAGTTATCTCATTTCTGAGTTAAAGAGAGAGGCTACATGACTTGCTGAGAGCTACATGGCTGGTCAATGGCAGAGCCTGGACAAGCAGTTTGGAATATTGATTCCGAAAACAATGATAAGCTACCACATTTCAACCCTTACTTTTTTAACTTTTGTGTATTGAAGTATGACAAACATATAGTAAAGGCATAGTGTGTACCAATCTTAAGTTTACAGTTCAGATATTTTTATTTACATAAACAGATGTGTGGCACTTCACCAATCAAGATACTTAGCATTCCATAAAGTTCCTTTTGCTCCAACTGTGATTCTCGTTTCTACTGTCATCCGTTAGTTTCACCTATTCTTGAACTTCAAAAAGATGGGATCATGCAGTAGGTAACTTTTTGTGTCTGGTTACTTTCACTTAGTATCTGTGTGGTTCATTCATGTTGCTGTTTGTGCTACTATTTCATTCTTTTTTTATTGCTATGCGCCTCTTTTTTCTCGTTTTTCTTGAGTCTACCTTTTTCTCTTAGATGGGTTGTTAGGCTCAGTCTAGGATATCTGGCAGTGAGCGGCAGGGGAAACAGGTACATAGGTAAACAGATCCCAGCTGTCCCAGAGCTCTGATCTACATTTCCAGTCTGAAGCTATGGGTTCCACATAATGAGGAGGGGACAAAATGACTAACAGAAAACAATGCAACTGTTGAATAATCCAAACCCAGACATAACCGAGTCAGAGAGCATTTCTTCTGAGTCCTCTGAGGTGAGCTGTGTCACTCTTTGCCCCACCTTCAGCCAAAATGCATGGTAGCTGAATCTAGCAAAAAGAAACCACTGGCCTAAGACCTTAGACAAGTTATTCATTCTCTCTGGGCTTCCGACTCCTCCTTGATAAAATGAAGGGGTTATATGGGGTTTCTAAGGTCTCCCCAAGTCAAAAGAACGCAGAAAGTCAATACTCACTGATTTCACACTGCTCTCCCTCTAGTCCTGGAGGGCAAATACATTTTCCAGGGTAGAAACAGGTCCCTCCATTAAAGCAGGTGGTTGAGCAGTTTGCTGTTAGAATGAGTAACAGGGGTGTTGCATTAGACAGTAGGTTAAATCTAACACAAATTTCACTTAAAGTGAGGTGCTATTTTTTAGGCATCTGCTTGCTACTTGCCCATTTCCTGACTTAATAAAATAAGCTGCTTTACAAATACAAAATTTGTACCAATTGCTTGCCTATGTGCAGACTCCAGAACATAATAGGAGACCACACACATCATATACTACCCACCAGTAGGAGTTTCCATCTCAGTGAAGAAAGGCACAGTAAAAAAAATTAGCTTTTTAATTTTCTTATACATAGCTATGCCCTTAAAAGGAAAAGAATGGTATAAACCTAAGGATTTTTTTTGTAAACATCAGTTTAGAGGATAAGAGAAGAGTAAAAAGGAGAAGACTTACTTTGGAATAGATAAAAGAGAAGTCATAAATATCAGGACCTGACAAAAAAGCAACTTTCTTTCAGGACAAGATGAACAGATATTTATCTTATTGAGATTGTTTTTTAAAAAATATACTTTTATGACTTTCGGAGAAAAGAGTAACTGTATTCAGAAAAAGACTGTGGGCCCAGGTGAGATCCCATAGGTAGGAGTGTGGCCACAGCAGGGACCAGAGGATGATGAAGTTGGCTGTATCATAGTGGAAGCCCAATAACCAGATTATCCAGGTAGTAATCACACTTCGTGATTCATCCTAAACCCTCTCTCACAGTGTCAGTTTCTGGAATTTCACTGCTCACTAGCACCTAAAATAGAGGGAGGATGGAGAAATGGAGAGGGGAGGAGAGGAAATATCTAAAAATAGACAAGTTGGCTCATTCTATAAAGGAAATTAAAATGAGAGCTTGGATTTTTAGCAATTCCAGTTATATGACCCATTTGTTCTTGTCCCATATAAAATTGGCCAAAATTGGCTATAGATGAACAAAAGCTAAAATAAGCTTCCAGTAGGAAAATCAGAAAAGAAATCCAAAAGTTCTAAGTGTATGCTTTCTTTGTGGGAAAAAAAAAGTCCACAAAGCAAAATGTTCTACGAGTATCATGCTTCTTAAATGATAAATTGTGTTTAAAATCACAAAGATCTCCAAGTTTAAGGAAGTGCTGTACTCACTTTGGCAAATCAAAACTCTTTTTTTTTTTTTTTTTGGTTTGTTTTTTAAAAGAGACAGGGTCTTGCTCTGTCTCCCAGGCTGGAGTGCAGTGGCACAATCATAGCTCACTGCAACCTTAAATCCCTGGGCTTAAGGTTTCTTCCTGCCTCAGCCTCCCAGATGGCTGGGAGTAAAGGTGTACACTACCATGCCTGATTAAGTTTTGAATTTTTTCTGTATAGATGGAGTCTTGCTACATTGTCCACACAGGTCACAAAAAAATTCAAGCCTCTTAATGTGGAAGGGAGCTGTAGCATTTTGGTATAGGATTTAGGATTTAGGAGAACAAGCTCTTGGGGCCTCCTCTTTGCTGGAGTATTGCTAAGGCTGGACAGTTGTTTTTGTAAGTGTGTCCTGTCTCCTCACTTCTGTTTCTCTGGGAGATAGAAGGGAATGATGAGATCAGTGCCCTGGAAAACTTTGGGATCAGTACCCACTTGGCCCATGCCCCGTGGGCACTGCCCAATTACTGATGTGTAGAATGCAATGAACCTGGTAGCTTCATAGAAAGTTGTAGAATTCGGCAAGGTTGGTTACATAATTTGGCCACACTCTTAGTACTTGTATGCTATTGTATTGTCATGAGCAAGCTTCTCTACATTTCTGTTGTGCAATGATTCTTGATTAGAAAAACAAGCAGCTAGAGACACGAAGTATCTTTCTCTAGGGCTGAGGCCCCACTGGCCAGTGCTAAACTCCTTAGGTCCTAAAGGTTGTGATGTCCCAAGGGCCAATGAAAGTTATTCTTTAATATTTGTTCAAATACATAGTGCTGATGTCTATTTCCATAGTAGTAATTAAATCATTTTTCAGAGCCTCCACATATTCCCTCCTGGAGAATTAAAGCATCTTTTTGTTGAGGTAGAAATTTTTTTTTTTTAATATTCCCAGATCCCCAGTGAGACCAAGTGGAATTTCAACAGACATTATAAAAGAATAAAAAAATTACTGGAGTCTGATGAGTAGGAAAATCTTTCATTTGAAAGATAAAATATTACAAAATATAGTATGTACTGGAATATAGATAGATATATTACTTTGCAAGTGACCATGTGGTGTTTGTGACACCGTAGCACTAGAAAAACACTGCAATTGACACTCCATTATGCAAACCACACCAACAATGGCCACGCCTACATAAGAAGGTCTCACAAATGGTCTCTTGTGAATACATGAGTTCTTCAACTAAATCTGGAGGATTTGCTTTATTTATTCATAGTTTTGAGGCAATAAGAGTTTAATTCTCCTCTAGAATGCCCAGTTTTAAAATAGCAGAGACACTGAATGCTAAATTTAGACAAAAAGATTCACAATAATGAATTTTACTCACAGGCTGTTAATTCTTATTAGAGTAATTAGTGCTTAATCTTTATGAAAACACATTCAAAAAGTGATTTTTAATCCAATACTATAGTTTTAAAAGACCACTTTAAAAAAGGCAGAAATGCTTTCACATATTATCTCAATATAGTTATAATATATAGCTCAGGGGTGAGGGACAGGAGGGTCAATGGCTTAATTCCAAGTCTAGAGATAGAAAAAGCATGGTCCACAGAGAGATCAAGTTGCCTGCCCAGGTTCAGAGTCACTCGTGGAAGAACCAAGGGCTGAATTAGGTAGCCTGGGTGGCAACATGGTACAGTGCAGGATATGAATTTGGGTCAACCTACTCAAGTTCCATAAACCTCACTTTGCTTATCTAGGAATGAGATGGATAATACTTTACATATCTCAAAAGATGTTCAGAGTAAAATCACATAACTGTAGGAAAGTACTTTGTACATCATAAAAGAGTAAACAACCTTAAGTTATTCTGACTCATACTGAAGGCTCTTTCCTTTAGCTTTCCTTTAAAAAACAACAACAACAACAAAAAACTGCTCATGGCAATCTTACTTGGTACTAACTGAGTGATCACTAAAGAGACACTTTTAAAGAATAAAATTTATTATTCTATCTTAACTCATATGTTTATTGACAAAAAATGCTCTATTCATACAATTAGCATTTTTAACACAAAGATAACTTCATTAAATATACAAATTTCACAGCATAGTCTTTATTTTTTTCCACTTAAAAGATGTGAACTGGGCAAAATAAACAAGTCTCTTGTAAAGAGTATGAATCGTTCAGCAATTTTAGGGCCAAGTTTGAATTCACTTACTAAGAGTAAAATCTGGCTGTGTTGCTGCAATGTTAAGAAGGAAGAACCTAATCTCTCTGGGATGTGATTTGTGAGCAGAGTATTGAATCGGGAGTCAGTAAACTTCTAGGTTAGGCAATGTAGAGCAGGTTGTTTAATTTTAGCCTTAGAAGCTCACCCACAAAACCAATTTAGGACATACTAAAATTCCATGTGGCAAGACCAGCTAATTGTTCACAAAAATTTGCACTCCCGTTATGTAATATGAGATGTCAGTGGGAGACCACTGTCCAGCCAGGGGCAACATTTCTTCTGCCTGAAACCAGGTAGGACCATGAGGCTAATTCCTACCTATGGAATAGGTGTGGAAGTTTTGTGGGTAAATTCTGGGCCAGGGCTTTTAAATTTTTTAATTAATTAATTTATTTTTAGCAGTGCTTACTTCAATCCTTCTCTGCCTATTGGCTGGATCTAGAGAGTTCCAAAGCTCTAGGCAGGACCACAGATAGATGGTGCCTGGGCTCCTGAGTCACTGCATGGAGAAGAGCTGCCCTGCCCACTGACCAGGCAAAATGCACTGGAGCATTCTGTGAATGAAAATAAACTTTTGCTATTATGCTACACTAAAATTGGGATTTCAGTTACTATAGCAGCCATCTTTACCCTAAGCCATACATTCTCAGAGCTGTTATGAAGAGTGAGGACATATAAAGTAACTTATTCTAATCAAACATTTTAAAAGTAAAAATAACTTTCTTCTTAAAAAGAAACTGTTACCTTTGTCACAGTTCACTCCATAGAATCCAGGTGGGCAGATGCAGAAACCAGGAGTCACACAAAGTCCACCATTCATACATCGTGGGGTACAAAGGGCTTATAGGGAGAGAGAACCCTGATTAAGGCCAAATGGTATTTTGGAGCAGGACCATTTTGAAATGTCAATAATACAACAGGTCTACATTTTCAAGCTTTGTGGTTGACTCTAAAATGATTACTCTTCAGAGATACAAGTTTGCTATATTAATATTATTTTTGTGGTATAAATTAGGCTGTTTTTCAATTTCTCAGCCAATTTCTTAGAGATGACTTTTGGATTGGTTCCATTTGAATACTTGAATAAATTTTCCCCAGAATCATTTTGACTAAGATGTGGTCTTCTTAAAACTGTTAAATATTTTCACTTTGCCCCATTTGCTTAATCTTCTAATTCCAACATAAATGCAAAGAAGAAAAATAAGAAAATATTATTCTTTCTTACTTATTTTAAAATTATTTTTTAACTGTCTCTCACAGGATATTCTTATTTCTTGAAGATGAAAAATATTTTGCTTACTGTAGTCAGATAAGCTCTTAGTATTTAAACATCTTATGATTAATATTCATTTCCTTGCTTATGTCTTTTTTCATTTATTTTTAAAAATTAATTTCCCTGAAATTGATGTACTTACTACACAAATTCATCCACTTTTTTGCCTTATCATAACTTCATAACTTAGATATACTCTTAGTTGTGAATCAAGCTACTTTCAACTGGAACAATTTCAGATCAGTGGTGATACTAGCTTTTTAAATCCAACTTAAGAGGAGGAAAAAAACCTCAAAATTTTCATAAGATTATGCCAAAGTACAGTGGCTATATTTCTGAAGCGGGATGAGTTGGGGGAGATGGCCAGGAATGGCCACAGAAAGTGATGGCATTGTGCCAAAATTTTCTGCCCCTGTGACCAGGAAAATAATTTCAGGTGTTAAAAATACACAATACACATGGGGCTCCTGCACGACATCCATGTTCATTAGGAAGGGAGCAAGGGAAATCGGCTCCATGTCTTACCTTTCTCACAGTGAGGTCCGTGGAACCCATCAGGACACTCGCAGATGCGTCTTTCATTACAAAAGCCTCCATTTCGGCACCCGCCTGGGCACTCAGCTTCAGCAGAGAGAAACAAAGCTTATATGGACACCCTTGAAATCATGTTGGGTGAATCACAGCCAGTGTGAGACAGTAGTGTTCATTTCTGTTCTAGCCCACCAATTAATCATAATTGATCAAATACCAGTACTTCCAACTCATTCCCTCGATATCACTTGGATTTCACTAAATCTGCTGCAGAGTAAGATTTTGCCTCCCTTATTTCCAACAGTAGGGGGCTCTTGGAAGAAGGTAAGGCAAATTTTATTCTGCCTTCATCTCCTCCTATGGATCTACTGTACCTTGTTAAATTCCCACTGCAATTGAATGAATGGTATTGCCTTTCCCCTTTCAGAGGGTAAGATGACTTATGGGTACATCTTTAGAGCACTGAAATGCTCCAGAGCTTAAATTCTGAGCTAGAAAAGCTTGTATAGGGATGTGAAAGGAGCCAGGCCTTTATAGTTAAATGGGCATCTGGGGTGTGGTGGGGAGGTATTGAGTGAGGCCTTGACCTGGTAGGGATCACTGGCATGAGGTGGCAGTCTGTCCTCCGTGGATATTCATTAGAGGTTATATTAGTGTTGCCTTTGGGACAAGTGGGAAGTGCTGGTAATTATGAGCCACCTTGCCTTGAGCAAACAGAGCAAGAAAGGGGGAAATTCATGACCACGGGTGAGATACACTGGGACTCCCAACAACTGTGTTGGAGGAGTGGAGAGGGAGGAAGAAAAGGTGTTTTGAAACGTTTCCTATTCCTAATATTAAAAGTGGGGTCAAGGTCAGAGGAAGTCTATCTTAGTACTGTTGCTAAATCCTGTGCTGATCATCTCCTCCTTCCGTTGCTGTAGTTATAGAGCCATCATCCAAAAAACCATGTGTGTGTGTGTGTGTGTGTGTGTGTGTGTGTGTGTATAGATATAAATATTTGGTCCAAATCACACCTAAGCCCTTACAACATGTCTTCTCTTGAATCACCATCGGTGCTTACCTTGTTGACATGTTTTAAAGAAGATAGCATTTTGAGGTGTTTGGAGAATGGTGTTGCCTTCAGAATTCATAACAATCACATCCACTTCAAATGCTGCCACCCCATCCTGTTTTCCAAGACATGGGAAACCAACTTGAACAACTAAAAGAAAAAAAGAGAAAGTGTGGAGAAATAGTTAATCTAGTTGATTCTAGTTTTACAGAAATCTTGGGAACCAAGAGTCAAAGGACAAAGCAAAAATGTTCACATGTTGTGGATTTCCTTGTATCTCCACTGGAGTAGGAACTGTATTTTGAGCATCTGGGCTCCACAGAAGTTGAGCATCATGTCAGGTGAAGAAAGAGTGAATGACTCCAATTTTTACCTCATTAATATGGAATTGGTGATATTCTGTTCACAGTCTGGACTTGTACTATCTTAAATATTTTCCCTGGAAATTAAAGATGGAAAGAAGAATCATAAAGTGGTTAATTATGTATACGTCAGTGTAGCATGGGAAGAACAGAAAGACAAACGAAAATAAATAAAAAGCAGTTGATTCGGGGAAGAAACTTTGTGGCATCTTCATCAGCCTCCATATAATCCAAAAAGGGCTAGAAATCAGCATTTCATAATCCCTTAAATAAAGTCTGATGAGCAATACCCCACTGGTTTATGTTTACTATGTGTATG
The DNA here is from genome assembly GCF_000001405.40 of Homo sapiens. Classification (NCBI taxonomy): domain Eukaryota; kingdom Metazoa; phylum Chordata; class Mammalia; order Primates; family Hominidae; genus Homo; species Homo sapiens. The sequence goes on from NC_000012.12 coordinate 65,069,436, forward strand.
TGAAAGTGACAAAATATCTTCTTTGAAAATATTTTACGACTCAGACTAGAGTTCAGTCATTGGACCGAGTTAATGAAGTTAATATTTTCTCAGGCTGTTTGTTAATAAGAAGTGTCCATATCTCAGGCATCTAGAAGAGAGTTTGATGTGATGAAATAATCTCATGAATAGGGTTATATCTAATGGTTTATGTTCTTAAAGAGAAGCTTCTCTTTCTTGTGAGTCTAATGATTACTCAGCCTGTGCAAGTGTTGACAATGAAGTCACAAAGCAGGGATTGGGAACTGAAGACATTGCTGTACAAAGAGGGAAGGAGGACACCCGTTGTGGGATAACCACAAATCACTGGGTGAAAATGGGGCAAATCAGATGTGATCATTTGCTGAGAAGCTGATTATGTATATTTCCAACACCCAATGGGTTATTATAACATATCCACTGGGTAAGACTGATATAGCAGATCCACCAGACTCTTGTTCTTTCTTGTGAATATAAAGAAATATTGCTAATGGGTATACATGTGATTTTTTGCTTCATTTTATTTCTGCATGGCAAGTTATGGTTTCTGCCAAGCTTGTGCAAACTGTATCAAGCTAAGACAAATCTTTTCCTTTTAGAGTGTCGATAAACTTTCTCCCTAGGTTTATAGGAATAAATGAGCTGGAAACTGGACTGCCCTTTTCTGTAAAGCATTGCACACAAGCTGGTCATACAATTTCTCAATGTGCTTTTGGCAACCCAAAACTCCTCTTACAGCTCTGGCATTGTCAGTGTTCATTGCTATGCCATACTCAAAATTACATGGACTTCCATTTCTAGCTCCCCTGAAACTTGAGATTTTAACATTGCAAATCATTATGATGAAAAGGAAACACAGATATTTTAACAGAAATAAAAAGAAAAAACAAAATTGTGTCTAAAGTTCTAAAGTAAAATTGTCCCTATTGAAAACCTTGGCTTAATGAAATCTCATATATAAAAATGCCAATTTACAAAACATTTATGAATGGAGATTTCTATTTCAGAAAGAAGCAAAGGAATTGACAAGTAATTTCTTTAAATTTTTTGTACTTATACTTTGTTCAATTATAAAACTTTACTCTTCTTATGACTCTTTTACATGGACAGGTAGGCCAATAATTGCTTTGAGGCATAAAAAGATGGAAAAACTTGAACGGATACTTAAAGATAGAACTTTCAGAATCTTCCTCACTGGACGCCATCATCCAAACTTATTTTCCAGGTGTATCTTTTTTCTGAACCACATTCAGCCTCTCCTTTGCAGCCCACCTGATTCTTTTAAAAAGGCCCTTCAGTTTTATTTTGGCTTCCAGAATCTTGGTATGGAAGAGAAGATGCCTATCAGTAAACTCATCTTCATTTCTGCTTGCCAGCATTATCAAATTTCAAAATGTATCTTGGATGTTAAATATCAAAAACTGTCTTATTAAGTTTGTAGGAAATTTAGTTAAGAACAATTATTAGTTCTTCCACATCTTCAGATGTGCTGAAAGACCATTTACAAATCACAGGCTCACTCCTGTAATCCCAGCACTTTGGGAGGCCGAGGCGGGTGCATCACTTGAGATCAGGAGTTGGAGACCAGCCTGGCCAACATGGTGAAACCCGTGTCTACTAAAAGCAAAAAAATTAGCCGGTGTGTTGGCATATATCCATAATCCCAGCTACCTGGGAGGCTGAGGCATGAGAATCACTTGAACTCAGAAGACAGAGGTTGCAGTGAGCCAAGATAGAGCCACTGCAGTCCAGCCTGGGCAACAGAGCAAGACTCCATCAAAAAAAAAAAAAAAAAAAAAAAGGAAAGAAAGAAAAGTGTGTGGTTTGCTAATATAATCTTTAAGTCAATTAAAGTAAGGACATGTTCACAGAGTTCCTAGGCCTGTGGTGATGCTAGAAGATACGGCTTTCCACCATTGCAGGGAACAAAAGCGAGGTTGCAAAATCTAATGAAAGTTTTAAAATAGAAAAACTGTAAGCAATTTTGGCAGATAACTAAAGATGTAGTATCTTCATTTTCTTAGTAAACCAAAAGAAATGATATCCCTAAAAATTATTTTACTAAAGTTATATTCAATTACTGTTATAACTGATATGAAATATTTTCCTTCTTATAGTTTTTAAAGACCTAATATACTCTAGGCTTGCAATTTTTGCTAATTTTATTTGTGCATAATAACTCTAGCCCTTAAATTCAGCTTCAAGTTAAAAATGAACACATTAAAAATCCCATCAGCCCAGGTATATAAGTTTTACCTGCACATTTCTACCTCTTTGGAAATAGAAGGCATGTAAGCACAGTTATGACCTGAACCCTACTGCAGAATGATTTGTAAAGAACTAGGAAATAAAGTTTAGAAATTAGGAGGTACCTAGCTTATAATTTCAATGAATTATTATTTTTTTCACTGAGGACATCTTGAGCCAGATCAACAATTAATTTTTAATGTAAAAGAAGAATTACAGAAAGATGTGATAAACCATACCATTACACTTTCCCACTCTTCAATTTTAAAACACAAAGTAAAAATTTTATTTCCTCTTGTGCAAACCCTACTTGTCTTCGTTTCTGTTTATATAAACTTTATCTATAAGACCATTTAGGTAATAATATTTATAATTAAACACCTTTTAAAAGTTTTCAAAGAATTTTGCTTTAAAAAAACAAAATCTGACTTTAGTTAGCTGCATCTCCAGTAATTGCCTTTTGTCAACTCTGTGCTCTGCGCAAACTATTTCTCTCAGTTCCCCAAATGTGTGGTGCACATCCACAATTTCCTTACTGCACACCCAGGTGCTTGGAATGTTCTTTCTTGTGTTTTCTGTCCTACTGTCCTCCCACTCAACTTTCAAGGCCAAAATTAAATAGTACTTGCTTTCTTTAGCCTTTCCTAACACCCCTTGCCTATATAATTACATTTATATATTTTACAAACACCTATATATATTATTTCATTGTGGTGTAGTGATTTAATTATGGTTTGCATCCTTTGTTAAGGATGAGAATTCTCAAAGGCAAGAACTATATCTTGTTTTTGTAATCTCAGCATTTAGCATATTGTCTGTCACAAACTAGGTACCAACAGATGTGATATATGTTATGGTAGACACAACCATATACCTTGTGTGCACAGGCACACACTTGCACTTCCACACATGCACATACCTGCACATATACACAGAGACAGAAATTCACCATAGACAGTAGGAGATGTAGAGAATAAAATACTAGCAACATGCACTCAGAAAAACAGATGCACCAAGAAAAAGAGACATCAAAGGCAGAAAAAGCAGAGACTCTTTGCTTCCAAGGAATAAGAGGAATGTGAAAGTCATGTATTTTTGCAACAATAGGAATATGAGTAAAGAGCCATTGTTCCCAAACGCTAGATGAAGTTAGGCCAGATATGAATTCCAGTGCAGAATAGGATGTATAATCTAAACGAGGTGAATTAAAACAACTCAGAAAAACTAAAGCAGATCGAATATAACTCACAGCATTGAAGTACAGACTGATATGCAATTGATTGCACATCAACTAACTCTTCTACAGAAGAAAGCAGCAAATTTGTTCTGATTGCATACTGCTCCCACACACAGATGGGCATGGTGCTCAGATAGCCTCAGCCTCCAGTCAGTTGAGTCCCTGTCCTTACAACAAGGCAAGAGATGAGAAAGGCAGGCAAGAGCCCATCCTCCACACCACATGATCATGAACTGCTACATCACTAGAAATATCCAACATAAATATTCATCAGTCCTTTAAGCTGCCCTGCCAGCCATTCATTCTCTTACCAAATACTTAGCACAAACTCTGGGCTTCACATTCTGCTAAGAACTGAGGTCACCTATAAGAAGATGGTCTCTCCAGCATAAGCACCTATTTAACAGTGTAGACATTGGATTCCTAAAAGTCCTAGTTGAGAAACACCACTGCTCTGTTGGTTTCATGGTCAGAAAAAGAGAGTGTTCAAAGAGGCAAAGTCTTGGCTTCATGAAACTGTTTTTTGTTATACAACTCAGTAATTTTATTGAACCACCCTGCAGTTTGTATTTCCTGTTTTTGTTCTCTTCTGATGCCAGAAGGCAGGCACTTCATAACTGTTAAAGATCAAGAGGAGTTTTCTTTCTTCATGCAATATTTAGGCATATAGGAGTCTGTAGGATAAAAGAACAGTTTAGCAGCTTGGGGGTATAAAATAGCCTTGTAGAATAATGAATGCTACCTGGATGCTTAAGAGCAAAGACACACTGATTTGGTTACTTTTTAATAATGCAAGGTACCTTCACTTCTCCTACTGAGGGACTGAGCTAATGAGGCTAATGAGTAGCTGCTCTGCAATGGTGTAAGGTTCCCATAAACTTCTTGCACCTGCATTTCTACAAACAAATTCTACATCTGCTTCAAAAAGACTATGTGTGTGTGGGGTGGGGTGAGGGAGTTGTATATGCAAAGGATGTGTGTGTGTGCGAGTCTGTGTGCACACATGGGCATATGTGTTCATATCACCTGGTTCCCAAAGAAGGCTTGTTGTTTTTAGTTTCAGGTTGACCAAAGTGTCACCCACTTTTTCCTCTACGTTTATTATTTATAAAGAACGTAAATTATTAGAAAATGATGTTCTATCTAAACATGATCTATTAAAATATCCTCACATCATATGTTCAAAATCTTATTTGTCAATTTCCTAAGCAGTAGAATTTCAGTAAGATTTTTATTTTTTATTTTTTTATTTTTTTTATTATACTTTAAGTTTTAGGGTACATGTGCACATTATGCAGGTTAGTTTTTTAACTAGACACAAAAAGTGAAAAAAGCACTTAGGATACAAGCATTAAATTAGAAATTCAAAGACGCAAGATTTACCAGAAGCTGAGCAGGTAAGTATAACTGGTAATTAATTAATGTATTTTTAATGGACTATGATGAGCTTATATTCCTTTATTAATCAGAAAAAAAGAAAAATATAAAATAGAAATTGAGAGGTGTTATGTACTTATTTTATTCTGACTGCTTCCAAAACAAAACAAAACAAAAAGAGCAAAAAATATGATCAAGGAGAATTTTATAGAAAATTATCTTTAGCCAGGTGCTGGCTCATGCCTGTAATCCCAACACTTTGGGAGGCCGAGGCAGGCAGATCACTTGAGGTCAGGAGTTCGAGACCTGCCTGGCCAACATGGTGAAACTGCATGTCTACTAAAAATACAAAAATCAGCCAGGCATGGTGGCATGCTCCTATAATCCCAGCTACTCAGGAGGCTGAGGTGAAGAATCACTTTAACTCAGGAGGTGGAGGTTGCGGTGAGTTGAGACCCGCACCACTGCACTCAAGCCTGGGTAACAGAGGGACACTCTGTCTCAAAAAAAAAAAAAAAAAAAAAGAAAAGAAAAAGAAAATTATTTTCAACTAAAAAGAACACTATGTGACAGGGCATGAGATTGAGTGATGACCATATTCCAAGAATTTGGTGGCTGGAGTGTCTTTCTCTTCTCCACAAGGTAATAAAGCCCTACCAATGCCATCTGAGTGGAATCAGCGTATCCACATCTCTAGAATAGATACTCACGTCCTTGGGGCTACACATCTCAGGTGAATAAATCTTCACCCAGAACCCAAACACGTCTAAGTCAGAAACAGATCCTCTAGGGGTGCTGTTGGTTACACCTGCAGCACTGTGATGATCAAAGAGAAACTGAACTTATACTTCTCCTGTCTACACCCACGATGACACTTAGGTCGGGAAATTAGAGAAACTCTGTGTTTATTTAGTCTCCCACTCTTATGGCACTGGAATGCAACAAGGCAGATCCACTGGAAGTGGTAGATAACCGTAATCTGAAAATGCCCTTTGTAAAAGTATCTGATCTCCTGATTACTTTAGAGACTTAAATTAGCTCCGAAGGGGATTTTTACTTGACATCTGACAAAATTTATTTTCACGTTCCTCTAGAAGAATAAGACTAAATTTTTTTTAAAAAGAGAGAGTATGCCATCGATGACTTTAAAACACTATAAAGCTACCACTATCACAATAGTAAAATAAAGAGTAATCTCTAAACACACCCTATGTATAGAAAAACTTAATGTGAAATAAATAGCATATCTTGAATCAATTCAACTTCTCATGTAAGAAAAGTTAATGACTCAAAAATAATTCAGGTTAGAGCCTTATTTCATAATATTCCAAAAATAAATTTTTATAAAATGCTAGATGCATATGAAAGTTATAACTTAACTGCTCTCTGGAATAGGAATTAGTATCAAAACATAAATGCAGTGGAAAAAATTGCAAAGGAAAAGATAGGTTTGACCACATAGGATTTTAAAGCCTCTGCATATTCTCCCCCAAAATAAAGTATAAATGTTAAATTGAAAAAAATGCAATAAGTGGTGAATATACCTAATATACAACAAGCTTTGCAGATCAGTAGGAAGAACACTATTATCTCAATATAAAAATGAGCATGGTACACATTTTTCATGGTCTAATAGATACAAGAAAATATTTTCTACCTTAATAGGAATAAAAAATACCAAAAGAAGACTGTGACAAATGACTTTTTACTTTTTCTTTCTTTTATCTTTTTTGAGACTGACTTTTTTCTTTTTTGCTCTGTTGCCCTGGCTGGAGTGCAGTGGTGCAATCATAGCTCACTGCAGCCTCCACCTCCCCAGCTCAAACAACCCTCCTGCCTCAGCCTCCTGAGCATCTGGGACTATGGGTATGTGCCATCACACCTGGCTAATTTTTTTAATTTTTTGTAGAGACAGTCTCGCTATGTTGCCCAGGCCGGTCTTGAACTCCTGGGCACAAGGAATCCTCCCCCCTCGGCCCCCCAAAATGTAGAGATTATAGGTATGAGTCACCACACCTGGCCTGACTTTTCACTATTTAAGCCACTAAAGTAGTTAATGTGATTAATAACCTATGTTGATGGGATTACAGTAAGCCAAGCATTCTCCCTATTGCTTAACCAGGGTAAAAATGGGTATGATAACCTTTACAGAAAGTAATTTGGCATTTTGGCAATTTGTTTTAAGAGTCTTTAAGAAGCTCATAGTTCCTATCATTTGACACAATAATTCAACTTTTAGGAATCGATTTTAACAAAATAATGAGATAAGCACCAAGATTTTGGTACGCACATTAATCCAACAATTACTTTCTGAATACCTGTTCTGTGCTGGGCCCTGGGGTGGAGCCACAGTGAACAAAAAAATAGGGCTCCTATGTGCATGGAAGTTACCATCCATTAGTTTAAAAAAATATTGTGATATTGCTATAGTCAAACTCTAAAAACAACATAATTAACAAATAAGGGAATGTGTATACAAATTATGGTATATCCATAAAATAGAATATTGTAAGAGCATTAAAAACAACTTTTGAAAAAATCCATAATGACATAGGAAATGGTTATGTTAAAAGGTTAAAAGCAAAAAAAAAAAATCATGACGCAAAACCAAATATATATTATCACAAATATGTAAAAATTCAGAGAAAAAAGATGAGAAGGAAATACATTAGGATGATAACACAAGTGATCTCTGTATATTTCTAAAAGTCAGAAATCCCGGGCTCTAGTCTCAACTCTACTGCTTATTACTATCCTAATATTTGACTTTGGGCAAGTCAGTCAAATCTCCTAAGTCTTAATTTTTTAATTTAGAAAATGAGCTGCAATTCTGGATTTGACTCGCTACTAGTATTCAAATTAGATAACGCAAGAGTGAGTCTGTTGTAAGCTGAAAAGCTTTAAACAAATATCACATACTATTATTTTCTTAGCAAAGAAGGATGATTAGACTAGAAACGTTGAACCCCTTTCTCCCACTTTTCCATGTCTCTTCTCTCCTTCAAATTCTAATTTAATACAATGCTAACTTTTGGGGAATTTTCTTGACTTATCCCATTTGCCCCCAATCACTTACTTTGTATCTTTGCCACATTTTTGTGTATCTCATTAATCCATACATTGGCCAAATATATCTCACCAGATGTGTTTCTTTCTCCTTTTTTTTCTTTAAAAAAGTCTGGAATCATTTATGAACTTAGTGTGGGCTGGGCTGGGGCTATTCTGAATCTTTAGAAAATTATATAACCATCATTTCTTCACTCCCATCTTAATCCTTTGCCCAAAGAATAACAGTCAAACTGTCCTAAAATCAACAGATGTCTTCAGGAAAACATTTCATAACCTCTCTGATGTAGGACATTTGCATCTTAAATATTCTTATCATCATTACATTTTAAGTGTAAACCTTTCTTCAGGCAAAGACCACCCACCTGATGCCTTGTGAGGCACTGTTCCCAGCAGAGGGACATTGACGGTTGGATCTGCCATGATGCCTTTATCCAGGGAGCGCAAGGACAGGAATTCATAGAAGTATTCTGCCTACAACCAAAGGCACTGACAGTTAGTAACATGGAAACCAGAGAGGGAGAAGGCACCACAGAATTCATCGTCCATCTGATGGGGCAGAGATAATTTTCATTACAGGAACTCTGGAGCACACAGCATCCAAGATACTGGGTAGGCACAACTCACCCTTCTGTGTTAGACTCTGGAGAGAAGTGATCCCTAAAAACATTAAAAACAGCCACAATAGTTAATCTGTTTTTGTTTGTTTGTTTTTTGAGACAGAGTCTTGCTCTGTTGCCCAGGCTGGAGTGCAGTGGCGCAATCTCAGCTCACTGCAACCTCTGCCTCCCAGGTTCAAGCAATTCTCCTGCCTCAGCCTCCTGAGTAGCTGGGATTACAGGCATGTACCACCACGCCCTGCTAATTTTTGTATTTTTAGTAGAGACAGGGTTTCACCATGTTGCCGGGGTCTGTCTCGAACTTCTGACCTCAAGTCATCTGCCTGCCTTGGCCTCCCAAAGTGCTGGGATTACAGGCTTTAGCTACTATGCCTGCCCAGTAATTTTTTAACTTAAATGATATTAATTGCTGTCTTTTTAAAAGATTGAGAAAAAAAATTCTCTTAGGGAAATAGGTGATGTCAAACCAGTCATTGACTAGAATCCATCTCAGCTATTTTAATCATTCTTTAATACTCCTAATTCTAAATTCTGAAGTGAGTCTTTTGATCAGAATTTGGAGAGTTGTAATGAAGTCCCAAATTCCATGATCTTGCTGTTAACATTTATTTTTTACTCTCATTCCCTTTGAAAGGTTTATATTTAATGTCTCGATTTAATTGTGGAGAGAAAAGCCAAAAGATGCAAAAACCACCATCACAATAAGACAACAAGCCATAAACCTTTACATTGTGAACACTTTCATTTACCCACTAAGTCTAGTTGAGAAAATGATTCCTGCTACTCAAATGGCCATGAATACTGAAAGTAATGATGCATAATCTCACTATAGAGCTTTAATGCTTAATGGATTCCCACTGGATTATTAAAAGGGTTTGTGAAGGCCAGGCACGGTGGCTCACACCTGTAATCCCAGCACTTTGGGAGGCTGAGGTGGGCGGATCACTTGAGGTTAGGAGTTCGAGACCAGTCTGGCCAACATGGCGAAACCCCGTCTCTACTAAAAATACAAAACTTAGCTGGGCATGGTCGTGGGTGCTTGTAGTCCCAGCTACTTGGGAGGCTGAGGCAGGAGAATTGCTTGAACCCAGGAGGTGGAGGCTGCAGTGAGCCAAGATAGCACCATTGCACTCCAGCCTGGGCAACAGAGCAAGACTCCATCTCAAAAAAAAAAAAAAAAAAAAGTGAAAGAGAGGCATTACTAGAGATGCTATAGACATTTAAGCAAGAAAAGGGATCAATGTTACACCAATAAATTCAATGACTTTGATAAAATGAACTCCTTGAGAAACACAAATGAACAAATCTGACAAGAAATAGAAAGTTTGAATAGCCTTATGTCTGTTAAGGAAATTATATTCAAAATTGTAAAACCCTCCCACAAAAAAAATTCCAGGGTCAAATGGCTTCCCTGGTGAATTCTCACAAACATTAAGGAAGAAATAATGCCAACATTACAGAAATTTATAAGCATTGGAGATTGTTATTATTATCATCAATATTGTTTTCATAAGTCTCCTCCCTCAGTTATCAGCTTCCAGCTTGAACCTGGGAGGCAGAGGTTGTCATGAGCTGAGAACATGCCACTGCACTCCAGACTGGGTGACAGAGTGAGACTCTGTCTCAAAAAAAAAAAAAAAAAGCGGAAGGAGAGTTGTGATGGTAACAATATGTTCTTGCTTAGAAATAAAGAACAATCAATAAATAGCACCAATGCTAACATGAGAGTTAGGCAAGTTGAGTGGTTCTGCAGTTACCTGTAGAGACATCCAGAATTACATTAATTTAATGTAATGAATTAAATTAATTAATTAACTTTTTGCATTCTATCCATTCAGTTCCACACCCAGAACTACATTAATTCAATGTAATTAATTATATTAATTTTTGCATTCTATCTATTAATTAAAGAAATTACATTAACATGGGCTAGAAGGAGGTTGCAAAAGAATATGACCCTACAAGCAATATAAAATTTATTTTACAACATGAAAGATATTAAGAGATACATGGTAGACATTCAAACAATTTGCTGCTTTAAATCACAGTATCACATGCAGCAGGCATTAAGGACTTCACATGAGGATAATAATGCCAAGGGGTAGTCTCAGATGCTGTGGGAACTTGTCCATACTTGAAGTTAATTGAGAAACACTTCCTGGTTTCACTAAGCCAAAAGGATAACCTTCATGGACCAAATTCCCACTGCATCCCCTCCTGTGAGTTGTGGTCAAGTTTCCAAAAGACCACTGTGAACAGTTCCCTAGGTGGGTAACAACATTGTTTAAGTTAATTTATAAAATTGATTCACTAGGATGGCCCTGAGAATAAAGGGTCATAAGGCAGGTAATTCTTACCCTGTTTAAGGGAAGGCAGAGGTTTATAAGAAGTCTGATGAAAGGAGTGTTGTCAGGAAAGGTAATTCAATTTGGAATGAATTCCTTTGAAAGAGAGAACAGTATTTCTGTCCCTGCAGGAAAACCAATGACTATTAAAAGTGGATTTGTTTTCATGAATCCAGGTGTTTTAAATGACTTCTACCACCTGCACTTCCCTCTACATTTTACTAGATAATATGTATCATTTAACATACTGTTCTAAAACGTATTTTATTTGGCACTATGAAAGGATTTAGTGATAGATGCCCTTATAATGAATAACATTTGAATTATTTCTATTACTAAGTACAGTAACAACAATCACACAATAAACTTGGGTGTAATGCACACCATGTGCCAAAACATTCTAAAGACTTAACAGTACATATAATGATGGAAAAGAAATGAATGGATAGAATGCAAAAAACTTTGAAATTAAAAGGTCAAATACCATATAAGTTATCATTTGCTACCCCATAATTATATCTTTGAGCTTTGTCACATTATAAATTAAATATACCTTTCTATGTGTGATATATTTAAAAATTACATTTGTAAAACTACAATAATTTTAACAAATATAATTTAATTTAAAAAATAAACTTTTAGTTAATAAGAAAAACTAGACACCAAGATTAAAACAATGATTGTGTAGAATTGATGGTGATTTTTTTTCTTTTCTCTCTTTTTCAGATTTTCTATATGTGAATTTATATCTTTTCATGAAATAAGTGCATTTATGTATTTTTTTTAAAAAGCATTAATCATGTACCCTCCTTTCAGTTCCGTGGCTGATGATTCTTTTTCCATAATTCTCTGATCATAGATAAAATATTCTTCTTGAACATCTATTTAACGTGGCTGTGTTTAAACAACAATTTTATTTAAATCTCTTCCATGTCTCCTTGAAAGTGCAGCAATTTGCATAAAATAGCTTCTGAACGCCTCTTCCAAAAAGTTTTGATGATGTTCAAAGAATATGGAACTGAAAAAATTCCATTCGGAGGCCAGAAACATAACTTCACAGAGCCTTCAGGTATGACCACAGAAGGTAGACTGAGAAGCATGGAATCTGTTATACTTAGCATCAGAGAGTTGATAATGAGCAGTGGCACGACTGCTTCACATGATGCAGCTAGGCTTAATAGATTTCTCTGGACACCCAATACTCTGATCTAATCAATAACACACTTTACACAAAAGTGTCCCTTTTATTTCTTTGAGAATCAGTAAACATTTGTCTTATTCTAATAAGACTGTTCATAAGGCAGGAACTGGTTTCTTTCTTGGATCTTATCAGCAAAAGGCAGTTACCAGAGTAAATCGTTTTCTTTCTTGCTGAAGATGATAACTAATGGTGCATGAATCTCTGAAACATGTAATTTCCTGGATACTTGGTACATTTCTTTAAAAAAGATTTTGTCTGTGGTTTTCATTGCCTCTTTAAAAATTCTAACTTCACACTGGGAAGTTTTAAGATAAAAAAAAAAGAAAAGAAAAAAGAAAAATTTTAACTTGAAAACCATTTAGAAATTGACTAACCTTTTATCTCTGATGTTGACACTAACTTCTTTCAAAGTTTTACTTTGCCATTGTAAAGAAATCTAAAACCATCAATACTGTGAAAATATTTCCACAAATATAGTATTATGAACTACAGAGTAAATATATCCTTCATTTAACCTAAGGGCTTAAATTAAAAGCCACAAGAAATGGCTGATGAACAATATATTTACGCCATACTCTAACTTCTAGACAGGACTTTCTGTTTTTACTTTATTTATAATAAATATTCTTAGACCCAAATCTCCCCATTGGAAAAACTTATTTGAGAGCAAATAAAATCTAAATTCTATGCCAAAGAGAACAGAGAACTAGCTTTAAAGTTTGGGAACAATTTCCACAAATTGTAGATTTATTATTTAGATAAAAGGAACTCAGAGCATGAACAGTAATAGAGAAATGGTATACTGGAGAGTCTAAAACCTCTATTAGGAAAAAGTACATTTTGTTCCATTAAATGACACTAGAGGAAACTCAGGTAAAGGCAAACAGAGTAATTATTTGGGAAACACATGAAAAGGTTGCTTTGTATTCAAACAAAGAATGGGTCTATTCAGGAGAATAATTCACTGGCATGGTTTGCCATGCAGTAAATTTTCTTTTCATGGAGAAGCATAAAAGACACCCAAATATTATCAAGAGAGGAGTGCTGGAGGTCATTTAACTTGCTTCCAATGGACTTGGCTGAATATTAGGATTGTTCCTTCCAGATGAGATGAAGACATCATTTAAACAGCAAAATGGGACAACTCATAAGGCCTTTGTTCTGGCACTCCTTTTAGGGTAGACATAGAGAAAGGAAGCAGAGAATTGCATTAACCCCTTATTGAGAGGAATGAAGAGAATCCAGTATTTCTCTTCTACCTTTGAAGTTCTGTGTTTATGGTGTGTACTTAATCTAATAAGCACAATAATTGTAGGAGCCTCTGAGTTAAGAATCAAAGATCTTTCAGAAAACCAAGGACTTCAAACCTCTTTTAACCCATATATCATGATGCTGACCTAAGTGCTCATGGAAGAACATTAAAACAATAAAGTTATCATCTTTGTTCTAAAGAAGGTTTCAGGCATTTATAGATACAAAACACACAAAAGCTGTAAGGTTTGAAAATTTTCAAATAATTTTTGTTGAATGTTTATTATACTGCAGTTACTGTTTATTTAATTCTCACAACAGCCTATTATTGTTACAGCATACAAGTGAATTCAGATTCGCAGATTCACTGTGAATTCAGATTAGCAGATTCACTGGGTATGAGAGGTACTAAAGAGATGTAAAATAGATCGTACGCTGTAAGTGAAGGGCCAGAAAAAATCTAAAATAAGCAAGAAAGGAAAATAGTTCAATGTTAAAGACCCAAACAAAACGAATAAGCATGCCCAATGATTAAAATAATCTGAATATCTAGAGCAAAAATTGCCAGATCTCACATTCTTCCTCAGAATTCTTCTTGTTACCTCTGCAAAATTTCATCCTTCAAACTCAAAGCTCATTATCTTTGGACTCTGTGACACTCTTCTGATTCTCATATCACTTCTTGATTTTCCTGCATTTCCTCATTAACTCTCAGCTCATAATCATATAAAATCACTAAGACTCTTTTTATATTGTCATGAAGCTCAGGTATTTTCACAGATTGAACCATTTCCCTGTAGACAGCAATGCTCAACATGAACCATTCACATCCTTCTTCCAAAGCACAGACTCTTCTTGCCATCTGCGTCATGCCCATGCTCATGTGCATGGAGCCTGGTTCATTATCTTCCAAAATCAGCTTCCCCCACTTGATTTCTCTTTTCTTTTCTTTCCTTTCCTTTCCTCTTTTCCTTTTCCCTTTCCCTTTCCTTTCCTTTCCTTTCCTTTCCTTTCCTTTCCTCTCCTCTTTTCTCTTTTCTTTTCTTTTCTTTTCTTTTCTTTTATTTGCACCTCACTCTTGCCCAGGCTGGGATGCAGTAGCACGATCATGGCTCACTGTAGCCTCAACCTCCTGGGCTCAAGCCATCCTCCCATCTCACCCCTCCAAGTAGCTGGAATTACAGGCATGAGCCACTGTGCCTAGCCACACTTAATTTCTTTTTAGCTGCCAATGGTCTTGTTATTGTTTCAATTAACAAAGATACTGAAGCTCAGGGTTATTGCTGTTTCTTACCTCTATCTCATGTCCCCACAGAAAGACACCAAAATCTTATCCTTTCTTCTTTTATATCTTATGATTCTGTACCTTCCTTTCATCCTCACCACTTCCACCTGAATCCAGCATTTATTTCCTCATATTGGCATTTTTATAACATTCTTTGAAATATTCTTTTTGCCCTTCTCTTTAAAAGTGGCCAATACATCAAATGAAACCACCACTTTTGCCATGTTACAATCCTTTCCTGTCCCTGCTTATGGATGGGATAAGGCCTTCGGCCTGTTAGGTGTCTCCACAGCCTGGTTCCTTTATCTTTTTATCTCTCACTACTCCCCAACAGGCATCATCTTCTGGAGCTCACTGGCCCGAGGTGATACCATAGCCATGCCTATATTCCAGTGATTTAACCTCTACTGACCTTCAATAGGACTTAAACCAGCTTGGCCCTTAAACATCTACCACTATGTATTATTATTTAACTTTTCATATGTTTATATCTTGTATTCTCATCTAAATGTTGGATTCCTGTGGCTAAGAATGGGACTACATATTTTTTCCAATGGTCTACTGGAGACTCACTCAGCATTGTGCACAGCAAGGCATTTGAAAAATATCTGCTGAATAAGTGAATGAATGACCTACTGAGAGGCATCCAGAAGTGTAAACCCGGTGCGTTCCAGAACACATTGTTGTGGTAAAATGGCATTAGCCTCTGATTCTAGTGACAGGCAGCAGCTTTTCTGTTTGGCAATTGCTAAGTTACTTTTATGGGCCAAAAACTTCTCTCTTACTCTTCTGTGTGGTCAGTCATTGCAGCCCACAATTGAGAATACAGAGCACTTTTGAAAAAAAGAACAATCAAACACTGACATTTGTTATCTACCCGATCTGTGTGTAGTTTATAACTGTTTTATGCTTGTTCTGGCACAAACCTTTGGCAATGAGGCTCCCAGAAAGAATGAAAGGAGATAATGTAAATGAGGTCCTGTTCTGACACAAGACTTTGCCCAAGGCTCTTCTGGTTTATATTTCCCTCTTGGGTTCCAGTCACTTTGCCTTCTATAAATTACAGGATGTAATTGTGCTATCACTGCGAAACTGTGAAACACAGATTGAGTATCCCTTATCCAAAATGCTTGGGACCAGAAGTGTTTTGGATTTTAGATTTTTTTTCAAATTTTGGAATATTTGAATATATATAATAAGATATCTTGGGGATGGGACCCAAGTCTAAACACAAAATTCATCCATATTTCATATATACCTTATAGGCTGAAGGTAGTTGTATATAATATTTTAAATAATTTTGCAATTAGTCACATGAAGTCAGGTGTGGAATTTTCCACTTGTGGTGTCATGTTGGCCATTAAAAGTTTCAGATTTTGGAGCATTTCAGATTTTGGATTAGGAATGCTCAACCTATATCAACAATGACTATTTTTCCCTGCCTGCTTTTGAAACTAGCTCTTAGAAGAACTTGTTTCAAAAGGAAAAGGGAAAGCACCTTCTCATGCAGCGTAGCTATTTATTTTACTGATCATGGCTTAAACAGGCGATAGAAGAAACATTGCCTAAAGAGAAAATCTCAATTAGCCAACTTCTTCTGTTCTAGTCATTGTTTTTATACACACTAGACTAGATCACAGCCAGTGGGCTGGACTGAGGGAGTGAGGTTATTGGAATATAATGGTGATATTAAAACTTGAAGTTCAAATAAACACATCCAGGACTATGAGAGTTTTGTAAATTAAAACTGGCAGAAGATCACAGTTTGGCTTCACATGAATCTGAAATTTCTAAGACATTTTCCATTTTTTCCTCCTAGAGTTTGGAATCACCACTGTTCATGCAAACCAGAAACAGACCTGGCTATCTGACAAATCATTGGCTAGTCACTCTCTTTCAAGATGTCTAAAGATAGAGAAGCAACAGAGGGCTATATTGCTATTTTGTATTAAATAAAACCAACAGTTAAGGTTTTTTACTTTTATTTTTTGAGGAAGGGGTGACAGAAAAGTAGAAAAGCAAAGCATTGGGAAATGGAAAACACTTTGTTCAGCTCATCTAAAAATTGAAAAAAAAAAGGTATTGGTATAAATATAGTCTTTAAACCAAATTTAGCCCTGTTCAGCACACTGCTTTCACTGGTTTGCCAAAATTTATAATGGAAAGGGTGGTGTAGGCAGCAGTGGGGCTTCTGAAAACTTCTGTTCCCCTCAAGCTTCCAGGACAAGTGCCTCCTCCTCACAGTAAGCCTGCTCCAACTCAAGCAGTAGCAAAGTCCTGGGTCGATGCCAACCTAAAAATTGGGCATGGGGAGGAAGGAAGCATTAGGCAACTATGGTGGGGTAAGATAAGGGACTGAGGAAAGAAAATGTCATTACAAGTGGTGTGGTTGACACTGTGGGGACCAGGGTCAGTCTAAACAGGAGGTGTGGAAAAAGGAACAGCATGGAGAAACTTGAGAGCACAACGACACATTTCTGTTAGATGCTAAGGCAAAATGATGATTCCAGAGCATGGAGGTGCCCAGAAAGCAGCAGTGTGTGTGCAGGTACTTGGGAGAAGAAGGGAGAGGGAGACAGTTCTGGAAAGGGAAAAGGAATCTCTTTCCTAGTGTTTCTTTCTTTTTTTTTTTTTTTCATCTCATCTCAAGGCTTACATTTGAATATTTCTTTTCTTAAAGCTTCAGAAGCAGTCATTGAGTATTCATCTGTATGAAGGGAAAAGAGAACTGTGCTAAGAGCTATTCCTTTACTAATAATTTTTTTAAACCTGAGCAATTGGCTGGGCATGGTGGCTCACACCTGTAATCCCAGCACTTTGGGAGGCTGAGGCAGTGGATCATGAGGTCAGGAGTTTGAGACCAGCCTGCCCAACATAGTGAAACCCCATCTCTACTAAAAATAATAATTAAAAAAAAAATAGCTGGGCATGGTGGTGCACACCTGTAATCCCAGCTACTCTGGAGGCTGAGGCAGGAGAACTGCTTAAACGTGGGAGGCAGAGGTTGCTGTGAGCCAAGATCGCACCACTGCACTTCAGCCTGGGTGACAGAGTGAGACTCCATCGCGGGGGAAAAAATAAAACAAAACAAAAATCCTAAGCAATTACCCTCACACCTTATGCAGTACATTTGTTCTTCATCAATATCTAATTCCCTTGTTCTCTCCTTCATGCATTTCACATGGTGGTATAGTTCAGCAAATCAAAATTTTTAGGACAGAATGATATTTACAAAGTGTACATAAAAACTTGAGTAGCACATATAAGTAACTTAAAGAGGCAAAATTAATGTTCCATTTCTTTCACAGTTCTTTAAAATGCATAGTTACCTCCAGGGTTGTATATTTACTTCATTCTATTGATAAAAAGTAAATGTCAAAATTTTAAACTTGAAATATCAGAAGATATATTCAGTGATGACTTCCAAAATATTTAAAATTAGGTCATATTTTTCTTAGTTTAGCTCTAGGTAGTTTTCTTAAATTCTTTAGTATTTTTTCATTGAATCCACATGGACAGTATCAACTTATTCTTTGATTTAAAAAAAAGGAGGAAAAAAAACACAGACTTTCCCCCTTAGCTTAATGTTTTGAAAAAATGCATTAGATACTTTCATAAAGGTTATGAGAAGAGCCTTAATTTGACATTTTTGTTCAAGTAATTGCAATTGCATATTTCAGAATACTATATTACAAGGTATCTTCTAATGAGCAGTTTGTTCTATTCCTACCTAAGAGTCAAACAGGAAAAAAAAAGTCTGTAACCTCTTGGTTACAGATTTTCAAAGTCCAAAACTAGTCTTACCAAAGAAGATTTTAAGAACAGTCATGTATTTGATAAATTTTATTTTACACTTTAGAAAAAGTCATTGCCTAAAAGATATAACATACTTTGCTCTTTTAATTTTCTTCTAAGCTCTTCTAATCATTTGCTATTTAAAAGTTGTTACTCATACATGCATTATTCATTCTGTTTAAGAAAAAGAGAAACTAAGGCAGAACTGAACATTTCCTGAGGAGCACTGATGATGACAAGCCATAATCTGAGGACTAACTAAATCTATATGGCCAACTTCAATTGTCCTCCCAATCCCCAAGAAATTCTTGTAAACATCATTAGTCTCTCCCTTCTTGTACACACAACAGTTTCATAGTTTTCCCCCAGGTATGCTGTCCCATTCCTGCTATCTTCTCTCAACTGATGTCAATATCCACAAAGAAAACAGAGATTACTATATACGAATCCTCTCAACATCCCCCCCATCTATCTACAAATAGTCTAATATCCAATCCTGGTTCCTTTCCATATCCTCTGAGACTGGCCCCATCATTTATGCCATCTGTGCACATGTAAGTATACTAATGTGATGAAAAGATTAAAAACTCTGTCTCTACCATCATTATGCTTTTAAAAGAGTCTATAACCATGGCCTCAGTTTTCTTGCCCATCAGTCTTTACTACGGTATGGTTTTTGCCCTAGTCACTATTAAAATTTCTCATAAAAGGTTACTGATGATTTCCAAGTTGCTAAGTCCAATGAGCCCTTTCCCATCTCTATCTCTCCTGTCTTCTATGAAATTTTTTAATGACAAGTAACTTCTCCTTCTCTTCTTTTTTGATGTATACATAGCAACTCTCTCTGAGTTTTCCTTCTCCTTCTCCAATCACTTTCTCTAGTCACCTTCACATGCTCTTCTCTCTATAATTGCACCTCAAAAAAAAAGTTCTGAATGTGGGTCTATGCGTCCTTAGAGAATGCATAGCTTCGATGTTCATATGCATATGAATATTTTTCTGGGGGGGAGCAGATTCTAGCTTTCATCACATTGTCAAAAGAATCTATGACTCAAAAAAGTTAAGAACCATTGTCTTAAATGTTGATGTTCCCAGGAAACAACTACTAGTCTGCTCTTCTGGCTTATGCTCTCATTTTGGGGGCATCTTATCTATTTCCATGACTTCAAATTACACCTACATTTCATTAGCCTCCAAGATTTTTATCTCCAGTTTTCACCCTTCTCCTAATCTCTAGATTCATATTGACAACTGTCAACTAGATTTCTCCCTTTGGACTTAACATTGGAAAGATAATGGACAAACTCATTATCTTCCCAATGAGGCTGTTCATTTGTATTCCTTAGGAAAGCATAATATACCTATTACCCAAGACATAAACTTGGCAGTTTTTCTTAGACTCCAAACTTCTTTCTTACCAACTACCTCCACAAATTCTCATTGATTTCTCAGCTTTATTCCTGTCTTTTCCTTCCCAATATTATGACCAAAATTCAGACATTTCTCCCTCATGCTCCTAACCTACCTCCCTGGTAACTCATGCGCTCCAGATTTATTCCCTCAATCGGCACCATCATCCAATTTTTCTTCTTAAATGCCAACTGGAATATATCACTGCTCCTACTTAACACCCTTAATGGTTTCTTATTACAATGAAGACTTTGGCTAGCTACAACTTTCTCTCTAGCTCTGCCCACCAGCCTCTTCTCCCACATCCTGCCTCACAGGTCTTTGATCTGGCCATATCAAGCTTCAAGTTAACTTAGCCACCAGCCTCTGTCATGAATCTTATTTCATACTCTATGCCTGGAGTATCCACTCCCTGCACTTGCCCACCAAGCAGACTTTGACTTACCTCTCCAAGCTTGGATGAAATGTCATCTCTTCAGTTAAACTGCCCTTGCTACAGATGCTTCTTTCCTGTCCCCTTCCTCATCTTTATACTATTGTACTTACGGTAAAAATCTATTTTCTTGTCTCTTCCCCCTGGCCCCTACCCCAATTAAACTCTCCTCATTGGAAGGGATTTTTTCTCTTCTTATTTGAATCTGCAGTGACTAATCTATTTTTTGTGGCTGAAAAACTGTTTCTAAAAAATGAATGCAAACTTTAAGTTAGTATAGTCTAAAAAAATAGGTAACTCACCTTTTACCATGTCCATTTAAGGTATGAAATTTCTGACTTTCAATGAAACAGAAGTTCAAGTATACTTGCAAAGCCTTGGCTGAGAGAGGTAGACATTTGGGTCCCAGTCAACAGTCAGCGGGAGATGGGAAAAGGGGCCAACAAGGGAGACTAAGCTGGTCCAGAGCTGGCTCTTGAAGGGAGAGAGCCAACAGTCCAAATAACAATGGCCACGAGGCTGGGGAGAATGTGGGTGAAGTCTGGGCTAGAGTGAGACCTGCTTGGCTTGAATTCTAACTCTACTATTTACTAGCTGGCCTTGGGTACAGGCTTAGCCTTACATTCATTCAACATATATGTATGGAGTGTGCCAGGCATAAGGCATTGTGTGTGCCTGAGATGCCAAGCTGAGTCAAAACAGACCTAGTATTTGTCCTTATGGAGCTTGCAGGCTGGAAGGGAGCTGATCATTAATCAAGTAAGTAAAAAATCGAGACTGTGATAAAGGGCTTCAGAGAAGTACATGGGGTTCTTTGAGAATGTGTGCTTTGGCTTAACTTGGGGGTCAGGAACAGCTTGCTTGAGAAAGGATGGCAGAACTGAGATCTGCTCAGTGAGCAGAGGTTAAACAGGTGAAGGAGGGGCAGCTTTTTAAGCAGAGGAAAGATCAGTTGCGTAAGCTCTGGGAGGACTCTGGCAAGCTTGAGGAACCCAAGGAAGCCAGTGTCTACTTTGCAGTGCTGTTGTGAGGATCAAATAATGCATGTAAAGTAGGTGAAAATGTTGGCACATTGTAAGCATTCAACAAATGCTAGTTACTATACACAGGATCAATATAAAGTCCTTTATTGGTGCAGTGTGGTAGCAGGAGTCCCTTGACAGTGGCAGTACCCATAGAAAAAAGCAGCTTGGAGATTCCTGGGTGATGGGAGCTGGAGGGGTGTGATCAACAGAGGGTCTCTGTAATGCATTGTGGGTATAGGGAGTAAGGTTCAGAATGAAAGCAGGGGCTGTGAAAATAGTCCAAAACAACCTTCCTTTTCTAGTTCAAGTTAGCACATATAGGCAAAATTGGAATTATCTTATTTCTTTAACTTTAAAATGTCTTATCAAACTATTAATTTGCAGGAAATTTAAAGGATAGCGGAATAAGTTAAACTACACCACAAAGATGTAATCAGTAAAATCCAGACTATAGAAAACTCTACAGGGCAAAAACCTAGTTTCTTTAATAAAAATTTTAAGGAATGAAAAAAAGAAAGACATAGAGAGGAAATCCCATGTATTTCCTAGTATTATGCAAGACAAGTATTTTATATATTATATATATATATTCCATATATAATATATATTATACATTATATATATTATTCCCAGTATTATACAAGGAAATCTCCATGTATTTCCCAGTATTATACAAGGCAAAACAACAGAAGAAGTCTTATTCCCTATCTTTGAGAATCTCTGATAATAATACTATTTGCCTGAACTTAGCTAATAAGAGTATCTGCTTCTGTTTAAATTAAATTCAATATTGTATCCTATATAACCAATTTCCTGTATTACAGTTTGAATAAAAAGAAATCACAGACTAGGTAAAATGGTATTGTGATTAAATTCTACTGTGTTTATATTTCCAAAAGCAAGTTTGATTTTCATAGGTCTTGCCTTTTACCCCAGGAATCCATTTCAATGAATAGCTCTGATCAAAGGTTTAAAAGTAAATTAATTCTAATTAATTAAGAACAAAATCTTTTCCAAATTGAGATACACACAGAAGAGCAAATCATTATATCTGGCTGATCTTTCTGTGTTCATGCCTTCTTTTATTCATTCACCCAGTAAATATTTACTGAGTAGTTTCCATGTGCCAGGTTCTGCTCTAGGCACTAGGGATGCAGCAGTCAGCAAAAGAAGTAAAAACTCTTGGCCCTCATGGAGCCTACTTCTGATATGAGAAAGAGGAGGAGACACATAATTTTTAAAGAAATATTTAAATGAACATATATCAAGTAATGACAGGCACTATGTGGAAGACTTCAGTGGAGAAAGATGGTAGAGAATAAAATGTGGAACATATGTACCATGGAATACTATGCAGCCATAAAAAAGAATGAGTTCATGTCCTTTGCAGGGACATGGATGAAGTTGGAAACCATCATTCTCAGCAAACTAACACAGGAACAGGAAACCAAACACCACATGTTCTCACTTATAAGTGGGAGTTGAACAGCAAGAACACACGGACACAGGGAGGGGAACATCACACACCGGGGCTTGTCAGGGGGTGGGGGGCTAGGGGAAGGATAGCATTAGAGAAACATAATGTAGATGACGGGTTGATGGGTGCAGCAAACCACCATGGCATGTGTATACCTATGTAACAAGCCTGCAAGTTCTCCACATGTATCCCAGAACATACATATATATATGTGTATATATATATGTATATATATACACATGTATATGTGTGTGTGTGTATATATATGTGTGTATATATATGTGTGTATATATATATATATGCATGGTATGCGATTGCTGTTTCTGAGAGGACAGACTCGGAAGACTGCTGGGCTGGGATGTTTTACTAGAGACTGGAATAAAGTGAGAGAGCAAGCTATGCAGATATCTGGGGGAAGAGCAGAGGGAATGCTTAGTGCCAAGTCCTTCAGGTGGCAGTGTACCTGGCACATTCATAAAAATAGCGAAGAGGCCAGTGTGGCTGTATCAGAGTGGATGGGTACCATGGTTATGAGCATGCAGCTCATGGGGAAGCAATGCCTTAACCCAAGGAAAGCTGTCTGGAGATCCCAGAGGAGGAACCCGAGACAGAGCCCATAATAACAAGATCAGTTTTAAACATCCTCTGGGGCCAGAGGAAACTCTGTAGGTGACATCAACTCCTGTCTGCCTCTTACCTCTGATCTCTCTTGTCCATGACCCCTCTCCTGGAGGAGCTAGACCCTACTGAGAAGGGTCAACCATGTTGCAACCAACCAAGCTGCAGCTAAGGGAAAGGAGAATATTAACTTTAAATAAGGATCATAATTTTAACTACCACACAGAAGAGGAGATTTTAATTACTGGCATGAGAATAATCTTAGCACTAAAGTAATCAGAGAACATTTTATTATGTCAGGTTGACTACAGAAATCTCAGGATCTGCCTGAGCATCCATCCAAAGACCTAAAGAGAAAGTAGCCTAGTGGTAGGTTTGCAGGGGCTGCTGTGAGAAAGAGTAAAGATCGCTCTGTGTGATTACACATGATGGCATTTTGCTTCTTTGGTGCAATAATTCATGTAAGGATGTTAAGAGTAAAAGAGCGGCAGCAGATTTGCCATTTGTAACGTTAGCCAAACTCATAGTCTGTTTTTTTTGTTTGTTTTTTGCCTGCTTAACACATGCCAGAATATTAGGACACACCTGAGCCCTCCTTCATTACTTTTTACTTATATTAAGTTATACCTTAGCTTTTTAATTTCTAAAAATTGTTTTCTCCAAATTTTGAGTACTTGTAATTCCTGTTCCTAGATGTATACCTATTTAATGGTAATCACTCTCTTCTGAAAGCACAGCAAATGACAGTATTTTACAGTCAAAATAAATGGTTATAAAACAAATGAAAGCAGACACTATAGTTAGTCAAGCTGATTCATTAAAAAAATACATACACACACACAGACACATTAAAGTTGAATCAACTGTCATCTTTTAGTGATGACTGTTGATCTGATGTGATGAGAGAAAGTTCCCGCATGTGGATAGGTGGATTCGGTTCCCGGATGGTCTGGAACATCGTTAACTCATACAGACTGATTCTGGCCCCAGTTCAAACTTCTAAGCCTTTGTTCTTGAGGCTCAGAGGATGGCTTTGAAGTTCAGGATAAAGCTCTTCTAACACACCATTACCAAAGAATAACCTTTTGATTATGATCTCATGAAAGTATAATCAATAACTTACATAAGTTAAAACCATGGCAAACAGTGACGGTTCTGTAATTGGACCTTTATGAATTCCATATGTTACAGTCTCGGCATTAGCTAACAGTCCTGCATAATACACATATCTCTTCCCCAAACATAGCCGCTGAACTTTCTTAAAAGGCTATGAAACTTTTCACAGCTACTGTCAGCCTTGAACTATTCAAACCCCTAAGCATGGGTGTAGTACCTAAAGGGGAGGATTTTTGGAAAGTCTGAAAGGACAAATATTTCTCCCAGATCCAATAAACACTCATTTGCGGAAAGCAATTTAATCAAAGACAGTAACTTTTTACCTAATTGCATGGCTTGTGTACTTTGAAAAATATATCGGGGGGAAAATACTTTTCCGACAAATCATTGTTAAAATATAAGTGAAAATATATTCATTTAGCAAAGACATGCTCTCATGTGAAGATCCCAAATGCCTGGGAAGCCATTATGTCATTAACCACATTATCTAGGGTTTATATTTGTTTCCTCTTTCTCATTAAATGAAATTGCATTATTAGCAAATTAGAAATGTGGGTGTTTAGTGTAGCTTGATTGCCTTCGCTTTGGGAGGAAGGGAAGTAAGCATGAAAAAAACAAAACCAACAGAATTTTCTGATCTATCTAAGGGGGCAACAAAGAAGTCTGAATTGAAGGAGCACTTAATGACAGAATAAAAGATATCCAAGGAAAGATTAGTCCCATCTTTTTGTACTAAACATGAGATCTTTAAAGACAGATGAGTATATAAAACCAAATGCAATAAATAAAGAGGGCACACATCAAAGGAGTTATTTTTGTGTCTTGGCTTCTTCTTTCCCAATAACTATTACTAACTTCCCTCCCACTCCCCACTCCATCGTCACCTTAGTGAGTTTTGTTACCTGTTATCATGGATTCTCCTCCTCCTCCTCCTTCCTCTTCTTCTTATTTATTTATTTATTTATTTATTTATTTATTTATTTATTTATTTATTTTGACAAGGTCTCTCTCTGTCACCCGGGCTAAAGTGCAGTGGTGCAATTTTGACTCACTGCAGCCTCCATCTCCTGGGCTCAAGCCATCCTCTCACCTCAACCTCTGCAGTGGCTGGGACTACAGGTGCATGCCACCACATCAGACTAATTTTTGTATTTTTTTTTTTTTGTAGAGGCAGGGTCTTACTATGTTGCCCAAGCTGGTCTTGAACTCCTGGGCTCAAGCAATCCTCCTGCCTCAGGCCCCCCAAAGTACTAGGATTACAGGTGTGAGCCACTAGTGCCCAGCTTGAATTTTTCTTTATTTTGGAACATATTTGAAAGTTGCCAAAGCCACTTCTGAGCAAATTTGTGTCTCTGGATTCTCTAGTTCAAAATAGCACTCTCAAGCAATCCTTGTGGCTCTACTGCCACTACAGAGAACTTTTCCTCTTGTAAATATGTTAGTATCTTTCAAATTAGAAATACTCACAATACATTCATTGTACTCATTGCATTAAAATATATTTGGCCCCATATCTCCTCTATTTGATTATAATTCCTAGAGGCAGATATGATAACTATTTATCAGTCTATTTTCAATAGTCCGTTTTATTTTGTAAAGGTAATTTCAAATGTCTTGCACACAAAAAAAAGGATGATCAAAGAAAACCAGTAACACCAAAGGGGAAAGAGATCAGGTTTTTGAATATCTTCAGTTTGACTATCTTTAAAGAAAATATCAGTGAGCTTGTTAGGGCCCCAGTTGTAATAGAAGGAAATAGGTTACATAAAGAAGAAAAGAAAAGAAGCAGATCGTGCTCACTTCGGCAGCACATATACTAAAATTGAAACGATACAGAGAAGGTTAGCATGGCCCCTGTGCAAGGATGACATGCAAATTCATGAAGCATTCCATATTTTTCAAAACTTAATTCAAGATGGATTACATACTTAAATGTAAAACCCAAAACCATAAAAACCCTAGAAGAAAACCTAAGCAATACCATTCAGGACATAGGCATGGGCAAAGACTTCATGACTAAAACACCAAAAGCAATTTCAAGAAAAGCCAAAATTGACAAATGGGATCTAAATAAACTAAAGAGCTTCTGCACAGCAAAAGAATCTATCATCAGAATGAACAAGTGACCTACAGAATGGGAGAAAATTTTTGCAATATACCCATCTGACAAAGGTCTAATATCCAGAATCTACAAGGAACTTAAACAAATTTACAAGAAACAAACAACCCCATCAAAAAGTGGGCAAAGGATATGAACAGACACTTCTCAAAAGAAGACATTTATATGGCTGATAAATATATAAAAATAAGCTCATTATCACTGGTCATTAGAGAAATGCAAACCAAAACCACAATGAGATACCATCTCATGCCAGTTAGAATGGCAGTCATTAAAAAGTCTAGAAACAACAGATGCTGGCGAGGATGTGGAGAAATAGGAATGCTTTTACACTGTTGGTGGGAGTGTAAATTAGTTCAACCATTGTGGAAAGACAGTGTGGCAATTTCTCAAGGATCTACAACCAGAAATACCATTTGACCCAGCAATCCCATTACTGGGTATATACCCAAAGTATAATAAATCATTCTATTATAAAGACACATGCACACATATGTTTATTGCAGCACTATGTACAATAGCAAAGACTTGTAACCAACTCAAATGCCCATCAGTGATAGACTGGATAAAGAAAATGTGGCACATATACACCATAGAATGCTATGCAGCCATAAAAAGAATGAGATCATGTCCTTTGCAGGGACATGGATGAAGCTGGAAGCCATCATTCTTAGCAAACTAACACAGGAACAGAAACTCAAACACCACATGTTCTCATTCATAAGTGAGAGTTGAACAATGAGAACACATGGACATAGGGAGGGGAACAACACACACTGGGGCCTGTTAGGAGTGGAGGGCAAGGGGAGGGAGAACATTAGGAGACACCTAATGCATGTGGGGCTTAAAACCTAGATGACGGGTTGATAGGTGCAGCAAACCACCATGGCACATGTATACCTGTGTAACAAACCTGCACGTTCTGCACATGTATCCTGGAACTTAAAAAAAAAAAAAAAAGAAACAGATCAACAGAAAAAAACTCGATGTATCCAAATCAGCAAGGCTGATGTAATCTGATTCATGATTTGTGTGGATGTATGGAAACTAAGAGCTCTGAAAACTGGGCCTCTTTTATTCACCTTAAAAAAAAAAAAAGAACAGCTCTGAGAATTATACACCAGTCAGTATCAATATTTGTTTTCATGGCTTTATTAATAGCTAGATGAACAACCTAGACATCAACATAGAGTCACAAGATGCAAGCCGTGCCATATTAAATTGATGTCTTTGCTCAAAAGAGAGGACAAGAAACAATAGAGATATCTACCTCCATTTCAAAATTGATATTGATTCCTTCCTACATGGCATAGTTATAAAATGAGAAATCTAGCCTCTACCGTTCTAGGGGATGGCTAAACAATAGATTTAAGAGTCACCCCCAAAGCAGAAACCTACGTCAGCCTGGTGGACACACTGGGTGCTATTTTATTCAGGTTAGTCTCAGAAACCAATCTATTAGATATTCCTGTTAGTGACTTTGACAAACACAAATATGAAGATGCTCAAGTTGCCTACTTCTTTTTCCTACTTTTCTCACTCCCAAGTCTTATCATTTATTCATACTAGTCTACGTTTCTTTTCCTGATCCCTCCAAAATCACTTTGTTTCAAAAAATCAAGTCCTTCCTCAACATTTATTTCTAAATTATCTCCTGACCAGAGAGTGAATCTTTCCACAGAACTCTTTCTGTTGCCATTTTTATAATTACCTTAGCATTGTCTTTTATGTATTTCTGTCTTTGGTGTCTTCCCTTAATTTTCTTTGATTGTATCATATCACTTCGTGTGATAGGATTAGAGGAAATTAAAATTCAAAATGTTCTAGTATCACACAGGAAAAACATGTTTACTAAATGGAAGAAGTGAGGAAGAGAGGAATTGTAATTCTAGGATTGGCAGATTCTGGTGAAAAGAACTCATCTCCAAGAATGAGCCAAAGTTATAAAACAAATTAAGAGAAGGACAATAGCACATCAGGGTTAGTACATGTTGTGCTAGCATAATGTCTTTCCTGCTCCATAGGCAGTGGATAAAATAAGTCAATTTATGAACACAGACTTTTAGAAATAGGTTAACATAGGGTCAGGCCAATTTTTCAAAGTCATGTAAAAATAGCACTATTTTTAAACATATATATTATCTGACTGTTAAACACTTTTCAACTCTGTTTGAAAAATCTGTATCTGTAGTTCCTTTTGATGCTCTTGGAATGTCCATAATAAGGAATCTCAGAGAGCTTTGTAAACAGGCCAGTCTTCACAAAGCCCTTCTAAGGGAAAATAGCAGATCACAACACATACCACTTTAGAGCCGGAAAAATTCTAAGAGATCATATGGGGAAGTGGAGGGCTAGGCAGGTTAAGTTACATTTCCAAAGCCCCCCAGTCAGGACTGGCTCAGCATGCTTTCCATGATATCATATGGCTGCCACACCAACCACTTCCGTTTTGCTATTGTTCAATACCTACTATGTCCTGGGCATTGTGCTGGGCAAAATGGATCACGGCCAGAACTGAGTCACCAAGTAGTGCTTGCAACTAGCCCACTCAGCTATTGCCTCAAAATTGAACATTAAAGTCTGTGTGTGTGTGTGTGTAATGGATAACACAAAAACAGATCAATGGCCTTCCCCATACTCCATTCTAGAGAAAAACTGTAGGCAACTTTTTCTTTCCACATTTTATGGGACTGTGATATGGTGATGTTGTATCCTAAGACTGAAGCACAGTGAAAAACCCTGCCCTGGTTGTCAGAAAACATGTGCCCTTTAGCCAGCTCTATTGCTAACTCCCTCTGGGAAGTCAGTCATCATTTCTAGTCCTTGGTTTCCTCATCTGAAAAATAAGGTGGTTCAACTAATCTTTAAGATTCCCTCCCTTCTAAGAGTTCAGAATTCTAAGCAAGCCCTTAGCAATTTCTTCTAAGATTTAACATAGAGTCCAGAGCATTTGGGAAGAGAATATAGCTCATTCTGCATACATACCTAAGTAGAGAATTTATGGACTCGATATAGACTTAGGTCTTAAAGTCCCAGCATAATTGTTCTGTGCTCTTAGTGACCTAAGATCTAATAAGCAATCTTCTCAGAAACACATGTGAACCTAGAAATTTGATGCACAAATCTCTTTGGAGACATATCTTTGCCTTTATCAATTCCTGATGTTTTCAAAATGTATAGAAATCTTTTGATAGCCAATTTATGAGATTACTTAGAGTGAGCCAATGGGAATGATTGAGAATGATTTCCCTCCATCAGACCTGCCCATTTCCCTCCTATTTGCCGCATGTTCACTGCAGCAGATTTTGCTCAAATAAGCCACGTGATGCTCCTGCCTTTGAAGTGGCTACAGAAGATGCTCTGCAGCAGAGAGGCCAGCAGTCTATAAACAATAATTTGTGTATGCCTACCAGGCTCCCCTTCTCCCCAACCCGCCACCTTGAACTGTTGTATTCCATAGAGAGCAAATTTAGCAGAAGTTAGCAGACACTTCAAAGCCTGAAACAGAGTCTTTACTCAGATATCAAGACTGCTGGTTCAAGTGAAGCCAGCTCTTTGGCTGCCTGGGTACTTTCTCCAAAGACTCTCCTATATCTACCCTTTCCTCTTCTTCCTCTTGGATATACAGCTCTGGGAGCGCTGATTAGCAAGTTTATTTGCCTTTTCTTTTACAAGCACCCATAAGAATGTATTTGTTAGCTCAGTTTCCTCATTTTTATACAATGTAGCATACACATTCTTTCTCTTAAAAAGTGCTGTTTTCCAGCCAGTAATGTCAATAACTCTTTAAGTTTTGACGTTGATCTACTTGTTAATCCCACTCTACTTTGTCCTTAAGAAAATTGAGGAAATAACACCTCTGAGCATTAGGAGAATATATTATTTAATATTAAAAACATTTTTTAAAGCATTTCTATAAAAATAAATGTCCCAAACTCTGTTATTTAAAAATATTTATGAATAAATGCATGTGCACATGTATATGAAGCATACAAAGAAACTCATAAAAATATTTTACTCATTCATTTAAAAGTAGTAGAAAATATGCTTCCTTATTATGTTCAAAAGGAATTATTTGGTTTATTTTTTAGGAATTACCTACTAGTTTTGTATTTGTAGGCTAGAAGTATAATTTATAATGTAGCATCTATCTGATGGGTCCCGTGTTCACAATTATAGTCATGCCCATGCAAAGCCTCTAAACTTGAGGGATCTTAACAGCCCTGATGAAAAGGGAGATCACTCACCCACCACTTACTGATCCCCCACTGCCCCCTACAGTATAAAATTCCCACTGAGAAAAACTTGTCCTAACTGAACAAAAATGTAGGCACAAATCAACAATTATCAATACTACTTGGAAAGCTTCATTTGGAGGATTTTTTAAAAGCGACAAAAGCATACTAAAAAAGAGATTCTTGAATAATTCTGTTGGAAGTATGGAGTAGTCATTACGAGCCATTCAGCAATAATGTATGTGCCAAGAGCCCGTAGAATAATTGGCAATTTGACTCAGAAATTCCACTTCTGGAACTCAGTCTTATGGCAGTAATCCTTAAACAGAAAAAGTTTTACGCATCAAGTTGTTCTTCACAGTGTTACTTGTAATAGTAAATATATATATATAAAATTGAAACAGAATGTTAAATAAACCACAGAATAGGGCCAGGCGTGGTGGCTCACACCTGTAATCCCAGCGCTTTGGGAGGCTGAGGTAAAAGGATCACTTGAGCCCAGGAGTTCAAGACTAGCCTGGGCAACATACTGAGATCCCATCTCTACAAAAAAGAAATAATAAAATACCACAAAATATTGTGTAGCCACTTAAAAAAAAACCATGTTTACCGAGTATGTGATAACATGGGAAACTACCCTACTGCCCTTAAGCAAAAAACAAACAAAAAAGGACACAAATCTTCTTAGGTGAGTTAACTATATATGAATGCTCTTTTCCCATTCTTCTTTCTCCTTTTTGGTATTTTCCAAATATTTTTAAGGGTGTGCTAATTTATGATGGAAAAATGTAATGAACTTAAAACTCAGTCAGGATTCATAAAAAGACATGGTTATATCCGGGAAATTAAGTACTGCAAACTTTAATGAAGTCCAGTTTATGTTCTTGGTGAGTAAAAAGTTTTGCAAGTTATAATTACTACAAAGACAACTAGCAATATAAAAACCTCAATTTGTAACAGAGGGACTAAATCTCAGAGTCAGTTTCTCAGTTGTTTGTAAAGAGCCAAGCCAGGAATAAATGTCATGAATATCTAGAAAGAAGCTACCATTTGAGGAGGTCTTACAGGATAAATATTAGTAATATAGCTGTTCTGTCTACCAGCCTCAGAGTATAACTCCTAAAGTCTGTTTATTAGTCAAATTGAAGACACTGAAATCAAGCCAATAGAGAAACCAGGCAAAAACTGCCTAAAATGAATTTAAGAAATTTTATTAACATTAAAATGGCAAACAGTATTTTGAAAAGTTAATTCTGCTCAAAATTTGCTTTATTTTTGCTACAAGTAATTGTATTGTCCGTGCTATTTTTCTTGCTGTGATTTAAATTCAAATGCAAAACTAAGAACAATGCAGAAATGATAGTGACCGAACATAAATCACAGACATTTTAGAGTTGAAAATAAAAAACCCTTATAATTTGCCAATGAGGACAAAAGTGAAATACTTGTCTGAGGGCTCAGATAGCTGGTGTGGGAGCTGGGCTGGGAGACAGGTCTCCTGAGGTCAGCTCAGTGTGATACTCTGAGTTCAGAGAGTGGGACACCATTCACTTAGAGTGGCATTTGGGCATCTTGCCAGCATATCCCCCAGCTTGGGATCAGGAGGACCAGCTTTCTTTGGCCTAATGACTTTCACCTAGCACTAACAGCTCATTTATATAAAGGGAAGAAAAGACCCTACTTTTTCATTGTCTACTATGTGTCAAGAATTTTGTACACATTATGCAACTGCATTTTGTTGCCATTGTAAAAAGTAATTTAATTATTTCCTTTTAGTACTTTAAGAAACTGAGGCCCTCAAGAGTTTAGTTGATCAAGATTTAACCTGTGCTGTCTTTTGCTTCTCTTTGATAGTAACTTCTCTCACTGGTGGGCAGGTAAGACAGAATACATGGTATACTGGTCAAAGTTCTCCAGAGAAACAGAACCAATAGGAGTTATATACAGAGATTTCTTATAAGGAAATTGGCTGACATGATTATGGAGGCTGACAAGTCTCATGATCTTCAGTTGGCAAGCTGGAGTCCCAGGAAAGCCCATGGTGTAGTTCCAGTCTGATGGCCCTTAAGAGCCAGTGTTTCAGCTCGAAGGCAGTCAAGCAGGAGTTCTCTCTCCCCATAGGAGGGGCAGCCTTTTTGTTCTACTCAGGCCTTCAACTGATTGTTGGAGACCCACCCACATTAGGGAGGGCAATCTACTTTATTCAGTCTATGGACTCAAATGTTAACCTCATCCAGAAACAGAAACTCCCTCAAAGACACACACAGAATAATGTATGTGACCAAATTGTCTGGGCACCCCAAGGCCCAATCAAGTTGACACATAAAATTAACATCATACATGATGTTTTTGCCAGTATGTTCAGCTCAGGGCCTTGGACTAGGCAGGCAAGGTCCCCAGGGTGTGAATTTATGGAGGCACTCATTCCTAGGCTCATACAAGCACCCTGAGTCCTTGCTTGCTGTGCCCTAGTCCTGGCCCTCTGTTCCACCCAAAAGGGTAGTTTCAATCACATCTCTTAGCTTGCAGTGTTTTATATTGGGTGGACAACTATCTATAACCAAGTAAATACCATTCTAGAAAAGCCTTGGATATATAGAGTTTCTGAAAGAATGGATGGCAAAAAACATCTAAAATATCAAGTACAAAAATAGATGATGGGTAAGTATTTCTATGTTTACTATGTAATGAAATGGAAATCCACTTATATTTTCCACTCAAAATGTTTCCTTATAATTCAAATAGCATTTATCGACTGGGCCCTTATATATTTTTATTGAAAGGCAAAAGCATTTCTATAAATCATGAACACACAAATCTTTTGTGCGTTATAGAAAAATGCACAACTATTAAAGATCAGGTTTGAATTATTTTACTTTTGGCTAAAGGCCACTTACTGTGAATTATCAGTTATTCCTCATATTTAGTTATCTAAAGTTTCACCAATGCATGATTTTTCCTTAGTTTTTGGGAAGACTGAATGAACTTAATGGGATAAAATAAATGAAAGCATGTTTTAAATGATTAAGTACATGAAAGGCATCATTACTGTTAGCAGAATAATAGAACAATGTCTTACTTGAATTCAGGAGAGCTGTACCAATTTACACTTTGCCTCTCAGTTTATGAGTGAATGCTTCCTCAAACTCTAGACAATATAGGACATGCAATAAACTCTAAACTCAAGCCTGCAGATAACTGAGAAACTAGATAAATGTTCAAACTTTGGGAATCAAAAATATTCCACTAGTCTGGAGCCAAGTGGATTTTGTTCTATTTGGCTTCTGAACTAGATCTTGAATATGATGATTTGATATATATAGGACTCTACAAATGAAACTGCATTTTTAAAAATTGATTTGAGTGGACAGGTAGGCCTACCCTTGTGTAATATGGAGGTAAAATAATATACATATATGTACATGTACCTTGGCATTTGACTGCTAGAATTCAAACCCAGGCTCTGCAGGTGACTAAGGTGTGACCCTGGGCAAGTTACTTAATTTCCTTGTGCCTCTAACTTCTCACGTGTTTAATGGAAATAAAAATAGTGGCTTCAAGCCTGGGTGATTTGGTGACACCCTGTCTCTACAAAAAAAATTTTAAAAGCCAGGCACAGTGGTGCATACCTCTGGTCCCAGCTACCTGGGAGGCTGAAGTGGGAGGATTGCTTGAGCTCAGGAGGTTGGGGCTGCAGTGAGTCACGTTCATGCCACTGTAATCCAGCCTGGGCAACACAGCAAGACTCCAGCCCACCGCCAAAAAAATGAGTGCCTTTAGCTCACAGAATTGATCCCAGTAATAAATGAGATAATCCACGTAAATTACCTTAGAAGAGCGGCTGGCAGACAGTAAATGCCCCATATATGCCCGTTCTTATTATTAGGTTAAATCACATAAAATTCAAGCATTTTGACCTATGAAAAAAGACAATTTCAAGCAAGTGTAACCATTATTTACCAAAGCCACTCTATTTTAACTTCCCCTGCAAGTATAAACTCTTCTTGGTCAAAGTCTTTATTTAAACTCACCCTCCACAGCACACAGCAGGATACCCTTCATATGCATGCAACAGAATGTCTAAATAATAAAGATGAAGATTCAGAAATATCCTGATTTCAAAGGGCTCAAATTGCAATTCATCATGGATTCTGCAGTCAGACTACCTGAGTGTACATCTTGGCTCTACTACCTACTAGCTGTGTGACCTCAGGCAAGTTATTCAACCTTTTTGTGATCCAGTTGCCACTTTTGTAAAGTGAGAATATCAGTAGTGCTTATCTCATAGGGTTGTGAGAATTAAATTAGATAACGATGAAAAATAATAAGCACAATGACTGGCACATGAGCAATACTTAATAAGCATTAGACATTTTCCTCTATTTTCTTCTTCTACTCCTCCTCCTTCCACCCCACCACCTCTTCTTCTTGTTTAGTTCATAATACAAGGTTTACAGGCAAAAATATGATTTTAACATTCTGTAAGTAAGTAAATTTCTAATTCTAGCAATCAACTCTTTTCTCATTAGAGCATAAAGAGTAAAAGACCAGTAAAGTCTATCTGTGACAATTTTATACTTTTGATAAGTATTTAGGAGTCAGGGCTTAAGAAATGCAAAGCTGAATATATGAAGTAGCTGAAGAAATTGGGGGTGTTTATCATAAAGAAAAGATGATTTAAAGGGGATGGGAGCTGGTTTAAAATGCCTGTGGTCTGATTTCAAGTAAGAAAGGGGTTAAAACATACTCCAGTGGCTCCAGAGGACAAGGAGAGAACCAAGACCAGGAATTACTGATGTGACCAGGAGAATAGGAGTAGAGCTCCAATTGGGATTTTGGGTTCAGCTGTGTCTCTGGTGGTCTGTGGCACCCACTGGCATGCATGAGATGCCAGGGACCCACTAATGGGGAGTTTGTTTATGCAGCTGCCTAGGAAATAAGGGGGAAGGAAGTTAGAGGTACACATTGGTACTGAAAGATTCTAAGGCCTGGCCCTAAGGACCAGGCCTGATTTCTACGGGGACATGGGCTGAAGGAACTTAACATTGGTGTACTTCACTGGGCTCAGGGTATTAAGCCATGCTGCCTGTCTGTTTTGTGTTGCTGTAACAGAATAGGCTGGGTAATTTTAAAAGAGTTTATTTAGCTCTTGATTCTGGTAGCTGGAAAGCCCAAGGGCATGGCACTAGCATCTGCTTGGCTTCTGGTGAAGGCCTTGTGTTGTGTCACAATATGGCGGAGAAGCAGAAAGCAAGCAGGTGTTTGCAGAGTAAGGGAAATGAAGGATTTTGTGGGGGCTTGGACTAGTGCACCAGGGTGTAGCTGAGAAGGCTTGACCCACTTTCTAAGAACCCACTTTCATGGAAACTAATCCAGTCTCACGAGAGAAAGCACTCACCCGCTACTGTGAGGGTGGTACCAATAGATTCATGAGGGATCTGCCCCCATGACCCAAACACCTCCCACTGGGCCCCACCTCCCAACACCGCCACACTGGCAATTAAACTTCAAGATGAGTTTTTGCAGGGACAAACCACACCTAAACCATTGGACTGCTTTAGATACCAAGTGACAAAGTTCAATGCCAAATGAGGAAAGGGGTAGACTCTTCTCCATTCTGCACAGGACACCAAGCTGTTCTGAGGCCATAAGTCCTGTAGAGAATACAGGCCAGCTTGACCCTTGAGTGTTTACAGCTTAAGAAGCATGGACAGATTGCACTCAAATCTGAGAAGCAGACTTCTCACCAGTGGCACCATGGGTCAGGATATCTCCATTCAGGATGGCATATGTGGAACTCTTCCAAGGACTCACAGAATTAGCTGGTCTTTGCAAGGGAAAAAGTATGAGTAAATGAAACAGAATGCCTGCATGAGCAGTAGAGGGGACAGGTTGGCACTTCAGAGTATAAATGCAAGGTAGGAATCTCCAAATGTAAGCCCACAGGCTGGTAGAGCCCAGGGATATTCAAGTTATACTGGGAAGACAGATTTGGACTCATTTATGAAAACAACTTTCTATGATTAACAGAATCATATATATATATGATCATATATATATATATTTTTTTTTATTTTTTTTGTTTTTGAGATGGAGTTTCATTCTTGTTACCCTGGCTGGAGTGCAGTGATGTGCCTCGGCCCCCCAGTTTCAAGTGATTATCCTGCCTCAGCCTCCTCAGTAGCTGGGATTACAGGTGCTCGCCACCACGCCTGGCTAATTTTTGTGTTTTTAGTAGAGATGGGGTTTCACCATGTTGTCCAGGCTGGTCTTGATCCACCTGCCTCAGCCTCCCAAAGTGTTGGGATTACAGGCGTGAGCCACTGCGCCCATCCCAAAAATATTTTTTAAACCCCAACTTAATGAGCTCCCTGCCACTGGGCATGTTCAACCAGAGGCTGAGAGACCACAATTAATTGATACTTTGGAGAAAGATTGAGCTCACTGAGTTGGATGAGCTCTGGAATCTCTTCCAACTCTGCTCTTCTGTGTCTTCTAAAGATACAGCCAGAGAAGGCAAAGAAGAAATTGGATGAACATGGAGAGATAACTCAAAACTTGACTTCTGCCGAAATTTGAGCAATTACTTAAAAGAAAAAGAATATGTAATCGGTGTGTAATGAATCATTCACATTTTTAATGAGGATAAGTTCTAACTTTTGAGGAGTTTTAATTGTATCAGTGGCAATGAATTTGGGAAACTTTATTTTCCAACCTACTGAATATAGTAATGAGCTATTGAAATGAGTGACATAAAGATCACAAATGGGCTTCTGTTACACAGAGAGCACCTGCAAGCTTAAAAAAACAATGTTGAGATGAAAAATTCCATAAAGAAGTAACTTTTACATTGCCATCTGCTGGTTACTGCTATAAGTGACAGCAATATAAATACAACCTCAATCCTAATTGAGTTCTAACTGTGAATAAAAATATTGATTGCTTCAATGTGCTTCAAACATGCAGGAATCAGAGTAATTCTACATGTCTATTGGGATCCATCTGGTTATTGTCTAAAGCAGGAGATGTCCTGTCCTGGCACAGTGGCTCATGCCTGTAATCCCACCACTTTGGGAGGCCAAGGTGGACTAATCACTGAGGTCAGGAGTTCAAGACCAGCCTGGCTAACATGCTGAAACCCTGTCTCTACTAAAAATACAAAAATTAGCCAGGCATGGTAGCTCCTGTAACCCCAGCTACTCAGGAGGCTGAGGTGAGAGAATCACTTGAACCCAGGAGGTGGAGGTTGCAGTGAGCTGAGATCATGCCATTGCACCCCAGCTTGTGTAACAGAGCAAGACTCCATCTAAAAAATTAAAAGTTAAACATTTTTAAAAAGTAGGAGGTTTCCTACCTGGACTTGGCTTCAGATGCGAATCCTCCCAGTGGCACATCCATTATTGATACTGAAATAGCCCTTGGAAACAAGGCATCCTAATAAGCACTAAAATATATGTTTATTTAGGCCTGCCTTCAGCTCCCACAAACAAGTTTCCTCAAGAGTTGTTCTAGATGTTTCATTTGGAAGAACTGACTTGCTCTGTCACCTGGTGGTATAGTGACATTTGTCATATTCATCTCCAAAGAATTAATGGCAAGCTGAAGGCCGACTATAGTAGGCCCAATTATCTCAAGTACATAAAAGCCATGAAGTTAAGCAGAGCAAAAGTTGTTCCACTTGTTAGTATCTTAGTGTGACAGTCTCAGAGTATGCTCTGAAGAACACCAGGAACCCTATGCAGATAATTCACTCCTCCCCCAGCCGAGTTAATGCTCCTTTCTCAGTACTTTCATAGCACCTTCTTCATACTGCAATTATAATACGTTTAATATTGTATTGTTATATGGGTTATATCTGTTTCCACATTAGACTGTGATCCCCTTGAGAGCAAGCATCATATCCAATTTACATTAGTCTTGTTCATTTTCAACCTAAGCTTTGGTGTTAGACAGGACCTGAATAAATATTTATTGAGTGGAGGTCAAAAGAAGGAAGGGTGATAGGGCAGATGAGAAGGGGAAGGAGGATTCAGTCTTCAAAATCAATGTTTCCATTCTCCACTTCATGTCTTAGCTTCAGAGTCAAATTTTTTTCAATTGTCTACCAGACTTTGCCATCTGAATGTTCAGTAGAAAATATGTATCCAGGAATTTCCAAATGGATCCCCATGTGTTTGCAGCCCAAACTGTTCTGCCCTTGCTCTAGTTATTGATTTCTTAGTTACAACATCATTATCCATGCAACAATCTCAAAGTCATCTCTATTCCCTCATTTCCATTAACACCCATGCTCAATAAGTCCTGTCGATTACACCTCCCCTCCCTCTCCACTGCCTTCCTTGGTTCAGGTGCTCCTCACCTTTCATGGTATCTCATATAATTTCCTAATTGGCTCCTTGTCCTTAGTCAAGCATCCCATCATCTACCTCCATCCGTCACCAAAGTTACCACTCATAGACAGAACTGTTGAATATTCCTGGACTCTACCAGTCAATAGGCTTACATTTAGAGTCCTACCTTACATTTATATTCTGAAATGCTAACTTGTCCCTTCTATTGCTCCTGTAGTAACTCTGTTTCATTTACTCCTACTTTTTCCCGTGCAAAGACCAGCTAATTCTGTGAATTCAGATACAACATTATTATCTACTTTTAAGCATTCGATGGCTCTGATTATCTATAAGACAAAGTCAACTGTGGCATACCTAAGTTGTCATAATCTTTCCCAAACTTATTTCTTAGACCCATATTCCTCAGTTCTGTTCCATAAAACCTAACTGTTCTAAATAATTGTCATTTTCCAACTACACCAATGATTCTCAGTTATATGTATTTCCCTATGGGTTATTCGTTATACTTAAAGTGCCCACCTCAGCCCCACCCTCCTTGGCCACTCTGCCTACTAAACATCTTTCATGACTCAGGTCTGCTGTTACCTCCTTGGTGATGTCTTCTCCAGCAGATAAGTAATTGCAAATTTACCTGATCAGTAGCAAAATCCTCTAGCTTTATACTCTCATAGCATCTTTCTTAGGGCATTATGGCCTATATGAAGTCTCTCTACAAATTAGGTGGAAGTGCCCCCTCTGGACAGAGGCAGCTCTGTATCCAAACTTGAGAAGTGAGGTATGGGCTGGATTTCAGCTCCCACTTGCCCCTTTGGTTGGGTTCCCATATACATACATAATACCACAGTTATTATGATTGCTTTATTGATGCCACAGTCTTCTCCCCAGCTGGTGACTTCCTGAAGCCAGTTAGATCAGTTAAAGCTTGTATTCTTAGGACCAAGGACATACTAAGCACTGACAAATGTTCTTTGAATTGTTACTTTTTGGAATGAGAAGATATTCCAAAAGTTGTCAGAGCAGATCTGAGGAAAGTCTCTGAAGTATATAAATATGTGCATAAGTGTTCTTACCTATGTGATCTTGGGCAAGTAACTTAATTTCTTTCTTCTCTTGTTTCCTCGTCTACAAATTGGGGAGAATAAGAAATGCCTGTCTCAGGGTTACTATGAAGATTCACTGAAGATTCACTGTAAAGCACTTAGAAGAGTGCCCGGCTCAGAGTATATACCATGTAACTAATGACAGTAATAGGATACACAAAGAGTATTTGGAGGTGAATCTTTTTAAATTTGGCAACAAACAATACAATTTTGGAGAAGAGAATCTTTATGCTTTGATTTCTGTAAATCTGGAGACAGATCTTGCATTTGTATAAAGATATTACCATTAATGTTAAATGACTGAAGTTGTTTTACTTCAGAGATAGAATCATAATATTTTAGAATTTGAAAGTTTAGAGATAATCCAAACTGCTTTTCTTATACATAAAAGTGTTAGGGCCTAAATGGGTTCAGTGACTTTTCCACAGTGTTTCTCCATCTGGCCCTGACCACATGTCCAGCCTCATGTCATCATCCCTCCCCTGCCCCCTGCCCCCTTCCCCTGGCCCCCAATATTCTCCTTTCCACACAACAAGCCCCAGCCTCATTAACATTTCCCAGAATGCACTTTCACAACTCTGTTGACCCTGCCTGTGGTAGCCTTTCTCCCTGTGCCTTCCTCCCATCTCAGCTCATTAAACAGCTTCACGAACATCCTTTGAGCTCCAGTTCCACTGTTACATGTCTCCTCGGTGAAGCCTTCCTCTACTCCACCAGCCCAAACTAGCTGCATCCCCCTCTGTGCTCCTAGAGCTCTGTGTTCATACATCTGTTTCACACTTATCAGAGCAAGGGCTGGATCCTAGCTGCCCAGGTTTAAATCCCAGCTCTGACACTTACTAGTTGTGTGACCCTGGTCGTCTGTGCCTCCGTTGCCTTATCTGTCCAAAGGGAATCATAATGAGACCTACCTCACTTATTCATTCAACAAATAATTTTCAGCTGCCTACTATGTGCCAGGAGCTGTTCCGGGACCTGGAGATATATGGTGAACAGGACCAAGTCCTTGCTCTCATGAGCTTACATTGAATGGAAAAGTTAATCAATTAAAACCTATTATAATCAAGTATTACCATTATTCTAAGAGCCATGAAGAAATATTCAGCAGAGTAGGAGACTCAGAGTGATGGAAAGAATGGTGGCTGTTTTATTAGAGAGGGGAGTCAGGGGAAGCCTCTGAGAGGAGTGACATTTAATCAGAGACATGGGGGAAGCCAGGGAGCAAGCCCTGCAGAAATCTGAAGGGAGTGCATTCTAGGCAGAGGAAACTTCACGTGCAAAGGCCCTGAGGCAGGAAAGGTGAGCCTGGGGTCAGGGGATAGGATAGCTAACAGGGCTACTGCCAAGTCAGTGAAGCAGAGCAGAGAAAATGAGGCACTCCTTGTTCCTGGCACCAAGATTTCCAGATTTTTATCTTCTAAATATTTCTCTAACCTCCTCTTTACCCCTGATCTCCTCTCAATCCCAGATTTCTCTCCTTGCAGTTGAGCTACCCTCAAAACTACCCTCCACCCTGTGATGAGATAATCTAAACATGTATCTCCAACCCCATTTTCCGCTCCTTTCTACTTTTTCATTATCTGACCTGCCACTGCCTATAGACTAAAGTCCCAGGTGCCTTCACATGATGGACAAAGCCCTCTAGAAGATAGCCCTGGTTACCTCACCACTTCCTACCTTGTACTACACACTCCAACCACACCAAAGTACCAGTTCCCCCAGAAAACTATATTTCTGGTCTCTATGCCTTGCCTCAAGCTGTTTCCTTTCCCTAAAAACCATCCCCTCTTCCACATTTTTGCTTGGCTAACTCAATAGTGAGACTCAGCTCTGGAGTTACTTTTCCTCTGTGCCCACATCATCACCT
Organism: Homo sapiens; assembly: GCF_000001405.40. Classification (NCBI taxonomy): domain Eukaryota; kingdom Metazoa; phylum Chordata; class Mammalia; order Primates; family Hominidae; genus Homo; species Homo sapiens. Next base: position 65,111,629 of record NC_000012.12, read on the forward strand.
GGGAATACTTCAGTACTTCCACTTTCCAGGAATTGTTAAGGGGATATGTTTATATAGCTGTCTCTCCAGTTAGCTTCTAATTTTCTCAAGAGCAGATAACTGGTTCTTAATCATGTTTTACCCCCAAGGCATGATTTGTGTTCTGGCCCAGGGCAGCTAAGCAAACTACATTCATCTCCTTTCTCATGCTGCCAGCTTAGGAACTTACCCTCCTGCCACTGTCCCTTTGTCCCAGGCCTACAACACATAGCTACCCTGTGAGATTTTATTCAGATGAATGGGTTTCAAGAGATGCCTAACAATTTCCAAGATTCTTTCATCACATTCATCCAGAAAATCCAAAGAGAAGATAAAATGTACAGCTCAGGAGGACAGACATCCATATGTCTAGCTGAGAAAAACAGGGAAGGACAGTAATTGTCCTGTGACTTTAGAGTTTGTGCTAATAGTAAGTTTTAAAAGGAAATCAAATATTTGAAGATGCAGGCTTATTTTAAATAAATCCATTTCCAGTGTTCAGCTTCTCATTTTGTAAACTTAAGGATCACTTGCCAACTTTAATTTCTACACTTCTCTTGTACTTTTCCTGGTACTTAAAAAGGTAGTGTAGAAGTTGAGAATAGATGCTAAGTCAATGTTTTCCAATTAACATATTATTTTCCTTATTTAAGCTCCCTTTTATGTTATGTTCAAAGTTCTAGACTCCATTAAAAATGAAATTATTTTTAGTTCTATGCACTTACAAAAAGAATTTTTTTACAGTTCCCTGCTCTAATCACACACACACACACACACACACACACACACACACACACACACACACCATCCTGGAGCTGAGACTAATCATTGCAACTCTTTTGAAAGTTTATTAAGAAAGAAGAGCTAAATGAGGGTTGTGGAAAAACTGTTGCCGACCCAACACATACTCAACGATTTACTCAATACAAATTTGCAACATGTTGAGTTCACTCTCTCCATAGCCAAGAAGAGAGAAACTTCCCTGAGTTGTTTCTATCTTCTACTTCTTTTCCCCCAGACTCTCTCTCCATTATTTGGCCCTGACCTCCCTTCACTGGGCTTCCATTACATCTCAGATGAGATACAAAGCCCCTTATGATCACCCAGAATATATTTTCCCCTCTAAGACCTCCAAGCATTAGGACATCCTGAGCTCTTCCCTGGGAAGGCATTTTCCTCCCTTGCTGATGGGACTCATTCTTTGGGATTAATTCAAACATCACTTGCTCAGTGAGCTCAGTGAAGTAGCCCTGGCTCCCTTCCTTCCCCAGGCAGGAAGAAGAGTGGCTTCCTTTGGCCACCCAGCCAATCCTGTACTTCCTAACCTCATTTGGATGAGTGAGATTAATATTTGTTTTCTAGAGTACAAGCTCCCAGAGGGCAGGTACTGGGTTTATTTCTCTTTGTATGCTATGCACCTGGCTCTGTATTTGTTGATTGAGTGCTTGAGTCGGAGAGAAAGGCTGCACGGGAGAACAACTTGCCATCCACCAAGGTTCTATAGGAATGTAAGCAAGTTACTCACATGTGACTTTATTGAGTTGGCTAAATTACTGCAGTAGAAGAAGCCCTGAACTGATAAGGCCTCTTCCAGAGGTCCGGCAACAGGATAAGGGACATTTTTGCTGAACTCAGTCCTCAAAGTTTTTCCCTAACCACACCCATCTTATTCATCAGGGACAGTTAAGTTAAATCAGTTTGATCCAAAACAAAATGCTTTATTGGATATCATACCTTTCTGCTTCACCACAACAATTTCAAAGATTTTATTTGTGCGAGCAATTTAGAATCAGAATAAATAGGGAGGGTGCCAGCAGAGGGTTTGTTTATGTGCTTTTATACCACCGTGAAAGGAAGACACAGCAGAGTTTACATTTATGCCATGTAAATTGCCATAGAACCAGATGTGGCTTACAAGGTACCTTGTAACTCATCTCCTCTAAGCAATAAAGTCTTTTTTTTTTCCTTCTGGCAAAAGTTTGAGAAACTTACTGCTGTTTTCTATCAGCAGATACAACAGATGGCTGGCACATGCCTGCTTTGCTAAATGAAATGGGCTCTCTGCAGAATTACTCTTTGATCCCTAGTGGCATGTCTACAACACCACAATGCAAATACCACAGCATAGCAGAATCTAAACGTTAAAGGTTGAAAGCTGTGCTTTTGATATGAGTACCTCCTGAAAAAAATCATGCCCACAGTATGTAAACATACTCACATTCCCACTTTGAAACCATGGAACAGGGGTCAGAAAATGAGGCATTTCCTCCATTTGGTGACATAAAACCACCACTAAGGTATGACAGCAAACCCCAGGAGTGCAAAGGTATGAAACCACTTGGGTCATAACTACCAAAACAATCATAACTCTATTAGGAAAAAATGTAGACAGTACACATTAAGGGATTTCCATAGTAATAATAAGTGTTACCATAACTGCAGGGTTGGAAAGAAGTGTTTAAGGGTGTTTGGCAGTTCCTTTGAAGTTGGAGAGGGAATTCTTGAATTAAAATTTACCCTATTTTTTTTATTTTTTTTTGGTTTACGTCAAGGGGAGAAAGGGAAAAAAAACCACACTTTTAATATAAGTCTCTAACTCCAGTCCAACGGGAAACTTGAGAGTGCAAACTGTAGCCAATTTAATGGGACCAGTGTTACATCACATCAAACACCATATTACAGAAACAGATCAGTAGGATGATTCTGTTTTTTATAAAATTAGCAAATATGTGAGTCCATTGTCAGAGAAATGGCCTGTTTCTGTTTTCCCTTTTTTCCAGTGGTACTTTTCTCACTTTAAAGGTGAATTTGGATGATACTGAATGGAATCATTCACAAAGACACCAGTATCCAGACAAAGTTCTTAAGCCTTTGTTATATTTGATTTTTAAATTATTGTTGTTGTTACTTCTGATAGTTTTCAGTAATTCAAGAAGTTTTTTTAAATTGATAGGGAGCTACGCTAGTGTCACTAACTCATTTGTAATAAACCTTACATGTTGGAAAATGTTTCACTTGATACGCTCTCTCTTGAGCATATCTAATATTTTCTATTTTCAGTGGTTATACATAAAAACAAACACATTCCTACAGTTTAACTCAATAAAGTCAGTTATTGTACGGTATATACATGACCTCCCACATCCCCAGGGCAGCAGACAAAATTCTCCTGTTCTTTTCCTGTATCCACAGCAACACTTCGGTTTTGTTTTTAAACATGTGGAGATTCAGAAAAATGAAGGTACCCCACTGACTTTTAGTAGTTATAAGAATTCTGCACACTATACATGATAAAAAGCACACTTTAGGATCTGGACCTGTTGGTACAGATGTCTAGAGCTTGTCTAGCAATCCAGGTGTTTGGTTTGAAATTAATATTGGTTGATTATCATCACCCAGAGAATTTCTATTCCATAGACACCAATTTCACCCCAACCCTTGCCATCTATCTTAGAAATCCAGGCCCTTGGTCACAAGGAGGTTGGAAAACTAGTACAGATGGCTCGGCATAAATCCTTTGTCATTGCTAAAAAAAAAAAAAAAAAAAAAGGCAACATCAAAAGGGATGCCCTATTAACTAAGTACTAGATTCCTAGTACCTTAGCATATTTATGCAGGTGATAGAACATATTATAGTTATCAAGATCAAATCTATGTGACCTTTGTAAGTAAAGATCTATTTATATAATCTACATAAATAAAAACCTTTTGGCCTTACACCAAATTGGTTCATATGGAAATCAGTAGTGGTATCCTAATGTTCGATTCTGATTTGTCTAACAAAACTTCTCATTAAATTTTTACTTGAAAGCCATTGGGCTTAGAAAGGGTTATTTTCCAAATAAAATGTTTAATTAGTGCCTTATTTAGAAAACTAAAATTGTTGCTCATGGCCCCTGCCTGTCTCAAATTTACAGAAAAATAATAAAGCATGCCTCATTGAAAGATATCATCTATTGAAAAGTTTTATACAAGAATAAAGAGTATTTTCCATTAATTACTAAAAATCCATTAAGGCTAAGCTTTTGCAGTAGAAATTCTTTTCTCATCTAAAAGCCTTGAGAGGAGGCATGTCAGAAAATGAGTATCAGAAGGTTAAATGGAGGCAAAGTTGTCCATGAAAATGGGAATTGCAGGGAGAGGGAGAATTCAGGAAAAATGATTTCAGGCAAGAAAGATTTGGGGGGACCTCAAAAGAAATTGATGAGAATCTGATGAGCATTAATAAATTCTTTGGTCTCCATAGTTACGATGACCCATGAAAATCATTGGTGTTATCATTTTGTTGAGTGATAAGTAGTGTAAAAATGATACCAGATAATAAAGTATTTATAATACAAAACATCATACAATTTTAAACTCACACACTGTTTATACACATTTGATGTAAAATAATCTTTTAAATTACAAATGAATTCATTGTAGAAAAACCAAAACATAATAGATGAAGATGTAACTGGTGTTTACATCTTGGAAGATCAGATGTTAATTTTTTCTATATCTGCCAACATATTTTGTAATGGAATCAAACAGAATATACTATATTATACACCAGGGGTCCCCAACCCTCGGGGCACATGTCAGTACTGGTCCATGGCCTGTTAGGAACCAGGCCGCACAGCAGGAGGTGAGCAGTGGGCGAGTGTTCCCCATCACTCGCATTACCGCCTGAGCTCTGCCTCTGTTAGATCAGCAGCGGCATTAGGTTCCCATAGAACTGTGAACCCTGTTGTGAACTGCACATGTAAGGGATCTAGGTTATGCACCTTTTATGAGAATCTAATGCCTGATCATCTGTCACTGTCTCCCATCACCCTCAGATGGGACCATCTAGTTGCAGGAAAACAACCTCAGGGCTCCCACTGATTCCACATTATGGCGAGTTGTATAATTATTTCATTACATATTACAATGTAATAATAATAGAAATAAAGTGCACTATCCATGTAATGCACTTGAATCATCCTGAAACCATCCCCCATCCTGTTCATAGAAAAATTGTCTTCCACCAGGCGTGGTGGCTCACGCCTGTAATCCCAGCACTTTGGGAGGCTGAGGCGGGTGGATCACAAGGTCAGGAGTTCAAGACCAGCCTGGCCAACATGGTGAAACCCCGTCTCTACTAAAGATACAAAAACTAGCTGGGCATGGTGGCACGTGCCTGTAATCCCAGCTACTCAGGAGGCTGAGGCAGGAGAATCGTTTGAACCTGGGAGGCAGACGTTGCAGTGAGCCAAGATCACCCCACTACACTCCAGCCTGGGCGACAGAGTGAGACTCTGTCTCAAAAAAAAAAAAAAAAAAAAAAAAAAAAATTGTCTTCCGTGAAACCAGACTCTGGTGCCAAAATGGTTGGGGACCACTTTTATAAACTACTTAATTTGTATGAGACTCTTCCCATGGCCCCAAATGGATGTCTAGAATATCCTTACAACTGCTTCATTTTATTATTCTGCCACTATTGCTGGACCCTAAGTTGTATCTATTTTTTAATTTTTATAAACAGCATGATGAGGAACACTCTTGGACCTAAATTTTTATTTATATCCATGCTTATTTCCTTGGCATGAATCTCTGGATGTAAAATTGTCCAGTCAAAAAGTCTATACCCTGCCTTTTGCCATCAGAGTCTAACAGCCCTGCAAAAAGGTTTACATGCACATTAGCAGCATATGATAATGCACTATTCTCCACATACTAAAACCACTTTTAAAAGATCTGACGAAGTTGATGTGGGGAAATGAATCTCACTGTAATTTTTATTTGCATTTGTTTGAAGTGGAACACGAGATGCATTTTAAGTGGCACCAAGAACACTTTGGATTACTGTAGTGGTCCCCCACCTTTTGGGCACCAGGGACTAGTTTTGTGGAAGACATTTTTTCCATGGACCGGGCGGTGGAGGAATAATTTCTGGATGCTTCAGGCACATCATATTTATCATGCACTTTATTTCTTTTATTACTACATTGTAATATGTAATGAAATAAGCATACAACTCACCATCATGTAGAATCAGTGGGAGCCCTGAGCTTGTTTTCCTGCAACTAGACGGTCCTATATGGAGGTGATGGGAGACAGCGATAGATCATCAGGCATTTGATTCTTATAAGGAGTGTGCAGCCTAGATCCCTCGCATGTGCAATTCACAATAGGGTTCACACTCCTATGAGAATCTTATGCTGCTGCCGATCTGACAGGAGGCGGAGCTTAGTCAGTAAGGAGAGGGATGGGGAGCATCTGTCAACGCAGACAAAGCTTCAGTCACTGGCCTGCCACTCACCTCCTGCTGTGCTCCCCAGTTCCCAAAAGGCCATGGACCAGCACTGGTCTGTGGCCCAGAGGTTGGGGATCCTTCGTTACTGGACTAATAATTTATTGGAAGTAAATAACACCTTACTGCTTCTATAAGGTCTTCAATCCTGAGGTTATTTTAATGTTGTCCACATGTTGCTAAAACACTTAAATATAAAATTTAAAACTTCATTAATGAGCTATGTGTTTTGTTTATGTATTGTTGAAATGCCTAAATATTTGATATCATTTGGATGAAATAATCAGATAATGAAATGAAATTTTCATTTTCCATGTAAATGTTTTGATGTGGTTTGGCTTTAGCCATAGATACCTTTCAAAATACTAATTGGTATTGAAGTCATTTTTCCCATCTTCAGAATTTCTGTGCATTTCAAAAATTATGGTGCTGGGATCACATAACTTTAGTAAGCAAAATTAGCCATACTTAAATAATATTAAACATAAAAAAATAATATTTTAAAGCATCTTGCTGCTTGGTATTGTGTAGATTCTTCCCCCTCACCACCCTTTCCCCAGAAAGCAGATTTTATGTAGTTAGTTGTGGTAACCTATTCAAAGCCGAATGAGTAGAGAGAGAAAGGTAGCTTAATTGAGGTGCTAACATTGTCCTGCATCATTAGATCATCCACATAGGTGAGCAACACTTAAGCAGGAGAAAAAAATATTACAAACTTCCTCTTCATGCCAGTTCCACTCTCCTCCCTAATTCCCTGCAGGACATATTCCTGAGATTGTATGACATGTCAGTCCATTTTGTACTCACCAGTATGCCAATATTTGCAAACATGCATTATACTGTTAAGCAATAGGATAAAAGCAACATGGAATTTAAGCCTTTGCTTCAAATTCTATTCTTCAACAGACAAACATAAGTGAGAGAGAAAGAGATAGAGAGAGGAGGGAGGGAGAGGGGGAGAGAGAGAGAGTGCGCACGAGAGAGCTATTGGCACTTTCTGCTTTTCCTACAGTTAACCAGTTACCAAACCCTTTCAGATGGAAGGGTGCAGTTCAAACTGCCTTTTATTGATTCTTACGAACCCATAAAGGTATAGGTTAAAAAATGTCTTTTCAAAAATATAGAATTAATTGGCCACTTAGTTAATGACCATCTGATGAGCGGTCAGCCATAAGTAAACAGATTCAGCTGAAAAGGAGAAAATGAAAGGCCATTCGTTGGTTTATTACTGATTTCACAATATTCCCAACTTAATTGTTTATGAAGTATCTATGAAGAGGGACTTGTAGGGAGAAAAGGAATAATCTCCCTATAGAGCAATGGAAACCTCGATGAACCTATCTGCAAAATGGGGGTATTAACAATAGATGACTTTCCTGTTATAAACCTCAGTGAATCCAAAACCTCAATTTTTTTTAACCACATAGCAATGGAAGTGTTGAAGGTTCTAGATTTGATCTATTTCAGAAGAAGAAGAAAAAGAGAACAGACTTGAAGGGAAAAAGACAGCTAAAAAGGTCATGTCTATACCACAACAGGTAATTAGAGGGAAACAAAGTGGTTTCTCAATTCAAAATAGTTATTTTTTATAAAGTGTTTTCGGTATCACATTCTTCTTGAAAATAATCATTTAAGGAACTTTAGAATAAAAGACCGAAAAATGTGGTTTTAATTATAATTATAATGATTTTCATAGTAGACACATTCTACCAACTAATAAGCTGAAGAATGCATTGCTTACCATTTGTCCTCTAGAGTAAATTCTCCAATTGTACAAAAGAAATTAAATTTACATAAGCATTTTATTCTTTCTTTCTAAAATTAGAAGCCATAAAAATGTACAAAAGGTAACATATAAAAGATGCTAATGTGCTAAGGAATAAAAGGAATGCTTCTTCATAAAAAATAGATTCCAGTTTTCTTTTCCATATGAAAGCATTTAAAATGGTAACTTGAAAACATAGGCTGCAATATTTTATAACGTTCTTACATGACACCTTTTGGGTCTAACTTCTACCAGAAATATGCAACATTCACGTTCCAGTGAATAACATTCAACATACTGACTTTTTAAAAGTGCACAATGTCAAAAATACTTACAAACTTTAAAATTTGTTGTAAAGTATGAAGAATGTCACAAGTGATTAGAAACTACTATGCAAAAAGAGTCCTTTAAGTATGTTAAATTTTAATGTCAATGATCACAGAAACACAGTGATGTTGGTATTGGAGGTCTTTATATTTCCAGCAGCCTCAGGACACTGAGTCTTATCAAAATAATGGGCTTAGGCACAAGGCTTGTTCTTTTCTTTTGAAGATCATTAATTGATATGGCAACTTGAAATAAATGGAAATTAATTCTTTATTTGCTTTGGCAATCAGATGAGAAATTTCTCTTAATAACTGTAAAATGTACCAGGCTACACACTATACAGTACTATTTCCACCTGCCATAAGGCAGTGGAAATATTAAAGGGTAATTTTCTCAGAACTTACCTGCCCTGCAGCTTGCCAGGTAAAATTCATGGAATGGATATTGACAGGAATAGCTGGCATTCTCTGTTGTGCTTTTCTGAAATCATGTGTAAAAGGTGCCATTTTCCCCTCTGAAACAATCAGGATATCTTCTTCAAATCCTGGTTTTTAAAATAATAAAACGATCAAACCAGGTAGACTTGAAATCATCTAAATCAGAAGTTTCAAGCAAAAAGAAAACCAAAGAATTAGTGTGGGTCATTTCTGTTCACAAGCATCTGCCTTCAGTACCATCAACGCTACTAAGATTAATTTTTCTCTGTGGATGATGAGAATGATGCCAACAGACCCATGCTTTCAGGGAAAAGGGATGGACATGGAGTTAACCGACGCAAAAAAATGCCGGGTGCACCTAAAAACGCAGGGCTATAAAAATTAACAACAGCATGATCAGAACACTAGATCAGCTTTGGTTTCTTAAAAGAGAAGTTTATAAGCTTTCAGATGGAAAATATCTAATTAAAAGAGGGGAACACTCTTTTGTGGAAATTAAGTTTTAAAACACAAGAAACGCAGGTATCCCTCTTTCTTGAAGAGTGGAGAGAGGAGGACATAGGCAGGGGAAGGCGCTGGAGGCGGGGGCCTTACCTATGAGTACTCTTGCCTGGTGAGCATCGATCCATAGGTACAGGCTCTCCTCCTGCGGCGGCCCGGCCTCCGCCCGCAGTGCCAGCAGGCACAGGAGGATGCTCCAGAGCCAGAGCGCGGCGGCAGGGAAGGCGCTCCTCCGGGCCATGCTGCTCAGGACCTCCTCGCTGCCGGGAAAACTCCTCGTGCCGCACCTACGCAACCTGGCGCCGTCAGATACTCTGCTGCGCTGCAGCTCCCTCAGCCAGGGCTGTTCCCGTTTAGACGGCTGGGCGCGTCGCCTCCCGGCCTGGGTGCCAAGGAGCCTGCGAGAGCAGGAGGAGGGGGCAGGCAGGACGCGGGAGGAGGAGGGGGGGACCAGCGGGCGCGAGTCGCGCAAGAAGATGGGGCGCGGGCGGGAGTGGGGGCGGCAGAGACGTAAGACTGGCAAAGCTGGCGAGGCCAGCAGTCAGCGGGGCAAATAGAGCGAGAACAGAAGAGCGGGAAGGGCTGGCGCGAGCGAGGTGCGAGCGAGGAGTGGGGCCCGCGAGGCCTGGGCGGCCGCCACTTGGGGGCGCTGTGGGGCCCCCCCGGGGGCGGGGCCGCGAGGGACCCCCGAGGCTGCATTCACAGTGCGGTGCGCCCAGTGGAGCGCCCGCGAAGTGGGCGTGTAGGGCTGGCGGACCCGGAGAAGGGCACTCAGAGACCCCTGGGACATCACTCGCCACCTCCTCGGGCCAAGGGAGGCTTCGGGGGAGGGAAATGGGGAGAGCAGACAACGCTGGGCTTGACTGAGTGCTGATGATGGTGATGGTGATGGTGATGATGATGATGATGATGATGATGAGGTGATGACTCCTGTTCCTCCTCCGGCGCTCACTGAAGGCGCAAATTGCCCTTCGTCTCCCTTTCAGCCAGTAGGATTCCTCTCTCCGCCAACCCTATGCGCTCCGTTCTGCGATAGGCTGGCACTTTGCGCGCTCCCAAGCAGTTAAAACTCGAGGCTCGACTGTCCGATGGTGCCGATGGCAGGCGCTGGCCTTGGCTCGAGGCGCAGGGCGTCCAGCTGGTACTTGCCCGACACCCAGCATTTGGGGATTCCCGTCTGTCTCCCTGATAACCCGGCAGTGCCCGGAAGAGTGCCCTGGGCCCTGGACGATAGCTGTACCTGACCCTCCGGGGTAGGGCTCCTCTAACATCGTGGATATCTTCACGTTTGCTGATATTTTTTAAAAGTTGCTGAATTCGGCCGGGCGCGATGGCTCACGCCTGTAATCCCTGCACTTTGGGAGGCCAAGGCGGGCGGATCACCTGAGGTCAGGAGTTCGAGACCAGCTTGGCCAGCGTGGTGAAACCCCGTCTCTACTAAAAATGCAAAAATTAGCTGGGCATGGTGGCGGGGGCCTGTAGTCCTAGCTACCCGGGAGGCTGAGGCAGGAGAATCACTTGAACCGGGAGGCGGAGGTTGCATTAAGCCAAGATCGTGGCACTGCACTCCAGCCTGGGCGATAGAGCGAGACTCCGTCTCAAAAAATATATAAATAAATAAATAAAATAATTTTTTAAAAGTTGCCGAATTCACAGGTGCGTGGGGGCAAAACCAAGGCTCTGGCCTCGTCTGTGAGAAGCATGCTTGGCCGGCAGTGGGCTGCAGCATAACCTATCCACCTGGCCCAGCAGAAAGAACTGATTTTTGCCTCCTGCCTAATTCCTCGGATGCACAAAGAAAACGGAAGCAAAAGGGTTTTGTTTTGTTTTGTTTTTAATTAAAAAACTTAGCCTTCGGACTCATAAAAGGTTCATTTACTTGTGTTTGTTCTTTAGTACCCGAAGCTGTGACAAATGCCTCAAGGATCAAATGTCTGGGGCTGGGCGTGGTGTTTCAATCAGTCCTTTATAGAGTAGCAGATGCCTCAAGAGGGAAAAACAAACAGAAACAACAGAAGAGATGGTGGACATGTGCAGGCATCAAGTTAAATCAGTGTTAGGTTCTGAGAATATAGATTTCCAATGAGGAAATATTTGCAGCTATACAACCAACCAATAGAAAAAAAAAAAAGGAAAAAAGGAATTAGACAAGAAGTCTATGACTGATTTGAACTTGCAGTGTCTTAATTTTTAAAGTACTTTTATTTTAAGTGCTTACTTAATCCTCACAACTCTTAAGTAGGTACTACTATTATTCTTATTTTACTGACGAGGAAAGAGGGCTCAAAAAGTCCAGTAAGTTGACTGTGGATATCCAGCTGGTAAATGAGAGTAAGGGTTCAAATCCCAGACACTCTGATTTCAAAGCCCATTCTCTTAGTAACTTATACCTCATACTGATAAATAAATCATAATTAAGTCTATTTGCATCCAAAGCTTCACAGTGATTCTTCCTTTACAATAAAAATATTTACCTGTTTCCCAACATTGCATTATTTTTTATTTCTATGAATATTCATGTATATAATGTATGAACATTAGGCTACTTTTAAAACACTTTAATGTTATAATGCCAGTGTCACCCAGGTAAAGATAATAATTTCACAGCACAATAGGCATTTTCTTTAACTCGGAGCGAGTGGTTTTAACATTTTTTTCTAGTTCTGCGCAAACCTCTATGGCTCTTGGTGCAAGGACGCCCTCTACAGGTTTTCCTAATCAAATACTAATTGAGAAATATTCATAAAATTTATTTTTTGGTGCAAGAAAAAGAGGAACTAAATTCTCTCCTAACTCGGTTTCCTCTGAGTGAGGTTCTTCTGCAGCAGTTGAATTTGGTGTTGATAACAATGGTAATCTATCTTGCTATAAGGACGTTTTTTTTCTTCCAGAATGGTTGTTTTCTGTTTACTTCTCTCCAGCACAGGACACTTAGAAAAATTATATTTTATTAGAGATAGATAAAGAGAAATGCTATTTAAAAAATTTTTGATATAAACTCGTTTGGTTATTAAAGGGGACAAAGGAACACATGTTTTGTTATACAACAGTGATTTTTAAGGGTAGCAGCGTGGTTCTTTTTGTAGGGAGGTCTATCTCTAAGAGATGAATCAGGCTTGACTCTCCTTTCTGTTGTTAAGGAGCAGTTATGTAGCTATTTCATTAAGAATTGATTTAAGTTTTTAAATTTCTTTAAACAAACATGTGACAATATTTACTAGCATATGATAAAAATTTGGAAATAATGTGCTAGGCAAGTCAACTTCATTTCGTTTGAAAATTCTGCCATTTATTTTCCAGTTCATTATGCTTCCTTTCCTTGTGCGATTCCCTCTCATCAATTATGTGTGCAGGCAGCTTCATTTATTTGTTCATTAACTCATTTGCTTATTCAACAAAGATTTATTAAACAGCTATTATATGTAAGACACTGACCTGGAAATTATAGTACAAATAAAACATGATCATAGCCTTCAAAGAGCAATAGAGCTACTAAAATAAGTAAGACAAGTACCTAAACAACCATAATACAAGGCAGAATGTGGTGATTGTTGATAAGGCAGAATGACTGGAAATTCATAGAAGAAATCTTGTATCTAGAATTCTGCACATTTGTTTGTTCATTCATTCATTCAAAATATATTTACCCGGTGTCTGATGTTTGCCGTATATAAGCACAGGGGATAGAAAGGTAAGTAAAAAGACAGCCCTGCTGTCAAAGAACTCTCAGTCTAACAAGGGAGTGTGTTGAGAATAAACAATAGAGAGGAATGAACGCCATGGTGGGAAAATGCACAGGGTATTTTGGGACTCAAGGAAAATCCTTCGAGGCAGACTGGGTTCTGGGAAGACTTTCTAGAGTAGAGCATACTTGAGCAGTCTTGAAGGTCAAAGGGGAATTGAGCATGCAAGGGGGAAAGATAAGGAACATCCATGCATAGACAGTGGCAATAGTGAGAGCAAGAGACATGAGAAAGAATGGCACCATGCAGGATCTGCAGGTGCTGACCTGTAGTATGATGAGCCTGGAATGGGAGAGGGAGGGAGCAGCTGGGGATGAAGCCCAAAATGTAGGTAGGACCTGGTTATGGAAGATTGTGCTGAGAACAATTCCAAATAATTTGTTTAGAGACGCTGTCCTCAAAGAGGCGAGGCGTAACTCCCCACTCCTGAAGTGTGGGATGTGCAGAGTGACTTCCTTTTATAGCGTGCAGTGTGGAAAGTGGGGAAAGTAACAAACCTGACAAACACTACTTCAACTAGGTGATCAAGATCATCAACAGTGATGAGTCATGTGATAGTATGTGCCCTTGATATGATGTGATGAGAATGGTACTTTACCTATGTGATCTTGCTCCTGAAAACCCATAACCCCAGTCTAGTCACAAGAAAAATATCAGAAAAACCCAACTGAAGGACATTCTACAAAATTCCTGATCAGTATGCCTCAAAACTGTCAGTGATCAAACAAAAAAGGGAAGTCTGAGAAACTCGTAGCCAAGAGGAACCTAAAGACACATGACTACCAAATGTAATGTGCTATCCTGGACAGCATCCAGGAATAGAAAAAAGACATTAGGTAAAGCTAAGGAAATGTAAGTCAACTACTAATAACACTGTATCAATATTGGCTCATTAATTGTGACAAATGTACCATTCTAATATAGGATGTTAATAACAGGGAAAATTGGGTGTGGGGGTATATGGAAACTCTCTGTACTATCTTTGCCATTTTTGCTGTAAATCTAAAACTGTTCTAAAATATAAAGCTTATTTTAAAAATTAAAGATCAAGACTTGAATATGTTTAAAAAATCTTAGCTGCTGACATTTGAAAAGCAGATTTTTTAATTAAAAATTTGATTTCTGGCTGCTCTTGAAAATGTAGAGATCTGACAATATTCCCTTCTTAGAAAGAATCAGATGGTGTGAGTAGTGACTGCCCTTCAAAGAGGACTAGCGTGCCCAGTCGTTACAGTTGCACTACTCTTCCATCCAGCATGCTTTGCTCTTTTACTTGACCATCTAGGCTTCTGTAGGCTCCTGAGTTTGCCATGCATATCCTGGAGGAGACCCGGAGGGACAGGGAAGAAGAAGGTATCTGAGGGGGCTGAAGCCAGTGCTCATCTTGGAAGTGCAGTTGTGTGGGAACCAGGGCAACACAGCTCTAGAGGTAGGTCTTGTCAGTGTCCAGCCATTCATTCACCCAGGCAAGTTGCCAGAACTATCTTGGTGACTGCAGGCATTGGGACTGAGACTGGTGCATATCAGCTGCACCCTAAGCTGTGTCTTGGAGAAGGAAGGAAAAGATACCCCTGTACTACACTGCTGTGGAGAGGGAGACATGAGATAGTAAATGAAAAGGGCAAGTTGGCGAGGATTATGCTTAAAAAACAAACTCTCTTCTTATACTACCATATATAATAGCTATATATAACTATGGATAGACTATAACTGTCTACCTTTTCTATAACGTCTGAAAGTTTATATAACAAAATATTTCTAGTGGTTACCTATGGGAAGTAGGAACACAGATAGGGAATGATTTTCCATTTATGCACAAATATTTTCTGATTCGTAATAAAATTAGAAGATGCTTTTGTAATTAAAAACCATTTTAAAGAACAGAAAAAGGTTGTTTTATGCCTGCTTCAGTCGGTTTCTCCTGAAGTAAGGAGCTGTCAACACCTAGGTTAGCACCTCTCGCTATGCGGCTTGCACACTTTACCACTTAAGAACTGCACATCACAACACATGACAGCTCATTACTGAAGCACAGCACAGCCGGAGTATTCCTCATCATCCTATGTGACATTCTTGCCCTTCTTTCTTCACATGATGGCATTGCCAAGCAACCTAGCATATCTTGTCTTCCAAAAACCATGTCTATTCTTTTCTGTTCATCCATGCTGTTTTATCCTTATGACATTTAATGAAGGGTTTTTTTTATATGATAGGGAAGAAAGGGAAAACAATTTCATTGCCCAATAGTAGAGGAATGAGAAAGCAAATTAGAATATCTTCATAGGAAGAAGTATTATTGAACTATTAAAATTGATGTTCTGAAAGATATTAAACCATGAATCTATCACCACAATAACAATAATAGATATTACCTATCACTCCCAAAAGTTTAGCAAAATCTACACTTGAAATATGTGCAGTTTATTGGATGTCCACTATATTTAATTAAACCTGTTTTAAAGAAATTTTAAAAAATAGTGTTTCATCAGGAAGAAAAAAATGGTAAATTGGACTATATTAAAATTAAGAAACTCTTATCAAAAGACAGTATTGAGAGTGAAATGACAAGCCATAGAATGGGAGAAGATATGTGGATGTATGAGACTCTTATCCGGATCATATAAAGAATTTCTACAAATCTACAAGTGAAAAGAGAGTCCAGTAGAAAAACGGTCAAAGTCTTGAACAGGCACTTCGTTAAAGAACATACCTAAATGCCAATTAACACATTAAAAATGGCAACTTTATTAGCCATCAGAGAAATGTGAATTAAAACTACAGTGAGAAACCTCTTCAGCCCCATCAGAATGGTTAAAATGAAATAGAAAGAATATATGAGGTTAGTGAGGATATGAAGCAAACAAAACTTATATACTGCTGGCAGGAATGTAAATTGGTACAACCATTTTTGAAAACTGAAAAGAAGTACTAAAGCTGAACCCAGAAATTATATTCTCAGGTATAAGCCCAACAAAAAAAGACATATGTCTATATATATACACACACACATATATATATGTATATATATATACATATATATGTATATATATACATATATATGTATGTATGTATATATAGTCATCCAAAGTAATATATAAATATGTGTGTGTGTATATATATATATATATATATATATATATATAGTCATCGAAAGACATGTTTATAAAATCCCTGTTTATAATGGCACCAAAATAGAAACAACCCAAATATCTATTGACAGTGGAATGGATAAAGAAATTGTTACATATTTATAAATGGAATACTACATAGCAATAAGAATAACAAATTGTATTAGTTTTTGCAATTAAAAACAATGGTAAAAAGTCGCAATTACTTTTGCCCCATCCTAATAATTACAACATTAATGACTCTTGAAAACATCATGTTGAGTTAAAAAAGCCAAAATGTACATACTTTGGCTTTAAATATGATTCCATATTTAAAAAATTCAAAAATATAAGAAACTAATCTATGATATTAGAAATCAAGATAATGATAACCTTTGAAGAGTGGTAATGATTGGAAAGGACATAAAAGAGGCTTCAGTGGTACTAGTAATGTTTTGTTTCTTGATTTGAATCTTGGCTACATGAGAATGTTTCTTCTGTGAAAATTCAGTAAGTTGTCCACCTATGATTGACATACTTTTCTATATGCATGTTATATTTTAATAAAACATTTATTAAAATTAGAAAAAATCAAGAATGGGCTAGAAGAAAACATGGGCAAATGTACTTGTAAGTTTAGAATGGGGAAGGCCTTTCTAAGGAAGACAAAAACTATTTTTTAAAGATATATAAATTTGGCCAGGTGCAGTGGCTCATGCCTGTAATCCCAGCACTTCAGGAGGCTGAAGTGGGAGGATTGCTTGAGCTCAGGAGTTTTGGACCAGCCTGGGCAACATAGCAAGATCCCCATCTCCACAAAAGTTTTAAAAATAGTCAGGTGTGGTGGCATGGGCCTGTAGTTCTAGCTCTTGGGAGGCTGAGGTGGGAGGATCTCTTGAGCCCAGGAATTTAAGGCTGCAGTGAGCTATGATCACTTGCCTGCACTCCAGCCTGGGCAACAGAGCAAGACTATGTCTCAAAAAAAAAAAGAAAAAAGATAAATAAATTTGACCTGAAAAAAGTTTTAAATAGCTATGTAGCAAAACCCACTGTAAACAAAATACTATGGAAAATATCTGCAAAAACATGACAAAGGGAAATTTTCCTAAATTTCTAAAATGTATGTACTAACCAGTAAGTATGCCATCCAGTAGAAAAATGGACAAGGATATAGATGAAATATAGATGATTAACAGAAACAGAAAGACAAAAAGTTACTTCATTCATAATGAAAGAGAAATGTTTTGTTTTACAGATTGCCCAAATATAAAATATTGATAAATATAAAATTAAACAAATTAAAAAGTAAATACACATAAATATTATCAAGAATATAGGAATCAGATAATATAATACATTATTGGTGAGAGTGTAAATTGGTTCATCTTTTTTGGAGAACAATGTTCTATTTCTCAATATCCATAAAAATTCAACATCCATATATCCTTTGACTCAATAATTCCACTGCTAGGAGTATGAATATACTTGAAATATACTGACTTCTTTCTAATCTAAGTTCTAGCTTTCTACCCATTCCTACATTCAGAAAGTTATCACAGACACAGACATCCTAGAATGCAGACACTTGAAGCACTAAAAAATTCCGTGGGTAACAGAAGTACTATATAAAGGAACTTAATTCAGAATAAACCTCAAATAATGAAATGAGACAATTTTGACATATTGCTTTGATGAGGCCATTTTGCCTGGAAAGGGAGTGGGCACGCCATTTTCACCCATCTTTTTGACAGAGTTGTTTTGGTGTCAATAGGAACGTGCCTGCCACTGCCACAAAGTAACCCTCATTTCTTCTTTCCCTGAGATTTTCTGTGTCTGATGAGGCTGAGAAATGGCAAAAAGCTGAGGGGTGGGGTGAAAACATCTAGTTCGTATATTATGTGGGAAAAAAATATTGAAAATGTGATGGTCTATAAACATTCTAGAAAGAAATTTAGGTAAGCATTTGGCAATCTTTCTAAACAAAAATATTGAAGCCAGAAGCCACATAAAAGATAGTCTATCATCTATCTTTGCCTTTTATGTGGTTTCTGTATATGTGCATATCTATATATCTATATCTATTTACCTAGATATAGTACATATCTATATAGATACCTCTATTTACATAGATACAGATACATAAATATAGGTATTGGTATAGGTATAGATATACTCAGTGATTCCAGCAGAAAAACGTTAAAGGATTAATTAAACAACATTAAAGAATTAAATTAAAGAAACAACATTAAAGGATACACGATGTCCTCAGGGGAAAATGTTGGGTTAAAATCCCTAATATAACTTGCCAAATTTTTAAAAAAGAGATAAACCTGAAATAATTTTTTTAAAAAAGCGATGAATATTCCAATAGAAAAATGGGCAAAGCTCCAGGTAATTCACACATACACACAACACTCAAATAAATGAAAAACTATGGTCATTTAACCTTTTTAAAAGATGTTTAACTTCACTGGTAATCACAGAAATACAAATTAAAACAATGAGATATTCTTTTGTTACCTTTCATAAAAGTGAAGATGAAAATAACACTCATTATTGAGAGTATGAATTGATGCAATCTATCCAGAGAGCAAGATGGTAACTTGTATCAATATTTTAGATGGGGGTATACTCTTTAACAAGAATTTTTTCTTTTGAGGATTTATGAAATAATAAGATATGCTTAAAACATATGAACAAAAATGTTTTTGGAAAACTTTATAATATTAAAGAATTAGAAACAATGCTCTCGTGTAATATATCCATGAAACAAACCTGCACATATACCTCCTGAATCTAAATTTTTAAAAGAAAATTCTTATATTTAAAAATCTTCAATATATGGGCATTTGCTTTATTTTAAAATTAAGCTTCAAAAGTAATTAACAGTAAATTATTAGTAGATGAAAAATGGTTTAAAGCTTATTGTATAATTTAGATAAGGTCTCATCTGTCTTTTGCACTGCTAAGAGATGAGTCTTTTGGTTACAGCTCTCTCGGTCCTGTGGGGACCTCAACGAGGAATGTTGTCTGACACTGGAAATAGGAGACTTGAGAATATTTTTTTAACAAATTTTGACAAAAGAATTTTTTTAAAAAAAGCTTTATTTATGAGACATTATTATCATCAAGAAAGGAGAAATTTCTAGACACTAGAACACAGAAGTAGCACTTCAAGATATTCCTTTCCTAGTGTGAACTTATCTGAGAAATTCAACTGGTAATCAGAAGATTGGCGAACATTAATCCAGGATGATCATCCAGCATGAGATTACTAGATGGCAAAGAGATACTTCATCTTGGCCAGTGGGTCTCAACTGTAGCCCACCAGGAAGCATTTTAGAAAATTTTTGGTTGTTGAGACTGGAGAGTACTTTGGGCTCTTACAGGTATAAGCCAGGGATGGTAGATGTCCTGCTATGCTTGAGATAGGACCACACTAGAATTGTCCCAAGTCTACACATTTTTTGATTGCCTCAGTGGAGATTCATGTAGATGAAAAACCTATTCATACATATCCGAACCCTAGAAACCTAACTGCATTTTGCATTAAAAAACACATTTTTTTTTTGACACAGAATCTCCCTATGATGCCCAGGCTGGAGTGCGATAGTGCCATCTCACTGCAACCTCCGCCCCCTAAGTTCAAGCAATTCTCCTGCCTCAGCCGAGAAGCTGGGATTACAGGCATATACACTAAATTTTCCAGAACTACAATTCTTGTGGATAATAAGATTCTCTGAAAAGTAAGAAAGTAAAATTCTACTTGGTTTTGTTCTGAACCTTACCTAGAATTGTTCGTATTTTATAAAAATCACATCATCACACATCCGTTTTTTTCTTTTTATTTTCCTGTATTTTTTTTAATGCGGAACAGCTTCTGATCTTGTTACTTCCCTTAAAATGAAAACTTTTTCATCAAAGAAGGTGTAAGCATTTCATTACTTCACTTGTGTTCAACCATTTTCATTGTGAATACGTGTTATTTTATTACTTGATTTTTTTGCTTCTTTTATTTATGTTACAGTAGTGTACTGATTTTTTGAATTTATATTTGTCAAAGTAGATAATATTATTTATGGATTCTATTTGAAGATTATAAATAGATAAGAGCAGAATATCTGTTATAAAAAGGCAGCTTTGGCTCATCCTGTAAAGTCTATATACTCTGTGATTCCATTTATGTGACATTCTAGAAAATCAACAGAAGGGGAAGACATCAATGGTGATCAGGGACTAAATGTTTGGGGGAGGGTTTGATTACATAGGAGTAGCATGAAGGAATTTTTTTGGGGGGAGGTCAATGTTAACTGCTGTGAATCTTGACTATTGTGGTAATTACATGACTACTTGCAGTTGTCAAATATTATAGACATATACACCAATAAAAAAGTGAGTTTTACTGTATATAAATTTTAAAATAAATTTAAATAATTTTAAAAACTGGAGGACAAACGGAAATAAAATCCAGAAAATAAAACAACCAAAATGGTGGCATTGAGTCTCATGTTAAAAACCACTAAACTATGCCTTTGAAACCCATGATTTTCCTGCCTCCAGAAACAGTTAACATCTCTAGTAAATGAACTACTTATTCCCGTCAGGGCCAATTTCATTCTCCTGTGACTAGTGTCAGCTATGTGGAGAAAAAAAATCTTTTTTTATTGAATTCATAGAAATGAATGAACTATATTTCAACCAAAGCCATCAACGTATTGGCAGTTAGAATGAAAACTTAGGTTACTTAATTCTAGTGATCTTTTTATTACGCTATACTGCCTTACTAGTTTTGTGTTGAAGTGGAAGAATACTGTGAATTCTTAAGTTTTTCCATTCATTGCCAGCATTACCCTTCTAAAGTAAAATAAAATAAAATAAAATAAAATACCATTACTCACATTATAGTGCCACCTGAGTTTACTAAGAAAGTAGAAAAAAAAAGAAAACGCGATTTTCTTAATAACATTAGCATTCACATTCCTAGAAGAAAAGTGTACTGTAATGTCACTTCTATTGACAAAAAATACAAGTCTCTTGTGTTTTTATCAGGTGTTTACAATAGGTCAGTGTTTTGGCTATGGTGTTTAACGCTTTTTGCCATTTACGGTATATTCTGTAGCCTTCTAAAACTGCTTTGAGAAATTTTAACATGTAGAAATGTTTAGTTCACTTATTGCAGGCAATTAAAATAGTTAAGGGAGGAACATTAGCTAATAAAATGTCTTAATTTGGATAATATCCAAATAATAGGTGTCAAAATGATGAATTAATAGCTCTTAAAACTGACTTGCCAAACTGCTATTCAACCAATTAAGCCACATGAGTAAGTAGCAAGAATATAACATTTAGATGACTATTAATTGGTAACTATGCTAAGAACCTGTAATTCAAATTCAGTATGTTTGGCTTTCTAAAAGAAGAACCAAATAAATATTGGTTTAATAAATTCGCTTCACAGCAATTGACACTAGAATTGAGTGTGAATTCAAATATTTTAGAAATAATAAACAAAATGTACCTTTATGGATTGTAAACTGAATCATGGATTTGAAGGCAGGATGAGAGTTCTTCATGCCCATGTTGCACATTGCAGTATCTGTGGCACACAGTCAGCCTTCAAGAGGTATCCCTACTTCAGCTACTCATGACTGAGTTTGCAATCATCCTGTCCACCATCAATTTAAAATTGGTAGTTTCCATGATTTATCTAGCAGGGGGGTGAGTGGGGTAGAAGTATAGATGAAATAAGACTCTCCATGAATACTCAATAAGATAAATATAAGCTGAAACTTCTCCTGCTAGTTATGATGGAATAACTGGTATTGGACTTGTCCTCCTATTGCAAACAACTAGAAAATTGGAGTATCTGAGGGGACCAAGAGTGGGGAGGCTGAGGCAACTGTAATTTGTAGAGCAAAGAACTTAGATAATAGAGCTGTGGAAGGAAGGAAGGAAGGAAGGAAGGAAGGAAGGAAGGAAGGAAGGGAGGAAGGAAGAAAAGAAAGAAAGAAAAGAAAGAAGGAAAGAAAAAAGAGAAGAAAGAAAGAGAGAAAGAGAAAGGAAGGAATGGAGAAGAAAGAAAGGAAGGGAGGAAGGAAGGAAGGGAGGAAGGAAAGAAAGAAGAAAAGATAGAAAAATAAAGGAAGGAAGGGAGGAAGGAAGTAAGAAAGGATGGGAGGAAGAGAGGTAAGGAAGAGAGGGAGGGAGGAAGGAAGGAAAAGAGGAGGGGAGGAAGGAAGGAAGATAGGAAGGAAGGAAGGGAGGAAGGAAGGAAGAGAGGAAGGGAGGAAGGCTGGAAGGAAGGAAAAGAGGAAGGCTGGAAGGAAGGAAGAGAGGAAGGGTAGAAGGAAGAAAGAGAGGAAGGGAGGAAGGAAAGAAGGAAGGAAGAAAGAAAGGAAGGGAAGAGGAAGAGGGGGGAAGGAAGGGAGAGAGAAAGGGAGGAAGGAAAGGAGGAAGGAAGGGAGGAAGGAAGGAAAGAAAAGAGCTCAAGGAGTCTGTGTAGCAGTCTCCTTGCATCTGTTTCTAAATACTAGGCTGAATATTCATAAAGGGAAACTTCACAATGCTTTTTAAAGAACCGCTGGGAAGCTATAAACTGAAAAATTCCCAGAGCACCCACAGAACTAGGAGACATTTGAGTTCCAACCAACCAAAGTGAAAAAAACCTTATTGAACACCTGGGGCACTTAGTAGAGACTCCAGAAGGATAATCCTTTACTGGTAGGGTTAAACTAGCTCTAGAGTAAAGGCTTCCCTAGACCAACCCTAACAAAGCTTTCCAAAAAGATTCAAAAGAATAAAGATACTCTGCAGGTAAACTAACTACCTTCAAAACAAAATTCACTTTAAAGAAAAATTTTCCTTCTGGAGCCGCTGCTGCCAGCAACATGTCCAAGGTTAATTCAGAGGTGCATGGGGCCAGCTAGCCTGAGCTTTCTCACCTTCAAAGTCTATGCAGCTCCAAAAAAGGACTCACCTCCAAAAAATCCCATGAAGGCTGATGAGTTTTCATTCTACTCAGTTCCCAAGGGCCAATATAAATACGTGGAGGAGTTAAGAACCCAGCTGGAAGAAAGCATCTCTCAGCTCCAGCATTATCGTGAGCCACATACAAGTTGGTGTCAGGAAACATACTCCCAGACTAAGCCCAAGATGCAAAGTTTGGTTCAGTGGGGGTTAGACAGCTATGAATATCTCCAAAATGTATCCTCTGGGTTTTTTTCCAAGACATGGTGCTATAATTTTGCTGGCCTTGTTGGACTCCTTTTGGCTAGAGGTTCAAACAGAAAGAAGCTCCACCTGGTTTCATGGCATTAGCTGCCTCTGTCTATCACCCACAACAAGCTATTGTGTTTGCCCAGGTCAGTGGGGAGAGATTATATTATTGGGGTTTACAAAGATATATAGTCATAGAAGATATATGGAAGGAGCACTTTCAAAAGCCAGGAAATGAGAATTCACCTATAAATAAGTAGAAAACGCCATGCTTTGCCCATTTTAATCAGTTATAGGTAAATATTGGAATCTCCTTATAATAAACCAGGGCTTCTACAGAAAAATGGCAGAGAAATCAGTATTGAATGTATTAAATTTGCATTCTTCTTCAGGAAAATCTAGGCCTCTGTTATCTTGGGTGATGCTGTCCTACAACCAAACTAATCTGAAATCCTTTCACCTAAAGATAACGTATAAGCCTTAGAACTCCTCATTCTCATGTTGCTATTTATGTACATAATTAAAATACAAGTAAAAGAAAAGAAATTTTTAAATGCAGACATTTAAAGCCTAAAATTTGTATACTAAAATCAGTATACATAAAATTATTAGTAGGCATGTGAAGAAGCAGGAAAAAGTACAGGGCAAATGAATCAATAGAAAAAGACCAAGAAATGACAGCAATAATGAAATTCACAGATAAGGACTTTCAAACACCTATTTAAAATATACTCAAAAATTCAAAGGAGGCCAGGCACAGTGGCTCACACCTGTAATCCCAGCACTTTGGGAGGCTGAGGCAGGCGGATCACCTGAAGTCAGGAGTGCAAGACCAGCCTGGTCAATATGACGAAACCCAGTCTCTACTAAAAATACAAAAATTATCTGGGCATGGTGGTGCACACCTGTAATCCCAGCTACTTGGGAGGCCGAGACAGGAGAATCGCTTGAACCCAGGAGGCGGAGGTTGTAGTGAACCAAGATTGCACCACTGCACTCCAGCCTGGGTGACAGAGCAAGACTCCATCTCAAAAAAATAAAAAAAAATTTAAAGGAAAATATGAATATAATGAGGACAGAGATGACACATATAAAAATAATACAAGTGGAACTTCTACACTGAAAAATGCATTATCTGAAATGAAAAAATTAATTGAATGGGTTTAAGAGTAGTTTAGATACTATAGAAGAAAAGATCAATAAACTTGAAGGCATAACATTAGAAATTATCCAAACTGAAGCATATAGAGGGAAAAAAGTTTGTTAAAAAAAATAGAGCCTCAGCGATCTGTGGATCAATATTTTGCAGACTTTCATATGTGTATTTGAATTTCTGGAAAAAGGGAGGGCAGGAAGGCAGAAAAAATATATTTGGAAAGATAATTTCTGAAATATCTCCAAATTAGATGGAAACTATAAACTCATAGATCCAAGAAGCTCAACAAATTGCAAGCAAGATAACTCCCCAAAAAACTATACCAAAGCACATCTTAATCAAACTGCTAAAAACAAGTGATAAAAAGAGAAAAATCTTAAAAGCAGGCAGAGAATAAAAGACACATTACTTACAGGGAAATAAGCTTAAAAATATCTGCTAGAAAAAAATGAATTTTACAGTGCCAAAAGAAAAAAAAAGTCAATCTAGAATTCTACCTTCAATGATAATGTCCTTTGACAAATTAATATGAAATAAAAAATTTTCAAACAGACGTTGAAAAAAAATTGTTGCCAGAAGACCTTCATTTCAAGAAATACAAAAGGAGGTCTCAGGCTGAAGGAAAATTAAAACCAGAGAGAAATCAGAAGTGCTAAATATGTGGATACATATAAAATAATATTTTCTCTTTTTAAAATTTCCTTGAAAAAGAATTGACTTTTTAAATCAAAGATAATAACAATGTATTGTGAAATTCATAATACATAAAAGTAAAGGCTATGACAACAACAGCACAAAGAATGAGAGGGTGGAAATAGAAATATCCATTGGAAGGTTATTATATGTGAAGTGGTACAATATTATTTGAAGGTGAATGTGTTAAGTTAAAGATGAAGATATAAATTCTAGAAAAGGCCAGGCGTGGTGGCCTTTTCCTGTACTCCCGTACTTTGGGAGGCCAAGGCAGGTGGATTGCCTGAAGTTAGGAGTTCAAGACCAGCCGGGCCAACATGGTGAAACCCTGTCTCTACTAAAAATACGAAAAATTAGCCGGGCATGGTGGCGAGCGCCTGTAATCCCAGTTACTCCGGAGGCTGAGGCAGGAGAATTGCTTGAACCCGGGAGGCAGAGGTTGCAGTGACCTGAGATTGTGCCATTGCACTCCAGGCTGGGCAACAGAATGAAACTCCATTAAAAAAAAAATCCTAGATAAAGTACCAAAAATAAAGAAAGAAAGAAAGAAAGAAAGAAAGAAAGAAAGAAAGAAAGAAAGAAAGAAAGAAAGAAGTGTAGCCAATAAGCTACTCTTAGAGATTAAATGGAATACTAAAACATAGTCAATTAATCTAAAACAAGGAAAAAAGGGACATAGAACAGACGTGGCAAACAGAAAATAGTCAAATGGTAGATTTAAAGGTAACCATGTTACTAATTACAGGAACTATAAATGTCCAAACTCCCGATTTAAAAAGCAGAGATTGTCAGGATTTTTAAAAGGAAGACTCAGTGATGCTGTCTACAAAAAACAGTATTTTAAATATGAAGACTCACATAGGTTAAAAGTAAAAGGATAGAAAAAAACATATAACAAGAAAACACAATTTATAAGAAAACTGGAGTGGATTTCTTAATATCAGACAAAATCAGCTTCAGGACTATAAATATTAGTGGAGAAATTGTTGAAGCTGGGTGACCGCTAAAGGACAATTCACGATACTATTCTATCTACTTTTGTTTATTGTTGAGATTTTTCATAATAATAAAATTGAGAAGTGAGAAATGTGTTAAGACAAACAAGACTCTTGTCTGTGTGTGTGTTTGCACTGAATATACTCATCACTTATTTTGGTTACCCATTTTGAGACAAAAATAGCTTTACTATTTTTGCATTATCAGTCTTATAGAGACCAATCTTTTCTTCCTTTATTACTCTAATTTCTCTTACAATGATTATAATACACACATTTTTGAAATAATGATACCTAGGGGTATTAGGGAGGGTTAATAATTCTCCTGGTGAATATGGGTATTAAGTTCTGGAAAACAGTGGTGGATTTCAGTTTTATAGAGTTCCTAGAATTACTACTTATTGAAACACTGTTTGGAACTCATATTTTATAGCTTTTTTTTCAAATAATACAGAACAGAAAAGAATGCTTTTTGTTATTAACAGAATTTTTTCTTTTTTCATAAAAAAAGAAAAGCAATTTGATAAAAAGGCATATAATTTACATGACAATAAAACACTTCACAAGTGCTATAAATAACATTTAGCCCAGTATTGAAAAGATTTTATCATTTAACTTCCTTTCTATTATTTATTCTTACAATAATTTCATACAGTTTATCACAGATAGGTATTATTTTATTTTCAATCTCAGTAAAGTTTTGTAGATAAGCGCCTAAGCTATTCTCATATTCAGAAGTCAGAAACAAAATATGTCTATATGCATTTTCTTTTCTAATTCACTAGGTATCACTCAAATTTCCATCAGAAACTGAAAGATAATATTCAACAGTATTTTACCAAATATACTGCCTTAGACACACAGCATTTTTCGTTATACAGTAATTTTAACATTGTATATTTTCATGAAAACATACAAAGCCCTTTCATATGGTAATTCATTAATATTTATTTAGCAAATATCATGTGCCAAGCACTTTCATGAACAGGAACATAGCTTTATTTGTTTTAATTTATTCCCTGATTTGTTTTGACAAGGATTTTAAAAGTGTTTTCAAAGATACATTGGATATAACTTGATTGCATGCATTTTCCAGCTAGGGATCATCTTAATGTCTAAGTCAGAACACATCATTGCACGCCTCTGCTCAAAACTTTCCAAGAGCTTCCTTTCCCTCCCAGGAAAGAGCCTGTCAGTTGCTTACATTGCTCACATTCGTGATTCTCGATCCTGGCTGCATATTAGAATTACCTAGGGCCCTTTTAAAACTTACTGAAGTTTAGGTCCCATTTCAACCCAATGAAATCAGGATTGGTTGCATCAAGTTGGGGGTTCTCCAGGTGGATTCAAATGTGCAGTCAGGGTTCAGAACCTCTACCCTGTACCCATCAAGCTTTACCCAACACATACAATCTTCCCCCATCCCTCCATCCCCCAAAACCTCTTCTACAACTTTCCCCAGAACCCATTTCTCTCTAGCCACACTGGCTCCTCAAGGATCTTCCAACATGCTGGGCATACTCCCAGATCAAGGCCTTGGCCTCAACTAATCCCTCTACCTACAATTCTCCCAATCACAAGTCTTGCTCCCTCACTTCTTTCAGGTCTTTGCTCAAGTTCGTCTTTGCATTGAGGGTTCCCTATCTCTGCTTTTTAAACCATACCCTCCTCCCACCATGCTCTGATACTCCCTAATCTCCCTTTCCTGTTTTATTTTGATTGGCAGCACTTGTAAGAGAAAGACATTTACATTAAGGAAGTGCAAAAATAGACTTGATTATTAGACTTCCTTTTCCTAAAAGTTCTATATTGGTTCACCTTAATTAAAACTGGCTTTCTTTTCACACAGGCTCCAGGCTTCAGCCATGGTCATTTGCTTCTTGTTTCTTCTCTTCTCTCTCCTGTGTTCTCCCTCATTCCTAATTTCTGTTTATTTCTTCATTAAGTACAGTTTAGCCTTCTCTTTAGTTAAAATTTCTCCTTCCAATACATACTGTTGGGAACTACTTGCACTTACAACTCTTTGTTAAGATAATTTCCTAAATAAAAATAGCTCTCTTCCACTTTAAGAACTATGTTGCCAACCATAGAAATAATTTTTCTCTGTTAAAAAATGGTTACGCATAAAGGCTGGGTGCAGTGAATCATGCCTGCAATCCTCACACTTTGGGAGCCAAGGTAGGAGGATCACTTGAGCCTAGGAGTTCGAAACCAGCCTGGATAATATAGCAAGACCACATCGCTAAAAAACACCGCCTTTAAAAAAATTAGCCAGGCATAGTGGTGTGTGCCTGTAGTCCTAGCTACTCAGGAAGCTGAGGCAGGAAAATCACTTGAGCCCAGGAGTTCAAAGTTACAGTGCATGATTGTGCCACTGCACTCCAGTCTGGGTAAAAAAGCAAGACCCTGTCTCTATTTTTTTTTTAACTGTATACAAAGAAGAGAAAGAAAGAGGTTAAGTGACTTCTCCAAGGTAAAATATCTAGTAATTAGAATTCAAACCTAGATGGTCTGTGATAACTATATTTCTTAATTTGTTGATGATAAGAAAAAAAAAGCCCTGGGTTAGGTAAACATTAGTATTGCCATTTCACAGAAAAAGATACCAGCTCATCTCGTTCAGCTTTGCTTATAAATAAAAAGACACTGATCTTTTCATTATATCACATTGTAACAGAAGCTGAAATACCTTATGTTGAGAAATTGTAAGTTTGGTTTATATAACAAATATAACTGTAATGCTCTATTTTGAGGAACTATAAATTTAGGGAGATATATAATTATAGCCAACAATTATATAGCATTTGCCAGGTGACAGGCACTCTTCTAAGCATTCTACATGTGTTAAAGTATGTAACTCATATAACCTATATGACAACCCCATGAGGTGAGAATTATTATCATTATCCTCATTTTATAGTCACACAGCTAATAAATGGTAGAGCTGGGATTTTAAACCAGGTAGTTTGATTCCAGAGTATGTGCTCTTAGTCACTCTGTAATATGAAGAAATAACTCCTACTTTAAATTCTGACCCTGCCCACACAGTTGAGGATTTACTATATGCCAGGCTATTCTAAGTGCTTTACACATCGTATTAATCCATTTAATCTGCTATTACAAAATACCTGAGACTGGGTAATTTATAAAGAGCAGGAATTTATTTCTCACAGTTCTGGAGGCTGGGAATTCTAAGGTCAAGGTGCCAGCAGATTTGGTGTCTGGTGAGGGCTGCTCCCTGCTTCCAAGTTGGTGCCTTGAACACTGTGTCTTATGGTAGAGAACAAAAAGGACAAAAGGGAGCTAGCTAGTTCCCTCGGGCCCTTTCATAAGGGCACTAATCCATTCATGAAGGCAGAGCCATCAGGACCTAATCACCTCCTAAAAGCCCCACCACTTAATGCTATCACACTGGCAATTCAGTTTCAACACATGAATTTTAAGGGGCATTCAGACATATGTTGTGTCATTTAATTCTTACAAAGTCCTGGTGAGGTAGGCATTATCACCCACATTTTACAAATATGGAAACTAAGGCTCACAGAGCTAAATTACTCATATATACTAATGGAGCAAATAGATGGTGAGCCAACACTTAAATCCATGTCTTACTATATTATAATATATTCTCTTTTCAGAATACATAGTGCATCTGGAAACATACACATACAAATACATACAAAATACATGGAATCCAAGTTCTCAGTGAACTTAGAAGTTAAAAAAGAAACGTGAACTTTTGATTTTGTTTTCAATTTTTAAAAATACAACAAAAATGATTGGAACCATGTTTTTCTCTTGACCTTAAGGGAAAGATGATGTCCTGTTTTTCGTATCTCAATACTAAGCACAGTGCTGGTGAATGAAAGAGCAAATATTCATTCCCATGAATAGGGATTTACTTCTTAAATTCTGAATTTTGGATATCATGGGCTCCTAAAAATGAGGTTTGTGCTTTAAATGCGATAGATATTGGAAGTTATCATATAAGCAGAAGAGATACTGCAGTATTTGGAAGATATTTAGCTTCACAAATAAATTAGCTGTAGACATTTGGCTAAATGAGATCTAGCCAAATAATATGTCTGAAATAAAATGGGCTATTAATATGGGGAATTTGGTTAAAGAAACTGCTTTTTGGGCTATGGAGAAAATGATCATAGTCAATAAGAGAGTTTAAGATTGTGTGAGTGTTTTTAAAAAGAAAGGGGATGATAAAAGTGTTCTGAATACAGGGTGTTGTCAACCTGGAAAGAGTGCTTGGAAAATATCACCTGATGGAGAGTAAGAGTAGTGTTTCTATGTGGGTTTCTGCAATGAACCATGCTGGGCAGGAGGCTAGGATGGGGTAGTAGGAGCTGTGGTCCCCAAATATGTCCACATCCTAATCTGAAACCTGTGGATATGTTACTTTATATGGCAAAAGGGTCTTTGCAGATGTGATTAAGTATATTGATGGTGAGATTATCCTTGTGTGCCCAATATCATTACAAGGGTACTTGTAACTGGAAAATGGCAGCAGGAGAGTCAGAGTTAGAGAAGGAGATGTGACATCAGAAGCAGAGATTGAGGTGATGAGCTTTAAAGATAAAGGAAAGGATCACAACCCAGGGAATGCAGACAGCCTCTGGAAACGGAAAGGGCAAGGAAACAGTTTCTCCTCTAGAGCCTCCAGATGGAATACAGTTCTGCCTACACTTTAATTGTGAGACCTATTTAATTTAATTGTGAGACCCATTTTGGACTTCTGAGTTCCAGAACCATAAAACAATAAATGTGTTATTTTAAGACACCAATTGTATGGCAATTTGTTACAAGACCAATAGGAAACTAATACAGAAGCCAAGTTATCAATCATCATCATGGTCAAAGAAGCAGTTTTTAAAGAGGACAAGGCTGAGCAAGCAAAAGAATATATCACTAAGAATAAGATTAATAAGTGGTGCTAGGTAAAATTTCCATATATACAAAATAAAAGACAAATGACATACTGTGAAAAACACCTGCAATAAATATGGCAGAAAAGAAATGCCATTATTATTGATAAAGAGCTTTTCCAAATTAAAAAAAAATAGCATCCCTATGGCAAAGTAAGCAAAGAACATCAATACATAATACCTAGGAAGACTGTAAATGGCAATAAGTATATGTTTAAAAAATAATCTCACTTCAAATGAAGAAATGCAAATTGAAACAAGACTGAGATACCATTTTTAATTTACAAAACTGGAGCAGGCTTTTAAAAAAATCATATTCAAAGTTAGCAAGAATTCCAATAGACTGGTAGTCTTAGCCACTGCTGATAAAAGTGTTTAGTCATGAGCTCTTTTTGAAAAATGAATTACTAATATTTATTAAAAGGTTTTAAAATGTTTACATGGTTTGATCCAGTAATTCTGCATTTAGGGATTGGGCTGGTAATTCTTTTGCCTCATCCATGTCTCCATTCCACCTCCTCTTTGTCCTACTCTATGTATTGTATAGATTAGATTCACAGGATTCCTTGCTCTCTAGCTTCTAGCAGGGCTTAGCCAATGAAAGCACTTAAAGGAGCTCAGAGGGAAGAAAGGAGATTTGGGAGTATTTATTCCCCCCAACTGCTCCCTCCTTGCAGCCGTAGTTTTGTGAGTGGCATCATTCCTCTAAGCCAGTCCTTCTCAAACTTGAGTGCATCAGAATCATCTTGGGGCCTTTTTCCTAACTCAGTAGGATGGAGACAGGGCCCAGGAATTTGCATTTTCAACAGGTTCCAGATATTTCTGGTGCTGCTGATCACAACACTACATTTGGAGAAGCACAGCATTAAAGCCACAGTTCTCCTGGGACGGTCTCGATTCCTCAGCTGAGACTTTCTCTGTGTTCCAGTGACCCTATAGCCTCCGCTTTCTCCTTCAGATACAGGTGCAGGTAAGGGCTTCTTTGACAATCCCTAAGTGTTTCACCGTTCCTTGTTGATTCCTTTATAATCCTGTCCACACCTCTTGTAATCAGTCCCTTCATTTAATTCACTTGAATTGAACACTTTGAACATGTGCCATTAGTTTCCTGCTAAAACCCTGGCTGATGTAGAAATTTGTCCTGGGGAAATAATCAAAGATGAAGACATAGACTTATGTGTAAGGATGTGTTTTTGCAGCATAATTTGCAATAGCAAAAACATTAGAAACAAGGTATATGTTCAACAACAGGGGAAACTTAGAATATTATACACTTATGAGTGACTAACTACATAACTATACTGACTAACCTGTGGAATACTCATGATGTTTAAATGAGAATAAGATATAAAACTATACTTAGAGAACATTCCCAATTTTTTAATTATGTGTGGATATGCTGGTATAAGGTTTAAATTGAGGTGAAATTGGAAAGAGAGTGTAGTTTATTGAAGGAGGATTTGCTTTGCTGGTGTATTTGTATTTTTCTGATTGAATATTTTGAACCAAAAGTGTAATTCCTACTTAGATTTTTTTCTCACTTATTTCCAATTGGTATCAGCATGAATACTGCATTTTACATAAAATATAAATATGGTTAAATAGAAAAGAGTCAGAATTCTATTCTAGCAATGGAATTAATTCCTTATGTCACAACCATTTTCTATATGACCCCGTTTTAATACATGGATTCAGACAAGTGTAATCCACAAATATTTACTGAGAGCCCGCCCTCAAAAAATTGACACTCTAGAAGGAAACATAAGACACAAGGATGCAATGTGGAATCGTAGAAAAAACACAACTTGGAATGAAAACACCAGAGTTGGAGTCTGGGCTATGTCATAACCACAATTAAGCAGTTCATAAAATTTTTTGCAGAGGATATAGTAGAATGTAAATTACAAAGCTCAATTATGTAATCAAGGAATCATGAAAAGCTTTTTAATTAGAGTCTAAATGCTCTGTGGCATGCATAATAGCAAGTATGTGTTTACTAAGTCAGAGTTAACATTAGTCTGTCCTTTCAATTCTTCTCCAATTCAGAACAGATATACACATTGTTCCCATTGCACAGGCATAATTACAAAATTTTGGAATATTGGTTACATTGAAAATGAATATTCAAAAACCAGAGCTGATGGCTAAAACAGAGGTGGCATTATTCTTAGAGGGAAAGTCAGAATACCCTGACTCTTAATTATGGTGGGTTTTCATAAAGAAGACTGGAAAGGCTGCTTAGGAATCTAGCTTATGAAAAGAAAATGTACAGGACAACATTGATGTGAGCCAGAGATAAAATGATAAAGAAAAATTATACAGCAGAAAGATGACACAATAGTGGACTAATGGCATCAAGCTGATATTGACTGAAGGGTTCAAATAAAATTTGAATGTAGGAGAAAATGGAACAGCAAATTGAAGGATATGAGCAATTAAAACGTGATGATAGTTCCAATTCTGATATTTTCTGTCTTGATTACAGCATCCTTATATTCTAATT
Source organism: Homo sapiens (assembly GCF_000001405.40). Classification (NCBI taxonomy): domain Eukaryota; kingdom Metazoa; phylum Chordata; class Mammalia; order Primates; family Hominidae; genus Homo; species Homo sapiens. The sequence continues at coordinate 65,145,300 of NC_000012.12, forward strand.
ATCCCATTCTTTCATGACCACCAAACCTACTATTTGTACAAATAATAAATTCCAATTCTTTACTTTTCTCTGTTCTTTCAGAATACCTACCTACCCACTGCAACCCATTTGCCTTCCTACCCAGTATGACCCTATGGCCAGCCTTGCCAGTAGCACACTTGTTTGAACATTGGCCTGGATTCTGTGGCATAGCCTGTTTGCCGGTCTTCAAGCAAGGAAATCTCTACTGAATATTTTCTTTGCTCATACTCAAAAGATGCCATGCCTGGCTATAGAATCACAGAACTTTTGCCTAAAATGGTGATAAAGAACACAATAAAAATTCTCTTCTAAATTCCCACCAAACTAACCAGGAAAATATATGAAATGAGGGAAATTGTCTATGAACATAAGGTAAAATAAAAGATAGAGTCAGATTCTGTTAAGAAACAAAATTATCCTTCTTACCTACCTGTGAAGTAGGATTGAAATATGGCAATCTTTCTTCCTGAACATTACTCAGTGCCACAGTGACTATGACTCAGTAACTAAAGTTATCAAAGTTCTACTTATTCTTAGTTACCTAGGTCATTTATTATCACATAGGGAAGTAATAGGGTGGCATTTTCAGGTATCCAAGGACTCAGAAACCAGATTGTCTTCCCAGGTAAAAATCCTGAAGGCCTACTTTAGGACCCCAAGATATTAATCAAAATTTAGATTCAAGAAGAAAAAAGTGGTGGCCTAAATGAATTGGAGTGATCAATAAGATGAGTTAAATATATAGAGATAAATTGAATTTATACAAATGGTCTATAAATTTGAAATAAAGCTACTTGGAACATATTATTTATACTATTTAGTACAAAGACAATTATGCAGTTTATGACTACATTTTAAATGAAAGAGAAAAACAAAAACAAAAACACAGGAGAGAAAGGAGGAATTTCACAAAGGGAGACAAAGCCCTGGGTGAAACGTTTTTCAAAAAAGGAAGTCAAGTTCTTACATTGCCCTTGATTTTAATAATTAGATGCTAATGGCCTAAGAATGGTTTAGTGGAAACAGGATGCTTTATTTCTCAATTATTGCAGAGAAAAAGAGCAAATTAATAGTCCATACCTAAGAAGAGGAAAGAGATTAAAACTCAAGAAGTATAAAATAAGACTTTTTATTTCTTAACAATTAAAATGGTCATTTGCTGATTTTTCTGCCCCGCATTTCTGCATTTTTCTGGGAAAAGCACTCCATTCCCCCATCCCCACTGTAATCATAGACTCCAAATGGAGTCCAATGTGGTTTTTAGATGATCTTATTTCCCCAGTCTAGATAATCTAGAAGTGACCCTCTAACTTAAGCTGAGTCAATCATAGAACATCATCTTCCTCACCCACTCACCATCCGGCCCTATAAACTGGTACAGCACAGAGGCATATAGACATCTGGCACAAACTGTGACCATCATGCTCCTTCTTCAGGGTTTGTTCAACTGGATCTGCGGGGAGGCATTTTTTTTCTCTAAAGAGATAAAGCCGAGAGATGTGTGACATGGTGTATGTGGAGAAAACTAATCAGAGAGAAGCAAAGAAGGGAGGCTGAGTAAGAGAATACTGGTGGTATCAAGTGTCTGGCTCAATGGGTCTCTAGCTGCACTCGTGTAGGAGCCAGTGAATTTCCATTTTGCCTAAGCTAATTTGAGATAAATGTCTACATCTTGCAACCACGTACTACGCAACTGGAAGAATTATGATTGTAAATGTAAATGAGCTTAATTCTCTTAGTAAAAAGTCAAAGACTCAGATTAGAATGGAAAATGAAATCTAGTTATTTAAAGAAAGGCATCTAAAATAAAAGATTACAAAAAGATTAAAATAAAATAATTTGTAAATACAAACCAGACAGATACAGAAGACAAATATAATTCAAAGCTGAAAGCATTCAACAGAAAAAGTATTGTCCCTTGGTATGAATTAATAGCGCGCTCCATAGAAAAGACATAGCAGGGCTGATGTAGAGGCTTAAGAATGTCTTCAGGGTACTTTTCTATTTCTGTTTTACCATCCTTGGCATGTGGCTCTCATTCTGGTTACAAGATGGATGCTTTAGCTTCAGACATCACTTCTGTGTTTCAGGCAGAAAAAAGAAGGGAGAAACAAAGCAGAAGGGATGGCATCTAAATTAAGAAAGCAAAACTTTCTAGGAATCACTGGCAGGCTTCTGTTTTACATCTCATTGTTAAGAAGCACATCATACAGCCACTCATAGTCGCAATGGAGGCCAAGAATTTATAAGCAGGGCACACTGACACCCCTAAATTATAATTCTGTTACCAAAAAAAGGAGAGAATGGAAACTGCAAAGGCAACTTGTAGTGGCTGGCACATCTGTCAAAGGTAACATAAATTATACACTCTTGCATCTTTTACAGTCCTCTGGTTTTTATGAGAAAGATTTTTCCTAAACACTCCTCAGCCTGTTTGTATAGCTCCTGGCCTCAAACTTCCCCAGGGAAGATGGAGTGACTTCTCTGCTTAGTGAGTTTAGGGTAAGAAACAGGCATACACAGTTCAGTTGTCTCTTTTTTTCTCTTTACAGGGAATACATTTTGGTCCGCTGCATTATGACATCGGCATTTTACAGCACTGGGGTCGTTGTGAGGAGGACTTGGTTTTCCAGTTGTGCCTGGGATGCTGGAGTGGGCGGGTAAGCACGCCTTGTTCTGAGTCTCAGTTGCCATACACCTAAGTCACTTCCTTCAACCCGGCCTTTATCAATACTTAGAAGGATATTTAGAATTAGCTTGTCAAGTTCTTTTTTCTGTTTTTTTTTTTTTTTTTTTTTTTTTTTTTCTTTTTTGAGAACCAGTCTTGCTTAGTAACCCAGGGTGGAGTACAGTTGTGCGATCTCGGCTCACTGCAACCTCTGCCTCCCGGGTTCAAGCAATTCTCTCACCTCAGCCTCCCGAGTAGCTGGGATTACAGGCGCCCACCACCACGCCCAGCTAATTTTTGTGTTTTAATAGAGACGGGGTTTCATCACGTTGGCCAGGCTGGTCTGGAACTCCTGACCTCAAGTGATCCACCCGCCTCGGCCTCCCAAAGTGCTGTGATTACAGGCATGAGCCACTACACCCGGCCAGCTTGTCAAGTTCTATAAAGAAATGTTGGGATTTTGAGTGCACTGGTATCCTATGTTTAATTTTCTGAAGAATCGCCAAACTATTTTCAAAAACGACTCTACCATTTTCCATTTCCACAAGCAATATGTGTGTGTATACATACACAATGTGTGCATATATATGTATATATATCATATATATATTCTCATCAGACATATAATTTGCAGATATTTTCTCTCATTCTGTGTTTCTCTTTTCACTTTCTTGATAGTATCCTTCAAAACACAAAGGTTTTAGTTTTTATTAAGTCCAATTTATTTCTTTCTCGTTTGTGGTTTTGATGTAATATATAAGGACATACTGTCTAAAGTCATGAAGATTTATACTTTTGGTTTTGTACAGCAGTTTTATAGTTTTAGATCTTACATTTAGGTCTTTGATCCATTTGGAGTTAACGTTTTTTGTATATATTGTGAGATAGGAATTCAACTTCATTCTCTTGCATGTGGGTATTCAGTCATCCAAACTCCATTCATTGAAGAGATTATTTTTTCCTCATAGAAGGATTTTGGCACCCTGTCAAAAATTAATTGGCCATGCAAGTTTAGGTTTATTTCTGGGCTCATGATTCCACTGCATTGGCCTATGTATCTATCCTTATGCCAGTACTACAGTCTTGATTACTGTAGCATTGTAGTGAGCTTTGAAATTGGGAAGTGTGAGTCCTCCACTTTTGGCTTTTTCAATAGTGTTTTAGCTATTCTGGGTCTCTTGCATTTCCATAGGGTTAGCCTCTCAATTTTTGCACAAAAGCCACTGGGATTTTCACAAAGATTGCAATAAATCTATAGGGCAATTTGGGCAGTGTTACCTATAATTTCAGCCTAAATTCCCTCTTTAATCAAGAGTTATTTAAAAATTTTGCCTATCCTTTTGTTGCATTTTTATTACATGATTAGAAAATGTGACATTGTGAGTTCTGATGCATAGATTTTGTTGAAATCATCTTTGTTCTCTAATCCAAAATCCGTTTATTTGATGTTCCATAGACATTTGAAAACAATTCTCATCTATAATCATCTATGTTTTTGTGTCTATGTATGTTCACACTTTTAAATCATGTTATTTAAATCCTTGTTTATTTTTACTTACTTGATATATAAGTTTATAAGAGGGTTTATTGATAGTTTCCACCATGATTGTGGATTTGTGATTATTTCTGTATTTCTAACAGTTAAAAAAAAACATGTAATTTGAAACTCTGTTGTTAGACCATAAGGAATGCTAACTATTACATCTTCATGGTCACTTATTTCCTTTATTCTATTTTTTTTGCAGTGATTAGAGGACAAAGTATATCCCCTCCAAATTTTTGATACATATTGAATTTCTATTTTAATAATCAATAGTTGAAGTGAATAAACATGCGCCAAAGAAGACATTACACTTTAGTGCTCTTTCCATATCCCTTCTATAGCCCCCTCCTCAGTACTTCCCATCTTGAAATCATTTAGGCTTTTGTTTCTACAAAATTTATCTTTTACATTGCATATTAATAATGAATTAGTCATAATGATAACTTCCAAAGTATTTATTGCAATAATTAATGCATTTAAACTGTTTGGTATGATGCCTGGCACATACTAATCACTCAGTAATGTTTGCAATGATGATGAAGAGTATCAGTATTACTGTCATTCTGCACTGAGCCATTCTTCTCTCTCTACAAGGTCTCTTAGAGTGACCTTATCTTCAGCTTTTACTGTCACTGCTGCCTGGATGAAAAACTTACCTTGACTCTGCTCAGGAGCTCCCTTGTTTTATTTTCCATTTCCACTATAGATTACCACTTAGATATTACACCAGAACATCAAGCTCAACACATCCAAACTAGTCTGTCTCCTAACTTCCCAATTTCCATTCACAAAACAAGCATTCTTTCCTTTTACTCATCTGAAATGTTGGGGACACGTTTGCTGCCCCTTTCGACTTGCCCTCAGCATGACAGTTGAGCCCAGTGTCTATATCAAGCAGGTGCTCATTTAATGTTTGCCTTCTTCCCTCTCCTTTAATTTCAATATATTGTTAAGCCCTGCAAAAACTTATAAAAATGCCGCTTCTATTCATCTTCCCCATTATGGCTGCCTCCTCTCAATGTATTTTTTTACTCTAATAATTGAGTGAGACTCCCAGATTTCCTCCTTATTTTTTAATTTCTTCTCCCTTCTACTATTTTTGCAGGTTAATCCTCCTCAAACATAGCGTTAATCATACATTTGTTATATACCACCAAACTGGCTGTTGCTTTGAACGTAAGTCCAAACCACTCAGGCCACCACTCCAGGCTTTTTACTGACATGGGTCTAAACTACATCACCCACTTCCTGCTTTATGGACAGTATGCATCTGTTAAAATGACACACTGCTGCTTTCCTGAAAACACCAAACACTTTCTTAATAGCGTGGTTTTATCCTTGACATTTCTTCTACCCACAAAGCTTTCTTGAAGCATCTCTGCCTATCAAAATCCTACCCATCCTTCCAGGACCTTCTTAAAAACCACTCTTGTCAAAAAGCTTCAATTCACACACCACATATGATTTGCCTCTTCTATGAATCACTATAGCATTTTATGTGTCTCTTGTAGTGATGAAAATATTTTTTCTTTAAATTACAGATTTTCAGGATTTTTTATCTTAATCATTTACCCAATTATAAGATTTATAAAGGGCTTTGCCCTACTTCTACTTTAAATTTTTGTAGGCCATTCTTAGTGTAGCATATTTCACAAATTAGCACTCAATAAATATTTGTCGAGTTTAACAGAGGCTGTATCATTTAAGGCAAAGCAAAGATAAATGATTGTCTCTCCAACACATGGTGTGGGAAAAACTAGATATCCATATGCAGAAGAATGAAATTGGACCCTTATCTCATACTGTGTACAAAAATCAACTCAAAATGAATTAAATATTTCAGCATAAGACCTGAAACTACACAACTGCTAAATAAAACATAGGGGAAAATCTTCTTGATAATGATCTGGGCAATTATTTTTTGGATATGACACCAAAAACACAGGCAGCAAAAGCAACAATAGATAAGATTGCATCAAACAAAAAGCTTCTGCACTGCAAAAGAAACAATCAAAACAGTGAAAAGACAATCAATGGAATGGGAGAAAATATTTGCAAACCATATATCTGATAAAAGGCTAATATCTAAAATATAGAAGGAACTCAAAGAAAACTTAATAGCAAAAGCAACAAATAACCTGATTTTAAAATGGGCAAAAGACTTGAATAGACAATCCTCACAAGAAGACATAAAAATTGCCAACATGTATATGAAAAAATACTCAACATCATTAATTATCAGAGAAATGCAAATCAAAACCACAATGAGATATCACCTTACACCTGTTAGAGTGACTACTACCAGAAAGACAAAAGATACGTGTGGGCAAGAATATGGAGAAAAGGAAATCCTTGTACGCTGTTGGCGGAAATGTAAATTGGTACAACAATTATTGAAAACAGTACGGTGACATTTTTTGCTGATATATATATATCAGCAAAATATATATATCAGATTACGGATATATATATATATCACATAAACAAAAAATGGGTGTATTATTTAGCCTTTAAAAAAAGGAAATTCTGCTATTTTAGAAAATGTGAATAAACCTGGAGGAGATTATGCTAAGTGAAATAAGCCAGGTACAGCATGACTAATAGTGTATGATCTCACTCATGTGAAATCTAGAAAATCTGAACTCACAGAAGCAGAGAGTAGAGTGGTGGTTACCATGGGCTGGAAAATGGGAGAAATGGGGAGATGCCTGTCAAATGGTACAAAGGTTCAATTATGCAAGATGAATAAGTTCTGGAGACCTAATTCACAACAATGTGACTCCAGTTAACAGTACCACATTGTATAACTGAATTTTCTGAGGGTATATCTTATGTATTCTCAATCCACAGGAAAAAAAGAAAAGAAAATGGTAACTATGTGAGGTGATGGATATGTTAATTTGCTTGATTGTGGTAATCATTTCACTGTATATATCTCTCTCAAAACCTCAAGTTTTATATCCTAAATATATACAATTTTTACTTGTCAAGGATACCTCAATAAATCTTAAAAAGGGATGATTCTGAAAGCATAACCAAGGTCTCTGAAACAGACTATATAAAATACAGACTTGTTTAAGTAAAGAAAGGCTATTTCTATAAGTGAATCTTTGCTTGGAGAATGAACTAGCTAAATATGACTCTGAATAACACAAGAGAAGCATACACCATTTTTATGGTGGTAGACCTGAAGGAAACATGTACTTTGTAAGAAAACCAGACCACAGAAACAGCTGTGGCATATGAATAGAAGTCTTTCTGAATATTTGATGAAGTGCCAGAGGTTGCCTGTTGCATACAGTTATTTAGAAATACTTGGCTATTGCATACGGTTACTTAGAAATGTTGCCTTTGGGGGGGAAAAAAAGAAATGTTGCCTTTGTTAATACAGACATAATAATAACAACTTTGAACTACCACACTGTACAGTCTGAGTAGATATAAGAAAATAATGGAATATAAATCTAGGAAAGCAGATTGCATCTTAATTTTAAAGTACTTTGAATACTGATACGCTTTCAGTCTCTTTCCTCTCTCTGCATCAAGACTTTAGGAGCTATTTTTGGTATCTCCTTTATTTTGATCATCATAATCATTTACAGGTCCTTTAATAGTTTTTGCATCAGCATCATTTCCCTCCTTTCCATTACTTATGCCATGTTAGTTCATTTGACCTCTTCCTACTCTAAGTAGGCTAGCTAAGCCGTTACCACTAGGGTCTCTTTCCAATCTATCCTACTCCCTGCTGTGTGGTTAACTTTCTGGAAGCACATCTCTATGATGGTGTTCACAGGATCAAAGCCAACCGAACAAGAAACAACAACAACAAATTACAATGGATTGCTTACTAAATAAAATCCCAATACTGTAAGACTAGAGAGAGAGAGACAAAGAGAAAAAGACCCAAGTAGAAAGGTTACTCCCTTTACTCCTGTGGGTAGCTTGTTGTTCCTTGTTAGTCTAATATATCAATTTCTCTTCCTTTGTTTCCTCCTTTAAAAGTTAGTACTTCAGGCAATTCACTGATATTTAGGTAGTGTGTCCATTAGAGAACTCTTTTTGCATAGCAAATGGAAAAAATATCTAAAGGATTTATCATCCCCAGGGTTGTTACTCCTTTGGCCCTTCTATGATGTCATTGAACTTTAAAATAACCCTATTCAATAGTAGATGCAAGTTATCAACATTCTTATTTTATACAGGTGATGAAATTGAGAAATAGAGTTTAATTTACTTCTGCAACATCACAAAGCTAGTAGATGGGATAGTACTCAGGCCTTCTGAATCCTATTTAACTTTTCTTTCTACAATTAGTTATATTAGGAGAAATATTTAAGTGATCTATCAAATAACCTGGCCAGGCATGGTGGCTCACGCCTGTAAACCCAGCACTTTGGGAGGCTGAGCGGTTGTTACCAGTGTAGAAAAAAAAGACATGGTTATATGCTCCTGGGGGAAATATAAAATAGAATTGGTTTCATGATCAGAGGCACATATACTATGGAGTTTGGGTGTTTACCGTTTAAATAAACTTTATTAGAATGTCATTTTTGTATAATAAGATACATACACTGAAGTGTACTGTTAGGTGATTATTTTTCAAAAGTATATAAACACTACCCCAATTAAGATAAATTTCATCAACCCAAAGAGTTCACTCACATCCCTTTACTGTCACTCTTTCTCCACCCTTCACCAAAGGCAAACATTCTGCCTTCTTTTGCTATGGATTAATTTTTTCTATTTCAAAATTTTATGTAAATAGAGTCATATAGTGTGTATTCTTTTGTTCTGAGCTTCTTTAACTAGACAGTGCTTCTGAAATGTGTCCAGATTGGTATGTATCAGTACTTTATTCCTTATCATTACTGAGTAGTTCAAATGTAGTTCCTCTAAAATTTGTTTATATATGCACTTGTTGATATTTTTCCAATTTTTGCCTACTATGAATAAAGCTGCTATTAAAATGCATATGTAAGTCTTTGTGTGGACATACGGTTTCATTTGTCTTGGGCAAATACCCAGGAGTGGAATTGCTAGGTTTATAAGGTAAGTATATGTTTAGCTTTATAAGAAACTTCCAAAATGTTATCCAAAGTGGATGTACCATTTTACAATCCCACCAGTGATGGATGAAAGTACTGACTGCTCCACATCTTGGCCAACACTTGATATCATCACTTCTTAAAATTTTAGACATTTTTATAGGTGTGTAGTTTTATTACGTTTTAATTTGCTTTGTTCTATTAACTAGTGGTTGAGCATACTATCATGCGCTTATTGACCATTTGTGTATCTTCTTGTGAGAAAAGTCTGTTCAAATACTATAAATTAAAATTTTTAATTTTTTGCCTTCCTATTATTTAGTTATGAGTGTAATATATTAGTTCTTTATCAGTTGTGTTACAAATATTTTCTCCATCTGTGGTTTGCCTTTTCATTTTATTAAAGATGGTTTTCCAAGAGCAGTTTTTAGCTTCACATGTAATTTAAAGAGCAGGCATCACCTGAAGCAAAAGAACAGAGGTGATGCCAATTTCAAAGAGCAGAAGTTTTTAGTTTTACATGCAAATTACATGCAACTTCTCACTTTTTCTTTAGTGACCAAAGTTTTAAGGACTCCAGCCTTAAGAAAATGCAAGCCTCAGCTTTGGCTTTCTACCTATCCATTATTCACTTGGGATGCTAGCAAATTGTAAAATTGGGCTAGAATCCAGGAAAATCTTACCAAAGTCCAAGAATGTGACAGCCATTTTTGTTTATATTAGTAGCTATATTTATTGGGTACATAATATGCAATGAGTAGTGTGCTAAATACCATACATAAAATATTTCACTTAATCTTTACAAAAAGCCTTACTAAAGAAACGGGTGTGTTAGTCTCTTCTAGCACTGCTATAAAGAAATATCTGGCTGGGAACAGTGGCTCACCCCAACACTTTGGGAGGCCAAGGTGGATGGATCACCTGAAGTCAGGAGTTTGAGACCAACCTGACCAACATGGCCAAACCTTGTCTCTACTAAAAATACAAAGAAATTAACCAGGCGTGGCTTCATGAGCCTGTAGTCCCAGCTACTTGGGAGGCTGATTCAGGAGAACTGCTTGAACCTGGGAGATACAGGTTGCAGTGAGCTGAGATCACATCACTGCACTCCAGCTTGGGCAACAGAGTGAGACTCCATCAAAAACAAAAACAAACACAAACAAAAAAACCTGAGACTGGGTAATTTATAAAGAAAAGTGGTGTAATTGGCTCATGGTTCTGCTGTCTGTACAAGAAGCATGGTGGCTTCTGCTTTTGGGGAGGCCTCAGGAAACTCACAATCATGGTGGAAGATGAAGGCAAAGTCGGCACATTTTACATAGCTGGAGCAGGAGCAAGAGAGTGAGGGGGGAGGTGCCACACACTTTAAAACGACCAAATCTCATGAGAACTCACTCACTAGAACGGCACCAAGGGGGATGGTGCTAAACCATTCATAAGAAATCCCCCTCATGATCTAATCACTTCCCACCAGGCCACACCTCCAACAATGCAGATTACATTTCCACATGAGATTTGGGCAGGAACACAGATCCAAACCATATCATGGAGATTTAGAGTAAAAAAGTTATTATACTAAAAGCATATACATCATCAGTGGCAGAGGTAAAGTCTACCTGATTCCAAAGCCCTTTGAATCTTTGAAAATATGCAGTATCTAATAAATTTTTTGCTGGGCACAGTGGCTAATGCCTATAATCCCAGCACTTTGGGAGGCCAAGGTAGGAGGATCACTTGAGCTCAGACTAACCTGGGTAGCATAGTGAGACCTCATCCCTATAAGAGATTAAAAATAAAAATTAGCTATGTGTGGTGGTGAACACCTCTGGTCCCAGTCACTTAAGAAGTTGAGATGGGAGGATTGCTTGAGGCCGGATCTTCTTTTCTTTTTTTTTCTTTCTCTTTTCATTCTGATTTTACAAATGACTCAGCATTTATTTTCACTTCCTTTGAGTGTGACTTTCTGTACTGAAGTAGATGGAAAGCAAAATAGTACATTTCCCTGACTTCCTTGCCACCAGGGTTCCACATTTGGTTAGATTGCACCAATTTGATGCACCTACACACATTTTGAAAAGTGGTCCTAAACAGGAAGTCCCCTTAATTCTGCTTTTGACTATTTACTAATGGTAAACATGGTTATAGAAATGTGGGGGTTTTATGCAGTGCCTGATCTCCTGTTTCATAGCTATCAAGAGGAAGTTGCAGTGGCAGCGGCATCAGCTTCTTGAGCTCTGAATTGCAGCTACAGTGTTTTGTTTGTTTTGTTTTGTTTTAACTTTAATAGCTGTATGGCAGATTCTCGAATACCGACCTTCCCGATTATGGCAGAGGAGGTAACTCCTCTGGGAGGTCAGTTTCATGGTGTTCAGGGAATCACTCCTGGAGCTCAGCTTATAACCCACTCTTTCAGCCCTTCCAGTGATTTTATAATGATCTAACACCCTGTATTAAATCTGTTTTAAATACTTCAGATGGTTTCTCTTTCCAGCATTGAACCCTGCCTGATAAACACGGTAAGGACAGACATTCAACAATGGCCTCAGTAGCCAGTAATTAGCAGAGGCAGAGATAAACAGTTAGTTTAGGGATAAGAAATTAAGTCTTTGGGGAGGCAGGTGTGCCAGAGTCTCCATCGCAAGAAAAGAATGCACTATCCTAGTTAGCAGGGAACCAGAACAACAGCTTCAGAACAGGCTGTGCTGCAACGCAACCTGTTGGTTGAGTTGGCAAACATTGATCTTGGGAAATGGCTCCCAGACTTCCATTCTGGTTATCCTCCTCTATATGAATTTTAGTTATTGAGTGTCTTTAAAATGTGGCAACAAGATGGGAACATAGTACTTTTATTTTTTGGTTGGAGGACAGGGTTTTGCTCTGTCACCCAGGCTAGAGTGCAGTAGTGCGATCATGGCTCACTACAACCTTGACTTCCCAGGCTCAATGCAATCCTCCCACTTCAGCCTCCCAAGTAGCTGGGCACAAGGGTTGTGTCACCACACCCAGCTAATTATTTTGTTAATTTTTAAAAATTGTTTATAGAGACAGGGTTTCACCATGTTGCCTAGGCTGGTCTTGAACTCCTGGGCTCAAGCAATCCTCCTGCCTCAGCCTCCCAAAATGCACTTGGGATTACAAGTGTGAGCCACCCTGCCTGGCCTCAACTTTTGTATAACCAGCAAAGTTTACTCCAAACATACCTCTATCACTGCAGTCTAGGATTGCATTAGCTTTTTTGGAAGCTGTGTCATAACATTGGATCACATTCTGTTTCCAGTTAATGAAAATTCCCGCATCTTCACTTAGCAACTGATGTTAATTCAAATCTACTTACCCTTGCACTTAGGCAGTTGATGTTTTGAAATTATGGAAGGACTGACCAAAAAACTATCTCCTTTCATAGAATTCAATTATTTTTGTTCAAAGAAATTTGCATCAATGCCTTTAATTGCTCAGTTTTGCTACTATGGCAACATTGTTAGTTGTTACTATTTTTTCAGCCATTACATTTTCTCATCAGCTTTTCCTTCCTATCTTCCAACTGGCATGTAACACGAAAGTTTGTTTTGTTGTTGTTGTTGTTCTTATTTTTTAGCCGAGGTTCTCTTTCTTTGAGATGGAGTTTCGCTCTTGTTGCCCAGGCTGGAGTGCAATGGTGCGATCTCTGCTCACTGCAACCTCTGCTTCCCGGGTTCAAGCGATTCTCCTGCCTCAGCCTGCCAAGTAGCTGGGACTACAGGCATGCGCCACCACGCCTGGCTAATTTTTTATTTTTGGTAGAGATGGGATTTCATCATGTTGGTCAGGCTGGTCTTGAACTCCTGACCTCATGTGATCCACCCACCTCGGCCTCCCAAAGTGCTGGGTTTACAGGCGTGAGTCACCATGCCTGGCCAGGTTATTTTGATAGATCATTTAAATATTTCTCCTAATATAACTAATTGTAGAAAGAAAAGTTAAATAGGATTCAGAAGGCCTGAGTACTATCCCATCTACTAGCTTTGTGATGTTGCAGAAGTAAATTAAACTCTATTTCTCAATTTCATCACCTGTATAAAATAAGAATGTTGATAACTTGCATCTACTATTGAATAGGGTTATTTTAAAGTTCAATGACATCATAGAAGTGCCAAAGGAGTATTGATATAAAACAAGAAAAATGACCAGAGACCCTAAATTGAGTTATAATCAGACTAGCTTCTCTTGTTCTGCTACTTTTTTTCATTAAAGCATAGTTCCACAGTATAGAGAATTGGTCTGGAATTTAGGATACCTGGGTTCTAACTCCAATTTTCTCTCTAACTAGTTGAGTAATGTTGGACAAATAACACAACCCGATAGGCTTTATTTCCTTAACCTAAAAAATAATAGGATTTACCTACATACTTTTAAAGATGCCTCTCAGCTCTCTGAATTTTTAAAAATCTGTCATGCTGGCCCACACTCAAGAATCACATAACTCTTATTTGCCCATTTAACTTTATCAAGGTACATCTCTAGTGGCGTTCATGATTATTTTATTTATGATATAATATTTAGGCTGCATTTCAAATAGGAGCAGTGGCGCAGTCCCTATACGAGCAAAAGGCTTTTCAAGGAGTCCTAAAATACCAAAATGAAACCAACAAGGTTTAGTTCAAGTAATTCAAACAACCACTTGTGCTAAACTAGAAAGAATTTTTTACTCACTGAATATAAGTTTTATAGCTCAGGTCACCACCTATGGTACTAAAGACTTTAATAACAATAATGCATCCCGCTTGAATAAAAACAGCCTTTTAATATGAAATTTAAAAGATTCAGACAGTAGCAATCAATTATTTTTTCTTTCCTTTACAAAAAAAAGTACCACTTGAACTTTTATGCAAACAAATCTAAATGCTAAGAAAAGAACCTAAGTTAATATGAGCAATAGAAAAGAATGACAACTTGGGATATTAATTCCAGTTTTATGAAGCATATTTTTATTGAAAACCTGACATGATTAAATATTTGACAATTAAAATAAATATATTATTTATAACCCCACTATGGTAATGCAACTATTTTTAAAATTTTGTTTATTACTTCTTATAGGCATATATTTGAGTTCCTTAACTTTTTGAGAATCACCACCCTTAGGTCTTTGTACAGAGAGTCCATTATCCATAGAGAGTGTATATGATTGAGGAGAACCTTCTGGAACTTAGCTTAGCAGCTTCCAGATATCACTCTCTTGCTTTTCCTCCATCTTACTGCCTTCTTGTTCTCAGTCTCCTCTGCAGGCTCTTTCTCATCTCCTCCATCTCTAAATGTTGGAGTACTTCTGGGATCAGTTATCAGACCTTTTCTTTTTTCTATCCTGCTAATTTACATGGCTTTAAATTTCATCTCTCTGCTGCTGACACACATTTATGACTTTAGCCCAGAGGTTCCCTCTTGAACTCCAAGCTCATGTGTACATTTTTCCCAAATTCATTTTCTTAGAAGCCCCAAAAATCACATATTCAAATGAATCCCCTGAATTCTCTGATGACTTACTGTACTCCAGGCTGCTATATCTCAGTAAATAGCAACTTCGTTCTTCTGGATGCTCAGCCCAAAAGCCTTGGAATCATTCTTGATTCCTTTCTCTCACATCCACAATCTAATTTGTAAGGAAGTCCTTTAAAATACATTCAGAATCCCAATACTTCTCACTTCCTCTCACTACCATCCTGCTCCAAATCATAATCTTTTCAACTAGATTGTTGCAATAGCTTTCTAACTTGTCTCTTTGCTTTTTTCTTTCCTCTTCTAAAGTCTACCTTTGGAAACAACAGGTCTTAATATGTAAACTATATCACATTGCTCCAGTCCTCAACCCCCACCTCTCCTACAAAGGCTTGCCATCTTATTCGGAGTGAAACACAAAGTCCTTATCATGGCTTAAAAGGTCCTAGAAGATCTACACTTCTCCTCCACCACTGATCTGATCTTATCTCCCATGGCTGGTGCCCCACTCCCCATCCTATACCAGTGATATTGGCCTCCTTTCTGTTCTAAGAATAATCCCATCTTGCATATTCCCGCTCTGGGGTTTTGCCCTTGCCATTCCCTTCTCCCTTAGATATCCACCTGGCTTACTCCCTCACTCTCTTCAGATGCCTGCTCAAATATCACCTGATCAGAAGGGTCTTCCTAATCACCCAAATAAAATAGCACCATTCACCTGAAGCCTTCACTCTCTATCCCATTTTACCTTCCTTCGTTTTTCTCCTTAGCACCTATCTCTGACATATTACATATTATTTACTTAATGTCTATCTTCTTCAGCTAAAATGTAAGATCTAGGATGTCTATTTTGTTCATTGTTGTATCCCCATCATCTAGAACAATGTTTGGCACAAAGTAAGTACTCAGTAGATATTTGTTGAACAAATAAATAAACGAACCAGATAGTCTTAACCAAAGACTTAGACAAAATATACAGGGGCAGGTAAAAGTAAACATGCTATTCATTGATTTAATACAGTGAAAACAATTGAACTAGAGTTATATATGGCTGAATCTCACAAAATATTGAGCGACAATGTAAGTTGCAGAAGACTATATATGTAAAATGTGATATCAAAATGTTTTATATACATATTGTGTGTATGTGTGTGTGAGAGACAGAGAGAGAGACAGAGAGAGAGACTGAAAGGAGGAAAGAGAGAGAGAGGAAAGAGATGATCCATATTAATGATAAATACCAAAATCATACTACAAAATGAATGGTTGTTAACTGAGGGGATGGTAATGAGGACATATAATGATATTACTGTTAATGTTTTGAATGTCAAAACAAAAAAATTAGTTATATAGACCATACTGGAGACTTCTTAGGGGGTCACAAAGGAGAATTTATATCTTACATAATACAACCAAATAAAATTCTCATTACACACCTTTGTTTTGCTTCAAAAACCTTCTGCACTACCAGGCATCTGGTCTCTACCTTTTTTTTAAAACTTATTTTGGGAAATTTCAAACATGTAAAAAAGTAGAAAGATTAGTACATTAAACACCCACGTACTGGGATTTCTGCTTCTTGTCAAAATGGAATAAGAGGGACTGGATTTACTCTGTAGCCTGAAACAAGTTTCAAGACAATGCGCAACAAAGGACAGTGACCCCAAGAGAGGGGAAACAAATAAGGTGAGGCTAAGATTGCCCCAGTTTATTGTCAGGAGAGAAGTTCCAGGCTGTGTACCAGAAAGGAGGAGCCCAATGACCATTGCCATTTATTGTAAACCTGTTCTTTAGGGCCATAGGAACAATGAAAGGATACACAACACTCAGAAACGTTCCTCTTGTATGGATAGGCAGAAAATACTCTCATTTAGAGGCAAGCAGCAGAGGTCAGGAGCAGGTCTTAGCCATGGGCAATGGAAGAGAATGCTTTCTAGCCCATCAATAAAAACTAACATTGGCCCTCTCCCCTTCTATCCCCTTTCTCCTTTAAGAAGGCTTAAGCTTCTGGGAAGAACAGACAAGAAACATCAAGGGATAAATAAACCAAAGTTTAAAAGTCTTATTAAACCAAAACCTGGTGATTCTTGATGCCTGTTTCATATGAAGTTCTCTTACAACAAATAAAATGACATTTAAAGAAAGGTTTCTGTTAATAAGAATGCATAATCATAAACAGAGGTGCTCAGACCTCTTTGTTTACACCACTGATCATATGATGTGGGACAGGAAAGCATTGGTATTAAAATGCTTTCTGCTGCTTAATGAAACCAAACCTCTAGAGCACCCTGGACCATGATCCTCTTTGCAGGTGTATTCCTTAAATTTCATGCTTAATTTGTAGACTCATATTTTTCTCTTATTTTTAGATAATCCTACAGGAGGCCTACTCCTAATGTATTTCTTTGTGTATAACTCAAAGTCTTCCTAATGCCATTTTGTGACATGTGGTAACTCTTTACTATTCATGCAACACATTTGTATAGAATACTGTGCATAAGACAATAAGCTAGGAGATGGGAGGGATGCAAATTTCAAAAAGGCATAGACCCTTATTTCAAGGAATGTAGAGTCTAAGGGGCAAAATAAAGCAAGCGTATGACTATAATAAAAAGTACAATAATAAGTACTATAAGACAATGCTCTCAGAAAGTTTTGGATTTGGAAGGGATCTAAATGGTATAGTAGCTTTACTCATTTTAGACATGAAGAAACTGAAAGCCAAAAGATTAAATGACTCATTTCATGCAGTACATGGGACAGCAGGGTGGGTTAGAAAGAACAGTGGACTTAGGGGTCAGAGAACCTAGTGTGATTTTGAATTTCAGTCCTTGCTAGCTTTCACAAAGGACAAATGATAAAGCCTTCTATCCTGGTTAAAGATCAAATGAGACAATAAAAGAGTTTTATAGACTATGAGGCAAAATAAAAATGTAAAATATTACTACAATTGTAGAACTGGGAATAGAACCCAAACCTCCAAATTTTCAGACCCTTGTCCATCAGGTATTAAAGTGAAATGTTTTTCCATGACTTTTAGTTAACAATTTAGGCAATTCACTCACTTGCATAGTTAGAGTAGAATATAATTATCAATCATCGCATACATATGTTGTTTACTTGAATCCTATGACAATTCCCCACCTGTCTGAGTTATATATAGAAAAATAAAACAGATGCTCTCACTACAAAACTTTCTTGGCTAATTCTTACCGTAACATAGGATAAAAATTTTATCCAACATTTCTCAATAACGTGTTGTTTTTTCAGTTGTATTCTGGTTTCTTCCTTATAAGCAGTGTTAGTGTTGAGCAATTAAAAAGAAAAATAAACATCAGGAACTTTGTAGATCAAAACTAGTGAACACATCCTAGAGGTATTTAAGAGAAGTGATAGCATCGGCCGGGCAAGGTGGCTCACGCCTGTAATCCCAGAGGCCGGGGCGGGCGGATCACAAGGTCAGGAGATTGAGACCATCCTGGCTAACACAGTGAAACCCCGTCTCTAGTAAGAATACAAAAAAATTAGCCGGGCGTGGTGGCAGGTGCCTGTAATCCCAGCTACTCAGGAGGCTGAGGCAGGAGAATGGCGTGAACCCAGGAGGCAGAGTTGCAGTGAGCCGACATCATGCCACTGCACTCCAGCCTGGGCAACAGAGCGAAGTGATAACATCAATATAATATTGTGTTACTGCTTTGATCTGCTAAAATGGTAAGTGATATAATCAATTTTATATTTTTGAGTTTTCTTTCCAGTTGTTGCACGTAGCAACAAAGAAAAGAAACAGGTTAATTGTAAAAGCCTTTGTCCTCTTCTTCACCCCATTACAGACACCTTCCTCTTTAGGGTGGGTGAGAAAAGAGGGAACTAAGTTTCTTTTTACCACCATATAACTGTATGACTCAACAAAGGTATTCAAGATTGGTATGGTATAGTAGAAAGAACAAGGAATTTGGACTCAGAGGTCCTGGGTTTCAGTTTCTCATTTATCTATCGAGACTTGAGTCAAGTAACTTTGCTAGCTATCAGTTTTTTCATCTGTAGAAGATGAAGACTAAGAAAACCTACCCGTTGGGTTGTCAGATGAATTATATAAAATTATATAAATTAAATGATTTAAGGCAGCTAAAAAGATGCATATTAGGAAGATAAAGTAAACATTAAAAACATCTTAAAGATTTTTTGTTTTTGTTTTCTTTCTTTCTTTTTTTCAGAGATAGCTCTTGCTCTCTCACCCAGGATGGAGTGTAGTGGTGAAATCACAGCTCCCTGCAACCTTGAACTCCTGGGCTCAAGCGATCCTCCTGCTTCAGCCTCCCAAGTAGTTGGGACTCTGGTGCACACCACCATGCCTGTCTAATTTTTATTTTATTTAACTTTTTGTAGACATGGGGTCTTGCTACACTGTCCAGGCTGGTCTTGAACTCCTGAGCTTAAGTGATTCGCCTCCCAAAGTGCTGGGATAACAGGCATCAGCCACCATGCCTGACCAAAATAAAATAAAAATATTTTAAAATGAGGTACACAAAAATAAAGTTAAGAAATTTAGATGGACTCAGCAATAAGGTTAATGTATAAAATATAGGCTATGTAGCCCTATACACTTGCTCTGACTGGACTGCAAATTTGAGTATAAACTTCTTAGCTGTCATCTCAAAGGGAGAAACATGGCAAGTCACCAAACAGTGTCCATCTGTTAAAAGGAAAACTTAAGACAAAATAAATTTGACAGAGTTTATTTAAAGAAAATAATGATTAATGAATTGGGAAGCATCAAAACCAAAAAGTTTATGGGCTCAGCCTTAGCAGCCAAAGCAGGGAGGTGTTTGTTTGTTTGTTTTGCCACAACATGGAAACAAAGTAAAGAAATTACCTGATTGGCTACAGCTATGCATTGGCCTTATTTGGGTATGGTCTGATGGGAAGTCTCTAGTTATATATCCAATCAGCTGGTTGGCTGTTTGTGATTGGCAGAAGCTGGTGGGTTTTGTTTTTTTTTAAGTTAATTACAAGAACTGCTTCCACTTCAGTTTCAGTTTGCTTATATAAGAGCTCTAGGTGCAGAGACAACCTCAGGCTAATGGCCTCCTTCTTGTTTTTTTTTTTTTGAGACTCAGTCTTGCTCTGTCACCCAGGCTGGAGTGCAGTGGTGCGACCTCGGCTCATGCAACCTGGGTTCAAGCGATTCTCCTGCCTCAGTCCTCCGAGTAGCTGGGATTACAGGCACGGGCCACCACACCCAGCTAATTTTTGAAGTTTTAGTAGAGATGTGTTTCACCATGTTGGCCAGGCTGGTCTTGAACTTCTAACCCCAAGTGATCCCTCCTCGGCCTCCCAAAGTGCTTGGATTACAGGTGTGAGGCACCGCATGGGCCTAATGGCTTCCTTATTTGCTTGAACACATCCATAAAGTTAAAAACAAATTAACTTTTGTGATTCCTCAAAAAGTTCAACATAGAATTACCATATAATCTGCAATTCCACTTTGAAGTACATACCTAAAAAAAACGAAAACAGCTATTCAAACAGATACTTATACACCAATGTTCATAGTAGCATTATTCACAATTACCAAAGGTGGAAACAACCAAAATGTTCATCAGTGGATGAATGGATAAATAAAAAGTGGCACATTCATGCAATGAAATATATTATTCAGCCATAAAATAGCACCACTGCACTCCAGCCTGGGTGACAGAGCAAGACTTTGTCTCAAAAATAAAATAATATAAAACAATTAATGTTATGTTATATGAATGTCATTTCAGTAAAAATTAAAACAACAACAAATGAGTTGCTCTGGAAAAACACAACTATTTCTAATAATGAGACCAGAAAGGACATTCTTTAATGAAATGAACTCTCAGCAATATATTTATTTGAACAAAATGTTGCGTTCATATCATTCTTCAATATAAACTGATGTCAAGGCTAAAAGGGTGACATGGTGAAAGGTATTCTATTGGGAACAGGGTGGGTAGGGAAAGAGAGTAGGAGGAACAGCGTGTTAGTAATGTGGCCCAAGCTACATTGGTCTCTCATAAGGAGGCTTAAGGCAGAAATGAAATTAAAAGCACCTCAAAGAAGAGTTGGACCAGAATCCATCAAAATTGTTTCCCTCAGATTTTTGGAAGTTATGGAGCAGGACTGAGTTTGAGATTGCACTCCCTGTCAAGTATCTGGGTACAGTCAAGAATAGAGCCTCATACTTTAAGTGTTAGCCAGTCTGGAAGCAGGAGCAAGATCCACTAGCAAATGAGGAGAATGTTGGAAGTGAGCAGTGACAGTGTTGAGGCAGTGAAGGTTCTCCTGAAAAAGCGTTGGGTCTTCTCAAACACCAAACAAAGGGTAATTATAAACCCATATAGTTCCATGAAATAAATCATGCTCTAGTATCTTCAGAGAGGAAAGGTTTCTTGTAGATCAAACAAGGTCATGTATATGAAAGTTCTTTGAAAAGTATAAAGTAGTATATCAATCATAGTTGTCGTTATTATTAATATCTGATAATACCTAACTTGTAAACAAAATATTTGAACAACATTTTCACATACAGTGTTCGTTCATCATTCTCAACAAATATTGATTGAATTGTCTGCCAGGTAGGGTAGGCAATATCATCCACATTTTAAAAAAAAATTGTTTTGTTTTTTTTTTTGAGACCGAGCCTTGGTCCATCACGCAGGCTGGAGTGCAGTGGCATGATCTTGGCTCACTGCAAACTCTGCCTCCCGGGTTCAAGCGATTCTCCTGCCTCAGCCTCCTGAGTAGCTGGGATTACAGGCATGCACCACCACACCTGGCTAATTTTTTTTTTGTAGTTTTTTTGTTTGTTTGTTTTGTTTTTTTTTTTTGAGGTGGAGTCTCCCTCTGTCGCCCAGGCTGGAGTGCAGTGGTGCTATCTCGGCTCACTGCAAACTCCGCCTCTCGGGTTCAAGCCATTCTCCTGCCTCAGCCTTTTGAGTAGCTGGGATTACACGCGCCCGCCATCACGCCCGGCTAATTTTTGTATTTTTTTTAGTAGAGATGGCGTTTCACCATGTTGCCCAGGTTGGTCTCCAACTCCTGACCTCAGGTGATCCGCCCGCCTCGGCCTCCCAAAGTGCTGGGATTACAGGCATGAGCCACTGCGCCCGGCTCATCTTCATTAACTCTTAATTGGACTTACTTAATGCCTTGAGGGAAGTTTGACCATTTCCATTTTTGTCTATGGAGTAGCATTTTCTTTAACTGCTATTACATAGAGTTCTCAGGAGCCATGCTACTGAAATGGCTGCACACAATGCTTAGCTTTATATTATTGACTAACATTTATTGAGTGCACACTGTGTTACGTATGGTACTAGGCATTATGCAGATACATATAGTTTTATTTACTCCTTAAAACAGCCTTCTGAGGAATTTTTATCATCCGTCTTCTGTTTGTACAGAAACTAAAGCTCGGAAAGATGAATTAACTTGCCCAAAGTCACAGGCAGAAACATAACTGGTTCAACAGTCCTTATAGGAGGTCACTTAAAGGTTCATGAAAATCAGAGGCTGAGCCAACAGAGCTCTATGATTCCTATCAGAGGAGCCAGTATGGCATAAAGCAAATGTTGAACCAAGAATCAAAGTAAGAGACAGGGCTGGGTCCATATCTAGTTTTGTTTAACTCCAAAGCTCACAGCTTAACCACTCTGCTACATGGAGACACAAGTCCACTAAGTTTATAATAATTTTAGTTCCCACCCAGATAATTATGGCAATAAAATCTGGGTCATCATCATCATAGCCACTATAGTTTACTGTTCAAAACTCTCTTATAAGTGCATAACAGTCATAGATTCAGGAACATTTATAAATCTTAAAGTCTCAATGATAGAGGACAAGGAAGTGTCCTCCACAGAAAAGCTTTTTTTTTTTTTTTTTTTTTTTTTTTTGAGACGGAGTCTCGCTCTTGTTGCCCAGGCTGGAGTGCAGTGGCGCGATCTCGGCTCATTGCAACCTCTGCCTTCCCCGGGATCAAGCGATTCTCCTGCCTCAGCCTCCCGAGTAGCTGAGATTACAGGCGCCTGCCACCACGCCCGGCTAATTTTTTTGTATTTTTAGTAGAGACGGGGTTTCACCATGTTGGCCAGGCTGGTCTCAAACTCCTGACCTCGTGATCCGTCCCCTGACCCCCGCCCCCCGCCCCGCCTCCCAAAGTGCTAGGATTACAGGCGTGAGCCACCGCGCCCGGCCGTATTTATGCTTTTGACTAACGTTTTTCTGTACAGGTGTATAGGGTAATGTAATAGGTAAAATAACTCATTCAACAACAAAAAATTATTGTAGTATTTTGTAGCTACTAGGATTGAAGTACTAAAGAATTGTCTGTCTGCCAAGGTTTGGGGAAATGGGAAAATGGGACAAGATCTTCACCACATGGGGCACATTTCACCTCTCTGGGATTCATTTCCTATTCTGTAAATGGCAGAGTTGGGGTTCCAGGTCTTGTCCTTGTTTTTTTGACTTTGTGTGAAGGTTTCTCCACCTCACCTGGCACTAGTCTTATTTCAAAATATTCATCTCATACTATCCTCTCTTTGCAATTCTTTAATTCATTCAACAAATATTTATTGAGCTTCTACTAGTATTGTGAGTAACAGAAGCAAGGTTCCTCCACACATGGAGCTTATTATAGTCCAAAAGGATAGGACAATAAATAATTTTGAAAGTAAACAAATATTTATTAATAACTGATAAATAACTATTGGTTGGAAAGGTGCTAAGAAGGAAATAAATAGGATCATGTGTTATGTCTCTGAGAGTCTTAGAATGAAGCAGACAAGCTCTTTCACTTTCAAGTGCTGACGTAGTAAAGTCATTAGGTTTCAAAAAAGGAAAAAAAGATAATATCTTACAATTAACTAATGAATGAACAGCCATTACGCTAGAAGAAAATTGTATTGTGATTGGTGTACTCCGTATCTTCTCAGAATGAGAGAGGTGAGGCTTCTCAAAAAGAGCAGCGAGAGAAAGTCACTTAAAAATTTTTTTTTTTTGGTAGGTCAAGCTAAAGACGAACTGAAAATAGACAACCTGAAGTCAGACGGGAAAGCTGCCAATCTAGTCTGGCCAGCAGAATTTCTTTCAGTAGGTCTAGGCTCCCTCGGCATTGGGAATCCAGATGTAAAGAAAACTTACGCCATAAACTTCAAGGTAGATTTCAGTTATTACTGCCCGGTGGCAGGAACCTAGGAAGGTGAGGTCAAGGTGTGGTTTAGTAAGAGACAGCTCCCGGGAACGGCACTTGGAAGGGCAGGGCGGAGAACAGCTGGAGATGAGATAGAGAGCAGGGGGAGAATGCGCCGACACCTCAAGGTGAGAGAGTAGAAACAGTCTCCGCCGTGGGAGCCGCGCGCTGCTCAGGTGGCTCTTTCCCGCTCAGGTGAGCTCCTCCCGCGCCTCCCATTGGCCGAGATGCCCGCGGCGCTGGGAGGGCGACGCAGCGCGGTCTAGTTCAGGGTCTAGGGCGGCGCGTCACTTCCGGTAGCGCGGAGCTTGTAAAACACCCTGGAGAGAAAATGGCGGCGGCAGCAGCTTCGGCGCCTCAGCAGCTCTCGGATGAGGAGCTTTTCTCTCAGCTCCGCCGTTACGGCCTGTCTCCCGGACCAGTGACGGAGAGCACCCGCCCGGTCTACCTCAAGAAGCTGAAGAAGCTTCGAGAGGAAGAGCAGCAACAGCACCGGTCAGGGGGCCGCGGCAACAAGACGCGGAACAGTAATAACAATAACACGGCAGCCGCCACGGTCGCAGCCGCGGGACCAGCGGCGGCGGCGGCCGCGGGGATGGGGGTCCGGCCGGTCTCGGGCGACCTCTCCTACTTACGGACTCCTGGGGGCCTGTGCCGAATCTCGGCCTCTGGCCCAGAGAGCCTCCTGGGAGGGCCCGGGGGCGCCTCCGCCGCCCCCGCGGCTGGCAGCAAAGTGCTGCTGGGCTTCAGCTCGGACGAGTCGGACGTGGAGGCCAGTCCCCGGGACCAGGCCGGCGGCGGCGGGAGGAAAGACCGGGCTTCGCTCCAGTACCGCGGGCTCAAAGCGCCGCCGGCGCCCCTGGCCGCCAGCGAGGTGACTAACAGCAACTCTGCAGAGCGAAGGAAGCCCCACTCGTGGTGGGGGGCCAGGAGGCCGGCGGGCCCCGAGCTGCAGACCCCGCCGGGGAAAGATGGAGCAGTGGAGGACGAGGAAGGGGAGGGAGAGGACGGTGAGGAGAGGGACCCGGAGACCGAGGAGCCGCTCTGGGCGAGCCGGACCGTGAATGGCAGCCGGCTTGTCCCCTACAGCTGCCGGGAAAACTATTCGGACTCAGAGGAAGAGGACGACGACGACGTGGCCTCCAGCAGACAGGTATTAAAGGACGACTCCCTTTCCCGGCATCGGCCCAGACGAACCCATAGTAAGCCTCTCCCCCCGCTGACTGCTAAATCGGCCGGCGGCAGGCTGGAGACTTCAGTTCAGGGAGGGGGAGGACTCGCGATGAATGACAGGGCGGCGGCTGCCGGGAGTCTAGACAGGAGCCGAAACCTCGAAGAGGCGGCGGCCGCGGAGCAGGGAGGAGGGTGTGATCAAGTGGACTCCAGCCCCGTTCCTAGATACCGTGTTAACGCTAAGAAACTGACCCCTCTCCTGCCCCCGCCACTTACTGACATGGACTCAACCTTGGATTCGTCAACAGGCTCCCTTCTGAAAACCAATAATCATATTGGCGGTGGGGCCTTCAGTGTGGACTCCCCCAGGATTTATTCTAACAGTCTCCCTCCCAGTGCGGCGGTGGCCGCCTCTAGTTCACTCAGGATCAATCACGCCAATCATACGGGCTCCAATCATACCTACCTGAAAAACACATACAACAAACCGAAGCTTTCCGAACCCGAAGAGGAACTTCTCCAGCAATTTAAACGGGAGGAGGTGTCCCCAACAGGGAGTTTCAGTGCCCACTACTTGTCGATGTTTCTCTTAACTGCTGCCTGCTTATTTTTCCTAATACTGGGACTGACTTACCTAGGAATGAGAGGGACAGGAGTATCTGAGGATGGAGAACTCAGCAGTAAGTATTAAATCCTGTGGGTAAGGTAACAAAGAGAATGTTGTTAGTGGTCCGCTTTAGCCGCGCTTAGCGTTTTACATGAAGTGACTTACCTGCAAGAATATGGTTTAACAGCAAAAACGCAACAGTGCGTGCATGTGTCATCTTTCTTAAAGAACACCATTATCGAAATGATGTCATATGGCTGGTTTTAAAAGTTTTCTGCATGATGTATTGTGAAATTCAAAACAATTTTTAAAAGAATATTATAAGCTTGTTAGTAAAACTCATTTGTATATGTGACAATTCTCTTTTAGCCCTGAAAGACTATTTGCGCAGATGCCAGTTACTTAACAAATTTGAAGTATTAGGATAAGGCACATTATAAATGTAGTGTTTTTCCAAATTGAGTTGTGATTCTAATAGGCAATGTAATAGCTCTTGAAATTCGAATTATTTTATAATATTAACTGTATGCATAAATTCGGATTAAATATTTTGTGGTATTAACTGTATGTATAATTTCTTTATAGTGAATGAATATAAAAAAGCAGCAAGGCACACCTCTTAATTTATTTCCCAGCCCAAAGCACTTTCCCTATCATCTGTACAAAAAGTAGTGGTAGGGCAGTGCAGGAGCTTGCAGTCAGATTTCCTTGGATTGGTTTCCAGGTCCTACTATTTACTTGCTAAATGACTGTAGGCAGGTGTGTTCATTGTCATAATCAAAGTATCTCTGCCCTTAAACACAAAAAGAAGATGAATACAGACCATTTTGTGTTCTCTGAAGGAAATAAAGATGAGTAATTGGCGTACACAACTTTATTTTTTTTCCTTTTTTAAAAAAATTTACCAGACTACACTGACGTAGGTGTACACTACTTTAGATTGAACGGAGGAGGTACTATTTGAGGTGAGACCTGAAGCAGAAGGAGACAGCCTTGTGGAGAAACAGTAGACCATTCTGAGCAGAGATTAAGGCCTTGAGTTGAGCAAGAGCCTTCTTGTAGGTTAGAGTGGTTAAGCACCTTGAGCAAAGGGGAGAGAGTCAGAGTTAAAGCTTCTGAACTTTCCTAATCTATAAGATGAGGCCTCTATTGACTAGAATGTTTGTGAAGATTAAAAGAGAAAGTAAATTAGGACAAAATGGACTTCTGAATACATAATTTCTCAGTGTTAGGTCCCTCTCTGCATTCTCCCTGAAGGCTTCCTACTCTTTTCACCCAAGATGAATTCACTGTATTTTTATTTGTATTTATAAAATTGGCTTATTAGTTTTATTTCAAAATAGAGTGAAAGATGCAGTTAGCCAACTCAGATAAAGAGTAGGAGTCAAAATAATGTAAGCTTAGATTTAGATATAGCCAATTCCGAGACAGTCAAATAATAGATTTTTACTCTGTTGCTTAATTACAGGGGTTGAAACAAGAATGAAATTCAGCTCTCACTTTAGTTTATTCCCTGGGAGCATGAGTGTATTGTGTCCTGCCCCAAATATTTGGGAGAAAAAAAATAAGGGCACACTAGAAGTTAAACAAGTAAAAGTTCACATAAATTAAATGACATTACCTATCAGCAGTAGCTATCTGCATCTGTGTCTCTAACAACTATAAGATCTGGCCTTTTTCTTTTCTTTTTTTTTTTTTTTAGACAGAGTCTAGCTCTGTCGCTAGGCTGGAGTGCAGTGGCACAATCTCTGGTCACTGCAACCTCCGCCTCCTGGGTTCAAGTGATTCTCCTGCCTCAGCCTCCCAAGTAGCTGGGACTACATGCGCGTGCCGCCACACCTGGCTAAATTTTTTTTGTATTTTTAGTAGAGACAGGGTTTCACCATGTTAGCAGATCTGGCCATTTTCTAAGAGCTAATTGCTTTACACCTATTGTACCATCTAATCTTCCCAGCAACTCACAGAAGCAGGTGGTGGTATCCTCATTTTTGGATGAGGATGATACTAAGTTAAGAAATGCACTGAGTGTTGAACAGTTAGTAGTAGGGCTAAGATTTGGTTTCAGATTTTATTTCCAACTAGAAAGACCATTTTAACACTGTTTTGGTTATTGTTTGTAGAGAGCTTTCTAAATAAGTGGGTACCTTTATTATGATTAAGAAAGTAATTGACTATTTGGTAGGATTTCATACAGAATTATTGATAAGCACAATTCTCAGTTAAGGTGACTTTCACATCTTTCTCATCAGTGTTAAGATGAATGACTAATGTGGTGTACTAAAAGTTCAGGTAGAATAGGATAGGAATGCTAGGATTTTGGTACTCTTCACCTTCACTGATAAGGAAGGAAGGAAATTATATTTACATTTTAGTAAATGGTAAATGTGAAGTAATCTGGGCGTTGGAAAGAACAATGGCTAAGAAGTAGAGGATCTAGGTTCTAGGACTTGTCTGAATGACTGTGGTCAAGCTCCTTAATCTCTGAGCCTCATTTTTATATACTAAATGGAAGTAATAATATCTGCTGTCTCTGGGTTTGTTTGTGAGGGTCAGGTGAGACAGTGTGTTAAACATAAGGTGGTATTATTCAGAAATTTGGACAAAATTTGTTGTATTCCTGGTAAACTACAGTATATCTAGAGAGATAAATAGTTAAGACATTTCTATAAATGACATAGTATAGTGCATTTCTTAACCTAACATTTGATTTTTATCCCATTAAATATACATTATAGAAATTAATACAGAAATTTGAATCAAAGTATAATGAATCCTTAAATGTATGATACACTTGATGTATTGTATGTCTACCCTGTGGAAAGAAGTGCCTGCTAACTTCAGTTAGTCTGCACACCTAACAGTGTTAGGGTATCAAGAGTGAATAATATTTTCACTCCATATATATATACACACACATACATACACGTATTCCATATCCTTTGTTATATTATGATGCTTTAACTGTAGAGTTCATTGGTCAAATAGTATGCTTAGGGAAATACGTTTACTTTGAGTAATAGTTTTCACCAGAAGATTGTAGGTTATATGTGAGAGTAACTTTTAGGAGGCTTTTATTATTTAAATTACATATAACATATAGTAGATTAGTCTTTTAAATTGTTCTTAATCATATAGTCTTTGAAACTTTTTCATCAATGCCCTATTTTTTTATTAATTAAATTGCTATAAGTCTCTTCTTCCTCATCTATAAAACTAGGGGGTTGGATTAGATGATCCCTAAGCTCTTTCCAGCTCCAAGATTTAAGATTTTAACTTTGAACTGCCATACCAAAACAACTCAAGGATCAACCTGCAATCAGAGTAGTCGCTTGTTCCACAGGTGATTAGATCATTATAGCCCACCAAACGAAAATAGAGAAGCAGAATAGATTGACTGTCCTAGGCTCGTATGATCATTATTAATTTTTTTTTCAATTACAAAAGACATGACTTCTGCAGAAAGTTTGAATAGAGATGAAGGAAACAGTGAATGGTTATTGTATGCCTCTCTTCCTAGCCTCATGCTGCCCCCATATAAATAAGTTCAAGTATTAGATCCTTTCTGACCTTTCTTAGTATTTTTCATGTAAATACATCTCTGTGTGTGTGTGTGTATGTGTGTGTGTACAGATTTTCATTCAACAGCAGAGTGTCTACTATGTGCCCGGTATTATTTTAAGCAGCAGGGATATGTGGTGAACAATATGTTGCATATGTGGAAGATGAAATCTCTGTTACAGAGCTTACATTTCTAGGAGGGGAATGGACAAGTAAATAAGAATTTCACATAATGGTAGTTGCTAACACAAGGTATTGCTGGTAACTTTTGGGGGCTGAGGTGAAGAGATATGCAATATTACATAAAGGTAGGCAGACCTCTCTGAGGAAGGATGTTTGAACTGAGATATGAATGACTTGAGGGAACTAGCCTTTGATCAGGAGAAGAGCATTCTGGCAGAAGTATCAGCAAGTGCAGAATTCCTGAGGCAAAAACAGGCTTGTGTGTTGAAGGACCAAAAAGAATGGCCAGTGTTGCTGGGACATAATGAATGAAGGGGAAAATGGCATACCATGAAGTTAAAGGTAGGTATGGGCCAGATCATAAAGACCTAAACGCCTTGAGGGCCGTTGAAAGGAGTCAGAATTTTAAGTGATATTATAGCATACATATTCTGCAACTTGTTTTTTGTATCATGGGTAACTTTTCCATATACTAATTTTAAGTACAGAGGTATAATTTTAAAATCTCATTTTCCACTAGTCCCTTTCTCATCCTATAAAAATACTAAAATCTCTACCATTCTAAAAATGTTGCTCTTCTGTGCTCTTTTCTTCTCTAGTTGTTACTCTTCTCAAACTTTCTGCCTCTATTTTCTTCCCTGCCATTCACTCAACCCTGTCTAGTTTAGCTTTCTTTACCAGCCATTCCTCTGCTACCTCTCTTCTTCAAGTCACCAGTTACTCAATTTTCAAATCCTCATCTCTTTGGTACATTTAGTGCATTGACAACTCCCTTCTTCATGAAACTTTCTCCTTTCTAAGCTTCTGTATCACTACTCTCTCCTAGTTTTCATACTTCTGTCTGCCTGTTTTAAATATTGGTGGTCTCCACAACTTGATCTTTGGCTGTCTCCTTTTGCACACATTTCTCTAGGAAGTTTCATTCACTCTCCTTGTCATTATCTTCCAGTTTTGTATTTTTACCTTGGATTTCTCCTGAGATCTAGGTATACCTATTTGTTTACTAGACATCTTTTGGGTATACTAGAAGTATGTACCAATACCATCTGACATTTTCTTTATATTTACCTTGTTTTTGCTCCTCCTCCCTGTTTAGTTAATGGTGCTTCCATCCACCCAGACAGAGCTCAAGAGAGAAACCTTGGATTTACCTAGATTCTTTCCTTTCCCTCACCTTCCTACAAACCCCCAACCTAATTGGATACCAAGTCCTGTAGTTCTGTTTCCTCTATATCTTTTGAATCAATCTTTTTCTGTCCCTCGCCACTGTTCTAGGTTAGTCTCTTGCCTGAACTCTTTCAGTAACCTAAAATGGTGTCCCTGCTTCTAGGCTGTAGCTCTTCCAGTCCATTTGTCAGTACAGAGCAGCGTTTCTAAAGCACAAATGTGATCATTCCCTCTTGCTTAAAATTACACAATGGCTTTCTCTTAGTTATTGGCCAAAATCTAAACTCGTTGGCTAAACTGTTCATGATCTGACTATGCTTGCCCTTTCTACCAGTCTCCCTTATCACACTTACTTTCTAGAAAACTGAACTGTTTGCTGTTTTCTGAGTAAGTCATGAAATTTGTGCTTTTCTACCTTTGCACAGGTTATCCCCTTTTTTGGGAATGTTTCTTTATTTTGTAACTGTGATTCATTCTTAAACATGTCATCTCCAGATATCTCTGACTCTCCATCTTTTTACCCTAGAGTTTGGCCCATCATTTTGTGCTCAAATAAGACATTAATTGCATCCTTCATAGTATTTAGGACAAAGTATTATATTTGTGTGTCCACCATGCCAAATAGATGACAGCTCCTTTCTTTAGAGTAATATTTCTATAGGAGTAGAATACAGTGTTAAAGAGTACAAACTTTTTACTCAGTTCTGATTTTGGCTCTACTTTTTAAAGTAGACTATACTAGAGATATAATTGCCTCATACTAAAAATGAGATTGATAATACTATCTGAGGATGACTTGTATTAAGTGAGATAATGCATCTAAACTAGTGTTGTCTGGCACATGGAAATCTCTTAGTAGATGGAAGTCACATTAGTATCTTCAGCACAGATTCATTATTCAGCAAATATCTGTTGAATAAATGATCACATATCAGGTACTCAGGATATATGCACTGTTAACTGGTAGTATCTAACTCGGTAATTGGTTATCTACTTAGTATCTGGTAAGGATATATAAAAGAAATCTTATTTCTGTAGAAGCCTCCACACCACTAATAACAGTAATAGGAAATGGCTAAGAAACATACAGGATATTATGTGGTTACACACTTTTATAAAAGGGGAGAATTCACTGTAAATTCTCAAATGATCAGTCTTACATGATCAAAAGTTCTAAATTCAACATTTGGATTTTATTCTGTAGGTTGAGTAATGGCAATTCATGGAGGTTATAAAGCAGAGGACAAGCATGATCGAATTGGTCCTTTAAGAAGGATAAACAGGTGATGGTTTAGACAGTGATAGGGTTGGAGGGAAGGAGTAGGGTGATGACACCTGAAGGAGGTGGATAAGTGGGAATGGAGTTGGGCCTATGAATGAAATTCATTTGAAGAAAGACATATGGTTTTGAGTATAGAGAATAAGAGACAGATAGGAGTCAAAGATTATTCTGGCCATGAGCCTGGATGACTGAGAGAATGATAATATCATTGGAGGAATTAGAGATGTGGAAGAGGGATCTTGTTTGGGGAAAAGTGGTCTAGGGAAAATGAGTTTACTTGGGGCTTATTATTTGAGTTGTTCAAGTGAAAAATTCTTGTAGGCTCTTGTAGATACAGAATTGGAGTAAAGATGAGAGACTGGTGCTGAATGTGAGTACTAGTACTGTTTACTAAGGGAATACTTTTAAATGTTTGTTTTTTTAATGTGTTGTTGTTTTCTTTAAAATCAAGACCAGTTGTTACAAAGAAGTAACATGTTTTAATGTCATTGTCGTTTAAAAAATATTTTTACTTCTTAAAGTAGACTAGCCAAAAGGTCCCGAACTTGGTATCTAAAATGAATATGGGGAATAAGGATTTTGAAAAATAGCTGTTGCTCTCATTCTTTTTTTTTTTTTTTCAATATGAGACAGGGTCTTGCTGTGTCACCCAGGTTGGATTGCAGTGGTGTGATCATGGCTTACTGCAGCCTCAACCTCCCAGGACTCAAGCAATCCTCACAGCTCAGCCTCCTGAGTAGCTGGGACTATAGATCTGCATCACCACATCTGGCAAATTTTTTGTATTTTTTGTTGAGACAGGATCTCACTTTGTTGTCCAGGCTGGTCTTGAACTCCTGGGCTCAAGCGATCCTGTCACCTTCGCCTCCCAAAGTGCTGAGATTACAGGTGTCAGCCATAGCAGCCGGCCTATTCTCTCATTCTTGAAGAATGAAAGCTCCATGTTATGTTTGAAGTTTTACGAGTTGACTGCTTTGTAAGAAAAAAAAAAAAATCCTAGATCTATGAGAATATTCCCGTGAATGCCAGGGATTTGCATATACCAGTTTGATGATTTCAGAAATTAAAGTCTACTCTATGAAAATGTTTTTCATTTGAAAATTTTCCCTAGAATGATTTAAATTAAAAATAATGAGGAAAAACTTGTGAATCTCTACAGATATATCCACGGAGACTAGTTTGAGGATACACTGGCATAGCTATCAGAGAACCTGGGCTTCAATATTGGCCCTTCCACTTACTAGCTTTTTTTCACTAAGGCAAGTTGCTTAGCCATTGTAAACCTCAATATCCTCATATGAAAAATAGGTTAAATGAGAATGAAGTAATGTGTGTAAAGTAAAACTCATACATGGCACATAGTAATAATAATAACTAACCCTTACGTAGCATTAACTGTGTTCCAGGCACTGAGCTAAACAATTATTATTTAATCCTTATGAGGTAGGTACTTATCCCATTTTATAAGTAAATGGAGACACTGAGAAGTAACTCGCCCAGGGTCATGTAGCTAGTAAGTGAAGCGGCAGTATTTGAACTCAGACAGTGGCTCTTAACTGTTCTTCTAGATTGCCTTTTAATATGTATAAATAAGGACTTGATATATGTTCTCTACTATTATTGTCTTTATTTTCAGAAAACTGTGACAAGTATAGATTCATAAAATCCTAGAAGTGGCAGGAATAATCTATGAAACCTAACAACTTTAGGAAAAGTTGTATTCATTCAACAATTATGAATCACATGGAACTATTTATCCTTAAGGTTTTAGATTAATTAAGGGGGAGGGGGCATCTGCTATGAAGCAAACTATAATATATAATACATAGAACAATAATACAATATTAAAACTATTTCTAATTTTTAAAATATTTGCAGTCTCAAAACTGGTAGGGAAAGTGATCTTTTGATTTGTATTACCAATTACAACTTGTTCTTTCTGTTGTTCATTTTTAGGATATAAAGAACTTTTCATACATTTGATCTCCCTTTTTTGCTCCTTTTGAATAAACTTCATATTTTCCCTTTATACTCATATATGTTTTAATGGAAATGATGCATTTGATAATTTCAGGGACACTAAAATAATCATGAAAAATTATTTTCATGATTCCTAAGAGTTGGGAAGTTCTTAAAGCTTGCTTCTCCTTGCTCATTGATTATTCAATATTAACTTTCCCTATCTGAAAAATATGTTATATAAATGGAAATTTATAGCCTCAGTGCAAAGATAATTATATAGTTTGTAAGTTGTTTAAAAGAGAAGGACACCTTAAACTGTTGGAACTCTCCAAAATGTATTTGTTAATAAATAAGTACTACTAACTTGTTTGTGAAAATTTTATTACTAATGATATAATCTAAATTCGAATGAAGATATATTCTAGGGGTGGGGAGAATATCAGGAAAAATAGCTAATGCATGCTGGGCTTAATACCTAGGTGATGGGTTGATAGGTGCAGCAAACTGCCATGGCACGCGTTTACCTATGTAACAAACCTGCACATCCTGCACATGTATCCCAGAACTTAAAATAACATTTTAAAAAAGATGTATTTTAATCTTGTATTGATTATACATTAAAAATTGCTGCCATTTAATATGGGAACATAGCTTAATACTAATTGTGGAAATTGTTATAACAGTTATTTGCTTATAACTTTGGATTTTGATTTTCATATTTAGATTTATTTTTAACATAGATTTTATTTATTTTTTATTTTTTTGGAGACAGGATCTTGTTCTCTCGCCCAGGCTGGAGTGCAGTGGTGCAATATCGGCTCACTGCAGCCTCCATCTCCTAGGTTCAAGTGATTTTCCTGCCTCCACCTCCCAAGTATCTGGGATTACAGGCACATGGCACCACGCCCGGCTAATTTTTGTATTTTTTAGTAGAGATGAGGTTTCACCATGTTGGCCAGGCTGGTCTTAAACTCCTGACCTCAGGTAATCCACCTGCCTCGGCCTCTCAAAGTGCTGGGGTTACAGGTGTGCGCCACCGTGCCCTGCCCTAACATAGATTTTAAAGTGAACCAGTAACAGTATAGTTGAGCAGTAACCTTTGGATTTCACTGTTTTAATAATCTATGCTTTAAACTGCATCAGTTTATATATTATATATTATATATATAGTTAATAATATTCTTTATTAACAATATTGCCAAAATTTTTTTAAACAAGAGTTTACCAGGAAGAAAATAAGTTAGGTTTTAATAATTTATTTTGCATGTTTAATATCATTATTTAAAAAATATATTTCTTAGGAAATTAGCTCTTCAAAAAGGTTATAAAAGTTATAGTAACAGAGGTAATCTCTAAAAATAGAATAATGCATCTATCATATGGAAGCCATCATGAATTACTTTTCATATGTCTTCATTTTCTTTTATGTCAAGGTATAGTTTAAAATTATACCACTGAATTTTTCCTGGGTGCTAGATTTATTGCTCTGTGCTTTTGCACAGCTTTTTACTTAAAATGCTTTTGCAAGATGACTTCTGAATTCATCTTTACAGCTATGTTACTATCAAATGGCAAGCTAAAGTTTAAAAACAAGGCTTGGTTGTAAAACTATGCAAGAGTGTAGTTCAGCTCTCCTGAACTAATTGGGTAGTAAGTATGCACCAATTGCTGTTCTGCCCTGAATATGACATGAATAGAAAAAACCCTTTAGTAGCAAATGGATATTTTAGCACATAGCAGAAAATTAATTTTGTTTCTCAGTTAGCTCATATATATCTGAGTATGTACACAAACACACACACACACACACACAATTTTCTGACTATGGCTAATTCCTGAAAGCATGCTGTACTTACAAAGGATGCTTTTGCTCTGTAGGAATTCACCAAGGTAAAATTTTCAAAGCATATGAAGAGGATTGTTGAAATTAATTAGGAGGTGAGGGGAATCTTGGGATATCTACTTCTTCTAGCCTCTGAGCTATGGCTTGGAACCTTGGTCAGCCTTATTAAGGACTTCCTTAGTTTATAAGTGTATCTCCCATGGGATCACAAATGCTTTCTTGTTTGATTTAGTTCATTTGAAGAAACATTAAGTTTCTCCTACTCATTTATTCATTCAGTCACGCATTCACCCAGATTATTTATTGAGCACCTATACTATGTACCAGGTAATGGCAGAAGATAAGTATATATCATACCTTTTAGAACTATAGGAGTGACACTCTCCCCACGCTTTGGCTGGCATTCTCTTCTTTTTCCTAAATATTTCTGCACTAGCTAGCCTTCAGAATTGGGATTTTGTTACCATGCAACAGTGTATCAGATTTATATATTGTGACTTGGGAAACATACTTTAAAAATTAGTTTCTGTAAATTTGAGTATACCATCTGGTAAAGCTTATCACAGTGTATATATACACAAAAGAAATAGTTGGCTAATTGAAGTAATGTGTGTTGATCATTCCTTTCACCTTTTCTGTATTACCATTTTCTCAATTGGGAATTCTACCTTTAAAAACCACACAATTTTAATAAATGTAGGTTTTATTTTTTGCAGGTTTTTAGGAGTAATTTTTAAAAAAGGAAGAGACATGAAGAATGAATTTGCCAAAAATGAAAATGTTATAAAATCTGAACATTTATGATTATGGTTCAAGATGTTCTAGAAATATTCTTATCCTTTTGACAGAAGTGTTTTGTTTTTTTTTTTTAATTTCATCTCTAAATGTCCCGTCTTTCAGATTTTAAAGCCTTAGGTGAGAAGAGCAAACATTTATTGAGAATTTTCAATGTGTGTGAGCATTTTATTTTAATTTTCATGAGGGTAACTACTCATACTATGTCTGTGAGAAAACGGAAAGATAGAGGGAATAAGGTTACAAGTGATTTGTCCAAGGTCCCACAGCTACTAGGTGTTGGAGCCAGCATTTGAACCCAAGATCTAACTTTAGAGTTCACAGTATTAACTACCAGGCAGCAGTAGAATTTTTTTATACTTTATCTTATCGTTAGCTACAGGCTTTATTTGGGCAAGCAAGATAAACACAACCTCTGGGCCTTGCTTTTTGTGTCTGTTAAATGAGGGTATAGTAAAATCAACTTTACTTCCAGCCAGTGATTTTTGTAGGGAACTGCTGTGATAATGTCTGTAGAAATGCTTTGGAGAAATTTGGAGTGATATATAACTGTAATTTTAATATTATAAGATAGGACTTAACAGCTATAGTAGTTTAAGCAACACATGTTCAGCATTATGACATGTCCTGTCAGTAATGTTAATAAGTAATAGAGTTGGCTAAATTTATAGTCCTTATCAGTATTTAAACCTTTCAAGCTGTCTGAGCAGATAAAAGGGAGTTATCTTTTCACGTTACATAATTAGTGCCTTCCTTATCTCCAGGACTGAAAAATAATGTGGTTTTTTTTTGCAGCTATATTAAACAGGTGATGACACAACTTGAAACTGGATTGTAGCCTTGCTGATCACTAAAAGGTAGATTTGCTGATAGGAAAGTCAGTGTAAATGGGTTACATTGCTTTAATCCAAAATGTAGTACTGAATTTGAGACGGAAAAACATTTTTTAAGAATGAGGATGGGTCTTGGAGTAAGCTTCTGTTAATACTGTGTGAAGAACAGACAATGCATACAGTTGATACAGAAAGGTGGCTTGTCACATGCCGTTCTTCAGCTAGTTTGTAAGATACCATGAGTACTGTTATTATCAAAGTGGGAAGATGACATGTGTCCCCATGAATAGGCAATAGGTGAATATTAATAGTACTTAAATTAGAAGGTATTTAAAGTACATTAGGATCTTCAGTCTCTTAGATAAGTCATACGAAGCACATAATGAAATTTCCATCCCATTTTGCATTTGAAACTGTTACCAGTGATGGTTTAGACCAGAACCGTCCAGTAGAAATATAAGCCACACAGTAGCCACGTTAAAACATAAAAAAGTTGAGATTAATTTTAATAATTGATTTTATTTAATCTGGTATACCTAGAATATTATTTTGACATATAATCAATATAAAAGTTTTTGATGAGATAGATATTTTATGCTCTTTTTTGAATTAAGGCTTTAGAATCCGATATGTATTTTGCATTCATGGTGTATCTCAATTCAGACTAGCCATATTTCAAGTGCTCAGTAGCCACATTTGGCTAGTTGACTACCCTGTTGGGTAGTGCAAGTCTGGACCGCTCTGAGTTATGGAGTTATATTATTGGTTTAATGAGACCTAATGACAGTCAAGCATTACAATGCCTGTAATGTGCCATGTATAGTGTTCTCTATAATATTTTCAGAAGATCTTTGTAATAACTCTATGATGTCAGTTTTGTTATCATTTTAGACATAGACAGTGAGGTATGGAGATATTAATTTGTCTAAGATTAAACAGGTAGTCTGTAGAGGAGCAGGATTTAAAGCTAAATCTGACCCTAAAACCGCTGTCCTGTTTTTTGTTTCTGTTGCACTGTTTTAAAGCACTGCCACTAGCGTTTGGGCAGGTAGGTGGGTGAGGTGTAGTTTTGGCACTGCTCAGCCAGTGACTTGTGATTTAATTTTTCCTTATTTTTAGGCACAAAGGACTTCTTAGCTTAGAGTGGAAGTGGTATCTTCTAAGTCCTTGCTCATATTCCTGATTGGGAATGTTCCTTTATACTTGTTCCTCATTTCCCATTCATTAAACTGCTTTCTACAATTCTTTAAACATGTAGAATGGAGAGATGGCTCTTTGAGTCTGTTACAGGACCGTGGCGGCAGATAAGGGAAAGCTCAGCTCCTATTGGCAAAAGTGAAAACTAATGTCTAGTAAAACTTTTGTCTGGATGAAGAAGTTTTCTAAGGGTTTCAGTACTTCATTCTGAGAAAGAATTGAGAAGTTCTTATTCATCATGCTCTTTGAATTGTAAATATTTTTTCAGTTATTTTACAGGATTTTATATTGTGGATTAATACTTAGCAGCATGTTCTATTTAATTTGAATAATTTCTTTGAATTACATTTGGATTCCTAGAGAATATTTTCTCACAAACTTTTTCATTTCAAAAGGAAAAACAGGCAGTCCCTAATTTTTGAATACGTTGTCTTCCAGATTGTGTGTAAAACAGTTGTTTGAACTTGGAGCATGTTTTACTACACTGGTTTTAAGTTCCTGGGCTAGCCCACAGAAGCCTATTTAAAACCACATCCTATTTTAGCACTAATATACTGTTGGTTTAAGTTTAGGGAATCAGAGCATTGGATCGTGTTCTGTGGGAGTTGGAGGAGAAAGTAAGTTTATTTTTGGCTTTTAGTGTTTTCTCTTATACTTTTTCATCTCTTTAATTTCTGTTTTCCAACTTATACTGGCCTAAGCTTTCTGCTCTTTTACTATAATCTTGGCTCAATAACTTTAAAAGATTCAATAACTTCTAAGTGCTCAATAACTTCAAAATTTTCTGTATGGAATAGGTTTACTTGTTGAGTGCTTGGCAAATAAACGTTTTATGCTCATTCGTATCTCATTTAGTTTTAAGAGTTTTATGAGGTAGGGGCTAGTTTTCCATCATTAATGAGGAATCTGAGGATTAGGTTAATCACTTTGTCCAAGTTTATAGGGCAGGGAGAGGAGTTATGGAGTTAACGTTGTTGGGTAAAAACCTTAGCAACATGACTTGAAAGCTCATCCACTAACCATTGGACATACTGTTTTCCTTTTTCACATATCCTCTTCTCCTTTCTCTCTTTACTAAGTTCCAACTCCCCCTATTCCCTCAATTCAGATACTTTTTTTTTCTTTTTGAAAGAGATGTGTCTTGCTCTGTTGCCCAGGCTAGCCTCAAGTAATTACTCGGGCCTTGGGCTCAAGTAATCCTCCCACCTCAGTTTCCTGAGCAGCTGGTCTACAGGCACACACCACCAAGTCTGGCAGTCATCTACTTTAAACTAAATGTTAGGGTAAGCCATTTGATTGAATGAATTCATAATATAATGTTGTAGAGCTCTGTTCATAAAAATTGTATGATTTTATGATAAAATTTGGTAATGTGATTATCTTTAGTGAGGATTGAGCCAATATGGAATCAGAGTTTAGCCCTGCCTCTCTAAATTGTTCTTTATCCTTAAATGTGTAGTAGCTGGATTGCCTACAATTCTACAATTTTCTGTTAGAATTTATGGCAGTAGTTTTCAACTGTGGACTGAGAACATTTTGGGAACTGTGCCCATTATAAAGTTTGTCTGAAGACCTAATAAATAATTTGCCTTTCATACTGTGCTATTATTTTTCAATGGTATTTCAATACTGCTGTGATTAAAATATAAAATATTATATGCATGGTAGAATTTGGTCATATTTTCTTAATATAAGTGGATATCAAAAGTACTGTTATGGGGAATCTGAATATCTTGATATAAATGAAGTCCTTTTGCTTTAAGAGTGGAGAATCATTACTTAAAGAATGTTACAAGGAAATTATATATAAATTTTATATATAATATATATAGCATTTATTTTCAAGACATTCATACTTAATGTCACAGAATCAGTTGTAGTGTTGAAATGACTGACTGACTTACCAGCTGGTAACCCCTTAATCTCAGAGGTGATTGTACAAGATCTTGATTAACTCAGATTCTATTAATATCTTTGATTGGTAAAACATTTTTGGCAGTAAGTGAAAAATTCAGGCATTATAAAAGACTTGGGGAGCCTTGCCTTGGAGTTTTCTATCTCTCTAAGAACTGTCATTTTATCCCAGTAGCTCTATGGTAGAGACAGATGAAGGTTGGAGTAGCAGTATATTGTGTTATTTTATAAACGTGCTATTTTTTATTTCATGCTGAGATTGGGAAAAGATAACTTATTAATCTATCTAAGATATATTAGGTTATCTCTCTCCATGCTGCTGGGCATAGTTACAAAACATCCTATTTTACAATGAGGAACTAGAGTCCCACAGAGGGTAACTTGCCTGAGATTCTAAGTCATAAACTTTGGAGCTAGTATTTCTTGCCTCAAGAGATTTTTTTTTTCTTTTACATTTTGCCCGTTGCTTTTTATTGTGAAGAGATACTTATTCATCTAAATGATATAACTTGCGGAGCAAGCATTACTTAAAACAAAATTTGTATTTTACTTAAATTTTAACAACTTAAATTCTTTAATTTTTAAAAAATTGTACAAGGTTGAACTTAATACAAAATAGCTATAAATTATATTAATGCCATCTTATCCAAGAATGAAAAAGGATAAAAATATTACTCATTTACTTTGAAAATATTCAGTACCTTTTAAAAAATTCTAATATTTGGGTTAGGAAATGAGAAACTAGGATGATTTAGGAGAGTCTTTTCCTGAGTTTTGTTTTGGGCAGAATATCAGTCCAAATGCATTTAAAAAAATAGGAGTATACTATGCTGCAAGGTTGGTTTAGATTGCTTTTTTTTTTTTTTTTTTTCGACACCTGTTTTCTTTAAAATTCCTTTTGGCTAATAAATTATTTAAGGGTTAAAATAATAAAAGACACTGGTATTACATCAGTAAGTGTGTAGTGATGAAGAACCATAGTACAAACACAGGAGTTAAGTAAGTAAAAATATATAAGCATAGTGTATGGGTTTTGATGTTTAAAATGCAAGATTAAATAGGCTATAGTAGTATGTTGGGAAATTTGGGGAAAAAAACAACTTAAAGTGGCAAGTCAAAATTCTGCTAAGACCATATGCTAGCTAGAACAGACATGATATGAATATAAATAAGTTACTTATGCTTTAATTTGCAAGGACTTTTACATATGTTCTTACACAATCAGCTTTACCAATTTATTACAGGGTTGTTGCCATACTTTTATTTTTCCTAATCCTTGTTCTGCAGGAAGGGAGGATACACTGAATGAATAAAAGCAGATAAACTTAAAATCAATGGTTTTGCCATATAAGATCATCTTAGGATTTAAAAGGGTTTTAGAAGCCATTAGCTACTTTAGGCAATATTAGCTACTTTAGCTACTTCAGGGGTTTGAGGGAGATAATGTTTTAGTTGGGCTCTTTTGGTTATAAGGATAGTTTTAAGAAAGTGAGTGTTTACTATGAGGATATGTGTAGACTTCAACTGTAGAGACTTTAACAATTCAATTCAAGGGATTCCAGGTCTGTGCTTGTGTGTGTGCCTCTGTCTCTCAGTACTGTGCTAAGTTTTTCTTGGGTTGTTTCACTTAATTCTTAAAATTGAGGCCTAGGGAGGTTAAGAAACTCATCCAAAGTCAGTAAGTGGCAGAACCAGATTTGAGTGCAGATAATCTGACTCCCACTATGGGATCTTTGTCCCTGTACTGTACTATCTGCACAATTTTGTATTTCATGTATTTGTTTTTTAAATTTCCTTTGGAATTATTCCCACTTCCCCCCTTTAAAAAAAAAAATCTCACATTCTACTAGACTAGGAGTTCTTAAACAGTGGTCCATCAATCTTAAGGAAGAGATAAATGGACTCCAGGTAAGCAGTAGCTCCTTGAAATTATATGTACATTTTTGAATATGTATGCATTTTTGCAGGGTGAGGGTTCATAAATTTTATTAAATTCTCAAAAGGATCTCTGTCCTTCAAAGTAGTAAGAGTCACTGTACTATCAGCAGCTCTAGGGAAGGTTCTGAGTTCTTATCTTTGTATTCCCTAGCACCTGGTTTTTGGTTACTCAATAAATATTTGTTGAACAGACCTTAACAAATAGAGATGGTATGTAGGAAAATAAGTTTGAATTTAGTCCTAATCTGGAATTTGAAGATGCTTTCACTGTTTATTTAAAATGGTGTTAAGGATCAATCTTACTGACTTGGTCCAGAAAACTGTTTTCTGGCAGATTCAAATTTTATGAATCAAGTTTTTTGAAGTTAGGTTTTTGAAATCAGAGAATAAAGCAAAATTCAGCATTTAGAGTCTACAGTAGGGTGTCTAAAAAAGGCCAGTTTTTTTTCCCCCTCCAGTATAGTATAAAGACTCTTTTAATATTGGATAAAGGATTAGGGAACATTATACATTTTAAACATTAAAATCATACTGCAGGGTTGAAGTACACTATATAAGCTACATGGAAACTGAGAGCAGCTGAAGGCGGGGAGAGATAGCCTAGTAAACTTTAGGCAGAATAAATTAAACAGTTTATTTGAGCAAAGGATGATTTATGAATTGGGCAATACTTAGAACCGGAAGGGATCCAGAGAACTCCTCTCCAAAGCAGTGATGGGCAGTGAGCTTTTATAGGCTGAATGTGGAAGTAAGACAAAACATAAGTGGAAAGGCCCTAGTTAGAAGTTAGTTGGTGGTTTCTGATTGGGTATGCTTAAGTTTTGTTTTACTGTTTACACGGGATTGGGTTTTGGTTTGCTTACAGAGGAGTTCTGTTCACAGAGAAAATCTTCAGGCTAATGGCTTCCTCCTTACTTGCTTTAACAATTTTCTCCTTTTGTCAGCCTCTCCATCTTGAGTGCTTGACTAAAACTTTGAGCATTGTTGACACTTTCTGTCACCATTATAGTGACTTACTTGGTCTCAGTATGGAATACAAAAGTCATGATGTCAGGCTCATGGAAGAAGTATTCCTTTCTTGTTCATCTTATTTTTGTTGCTCTAATTGCAGTGAGACCATTTGGCATATTGCTGATGGCTGCAAACATTCATTTAAGACACTAGAAAGAATACAGTGCACCAGGGAGATGACAATGGGCACTATCAGGAGGATAATAGTAGTTCTTTCTTACCCACAGGCAGTATGTTTCAAGACTCCCATTACTCCTGCAGTGGATGCCTGAAAATGGATACTATCAAACCCTATATATACTATGTTTTTCCTGTAATACATACTTATGATAAAGTTTAATTTATAAATTAGGCACAGTTAAGAGATTAAAACAATAACCCAATGATAGAATTGTAGCAATATACTAATAAAAGTTATGCGAATATGGTCTCTCTCAAAATATCTTATTTACTGTACTCATCTATTTTTGGTCCATGGTTGACCAGGGGTAACTGAAACTGCAGAAAGTGAAACTGCCATAAGGAGGGAGGAGGGACTACTGTCATCAAAGGACTGGTGTATGCTCTTTAGCCAAGGCCTCCATGAACAGAACCAAGTAAAATAAAAAGGTTGATGGCTAGAACAAACCATAAACTCACTCTCTGTGTCCGGAGGGCAGTTGGTCAAGGTTTCTAGATTTGAGCTCAAAGCATATTTCCCTGGTTTGCAGTTTGAATGTTTCTGGTTATGGCAATGGGCATTTTGGTGAACTCCCTGAGTGGCCCATTCATCAGCAGGGATGAGTGTTGCCCAGTACCCGCCTGTAGGGCGTCAGAAACCAAGCAGTTTATAGATACAATGTCAAGGACAATGAACAGGACTAGAATCTGATATGCACAAGGGTGCCCTGTAGTTTTCTACTGAAACATAATTTTTCTCTCTACAGCTGCTCCCATTTCTATCAAAGATAATCACAATAAGACTAATTTGTTTGCAAAATAGGTCTAGTCTCATTAAACTTGGCTTGATAGTTCACATACGTGCAGCGAGAGTAGTGATGGACCATATAGGCTCTCTTTAAATCTGCTTTGCTGGAATTTTTAAAGGCATCTCAGATTAGACTTTTAAAAGCCTCTCTAGGCTATGAAGCCATGCTGAAGACTTACCAGTAGACTTTGCCCGTAATACCTATAGATTTGGATGAATTCCTCTCTTCTCAAGGTCCTCAAAATATTTTTAAAGTTACTGGGCCTGCCTTACTCAACTCTTAAGGCCAGGAAACCCTTAAAGCCTCGTACCACACTAGTTTTTTCCAAGGGGCTTTCATGGCTTCATAAAGTAAACCTTAGTTCTTTAAAACTGGCCATATCCAGCTCTATGTACATTTTCAAATATGACTTTCCGGTCAAAAGCCTTGGTATTATAACCAGTGTTTCCAGTTATAACTTGTTACAAAGAGAACAGATTTTTATTGAACTTATGCAAGTAACTTACTGCAAACCA
Organism: Homo sapiens; assembly: GCF_000001405.40. Taxonomy (NCBI): domain Eukaryota; kingdom Metazoa; phylum Chordata; class Mammalia; order Primates; family Hominidae; genus Homo; species Homo sapiens. Next base: position 65,190,212 of record NC_000012.12, read on the forward strand.
AAAATAAAATTCGAAGGCCCCCTGCAACCATCTGAATGGACTTCCTCCTTGGCTAGGGCACCCTAACATTTAACCTGAAAGACTGCTTCAGGCCATGATGGGAAGTGGGGGTTGAACATGCCTCATTTATGTTGGGGTTGGACACGTCTCATTTATACCTCTCTAGTATTAATGTCAACACAGACCCTAGGTCTGATAGGAAACATATACAGTCTATTCTCTCTAAAGCTTGCTACTTGGAGGCTTCATCTGCATGATAAAAACCTAGGTCTCTGCAACCCCTTCCTTTCTATACATCATAACTCTTTCAACCAATTGCCAATCAGAATATGTTTAAACCTACCTATGACCTGGAAGCCCCTGCTTTGAGTTTTCCCCATCTTCCAGATCGAACCAGTGTAAATCTTACATGTTTCGATTGATGTATTATGTCTCCCTAAAATGTATAAAAGCAAGCTGTACCCCAAACACCATAGGCACATGTTGACAGGACCTCCTGAGGCTGTGTCATGGGTGGGTCCTTAACCTTGGCGAAATAAACTTTCAAAATTGATTGAGACTTGTCTCAGTTACTTTTTGGTCTACATTGTATTGCCATAAAAATAGAAATACTTGGTTACGGTTTCTGAATTCTGGAGGGATCAGATAGTTGAGAAAAGGTGTTTCATCTTCATTCACAAAGGTATAGTTTACCAAATTGTTGAAAGTTGTAGAGATAGCTTAAGAGAAAAGAAAAAAGTTTCCTTAAATCTGCAAAGCACAACATTGCAGAATCAGCAGTGTTTTAAACAAAAAGGCCATAAAAATAACCTATAATTTTTCTTCATCAGTCGTTCAGTCTCATGTAATTCCTGTTCTGCTTGATGTCAGTTTAACAATTTTATGAACCAGTTTCTTTAATAGTGTTGTGGAAACTCTTAGCCAGAGCAATGGTATAATCTTAAAGTTATAAGAAACCTGTACTTGTTCAGAGTCTCTTCCATGAATCTCCTTGAAGACGAAACACTTTAGGATTATAGTTGCTTGCAAAAGCTTTCAGGAAAGCATCAGAGTAAAAATTATCTCTGGATGACAGGACTTAAAATGGCTATGATAAGAATTTATTATGCAATCGACAAGGAAATTTTATTTTTTGTGACATCAGTATTTTAACATAAAAATCAAAATTATGACTGGTAACATCATAACAGGACATATCAGATTTGTAGGAATTTCATACCATTTCTAGAACACTCAGTAACATACCCAGGCAAATATAACTCAAGGAAAGTTAAACATCATTGCTTATTTGACAGTGCTTACCGTGTAAATTTAACATACTGAATAAGGTAGTTTAACATCTCTCTTTTTATGAGGAGAGAGAACAGATTCTTTTGAGATATTCTAGGAATCCCCTGGAAACTACCGAAGTTAGTTCAAGGTGAGAAAGACCTAATGGAGGCTGGGCATGGTGGCTCATACCTGTAATCCCAGCATTTTGGGAGGCCAAGGCAGGCAGATGTTTGCTGAGGCAGGAAGCAGCCTGACCAACATGGTGAAACCCTGTCTCTACTAAATTAAAAAATTAGCTGGACGTGGTGGTGCATGCCTGTGGTCCCGGTTACTCAGAAGGCTGAGGCAGGAAAATCGCTCGAACCTGGGAGATGGAGGTTGTAGTGAACCGAAATCGCACCATTGCATTCAAGCCTGGGCAACAGAGCCAGACTCCGTCTCAAAAAAAAAAAAAAAAAAAAAAAGACGGAATAATGGAATAGAATTTTGGGAAAGTTTGTCAAAAATATCAGAGGTTTAAAAATACTTGATTAAAGTAGATCACAGATCACTTGAAGTAATACCTACTGATTTAACCAGAGTGGTAATTTAGAGACAAATATAGAAAGTTACACAGTTGCTTAAAAAAAAAAAAAAGCACCTTAGCTCTTTTAATATGAAGAATTCGGTTTTCTTAAGCAAAGACCTAATAAAGCAAGAACAGACCAATACTTCAAGAAAAGTTTGTTACCACTGTACTTTTGATATTAAGGGTCATCATTTTTAAAGTAACTTTTAAATATAAAATTCATTCACGTCCTAGCCACCTTGACCATACATAAAATTCCTTTTTCACGGTTGCTTTTCTACATGTCTACAGTTTTCTCATATGCATTCATATGAATGCCCTATAGGGCACGGGTTTTGTCCTATACCTGTATAGGTTTTGCCTGTGTGGGTATAGGTTTTGCCCTATACCCGTCTTCCTTCCCATTGTGCACAACCAGTCATTCTTCTTTAGGATGGAAGTTACTTTTTCCCTTAACAAAAACACATCTTTTATACCTTAATAGCTTTTTTTTTAACCAAAAACATGTCTTACTTTCCTCCATACAGAGTTGTTTACCTTATTATTTCTAGTTTTAATTACCATATAGTAATTGGAATTTGTAAATTTAATTTTTAGAAGCATGTGCTTCTTCATGGTACAGTTTTTCAGTGGGACACAGGACATGATTACTAACAGACCTGAATATCTTTCGTTCTGAAATAAGCCAAAAGTGGATAACTTAAGTTGAGCACTTAATGTTTCAGTATTTTATCTATGTGGAAATGATCTAGATATTCAATGAATATCTGTCATTTAATTTAACTTAGCAAAACTCCAATAGTGTAAGTTAACAGATTTTGGAAACTGGTTTTAAGTAGATGTATTATAACATAAAACAAAGCTAGCCATTATCAAGTTATTTCCTTGTTAGCTATTTTTACAGCATGTGCATGTTAGGTAGTCATCGTGAAAGCAAGAATCTTAAGTTAAATACATGTTTTTTTTGTTTGTTTGTTTTACTGCTGTGCTGTATAATACATGATGCTGTTAGCAGCGGAACGTATCAGAGACACGGCACCAAAGTATGTTACTGTCGGCGAATTCATACGGCTCTGCAGCAACCTCAGTTCTTGCCTTCTCAGCAGAAAGAATTCGACTGAGAGGCATAAGGCAGAAGGAGAGATTGAGGCAAGTTTTAAAGCAGGAGTGAAAGCTTTAAAGCAGGAATGAAAGGAAGTAAAGTATACTTGGAAGAGGGCCAAGTGGGTGACTTGAGAGATTAAGTGTGCGGTTTGACCTTTTGACTTGGGGTTTTATATGGTGGCATGCTTCTGGGGTCTTGCATCCCTTTTCCCATGATTCTTCCCTTGGGGTGGGCTGTTTGTATGTGCAGTGGCCTGCTAGCACTTGGAAGGGGCCAGCCTATGCAGTGTGTTTACTGGAGTTGTATGCATGCTCTTTTGAGGTGTTTTTCCCTTACCACTCACATGTCCCTGGAAGGTCATATATCAGTTAAAATCCTCCATGTTGCTTCTTAATGCATATGCTGGAGCCCACTCGCCCGACTCCTGACATCTTATTGGAAAGCTGCTGATCACCAATTTCAGGTGTTTCTGTTTACTGGGAGACTGCGGATCCCTGGCTCTGGCTGCAACCAATTATTAGAGAGACAGTTAACAACTGCCTGGCCATCTCCTGATGGTCGCCTAACATAACTGGCTGTGTGTGTGTGTGTGTGTGTGTGTGTGTGTGTGTGTGTGTGTTGGGGGAGGGGGCCTCTCCTGCCCTGCTTATACCTGACTAGCTACCTACTGTAACAAGGCACTTGGAAACTGGACGTTGCACTTTCACTTGCACATTTGTTCTTAGGTTGAACCCATAGTTCTATAATCTTAAACATCTAGTAAAGATAACAAACTTATTTGACTAGTAAAAGCAGGTAAAATAAAATGTTATGCTCGTATTATACTTAAAGCTGGTAACTCAGAAGACACAGCTGTTTGTATTAAACCAACAATATTGAGCTAGTCTTATTTACCCAAGATTTACCCAAGTTATGTGAACTTTAAAAACATTTTGGGTTAGTTCCATTGTCTTTAAGAGTTTAAGTAATACAGTCTTCCTTCTGTCAAGGTTCCATGACCCCCTGTGGAAACCAAAATCTGAAGATGCTCAAGTTCCACAGTTGGCCTTGTACATACAAAAAGTTAGCCCACTGTATTCTTGTAACCATCCAGTGGGTTCATTTTGCCTGTTGCCCAGATAGAGCTGATTTATCAAGAGAGGGGAATTGCAATAGAGAAAGATTTTAATTCATGGAGAGCCAGCTGAATGGGAGACTGGAGTTTTATTACTTCTCGTATCCACCTCCCTGAAAATTTGGAGGCTAGGGTTTTTCAAGGATAGTTTGGTGGACAAGGGAATGGGTGCTGCTAATTGGTTGTGGATGCAATCATAGCGGTGTGGAAATGGTCCCTGTGTGCTGAGTCTGCTTCTAGGTAGGGGCTACAAGGACCTGTTGAGTCAAGGGTCGTGGGTCTGGATGGGGCTGTTGGTGGTCCGAAACATAAAAGCTTGAAAAGACGTATCAAAAGGCTAGTCTTAGGCTCTACAATACTGATGTAGGAGTAATTGGGGAGATTGTAAATCTTGTGATCGCCAGGATAATGTCTGGTAATTGATATCTATACCTTAGCAGAATTTGGGCTCCTCTCATCTTCCTAATTTTGTGGTCTTTCATTAGTTTTACATAGGCAGTTTAGTTTTGGGGAATGGTTAGTATTTAAACTATTATCTTAATTATACTTTAGATTATAATTTATAAATTATAATTTAGATTATAATTTATAAATTATAATTTAGATTATAATTTATAAAATTAAAATAAAATAATTATTAAATTATTATAATCTAAATTATTGAATTGTAATCTAAATTTCTCCCAAAGTTAGCTTGGCCCAAGCCCCAGGAATGACTAAGTAGACATTTTGGAGGTTGAAGGCAAGATGGGAGTTGGTTAGATCAGATCCCTTTCAATGTCATAATTTTCTTACTGTTATAGTTTTTGCAAAGGTGGTTTCATTCTTGGGTTCTGCAACCTGCAAATACTGTATTTTTGACCCATGGTTGGTTGAATCTGCAGATGCAGAACCTGTGGTTATGGTGGGCCAGCTATACTTAATTTACATAAGCACTTACTTTTCTTTAAGCCGATTAAATGGAGCTCTTTTATAAATTGTCTTTGGCAATACCATCCGGATGTCGAAAAATATCACAAAAATGTAACACATGTACGTAAATATATAGGCAGATATAAACATCATATAGCTCTCATTCTAAAATTTTAGTCGTGTGCCAGGTCTAAATACAAAACTCACTTGTTTATTAAAAAAAAAAATAGCTAGATTCAAGTTGTGTATCTGGCCAGATGGCTACGCTTCTTATTGATGTTTATGAAAAAGACTGAAGATTTTTTATTTGCCAATTTCCAAATAGTTGTACCCCTGTTTTCCTCTTCTGATGAGTCATCTTCCCTAAATTTGCATGTCTAAAGGGATTGCTCTTAGGTTAGACTAGGTAGAGCATTTATATCTCAAAGGCACAGAGCTAAGGCTTCAGGCTTCAATACTGTCATTTACTGAAACAAGGAAAGACGAGTGTAGGTAAAGCCCCAGTTACAACAAGATGGCCAGGAAAAGCTTCTTAAATGCTTGGGTAAAGCTAGTTATATAGGTTTAAGTCATTGCCTTCTCCATTCTAAGAATTCCTAGTGATTCAGTCCTTCTCTCTCTGGTGCAGAGAGAGAGACAAATGATTTCTTTTATAGATGTAAATTTCCCTTACAAAACAGTCTAAAAATAACTGGTTAAAAATAGTCCTTATGCCAGTAGGGCAGATTTTGGAGACTAATTTGGCTAGAAGGATCAAGAAGTCCTGGATCTTGTCCTCCAATGAGAATTCTGAATTCCTCAGCAAATTTCTGGGGGTTTTCCTTTGGGACAGAGAAAATTTTGCTTGATCTGAGCTCAAGATTTTGACCAAGGCATAAAGGTGGTTAAAGATACAGACCTGGTTGATGTGTGGGCCTAACTTTATAAAGCATTTGTCTAGCTTTTCATCTTTGGGTTGGGAAGATAACTGAGCTAAAAGCTTAGTAGATAAAGAATAGGCAGAGGATGGGGTGGGGTGGTGGGGTCAGAGTTAAGTCAGTCAACATGTAATTAAAAAAAAAATCAACTGCTTAAGCTTTTCATTTGCCTTTTGTAGGGAGTCTTTGAGAGGCAATTTTTGAGTCTTTTAGGAGCTTCTTCTGCACACCAAAAAAAACCCCAAACAGAACTCTTGTTTCTGAGGTATTTTGGATCCTGTTTTTCTAATGTGCCTTGCAAATGAAATTTTATCACTGTGGCCCCTGTAACTCTTGAGTTACCTTTGGTAAGGTTCACTCATTTCTCTAAAAAAATCACAGGTTCTGAGCCCTTAGTTCTTAAACATAAAATTGGCTGACGTTCCAGATGGTTGGAGTTCTAGAGTCCTTGTCTGCAGATGAACCCATGATTCACAGCCTTCTCAAACTTACCTAACTTACCTTATATAAGACTATATTGGGCCTCCTGCTAGACCCAATATAGTCTCTGTCATGACTTACAGGCCCAGTGTGGATCGGAAATGCTCATAGTCAAGAGAATTCAAAACAAGTAGTTAAGCTTGTACCTGAGAGGGACCTACCAATGGTGACCTCCAAATGCGCAGCAAAAAGTGATGAACTCAAGGGGCTCAGTGGGGGCACTTATGCCTGTTACTCATTGCTCCTGTGGGTTATCATTGGTGGGATCTCCTTCAGACCCTCATTTCTAACACTAGAACTATTAAAAGAAAAACTTTAGACAAAAGAAATTTAGCAGAGTTTATTTAAGCAAAGAATGATTTATGAATTGGGCAGCACTCAGAACCAGAAGAGGTTGAGAGAGTTCTGCTCTGAAGCATGTGGGCAGTGTACTTTTATAGCCTGAACACAGAAGTAAGATGAAGAAAATATATTTGGTTAGAGTGGCAAGATCCTAGCTAGAGGTTAGTTGATGGTTTCTGAGTGGTTGAGGTTAAGTTTCATTATCCTGTTTACATTGAATTGGGTTTTGATTTGCTTAACGTAGGAGCTCCATTTTACAGAGCTCAGGCTAATGGCTTCTATCTGATTTGTTTTAATAGTAGTCATATTTCCCATCTCAAGGTGTGGCTGAAGCACATGTTTATTGTCTGTAATAGCCAAGTAGAATGGTTGTGGGAAATTGTAGGTATCATTGTTTTAGCATTCACTCACACATATTCGTGTATATTCTCTCACTCCACTACAAGTAGAAGTTGTAGAAGTTAGAGTAGATGTTAAGTGAGAATCTGATATGACTACAGTATATGCTGAACATTCTGTCCATTGTGTTCATGGGGAAGCATGGTTTTTACTCTCAAGGTTCCATATATTATAATAAATAAAAATGTCTTTAGCCTACTTTACCACATAATGTAACTACTTAAATTGTTATTTTACCAAGTAGTTTTGTTTTTGACTTGATGACATACTTAAGTGTCTCTGTTTCCTGAATGACTTTTCATCTGTGTCTGTTTTCTTCCAGAGGTAAAACCAAACATATATATCAGTTTTAAGCACATTTCTCATAAAGTCAATGACGGGAACTTCTTTAAATTCAGTTTATATGTTTGTTCTGGTCATTCTTCCACCTCTATATGTTGTCTGTATGTATAATGCCCTTTTCCTTTTTTATCAGACCTCTGCTCTTTATTCCCATTCAGTGAATGGAGGGGAAACTACTACTATTTAAGTCTTACTCATTTTATTTCTCTGTGCGTTTGCTCTCTCCAGTTTTCTTATTTGCATACTGTTTTTATGCCACTCAAAACTAAAACTGGAGATAATCATTGAAGATGTTAAATACATATATTGTAATTTTGAATGTTACAAAGTAGAAGACCTATTGTATTTAATTGTATGTGAAATTTATATTTATTGCATTGCACATCTCCAAATGATGTGCACATTTGTGCACATCACAAATCCCTTTTGGATCTCCAAATTCTTGTTTAGCACTATTCCTTCAGAATTGACTTTGTTATAATAAAGTTTTACTTGTATCTTTTAGTGTAAATTTAGAGGAACTGTTATAGTCTCCAGTGTGTAACAGTTAATGTTTAAAATTTCTTCCTACAGTGAGCTGTCACCATGTTTAATAAATTATAGTATTCATTAGCATAAATTACTTTGGGTGCCAAGTTAGCTATTGCACAGATGCTTTGTATTATTTATAGATTTGTATCTAACCTTTACAAGTTGACTTGCTTTTGTTTTTCTGTTCACTTGTCACCATGCAGTAGGCAGTAGCATAATTATTTAAGTAATAAAAATTACAAAAATAATTTTCAGGAAGAGATCTGTTGAAACTTCTAAGAGTTAGGTTGCTCAAACTTTTCTACCTTGAGCAATATAGTAAGATAAAGCTCCCATATTTTAAGTAGACATATTGCGTTGTCTTTATTTGAATCTGATCCTTGTATATTAGTGCCTCGGTATCCGTGGGGGATTTATTCCAGAACCCCCACAGATACTAAAATCCACAGATGCTCAAGTCCCTCATATAAAATTGTGTAGAATTTGCATATAACCCATGCACATCTTCCTGTATAATTTAAATCATCTTTAGATTACTTATAATACCTAATATGATGTTAATGCTATGTAAGTGGTTGTTATACTGTATTGTTTTTAAAATTTGTATTATTTTGTATTGTTATATTGTTAGCATTTGTTTTGTTTTTTTCCTCCCACGTATCTTTGATCTGAAGTTGGTTGAGTTCTTGAATGCAGAACACACGGATACAGAGGGCTATCACCACTACCTTTCTTCCCAACATTGTGGTAAACTACAGGGGTGTCTTTAGCTGACAAATTAGATAGAGGCAGCACCTTAATTGTTTCCCTCTGGAGTTTTGAGCTGCCGGGACTTACTTTTGTCTTTGTGGGACGGGTGAAGCAGGCAATTCATTATTAACTTTATAGTTTATCTTAGAGTAAATTGTTGATATTTACTTAACATCTAAGAGTCTTCTCTTAGATTAAACTTTTTTTGAATGAGGACTTCAGTTTTAGTTACTGATCAGATTCAGGAAGAATAATTCTATCAAACATTCTTTTTTGAGTTGTGGATGCTCTATAAAGATATCGGAATTCATCTTTGGAAGGAACAGACTGTCATTAAAGTCTTAAATGTCTATTTTGGTATTTTCTGGATTTGCTAATGATCTAACTTTCTAATTTAGTAATATTTTATTTAGATAAATGAAACCATGCTTATGAAATCATTGACAGATGAATCACCTCCAACTCAATAGGTTAAGCATTTTAGAAAATTTATGAATATTTTCAGACACATATTTTAAAAATTTCTAGACACAAGATCTTATATTTTAGCTATTTTTCGATATGCTATGTTTCTGACAATTTTAGGAAAAATAAAATCTTATTTCTAATGTAAATTATATGAATTTCTAAAAATAAGGCTATATTAAACATCATTCTAAAACCAAAAAAAAATTGTTACATTACAATGAATCTTCTAGGTCTTTGCAAAAGAGAGGGAACTTTTCTTTTTCAGTTTTCAATTTATAAAGAGTTTAGATTGAATTATGAATAAAGCTGCTGTAAACATCCATGTGCAAGTTTTTTTTATGGACATAAAGTTGTCACCTCCTTTGAGTAAATACCAAAGAGCATGATTAATGGATCATGTGGGAAGATTATGTTTAGTTTTGTAAGAAGCCACCAAACTGTCTTCCAAAGTTGGCTGTACCATTTTGCATTCCTACCAGTAATGAATGAGAGTTCTGAGGCAGGAGAATAGCGTCTGGAGGCAGGGAACCTAAGGCTGATTGACGCTGACTTCCTAGAACTGAATCAAAAGGAAAACCCCAACTTTCCATGCCCAGGTAACAAGGGAACAGAGGGGTTGGGGGTGCAACCCCTGCACCCCCAACCCCTCTGCCACCTTCTGCATTGCAGATGAGAAATGGAAAGTACCTTTGATTGGTCCGCTCCTGCAACTGATCAGACTGGTCACCGGCCTAGTCTTCATTTGCATAAAGATGTAACTTTGTGACTTAAGCCTCTGATTGGTCACTTTCCACCATCAATCAGACTGGTTGTGACCCACTACTTCATTTACATAGGGTGTAACCAGGTAACCAGTGGGAAACCTTTAGTGGGTATTTACACCCCAGAAAATTCTGTAACCAGTGCTCTTGAGCCACTTGCTCGAGCCTGCTCCCATTCTGTTGAGTGTACTTCTGGTTCAATAAATCTGTGCTTTCGTTGCTTCATTCTTTTGTTGCTTTGTGTGTTTTGTCCAATTCTTTGTTCAAAACACCAAGAACCAGGATGACTCATAGTCAAGACCTTCCACCAGTAATAGTTCTACATCCTCACTGCATTCGTGATGTCAGTGTTCTGGTTTTTAGCCATTCTGATAGGTATGTAATGGTATCTCATTATTTTAATTTGCATTTCCCTGATAACGTATGATGTGGATCATCTTTTCTGTATACTTTCTTTGGTGAGATGTCTGTTAAGTTCTTTGGCCCATTTTTTAATAGGATTTGTTTTCTTGAATTTTTTTCATCTATTTTGAATAGCAGTACTTTATCAGATATGTCTTGCAAATATTTCCTGACAGTCTATGGCTTCTCTTTTTATTCTCTTAACAGTGTCTTTTATGGAGCAGAAATTTTTTAATGTGAATGTCAGCTTATCACTTCTTTCATGGATTATGTGTTTGCTGTTGTATCTAAAAAGTCATTGCCAAACCCTGGGTCATCTAGATTCTCTTTTATCTTCTAGGAGTTTTATAGTTTTGTGTTTGATATGTAGGTGTGTGATCCATTTTGACTTAAGTTTTGGGACGGGTATAAAATCTGTGCCTAGATTAATTTTTTTGCATGTGAGTATCCAGGTGTTTCAGAATTATTTGTTGAAAAAACTATCTTTGCTCCATTATATTGCCTTTGTTCCTTTATCAAAGATCAGTTGACTGTATTTATATGGGTCTATTTCTGGGCTCTCTGTTCTGTTTCACTGATCTTTTTGTCTGTTCTTTTACCAATACCACACTGTCTAGATTATTGTAACTTTAGATAAGTCTTGAAGTCAGACACTGTCAGTCTCCCACCTTTGTTCTTCAATATTGTGTTGGTTATTCTGGGTCTATTGCCTTTCCATATAAATAAACCTTAGAATCAGTTTAACAGTATCCCGAAAATAATCTGCTGGGATTTTGATTGGTATTGCATTGAATCTATAGATCAAGTTGAGAAGAACTGACATCTAGAAAATATTGAGCTTTCTTATCCATGGACATGAACTATCTTTCAGTTTAATTAGTTCTTTTTGATATCTTTGATCAGAGTTTTGTAGTTTTGCTCATGTAGATTTTGTACATGTTTTGTTAGATTTACCTATTTCATTTTGGGAGGATGCTAATGTAAATGGTATTGTGTTTTAAATTTTAAATTCCACTTGTTCCTTACTGGCATATAGCAAAGTAGTTGACTTTTGTCTATTAACCTTGCATCTTGCAACCTTGCTTATTAGTTCCAGGAGTTTTTTTTGATCAGTTCTTTTGGATTTTCTACATATATTGTCATATTATCTGTGAACAAAGTTTTATTTCTTCTTTCAACCTCTGTACTTTTTCTTTCTCTTCTTATTGCATTAGCTAGGACTTGCAGTATGATGTTGCAGTGCAGTGGTGAGAGAAGACAAGACATCCTTGCTTCATTGTTCATCTTAATGGGAATGCTTTGAGTTTCTCACCATTAAGCATGTGTAAACTGTAGGTGTTTCTATTTTTGTTTTGTATTCTTTATTAAGTTGAGGAAATTCCCTTGTATTCCTAGTTTATTTTACTGAGAGTTTTTTTTGATGCGTGGGTATTGAACTTTTTTTTTTTTTTTTTGAGATGGAATTTTGTTCTTGTTGCCCAGGCTGGAGTGCAATGGTGCAATCTCGGCTCACTGCAACTTTTTCCTTCCAGGTTCAAGCAATTCTCCTGCTTCGAGTAGTTGGGATTACAAGCTACCCAACCTGCTAATTTTGCCACCACACCTGGCTAATTTTGTATTTTTAGTAGAGATGGGATTTCACCATGTTGGCCAGACTGGTCTTGAACTCCTGACATCAGGTGATCCACCTGCCTCAGCCTCCCAAAGTGCTGGGATTACAGGCGTGAACCACTGCGCCTGGCCTGGGTATTGACCTTTTGTCAGATGCTTTTTCTGCATTTGTTGATAAGATCATGTGATTTTTTTTTTCTTTAGCCTGTTGATATGGACTACATTAATTTATTTTCAGATTGCACACCTGCAATAAATCCCACTTGGTTGTAATATACTGTTCTTGTTATACTATGTTGGATGGAATTTGCTATTTGCTGAAGACTTTTGCATCTGTATTCATGAGAGATATTGGTCTGAAGTTTTCGTGTAATGTCTTTGTCTAGTTTTGGTATTAGGGTAATGCTGAACTCATATCTACTTCTCTCTCCTGAAAGATATTGTAGAGAATTGGTATAAGTTTTTCTTTAAATCTTTGGAAGAATTCTCCATCTGGGCCTGGTGCTTTATATTTTGGAAGGTTATTACTTACTGATTCCGTTTCTTTAATAGGTATAGTCCTATTCAGGTTGTGTCTTCTGTGAGTTTTGACAGATTGTGTCTTTCGAGGAATTGGTCTGTTTCATCAAGGTTGTCAAATTTGTGGGCATAGAGTTGTTCACAGTATTCTTTTGTTATCCTTTTAATATCCATGGGATCCATAGTAATGTCCCCTTTTATTTCTGATATTAGTAATTTGTTTCCTCTCTTTCTTAGCTAGCCCACCTAAACGCTTGTTAATTTCATTAATATTTTCAAGGAACCAGCTTCTGGTTTCATTGATTTTTCTCTATAGATTTCCTGTTTTTTAATTTCATTGATTTCTGCTCTAATTCTTACTCTTTCTTATGCTTACTTTGGATTTAATTTATTCTCTTCCTAATTTTCCAAGGTGGAAGCTTATAAATGATATTAGGTCTTTCTTTTCTAATTTATGCATTCATTAAGTCATTTATGCCTTAAGTTGCAATTTTTTGAATTTCTGCAATCAGGCCTTGGCAATGATCTTGTGCAGTAGGGTATGAATAACTCCCACATGCTTAGCGTTCCAATAATGGAACACTAGACATTAATAAATTTCCCTCAAAAGCACTGCTTTTGCCACGTCCCACAAATTTTGGTACATTTTGTTTTCATTTAGTTCAAAATATTTTAAAGTGTCTCAAGATTTCTTTGTAAGTCCATATGTTATTTAGAAGTGTTGTTTAATCCCCAAGTATTTTGGGATTTTTGCATTTATCTTTCTGTTGATTTCTTAATTCAGTTGCAGCCTGAGAGCAGACATTATATGACTTCTATTTTAAATTTGTTATGGCATGTTTTATGGCCCAGAATGTGGTCTGTCTTGGTGAACATTCCATGTAAGCTTGTGAAGACTGTGTATTCTGTTGTTGTTTGATGAAGTAGTCTTTTGTTCATTATATCCAGTTAATTAATGATTTGTTGAGTTCAACTATGCTTACTGACTTTCTGCCTGCTGGATCTGACCATTTCTGGTACAGCAGTGTTGAAGTCTCTATATTAGTGGATTCTTCCTTTTTTTCCTTTTATTTCTATCAGTTTTTGCCTCACATATTTTGATACTTTGTTGTTAGGTACATAAACATTAGATATTGTTATGTCTTCTTAGAGAATTGACCCCTTTGTCATTATGTAATGCTCCTCTTTGTCACTGATAACTTTTCTTGCTTTCAATTTTGCAGTATCTGAAATTAATACAGCTACTCTTACTTTGTTTTATTAGTGTTAGCATGGTATAACTTCCTCCATGTTTTTACTTTTAATCTATATGTGTCTTTACATTTGAGGTGGATTTCTTACAGACAACTTATACTTGGGTCTTGTTTTGTTATCCACACTGATGTTTTAATTGGTGCATTTAAACTGTTGATGTTCAAAGTCAGACTTAATGTCATCAATAGCTTCTAAGAAACTCACTTTTTTTTTTCATTTTTTTTTTTTTAAGTTCAGGGGTACTTGTGCAGGATGCACAGTTTTGTTACACAGATAAACGTGTGCCATGGTGATTTGCTGCGCTGATCATTCTGTCACCCAGGTATTAAGGCCAGCATCCATTAGCTGTTTTTCCTGATGCTCTCCCTCACCCCACCCAACCCTCTGACAGGTCCCAGTGTGGGTTTTTCCCCTCCATGTGCCTGTGTGTTCTCATCATTCAGCTCCCACTTATAAGTGAGAACATAGAGTATTTGGTTTTCTGTTCTCGTGTTAGTTTGCTGAGGATAATGGCCTCCAGCCCCATCCACGTCCCTGCAAAGGACATGATCTAGTTCCTTTTTATGGCTGATAGTGTTGCATGGTGTATATGTACCACATTTTCTTTATCCAGTCTATCACTGATGGGCATTTAGGTTGATTCCATGTCTTTGCTATTGCGAATAGTGCTGCAGTGAATATATGTGTGCATATATCTTTATAATAGAATGATTTATATTCCTTTGGGTATATTCAGTAATTGATTGGTGGGTCAAATGGTTGAACTAACTTACACTCCCACCAATAGTGTAAAAGCATTCCTTTTTCTCCACACCTCGCCAGAATATACTTCATAAGGACTTGTTGAAAAACCTGTGGTTAGAAGTCTTTCTTACAGCTTTTGTTACAGATATCTCAAACTGAGGGTACAATTATAATGTGGAATTAGTGCTTGAGTAAATATAAGTAATTTCAGTTATAGTCTCTGTATTAGTCCATCCTCACACTGCTATAAAGAAATACCCAAGACTGGGTAATTTATAAAGGAAAGAGGTTTAATTGACTCACAGTTCTGCAAGGCTAGGAAGGCCTCAGGAAATTTGCAATCATGGCAGAAGGAGAAGCAGAAGCAAGTACCTTTTTCACAAGGTGAGGCGGCCGGAGAGAGAGAATGCAAATGGGGAAGAGCCACTTATAAAACCATCAGATCTCATGAGAACTCACTATCATGAGAACAGCATGGGGGAAACTGCCTCCATGATCCAATCACCTCCCACCAGGTCCCTCCCTCAACACATGGGGATTACAATTTGAGATTAGATTTAGGTGGGGACACAGAGCCTAACCATATCAGTCTGATAACAGTTTTCTGCCCCCCTCAAGAATCTCCATTTTTATGGTGAGCAAGTGTGAGACTTTCAGATGATTACAAGGTTGAAAGAGACCATAATTTTTTTTTATCATATATAAAGAATAAGAACCAGCTAAGTAATAAGGATAATGGAAAACTTGATTCTGAGTTTTGACCTTTTACTTCCTTAGACACATTGTTTTCAGTTTTCTTTATAGTCTTAGTGCTTTGATAGCCATGTTTAAAGTTTTTATTTTTTACAAAATCAGTATGTACTTTCTGTTATTTTTAAAGAATAGTTTATTTGAAAACAGCATGGGATTTTTGCCTCTCAAACAAGGACAGGTGAAAATTGGGAGTTCTGTAGGAGAGCAGAAGTGGAGAGGCTTTTGTGTTCTTGCCCTTTCCCTTCTCTTTAACTGATTATCCCCATCTAGGTTTGTATCTCGAAATTCAGATCAATAGGTGGGATTACAATTGAAAGGTTATTAATGAATACAAGGGTGGTGGTACAAGAGTTTACCTTAGGCAAGTTGTATGGAAGACAGTAATAGATAATTTTGTCCATAAAACTTTTCCTATTTTGATTATGTAATCTCAATATTCATAATTTGTTAAGTATACATCAAGGGAACTGTTCCTGTCATCTAGAATGACCATCTATTTAATAAAGCCATGAAACAATTAGAGAACTTTCAGAAAACAAATGGGCATAATGCTATGTTGCAAAAACATGTCCTGCCTTGTTCACCCTGTCCATTTTTAGATTGGTCTGGATGATAGTGAAATGCAGAAGTGTTTGCCACACAGGTGCAGTGTTTTGCAGCTGTTGGAAACATTCCCCCTCACCCACAACCCCTTTGCTTTCTTCACATAAAATTATGCTGTGCTTAGACCATTAATACTAGAAGATGGGATTTGAGAATTTGAATGTCTGTTTACATAAAGATGTAATA
The DNA here is from genome assembly GCF_000001405.40 of Homo sapiens. Taxonomy (NCBI): domain Eukaryota; kingdom Metazoa; phylum Chordata; class Mammalia; order Primates; family Hominidae; genus Homo; species Homo sapiens. The sequence continues at coordinate 65,206,245 of NC_000012.12, forward strand.
CAGAGAAATAACTGCTCATTCAGGCATCTGAATGTAACTGCCTAGATGAATTTATTAAAACTGTCCTTAAGGTCACACTAGCCTTAAGGTCATGGAGTTTTAGATACAAGAGACTGCCTTTAAAACTCCTGTCTGTAGAATTGCTGCCCTCCAGGACTGAACTGTCTTTGAGGACAGGGCTTATATATATTTATTTTTAAATCTCTTGTAACTAACATAACACCTGGACAAGTAGGCACTTTATATGTTTGCGAATATTTTATGTTGGAAGATGAAGCCAAATGAAAATATCTTTTAGTATGGTACTAAATCAGAAATTATAATTTTTTTAAACTGATGCCATGTGGTACACTCTATAGTAGTCATGAACAGAGTGCCATGGCCTGAGAGAGAAGGGGAGAGTGAATAATCATGTCCATGGAAATCACGGGATACTTTATATTTTTATGTATCACGGAAAATACTTCCCTAGACTACAATTGGAGAATTTGTTTTGAAGAGAATTTTTTTCCTCATCTAAGAGAAAATAATGTATTTTCCAACAGCAGTGTTTTCCCTCCATATCCCCATTTTTGTCATTTTTGATGCATTATATAATAACCAAATTAATGATTCAAAATTGGAAAGTTTTAGAGCATGCTTTCTTTATATAAAACCAATATTTTATTTTCTGTAGTTATTTCTATGATGAGAGTTATGTATGCTTTGGAGTCAGACATAAATAGGTTTGAATCTCATATTTTTTAATCCCAACTTACTAAATTGTTTACCTCAAGGAAGCAACTTAACCTCAACATGTCTCAATATTTCTGTCTGCAAAAATAGGGCTAATACCACTCTAAACGGTAGTGTTATGAGGATGAAATGAGGTACCTCTTGAGTACATGGCAGCAGCATTATTCCTGGCGCGTATTAGGAACTCAGTAAACATAATTTCCTTTTTATTCAACGGAGAGGGTTGTAGTAATCAAGACTATAGTACTTTTTCTGGCATTGATGAAGCTGCTATTCTAGGAGACCATAGTATGCCCTCAAGTTTCTATTTGTTCAGCATGTGCATAGTACACAGTATCTGCAAAGGCATTGAGATATGTGGCGATATTGCAGTCTTGTTGGGGGTGGGGGTGAGGAGTAGAACACCAAATATTGAAATCATGATAAAAGGTAGTACATTACTGAGATTCTGAGAAGGGGGATTCTGAGAAGGAGGTCACGATAAACTGCAGTGATTAGGCATCCTTCATGGTGGTAGCATAGCTGCGAACTGAACCTTCAAGGCAAATTGGAGAAGAAAAACATTCAGGCCTAAAGAAGACCAGAAAGAGCAAGTGCTCAGTCTTCTGAGAGAATATTTTTGTGTGCTGTAATTGACAGTGGTTCCATGTATACAGAACAAAAAATTGTCATATTAGACTGAAGCTGGCTGTGTTGATCCAAAGAAAGCGTAGGAAAGCATCCTGAATATACTATTGCCTGTTTTCCTGACTCATAAATAGCATATCCTTTATTCTCCAAATGCTTAGGACTCTTAAACTAGCAAAGCATATACTTTGAAGTTTATAAACGTATAGATGTGTTTGCAAGTTTTTCCTTTTTATCTGAGAATTCATAACATGATAAACTTTATTTCTGTGTAAGAGAATGGAAAACAGTTTACATTTGAGAAAAGATCAGTAAAACTAGTAACATTTTTGGAATTGGTGGGGGTAGAGGAAGGGAGGGATTTGGAGGAGAAGCATTGTGTGTCTTATAAGAAATTATCACAAGATAATTTGTTCCTTGCAACAAGGTGTGATTAGGAACCATTGGAAAATTTTGAGGATTCTAATGAAACATTTAAGGAATTTGATTTTTACAGTTAGTAGAATAGTTTAAAGGGAAAAGAAGTCAAAATATTAAGGACCTTTACAAAGAAAAGCTTGGTATATTTGAGGCTTGAAATAATCTGAACTAAAGTATTGAAGAAGAAATGTCCAAAAAAGCAATAGTGAGAGGCTGTTGGGAGTGTAGGGTTAAAGGAGGACAACAGATCAAAAATGGCTGCAAGGCTCTGCCTTTAGGGGATGGAAGAGTAAATTTTGAAGTACCGTCTTGGTATTATCATTGCTCTAGGATAAGGGATAAGAGCTGTAATTCACTCTCAGGTCCCTCCCTAGTTTTCTAGTGACTGAATAAAGAATGAAGTGGCAAATTTTTGCTGTGGGATGCTTTTGAAACAAGGTTTCTTCTCTTCGGTTACCTAATTGGGAGAGGGTGTTATATATTTTCACTAGGGGTAACAGTATATGTTGTTTCCATTAAAGACTAGGTAATTTGGATGTGATAGAAGATATTGGTGTGTTTTTAGAAATACTGAAATGATTTGGGGAAAGAAAAAATGTATAAAGATACTTTGAAAACTTTGAGGGCTTTTAATTTGTTAGAGTTGCTGTTTTTGGTTGGTGTTTTCTTGTAAAAACTTAACCCCAAGGATATGTTTTACTTCTGCTGTTGTTAATAGGTCTCTGTTCATTTAATAGGTGGCAATTATCATGAGCATTTGGGGAAAAAAATTTTAACGAAGTTTTGTTGGGCAGAAAGTATACTCTTGGCTTTTTTAGGTATGTTATACTCCAGGTATTTTAGACTACAAGGCAAGAGGCAGAAATCTAGAAGGATACTAGGGGTAGAGCAATATTTTCAGCAAAATTGTTTTCCCCCTCTTCAGCTTTCTCTGTTACCCTATCCCTCTCCCTTTTTAGTAGCTCAGAACATACCCTCCTCCAGCATCCTGCAAAATTGAACACTTTTGCTTCAGTGTTAACACACAAAGTGAAATAAAGAAGAGTGCCGAGATAGCACAACAAGCATTTTTCAAGCACTAACTATATATCTAGTACTATGCTTGGTTCTGGGCATGCACATGTGTATAACACACGCTCCCTGTCTTGAGAAGCCCACAGTAGAGCAGTGTGGTGAACATTGATAATTTACAGTTATGCTTTTATGGAGCTACTCACAGAGCTGATTTTCCATTTGATAGTCTTGACAAAAAGTAATTTTGTGTATAATCAAAAAAGCAATACTAGCATAGCTTTTTTTCATAGACATTAAAACTTGTTTTTGGAACTGCACACTTATATTTTTAAGAATTGTTCTTATAAAGAGCAAATAAAACACCTTTTACACTTTGTATTGTTTGGCTAATTTATTGTCATTTGTTTGGCCAAATGACAAGGCATTTTTTTGGTAGTACGTTGAGCTAAATATAGCTGTTCAATGTTTATATTGAAAAATTAATATTATTAAAAAGGGTATCTTTTTAGTCCATGTGTTCTGATCCTTAACATTTTATTTAATCTTGAAGCTATATTATTTCTTCTCCCTATTCCCCTTTTGAGTACTTTTGATTTTCTGTAATATCTTTCAAAACATTTTCTTTCCCAACATTAAAACCCTTTTGATGTATAGAGAAATGTCGTTTAAAAATCCATTAGCAAAATCCCTTATGATGATAACAGGATACATTTTTTTTTCCTTGCTCTTTTATTGTACCTTGTTAAGCTGGTCTCACATGAACTTTCTTAGAATCAGGCAGTTCCTGGTTCCTATGGGACTTCCTGTTTTCTCAAATAAAAATAGAAAAGCATCTCAGAAAGGAAACCTGGTCAGTGTGAACTACTTTGTAAGATCAGTTAGTCTTAGTTAGTCTTAGTTGTGGCCTGGATTATATAGATATATAGTCTATATAAAATATAAAAGTTTACAGGTATCTGAAAGCTTTGAATATTTTCGTATGTAATATCAAAATAAACAAAATGATAAGGAGAAGACTCTGAATAAAAACCCTGAGAGGTGCTACATATTCAGCCGTAAACATTTTTGTATCTTAATTTAGAGGTGAATGAAGGAGGGGCATAGGGGTTGGATGGAAAGTGGTAAATCCTTTCCTTATTATGTAATATTTTATTGTAAATTTGGAATTGCTTAATACTGAGACTTAATTCTTAGTTACTTTGATCTGTATTTTTTTTTCTTGCCACTTTTTCAGATGTTGGCAAGGATTAGGAAGGTGGATTTTTAAAAAATCATTAGAAGTCAGAATTCTAAATGAATTATTCAGTTTTAAAGCATCTTGTAGATTTCTTTCAGTAGTTAACTGCTTCTTAGTCTATATTATGAAGAGAAATCAAATTAAGGTAGAAACAAATGATATAGTCATTAGCAGTAATAATAATGGATAGTGTGTATTGAGTACATATTAAGTGCTTGACACTGTGTCAAACATTTTATCTTGTTTATCTCATTTAATCCTGACAACAACTGTATAAGGTAGGTATCATTGTTATCCATACTCCTTTAAAGAAGAAACTACAATTTAGAGTAGCTAATTAGATGTTAGTTCAAAGAGACATTACTAATAAGTGGTAGAGGTGGAGCTGGGACTTGAACTCAGCTTCTGTGATACCAGAGCACCTGATCTCAATGATTGTGAGGAAAACCACTAATTCAAAGTGAGAATGATAAGTATAAGTCTGAAAAATTACTTCCCTAACCTTTATTATCACCAGTTTGTTTACATTTGGTTCACATATTTATATCCAGTTTTAGCAAAGTACATGCTGGCATTTCAGAGAGTTTGTTTGGGGGATTTTAATTCGTAAGTGATGCTAATACTTGTCTTTTTTTCCTTCCTTGATAGTAGAAAACCCCTTTGGTGAAACATTTGGAAAAATACAAGTAAGTAAACGATCATAATACTGATAATTTTGTGTCATGTTTTATATGATAAAAGCATGAGAATGACTATCAACTAAAAAAAAGTAATTTTAAAGTTATTTTAGTCTTAAACAATAGGTTTTATCAACTTAAAAAAATAGTAATTTTAAGGTTATTTTAGTCTAAAACAATAGGCTTTCTTATTCTGAGTATTCCCTAACTGTCGTATAATTAAATCTGACACAGATTTTCTCTTAAGAGCTGAACTGTTTATCACTTTACTGTAAAAGACTACTGCCAAGTAAAATGGGAGTGGCATATCATCAGTGGATCTTGTCTTACACTTAGAAGTATGCCTGTTGCCTGTAGTTGTTGGATACCTTAGCAGTTTTTGTCCGTTTTGCCCTCATTTTACCTCTTTGGATCTTCTGCATATTGGCATGCCTATTCGACCATCAAAAGGACTTAGAAAGGAAGCATATCCTTCAGGCTATTTCTTTAATTTTTTAAAGAGTGCTATAATACTAATTTTAACCTAAATTTTACTTATATAAAAATATTTTTCACTTACCCATCATTACAGGGACTTCAGAGATTAAGATGTTTAAGCTTGTAATTAGTTATTAATTTTTTATTATAGGAACTGTTATATAGACCTGTATAGAAAACATTATTTGTTGTACTGAAGGATGTGTAATAATGTGTAATCACATCCATAGAATATTACTTTCTGTTGTTAAAGTGGAACTCTGAAATGATTAGTAATATTCTATTGCAGTGATAATTGTTTAAAACAAAGTTGGCTTTTTCAGTTGCCTTAAGTATAACACTGCTACAGTGTCATAATTTAAATTTGGTACAGTATACTTACTGAACATTAGAAATAGAAGACTATTTTCTTCTGTTTAATTTTCCCCAAGGAAGAAACTGAAATTCTGAACTTCTGAATAATAGTAACAATTATAATGAAGATAGTGGCTGTTTACTTATATTAAATGCTCATTCTGTACAGGGCCCCTTGCCAAGTTGTATTAGTCTGTTCTCATGCTGCTAATAAAGACATACCGAGACTGGGTAATTTATAAAGGAAAGAGGTTTAATTGACTCACAGTTCGGCTGGGGAGGCCTCACAGTCGTGGCGGAAGGTGAAAGTCATGTCTTACCTGGTGGCAGGCAACAGAATATATGCAGGGCAACTCCACTTTATAAAACCATCAGATCTCACGAGACTTATTCACTATTCATCACGAGAATAGCATGGGGAAAAAAACCCACCCCATGCATGATTCAATTACCTCCCACCACTGCCTCCCACAACACGTGGGGATTATTACAATTCAAGGTAAGATTTGGGTGGGGACACAGAGCCAAACCATATCACAAGTGTTAAAATTCATTATTATTTAATCAAAGGCATAAGGCAAACAGTTTAAAATATCCTTGAAGAGTCCGGGCGTGGTGGCAGGCGCCTGTAGTCCCAGCTACTCGGGAGGCTGAGGCAGGAGAATGGCCTGAACCCGGGAGGCGGAGCTTGCAGTGAGCCAAGATTGTGCCACTGTACTCCAGCCTGGGCTACAGAGTGAGACTCCATCTCAAAAAAAAAAAAAAAAAAAATTCCTTGAAGAGAAAATTGGCTGAGGATTGAGGAGGGAAATATTTAATGGTGACAATATATGAGAAAATTGGATAGAGTCACCCTATAGATTTTTCTCCCTCCAAAATGAAAAACAATAGTCTGGGCCTTACTAAAACACAATTAGAAAGTAGCTAATTCAAATTACAAAATTGCCTTTATTTAATGAAAGATTATTTGAAAGCTTATTTTATGTATTTACTTGTGGAACTTTAACTAGTTTGCAGAATTATTAGGGAAGCCAGTAGTTAGACATTTAAGCTGAAATATTAGGAGACAATCTGAAAAGCAGTCAAAATGGAAGAAGAGTGTAATCAAACTGTAAACCAGTAAGTAAGTTTAAAAGTTGATTTGTATACTTTTCAGATTTACTGCTAGTTTAGTGTACTTGTACTAAAGATAACTGAACCAAAACCTTTGTTTCTTTCTCAAAATGTGTTCATTCACTTAATAGCATGTATCATCATGCCACTGCACTCTGCCACAGCCTGAGTGACAGAGCAAGACTGTAAAGATAGATAGATAGATAGATAGATAGATAAAGTAAATAGTATATCTCATAAACACCTACTTAGATTATAATTTAGTTGGTCATTTGGATAGCAGTTGAGGCCCTTCTAGTATATAGACGGTCATTTAAACTGTTTGTTTGTTTGTTTGTTTTTTTGAGACAAGGTCTCATTTTTATCACCCAGGCTGGAGTGCAGTGGCATGATCACGACTCACTGCAGCCTCAACCTCCTGGGCTCAAGTTATCCTCCCACCTCAGTCTCCTGAGGAGCTGGGACTACAGGTGCATACCACCACACCCAGCTAAATTTTGTATTTTTTTGTAGAGATGGGGTTTTGCCACATTGCCCAGGCTGGTCTCAAATTCCTGAGCTCAAGCAATTCTCCTGGCTCAGCCTCCCAAACTTGGGATTTCAGGTGTGAGCCACCGCACCCGGCCTTAAATAAATTTTCATTGGAAAGATAATTCTTGTAAAAAACTATAGTTGAGCTTTCTGAGTTCTTAAGTTATTTGTATGAGAATGTAACAGTATGTATGTCATCCAGTATGAGATCAGTTCCATCTGGTTAAGTGTTGTTACTTCTATTTATCTAGTCCAATGTTTAGTATCTGTGAATCAAAAGCTAAAGTTTATTCGCAGGTCCCTCTTATGTTTATTAAAGATGTAATCAGAGGACAGATGCCAATGTTCAAATTTTGTTTTGTTTTTGAAAGGGGAGTGAGGAAGGGTATGATAGTACATATAAAACAAAAAGAAAATAAGTCTCTTTTCCAGATGAGAGGAAAAGAAACACAAAACTTTCCATTGCTTTAATCCCAAAACTTAACTAGATTCACCTTGGTTTTTATGTGTCACATCCATAAGCTACACTGTCATTGGAACACCTACTCATCCTATTATGTTGAAGATATTTATTAAAAATGATTTTGTGGTTTAATGTATCACAAATGCTTAGGTTTCAGAATCCTGTTTCAGCCCTGCTCTTACTTTTTTTTTGAGATGGATTCTCGCTCTGTCACCAGGCTGGAGTACAGTGGCATGACCTCCGCTCACTGCAACCTCCACCTCCTGGGTTCAAGTGATTCTCCTGCCTCAGCCTCCCAAGTAGCTGGGACTACAGGTGCATGCCACCACGCTCAGCTCATGTTCCACCCTCCTCGGCCTCCCAAAGTGCTGAGATTACAGGCATGAGCCACCACACCCAGCCTACTGTTACTTTTTGATGTCTAATTTTGCAGTTTGAATTTTTGATCTTATGTGAAGATAAGGACTGGCTTGATTCAGAATCTGATTAAGATAAAATTGAGGCAAAAATATATATATATACGTAGGAAGGCAAGTAGTAAACTGAATGAATAAGTAACTTATCTCAGTCAACCGTCTGACATAAAACCAGGTATTCTGGTGGTAGGATCTTGGCACTTTTGATGAGTTTTCCTCTTAGTATAACCGATTAAAGCTGCAATGACAAAAGCATGCCACCCATAGTGTGCAAACATGTTCTCTTCTGTCCCTGCACATACACCACAAAATAAATGGATGAGGTTGCATGTTATTAGACATATAAATGTTACTTTTCCAGTCTTTTATATCTTGCTTCAATTTGCTCCATGATCTGTTCATCCAGTAAATCTGTTTTGTTGGAAACTTCAGGAAGAAAGAAAGTAATAAAGACAGAGCCCCCTGATAAATCATGGACTTATTTTAGGTAGTGCAATAAGCTATTACCCCCTCCCCACCCTACCCTCCATCATTTATGTCGATCCCTCCTGATCGTAATTGCTCTTAAATTGGAGGTCTTGTTGCTTTAGACTACTTGGCAGGTACTTAGGCTGTACCATTGCAATAATTCTCTATCTGGACTCTTTTCATACAATTATTTCTGCTTCCGAGCCAGCCTATACATTGTACATTCTGGCCCGGGTAGTATTCCTGATGCACAAGTCTGTTTTACTCTCCTGCTAAATTTTCAGAATGAAGTCAAACTCTCTGTCTTGCTATCCAAGGCTGTCTGGTAGTTAATACTAAACAACTTTTCTAGTAGTTTGCAGAATCAAACAAGGGCTACTGGTTATGTAAGAAATATAACCAATGCTTTCATGCCTTCATGCCCTTGCTCAGGGTCTTTCCCATTGCCTAGGATGCTGATCTGTTAGTTTTTCCTTTTAAATCAAACTCAAATATTCTGTTCCATAAATTCTGTTCCCTCCTTCCCTCCTTCTATATTTACAGAAGAAGGAGGGAAGAGAATCTTCTGTATTACTCTGCAGTTGTATAACATTTAATATGTTTTTTGCCCTTGAGTACAGGAACCATCTTGTTCACTGGGTCTCTCGCTTTGCTGAGAGAACAGTTCTTAACTCCTAGTAGATGTTTATTTAATGTTTGTTTCATTTTAACAGTTCATAAGTTTATACAGGGGCACCTTGGGAGCCTAGGAGAGGACTGAGTATCAGTCAACGTGCCAGTACTCATTCCCTTAGTTTTATGTGGTTGAGTTAGATTAAAACAAGACATGAAGGGCAGCCTTGATGAAGAAAACAGTCTCATATGAACAGTTTACATAAGAATACACTGTGCAGAGGGGGATTGGGAACATTGCTTTGGTGATTGATGGAGTTTATTGTCTGTGAGACCTTTTTTTTAGCACTAACCTTATGCCAATTTTTAAATCGTTCTCCAGAAAGTGAAATATTTAGAGTAATAATTTAGAGTCTTAGATTAAGGTTTCTTAAAAATATGGTGCCCATTACTTAAATGTGAATTTGTCTTTCAGATTATGTGGCTTCTGTGATTTTAAATTTACTGTTTTTTTTTTTTTGATTAAGAATTATTTGGTGTTTTTTTTCTTGTAATTGGGTATTTCATAATAACTTCTCTTAATTTTAGGAAAGTGAAAAAACTCTTATGATGAACACATTATATAAGCTTCATGATCGATTGGCACAGCTTGCAGGTAATTGTTTTAACTTTTATAGTTGCTAAAAATGTTTTGAAAAATGTATGTAGCATGTTATTAGTAGAAAATATTTTTCCAAGTCCAGTGTTATATTTGTGAAATATTTTTCTTTAGAAGTTTTCATTACCTATACAGAGTGATTTTTGATTTTTACATATGTATTTAATGAAGGCTTTTTTCCTGCCTGCCATCTGTATTAGAGGTAATATATATATATAATATAGTTATAAAGTTGATCAAATTTCTTTATTGCATCAGTGGTAACAAAAAATCTGGAAAGCTTAAGTATCAGAGGAATTAGGTAAGCAGTGAATTAACTAAAATCTTGGATTAAATATACAAATGCAGATTTTCTTTTGTTGGTTGTATAGGTATCATTCTGTTTGATAAAGTAAATTTATTCTCCTGTAATTTTCTCTCCGGATTAATTGCATTTTCCTCATAGTCTGCTCTTAGTAATTCTTTGAGAGCTCTAAGGTAGTCAACTTGTCCGAAATGGGAATAATTTATTATAGATTAATTAGTATCAAGTTTAGCACATGTAAACTGCAGTAGCAGCTTATCTATTACCTTTTTTTAGTTCTTTTTTTTTTTTAAACATATAATCTGAAAGAAGAGACTTGGATTCTTGTAAGCAGGCATAAGAAAAGAAAAATGCAGTTTTCAAACTTTTCTATGTAGCAGAACTTTTGTGTAAACCAGATTATTGGTAGCAGCCTATAGGTAAATATGGAACTTCTCTGGTTGAATGGAGGTATTTAGGATCCTGACAGTTTCCCATCCTCTGATCTCTCTTTGTTTTGTACATTGGGTTCTTAATTCTGGTCAATTTTTTAAGCTTTTAATTCTGTATTATATCGCTAAAAGCCTTCTTTGCTTTGATTGTCATTCACACACTTCAAGCTAATGACATTTATTTGGTATGCTGTAGCACCCAGAGATAGGTTAAGTATATGCTAGTTATGCTAGCTAGGGATATTGCTAACACAAGCTTCTACAGCTATCTCTGTAGCATTGTTTTATCAAGTATGGTTCATGGCCAGCTAAATCAGCATAATCTGATGTGCTTTTAAAGATACAGATTCCTTCCCCTTGAGTAAGGGTCAACAAGCTTTTTTTCTGTGAAGGGTCAGATAGTGGATATTTTAGGCTTTGTAGGTTAGTTTGCCTCTGTCACAACCACTCAGTTATGTTATACCATGAAAGCAGCCATAAATACTACATAAGTGAATGAGCTTGGCTGTATTCCAGTAAAACTTCATTTATAAAAACCAGAGTAGGCCAGATTTGACCCATGGGCTGTAATTTGCAGACCTCTGCTCTAAATCTATGGGATCTAAATCTCTGAGGATGCACTAATAAACTTTCAAGACTTGTTCATCTGATAGGTACTTCTCCCCTTTTTATAGCTACTGACATTAAAATGATTACTTGAACAAAACTGAAATGAGAACATGGCTGCTTTTATTTTAGAAACATTTGGCAAGGATTTTACTTTAATTATTCTACTTTCATGTTAACAAGCTTTTTAACTACTTGAAAGACACAGGGAAGGGAAAACATGACAATTGGAGTTCAATATGAGGATAATTTATTTCTAATAACCACTTATAGTCTAAAGAAAAAGCCCTGAATTCGCTTCTTATCAACAATTAAAAGAAAAGATAAATGTAGTTTTCCAAAGATTTATATGAGCACATCCCTTTGTAGAAACCAGATCATAGGTGGAAACTTGTACCTGATTTCCCTGTTGGTCTGTTATAACAATTTTTGTTTTTTAAGATTTTTTTGAGACAGGATCTTTTCTGTCACTCAGGCTGGAGTGAAGTAGGGTGATCACAGCTCACTGCAGCTTCAAATTTATGGAGTCAAGCTGTCTTCTCGCCTCTGCTTCCCGAATAATTGGGACAACAGATGCATACTACCACACCTGGTTATGTTATAACAGTTTTTAAGGCATGCACACCCCTTGCTAAAGATAGGATTAGTTATACTCTGAAAATGCACATACTTTAATTCATTAATAAATTCAAACTTATTTGAACCCTTAAATGATTAGCTTTAAGAATAGATGTGTAAGTTAAGTTAGCACAATGAATATGCTGAATTTTTTCCCTTTTAGGAATAATACATATTTCTGGAGGGCGTCTTGTGTGCCAAGATCTGTGGATAGGCATCAGTGTGACATAGTTCCTATACCAGCTTACAGTTTAGTTGGGAATATAAGAGGAAGATAAGTTCTTGTTTGGACTGAAATGCATTTAAAAGTTGTGGTTAATGTAATGGTAGTTGTTTGTTTATATTCTTACTGGAATTTCTTTGTTTATATTCTTACTGGAATTTCTTCTAGAAATTATAAATAATATTGTTCATGTTCTTTCTTTACTGATTATAATAATATAACCTGTAATTGTATAATGTATAAAATATTTGAATTAATTATGTTTGTTTTCTTCTGTTTAAGAGAGTACTGATTCAAAATTAATAATATGCTAATCTTTCCAGGAGATCATGAATGTGGCAGTTCTAGTCAAAGAACGCTTTCTGTTCAAGAGGCAGCTGCGTATTTAAAAGTAAGCAATGAAATTAGAATTTTAATAGCTATATTTTAAAAAATTATATAAATCATTGCTACTTGTAAGAATCATATGTTTGATTATTTTAATTGTACTGTTAAAAGCTTGGGCCTGCTGTTTGGTATAATATGAGCAGTTATGAGAAAGTAAAATTGTTCAACTTTTTTTTTTTTTTTTTTTTTGTGAGACACAGTTTCGCTCTTGTTCCCCAGGCTGGAGTGCAATGGCTGATCTCGACTCACTGCAACGTTCGCAACCGGGGTTCAAGCGATTCTCCTGCCTCAGCCTCGCGAGTAGCTGGAATTACAGGCACCCACCACCTCGCCCAGCTAATGTTTTTTGTATTTTTAGTAGAGATGGAGTTTCACTATGTTGGCCAGGCTGGTCTCAAACTCCTGGCCTCAAGTGATCTGCATGCCTTGGCCTCCCAAAGTGCTGGGATTATAGGCGTGAGCCACCTGTTCAATTTTTTTTAGTTTGTTTTAGAACATTCTCTATGAGAGAATGCATATTAATTTGGAAAGGGTACAAAGAAACATTGGTCATAGGGAAATTGAGATAGGTGAGTAGTAGCATGTAAGAGAGCAGGTAAATATCTAACCATTTATTTAAAATCTTCTGTCCCACATCAGTTTCTTCTCCAAATACTAAGAGAACTTGCTGTTGAATTTTCTAAACTACTGTAAATAATTTCTGGAAAATCTTAATGAAAGGTAGTAAAAGATTAAAGATGGATAAATGTCATTCTGATTTCTCAGAAGTGGAAAGTGGCATTTGAAAACCATACAGGAAAGCTTGTTGTCGGTCCAGTTCCATAAAGATAATTTCATAAAGATCTGAGTTCTTGCAAATGGAAACGTTGATCCCTGGAAGGTGGCTGGCATTTGAACGTGGACAAGTCATGCCATACAAATTTCATGCCTCCCATCCCCTTGTTAAAATTGTGGTAAAAAATATATAACGTGAAATCTGTTAACATATTTTTAAGTATACCGTACAACTATATGTGCATTCTTATACAGCAAATCTCTAGAACTTCTTCATCTTGTATGACTGAAACTCTATAGCCATTGCACAGCAGGCCCCCGTTTTCCTCTGCTCCATATCCCTGGCAACCACCATTTTACTTTCTTCCTCCATCAGTGTGATTAACAGATACCTCATATAAGTTGAATCCTGCAATTTTTGTCCTGTGACTGGCTTATTTCACCTAGCATAATATCTTCAAGTTTCATCCATATTGTAACATGACAGTACTTCCTTCATTTTTTAAGGCTGAGTAGAATTTCATTGTATGTATACATATATTTTCTTTATCCAGTCATGTTGATGGGCTTTTAGATTGTTTCCACCTCTTGGCTATTGTGAATAATTCATCAATGAACATGGCAATGCAAGTACTTCTTTGAGACTCTACTTTTAATTCTGTTAGACAAATACCTAGAAGTGGGATTGATAGATAATATGGTAGTTCAACTTTTTATTTTTTGAGGAACCTCCATACTGTTTTCATATTGACTGTACCATTTTACATTCTTTCCAATAGTATAGTAGGATTCCAGTTTCTGCCTATCCTTAACACTTATTTGCCTTATAGCTCACTGTGTTTTTATTTGTGTTTCCCTGATGATTACTGATGTTGAGCATCTTTTCATATACCATTTATATACATATACATCTGTGTGTATATATAGCATGTATACAGCATATATATAATACCTTATCTGTTGGCCATTTGTATATCTTCTTTGGAGAAGTGCTATTCAAGTTCTTTGCTGATTTTTAAGTTGGGTTATTTATTTTGTTATTGAATTGTGGGGGTTTCTTATGCATTTTGCATATTAACCCCTTGTCAGATATATGGTTTGCAAATATTTTCTCCCATTCTGTAGGTTACTTTTTCACTGTATTCACTGTTTTTTTTTACTGCACATATGCTTTTTAGTTTGATGTAGTCCCACTTTTCTGTTTTTGCTTTTGTTGCCTATGCTTTTGGTGTCATGTCCAAGAAATTATTGCCCATATCAACGTCAAGAAGCTTTTCTTCTATGTTTTCTTCAAGAAGTTATATAGTTTCAGGTCTTACATTTAAGTCTTTAATCCATTTGGAGTTGATTTTTGTGTACGGTATAAGATAAAGGTCCAGTTTGATTCTGTTGCATGTGGAAATCCAGTTTTCCTAGCACCATTTATTGAAGAGATTGTCATTTCTCCATTGTGTAGTCTGGCACCCTTGTAGAAGATTGTTGGATCATACATCAGTGGCTTTATTTCTGGTTCTCTATTTTGTTCCACTGGTCCATTTATGTCTATTATTATGCTAGTACTATACTGTTTTGATTACTATAGTTTTGTCATATGTTTTAAAGTCAGTGTGAGGCCTTTGTGGTTCCATATGGATATTAGGATTATGTCTTCTATTTCTGCAAAAAATGCTATTGGGATTTTGTATTGCTGTATTGCCTTCGGTGGTATAGTAATTTGAGTAATATTAAGTCTTCCAATTCACGAACATGAGATGTCTTTCTATTTATTTGTGTCTTTTATTTCATTCAGCTTTTTTTTTTTTTTTTGTAGTTTTCAGTGTATAAGTCTTTCACCTCCCTGGTTAAGTTTATTCCTAAGTATCTAAATCTTTCTAATGCTATTATAAATGGGATTATTTTCTTAACCTCCTTTTCAGATTGTTGTTAGTGTATAGAAATGTAACTGATTTTTGTATATTGATTTTATATCTTCCAACTTAGCTGAATTTGTTTATTCTAACAAGATTCTTTTTAGTAGAGATAGGGGCCTTGCTATGTTGCCCAGGCTGGTCTCAAACTCCTGGGCTCAAGTTATCCTCCTGCCTTGGCCTCCTAAAGCACGGATTACAAGCATGAGCCACCACACCCAGCCAAATAACAAGATTTTTTTGGTGAAATCTTTAGGGCTTTCTATGTATAAGATTATGTCACTTGCTAAGAGAGATAAATTTACTTCTTTCTGATTTGGATGTTTTTTATTTCTTTTTCTTATCTAATTGCTTTGGCTAGGATGTCTAGTGCTATGAGAGATAGAGATGGGAAAAATAGCCACCCTGGCCTTCTTCCTGATCTTAGAGGAAAATCTCTCTTTTTTTTTTTTTTTTTTCCTTGAGACAGAGTCTCACTCTGTCGCCCAGGCTGGAGTGCAGTGGTGTGATCTCTGCTCAATACAACCTCCACCTCCTGGGCTCAAGCGATTCACATGTCTCAGCTTCCTGAGTAGATGGGATTACAGGTGTGTGCCACCACACCTGGCTAATTTTTTTGTATTGTTAGTAGAGATGGGGTTTCACCATGTTGGCCAGGCTGGTCTCGAACTCCTGACCTCACGTGATCCACCCACCTCGGCCTCCCAAAGTGCTGGGATTATAAGTGTGAGCCACCATGCCTGGCCAGGAAAATCTTTCAGTTTGTCACCATTGAGTATGATATTAGCTAAGGGTTTCCATGTATGGCCTTTAATATGTTGAGATAATTTCCTTCTATTCCTCTTTATTGAATGGTTTTATCATGAAAGGATATTTAATTTTGTCAAATGCTTTTTCTGCATCTATTGAGATGATCATGTGATTTTAATCCTTTGTTCTATTAATGTGGCATACTCAGTTTTGATTTTTGTATGTTGAACCATCTTTGTGTCTGAGGTATATGATCCTGGTGTGTGATCCTTTTCATGTGCTTTTGAATTCAGTTTGCTAGTGTTTTTTTGAGGATTTTTGTATCTCAGGGATTTTAGTCTGTAATTTTCTTATAGTATCATTGTCTTTGGTGTCAGAGTAATGCTGGCCTCATAAAATGAGTTTGGAATTGTTTCATCCTTTTCAATTTTTCAGAAGAATTTGAATAGGATTGGCATTAATTCTTCTTTAATAAAATAGATAATAAACTCAGAAATGAATTCTGATTTTTTTCTTAGTCTAGTTAAGGGTTTGTCAATTTTGATCTTTTCAAAAAATCAACTCTCAGTTTTATTGATTCATTAAATTCTCTATTTAATTTATTTTTGCTCCAATCTTTATTATTTCCTCCCTTCTGCTAATCTTAGGCTTAGTATGTTCTTTTTTTAGTTCTTTGAGATGTAAAGTTAGATTTCTCATTTGAGATTTTTTTTTCTTAACATAGGCTTACCACTGTAAACCTCTCTCTTGTATTGCTTTTACTGCTTCTCATAAATTTTGTTAGGTTGTGTTTTTTATTTTTTTATTTTAATACATTTATAATTTTTCTTTTGATTTCTGCTTTGATCCAATGCTTGTTCTAGGAGAATGTTGTTTAATTTACACATATTTGTGAATTTCTCAGTTTTTCTCTGCTTTTGATTTTTAGTTTCATTTCATTGTGGTGTGAAAAGTTACTTGGTATGATTTCGGTCGTCTTTAATGTGTTAAGATTTTTGTGGCCTAACATATGATCTGATTTGGAGAATGTTCCATGTGCACTTCATAAGAATGTGTATTCTACTCCTGTTGGGTGGAATTTTCTGTATATTTCTGTTAGATCCATTTGATCTATAATTGTTGTTCAAGTCCTCTGCTCCCTTATTGATCTTCTAATGTGGGATACATACATATTTAGAATTGTTAAATCTTCCAGATGAATTGATCCCTTTGTCATTTATATAATAAATATCCTTCCTTGTCTCATGTGATGATTTTTTTTTTTTTTTTTTTTTTGAGACAGAGTCTAGGCCTGTCACCCACGCTTGAGTGCAGTGGTGAGATCATAGCTTACTGCAATCTCAAACTCCTGGGCTCAAGTGATCCTCCTGCCTCAGCCTCCCAAGTAGCTGGGGCTACAGACACATGCCACCACACCCGGCTAATTTTTAAAGTTTTTGTAGAGACAGGATCTCACTACGTTGCCTTTAAGTCAAAAATTTGTCTAATATGAGTATGGCTACCCCTACTCTTTATTCATTATTATCTGCATGGAATATCTTTTTCCATCTTTTGGCTGTCAGCCTGTGTGTGTCCTTAAATCTAAGGTGTACACATGATAAAATTGGAGCTTTTTTTTTTAATTATTCATTCAGCCACTCAGTGTGCTTTGATTTGGGAGTTTAGTCCATTTACATTTAAAGTAATTACTAATAGGAAAGGACTTATATTGCCTTTTTTGTTGAATATTTTCTCTCCGTGTTGTAGCTTTTTTGTCCCCTTTTCCATATCTTACTCTTTTTTGTGTCTTTTTTTTTTTTTTGTAGTGACAAGCTGTGATTTCTTTCTCATTTTCTTTTACGTGTGTTTTTTAGGCATTTGTGGTTACTATTGGGGCTTATATAAATTATCTTATATTCACAGTAATATTTTAACCTGATAACACCTTAACTTTAGTCACATGGAAAGTGTCTACTTTTTTATATCTCTCTTCATCCTTTATATTATTGATGTCACAGATTACATCTTTTCATATTGTGTATCATCAACATATTTTTATAAAGTTTTTTATACTTTTGTCTTTTAAATTGTATATCACAATTAAGTGATTTACACACCACCATTACAGTGTTACAGTATTCTGATTTTGTCTATATATTTACCTTTATCAGCAAGCTTTATATTTTCATATGCTTTTGCATTGCTAGGTAGCATCCTTTCATTTAACTTGGAGTCACTTTAGCATTTCTTGTGAGGCAGTTCTAGTGATGATTAACTCCCTTGGCTTTTATTCTGAAAAAATCTTTATTCATTTTTGAAGGATGGTTTTTCTGGATATGTAGTAGTCCCCTTTATCCATGGTTTTGCTTTCCACAGTTTCAGTAACACCTAGTCAACTATGGTCTGAAAATATTAAATGGAAAATTCCAGAAATAAAAAATTGTATACCATTTTTAATAGTACGATGTACTGCTCCCCCCTCCCCCCTACCACACACACACACAGTATTCTTGGTTGGCAGTTGTTTTCTTTCAGTACTTTGAATATGTTATTTCACTCTCTCCTGCTTTGTAAAGTATTTTGGGGACTCCCTTGTATGTGATGAGTAGCTTGCGTCTTGGCTGCTTTCTTCTCCTTGGTTTTCAACAATTTGAACATAACATGTCTGAATATGGACTTATTTTGGTCTATCCTCATTAGGATTCATTGGCTTCCTTGAGTCTGAATACCCATTTTCTTCCCCAGGTTTGGGGAGTTTTGGGCCCCAAATAACATGGTGTTTTTGTTTTTGTTTTGTTTTGTTTTGCCTGTTTCTTTCTTCTCTTTCTGAAACTTCCATATTACTTATATTGGTTGGCTTAATGGTGTCCCATTAAGGTCCTTAGACTTTCTTTACTTGTCTTTATCCTTTCTTCATTTTGCTTGTCTGACAGAATAATTCCAAATGACCTTCTTTTGAGTTTGCTGATTCTTTCTTCTGTTTGATCCAGTCTGCTTTTGAACCCCTCTAATGAATTCTTAAATTCAGTTATTCTTTAGCTCCAAAATTTCTGGGTTTTAAAAATATTTTCTGTCTCTTTGTTGATATTCTTACTTGATTCATGCATTGTTTTCCTGATCTTGTTGAGTATCTTTATGATGGCTTTTTCTGAATTCTTTGTCATGTAATTCTTAGACTTCTACTTCTTTAGGATATGTTTTGGAAGTGTATTTTGTTTCTTTGATTGACCATGTTTTCATGGTTCTTCATGTGCCTTGTTACTTTGTGTTGGGATTCGTGCATTTAACAACAACAGAAATAAAAAAAACAGCCACCTTTGTAGACTTTGTGTGGGGAAAGTCTTTTACCAATATGTCTGTGTAGACATTCTGGATTTCTTAGATATCTTTTCTGTGGTTGTGGTTGTGACCTCTCTGGATTTTTGCCTGTGAATTTCCAATTAGAGAAGTTTTGCTGGTTTATTTTCTCATAGTTTATAATCTTTTGATCCCTGGTATCTGTAGGTTATCCCTGGTGTCTGTAGATTATCTGGAGCTGCCATAAGCTATCCAACTCTTTTGTTTGTTTGTTTTGAGACAGAGTCTTGCTCTGTTGCCCAGGCTGGAGTGCAGTGGCACGATCTCAGCTCACTGCAACCTCTGCCTCCCTAGTTCAAGCGATTCTCCTGCCTCAGCCTCCCAAGTAGCTGGAACTACAGGTGCCCGCCACCATGCCCAGCTAATTTTTTGTATTTTTAGGAGAGACGGGGTTTCACCATGTTAGCCAGGATGGTCTCGATCTCCTGACCTTGTGATCCACCTATCTTGGCCTCCCAAAGTGCAGCGATTACAGGCATGAGCCACTGCTCCTGGCCCAGCTCTTTTTTCTTCTTAGTGGCCCCCAGGCATCTGGAGTATACTGAGTCCTATCCGCATTTTGAATCAGGTGAGGCAGAAGCCAGCGAGGCAACACTCCTTGCCCCTGTGAAGTCAGAACTTTGGATGCATGTCTAACTTTTTTCCTCCCCAGGGAGAAGCCAAGAGTTGGGGTTTTTCTCAACTTTCTTCATGCCGAGCTGGGGGTAGGGACAATGGTGAGTGAGTGCTGTTGCCTTTGTTCTTAGTAGTCCTTAATTTGGTGTCTTTCAACTATTAGATTCAGACATGACAGAAACCAGTTGCCCCGAAAAGTCAGATCATTAGATGTATGTTCTAGTCTTCTGTTTTCCTTCTGAGGAGGAAGCCACGAGTTGGGAGTTTCCTCTCTATTGCACTGCCCTGTGGGGTGATGAGAGTGTCTGGGAAGTGAGTGATATGAATTTTCCTAACAGCTTTGATACAGGTGGTTTTGTGCTTGCCTAGGTGCAGGAACCTTTTAACTAATTTCTGGATTTTTCACAAATGGAATTGGTCCATGTATTTTTGTTGAATCGGTGTCTCATTGAGGGAAGGAGGGTCTGGGGCTTCCTATTCTGCTGATGTCACTCCTCCACTTTTTAAAAATTAAGAATGTAGTATATGTTTTAAGGCTTTCAGCAAAGTTTTGGTAATAGTCTCCTGTGATTATGCTTGTCAACAAAGAGAAATATTGACTGAGTTTTTAACTTAATGCATGACTTATATGTAGGTACCAAAAAGATCCTAAGACAGTATAATAAGGAGATTATATCTGGAGTCAAATTCTGGTACTGCCAGTAGAAGCTATTACATTTTGGTAAAGTCTCTAACTTTTCTGAACATGTTTCTCTGTGAATGTGGGACTGCCGTTAATACCTGTCAAAGTTGTTGGGAGACTTGAGTATATAAAATGCCTAGCTCAGTGCCTGATGATTATAGTAGCTTCCCAATAAATTCAATTTCTGTGTTTTCTAATTAAATCAGTGCCACTCTAGCGAGTAATCTCTAATAACATGCCACAGAAATTTTGTTTAAGGTTGTTTATTGTCTTTATTTTCAATTTTGACCTAGATGAGAACATTAATGACAGTAAAATTTATGGATAGTGTAATAGCTAATAGACTGGACAGTTAAAGGATCAGAATTCAAAAAGATCTTGACTAAGGAGGAGTTATGATTATAGGGCTCAGTGTTATGGGATGGACGAATGTCAGGGTGCAGGCAAAAAAAGGGATTGGATTGAGGCTAAAGGAGACATAGAATAAAATATTCCATGAAGAAAGGCATAGTGAGAATCCAAAGCAAGCAAACTATTCCTTATAAAATAATTGAATGGGTTTTCACTTCTAGTAGTAGGACTATCTTATCCCATTCAGTGTTTCTTTCCTGTTTTCTTTTTGTTAGGTAGTTAAACCTCTGAGATTTGATCTCTGAGAGGTAATACCGTAGATCTGTGTTATGATTGGTCATAAATTCCTGGAGCAAGTTTCATTGCTTTTCAGAAGAATGCTGAGACTCTTAAAGCATATGAAATAGGATTAATTCTTCCTTGGTATCTGGGGATTACTTCCGGGACCCCCATGGACACAAAAATTTGTAGATGCTCAAGTTCTTTATATAAAATACTGTAGTATTTACATATAACCTATGCATATCCTGCTATATACCTTAAATCTTCTCTAGATTACTGATAATACAATGTAAATTGTATGTAAATAGTTATTATTATACTGTATCATTTAGTGCAAACTTGTCCAACTTGCAGCCCAGGATGGCTTTGAATGCGGCCCAACACAAATTTGTAAACTTTCTTAAAACATAAGAATTTTTGCGATTTTTTTTTTTTTTTTTGGCTCATCAGCTGTTGTTAATGTATTTTTTGTGTGGCCCAAGACAGTTCTTCCAGTGGGGCCAAGGGAAGCCAAAAGATTGGACACTCCTGGTTTAGGGTATAATAAGGAAAAAAAAAAAGACTGTACAAATTTAATGCCGACATAATCATCTGTTTTTTTCCCAGATATTTTTGATTCATGATAGACTATATTGACTCTATTCAGTATTTCAGTCCATGGAGGTGGAACCCATGGATAAAAGGACTGACTGTACTGTGTTTGAAGGACTGAAGAAATGGGATAGGGACTGGGGACAAGATAGGACCTGACCAGTAATTAAGGTGGAGCTGAGGAAGAGGCAGGGGTTGGTGTGGAATTATTAACCTCTCTTTCACTTCTTCCAACCATTTTCTTGTAGCTGTGGGTCAGCAATGGTACAAGTTAAAAAGAAGGGACACAGATGCGGGGTTGGGGTAAGTCAAAGTCTAAGCCAGGCAGCAATAGAGTATAAGATTAATTCTACTGAAGACTAGCAGCAAAAAAGTTACTAGAAGCACTCTTGCATGAGTTAAATTGGAAACTGCTTATATCTACTTAAAAAAAGATATTAATGAACTGTAGCTTTTTGTGTTTTATTATTATTATTGTTATTATTTATTTATTTATTTATTTTTTTTTTTGAGGTGGAGTCTTGCTCTGTTGCCCAGGCTGGAGTGCAGTGGCGAGATCTCGGCTCACCGCAAGCTCTCCTTCCCAGGTTCATGCCATTCTCCTGCCTCAGCCTCCCAAATAGCTGGGACTGCAGGCACCTGCCACCACGCCTGGCTAATTTTTTTGTATGTTTAGTAGAGACAGGGTTTCACCATGTTAGCCAGGATGGTCTCGATCTCCTGACCTCGTCATCTGCCCGCCTCAGCCTCCCAGGGTGCTGGGATTACAGGCGTGAGCCACCGTGCCTGGCCACTTTTATTATTTTTAATTGACATAATTGTACATATTTATGGGGTATAGTGTGATATTTTGATACATGTATACAATGTGTAATGATACAGTCAGGATAAATGAGCCATCACCTCAAACATTTATCATTTCTTTGTGTTGGGAACATTCAAAATTTGCTCTTTTAGCTATTTGAAAATATATAATAAATTGTTAATTATAGTTGCCTTGCAGTGTTATAGAACACTAGAATTTATTCCTCCTACCTAGTTATAATTTCATTTAACCAACCTCTGGCTACAGACCCTCCACCTGCCACTTTGCCACTTTCTAGCCTCTAGTAACCACTATTCTCTTCTACCTCCATGAGATCAACTTTTTAGTTTCCCCAAAGGTAAAATAAGCCAAGTTCTTAGTAGTCCTTAACTTGGACTTCTAACTCATTTGTCTTCCACAAGTGAGAATATATGGTATTTGTCTTTCTGTGGTTGGCTTATTTCACTTAACATAATGTTCTTCAAGTGCATCGGTGTTGATGTGAATCACATAATTTTATTCTTTATTATGGCTGAATAGTATTCCATTGTATATATACCACATTTTCTTTATTCATCTGTTAATGAGCACTTAGGTTGATTCCATATTATTGTTAATAATGCGGCAATAAATGAGAGTACAGATACCTCTTTTCACTTACTGATTTTCTTTCCTTTGGATATATACCCAGTAGTGAGATTGCTGGATCATATGGTGGTTCTATTTTTAATTTTTTGAGGATCCACCATACTATGTTCTGCAATGCCTGTACTGATTTACATTCCCACCAACAGTGGATAAGAGTTCCCCTTTCTCTGCATCCTCGCCAGCATTTGTTATTTTTTGTCCTTTTGATACTAGCAATTCTAACTGGGGTGAGTGAATATCTCATTGTGGTTTTGATTTGTATTTCCCTGATGATTCATATGTTGGGCATTTTTCCATATGCCTGTTGGTTGTTTGTATGTCTTCTTTTAAGAGATGTCTGCTAAGCTCATTTGCCCTTTGAGTTCCTTGTGTGTTCTGGATATCAATCCCTTGTCAGATGAATAGTTTGCAAATGTCCCCCATTCTACTAGTCATCTCTTCACTCTGTTGCTGCCTTTGCTGTGCAGAATCTTTTATTTTGCTATAACACCATTTATTTTTGCATTTGTGTCTTCTCCATAAAAACCTTTGTCCAGACTAATGTCCTGAAGCGTTCCTCCTGTATTATCTTTTAGTACTTTAATAATTTTAGGTCTTACATTTAATTATTTAATCCATTTTGAGTTGATTTTTGTGTATGGTGAGAAATAAGGGGGCTCGTTTCATTCTGCCTGTTTTCACAGCACCATTTAGTGAAGAGACTGTCCTCTCCCCAGTGAATGGTCTTTGCACCTATGTCGAAAATCAGTTGGCTGTAAATACGTGGATTTATTTCTGGGGTCTTTATTCTGTTCCAGTGGTCTGTGTGTCTGCTTTTATGCCAGTACCATGCTGTTTTGGTTACTATAGCTTTGTAGTGTATTTTGAGGTTTTATAGTGTGATGCATCCAGCTTTGTCCTTTTGCTCAGGATTGCTTTGACTGTTCATAGTTCCATATGAACTTTAGAATTGTTTTCTTCTACTTATGTGAAGAATGTCAGTGGTATTGTAATAGGGATTGCATTGAATCTATACATAGATTATTTTTGGTAGTGTAGTTTTCATAATCTTCTAATTGTGAACATGGGATGTCTTTTTATGGTGTTTTATGGTTTTTTTTTAGATATCTTTTACCTTCTTGGTTAAATTTAATTGTAGGTATTTTATTCATTTATTTATTTTTGTAGCTATTGTAAGTAGAACTGCTTTCTTAATTTCTTTCTCTGCTAGTTTTTTGTTGGTATATGTTACTGATTTTGAGTATTGATTTTCTGTCCTGCAAGTTTATTTAATTTATTTATCAGTTCTAAGAGGTTTTTGGTGGAACTTTTAGAGTGTTCCACATTAACATCATGTCATCTGCACATAGGAACAATTTTTCTCCTTTCCAATTTGGATGCCCTTTATTTCTTTTTCTTGCCTAATTGCTCTGGCTAGGACTTCTAATACTATGTTAAATAAGAATGGTGAGAATGGGCACTGTTGTCTTGTTCCATTTCCTATAGGGAAAGCTTTCAGCTTTTTCTCATTCAGTATGCTGTTGGCTGTGGGTTTGCCATATATGGCCTTTATTGTGTCCTTCAGTACCTAGTTTGTTGAGAGTTATCATGAAGAGATGTTACATTGTATTAAATGCTTTTTCTGCAGTGAACTCTGTAGCCTTTAGAAGATTTTTTTATCTTGAGTTATTTTATGTTTCATATTCGGTTTTGTCTTAATTTAGTAGAATTTCTGTGGCATATTTTTATAAGATTATGGATTAA
The DNA here is from genome assembly GCF_000001405.40 of Homo sapiens. Classification (NCBI taxonomy): domain Eukaryota; kingdom Metazoa; phylum Chordata; class Mammalia; order Primates; family Hominidae; genus Homo; species Homo sapiens. The sequence goes on from NC_000012.12 coordinate 65,231,100, forward strand.
TTTAATTTCATTCTTAAAGAATTATGTAAAATGTTAATACTCTTTTTTTATAGTTAGGTTTATGTATGTGTGTTTTTGTTACCTTTTCTTTTTGGAATCTCATTTTTCATGTTTTTCAAATGCTATAAAACCTGCCGTGGTTTGTCACCACCATAGACGCAGTTTGTACTGTCAAAAGCAAAACAGAGAGAGCTTTAAACAGGATTTTTTTCCCCCAAAAATGTAATTTTAAGGTCTATATAAAAGTCTTAAAGTACTATTTTTAATAATGCTTATTTTTTCAACATAAAATTAAATAATATTGGCTAGGCACAGTGGCTCATACCTATAATCTCAGCACTTTGGGAGGCCAGGGCAGGAGGATCATGTGAGCCCAGGTGGTGGAGACCAGACTGGGGAACATAGTGAGATCTTGTCTCTACAAAAAAAAAATTTTAAATAGCTAGGTGTGGTGGCACATGGCTCTGTAGACCCTCTGTAGTCCCAGCTCCTCGGGAGGCTGAGATGGGAGGATTACCTTGATTGTACCACTACACTCCAGCCTGGATGACAGAGTGAGAGCCTGTCTCAAAAATAAGTAAATAAATTAAATAACACTCATTATTTAATTCATATGGAAAATGAAAGGAAAAAAAGCTTCAAATTCACTACCTAAGGATAACAACTGGTAAAATTTTGGTCCATTTTCCTCTAATTAGTATTATAAATATTTTTTTCTAAAGCTAATATTACTTTATTATAAATATTTTATACTATAAATATTCATGTGTCTTTCCCTTGAAATTATTGTGTGTATTTCAAAAACCGTTGAATGATTTTTGAAAATGTTTTCTATCACTGAATAATATTTCATGGTATGATTTTATTTTATTGGTTTGTGGTTTTTCAATATTATGAAATCACTCTAATCTTTGCATATAGTATTTAATTTTCTAATATTTCTTAGGAAATAATCCTAAAAAGGAAATTACTTGTTCAAAGAGCATGAACTTTTAAAAATGCTTTTGATATATGTTGCTATATTAATTCCCAATTTAAAATGACTGCTTTAGCACAATCTAGCCAAAATTCTCTATGTTATTTTATCCATATTCTGGCATAAATATGGAGGAAACTCACTACAAAGTTGATATCAAACAAGGATTATAATATCTATATGGAGGGCCTTCTGCTTATGAGAAAGAGATCTATTACATATTTTCATGTATTTGCACTATAGTTTCACCAGCAACACATTTAAGTTTTTAGATTGAGGAATAAATAAACCAAAGAATGTGTAGAGCCCCTACAAGTGTAAGCTAATTTTTTCACAACTTCTAGTACATTTTAAGCACAGTGAGTATAGTAAATGTTTGATGGAGTAAAATGAGTGAATAAGCCTCAGTAACATATTTTTGTTTTCTTGAATTTAATTATTTATGTTTAATTCTTTATCCAGTTTTCTCCTTCAAAGGAAATTTAAATAAACTTAATAACTAATTTAAATAATTTAAACACTATTTTTCTAACTACTCCAGTGCTCTTCTTGAGCTTTTTAAAAAACTCGTTGTTTTTGATATTGAAAGCTTATTTTAATTTGTGAAAAGTTAAGAGGTCCCTCTGGTGGAACATTGAAGAAATACATAGTTTATATTTCCGTGAAAATACATGATTGGTTTTTAAGTTAGATGGTAGTGACTTTGTATAACTTTTTATGGAATAATGTAATGAATGGGTTTACGTTCCTAGGTTGCTTTCAAAACCTTCTTAACCTTTAACACAATGAATATGTTTAAGATTTGTGAAGAAAATAATAGGAAAGTAGACAGCTGCAAATGTGTCAAATTATGGGGCTGGATAGACTTTTATGGCCTAGAATGCTAATTACTGTTAATAAAAGTCTGTGTGGAAAAATGAGTGTTCTGAGAAGTGGAGTGAGGGGGAAATTTTATGATAATAATTAAGGTTTATAAAGTACAGTGTGGTACTTTCTATATGTTAATTCTAATTTCAGAATGATCCAACAAGATAGGTGGTATTAGACCCATTTCATAAAGAAACTAAACCATAGAGGGGCTAATAACTAGAGTATCCAGCTACTATGTGATGGAACTGGGAATAGAACCAAAGTACTTGCTCTTTTCTATATATTGTTCTGCCTCTTAAGTGGATGGAGTGGATTCATAATCCTTAGCTCCAGCTATTGAGTGGGCAAGGGACTGGTGCTATTAAGGGTTAGGATCTGAAAAAGTGGTCAAAGTAGATACATCTGGATAGGTGGCATATTTTTCACTTGTCCCATTTAAGGTTGTACATATAGCTAATCTGTAATGGAGCCAGCATCTGGTTCTGGGTCTACTTGATTCTAAAGACTATGTTTTTTTCTGTTATTCTAGCAGGTGAAAGATCATACAATTCTTACTGAATCAGGAGTTACATCCTGTTCAGCATTGTGGATTTCTGTGTGTTATATTTTAATTAATTTTAAAAGGTGCCATCTGATGCATAGTGTAGATCATCTCACAGTTCACTAGAATATTCACCAGCTGGAAGGCTGCATGGCTATTACTGTGTAAATTATCAGTTTCATAAACTATCCATATTAGGTTTTTAGTCCTTGCTTGATTTCTCCCTATACCAGTGCCTTTTTCCCTTCTTACTAACTAAAGTTTTGTTGCCTTATTTAATGAAACAGTATTATTTTTGTACTTGGAAACTGTAATCCAAGTTCAGAGCATCTGATGTGGGTTTTAAAGTACACATTTTTGACCCACGATTTTGAAAATAAAGAACATTTGGGAGAGTTCATGGGGGTATGCGTGAGTACACACATAATGTGTTAGATTTAAGATTTGGGAAAATATACTTCAAATTTAGAAAGATTTACATGAAGCAGTCAGTGGTATACTGACTGAGCTCTTGCCTATAAGTAAATAGTAATAAACAATAGTAATAAAAGTTGTGCCTTAAAAATTAAAAACTTAGTTTCTTCCTGATTTTTGTCATCAGTTATTGGAAAATGTTTGTTTTATGATGCTGGAATGCCTTACCTTAGAGGTTAGCAAGCCATGGCTTATGGGCCAGATCCAGCCTGCCTGTTTTTGTATGGCTTGTGAGCTGTGGTTTTACAACAGTTTTAAAGCTTGCTTTTAAAAAAGAAAGAAAGAAATTTATATGGCTGCACAGCTTAAAGTGTTTACTCTCTGGCCCTTTACGGACAAAAGAAAAAGCTGACCAACCCCTGCCGTGCCCACAGCTTTCCAGGTGGCTACAAAAAGTGAATAATAAAACAGTTTAAACTGTTAAAATCAGGTATATGCTATGTATGCTACAGTATTAGCATCAACTATTTGGCACAAGCAAATAATTCAATTTTTGCTTTTATAAAAATTCCATTTTCTAATACTCTAGAATGCCGTATATATATTTGTGGAAATAGTGGCATATTTTAGACCTCAACACCCCATTAAGTCCTTAATGAGGTTTTAAATAATCAATTGTTTATTGAGAATGTGTACCCATAAAATGAACATTCCATGGTTTTCTTGTATTCCAGATAATGAGTGGATGTCAAGTGATATTAATAAAGGAAAGGAAAACAGAAAAAGGGAAAATAACAACAGATCCTCTTTTCTTACCCTTACTATTTTATAACTAAGAGATTTAAGGCCTTCATTCCTCCTCGTACTTAGCTTTTTAGATCTGTAGGTGTCTTTGTTAATTTGAACCATTGTGTACATTTTTTAAGGATATTTGATGAGAACAGTAATATTTATAATGTCAGCCTCCTAAAATTTGTATATTTAAAATTTGCACTAATAACCTTGGGAGTTTGTTTTTATGTTATCTGAAACTTATGTTTATAGTCTGGTCTTCAAAGACTAGATTATACTTGTCCAGTATTATATGTAGTAATGCAAAGCATGCCATGATACTAGGCAAATCATAGCAATACAAGCTGAACAGCATGTATATAAGTACAAGTAAATACAACATTTATTTCATTGATTTTTAATATATGCATGTATTTGAAGGGTACTATGTGGCATCTGTGTCTTTGAAGAACTAAATGAGTACAAAATCCTTTTTAAAAATGTATGGTAGTGACAACATTACAAAGAAGACTAAATGCAATAATGTTGTCTTCAGCTACACTGATAACCTATATTAATCTTGCTTTGTAGATTTTCATTTATATACAAAGTGATTTCTAGTAGTATATTTATAACAATTGAAACTAATTGCCTGAAATTATTTTGTGTAACTTTATTGCATAATATTTTAAAACAATATTAAAGCAAATAAAAATCACTTGTATCCTCATTCTTGTGCTACTCATATGAGTACATATATTTTATAATTATAAATACAGTTGGCCCTACGTATACATGGGTTTTGCATCCATGGATTTAACCAACCGTGGATCAAAAATCTTAGTGGCAATAAAAAGAAAAAAAGTACAATGGAAAAAATACAGATTTTAAAAATACAGCTATCTATATTCATTTATATTAGGTGTTATAAGTAATCTAGAAATGATTTAAAGTATAAAGAATGATGTGCATAGGTTATATGCAAATACTATGCAATTTTATATCAGGGACTTGAACATCTGTGGATTTTGGTATCCATGGGGCATCCTGGAACCAATCCTCTGTGAATACTGAGGTATGACTGTATATATAAATTAAATGTTGTAGTTTTATTTTTTTAAGCAGATAGCTGTTTAGCTCTCATCATGATTATTTCTAAGTTCATAATATCCATTGAAATGATCTCATATATAAACCTTTTTTCAATCATTAAATACATTGTCTGCAATTTTTTTGATGTTTGTAAATGCTATAATAAACACCCAAGCTTAAAAAAACAGATGGCCTATAGTTATCTTCACCATCTTAAAAATCCTAATAGTAGTTTCATGTAATGATGCCTAACAAGATTAGTTCTGCTTTATAAAACTTTTTATTACATTTGCAAATTTGATACATTAGAATAACTTACCAGTTTTATATTAGGAAGTAAACTATACTGATCAAATGAAAACCTTATAATTTCCAATGCTGTTGAAGAATCTGTTGATAAAATACAATAGGACACTTCTTAGAAAAATCTTTTTTTTAGAGAGAATTTGAAATGACTTTTTATTTCTGTTTTTAGAAATTCATTTTTTCCTCTACGAGCCAGGCACAGTGGCTCATGCCTGTAATCCTAGCACTTTGGGAGGCCAAGGCAGGCGGATCACTTGAGGCCAGCAGTTCGACACCAGCCTGGCCAACATGGCGAAACCCCATCTCTACTACTACTAAAAATACAGTGATTAGCTGGGTGTGGTGGCACACGCCTGTAGTATCACAGTTACTTGGGAGGCTGAGGCACAAGACTGTGCTTGAGCCCTGGAGATGGAGGTTGCAGTGAGGCGAGTTCGCACCACTGCACTCCAGCCTGGGTGACAGAGCAAGACTCTGTCTCAAAAAAAAAAAAAATTCATTTTTTGCTCAAAAGGGACATAAAGACATACTAATAATACAAGCTCCATGAACACAGGGAATTTTTCACTGTGTTGTTTATGCTGCACCTCTAGTTTCTAAAATAGTACTTGGCACATGGTAAAGGTGTTTATAACAGTATTATATTTGATAAATTTTTAAAAATTGGACATATTCTAAATGTTCATTAATAAGGTGTTGATTAAAAGTATAGAATAATCATACAATGGAATACTATTTTGTTGAAAAAAATAGGGTTTTTTCCATGTAAACTGACATTGACACAATATTTTGTTCCATGAAGAAAACAAGTAGAACAGTAGTATGTGTAATATGATACCACATTTATTTTTACTATTTTAATTTAAAAATACTCTACCCACACATAGCAGTTCTTAAGCTTTTTGGTTCCCTATAATTACTGAGGACTCTGGCTTTTGTTTGTGGGAGATATACATTTATATGTTTTTGTTTCTATTAGAAAGATATATTTACTTTCTAATGGTAAATATGTATTACAAATACATGTTTATATTAAAAATTAAAACTGAAAAAAATTTATGTATTTAGAATAAGAAAAATGAATCTATTATATGTTAACGTAATGTATTTTTATGAAAAATAACTTTTCCAGAATGAAAACATTCAATGAGAACAGTGGCATTGTTATATATTTTATAAATCTCTTAAATGTGTAGCTTAATAAAAGGTGACTGGATTCTTATCTGCTTCTTTATTCAATCTGTCATGATGTTTTAGTTGAAGTATGTCATGAAAATCCAGCCTCACATTGATATGTAGTCAAAACATTGGAAAGTATTTTAGTTGCCTTTTCAGGTAATTGTAGATAGATATTTTCTTTGATACCATACCAAACCTCTATAAGTAGTAGTTTCTTAAATGTTAGTTGCAATGTGGAATGTCAGACTGTGCCAGTGAACTTTTTGTACTCTTGTCTCATAAAATCCTTTTATTTTGTACTTTGAATGGATCTTTTACCTATGCGTGATTGGTTTTTATAAAAATCAGAATTTTTCAAATGCATTGGTCATTTTCAGATGCATTGGTCACATTTCATTATTCCATATCAAAAAACTGCATTTGTTAATGTCACACAAATCTCATTGGAAAGGTCTTCAAGTATTGTGAAGTTGTCCAGGTCACAAAGATGAATGCTAGTTTTTCAAAATTCTACTTTTTACTTGAATGCTCAAATCTTATAATTGGTAACCCGGTCAGTTTTTCTTTAGTTGATAGGCTTACTGCTTTTATGTGTTGAGAATACTTGTCTGTGAAACATCCAAATCTGGAAGAGTTTGCCATTTATTTGTTCATCTATAAATAATATTGCATTTTTAAAAGTGGTAAATTCACTCTTATGATGGCACTGATAAACTAATGATAAAAAAAGAACTTCCAAGCCAGGCGCAGTGGCTCATGACTGTAATCCCAGCACTTTGGGAGTCCAAGGCTGGCGGATCACTTGAGGTCAGGAGTTTAAGTCCAGCCTGGCCAGCATGGTGAAACCTCGTCTCTCTAAAAGTACGAAAAAAGAAAATTAGCTGGGCCTGGTAGCTGATGCTTGTAATCCCAACTACTTGGGAGGCTGAGGCAGGAGAATTGCTTGAACCCAGGAGGCGGGGGCTGCAGTGAGCCAAAATTGTCCCACTGCACTCCAGCCTGAGTGAGAGAGACTCAGTTCCCAAATATGTAAAATATAAAAAAGCAAAATATTAACACTGATTATATTGGAGTAGTGGGAAAATGCTAACTTTTTTTTTCTTTTTTCTCATTCTTTTTAAAATTTTCTGTAATGAATATTTTATGTTATGTAGTTAAAATAAAAATGTTATATAGAGTGTGTTATAAAGGATACTTTACAGAGAGTCGAATGTAGATTAAGAATAGTTATTTTTCTCTATTTTTCTTGTTAGGATTTAGGTCCTGAATATGAAGGTATATTTAACACTTCATTGCAGTGGATCTTAGAAAATGGAAAAGATGTTGGAATAAGGTAAAGGATCTGATTTCCACTTTGACCATTCTGTACTGGGAGAAATGGTTTTTGACTTTAAATTCTACCTTACTTATTTTTAAATAGGTGTGTTGGTTTTGGCCCTGAGGAAGAATTGACAAATATAACTGATGTGCAGTTTTTACAGTCCACAAGACCACTGATGTCTTTTTGGTGTCGTTTTCGACGTGCTTTTGTTACTGTAACTCACAGATTATTGTTGTTATGCTTAGGTAAGTTGTAAAGATAAGAAATGAGATAAATTGCAGCCTGAATTTTTGTGTGTATTTCACTAAATGCCAGAGTTGAGAATTCATTTTTGTGATGGTTGCCACATAAGTCACAGCTAGATGTCTTCACTAAATATAATAAAAATAATGTCAGAATCATTCTAAAGGCTTAGAAAGCAGTAATATAAGGAGAGGTAGAAATAAAACTTTGTTATAAGACTGTCACAGAAAAACAAGTGTGGTCAGTATATACATAGAAATCTACTTTAGAAAGTAGAATTGAAAAATACAAAAATTGAGCTTATTTTTAAATAATAAAGTGTTATAAAGTTTATTAAAATTTAGTTTTTAAAATGTAATTTACCTACATTTAAAATTTTTATCATTTTTTAATTGATAATAGGGATTTAGGTGAGAGTTGTTTTTTCATTCTTTCTTTCTTCTTTAAAAATAATTCATTTTGGCCAGCTTTAGTGGCTCACACCTGTAATCCCAGCACTTTGGGAGGCAGGAGGATTGCTTGCACTCAGGAGTTTAAGACCAGCCTGGGAAGCATAGACCCTACCTCTACAAAAAAATTTTTAAAATTAGACAGGCATAGTGGCACGTGCCTGTAGTCCCAGCTACTTGGGAAGCTGAGGTAGGAGGATTTCTTGAGCCCAGGAGTTGGAGGCTGCAGTTAGCCATGATTGCACTACTGCCCTCCAGCCTGGATGACAGAGTAAGACCCTATCTCAAAAACAACAACAACAAAAGAAAAATTCATTTTACTTAAAGTAAGATTTAGTATGTTTAATCTCATGAGGTTCACTTTTCTAGTCGTTTTATGCTTCAAAGGAAAAAAGTTTGTGAAACATAGTTATATATATATATTTTTAAATAGTAGTTAGAATTTAAATGTTCACTTATCAGTGTAATGGAAGAAATGCTTTTTTCTAGAAAGTGAATCTTTGGAAAATGTTCAGTATTAAATTTTTTTATGTAGTTTTAATTATATAGCTAATTCAGCCATCTGTCTTGAAGGTTCATTCCGTTGTGGCAGTTAAAATAATCACTGAAATATTATTGAATGATATTGACCACAATTTTTAAAATACAAAGTATATTAATATTACAGGTGTAGTGATGGTTTGTGTCGTTCTGCGTTACATGAAATATCGATGGACAAAAGAAGAGGAGGAAACAAGGCAGATGTATGATATGGTGGTAAAGATTATAGGTATGATATTTGTAAGAATCTCAACTATTTCTAGAAGAGTCATTGCATGATTAAACTACATTATGTCAAGTGATTGATTCATTTGTAAATTTTATTTATTTTTAGATGTTTTACGAAGTCATAATGAAGCCTGCCAGGAAAACAAAGATTTACAACCTTACATGCCTATTCCACATGTACGCGATTCCTTAATACAGCCTCATGACAGGTGTGTTCAAAGCATTATGAGTTCAAGTAAATCAGAAAATTTAAGTGCTTTCTGCAGTATTGAAAATTATATTGAGAGCTGTGACCCTTCTCAACTAGACTTGCTTACTGCACAGGTTTTTTTTGGTTTTGCTTTGTTTTTGTACTTTATACTCTCTTTCTAAATTCTCTTCCATTCTCCTGATTTTGAGTGACACCTGGATTTCTAAGTCATTCTCATTCCTAGGCATTCTTGATTCTTTGTTGTTAGTCTCCATCTTATTTCCTTTAATTTCATCTTGATAAAGAAATAGATGACAGCCAGTGGCTGGTGTTTTACTAATGTTTTTTAAGTACTAACTTTATTATTAATGAAGCTTTTAAAGTAAAAACTAAAATGCAACTTTTTGAAAATAAAAGATAATTCCATATCCTGAAGCAGCATCTTGACCCTAGCAACACATAAAGCCAGTGGAGCTTTTGGGGAAAAAAAATACAGATGTTTGTGCTCTAGCTCTGGAAATTGAAACTCAGAAAATCTGAGATGAGATATAGGCATCTAAATCTTCTTTGAACAAACTCCATGAGTAGTGGTAAGAACAGCTAGAGTTAACTATTACCTCAGATACTAATATTTCAAAAAGATGACAAGCCAAGATGATAGTAAATTTGCCATTTTGTTCACATGATAGGAAAAAAATGAAGAAAGTCTGGGATAGAGCTGTTGACTTCCTTGCTGCTAATGAGTCTAGAGTTCGCACGGAAACACGAAGAATAGGTGGTGCAGATTTTCTGGTTTGGCGGTGGATCCAGCCTTCTGCATCCTGTGACAAAATATTAGTTATACCTTCTAAAGTATGGCAAGGTCAAGGTATGTATTTTTAAACATCAAAAAAGTAATTTTCTTCTAATTTTTCAAAATGACAAATATGTGTTAAGTGAAACAGTACAATTCAAAGATGTATGAAGGCAAAACTCTCTCGTTCTGTTTCGTAGAAGGAATCAGTGTTAGCTTCTTATGTATCCTTCCACACTTTTATCTTTGCTAATGCAAACATAAATGGTTTATCTTTAATAAAGATGAATATTCCTTGAATCTTGCCTTTTTCACTTAATGAAGCAACTTAGTATTATATATATTAACTGCATTCTTTTCATCTAATTTCTTTATGTAAATAAGACACATAATTTATGTTATATATACAATAAAATATATATAAACTATATATGTATATAAGTGAAGTCATAACTTTTTAACTGCTCTTTTTTTTCCAGTTTTTGCCTGCCTCCTCTTACTAAGACCTTTCTATTTATATATTCCTCCTGCCAAGTAACTTTTGTGGGTATCTTTCCATATTTTTCTTAATGCCTACATAGTTTCAAAAACATGTATAAATAAGAAAGGGGTAAGTTTATAGGGGGTTTTGAAGATTGGCTGTCATATGTACCCAAACCTTTACTACACAGAAAAGCAGAAAACAATGCATCAGAAAATTATGACTTTTTCCCTATAAAAGTATGTCAGTATTTGCTAAACATAGTATTTGTGGAAAAGGTAAGTTGTTTTGGACATGCAATACAAAGTCCAGTCACTCCTTTTTTATTCTCCAATTAATTTTCACTTTGAAAAAGCTTGAATAAGAGGCTTCTTTAAACATGGCATAAAAGTGATGCTCTGTCAGGGTAAACAGCTAAAGCAGGCAGGGCTTAATACCTGGGTGATGGGTTTGAGTTGATAGGTGCAGCAAACCACTATGACACACGTTTACCTATGTAACAAATCTGCATGTCCTGTACATGTATCCCAGAACTTAAATTAAAAAAATGATGCTTTCATGTTGCCAATGATTATACTATTTCCTCTAAATGATGCATGCATTTCAGTTTCCCTATAAACTGAAAATAGAGAATTCCTTATTTTACTTGACCTCTTAACAGTGTTTGACAGTTCAGCCCTCCTTGAAACTTTCTTCACTGGGATTTGGGGATGCCACCTTCTTCTGTTTTTTTTCTCCTACCTCAGACTTTTTCTTCAGTCCTTTTCTAGATTATCCTCTTTTTCTTCACCTCTAGGTGTTAGAGTTTCTCAAGGCCATCTTTTTTTTCCCACTCTGCCATTTCTCCCTAGATAATCGTCTTGCTGTGACTTAATTTACCATATTGGGATAACTCCCAAATTTTTTATTTTGAATGAAGTCTGGTTTTCAGATTTTTGTACCCAACTATATATTTCTGTACTAGGAGGTGGGCACCACAGATTCAACATGTACACCAGCCTGATCCTCTTCAGTGTTCCTAGTCTAGTTAATGATACCTTTCCTGAGTTGATTCTGCCATAAACTTAGGGATAATTCTTAATCTCTCCTTTATCCCTCTTTGTCCAACCTTTCAACAGGTCATGTCATATCTACTCCATAATATGTCCTGATTCTATCCGCTTGTCACTTGCACTGTTGGCCTGTCTTACCCACATCATTATCCTCTCCTTCTTAGACAACTATAATATAATAATAACCTTCTAACTGGTCATCTTGCATTCACTTCTGCTTTTACCTGAGTCTCCACATAACAATGTATTTTTAAAATATGTAGTTTTAAAAGACAGATCTCATCCTATTCTACTCCTTAAAACAGTTGAGTGGCTATTACTCTTACCATAATGCCCAAATACTTTTTTGTAGCCTACATCATCTTAAATAATCTGACATCTTCTGTAGGTTTATCTCTATTCTTTCTACTCCAGCCACATTTGCTCCTTCGTGCCCCAGGAGCTGTGTACAAGCAATCACCTCTGCTTGAAATCTTCCTTTACACACCTCTCTTCACCCTGCTAATTTTTATTCTTCAGTTCCCACATAAATTTCACTTTTTCAGGGAAGTTTTATTTTCTCATATGAGGTTAAGTTACTTTTAAAAAGCTTTTTGTACTTTTTTTTTTAAGGACTTAATCACAGTTGTACTTTCTTACATGACACTCTTTATCATCTGTCTCTCCCATTAAACTGTAAACTCTTTGATAGCAATGACTGTCTTACTCACCTTAACATCTAACCAGGGGTCTGGCTCCTAGTAAAAGCATGCAGTGAATATTTTTTGAATGAACTGAATGATTGAATACCTTTCAACAAACTAGAACAATGTCAAATAGTAAAACTAACTTGTTTTTTGTAGCATTTCATTTAGATAGAAGAAATTCACCACCAAATAGTTTGACACCGTGTCTAAAGATTCGGAATATGTTTGATCCCGTTATGTAAGTATTATGATCAGGGGTACATGTAACTCTTATTCTGAATATTTGGCTGGAAAATGCATGATATTCTTATAATGGTGTGTCTGTAATTGAAAATGTTTTTCTTCTGAATCTCTACCACAGAAATGTTATGTTTTTCTCTTTCATTAAATTCCAAGCAAAGATTTGGCCAAAGGACACTAATGTATAAAGATTTGTAAAACTTTTATAAATCTTTGTATTCCTTATGAATCGTCATAGCAGATAGATAAATGCTTGAGGCAAATTAATGACTCACAATGACAAAGAGTACCCTTTATTAAATGTGTAAGTCATTATACATGACTGTCAATATTTTTGCCTCAGTAGAAAATATAGATACAATCACTGCTGCTTACAAATTTCAAATCTCAAATTGTAAAAAGTTTCCTACAAAGATGTATATACCTGCTTCTCTACAAAGTCCTGTCTCCACTTGTCAATATAATATTTGAAGAACTTTTCAGACTTTATAATTCCAACAACATATGCTTCCAGAGAATAGCACAGTCAAAAGTGACTGCCTTAGAATTCACAGTATTTCATATATAAGCTGTAATAGTTCTTAGAATTAGCTTCCTGAGGGCACTGCTTATCTATCCAGTGATAGTACAGATCAAATTCTGTTTGTTTTAAAAGTCCCAACAGTGGCAATTACAATATGTATACAATACCCCCAAAGTCTCATCTAATCACTCATTGATGAAATTCCAAATAAGTGACAGCAAAATTGGAAATGTGAGGAAGCAGTATGCACACGTGTTTGCACGTGGGCACGCGCACACACACACACACACACCCCCCCCACACACACAGAGACAAACACCGCCTCTATTTTGCAGAGATAGAAACAATTAGTAGTGTGATGATACCTCTGTTGGGAATCTTACCTCATGCCTTAGGAATTGGCAAGTCCACTATTTTATTACCTAAGATGAAAATTTGTGATTTGAAGTGAAGTCACTTTCCTCTCTCTCCTGCCATCTTTGTCTCACAAGCAAGACAAATGTCCCTTACTACAGCAGAAACACCTTAAAACTGTCATTATAGTAAGGTGACTGTACAAAATGTTAGTCCTGTATCAATTATTTTGGAAAAGAGAAGCTCAAATGTAGTATTTACTAAGAATTTTCTTTAGGAATTTGAACCTATCATTACAATTAAAGAAAATAACATTCGGCTGGGCACAGTGGCTCACACCTATAATCCCAGTGCTTTGGGAAGCCGAGGTGGGTGGATCACTTGAACTCAGGAGTTCGAGACCAGCCTGGGCAATGTGGCAAAACCCCGTCTCTACAAAAAATACAAAAGAAATTAGCCAGAATTGGTGGTGTGTGCCTGTAGTCCCAGCTATCTGGGAGGCTGAGGTGGGAGAATGGTTTGAGCCTGGGAGGCACATATTGCAGTGAGCCGAGATCACGCCACTGCACTCCAGCCTGGGTGACAAAGCGAGACCCTGTCTCAAATAACTAACATTTAACTTTTACAACTTTAATAAGTTCACAACTCATTTAAAGTACTTATTAACAATAGAAAGAAAACAGAAATTACTGTAAGTACACAGGATTTTTAAACATAGGAATGACCCAATCCATTTATTCTGCAGCGGTGGGCTAGTCTTTCATTGCCTCAGCTCTCTGCACTCTTTTTTTTTTTTTTTTGAGACGGAGTCTCACTCTGTTGCCCAGGGTTGAGTGCAGTGGCGTGATCTCGGCTCACTGCAAGCTCTGCCTCCCAGGTTCACGCCATTCTCCTGCCTCAGCCTCCCGAGTAGCTGGGACTACAGACACCTGCCACCACGCCTGGCTAATTTTTTTTTTTTTTTGTATTTTTAGTAGAGACGGGGTTTCACCGTGTTAGTCAGGATGGTCTCGATCTCCTGACCTCATGATCCGCCTGCCTCGGCCTCTCAAAGTGCTGGGATTACAGGCATGAGCCACCGCGCCTGGCCAGCGCTCTGCACTCTTTTACTGGAAAGTGGGAGGAGGGCTGAGACTTCTGAATTGTAATTTTTAAATCTACCTCCTGTTAGTCAACAAGCATTTACTTAATACCAATTAAAATCGTATGTGGTTTTAAAACTATACCAATTCTAGTAATATATATATGTTGTAAGAGACAGTGAAGAATTTTTACCGAGTAGGAATATGGTTGTTGATTTTTGTTTTCATTAACTTTTAGGGAAATAGGGGATCAGTGGCATTTGGCAATTCAAGAAGCAATTTTAGAAAAATGCAGTGATAATGATGGCATTGTTCACATTGCAGTAGACAAAAATTCACGTGAGGTAAAGTAACTTTTGGTATTGAATTTCATGTTTTGGATTTGTTGCTATTAAACTAAGACTATTTTCTTTCTTTTTTAATATCACAGGGTTGTGTATATGTTAAATGTCTGTCTCCAGAATATGCTGGAAAGGCTTTTAAAGCATTGCATGGCTCTTGGTTTGATGGTAAGAAATTTGAGTACTACAAACATTTTGAAAAGATAGTTATAGTTTAATTTTAAACTATACCAGATTTCAAATAAAAGAATTTAGGTTAGCATTTTTTTGAGTAATAATTTTAGATGACTTTATTTATGTTTTGTGCTCATATGTCTTTTACCACAGTTAATTTTCTGCAAATATTAAACAGTTTTACTGATCTAAAATATTATTTTTATCTTACAACAGGGAAATTGGTTACAGTAAAATATTTACGACTAGATAGATACCACCATCGCTTTCCCCAGGCTCTCACTTCCAACACTCCATTGAAGCCATCAAATAAACATATGAACTCCATGTCTCATCTTCGTCTTCGGACTGGCCTAACCAATTCTCAAGGAAGTTCCTGAAAAGATTTTCTTCCATTTCTAAGACTGTTATTTACAATAGGAAAATTCCTGTTTGGCTTTTTGTCTTCCTTTTTAAATGCTTTTTGTATGTAATATTTTTATTGATGAATACATCTCTGAACGTTCCAGAAGTCTTAAGGTTCCAAAGGGATTTAGCAGTGAGGCAGCAATGCTGAGTAGGTAGGATAATTATTTCATTCAGTTTTTGGAGCTCAGTTAAGCCAATACATTTAAAGTTTTGCATGAGGAACACTGACTTTATTAAGCATTTTCAGATGTGGTGGTTGTATTTTTGCCCCAAGAAGTGTTTGGATAACCACACAAAAGCATGATGAAAAGGCTTCTTGTAGTCCCATAATTTCTTGTGAACTAATGTTGTGAATTTTTGTATACAGTCACCTGCATAGTTCCTACAGGCTAATGTGGTAAAACTGTTGATTTCCCAATTTAACCTTAGGTTTCTGTTGCTTATAAGCGATTCATTTGCTACGGCTGGAATATGGGAAAATTAATTTGGGCTTAGTGGTTACAAATATGTGTAAGTGGATGTATATGTACTTAAACTGGCTTTGTATATATGTATAAATGCTGGTGGTGGTGAAAGTAGTCTTGTTTTATGAGGATGTCTGCATTAAAGCAGTAAAATAAGCTTTCCATTTTATTCATAATCTAATGTGTGTGTATATATGTATGTGTGTATGTGTGTGTATATATAGATGTATATATATACACACACAGAGATATATACATATGGCTGTACTTTTGCATAGATCAAACAGCCAAACACCTGGAAGTATTAGATACAAGTTTAAAATATCTTTTATAGGTTTTATATAAAAATGTCTGAGTATGATTTTGTGTGAAAGTTCTGATACCAGTTGTAATAGAGTCAAATTTATGTGAGCAATAAAGAAGAAATTGGCAGATATTGGAAAAATATTTTGTGAAAAGCTGTATTTATTATAAATACTAGGGCCATGACATAGTACCATTGGGGTTAAGTCATTTTCCCAATCTATTTATAATTTAATGATATGTTAGTGCCTCTGTTATATGTCAAGTTTAAAGCAGGGCACATTGTTGCAGCAAAATGTGTATTTGACAAATTATACTTGCAATTTTGGGTCATGAAAGTTTGCAATATAGTAAATGCACGATTGACTGTTGCTTTGTGCCTCAGTATTTAATTTGTTTCAGTAAACTTACTTTATTACTGTTTATGATTTCAGATAAAAATAGTTGCTGAGTAAATTTTACTTGTAATCTACAATTGGCTTTTTAAAAATAACCTGTTGATATATAATTGTCAGTCCAAATGAATATGTGAAACAGCTGGAATTGTACAAATTTTGGTTGTATTTAAAGCTCAGTTTCCTTTTTGTTTTATTGTATGCGTTGGGTTTGCAGCATGAACTTGCACAGATAATGCACGTTTTCTGGTTAAGTAAACATGATGCACACTATTCTGTAACAGAAAGCCCTATTGTGCCTTACCTGTGTGCTTTTGTGGGCACCTTGTTTATGAAGAATAAAAAATGATTTGTTATCTGAAGAGAATAAATTTTAAATTCTCAGTTTATGTCTCAGATGCTAACGTGTGAAAATATAAATATATATAATATATAAAGTAACCAGTCTTCCTGTATTTTATGTGCATCATAGTGATTTATCTGAGCTTAGTGACCCCCATCTTGTAACCTGTTGCAAGAGTGAATGTAAAAAATAGTTGTGGCATTTTAAAAGGTCGCCTTTGATGCAGATGCATCTTTTTCTTGCTTCTAAAACATATTTCATGTAAACATTGTACATTTATTATTGTAATATATACTATTATGCAGCTTATTTTACCTGAAACTGTTAAGCCGACCAAGATCCCTCCCTGCAAGACAGATGGGAATGTGTATAATAACTAGGTATTTGAGAAGTTCTGAAGTTTGATGTAATCTGTTACTTGTCCTGTTAAAAAAAGGAAAAAATTCTAATTAAAAATTTATTAGTTTTTTTTTATGTGTCTTGGCTTTTTAAAAACATTTTAAGTGCCCTGTGTCTGTATTTATTTTTTTACCAGTGAAAATAGGTGTCTTTAGTTTAAATGTTTGACAGCCTGAATATTTGTGCTTATAAAGATGAATGAAGACCATAAAGTTAATTTTAACTATCCTTCCCCTCAGCATTTTATTTTTCCTTATGAAAATGTCTTCATCCAACTTTCAAGTATTTGAACCAAAATGGGGCAAGAATGTCAATCAGCTACATCACAAAGCATTAGTTCTGCTAGATACTTTTTCACAGCAAGACTTTCTTAAAAAGGAAGCATTTCTTTTTCTTTTAACATTCTGACTTGAATTCTATTGCATTATAAACTATTAACAGTTCATAGGCTAGTTACTTTACATAGCATTGGTTTAGACTTTTTGATATGTTAAGTAAAAAGAAGACTAGTCAGTCATGTGGTACACTTATTGATTACTAACAAATGCCAAGTACTGTTATGTGTTAGGGATACAAAGATGAAAAACACATGACCGAATCCTCAAGATGGTCACAGTCTAGAGGAAGAACACAGAGCAGATAAAAGATAATGTGGAAAGTACAGTGAGAGCAAAACAGGCAGAGGAACTCTGGGAGTAAAGAAAGGCACCTTATGCATCTTAATATAGAGAGAAGACCTCAGGGCAGGTGAGGCAACAGCTGAGCCCTATTTTAATTCAGTTGAACACTTACTACCTCTTAATTAGTATAGATACAATGATAAAATTTCCCTTTCCCTTGAGCTCTCAGGAGAGCTTCTATTACTGTGATGAGCTCATGAAAATGAATGTGTGTGATCTGTGTAATTACAAAATGAATACTCATTGGTATGTAGATTCATGAATATCTTGTGAATATTGAAGGCTGATGTTGGGTTTTGTTATATTTTCCTTGTATTCACAGTTTGAATGGCAAGTTACGATTTCCAAGTGAACTGTGGTTTGATGTGTCATGTGCCCAGAACATTTCCCTTAATAAGATTTACCTTGCAGTTCTTCCTCCCTGCTCCTGTTGACATCACATTATTGTAAGTCCCCTACATGGCTTTTTTGCCTTTTTTTTTTTTTTCCTAGACTTACCTTGTCAAGTCACTTTTTCCAGATGACTCACACAGGGTGCTAAATCAATCAGAATTTTGGCAATCACTCTTTTAGGAAGGATGCTGAAGAACAGATACTTAAGAACTGAGATGATTAGGAACCAGAGGTTGTGCTGAATGTCCAGAATGCTCTTGACCTTTAAGAATAAACTGAGTGTCCAGAATGCTCTTGACCTTTAAATCCCATTGGTTAAACGTTATGGCTAGAAATGCATTCTCATGGTGGTTTTCTATGCCTGAGAACCTCTACTAGGGGCAACAAGATATATGCATTTTATTGATTCTTAGAGTTTAAAACCAGTAGAGCCTGTGTAACTCAGATTTACTTTTTCTTTCATGCGTAGACATTGGAGACCTGAGAATGCTCCTGAAACTGGAAAGAGGGCAATATAGGTATAGAGAGCACATGAACAAAGATTGATGAGAAACAACCCAGTTTATGCATAAACTAAAAGCAGAACTGGGTGTGGTGGCTCACGCGTGTAATCCCAACTAGTTTAGTTAAGAGGCTGAGATGGGAGGATCGCTTGAGGCCTGGAGTTTAAGACCAGCCTTGGGCAACATTTAGACCCATCTCTAAATGAGAAAAAGAGGTAGCTGGGCGAGGTGGCACACACTTGTCCCCATCTACTTGGGAGGCTGAGGTGGGAGGATTGCTTGAGCCCACAAGTTCAATGCTGCAGTAAGCTATGATCATGCCACTGAGCTCCAGCTTGAGTGACAGAATGAGACTCCATATCTAAATAAAAAATCAGTTGGCCAACATGGCGAAACCCCGTCTCTACTAAAAATACAAAAAAAATTAGCCAGGCATGGTGGCATGCACCTGTAGCCCCAGCTACTCAGGAGGTTCAGGCATGAGAATTGCTTGAATGTGGGAGGTGGAGGTTGCAGTGGGCCAAGATTGCACTACTTCACTCCAGCCTTGGTGAGCAAGACTCTGTCTCGAAACAAAAAAACAACAAACCATAAGCAGTTTCTTATGACTGAATAAGGACATCAATAGATAAGAAAGGTAGGCAATGGTCACATCTTTGTAGGTCACATGAAGATTGGATGTTGGCTATTAAAGGGAGTTTAGGTGAGAAATGGATGATAAGGATTTGTTGGCATGAAAAATAGAGAAAAGATTTGAAGAATAAGATAAAATGGGAAAGATTTGATTAATTATTGACAGAGAAACTGATATCTAATTATTTAGCATGGGAAATCTAAAATCCCAACATTTGGGGAATAGATGGTAAGGAACAGATTGGATAGGAAAAATGATAAATTGGGGTTTTGGCTATGTTAAGTTTGACATGCCTACAAAACATTTAGGTGGATGTTTCTAGCAAGTGAAGGGGGATCTACATTTCTGAGATATTTTGAGAACTGTCTGAGGGAGGTACAATTTGGGAGTTAGAACCATGACTGTGGGTTAGATGACCCAGAGAGTCCAAATGGTTAATCCCATTTCTGCCTTACTTACCTGTGTGGCCCTTAGATGGGGATTGAGGATGGGGTGAAGTAGAAAGGAAAATTTGAACTAAATTAAGAAGGTAGAATTTGAGAAGGTCTTTGAATGAAGTGAAGTTAAAGTGTAATCTAATATGACTATCACATTTCTGGTTTGGGTAGCTGGTTGGCTGGTGATGACATTCCCCAAATTATAGATTACAATTGTTCCATGGTATCTGCAGGGGATTGGTTCCAGGACCCCTATGGACACTAAAATCCACAGATGCTCAAATCCCATATATATAAAATGGCATAGTATTTGCATTGCATACAGTCTACTCATACCCTTCCATATACTGTAAATCATCTCTAGATTATTTTTATTACCTAATACCATGTTATTGCCATCTAAATAGTTGTTATACTGTGTTTTTATTATTTTAAATTTTTTTTGAATATTTTCTATCTGCAGTTTGTTTAATCCACAGATTTAGAGCTTGTGGATACACAGGGCTGACTGCACTAGAGGAGGGGAGCAAGAAGCCAGTTACGGTGCTAGATAAGATGTCCTATAATTGACAAAATAAAGCAAAATAATCTTTCTGTCTTCTCTTTGTCTATTGCAGAACATTGTTGGAGGAAGGGCAAGAGGGGGCTGTCTTTGAGGATCTCTCCTCTCCACAAAACAGAATTAACTTATAAAATGTTCTGCCATTGTCTGTGATTCTTTGATATTGATTAGAAATTCTCCTAGTTTGTAGAAAACTGAGATTTTGTATAGATCTAGAAACCTGCGGCTGTCAAAAGAAGGAATACATGCTAAAGTTGACTTTTGTCAACTTTTGAACTCTTCTTAAATGGTTTGTTTTACACTCAAAACTAGAAACTTGTTTTAGGCTTTATGTTAGACAGCCTGTGTAACTGTAGTCAAGTCATTTGGCCTGAAAGGCTTTTTCTTTTTCTTTTCCTTTTTTTTTTTTTTTTTTTTTTGGTGACTTCATTTTGTTGAAGTGATTTAAAAATACAACTTTTAAAGGGCAGTCCTATTTTTGTAGTTCCAAATGTTGCAATACTTTTTACAAAAACAAACAAAAAAGTTACTAATGTGGAATTTTAAAATTTCAGTGACTATTTTCTACTAAATAATAGTGAAATTCAAGTTGGATTTCAAGGCCTGCCTTTATCTAGACAGGTGCTGTTTCAGAGAAATATGTCAGTTGTGTAATTAATAGTTAGAATTCTAATGGCCACACTAAAAAAAGTATAAAATGGGTAAAATTATTTTTTGGATGTTTAACCTTACATATTCAGATTATCTGAACCTGTCATAAAAATGTTATTTTACATACTTCAAAATCTGGAGTATATATTATAGCTAAGGTGACCCTGGGATATATGACTTAAGTGCTAAAAGCTATACAGTGGGCACCTTATTTACAGCCTATCTTAATCAGATTTGACATTTTAATTGGAAATACTTGATCTATATTGAGATATAAAACCTACAGTTGAAACAGTAGATTCACATACCCAAGTTCTTCCCAAATACTTAAAAGTTTTAAAATTTAAATTCAAATTTAAATTAATTAGAATTAATCAAAACTTCAGTCCTTCAGTTGTACTACCCACATGTAGCCAATAGCCACATATAGACAGTGGCTACCATGAGTACAAGTCTAAACCAACCTGTACCTTTCTAGCCAAATCCCAGTCCTCACCCATCTACCTGTGCTCCAGCTGAACTGAACTGCTTGCCTGTCTTCTATATACCTAACTTTTACTTGATTCTGCTTTTACTGATAACTCTCCTATTATGCCTCCTTCACTTAACCTTCTCCAGCCACACTGGTCGTCTATTTCTCCTGTATACTTCCTACCTATAGGGCCTACACACTTGCTGATCTCTGCCTGTAACATTATTTCCCTGGGACCAGATCTTTGAATGACCTGCTTCTCCTTATTCAGGTTTCAGCTCACATCTCTTCACAGAGATCTTCTCTGGCCTTTCTCTTTTAAATTGCTGTTTTATTTTCTTATTAATATCTGAAAGTATCTTACATATTTATTGCCTATATCCCTTGCTACAATATCAATCCCCATAAGAATAGGGAGTCTTATTTTTGTGTTGTTTACTTGATTTTTAGGTCCCCAAATAGTGTCTGGCTTAAATTAGGTGCTCAGTATATATTTTTTGAATCAACCCATACACTTTATTCTGTTACTCTGCATCTAAAATTAAATTTGTGTTTTGATTCTAGGGAGTTCAATATAACTTTCAGGGACCGAATTTCTTCTTAAGTAGTGCTTTAGCAGAATCCCACAGATTTTAATGTGTTGTATTTTCATTTGCATTCAGTCCAGAATACATTCTAATTTCCCTTTTGAGTTCTTCTTTGCCCCCTGAGTTATTTAGGAATGTGTTATTTAGTTTCCTGATACTTGAGGATTTTCCAGGTAACTTTACTTACACTTTTGATTTCTAATTTTATTCCTTTAGCATCCATTGAATGATTTGAATCCTTTTAAGGTTGAGACTTACTTTATGGTCCACAACACAAACTTTCCGTAAAAATTCTATGTGTACTTGAAAAGAGTGTTTTCTGCTGTTATTTGGTGGGCTGTTTTATAAATGTAAACTTGATGAAGTTGTTTGATAGTATTATTCAAGTCTTCTGTATTCTTACTAATTTTCCATCTACCTGGTAATTATTGAGAAGGGTTATTGAAATCTCTAACTATAATTGGGGATTTGCCTATCTCTTGCAGTTCTGACAGGTTTTGCTTCATGTATTTTAAAGCTCTGTTATTACATATATAAATAATTAGGGTTATTATATTCTCTGTGTTTTGACTCCTTTATTATCATGGAAGTGATCTTTATCCCTGATAATATTCTTTGCTCTGAAATCTACTTTGATATTAAGATAGCCACTCTAGCTTTCTTTTGATAAGTGATAGAAGGGTACATCTTTTTTTCATTTATTTTTAACTTATTCATATCTTCATATTTAAACTATGTTTCTTGTAGGCAGTATTTAATTAGATCTTTTTAAAAGATCTGGTCTGATCACTCAATCTCTACCTTTTAATTGGGGTATATACGACATTTACATTTAACATTTAATGTGATTATTCATTTGGTTAAGTTTAAGTCTCATTTTGCTGTTTATTTTTTATTTGTCTCATCTGTTGTTTCCTTTTCCTTTTTTCCTGACTCTTTTGGACCAAGTATTTTTATGGTTTCATCTTATCTCCTTTGTGGCTCTTTGTTTTGATTTTAATGGTTTCATTAGGGTTTATAATATACATCTCTAACTTGTCACAACCTACCTTTAAATGATATTTTACCACTTCATGTATAATATAAGAACCTTTACAGTAATATACTTAACATTTTTCCCTTCCTAATCTTGTTTCATCGATATCATTATATATATAGTTCACAACACATTGTTTAATTTTGGTTTATACAATTATCTTTTCAAAAGATTTCAACAATGAGAAAAATATTATTATATTTACTAATTTAGTTACTATTTTCAGTGCTCTTCATTCCTTTGTGTAGGATCATACTCCACCTGGTAGCATTTTCCATAAGCCTAAGGAACTTAACTTTTCTTGTAGAGAAGGTATGCTGGAGATGAATTCTTTCAGCTGTTGAAAACAGGCACTATTCCTGGAACGTAACCTTTAGTCACTCTTACCTCTAGTCCTTTCTATTGGTTCTTTCAATTGGTAGTTTCTTCACACATGTATTGATCAGCACCTTGTAGCAAACTTGAGAGGAACCCTCCATAGATCTCTAGAATTTTCTCTGCTGCTTTGTCATCTCTGGTATTCTGTCCTGTGAACTCTAGCTACCTTGGTCTTCCCAGACTCTTGACTCTGTTTCCTCAACTCAGGGAGCCATTGGTGTCTACCTGGCATTTTTCCTTGCTGCTTCGTAGCTTGGAAACTCTCAAGGTACTATGCTGGGACAACCATCGGTCTCACCTTGTCTGCTTCCTGTTTCTCAAGGATCACTGTCCTTTGTCTTACGTCCTGTGTCTTAAAAACCACTGTTTCATATATTTTATCCAGTTTTTTTTCCAGACAAGAGGGTAAGTCCCTGTTACTTCATCTTGGCATAAAGTAGAAGTCTACAATCATTTTGGAAAAGGATAGAACCTTGTTTTCTTCATATTAACATATTTACTAACTGACTCTCTACACCTATGGGATAACATAAATTAAAGAGGAAGAGCTCACACCTGTAATCCCAGCTACTTGGAAGGCTGAGGCCGGAGGACTGCTTGAGCCCAGGAGTTCACTACCAGCCAAGGCAACATAGCAAGACCCTTTCTCTAAAAATAAAAATAGGGCGAGCATGGTGTCGCATACCTATGGTCCTAGCTACTCAGGAGGCTAAGGCAGGAGTATCGCTTGAGCTCAGAAGTTCAAGGCTGCAGTGAGCTATGATCACACCACTGCACTCCAGCCTGGGTGACAGAGCAATACCCTGTCTAGAAAATAAAAAAAAAATTAAAAAAAGAGGAAGTATCCGTAGTCTTATGAGGGCTTTTAAAAATTATATAAGAATCATTTTGATACTTGCAGGGCAAGATTGTGTCTGATTAGCAACTAACAATTAGTGCCTCCCAACATCTTTCTAAAATACGATAGAAAATCGGAAAAAGATGAAAAGTTTTAATGCCTGAAACTAAGGCTGATAACCAACCTATTGATTCAAGTAGGGAAGAATTGCCTGCAGGACTTAATATAGAATATGTGGAGCATAAATTAGAATATATGTAGTGTGCGTAGACACACACTCTTTATCACTTGAAGAAAATCAGTCCTGATGGTCTAAGAAATCAGGTTTGAGATATCCAGTTCTTCCTAAAATGCCTTCTCCCTCAAAGATGTGAGTCCAGACCAGTGGTTTGCTAGATCTGGTTTTTGTACCATTTTGTGAGAGATAACTATAAAATTTTAAATAAATTTTTGCCGGCTAGTTGTTAAACACAAATGTCATTTTGATTTTGCAATTGACCATGTTGGGAGTATTTACACCTTGGGAATCAGACTCAACAAACTAGGGTTCCTTTTTCTCCTGAGTTGTTAAACACCGTTAAACATTTACTGCGCTGAGTATGATGGTAGGTGTGGGTTGTCATATATAGCCTTTATCGTGTTGGGTTACACTCCTTCCATGTCTAATTTGTTGACAGTTTTTATCATGAAAGGATGTTGAATTTATCACATGCTTTTTCTGCATCTGTTGAGGTAATCATATGTTTTTTGTCCTTCATTCTGTTAATGTAGTGTATCACATGTATAGTTTTGTGTATGTTGAACTATCTTTGTATCCCTGAGATAATTCCCACTTGGTCACGATGAATGATCCTTTTAATGTGCTATTGAATTCAATTTGCTAGTGTTTTATTGAGGATTTCTTCATCTGTGTTCATCAGGGATACTGGCCTGTAGTTTTCTTTTCTTGTAGTGTCCTTGTCTGGCTTTGGTATCAGGGTAATGCTGGCCTCGTAAAATGAGTTTGGAGGTTTCCCCTTCTCTTCAATTTTTTGGAAGAGTGTGAGAAGGATTAGTATTACTTCTTCAAATATTTGGTAGAATTCAGCAGTGAAGCTATTAGGTCCTGAACTTTGTTTTCTTCTTTTCTTTCTTTTTACTTTTTTCTTTTCTTTTTTTTTTTTTTTTTTTTTTGAGACAGAGTCTTGCTCTGTCACCCAGGCTGAAGTGCAATGGTGTGATCTCGGCTCACTGCAGACTCTGCCTACTGGGTTCAAGGGATTCTCCTGCCTCAGCCTCCAGAGTAGCTGGGATTACAGTCACCTGCCCCCATGCCCGGCTAATTCTTTTTGTATTTTTAATAGAGACAGGGTTTTGCCACATTGGCCAGGCTGGTATCGAACTCCTGGTCTCAGGTGATCCGCCCGCCTCAGCCTCCCAAAGTGCTGGGATTACAGGCATGAACCACCGCACCCAGCCTGAACTTTATTTTTTTCTTGACCTTGCTGTGAATTAGGCTTTGGTTTAAGGGAATGTTGTGGCAGGTTTGATCCTCTATCCGTATTACTCAAACTTTCTTCATATCAGCAACAAGGCTGTATCACTTTCTTATCATTCATGTGTCTCCTGGAGAAGAATTTTTAATTTCCTTCAAGAACTTTTTCCTTTCATTCACAGTTTGGCTATCTGTTTAGTTCAAGAGGCCTAGCTTTTGGCCTGTCTTGGCTTTTTACATGCCTTCCTCTCTAAGCTTAATCATTTCTAGCTTTTGATTTAAAGTGAGAGATGTGCAACTCTTCCTTTCACTTGAATGTTTAGAGGCCATTGTAAGGTTATTAATTGGCCTTTTTCTATTTTTTGAGATGGAGCCTCACTCTTTCACCCAGGCTGGAGTGCAATGGTGCGATTTCAGCTCACTGCAACCTCTGCCTCCCAGGCTCAACGATTCTCCTGCCTTAGCCTCCTGAGTAGCTGGAATTACAGGCACCTGCCACCACCCCTGCCTAATGTTTGCATTTTTAGTAGAGACGGGTTTTCACCATGTTGGCCAAGCTGGTCTTGAACTCCTGACCTCAAGTGATCTGCCCGCCTCAGCCTCCTAAAGTGCTGGATTACAGGCATGAGCCACCGGGCCCAGCCTAATTGGCCTAATTTTAATATTATTGTTTGTCAGGAATATGGAGACCCGAGGAGAGGGAGAAAGATGGGGAAACAGCTGTCAGTGGAGCAGCCAGAACACATACAACATTTAAGTTTGCCATGTATGTGGGTGCAGTTTGTGGCATCCCAAAACAATTATGATAGTAACAGCAGAGATCACTGTTCACACATTACCATAATAGATATAATAATAATGAAAAAGTTTGAAATATTGTAAAAATTACCAAAATGTGACACAGAGACATGAAGTAAACGCATGCTGTTGGAAAAATGGCATCAATAGACTTGCTTGACTCAGGGTTGCCACAACCTTCAATCTGTAAAAAAATGCATTATCTGTGAATGAAGTATGCCTGTATTGTATTATTGAAAATCACTGGGGGGAAAACATTTACCAGCATATCTCTTACTTAAACAAACTTTAAAAACTGGATAACTATCCTGATGGCAATTTGGAAATTACTTTTAAGATGGTTTCCTCCAGCCTCTCCTCTCATTGCCATTTCTTCTCATTCTAATTACTTTGAAAGATGACAATTCTCAAGCCACCAGCAAGTAATAAGCAAGAGGAGCACTGAGACACACTCAGAGAAGAGTAATTCCAGCAATTAATAAGATTATAGAGGGAGAAATGCAAGGAGAGTACAAGTGGTGAAATATATTGAGAATGATGGTTTTCATTTTATTGGCTCAGAGTATTAGGGAAAAGACTCAAGAAAGGAAATTAGCCTAATTTCTTTTCCTCAGGAGGAAGACTAATTTCTGTATGTGAAATTAGTCTCTTTCTGAATGCAAAATTAGTCTTCCTCCTAAGAGTTGTGGACTGGCTGGGTACAGTGGCTCATGCCTATAATCTGAACACTTTGGGAGGCTGAGGCAGGAGGATCACTTGAGCTCAGGAGTTCAAGACCAGCTTGGGGAACATAGTGAGACCTTGTCTCTACTTAAAAAAAAAAAAAAAAATTAACCAGGCATGGTGGTGCCTGCCTGTAGTCTCAGCTATTCAGGAGGCTGAGGCAGGAGGATCACTTGAGCACAGGAGATAGAGGGTGCAGTAAGCTATGATTGTGCAACTGCACTACAGCCTGGGTGACAGAGCAAGACTCTGTCTCTAAAAAAAAAAAAAAAAGAGAGTTGTGGACATTAGCTTGAAATTTCGATACAGATTTGTGGAAAAGATTCTTGCAACACTTGGTTTTTGATCACAAGGTTGGATGATAGTTTAAAAAAAACACCTCAGTATGCATATGGGCCCAAAGGTTGATTAAAGGGTGATAATGAAATACAGAGAGATGGTTCTGGGGACGCACTGCTCCTTCCTACAAGCTGCTCTACAGAGTTAATAAGGGGAGTTAGTTATTAGACTTCCTTACTCCATCATCACTCCATTTTTTTAGTCCCTCCTTCATATTTTCCATCTCTTTGTCTTTCTGTACTACATGCTGAGAAACTTCTTCACATCCATTTTTGAGTACACTAATTTTATGTTCAGCTGGGTTTAATCAACTCAAAAATAGGATTTTAAAAATTTGTTTTTATGAGATATATTAGGTGTATTTATCTCAACTTTATTGAGGTATAAGTCACATATCATACAGTTCATCTATTTAAAGTGTATAATTTAGTAATTTTTAGTGTATTCATAGAGTTGTGTAAACAGCACCACAATCAGTTTTAGAATATTATCATCACCCCAAGAAGAAACTTTACACCTCTTAACCATCACTCCCAATCCTCTTAACCCTCACATTCCTAGGCAACAACTAATCTTTCTGTGTCCTCATATTTTCCTATTCTGAACATTTCACATAAATGTAATCATACAATATGTGGTCCCTTGTGGCCAACTTCTTTCACTTAGAGTAATGTTGTCAGGGTTCATCCATGTTGTAGCATGTATCAGTACTTTATTGCTTTTTATAGCTGAATAATATGTATAGATATACTATATGTTATTTATGTGTTATTAGTTGATGAACATTTGGGTTATTGCCACTTTTTTGCTTATTATGAAGAATGGTGGTATGACCATTCATATACTAGTTCTCAAATAGATATAGGTTTTCATTTATCTTGGGTATAAGTAGGAGTGGAAGTGAAGGTTGTGGCAACCCACAAGTCATATGGTAACTCAATGATTAACATTTTGAGGAACTGTCAGGCTGTTTTCCAAAGTAGCTGTACCATTTTACATTCTCACAAGCAGTGTATGAAGGTTCCAGTTTCTTCTCACCCTCTTCAATATTGTTATTATCTTTTTTAAAGCCATCCTAGTGGGTATGAAATGGTATCTTAGTGTTGGTTTGATTTGCATTTTCCCTGCTGGATTGTGATGTTGGGCATCTTTTATGTGCATATTGGCATTTATATATCTTCTTTGGAGAAATGCCTATTCAGATCATTTGCCCATTTTTAATTGGGGTATAGTCTTTATTACTGTGTTGTAAGAGTTCTTTAAATGTTGCAGATCACAAGTCCCTTATCAGATTTCGATGTGCAAATATTTTCTCCTATTTGTGGGCTCTTTACTCTCTTGATGATGTCTTTTATAGGACAGATGTTTTAAATTTTGATAAAGTCCAATTTATTTTTTGTTTTTGCTTATGGTTTGAGTATTTAAGAAACCATTGCCTAATACAAGGTTATAATGATTTACACCTATGTTTTCTTCTAAAAGTTCTATTGCTTTTCCTTTTACATTTAGGACTTTGATCCACTTTGAGTTAATTTTTTAACGTTGTGTGAGGTAGTAGTCCAACTTCATTTTTCTGTATGTGGGTATCCATTTGCAACATCCCATGAGATATCCCAGCACTGAGCTATCTGTTGAAAAGACTGTTCCTTACCCAATTGAATTGTCTTGTCACCCTTGTCAAAAATCTACTGATTGTAAATGTGAAGGTTTATTTTTGGAATCTCAATTATATTTTATTGATTTATATGTCCATCCTTATGCTAATACCACACTGTCTTGATTACTGTAGCTTTCTAGCAAGTTTTTAAATCAAGAAGTGTGAGTCCTTCAACTTTGTTTTTCTTTGTCAAGATCATGTTGACTATTCTGGATCCTTCCATTTCCTAATAATTTTGGTGGGATATGCTTCAATTATTGCAAAAAAGCCAGGTGGCATTTTGACAAATTATTTGAAAGCATGAAATGATAATTTTCACTTTATGTTTGATTTCTGCTCTATAATCAAAGAATCATTTTGCAAAATATCCCAGGCTTCATTTTTAAAAGGGTCTGTCTCTGATCATATAATTCCTTTCTGCTCTTCTTGTGGTCGTTTTTGTTGTTGTTTGTTTGTTTGTTTGTTTTTAAGACAGGGTCTTGCTCTGTCAATCAGGCTGGAGTGCAGTGGTGTGATCTTGGCTCACTGCAACCTCTGTCTCCCGGGCGAAAGCAATCCTCTCACCTCAGCCTCCCAAGTAGCTGGGACCACAAATGTGTGCCATCAAGCATGGCTAAGTTTTTGTATTTTTTTAGAGATGAGGTCTCTCCATGTTGCCCAGGCTTGTCTCGGACTCCTGGGCTTAAATGATCCACCCACCACAGCTTCTCAAATTGCTGGGATTACAGGCCTGAGCCACTGCGCCTGGCTTCCTTGTCATTGTTTTTTATCCTTTCCAACTTTTTTTTTAATTGCTAACTGGACAGACCCTGACACATTTCTGGTAATGCTTGTGATTTGAGCAGTTTTCTGTCATTTTTATTGACTTTGTGAAATCCTCCAATTTTGAGAAGTTTGCTAGTTCGCTTTGTAGTGGAGTTTCATTGAACTTATATTGTGTTTTTAATGACAATCTGCAAGACACTGACACAGACATTAACATAATGGGCAGAAATAGATGGTACTGTCAAGCAGAGAAGGATATTCAAGGAGGTACTGACTTTTTAAAGAGCACTTTTGTAAGAGAATATTTTATGTTGTAATTCCACAAATAACCATATAACCTCCACATGAGGTTATATAGTTGATAAACACTTGAATTATGAAGATACTCTAGTATGTAAGAATTTAGTATATGATAAAGGTGGCTTTTAAAATTAGTGAGAAAAGTGAATCATTCAATAAAAGTGAAAAAAAATTAAGAGGAAAGTTAGAGCCCTAATGTTACTAGTGCCAGGGCCTATGGCTTCGGCAACTGTGTTTCCTTAGAAGAGGCACAGGCTCTTTGGCTTGTAATAACTTAGAAGATCTTAATGAATTGAAACTTCCACATGGACAGTCACTCAATTTCCTCATACAAACTTGACTGACAGAGGATATCCTTCACAAAGATTTCCTATGTCCCAATAATATAACAAACGTTTAGTTGTGTTCTTGAAATTCAGGCTCTTCTCCTTACCAGGCTTCTGTCCTTACAGGACAAAAGGACAAAAGGACGATGGTTTCCTGATGCTTATTTTATTCAGGATTCTCATTTTGTTTGACAATCACCATTGGGCTCTTCTACACCGCTACCAGCATTTGATTAACAGAACCCTAGTAACATATCAGTGAAACAGGGATCCTATTAGAGGAACATGTAAGTAGCAGAACTATTCTGGAACACAGCTTCCCAACTGATGTGCCATGAATGCGTTAGATTTGCCCAAATATTAGCTTTAGAGTGGTGGCAGAACTTGGGATAGTGGAGCTCAAGGCCTAGTTGCCTCCAGCAGGTTGTAAGCAGCTTCCTTTATTGAACCAATGCACGGTACAATTATTATCCTTTTCTTTTTTTTTTTCTTTTGAGACGGAGTCTCGCTCTATCACCCAGGCTGGAGTGCAGTGGCGCTATCTTGGCTCACTGCAAACTCCGCTTCCCGGGTTCACGCCATTCTCTTGCCTCAGCCTCCTGAGTAGCTGGGACTACAGGCGCCCGCCACCGCGCCCGGCTAATTTTTTGTATTTTCAGTAGAGACGAGGTTTCACCGTGTTAGCCAGGATGGTCTCGATCTCCTGACCTCGTGATCCACCCGCCTCGGCCTCCCAAAGTGCTGGGATTACAGGCTTGAGCCACCGCGCCCAGCCAATTACTATGCTTTTCTTTGAGTGCCATTAAAGTTTGAAACAAGGTGGGGAAGCACTGTTCTAATCAATTAGCTGGGAACAAGGAGAACATGAATAATATCACTAGGCAAACACAGTCATTTGGTTTAGGGAAGAGTATCACAGATTTCAGCAGAGAATGAATGAGGAAGCGGATTAGATTTTTTTCTGACTCTAAATCACTTCAATTCTATTTTCATATTAGACTTTATATCATTAATATGATATGTATATTAGTATCAAACTTCTGCAAATTTTACTTGTTAATACTCCTCTACATATACCCAGATAAGTTCCAGGAGGAATAAAGACTTGAGAAATAGTCATAAAATAAGCAAAAGAAAAATTAGAGGAAAACATTTGATATAGGTCTAAGCACAGAGATCAAGAAATGATAAAGAAAAATGTTACATGTTTGGTTGTACTAAAAGTTGTCTCCCATTCTGCAGGTTGTCTGTTCATGCTGACAATAGTTTCTTTTGCTGTTCAGAAGCTCTTAGTTTAATTAGATCCCACTTGTCAATTTTCGCTTTTGTTGCAATTGCTTTTGACATTTTCATCATGAAATCTTTGCTCTTGCCTGTGTCCTGAATGACATTGCCTAGATTTTCTTCTAGGGTTTTTATAGTTTTGGGTTTTACATTTAAGTCTTTAATCCATCTTTACTTAATTTTTGTATAAGGCATAAGGAAGAGATCCAGTTTCAATTTTCCGCATATGGCTAGCCAGTTTCCCCAGCACCATTTATTAAATAGAGAATCCTTTCTCCATTGCTTGTTTTTGTCAGGTTTGTCAACAATATTTTTACCTAATGCTGAATAATGATTGAAATTTTATTTTATTATTTTTTTGAGACGGAGTCTCGTTCCGTGGCCCAGGCTGAAGTGCAGTGGCACAATCTCGGCTCACTGCAAGCTCCGCCTCCCGGGTTCACGCTGTTCTTCTGCCTCAGCCTTCCAAGTAGCTGGGACTACTGGCGCCCGCCACCATCCCCGACTAATTTTTTGTGTTTTTAGTAGAGACGGGGTTTCACCATGTTAGCCAGGATGGTCTCGATCTCCTGACTTCATGATCTACCCACCTTGGCCTCCCAAAGTGCTGGGATTACAGGCTTGAGCTACCGCGCCCAGCCGATTGCAAAAATATTCTTTAAAAATATTTTAACATAGACCAATATTTCAACAGAAAAGTAGTCAAATGACATCAGGAGATGATCCACAAATGAACAACTGCAAATGGCCAATAAATACATGAAATATTCAGCCACAGAAATAAAGGCAAATTAATGAGCAATTGAGAAGGAAACTGGATAAATTTGACTTCAGTTTAGGGAAAATAGGCCCTTTACATAACGGTTGGTTGTTGCGTAACGTGATGAGCATTTCTGAAGGTCAATTTGGCAATATGTAACACAAAAATATTTTAACGTTCATACCCTTTGACCTTATGTTTTAATTTTTAGGAGTCTATTCTGAAGAAATTACCAGAGATAACATGAAGATAAATGAAAATGATGTTCATCACAACTTTATTTATATTGTGACTAAAAATTAAAAGCAACTAAATCTACAGATGTGGTAATAAGTAAATAACAGATTATCATATGGAATTCTGGAAAATCATCAAAATAGTGCCTTTGAGGATTATTTAAGATGTGGAAAATACTGTCTATGAACTGCTTAAGTTACATATATATTATATCATTCATATATATATATATATATATATCTTTTTTTTTTTTTTAAATAGAGACAAGGTCTCATTTGGTCACCCAGGCTGGAGTACAGTGGCTCCATCGTAGCTCACTGTAGCCTCAAATTCCAGAGCTCAAACAGCCTCCCAAGTAGCTAGGACTACAGGCATGCCCACCATGCCAAGCTAATTAAAATTTTTTTTTGTAGACACAGGGTCTTGCCGTATTGCTTAGGATGGTCTGAATTCCTGGCCTCAAGCTACCCTCCCACCTCAGCCTCCCAAAGCATTGAGATTTCAGGTGTAAGCCACTGCACCTAGCCTCAAATATATTTCATATAAGACACTGTCAATTGTAAGAGGCACCAGTATTTTCTCTGGACCTTAAGAAAGAAAACAACAAAAAAAATGACATTCAAGGTATAGATTGTAATAGAAGACCCTAGCATAAAGTTAGGGTCAGGGTAATGAGAAGTAGACCTGTCTCTAGAAGGGAACTGTAAAGAAACCAATCAGTCCTTGTTCAGATTGTGGTTTCAACTCCTACTACCAGCATCATCTAAAAAGCTTAAGCAAAAAGAAAATTTAAAGTGCTCACAGGAGCAAGCTGTGGTTGCACCATCCACTGCACTCCAGCCTGGGTGACAGAGAGAGAACTTGTCTCAAAAAAAAAAAAAAAAAAAAAAAGAGTAGGTTTTGGGTATATTAAGTTTGAGATATCTGTTAGACATCCAAGAGGAGATGTAGAGCAGAAAGTCGTTGCTCAAGGGATGAGACAAGGATAGAGTTATACACTTGGGAATCACTGTATACAGATGGAACTTAAAGCCACATAACTGGATGAGATGAACCAATGAAATGAGCGCAGACAAGGCAGAAGAGAGTATTGGGTATTTCAACATTTCAAGATGGAGGAAGGAGCAGGAGCCAGCAAATGAGACTAAGTTGAAGGAGCTAATGAGGTAGAAGGATAAAGAAACGTTTTCAGAGGGAAATAGTGTTCAATGGTGTTGAAAACTTCTGAGGCATCAGGAAAGATGGTTTCAGTAGGTAGTTAGTAGGTATGAGCAGGACAGGAGAGGGTTCTCCCCGCCACATACACCAGGAGTGTTGGGTGACCATTAGATGATGGTCAGGTGGTTGTTAACTATTTCTCAAAGGAATAATTGCTAAAGTAATAAGTAATGACTGCCAGAGAAAGGCAGTTTTCTAATAGAAAACACCTGAGGCCAGGCGCAATAGATAGAAAACACCTGAGGCTAGGCGCGGTGGCTCACGCCTATAATCCCAGCACTTTGAGAAGCCAAGGTGGGCGGATCACCTGAGGTCAGGAGTTTGAGACCAGCCTGGCCAATATGGTGAAACCCCATCTCCACTAAGAAATAAAAAATTAGCTGGGCATGATGGCACACATCTTTAATCTCAGCTACTTGGGAGGCTGAGGCAGGAGAATCACTTGAATCCGGGAGGTGGAGGTTGCAGTGAGCTGAGATAGTACCACTGCACTCCAGCCTGGAAAACAAAATGAGACTCCGTCTCAAAAAAAAAAAAAAAAAAAAAAGCAAAAAGCAAAACACCTGAAACTGATCAGCAGCTTCCCACCAAGATCTCAGGAGTGAGGAGAAGTAACACAAGATTCTGGAAGTATGCCAACATTTAAAACCCCAAGTCAAGAGGTCAAGCTGTGTACTTGGTATCTCAAGTTGCCTGCTTGGCCTTCTTCCAAATGTACGTCCCTTCCTTCATTTCTATCATTTCCTTACTGTTCTAAAGCTTTTTAATAAACTTTCACTCCTGCTGTAAAAAAAATAAAAAAAACTTAAAAAAAAAAATAAAGTGCTCACAGTTCGTAGTTCCCTCCAGGAAGAAGAAAACATCCATCCCCCTGGCAGAAATGAACCTTAATGCAGGTAGGCAGCAATTTTCTTATTTGTAATTTTGACAACAATTTTAAGATATCATTGATTCTGAAATGTATTATTTCTATATTAGTTGTTAAAAGGTGAAAAATTGTATGTTTAAAATAATTTGAGTGTATTCTCTACACACAATTGGAAGGAAATGCTCAAAAATTTAGCAATGGAGACCAGTCTGTTGGATTACATACCTATTTTACAAAATTCACCATGAATATTTATTACACATATTTAAATGTTTACCTTAATTGAGATTCTCATAATTGTCTTCATTCTGTTTATAAAATTTAATCTCCTGTGCTAATATATTTCGAATTACTGCCAACCTTTGGCAATAAATCTCAGACAATGAGAATTTTTATAACTTCAGCACTTTGGAAAAGGGCTATGTTTATTTTGCCTGGCATGAGTTGTTATTGTTAGCAGGTATAGGAAAGGACTTCTGAAACACACCCAATCCTTCCATTGAGAGACAGGGTGGCAGGCGGGGAAGGGAAAATAGGGATAAGTGGTTACGAGCATTGTCTCTGGAATCAGAACCATGCTTAGATTTCAGCTTTGACACATACTGATGGTAGTGTGGACTTAGGCAAGTTATTTAAATAGCTTGTTTCTTCATTTTTAAAACAGTAATAATTGTGTTATCAAGAGAACTCAATGAAATAATGTAAAATGACTGCCATGTAATATCACTGTTACTATTTCTTAACTGGTCTGTGAGAGCAACAACTTGATAATATGACTTATTTTTAACATCTCTTTGCTGTTCTTCATTGTGATCCCCCTTAATGATGCTCACACATAAGACTTGTGAAAATGTATTATCTCTTCAGTGCTTCCTTTTGAAATGACATATTCCCTATTCCAGCAAATAGAAAAAAGGAGTGCACTCCTGACTAGCATAATCTTGATGCAAATACAAGACAAAAAGGGAAAATTCACAGGCCAATCTCACTGAATAGAGAAAATAGCAAAAATCCCAAACAAACCAAATTGGTCAGCAAACCAAATTCAGCAACATAGAGTGAGAATTACACATCATGGCCAAGTTGGATTTATTCCAGGAATGCAGTTTGACATTAGAAAATCAGGCTGGGCGCAGTGGCTCACACTTGTAATCCTAGCACTTTGGGAAGCCAAGGCAGACGGATCACCTGAGGTCAGGAGTTCGAGGCCAGCCTGGCCAACATGGTGAAACCCCATCTCTACTAAAAATACAAAAAAATTAGCTAGGTGTGGTGGTGAGTGCCTGTAATCCCAGCTACTCGGGAGGCTGAGGCAAGAGAATCTCTTGAAACCAAGAGGTGAAGGTTGCAGTGAGCTGAGATCATGCAACCTGGGTGACAGAGCAAGACTCCATCTCAAAAAAAAAAAAAAAAAAAAAGAAAAAGAAAAAAAGAAACAGTATAATTTGTCACATTAACAAATGAAATAAATAATATGATCATCTCAAATAGATATAGTAAAAGCATCTGATAAAATTCAACATTCGTACATCTTTTTGTAAAAAGTAATTCTTAGCAAACTGGTAGTAGAAGGGAACTTCCTAAATCTGATAAAAGATATTTACCAAAAACCCACAGCAAACATCACATTAATGGTGAATTTTCTGGTATATCCCTTTTGAGTGCAGTTTTGAATGCCCAGAAGTTTTGATGTTTTCCTTTATTTCTGAAACTTGTTGCTTTTCATTAACTGTTTTTGCTCTTTTGAAACTACTGTATCCTTTTCATTTGCTTTGAAATAGTATACCTTGCCTTTCATCTTTGCTAAATGATTCATCTTATTGTTTTCCTCAACTATTGTGTTCATAATGTCTTTCTTTTATGCTCGGTGCTTCTGCTTCAAAAAGGCAAAAATCAAAATGTAACTTTTTTCTCAATGTGAGTAACATTGAGATCCGATACCACGTATGGCAGTGTTGAAGAATTATTATCACTGGAACTAGGGTAGTGTCACTCATTACAGAGATGTCAATCTGACTGCAATGGACCAGTTTGTGCATTCCAATAGAAGACATTAAATCTTGAAACTGACTGTCTACAATCAGTCCTGTGTTATTAAAATGTTTCTTAACGTCCCTCTAAACATATAAGCTAGTATAATCTTTGTTTAACCATAGGAGTCTTAAAAATTAATTCATGTGATTACATCTTGTAACAATATGGCTCGGTTGTACGGCGGACATCCCTAGAAAATAATAGGGAGCAATATAAACAAGAGAGAAGTAGACAGCAAGAGCGATTATTTGTATAAGCCGCCATGTGGGTTGTTGAATCCCGTTTGCAGACTCAAAGAACTAGCCATGAGCCTTGTTCATTGGCCACTTACTCTGTTATTTATTTATTATTATGAATTCTACATTGTTTCATTTAATATTAGCCACATTTTAATACATAACATTGAAATAAAAGCACATTTTCAAAAATTACATTTATTATATCTAAATAAAACTCTAATTGTATAAAAATTTATCATTTTCGTGTTCTACTCTGCTTTAATAACATTTATTTACATTTATTATATCTAAAACTCTAATTGTATAAAAATTTATCATTTTCGTGTTCTACTCTGCTTTAATAACATGGAAAAATCAAAATTGCTTTTCTTGGTGTTCCCCAAGGACAGCACAATGTATTTAAAACACAACTTAGCTGTAAAACAGAACCTTTTCATATATAGATATTGGTTGAAGAAATATTCTCTGTGTAATTAAAATGTTTAGAGAAGCCATACTATTTTCATTGTGTTCAGAAAAAGTTTGTACTATAACTATATTTTGGTATAATAAAATATATTCTAGTATTAGATTGGTACAGTGAATTCCTATTTACCTGGAATAATTATTAAAAATGTGTCCTGGTAAATTTAATATTACAGTTACCTAAGAGTTATAACTGAATTAAAAGATAATTTCAAAAACTTCACAGCACTAAAACTATAAGCAGCTTAATTTAATCTTTGATGAGTTAGTAAACAATTCAGAAACTTACAGTGCCTCATTTCATAATGAACCTCACTTATTGTAGGATAAAACTGAAAATTCTAGTTATTTGATTTTTCTGATTAGTTGGATTATGAATAAGCCATGTATTTCGGAAAGGTCATGAAAGCTGTGTCATATATACACTCACGTATTTTCCTATTAATCTTTCTTACCCCTGTTATGGGCATTACAGAAAAGAGAGATTAAAACTTATGCCCTCATCCCCACTGGGAAGCAGACATGAAAATTATTCCAGTTACTCTAAACCAGAGTGTTTCAAAGAATGATCTGTGGACAACCTGTCTTAGAATTACCTTGAGTATTTGTTAGATATGCAGATTCCTGAACCATTCACCAGACTTGCTGAATTGCTGTGTCTGGGAAAGACCCCAGGATATTAACGAACTATCAAAGTAATTCTGATTTTTAAGTTTGAGACCCACTGCCATACAGTTTCTGGATATGATTTGAGGTATCAACCTAGAGAGGATCATCAGAGCAGCTCCAAATAATTCTTCCCATGAATGTTGATATAGGAAAAAGAGTGACAAAGATTGAAATGGGTGTGTTACTTCCCACAGAGTAGAAGAACAGGAAATAATATGTTATGCCATCAGGCCAAAGGAATTTTAGAGGCAAAGTTGGAAACAGTTTAGAGCTATTTCATTCATGTTGCTAATATCGATGCTTACTTAATATATGGAGTTTCCAATATATTTTTCCTTATTGATATGAAGTAACATGAAATTTGCTGACTCCCATTTGATTCATTTGGAAGATGGTTTGATTGCTTTAAAGCCTTGCTTTTACTTCAGATACTGTAGTAAATGTCTCTTCCGGGTCTCTTTCCACTAAATGTTTTGAATTTTTCAGAGCTTTGGTTGTGATACAGTTACATATTTTCATTAACATGAGCAAATTTTACTTGTTCTTGTAACTGTTATCACTGGGAACAGAGTATAAATGGTTTCTACGAGGAACTCTTATTTTTATTTCATTTTATGTTACCATGAAAAAATAAGTGGTTGATGGTTTATTTGGTCTATTTGTTTTCCCTACGAGAGTTGAAACATATAAATTACACTTTACTCATTCCCCCCACCACTATAAAGTGTCAGTCAACAGCATGTATTAAGTATTCTTTACCCTTTGAGGAGTCACGAAAGGAGGCAGACTCTCACTTCCTTTGCAAATCTCTTTATTACTATTGAGATTTCAGTCAGTATCCAAGTCCTGCCAAGTTTTTCCCTATATCTCTACTATCCACATATCCAAAAGTGAGCATGGCTCACTTTTGCTCAGGAGCAGCTTTCGTTAGGCCACAAGCTGGCCATGAAGGTTGGCCTTACTTTCTCTTCCACTTGTCTAGTCCAAAATACCCTCAACAGGCCAGGGACAGTGGCTCACACTTGGTGTAATCCCAGCACTTTGGGAGGCCGAAGCAGGAGGATCGCTTGAGCCCAGAAGTTTGAGACCAGCCTGGGCAACATGGTAAAACTCCATCTAAAAAAAAAAAAATTTTGCCAGGCATGGTGGCATGGGCCTGAGGTCCCAGCTACTTGGAAGGCTGAGGTGGGAGGATCCCTTGAGTCCGGGAGATGGAGGTTGCTGTGAGCCGTGATCATGCCACTGCACTCCAGCCTGGGTAACAGAGCCAGACCCTGCCTCAAAAAAAAAAAAAAAAAAGAAAAAGAAAAAGAAAAAGAAAGAAAGAAAGAAAAACAGGAAAAAAAAGAAATAATACTCCTCAGGGATGTGGACTGCAGGCCTTTTGTGGCCTCTAGCTTTACTGTGGGCTGTTCTTGGGTACTGTCAATCATCAATTGTGAATAACAGTCTTTCCCTGTATCTGCAAGTGGGTGGAAACCATACCTCTTCTTCTTGCTGCTTTGACCTTTCAGTCTCCACAAAATTAGACACCAGGGCCTGGTAAGGTGATTCCAGAACAGAATTACAAAGTAGGAGAGACAAGGGTTAAAGTTTTGCAGCTCTACTTCGAATTTCCCCTTGTATCACCCAAGGGTCTTATGGTTTCAGACAGAGAGTCACCTTCCTGAATGCTTCTGCTTGACCTGCTGTAGATTCAAGTTATTACTCCAAATGGATCCCCTTCTTTGAATCTTTCAACTGTCCCTACTCCTCCACTGAAAGGAGCCTTATAGTCTGAGCCCTTCTTCCTTCCCACCCATACCATACACTGTCCAATCAAGTAAGGCCACAGGTTTGGGCTGCGAGGACCACACTGGGAAAAATATCCCTGCCTCTCTCTGTGTGTGTGTGTGTGTGTGTGTGTGTGTGTGTGTGTGTGTGTCTGTGTGTGCACGCGCTCATGTGTGTAGGTCGGGGGATGATTGGTGAACTGACTGTGGGTCCTCCAATCCATGTTTCCTATTCAATATTCCCTCCAGCAGGAACTCTGACCCTAGGGTTCCTTTGCTAACCAACCCATACATTAAACATGCACATGCACACACTTATACACATTCATAAAGATTATACAGCATAGTATCAAACCTGTATTGAGAACAGAATGTATCCACGATACTAATAAAGCTCATGCCCTGGCTGGAAAAT
Source organism: Homo sapiens (assembly GCF_000001405.40). NCBI lineage: Eukaryota > Metazoa > Chordata > Mammalia > Primates > Hominidae > Homo > Homo sapiens. The sequence continues at coordinate 65,271,772 of NC_000012.12, forward strand.
AAATAGATCTGTAAAGAAAACTGACATCTTTACTGATCTCTTCAAGATTTTCAAGAGAGCTGGACTAACAATGAATTTCTCTCCATTTCACACTGGTCACATTACACAAGTTTTTTGTTTGTTTCAGAATTTGCCTCTGACTGAAATATGGGGACTTATGGGGTGTGAGTGAGTTTACCAGTTTCTCTCTAGGGCTGCCAGGTTTAGCGAATAAAAATGTGGAATGCCCAGTTAAACTTGAATTTCTGGTAAACCATGAATAATGTTTTAGTGTAAGTTTGCCCCATGCAATACTTAGGATATACTTATACTAAAAAATGTTTTTGATTTTTATCTAAAATTCAAATGTATCTGGGTACTCTGCATTTTATCCGGCAACTTTTTTCCTACCATATCTCCTTGTTCATCTTGAGTCTCACTGCTACCATTTAGTCTAGGGGTCCTCATCATCTCAAGTCTGGGTATCTGCAATACTTGCCTGGGTGAGCTTCCCAACACTACTCTTCTTCCAATCTTCTCCACCGCCCATTTTTTAGAACTGTTTTCTTTCCTTTTCTCTTTCTCTTTCTCTCTCCTTCCTTCCTCCCTCCCTCCCTCCCTCTTTCTTTCTCTTTCTTTCTTTTTCTTTTTCTTTCTTTCTTTCTTTCTTTCTTTCTTTCTTTCTTTCTTTCTTTCTTTCTCTCTCTTTCTCTCTCTCTTTCTTTCTCTCTCTCTCTCTTTCTTTCTCTTCCTTCCTTCCTTCTCTCTCTCTCTTTCTTTCTCTCTCTTTCTTCCTTTTTTCTTTCTTTTTTTTCTTTTGACAGTCTTTCTGTCGCCTGGGCTGGAGTTCAGTGGTGCAATCATGGCTCACAGCAGCCTTGACATCCCAAGCTCAAGTGGTCCTCCCACTTTAGCCTCCCTAGTAGCTGGGACTTCAGACACTACACCACATCTGGCTAATTAAAAAAAATTATTTTTTTATACAGATGGGGTCTCCCTGTGTTGACCAGGCTGTTCTCAAACTACTCAAGTGATCCTCGTTCCTTGGCCTCTCAGGGTGCTGGGATTATAGGCATGAGCCACCACACCTGGCTAGAAGCTACTTTCATTAAGTTCTCTTCCACCCAATAAATTATGATGACTCCTATTGCTTTCCAAAGTGACTTCCAGTCAGTGTGTACTTATATACCACATTTTAAGCATTTTAATGTAAACTTTTAAGTTTTCCTTCTTCTTTCACATTCCACATTTGGTCTGTCAGCAAATCCAGTGGGCCTCTCCTTCCAAATATATCTGCAATTTAATCACTTTCCACCACCGCCACTGCGTATTCTCTACTCCAATCACCTCCTGTCTCACCTGGGTTATTTCAAGACCTCCTAACAAAGTCTGTACATGCCTTATCAGAATAGCCAGAGTTATTCTTAAAATGTGAGTCAAGTAATGTCACTGCTCCACTGAAAACGCTATGATAGCCTCCCATCTCCCATAAAAGCCCAAGTCTTTATAATGACCCATAAGATCCTGTAAGATTGCCTCCCAGGCCACAGCTCCTAATGTTCTCCCCATCTCCTCACTGCCCTTTTTACCATCTACTCCCTAACCTGGCCTCCAGGATGGGCCTCCTATGGAGCAGGCATGCTTTCACCTTGGGCGCAGCCTTTTGCTTGCTGTTCCCTCCTCTCCCAGGTATTTGAATGGCTTGCTTTCTTCTTTCACGTCATTACTCTCACTTCCCCAACACTTTTAGCAATGTTTTCTGCCTTATTTATCTTATCAGTAGTTACTACTCTTTAACTTACTAAATATTTTACTGATTTATCTTGTTTATTGTCTATCTAGCACATAGCAAACATTTGGTAGATATTTGAGTGAATGAATGAATGACTGCAAAGATGATTTCCCTTGTTGAAGATATTTTTAAAATTGCATCATATATTTTGATGGCAATTCTAAAAGTGGTTTTCACAAAATAGTTTGAATAATCATTAAATGTGTGTGTAGTCTTCTAACATTATTGCTTTGAGTGAGTTAAAAAATTTTTAAAATTATAAAAATAATTACTGTTAGTAACTTTAGGTATAAATATAAAAAGTAATTTTGAAGAAAAATGTGTTGAAGAGATTACTAAATCTGAACAGATTTCCTTAAGAGGTAATTATGAATACAAATGTAGGACTCTGAGCTGTGAAGAGAAACTGAGTCATGAGTCATTTAAGACAGAGAAAATCATATCAGATAAGGCTTTAAAGGCAAAGAATGACTTTGCAGTGATTGAAAGTTGGGAGGCAATAATAAAAATTAGTATTAGTACCATATTGATATGTATTAAGGACGTACCATATGCTTGCATGGAGTTAAGTGCTAAGCACCATGTGTGGTAGGTACTTTCACTTTTCCATTTTATAGACACAAGTATCAAGGCTTTAGAGAAGTTACTTGCCCACTGTCCCAAAGTTTTCATGGTAGAAGCCACTCTTGGATAGATGTGTCTGATACCAAAGCCCAAGTCCCTGACTCCTGAGTGGTCCTGACTCTTATGTGGCCATTGGGCTATAACAGCAGCTTGCAGGGTGAAAATCCCTTGAGGCACCATTTTGGAGAACAACATGCCATTTTCCCGGAAACCTAACACAGCTAGAGTTTCCTCTACCACTGGACCAGATTGTAGCCATTTTGGCTGAACAACAGATAAAAGAACTGATCTGCAGTTAAGGCCAAGTTGTTTGAAAAATATACACTTTTAGAATTGGACATACATACCCATAAGGTGAGATGCTGGCAATACAAGAAGCACTTTGGAACAGAGACTGAGTGAATAAAGAGCAGAATCAAGTCTCCTATCAGAATGCTTCTGTACCACTTAAAAAGTTAATTCTTCTCCTTGCCCTGTTCTGTGTGTGTGTAGTTGATTTTTGCCTATTCCACTTTACGTTATAAAACCTTGCCAAAAGCCACACAGCTTTGCTGGTCTAGAGACAATTACTTAATTCTCCATAATATGGAAAATCTTGTTAAATATTTATTACTTACTGCAGCATATCCAAAGCAAAATCTGGCAGAGTCAGGCAGCATGTCAATCACGGGAGTATAGGCTTCAACTTCCTCCAGAATTAATCAACAAAAGGGATAGCTTCGACTGTGTCAAACAGAAAATACCATCATCGGAGATGCAGGCAAATAACTTTACTGTGAAAAGAAGGACAATGGTTACTTTAATTTGGTCTTCTCTCTCTGCTTAGGAATCCCACCTGATTTCCTGGTAGTGAGTGCTTATTATTTTAACACACTTGGTGACTGGGGGCTGGATGATGTCATGGCAATGGAGATCATTTTTCAGAATCTGAGAGAAAAATTCAGATGTCTCCCTTAGCCAGTCAGTATTCACGGTGTGCCCCCGACATTGTTGAGGACAGTTCTCAACCCTATTCCCACTGTAGCACATTGAGGCAAGAGGTATGCTTCTATCAGTGTAAGGCAGTGTTCTCAGAGGTGAGAGTATTGACCGCCCACTTCCCACTATAGGAAAGCAGAATTTGGGGAGTTTGTATTGAGTGTAGTTTGAAGAATTACATCCCCCTAAGAGGTATTACTCTCACTCTCCAATTGAGTATTAATTGGTTTAGAACAGTGGCACTTGTTTTGCAGTTGTTGGCATCCACCTAAGATGTTTCTTGGTATATGTGAAGTGGGGGCTGTCCCAAGGCTTTGTGCAGTGTCTGAGGAGATTTTATTAAAGAGCTGAGAATAGCACCTTGGGCAGGTTACAGCTTAGATGCCTTTCATGTTTACCTATTCTTTTTGAAAGAGGCTGCCCCAAGCACAGCCCTATAAAAAGACAGCAACACAGTCTGTTTATTTAGGATGGGTGGCCATGTTCTGTTGGCATGTGACCTTCCCATCTTAGCCACAACTGAAGAACTAGCACCTGGATCGGGGGCGGCCAGTGGCTTGTGAGACAGACTCAATATAAGAATGGTGATAGAATCAGATTCTCCCCCCTGGGGCATTTGGTTATGAGATATATGGAGAGAGTTGGCACCTGGTTGTGGGAACAGAAGTGGAAATACAGGCAGAGAGACAAAGAGCTGTGGTTACACAACTTGAATTATTGTGTGTTCTGAAGACATTTCATGAGTTGCAGCTGTGGTATGCCAGAGCTGGCTCTACGGCCCCAAAAACTGGTTGTGTGGATCCCTTCCCAACCCTGCCTTCAGAGACATCTGGTTGGTGGGAGTATTTGTACCATGTGAATTGGTTAATACTGTAGATCAGGGCCCCTAGCCCTTTCATCCAGATCTGGTTGTTAAATGTTTACCAGCACACCACTGGGTTGGGGGAGGGATGGTGTAGGAAGCAGGCAGAAGCAGCTACCTCCTCTGGGTCTTTACCCTTAAAATCAATGTTGAATGGAATATGGTAACATGATTGTTATTAAGGCTATAATAAAGAAGACATTTAAAAAGCATTGTAAAATACATGATTAAAATATCAATGGTTAAACTACAAAACTTATAGGAATGTGGTCAAGGGGGTAGTACCTTTCCCATTCCCCTAGCTTTCAAAGGCACAGGCCCCGCCCACCATGCCTACAAAGGATGATCTGACAAGCCAGGTAAGCCTCTGGTCTTATTTCCACATGTATTCTTTACCTTGGTTACTTGAGGTAACCTGAGTGCATACCAGTTACTTAAAACCAAAAGCGCCCAATGAATACAGTTTTTGAATGCCACTTTTTTTTAATGTAGAGAAAATAAGACAGATTAGTATGGTAAAAGTATATATGCACTTTAGAATGAGGATTTAATTCTAATACTACTTCACTTCTTCCTGGTAGCATATTACTTACCTATGCCTCAGTCTCCTTAGCTGTAAAATAGGGATAAAAATAATCTCAGAGATATTTGTAAGAATTAAATGAGATATCAGTTATAAAAAACATCTAGCACAGTGTCTGGCACTTATCATGCACTTAGTAACTTTAGTTCTTTTCTGCCACTCTTAGCATATTTATTCAAGCCTTTAGAATAGTGGTTGGCATTGCTGACAGTGATGTCAGCTATGTTGATACAATGAACTCTCTATTTTTACTAACATGAATTGGGTTGTAATGATATTGCATTTTTTATAATTCTATATTTTTGTATGTAAGGTTCTTCACTAAAATATTTTAAATATAGGCATAATTATTGCAATCCTTTGAAACATGCTTTACACTTAGGGAGCTTCTAAATTCCTTTCTACAAATGGCTGTGCCCATTTTATTTTTGTTTTTAAACAAACATTTGGACTATGGGCAAAGAACTTTGCAAAGTGTTGTGGGGGAAGTAGAAAAACAGACACTTATGTAACACAAGGCTATAAAAAAAGAGGAAACGGAGGGAATACTGAAGAGCTTCTTCAGTATTTCCAACTACCTAGGTTCTAGGTACCTAATTAAATAGTCATGTTATGTGTCATTTAAATCCTTTATTCATTGCATTACAATTTATTCACCATTACTTTATCTGGGTCATCTACCCTTAGTCCCATTATAATTGCCAATGCATTAAGGGTGACATTTGCCCATTTGCTATATGTAATTCACAGGATGTGGTGTTTTTCAGTACCAGATGTTTTGAGGGGAGCCACTTGCAATGGACTGTTTTTTGGTGTATGTGTTTTAATAGTTTGCCAGAACTGAGTTTGATTTGAAACAACGTTCTTGATTTTCAAATACAGCATTTTCAAACAAATAGTGTGATGTACAAATTACCATCACTTTAGTTCACGTTGAAATAATCCACACTCTAAATCTGTTTGACATTTACCCCTTAAGTATTTTGGATCAATAAATCATTTCTGTATCATCTAGCATCTTAAAATGTTCGTAAGTAACTACTTAATACCCTACATATCCAGGTCCTGTCCCATTAGTTTGAGGGAAAAAATATATTATAGTAATTAAGACATAATTATGTTGTCTTGAAAAGCTAAGGGTCATTTGGACTTGATTACCCAAGGAGTTATCAGTGCCAAGGAAAATTAGGCAACTACAGGCTTGGGCCTGTAATTAAACATCTAGGACTGACATTTTGTTCATCAGAGGTGGCACCTTCTGAATGAATTACACCATTTCATTTTAGACAAGCTACGGTACATACAAAACAAGTGTGTGGAGGGGGTTGGGGGGTGGACATGAATAGAGATTGGAGGTGGAGAGAAAGACCGGTGTAAACTTAAGCATTTTGTTGTGAAAAACTACTGTTCAGCCAGCCTGCCTGGGCTCCATATATGGTGTTCAAATATAAGTTTGGGACGAGCACCTTTGCAATTTTGGCCAAGAACACACACACACTCACCCTCCTCTGCTAGAGAGGGCCCGCTCACCTGGAACGCAGGCGGCTGGTTCTCCGTATTACAGTGAGTGCTCGTTCTGTATGTATAGGATGGCCAAGTAACTAACTGGCAGCCCTGCTCCTGCCTCACTCTCCCACAACTTTTTATCCCCTCACCACCAACGCTCTCAACAACCCCTGACACGTCTTCCCACAGGTCCCTGGCTCGCTGTCCGGTCTCTTCGTGTTGGTTTGTCCGTTTCCCACTCCTTCAGCGGTCTCAGGTGGAACACGCCAGGTGGGCGCTTGGCTGTGTTCTGGGGTCCCGAGTTGGAAAGGGATGCCCCCAGGCAGAAGGCGGCCGGCAGCCCTGGGGCAGAGGAGGACGAGGGGGAGGAGAGGAGCAGGAGGGCAGGGCAGAGAAGGAGGAGGAGGAGGACGGTGCAGAGGAGGAGGAGGAGGAGGAAGAGGACAGGGCAGAGGAGGAGGGAGTTGGCGGCCGCCGAGCCCCGGGCAGCGGGCCCCGTCCGCGGCCGGCGCGCTCCGTGGTCCTCCCTCGCTCGTCTCCTATGCTCATATTTGGACTCGGCTGCCCGTGCCCAGGAATTTCCCGTCATGCCTCCCGCCGCCCCGTCCGTCGCCCGGAGCCGGGGAGGGAGGGAGCGAGGTTCGGACACCGGCGGCGGCTGCCTGGCCTTTCCATGAGCCCGCGGCGGACCCTCCCGCGCCCCCTCTCGCTCTGCCTCTCCCTCTGCCTCTGCCTCTGCCTGGCCGCGGCTCTGGGAAGTGCGCAGTCCGGTAAGTTCGGGCTCCCCTCCCCTCTCCTCCTCGCCTCACCCCTCCCACCCCGACCCTGCCACGTTAGGGTGTGACCCCGAGCCGGGATTCCATTCTGCGCCTGCTGCGCCCCCTCGGCCACCTGCGGGGACAGCCCCTGCCTCAGCCGAGAAGGGGAGCAGAAGGGTTGCGCCCCGCGCCAGCGGTGAGGGGCCGAACGGAAGGAGGTCAGGGCTGGTTTCCCCCCACCCGCCGAAGGGAGGCGTCTGGCAGCCTCACTGACACCTTATCCTGTCCCGGGAGCGAACCTGAACCCGCGGGAGCCTCTCGCCCCGCGCGGGCCCAGGAGAGAGGGATCTGGCGGGGCAGCCCGCGGGAGGCAGGGGAGGGGTCCATCCCGGAGCCCTCTGCTCTGTGCGTCGACCCTGCCGGGGTTGCCGCTCAGATAACGGGCCCGAGGCGTGGGAACCGGCCCGCCAGGCCTGCGCTTTTCGCCGCGCGCCTCGGAGAGGACGGGGGTGCGGGGCGGCGGGCAGGCGGCAGGGAGGGGCGCACCCGGGAGCGCACCCGCCGCCCGCCCTCCCTGCGCTGCTGCCCCGCTGCTGGGCCAGACTCCAGCGGGCCCGCCTGGCATTTCACAGGCCAAAATCGAACAGAACCCCGAGTTTGCCAGGTATCAGTTTTGCTTTGTTTTTAAGCAGAAAAAGGCATCCAAGTCTATTTTTGAAGTTTTACACTGGGCTATTTCGAGTCAAACTATATGAATGAAAAGTGCTGTTCCTGCCTTATTTGGTTTAGGGCTAATAGCTATCGGAAGTGGCAGTTATGAAGTCGTTACAGTAAGACTTTATAAGATAATCTTCTTGAATCATGTGGGAACTGTTGGGGGGAATTTAATATCAGATTATTATTTTAAAAAGCAGTTATTTTAAAGTACAAAGGTAGGGATAAAGGTAAATGTGAAATTGCATGGACTTTTACGTTTGTGATGAGTAGTCGTCAAAGCTTCTTGCTTCTTAATTTTATCGGGAATGGAAGAATATAAATTATAATTCCTTAGAGCTGAGATTTCTTAGGAGATTTTAGTTTGCTTTTGTTTTTTCTACCAATAGACTAAATTGTCAAATAAGATATGGCAAACTAGGACTCATAAATTAGTTGAAACATGACTCTATGAAGCATAGATTATATTCAGTACTCTCTGGTTTATCTCTTCATATTTTCATTTGCAGCGCTGGTGGCAAGATCGATTTTCAAAAACAATTTTGTCTATAAAAAAACTTCAGGGTTCATATAACTTATAAAATTGTCAGTTCAGATTAATGGCAGATATTTACAATATTTAACTTTATTCAATTTGCAATTTGTAAATAGTAACTTGAGCAGTGATATCAGTTTCATGTTTCTTTCTGCATAGTATTGTTTTTCAAAAAAACCCTGTTTTTTATAGATTCATATTTTGGAAGTAACTTTAATAGCACTTCTTGGGAAATACAACAGGTTCTAATTTCACATTTTTCAATGGATTTCTAAAAAATACTGTGCTGGATAGTGAAGAGTGGATTTTATTGCCAGGAAACATATGTATGCTTTCTTTTTCCTCAGTGATGTGTTGACTTACCTAATACTTGTGGTGAAACGGCCTTCGAAGACCAGAATCCACTGTACTGGCCCCTTGCCAGTAATTTTGAACATCAAGTTTATATTTGGACCATTTAAACATATATTCTTTTAATTCCGGTCCCAGCTGATATATCAGTCTAATTTCTGATGACTTTTATTAGGGCCCTATATGAATATCTGGAAATTTTTATATTAAGATAAGTAGCTCTTTGCTACTTATCTAGAATTTTGTCACAGTGCTTAAACTGCTTGTATGGCAAGGTTGCAGCATACAATGTAATTTAGATTTTGAATCAACACACTGCTTTTTGTTTTTAAAAGTGCTTGTTCTAATATTTTAACTAAGATGTTAATCCATTAAGTCAGAAATCCTTGCTATTTTGCTCAACTCAAAAGAATATCCAAAGACTATCCCAACAGTAAGGTTCATCAGTTTTTCTAATACATATGCCATTTAATAATTAAAAATAGATTTTAAGGCCACGTGTGGTGGCTCATGCCTGTAATGCAACACTTTGGGAGGCCAGTGTGGGAGGATTGCTTGAACCCAGGAGTTCGAGACCGGCCTGGTCAACATAGGGATACCCTGTCTCTACAAAAATTAAAAAAAAATTAGCTGGGCATAGTGGCTCACTCCTGTGGTCTCAGCTACTTGGGAAGCCAAAGTGGGAGGATTGCTTGGGCCAGGGAGATCGAGGCTGTGGTAAGCCGTGATCACACCACTGCATTTTTGGTTCTGTCATAATCTGGTCACAATCCCTCTAATTTATCTGCACCTGTATAATTAATTTATCATAGTTATGGATTTGGTTGATGAATTTGATTCCCATGTTTAGCTTCTCGGTAAAATTATTAAGTTGGACAGTTTCCATGTCTCTTCTAACTCCAAGATCCTATAATGTTGTTTTTGTTTATGTAACTCTTCAGAGCCACCTACTACATGTGGTTCAAACTTCTGATTGTCAGCCTGTGACTTGCTATACATGTCAAACTGGCCTACCTTAGCCAGATGTGATGGGTGTGGTCCAGTGTTGGAGAGTCCGGATCTGTCTCAGGATTGTGTTAATACCTGGAACATGCACAAAGATACATACATACCTGGACAGATTCCGTGTTAAGCTTCTATCACTTTTTCTTCCTCATCTAATAGCAGAAAGTGCTGATTATGTCATAGGGTAAATGCCTAACTGGTTTTTGGGGATAGTTAAGCCCAGGCCTTAAGACAGTTTGATATTCAGTTTTGTTATTTAGGTCTGGGTTAGGGATACCGCCAGAGAGCATCCAAACATTTCTGTGGTTGGGAAGGCTAGTTATCTGTGAGCATTCCAGATGAAATAGCCTATAATGGGTTATCACCTTTTGATCTTACCTCAGAGAAGATTGAATTGGATCTACCTATCTGATTTAGCAGAATTAAACTGGATTTGGATGGAAGGGTAATCAGCTATTTAATTTGCCAGTTGTTAGTTAGCATTTCTTCTTGCTGTATCTCAAGGATTTACTTTGAATATTCTGTATTTTCTCTTTCCTGCCCATGATGGGTTTTCCTTTTAAAATGCTCAGCACAGGCTGGGTGTGGTGGCTCACGCCTGTAATCCCAGCACTTTAGGAGGCCGAGGCAGGCAGATCACCTGAGGTCAGGAGTTTGAGACCAGCCTGGCCAACACGGTGAAACCCTGTCTCTATGAAAAATACAAAAATTAGCCGGGCATGGTGGTGGGCACCTGTAATCCCAACTACTCAGGAGGCTGAGGCAGGAGAATAACTTGAACCAGGGAAGCGGATGTTGCAGTGAGCCAAGATCATGCCACTGCACTCCAGCCTGGGCGACAAGAGCAAAACTCTGTCTCAAAAAAAAAAAAAAATTGCTCAGCACAGTCCCTCATCCATGTTCATATATTTGTCTGTATAGTATGCTGAAGTCATGTTTATGGCTTTAAGGGAAGTACAAAAAAGGAAAGTATAGAAAAGATCAAACAAACGCATCGAACAATTGACTTTATGAAAGATTTTGGTTATTGCCTCATTTAAGCTTCTATTGCAGTAACAGAAATGAACTAGTTTTAGCAAAAAGGAAGAAAGGAATTTGTTGGAAAACCATTGGAAGTCAAATGCAGGCAGACCTCATTTAGGGCCTGAGATAAGGGACTGGAAAAATCTAGAACATTCCCTGTCTCTAGTTTGCTTCACTGTTTTTTCTTTGCTGGTGTTTTTTTTTTTTTTTTTCTCTTCATGGTTAGATGTGGCTGCTCAGCAGCTCCTGAGTATTTATGTGTCCCTTCATAAGGAGGGACTATATTATTGAGCCTTGATCCTAAATTCCTGGGAGGTAGAACCTGATAGACACAGTTTAGGTCACATGGTTGACCTAGATTTTCCCTAAAGTCTCTTCTAATTCTAGAGTATCTGATGTACGTAGTACAGCCATGTAGATGGTTTGATTTTGCATTTTTCCATTTTATGTTATGAGGTTATAGTCCTTAAAATGAATTGTGAACATTTTCTCTGATAACAACTAATTCACTCTGCAAATAATCATCTGCATATTTTCAGGAATTCACTGAATAAAATGCTGACCTCCAGTGGCTCTTTAGGATAAGTTCATTAAAACTATAAGTGGTAGAGATATTTGAAACAGTAATAGCTTAGGGACTGAGAATTTATCAGTTGTTTTCCTATTTCTCACACATATCTAACATTTTCTGTCTCTACCTTTCCTTTAGGCTGTTCCTACTGCCTGGACCTCTTCTCTATCACAACAGGTTGAAGTCTTTAAGGCCTCTGTCAGATGGTAGTTTGTGACATTTTCTTCATACCACAGAATTTGTAATTTCCTTGTGCTTCTAAGGTGTTTTGGACCATGGTTGGAGTACAAGTTTTACTATATTGTCTTGTGTTGTAGTTAAGTCCATATATATTCAACTTCACTAAACTATAAATTCCATATGTCAGTGAATCACCTAGAATTTTTTTTTTTTTTTGAGATAGGATCTCACTCTGTCACCCAGACTGGAGTGCAGTGGCACACTCATGGCTCACTGCAGCCTCGAACTCCCTAGAATCAGGTGATTCTCCCACTCCAGCCTTCTGAGTAGCTGGGCCTACAGGCACCTGCCACCATGCCCAGCTAATTGTAGTATTTTTTTGTAGAGATGGGGTTTCACCATGTTGGCCAGGCTGGTCTTAAACTCCTGACCTCAAGTGATCTGCCAGCCTTGGCTTCCCAAAGTGCTAGGATTACAGGCATGAGCCACTGCACTCAGCTAGAAGAATTCTGATAGGCTCTGAGCATCCATTGTTCCAGGTATAACAATTCTGACTTTTTCAGATACTCTGATGCTTTTATGGTATCCTGCTTGCTGCTGTCTTCTTTTGAAATTGGAGTTCAATCACTCTGCTTTTCTTTCTTAATACTTGTCTGTTTCCTAGATTTTACATGCTTTTCCATGAACACTAATTTCCTGTATGAAGAGGGAATATACAAATGATAGGATGCTTTCCTGTAACTGAGATGGCAGGGGGAAGGAGAGGACAGCAACTCATACAGAAGGAAATCAGCTTTTGTTGAGCACCCAGAATTTACCAGATCAGATAGAGAGGACAGGTGTAGAAGAAAATGAGCATGTATAAAGTGGAATAGTGGGACAATAAAGTACAAATATGGAAAATTAAGTGGAAGGCTTTTAATGCTGTTAGGGAACTTGGATTGGGTTAGTAAGTTATGAGACTGACATTTTTGATCCTTGAAATGTCATAATCAGAGGTGAATTATAGGTTATATAATCCAATAGTTTAGATAATTAATTAAATTGGGAAATAAGTCATAGGACCAATAAAGAAGTGTTTTGAGAGTTTCTCTTAAGGAATGAAGACCTAACGAGAATAGCGGCACCGCAGTAGAAGTGTTGCTAAAGTACATTGGACAGAAATAAGCAATTGGATATTGGGAAAGAAAGGGATGAATAAAAGGTGACATGAGATGTTAAGCCTGGGTGATGGAGAGAATGTGATCTCAGCAGGTTTGTGGGTGGAGGTAAAAATAAGTTTTGTTCTAGATCTCTTGCTTTTGAGGTGCTGGTAGGATATTCCTGTGGAGATGTGTAGTAGAATCCGAAGTGTGAAACTGGAACTTGGAGGGAGAGATCAAGGCTGGAAATAAAACATGTATGAGTAAGGAGAGTTAAAAATAAAGAGAAAAAGAGAGCATTTGTTAGCTGGAGTAAAAGGAAGGGTACAGGAAAAGCATCATAGAGAAGAGAGAATTTGATCTGACTTTAAAAGATGCCGAGTCGGTATATGGCATTCTGTTCACGAGCTTTCCTTGTTGAGGGGACATCACATTTACTAACTTGAGAGATAATACATGGGAAGTGTTGGACAAAGGATACTGCATCCAGAATGACCTTTCTAAACTACAAAATCATTTCCCCTCTTTCCTGCTTAACCCTCCCTCAGTGGCTTCTTATCTTTCTTCAGATAAAGGACTGACTCCTAAATGTCTTCATCATCACCAATTTGAACACACATTGTGTCTCACACTCCTCCTCGTTCCTCACTCTTCTTCCCCAAGACTGGACAGAATGTGAAGAAGATATGATTTCCACCAGATGGAGTACTCTTTATACTTTTTTGGGGTCCTTTATGGTTACTTTTTGTGGCCATGGTCAGGTTCTTATCCATAAAATAATTATTGATAACTTCCTAATGTAAAATGAAAAATAATGATAAATCACATACTTCCCTCATTTTTACAGAATTCCTTGCTTGCCTTATCTCTTCAAGTGTTGACTGCAAGGTTCCTGTACACTTACTTGAGTTGGCCACTCCGGTCACTATACCCTGATCTCTGACACTTGGCCGTGGTAGCCTGGAGCAGCATTGTTACTGGGCATTGCTGTGATTGGGTTACCCAGCTGTGCTGATGTGGAAACCTCAGGGCTATTTATTGATACTTGGTTTCCTAAAGGAAAGTTGAGGGAATGTATTTTATGAGAGGGCTTTATTTACACGATTAAAGAGGTTTATAAAATGTGGAGATGAATATAGGTGAAACAGAGAAAGAATGCTGGTATAGGAGGTGTTTTCGGCTGGGTTTGGTGGCTCATACCCGTAATCCCAGCACTTTGGGAGGCTGAGGCGGGTGGATCACTTGAGTCCAGCCTGGGCGGCGTAGTGAGACCCATCTCTACAAAAACTACAAAAATTAGCTGGGCATTGTGTTGCATGCTTGTAGTCCTGGCTACTCAGGAGGCTGAGGTGAGAGGATTGCTTGAGCCCAGGAAGCAGAGGTTGCAGTGAGCCAAGATCGTGCCACTGCACTCCAGACTGGGCAATAGAGTGAGACCCTATCTCAGAAAACAAACAAAAATCCCCAAAAAACCAGGAAGTGTTTTCTTAGGGTCTAGTTCCCAGGCGAATGGTATATCCTGATTCTAGGTTTATAAAAATAGTATATTATTCATAACATTTGTCTAAAGTGACACATTTACATACAGTATATAGTATTGAGTAATTTCCAACTCTTTAAAAATAATGGAGACCCTTTCATGTAGTAGTAACTATGTTTTTAGTATCTGTTGACTGAGAAAATACGTAACAGCAAAAGCTACTATAAAACTTTGAAATAAGTTCTTGTAAATGTAAAAAAAATTCTCATATATTTGGAAAGTATACATGTGGAAATTATGACTTATAGAGTCTATGGACACTTGATTTCTTGCTTTATGGATACTCTCAGGAAGTTCTGGTCTCAACTTTGAGTATCTCATTGTCCTCTTACTTTAGAATGTGGGGTATGGGGGAAAACTTCTATTTGAAAATTTGAGCCATAGCGGAAATTTTGGAATGACAGGGAAACACCTTCTCAGAATCCTCTTACAATAAAATTTATATATGTTATGCCAGACAATGTACTTTATACTAAGACTGGACTTTTAAATAGTCTCATGGATTAGAAGTCAGATACAATAAATAAATACTTTTTAAAAATTATATTTTTAGGTATATGAGCATTGTTGTTGGGACTACAGTGCTATTTTAAAGTGAAATTTAGTTGATTTGCATGTGAGTATACACCTACAGGTCTCTGTTATAGCCGTGACATGTCTTCTGTTACTATAAATTACATAACAAATCCTTATGGTTTCTTGGGTCACTTATTTTATTTAAAGACAAAAACATCTTTCAGTACATATGTAAGACTTAAGGCATTATTGAAAATAAGCCTGTGCTACATGGTAGAATCTATTAAAAAAAAAAAAACACTCAGGCAAGGCACAGTAGTTCATGCCTGTAATCCCACCACTTTGGGAGGCAAGGAAGGAGGATCACTTGAGGCCAGGAGGTCGAGACCAGCCTGAGCAACATAGGAAGACCTAGCCTCTACTAAAAATTAAAAAAAGAAATTAGCAAGGTGTGCTGGCATGCACCTGTGGTCCCACCTCCTCTGGAGGCTGAGGTGGGAGAATCGCTTGAGCCCAGGAGTTCGAGGCTACAGTGAGCTATGATTGCACCACTGTACTCCATTCTGGGTGACAGAGCGAGACCCTTTCTCAAAAAAAAAAAAAAAAAAAAAAAAAGCAAAACCAAAAACCGAAAAACAACTCAGGACAGTCTTTGTATAAATTAGATAGCCCTAAATTTTATGTTTGTTCTTTCATTTCTCTTTTTTTTTTTTTTTTGGCTGCCGCCCAGGCTGGAGTGCCATGGCAGGATCATAGCACACTGCACACTGTAGCCTTGACCTCCTGGGCTCAAGTGATCCTCCCACCTCAGCCTCCTGAGTAGCTAGGACTACAGGCTTGTGTCATCATGCATGGCTAATTTTTTAAAAAAAATTTATGTAGAGATAGGGTCTCCCTATGTTTCCCAGGTAGGTCTTGAACTCCTGGACTTAAGCAGTCCTCCCACCTTGGCCTCTCAAAGTGCTGGGATTATAGGCATGAGCCTCCACGCCCAGTACATTTCTTTTGTTTTTATTGTGTTTGATTGTCAGAGAACCTGAGTTTGGTTGGGGTTGAGAGAGAACTATAGGGCCTATTATAGGTGAATACTTATTTTATCTTAGATTAGTGGTGTGTAGCTAAGGAAAGGTAAGGTCATATCTTCCTGTAACAGTCCAGATTAGATAGGGAAATGGGTGAAAAGCCACAAGTTGTTTTGCAACTCTGGTCTCACAGTAATTGAGAGCAAAAAGGAAAAAGTGCACTGTAGTCCCCCTTGTTTCTGATTTTGTGGGGTGTGAATATGCCTTCTAGTCAGATCGCCTTAGGGGGCCAGGAAGAGGAGGGTTGAGGGCAGAGCATGTTTACCTGCGTGCAGAGCCACTTGAAAAATTATAGGCTCATTTACATATTTGCATCCTTGTGTATGTGTTTGTGTTGCAGGGGAGTCAGTGTAGTATTATGAAAAGAACATTTGACAGTGAATTGGAAAACTAGGTTTTTCTAGTCTTGTTTTTGCCTGAGTCGTTTAAGCTTCTTGTGCCTCAGTTTTCATATCTGCAAAATGAATGAATTGGACTGGGTAATACCTGGTGTTGCTTTAAGATTCTGTAGGCTGGGCATGGTGGCTCTTGCCTGTAATCTCAGCACTTTGGGAGGCTGAGTCGGGCGGATCACGAGGTCAAGAGATTGAGACCATCCTGACCAGCATGGTGAAACCCCATCTCTACTAAAAATACCAAAATTAGCTGGGCGTGGTGGTGTGTGCCTGTAGTCCCAGCTACTCAGGAGGCTGAGGCAGGAGAATCACTTGAACCCGGGAGGCGGAGGTTCCAGTGAGCCAAGATCATGCCACAGCACTCCAGCCTGGCAAGAGAGCGAGACCCCGTCCCCCCCGCAAAAAAAAAAAAAAAAGATTCTGTAATTTAAGGATTATTTTAAAGTCTCCAACTTTCTGTAATTTTTAATGGAAAAATATAGTTAATACAGTATGCAAAATTATGTCTTTTTAAAAAATATTTTGTTCAAGTTGACTATCTTGTGCGATTCACTATAAGTGTTACACTGCATCTAAGATCTTATGTTTGAACTTCGTAGCCTAGTGTGCCCAGTAATTTGAGCTACTGGCAAAGTTACATAACCCTTTTAAAGATTTAGTATTTAAAGAATAGATTACAATGTATCAGAAGCATCATATTAAATATCCCATCTGAAGTAATGGTATTAAGGACTAGAAATTATGTCTTTCTAAATGTACAGCTGGGAATTGCTTATTTATGCTTGACAATAGATTTCAGATGAGAAAAGTCCTCATTTAGCAGGATATATTACCATTGGAATTTGCCTCTGATTACCCTATTAAATATATTTAACTCTTAAGGTTGGTTAATCTGGTCTTATTTTTAAAAAAAACTTCACTGTGAGTTTTAAAGAAAAAAACTTGGCTAATTTGATGATTTTAAAAAGTATCTTCTCTTGCCTGTAAAATTCACTTATAAGATTTGTCCTTTTTATGAGAGAATATTTTATACACAAAAAAGAATATATAGTGTCTATATAAGGTATAAAGAATATTTTAAAAAAATCTGGGTACCCTCATCCAGCTTCAGAAATGAAATGTGAAAGATGCCTGTGAGACACACATTTCCTGTACTCAGAAGTACCCATAGTCCTATATTTTGTGATTATCATTGAACACAAATAACTGATAAACCTTGCTTTCTTTATAGTTTTATCATAGATGTATGTCTCTATATCATATTGTTCAGTTTTGCATATGTTAGAACATTATATAAATGTTATTGGCCGGGCGTGGTGGCTCACGCCTGTATTCCCAGCACTTTGGGAGGCTGAGGTGGGCGGATCACCTGAGGTCAGGAGTTCGAGGCTAGCCTGGCTAACAAGGCAAAACCCTGTCTCTACTAAAAATACAAAAGTTAGCCGGCATGGTGGCACGTGCCTGTAGTCCCAGCTACTCAGGTGGCTGAGGCAGGAGAATTGCTTGAACCGGGAGGCAGAGGTTGCAGTGAGCCAAGATTGTGCCATTGCACTCCAGCCTGGGTGACAGAGTGAGATTCTATCTAAAAATAAATAAATAAATAAAAGTTATCATCTGCTGTGTATCCTCTGTGACCTGCATTTTTTATCTTTTTAAATTGTATTTTAGGTGCAAGGGATACATGTGCAGGTTTGTTACATGGGTAAAGTACATGTCATGGGAGTTTGGTGTACAGATAATTTTGTCACCCAGGTAATCAGTATGGTATAGGTAATTTTTCAATCCTCACCCATCTTCCACCCTCAAATAGGCCCCAGTGTCGATTGTTCCTTTCTTTATATCCATGTGTACTAGATGTTTAGCTCCCACTTAGAACATGTGGCATCTGGTTTTCTTTTCCTGCATTAATTTGTTTAGGATTATGGTCTCCAGTTCCATTCATGTTGCTTCAAAGGCCATGATCACATTTTTTATAGCTATGTAGTATTCCATGATGTATGTGTACCATGTTTTCTTTATCCCCCACAAAATTATGTTTATGTTATCTATATTGGTGTATATAACTCATCTTTCTAAAACTTAGCATTTATTATCCATATGTTTTTCTACTTTTTAATTTATTTATGCTCCTTGGACATTTATCCATTAGGATTCTTGTGTTTTCCTATGGAGTCAAATCTGTATTTTCTCCTATTACTTTCAAGCTTCATTATCTATATATTTAATAATAATAGTGATGATAATAGTGATAATAATACCAACCACTTACAGATATGTGCTATGTGTCAGGCACTATTCTAAATATTTATTTATTACAGTTTTATCAAGGAAGTACAATATCATCATGATAAATCATATATTAAGATTAAGGACTGAGGCAAGAGTGTTCAGTAATTTGTATGACTGTGATTTAATCTGGCAGTCTGACTCCAGAGTCTGTGTTTGTAATCATTCCACTACTTTGACTCCTATGTAGTCTTTTCTTTTAATTATGCCTTTTCCCATTTAACTTTTTAAGATATTTAAACATTTCTATGACATTCAAAAGAGAATGGCCCTAGTGTGATGTTCAAATGGGTTCTACTGTACGACACCGGTTGCTCAAAGCCATGACACAATGTAATTTTCCATGATTTTGTTCTACAGGTCTTTTAAAAATTCTCTGGGATTCACTATTGCTTTTCTTTTTCCTAACTGGGGGGAAAAGTATGCCTTATTTGTTATCCTTCTAAAATATTTCAGTTTTTTACTTTTGGTCTGTGGTTTGGAATTGATTCCCTTGATTTCCTTTGTGTGTTCGGACTAGTTTCTTCATATTTGGACAATGCCCTCCTCTTTTGAAAAATATTGATATGACCTTAGATGAATCACTTAATCTTCCTGAGCTTTGACTTTTTCAAGTAAGTTGCATCTGTTAAGTAATGAATATTTTAAAATCAGACATATATAATTGCTAATCAGAACTCCTTTTCAGTATGAAATAACCAAGGGAGTTCATGAGGGGAAATAAAGTTTTTGATAGTGATTGGAAACTACTGATTTTACCCAAACCCCTCAAATTACAGAAGAAACATTGGCAGAGATGTACCACAACTTTGTAACACAACTTTCTTTTACAGCTTTAATTTTTTCCTAAGGTAGCTAGCTAATTATCTTTTTTCCTGTATTCTGTGGCTTTCTTTTTTTTTTCTTTTTGCGATGGAGTCTCACTCTTGTCACCCAGGCTGGAGTGCAGTGGCACGATCTCGGCTCACTGCAATCTTTGCCTCCCAGGTTCAAGTGATTCTCCTACCTCAGCCTCCTGAGTAGCTGTGATTACAGGCGCCTGCCACCATGTCTGGGTAATCTTTGTATTTTTAGAAGAGATGGGGTTTCTCCATGTTGGGCAGGGTGGTCTTGAACTCCTGACCTCAGGTGATCTGCCCACCTCGGCCCCCCAAAGTGCTGGGATTACAGGTCTTTTCTCTTGGTTTCCACAGCCAGCTTCTGTGGCTTTTTTGATGTCTTAAAGTTTTTCCAAGCTCTTGGGTAATTTCCTAATATCCCTTATTTAAACATGTTTAAATATCTCTCATCTTAAAAAAAAAAAAAGCCTGCTCAAACCTGCCCCCACCCAACGATCAATCTATTTTACAAGTTGCTTACATCCTTGCTGTTTCTGTTTATCTGCCATCCTTCCAAAAATATGTATTGAGCCCTGTTACATGTCAGGCACTAACTTATCTAATCTGAGGTTACAGTATGGACCAGAGAAACACAGGACCTCATTCTCAGGGTCTTTCGTTCTCAGTTTGGAACCAGCATGGCATGTTGTAGAAAGAGTAAGTAGACTATTTTGTGGTAGGAGCAAGAGAGAGCATGGTTAGAGTTTAGGGCAAAGAAGAAGACCAGATTATATGGGGCTTTTAGATCATTATGAGGAGTTTAGATAGTGTTCTGTGTGATGGAAGCCATTAGAGGATTTTAGGTAGGCAGTGGCAAGATCTGATCTGCATTTTAAAATAATAACTCCAGCTGCTTTGTGTTGAACGGATTGTAGGGGCCAAGAGTGGAGGCAGTAAACCATTTAGGCCTACTTCAGTGGTTCAGATAGGAATTGATAATGGTTTGGACCACAGTGGTGGTGGCAGAACTGAGACCTTGCTGATTGGATATAAAGTCTAAGGAAAAGAGAAGAATCATCTATACTATTCCACTGAAACAGTTTTGGTTGAAGCCACTAATGGTGTTCATATCATTGAGCCCAGTGAGCTCAATTTGGTCCCTGTCTTCCTGACTTCAGAGCGTTTGATACACTGACCACCCATTCCTTCTAGAAATTGTCTTTTCTCTTGGTTTCTGTTATTGTTAGACACATGATTTTAGGCAAATTAGTTATCTGTGCCTCAGTTTTGTCACTTATAGAATGGAGATAATATTGTATCTACCACATAGGTTATTGTAATCATGAAATGGGAGGATATATGTGAATTACTTAGCACAGTAATTCTCAGAGTTAATTCCCAGTAAGTTAACTAGCGTTGTCATTGTCATCGTCATCATCATCATCATCATCATTCTGGGACAACACTTTCCTTGACCTCTCCTTTTTTTGGCCTCTGCTCCTTCTTGATCTTCTTTGCTAGTTCTTTCTCCTTCAACTCACTTCTGAATGTTGAAGTTCTCAGGGCTCTGATATTTACTTTTCTCATTTAGTACACTTTCTTAGACAATCTTATTTATTCCATGGCTTTAGTTCTGTCTGTATATAATCAACTGTCCACATCTACCGCTCAGCCCAGTTCTCAATCCTGAGCAGAAAGAGGAAAAGATGAGCAGCAGCCCTGAGGTAAGAGTGTAGCTCATTGAAGATTGGGAAAGAAGAGTAGTGTGGTGCTCTTCTAGATTTTAAAGGATTTGGGAAGCACTGCCATGCTGCCTCTTGAAAAAGACAGCCAACCTGAGAAATACTGGGGGCATTGCCTGGAAATCCTGGATGGCATTCCAATCAGAAAAAAGAAACTTCAATATACAGACAGAACTAAAGCCATGGAATAAATAAGATTGTCTAAGAACGTGTACTAAATGAGAAAAGTAAAAAGTAAAAGCAGAATTCCATGTATTCATTTGCCTCTATATTATCTCCATTTAAATGGCTGTGTCTTAGATACCATAAACACATCACAAGCTGAACTTTTTTTGCCTGAACTTAAGCCTCCCCACCTTGTTACCTAGCTTAATAAATGGTACTGCTATTTGCCCAGTTACTTGAGCCAGAATTGAAGTCCTCTTAAATTTTTTTTATTGATCTCATGTCCTGTGTCATTTCTTTGCCTAGATTTCTGCAATGGCTTCCTAAAGTGTCTCACCACCTTTGTTCTTACACCGCTCCCATCCATTTTCCACCTTTTAGTCATGTTTCTCTTTTTAGTTTGCAGATTTGATTATGTTCTCCTTCACTTACTTCCCTTTCTTTTTGGGACGAAGTTCCAAATTCTTATACTGGCTTCTAAGGTTTGCACCTGTCAGCCTTATCATTTTCTCCCCTGCTCCTCACTGACACCTCCACCACACTGCTCTTCTTTCCCAGTCTTCAATAAGCTACACTCTTACCTCAGGGCTACTGCTCATCTTTTCCCGTGTCTGGAATACTTCTTTCCTTATTCTTAATCTGGGCAACAGTCTTAGCCTTTATTCTTAGTTTAAATGTTACTTCCTCCAGGAAGGCTTTCTCATGCCCCACAAGCTACAGTACATCCCTCTGTTGTATAGGATCTTCCCCACTCTGCTTCTATGTCATCCTTACTGCACTTGTTCATAATGTCTTTTGCTTCACTAAGACGTAAGCTTCATGGTGGCAGGGACCATGGCATCTTGTTTCTCACTTTCTCCCCAGCTTCTGTTTGTTAAATAGAGTGAGGAATAAATGCAGCATGGGCATGCCCATTTTGGGGAATGAGAGGCCTTCTGGCTGGGTTGGTGTGTGTTTGTTTTAATCTTTCAGTGTGACAAAAGAGGAGAACAGAAAAGTTTCAGTTTTCTGTAGGTTTACTTTCAGAGCTCTCCTGTGGCCTCCAGGTAGAGGGGAAGGAAGCAGCATCATTCGAAGGCAGCTCTAGTAAGGAGATAGTGTTCTGGGGTTGAAGTTTCTTTTTTCTGATTGGAGTGCTATCCAGGAATTCCAGGCAGTGCCCCCAGTATTTCTTAGGTTAGCTGTCTTTTTCAAGAGGCAGCATGGCAGTGCTTCCCAAATCCTTTGAAATCTAGGCATGAGCATTGCCACAGAACCCTTGTTTCATATGGCTTCCAACGTCAGAAGTGCTTATTAGTGTCTCCTGTTGGATCCAGATAGACCCTGTGAGTTTTAAGCTCCATACCTCATGGCCTACCTGCCCTCTGGCCTTTCATCCTATTTAGAATCCCACTGGGAATCTCCTGAATCTCACTAACTTGCAGTAACAATATTTGTGCATGAGATGAGTTAGGAGTTGGCCTTTTCTTCAATATAGCCTCTCTGCACGATAGCAGCAGTTTTTCAAAGTGGGTTTATTCTTTTAGTTTCCAATGCTGATGTAGGTTTTCCCCTATTTTTATACTTATCATTTTGATGGGAACTGGTGGGAATCTGACTGAGGAAGAACATGGGTGAGCTCTCTTTTGAAAGGTACTTATTTTATTGCCACCTTTGTCCTTGTGCATGTGTGCACATGCATGTGCGAGCAATTTGTTTTCCTCTTTGCTTTAAAAAAATCCTTCTAGGCCATTTTTTTGTATTGTAACTTTATATGAGACATTATTTTTAATAGGCACATTTAAGTCATTTATATTTTATGTTATGGACATATTTGATGACACTCTTTGTACTATAGTTTTATGTTCTTTTTGTGATTTTTTCCACCTTGGTTTTCAATCTTTTGCCATGTGGTTTCTGTGGGTTTTTTTGTTTTGTTTTGTTTTGAGACAAGGTCTCTGTTGCCCAGGCAGGGATGCAGTGGTGTGATCACGGCTCCCTGTGGCCTCGAACTCCTGGGCTCAAGTGATCCTCCCACCACAGTCTCCCAAGTATTAAATACCTGGGACTATAGGCATGCCTACCACATCTGGTTACTTTTTTAAAAAAATTATGTGCAGAAGAGATGGCACTATGTTGCCCAGACTGGTCTTGCACTCCTGGCCTTAAGTGATCCTCCTGCCGCAACTGCCAAAGTGCTGAGATTACAGGCGTGAGCCACTGTGCCTGACCTTCCATGTTTTATTCACTTTTTTCTTTCATAGGGTTTATTTTAGGTTCTATGACCTTGAAAAAGTATCTAAAAACATCATTGAGCCTTACCTAAGTATTAAATTGAAAAAGTAAAAAATGCAGTAGCATTTGACTCTTTTCTACAGGAGAAACTTAGGATTCTTGTCTTTTTCTCTGCCTTGCCTTTGTTAGCTAGAGTGGGTCCTGTAGATCCACATGACTATTGTCGAATAGTTGACATTCTATATGATTTTGTATTATACGTTCTCCCTTTTAAGGATTATTTTTATCTTTTTCATTAAATCATACAACATTTACTGCATTCAGTGACTACCACCACAACTTTTAATGTTAATTTAACTATCCTTAAGGATATTTGATTCATACATCATTTGGCTAAAGTACATTTTTGAGTTGATGTCTCCCTTTTTTTTTTGGTAGGGAAAGATGTATGGCTGTTTATTTCCTGAGCCCTTCTGTTATCTGAGGAAATTAAAGACTATTATATAACATGTTAAATCTCCCTTGCAAAACAACATTTAATTAATAGGAGGATTACAAAGAAGCATAATTGGGAGGCTGTAAAATTCCTATATAGAATAACCTAAAAGCAAATAATATTTTAATTATGGAATATAAAATGTTGCTAGCATTCTATAAGAATAAGAACCTAGGAAAAAAGGAATTTACTACAAATTCAGGTGATAAATTATATCAGTCACAAGGTTATTGCTAGGAATTCAAGACCTGTAATGTCATAGATAATTCTCAGGGTCACAATGCACAATTAGTTATAAGCCCTAGAACAGATTTATTTTTGAATGAGAGTAAGCAATATTGGCAGTTTTAGTTGAATTGCAATAAATGTTTTATAATTTCTATTGTGCTATTCACATTGGAGTTGACCAGCAGTTTGTTTTGTCAAATACTCATTTTATTAGTGTATTTTCTTCATGCATACACAAAGTTACATCACTCTATATGATTCATTGAAATAGTTGGTCACAAAATTTGAAATTTCTTTTTTGTCAAATATAATGATTTCTCTGACAGTTGCTAAAACATAATTGTTGAAATGGAAAAAGTAATCTTAGTTGAGTTGTCTGTTAGGCAATCACCTCATTCTTTCCCTGTGCAAAAATAAATTAATTAAACCCTCCAACACTCACACGCATGCATGCATGCACCACAGCCACACATACATTCTCTTTCTCTCTTTTAAACTTCGTCTTACTTTTCAATCTCCATAAGGGAAGTAAAACTCACTGAGCATGCTGCTAGATGCTTTCAAAAACGTTCTCTCATTTAACTCTTCCAAAACTTAATGAAGTACATGTTATGATCTACATTATACGAGTGAGGAAACAGGATCTATAGAGATCCACAGGAAGCTGAGGATCTTAGAGAGTAACTAAATTGCTTAAAATATATCAGCTGGTTAGGTGATAGAGTCAGGATTTGAACCCAGTTTGGACTCTTTCCTGTATACTGCACTGCCTAGACAGCAATACAGGATACCCTAGTCCCTGGGAACTAGGACACTACGCACAAAGATGAAGGAAAACAGGAAGTGCCATTTGTTCAGTGATACTAAAACATTTATTGAGCCTTTATTTTACAGAAGTGAAAGACCACTGACTACTCTCAAGGAGTTTAAAAGAGAAACAGATTTATGAACCTAAACTTCAAACTGCAATAATAGAGATCCTGAAGTAGGAAGTAGTGTGGAGGAAGAACTGATTAATTTTCTCATGGAAGTGATAGGGAGAAGGAAGTGGGGGACAACTGTGAAAGAAATGATATCTAAATGTATCATAAATATAAATGATTTGTAAATAATATTCTGCCCAGAAGAGATAATACCTAAACTGTGTTTGAAGGTTAAAAAATAATGGAATACTATGCAGCCATAAAAAGGAACAAGATTATGTCCTTTGCAGGGACATGGATGGAGCTGGAAGCCATTATCCTCAGCAAACTAATGCAGGAACAGAAAACCAAACACCACATGTTCTCACTTATAAGTGGGGGCTGAACAATGAGAACACATGGACACAGGGAGGGAGGCAACACACAATGGGGCCTGTTGGAGGGTGGGGTGAGGGGAGGGAGAGCATTAGGAAAAATAGCTAATGCATGCTGGGCTTAATACCTAGGTGATGGATTGATAGGTGCAGCAAACCACCATGGCACATGTTTACCTGTGTAATAAACCTGCACATCCTGCACATGTGCCCCGGAACTTAAAATAAAAATAAAAATTAAAATAGAATCCATTCTGCATATGAGATGGAGGATATGGGTCATATGGTGAGGGTAGACAAGACTGTATGGGAAACTATAAATTGTTGGCTATCATCAGAACATTATATTTATTTGACAAATATTTACTGAATGCCTGCTAAGGTTAGGCATCGTGTTAGGTAGTAGAAATAAAGTAAGGGACAAGTAAGTTCATGAAGCATATAGTGTACCAGAGAGCGTTGAGGATTGAGGTTCTATACTTAGGAAAAGAAACAAACCTGATGGGTCTTGAATACCAGGATACATTGGTTAGATTTCTTTCCCCTGTCCTGTAGGTTCTAATGAGCCATAGAAGCATGTTATGCAGGCTTATGGCATGGTCAGAACTAGTACACAGCCCTTTTGCAGTAGTGTGGAGGGTGAATGTGAGGGGAATTAGATTGGAGGCAGAAAGACCAATAAGAGGCCATTACTTATGGTAGATGGGAGATGAAAGGGATGTATTTGAGCAGTATCTTGGAAATAAAATTGACAGCACTTAGTATTGTTTGGATATGAATGGTTACAGTAGAAAGGAATTGGTGGTGACTCCAAGGTTTGAGATTTTAGTGCCTGGATAGATGGGTCTACTTTTTTTTTTTTTCTTTTGAGTCAGGGCCTCACTTTGTCACCCAGGCTGAAGTGCAGTGGCCTGATCTTGGCTCACTGCAGCCTTGATCTCCTGGGTTCAAGCAATCCTCCCGCCTCAGCGTTCCGAGTAGCTGGAACCACAGGTGCATGCCACCACGACTGGCTAATTTTTGTATTTTTGGTAGAAACAGGGTTTCACCATGTTGCCCAGAGTGGTCTCAAACTCCTGAGCTCAAGCGATCCTCCTGCCTTGGCCTACCAGAGTGCTGGGAATATGGGCGTGAGCCACCACACCCTGCTGATGGGACTACTTTCTAACAAAGAAATACAGACAGAATAATTAGTGAAGAAAGAAAGTAATAAATGAATTGAGTTTGGGATATAATAAGCAGTTTGAAGTAGATATGGAATGCTCAGATTCTTTGAAAAACATCTTTTAATCACCTAAAATTCACGAAGAAAAACAGTATAGGACAAAGTAGAAATTTTGCAAAATATTTTATTTCTTCTACTTTATGATCTCATTCAGGACTTTTCCTCTCTCCTAAGCCCAACATGATGTCAAAGGATAGTTGATAGAGGTCATTAAATATACCTTTTAGTGGAATATAAGGAGTCCATTTTCATAAAACTTCTCTTTTATCTGCTATATCAGATGCAAGCCATCATTATAATTTTATTTAATAATTTTCTATTTTCTATGGGGAGGGATACAAAAATTCAGATACAAGAGCAGATATTTACTTGTAATTTCCAGTGCTAAAACTTTTTATTCCATGAATGGGTGGCAAAGTTCTGACTTAAAATATATGAAATATGATTTAAGGATATGTATTTTTAAGGCTTATATTTAGCTCACTAAAAATAGTCTTTTAGTGATATAGATACTGTAGTTTATAGTCCCAGGCATAGGATTTAGTCAGCTTGCATTACCAGGTTTTTTCTTTAGATAAAATGGCCCATTGAGGCACTGGATCTTTTTTTATGTATAAGCTTTACTTTTATAAAAAACCTGCACATGGCTCTTGGTACAGGGGAACTAAGGTGAAAAAAACTACCTGCAACTCCACCTCTTTCTATTTCTGTCTCACTCCTCTGAAGTCATGTTTTAAAATCATTATTCTAGTAGTTACTTTCATAATTTTGGTTAATATAGTTATAGTGCTATTTATTGATGCATCAGTTTCAGATAATAACCAGTTACAGAATATAAGTATTTATCTGCTGTCTCTTCACCTTTCTGTTTACCATTGTTAGACTTTAATAGACAACAGGCTAAGCTGCTCTGACAAAGAGATTACAAGTGGAGCAACTTACAGAAAGTAGAAGTTTCCCTTTCATATACTAGTCCAAGGTTGGGCTGGTGAATAGCTCTGCCTCATGACCTGTTAGGTTTGTCTTCCTCATCAAGTGCCTTACTTCTCAGGGTTCAAGTGTGCTGATGCAGTTGCTGCCATTTCTCAGGAGGGAAGAGGAAATCCAAAGCAAGTGACTTTGTCTTTAAAGGAGATGAGCTGAAAGATCATACATGACATTGAGTTACATTCCATTTTCCACAACTTAGTATCATGTTCACATCTAGCTGCAAGGGAAGGTGAGAAATGAGGCTGTATGTTCAGTTAAAATTTCAGGGGGTTCTATTACTAATAAGAAGAAGGGAGTATGGATTCTAGGGGTCAGTTAGCGTTTTCCAGTCTAGTTGGTGTCTTCTAACCCTCTACTTTATAAGAGGAGGACACTGATACCCTGAGTCTTTCCTCCACCTTTCTTTCCAGCCTTCTTTACATTTTGTTGCTATATAGTTTTTGTTTCACAATGTGAACTTGCTAATGCTTACAGTCTGTTCTGAAATCACAGTCAAATATTTGTCCATAGGTTGTCTCTAAAAGCTTATATTGTTATGACTATGTGCACATCGATTACTTCCAGGTCACAATGTGAGCTATTAATGTGGTTCCTTCTCATTAGTTCCAGGGTCATGATCTCAGCTGTTGAAAGAAACAGACATTTTTCTATCATCATGGCAAATGGATTGATTTTCCTTGTATTTGTTGATTGATTTAAAATCAAAAGTTGTATCTGTAAGGTCTGGATTTAGGCATTGACTTGCTAGATCACTAGCTTTCTACAGTGAATGTGCTTAGTGTCCAATAAACTTTCAATTGCTTCAGGAAATAAGATCTTCACATCGTCATTTTATTGTGACCAGAAGCTACTCAGTCACTTTTGCAGCTGAGGAAAATCTTTAGTTTTTGGTGTTGAGACAAGTTTATGAGCTCTGAGTGATCAAAGTCAAGTAGCTGTCTCCTGGCCTTTAATGTGGGAATATGAGAGGGCAGCCGTATCTTCTGACTAAATTAAGAATCTCTTTGGGATATTTAGGATAGAAGGGATGACTAATGAGAGAGAAACTATAGACTTTTGGAAGTGGTCTCACTGTCCTTGGCATTAGACTTCTCATCCTTCCAGACTCTGTTGTTTTCTAAAACAAGGACATCAATCTGGGGGCACAAGGGCCCCTGCCCTTGAGGAGTTTGGAATGTAGTAGAAGAGATTAAAATAAAGTTTAGTTCAAATTCTGGCTCCATAATTTACTGGCCATTTAACCTCAAGCAGGTAATTCTCTAAGCTTCAGTTTCAATTGGAACAAATAGCCCCCAAATCCCAATGGTTTAAAATGCTGAAGGTTTAGTTCTTCTTTGTACTGTTTGTTCACTGTGGTTCAGATGGGAGCTCTGCCCCGTATCTCCTTATCCCAGAATTGTGATTAATGGAGCAGCCACCATCTAATTATAGAACATTGCTGTTCCCTGCTGCAGAGGGAGAGAAAGCCCTGGAGGGTCTCACACCAACAGCTAAGTACTCTGGCTTGGAAGCAATACACATAATCATTTCTGCTCACAATTTATTGCCCAGAGCTAGCCAGCCACATGTTCCTACCCAACCACAAGGGGGCCAGGAAGTGCATTCCTACCACGTGCCTGGAAAATGGAGAGCCAGAAATACTGTGTACAGAGTAATAATGACTACTACCTATAGGAGTACCTAGCTCAGGGTTGATGTGAGGATTAAATGAGGTTACACACATATATACACACACACAGACACACACATACACATACACACAGTACAGGTGCTCAAAAATGATTATTGTTAATCTCATTATAGATGTATACATGCAAATATTAAATAATATATATGGAGACTAAAGGCTTTATTATAAGGTTATAAGACTATCATAACATATACGAAAATGCCTTGTAAATAATAACATACTGTGCAAATGCAAGTTGATATCTAGTAGATGTTAGAAGATAAAGCATTAGAGCTTGGATCAAAGTTGGTGCTAGACCTTTGTATTCATCTATCAAGAAATGATGGTTGAAGTTGTAAGAATAGGTAAAATCTACACGGAAATTTTGGAAAACTTGCATTTCCTACTGTGAGCTTGACAGCTTCTCAATATTTAAAAACTTTTCTGATGAAATCAGTGATGATATTAATGAGTATGGTTTTTTGATACCATGTTACGAAATGTTTCAACATAAGAAAGATCTGTATAACTCGGTGAACCAATGTTTTCCAAAGGAACAGTGCAGGATGTTACAAAATCATGGAAGGTTAGAAGGTCCATTCAAAACGCAAGATAGACCAATGGGTTTTAATGTAACAGTATGAGAATTTCGTTGATATGGTTTCAGACTACCATTTGTTGATCTTCGGTGTGATAACAAAAGAATAAAACATACAATTATCTGAAAAGGTTATTAAAATACTCCTCCACTTTCCAGCTACTTATTTGTGTGAGTCTAGATTTTCTTCACGTATGTACTTCAACCAAAACAACGTATCACAACACATTGATTGCAGGAGCAGAGATGAGGATTCAGTTGTTTTCTATTAAGCTAGATAATAAAAAGAGATTTGCAAAAATATAGAACTCTTTCCATTATACATATATTTTTATTTTGGGTAATATAGTTAATTTTCACTATAAATGTCATTTTTATAAATTATTTAAGCTTTCAGGTTAAAATAAAGTTTTACTATTTTAAGAATAGTCATTTTGTAAATTATTTTTTATTTATTTTTAATGGAGTAAACAAATATCTAAAAAGTTTCTCAGCTGTAATTTTTAATAAGTAAATATTGATATTTATAATCATGTAAACAAAAGGTATTTGGAGCCCTTGATAATTTTGGGGAGTGTAAGGAATCCTGAGATCCAAAAGTTTGAGAATGGGTAACCGTAAAGATATAGAGATGAAAGAATACAAATAAAAAGTCTTCCTTCATACAGCTTCTCTTTGGTACCAAACTCCCATATGTCCCTGCCACTCCCTCTCCTAAAGCTGGAAGCAATTCTCTTTCCTGTGAAATTCTGTAATTCTTAATTTCTACCCCTGTTAACTCATTTAGCTTATGTCCCACTTAATGTTCCCACTTAAGCTAATGTTTTTTAACAGCACAGACTATGTCTTACATCTTTTCATGTTCATCAGCACCTGATACATTGTTTTCCATGTAGTAGGAATTTATATAGATGAATTGAGTAAGTTAAAAAAAATTACCTCTTAAAATCACTTGAAAGATCGAGTAAGCATTCTGAATAGCCAGGATTCTGTTTCTTAAAACAAATACAATCACAAAAGGATCTCTGTTTAACAAAAGGAATGCCAAATTCCAGCCAATGAGCTATGGATTTCAAGCAGTAGCTAAATGGTTGATCAATTCACTCAACAAACGCCAGTTGAGCATAAACTGCTAGGCACTGGGTTGATAAGAACAAAGATTTTTTTATAGAACTTTATAGTAGACACTTAGATTAGTGGTTCTCATGATGAAGTTTCTTCTGTTTATAATAAGATGAAAAAATAGCGACAATGAAACTTCTCCCCCACAAAACTACATATATTCTACTTAAAAGAATGTTTTTTATCTTGAGATCGCTTTCTTAGTTGTTGGTGTCAACATAATCTTTCTTTTCGGATATTATGGTGAGATTAGGGCTTTGAGCCTTTTTTTTTGGTCATTATTTGACAAAACTCAAAACTGTTGGCTCCTACAGTTCTGGGTGTGGTGGAGGGGAGCATTTTACTAGCTTGTGAAAAACCACTGATGTAGACATTCCTTTGGCATTTATTGGGAAGGGATTCGACCTTTAGGTTTGACACTTTAAAACTACTAGTACAATCAGCTCATTTATTCTGGAGCTAATTATCAGCTTTGTGAGTTCTCTAGATTCCTTTTTATACCATCTCTTTTTGGAAGATTAGTGTTCAACTACGGGGAAAAAAGTAAAAGGGAAAAAAGATAAAACAAAACCCTAGCAGATTAACTTTAATCAAATTTTTGGATGTTAGAATTCACGGGGGAGATGAAGAAGTAGAGATTTTTGACCAAAATAGGGCATTTGAATTATTTTTGGATTTCAAGTCTGGTTACATTTGCAACTTCCCACCTCTTCATAGGAACTAATAATTTTATAATATATTTTAATTCAAATTATTACCTTTAAGCATTATTAGCAGTTGAGATGGCAGAGATAGAAGCATTGGAAATGATGATCCTGAACAATATAGTCATATCCTGAACATATAATCGGTCATTTTCATAGTCTTTCACTCAATAAATGAATGACTCAATAAATAAATGCCGGGTACTGGGATGCAGGGATAAAAGACACTGTCACTGTCGTTAAGGGGTTTATAATCTAGAAGAGGGAGAGATCTAAGCAAATCAGTGCCCTGAAAGTTGTTATAGGGGATGTGATAGCGTATTTGGTGCTATACTGGGGACTAGAATTGGAGGCGTTAGGAATGGTGGAGGTTGGAAGTGGTGGCAAAGATAGTAAGGATCTGGAACGAAGACATGGAGGTGAAAATAGGAAACAGCTGACCTATTACAAAAATTACCACCATGTTAGTATGGCAGGAGTGTGGGGTGCGGTGGGTTGTAGAGGTATGGCAAGGGAAAAGGCTGAAGAGTTCAGCAGCAGCTGAGTGTAGAACTTTAGATACTTTAGATGCTTTGTTTAGGAATTTGGGCTTTATCAGAAGGATTTATCAGAATGTGTTCTGGGGGCTGGGTGATAGGACAGAAAGGGGTTTTGTATGATGAGAAACATTTCAGAGGCACCAATTGAGACGAAGTTAAGCAGCCATATCTATTGAAGACTTCTCAGACCCTTTATATTGGTTAGCATTTCCATGACTATTTGACTGCTAAACTTGTGGAAGGAGCGGCTATATTATGTTTCTCAGAACATGGTTTGGAGAACCCTGTGATATACAAGGGGGAATCATCAAAATGTTTTAAGCAGGAAATTATAGACAATTATGGAATCTAATTCTGTTCTTAACACATAATGTGATACTGCTCATTAGGTATTGTGCAGTCAGTATTTTTAAATGCCCACTATTTTCAAAATTATCTACCAGATATTTTGGGAGATTAGGAAGATTCATGAGACATCTTGTCTGGCTTTTAAAAAAATAACATGTTGATTAGGTTGGGTATGGTGGCTCACGCCTGTAATCCCAGCACTTTGGGAGGCCGAGGTGGATGGATTATCTGTAAATGTCATTCATCCATGTAGTTAATTGAATAAAAGGCAATGCGAAAGTGAGGAAGTTGAGAATAAACTTGGAGAATTATGGATTTTCTGGTGATCCTTGCTCAATGCTGATTTCTACAGGGTGTTTAATGCTAAGCTTTTGCTTTCAGGACTAGGATTGTTTCTGGCAATGGCCTTCACTCAGACAGTTCAGGGAATACAAACGGGTGAAAGCTGCCGAATTGAAACTTCAATTTAGGTGATCTGAGAGTGGAAGTAGCTGTTAGTTTGTTTGGTCCTCAAAAGTACATTGTCAACATTTTGAAGTTTTGGTAGATTAACATAGAGTTAGCTTTACAGATTGTGAAGGTATTTCCAAAGAATTTAAAGAAAAAGTTGAAGTTGAAAGCAGTTGAAGTTGCATGTGGTGGAACTAGAAATATCAAGTCTAGAAATCTGAGAATGTCAAGGGAGAGAATCTTCAAGTAATCTTCTTCTTTTTTGTTATTTTTCTTTTTTTTTTTTTTGAGACAGGGTCTTTCTCTGTTGCCCAGGCTGGAGTGCAGTACGCAATCTCAGGTCACTGTAATCTCTGCCTCCCAGGTTCAAGCGATTCTCCTGCCTCAGCCTCCTGAGTAGCTGGGATTGCAGGCGCCCACCACCATGCCTGGTTAGTTTTTGTACTTTTAGTTTCGCCGTGTTGGTCAGGTTGGTCTGGAACTCCTGACCTCAAGTAATCTGCCCACCTCAGCCTCCCAGAATGCTGGGATTACAGTGTGAGCCACCTCGTCTGGCCATCAAGTAATCTTCTTGAATTAAGTTTCCTTATTACATGTTCGTCATACTACCTAGTGGGGAAACATGGAATCAGAGTATTTAGAGTTGGTTGGTGCATCATAAGGCTTTTCATTGCCAGTTGTGTAGTGGTCAAGAGCACTGGCTTTGGAGGTGAATGTCCTGAGTTCACATGTATCAATCAGATTACCCAATTACTTAAGGTCCCTGCCCCTTACTAAGTGTAAGACCTTAGGCCATTTACTTAACCTCCCTATGCCTCAGTCTCTGTGTCTAAAAAGGGGAAAATGATAGTATATACCTCATGAGGTTGTGGGGATTAAAAGGGCTAATAAATGTGAAATGCTTAGAGCAGTGCATGGCACATGCTGTGTGCACAGTCAACTGTTATCTTTAGGATTTCTCTGTTGTTTGTTTTCATTAGAATAATTTACTGTGGAAACCTATCAAGTAGTGGTTTTCTGGCCTAAATAGGATTCTTTGGAGAATAGCTTGTTAACTCTAAGAAGGAGTGGATATAAATGTACTGTTACAATTTTCTAATTCATGCATTTAAAACTAGCAAATATTTGGCATATTTAAATAATAATAGCTAACATTTCCTGAGCATATACTATGTCCCAGGAGTTGTACCAAGCACTTTTAACCAATTAACTTATTTAATCATTATCTTATAAGTGAGGAAACTGAGGCCCCGAGAGGGTAAGCAAGTTGTCCAAGGTCACAGAATTGGCTATGGGCATGACCAGCATTCAAACCCAGATGGTCTGTGTTCACGGATCACACACATCCATTGTGATATCCCATCTTTCATGCAAATATATGTATTTTAGATCTGTTTGTTAAAGTGTTTTATTTTATTTACCGCAAACATTAATTAGGTGGAAAACATGAGCTAAAATAATTTTGTTAAATCATTTCAGTATAAAAATACATGTTAGAGCCATATTAACTATGATTCTTTTGTTCTGTGGAAGTATGAGTATTAGTTTGATGTAACCAAGGCATCCAGATGCATACATCCATTCTTTAGAACTGGTTTTCACTTTATGTCTCAGCTACATATTTTCAGAGTGGTTTATGAGTAATGCTACTTTGCATGCATTTTGCAAACTTCAATCCTTTTCTACTATCCATGCAGGCATTAAAATAATTCGGATAATATCAAATCCTAACCTATGAAACACATTCTTTTAGGATTAGAAAATGGAGAACAGTGTGACAAATTGTGCTTTTTGCATTCTTCAGTATAGAAAGACTAGACTGCTCTAAAAGTAGTCATTTTAGTTGCCCCACTTTGTTGGTGCTAATGTATGTACTTTCTGGGTCTATTTTCAAAAAGCTGGGCAAAACTAATTTGCCACTAGATGGAGCCCTGGCTATTTGGGTAGAAATACAGGCAACAGAATATTAAATCACACAGTCATATCATGCTGGAGGGCTCCCGGTATTTGTGGCCCTCAGGTTTTAATTGTAGAATGCATCTTTGTTCTTTCCCTGACCTGCAGAGTGACATCACTGCCTCTCTTCCTGTGCGCTGGCTTTGACATAAGCCAGATGGCCACCGTGGTTGGTAGGCGCCCAGGCTGCCTGGTACAGGAGTTGATGAAACAGAATAGGAAGACGTTTTATGGTCAGCTGTGGAAGCACAGTGAGACTGCAGCTTTGCTAAGTAATTACATTTACTGTGTGTGCTTTATTCCTCACAGAGAAGGGTCACAGGGAAAAAATACATTTTTATTTATAGTGTTGTGAGGTATAGACCTTTGATCTTTTATTAGTCAGTAGTC
Source organism: Homo sapiens (assembly GCF_000001405.40). NCBI lineage: Eukaryota > Metazoa > Chordata > Mammalia > Primates > Hominidae > Homo > Homo sapiens. The sequence continues at coordinate 65,307,145 of NC_000012.12, forward strand.
TGCTCCAAAGGAATGCTCTCTTTTCCCTGCTCTGCAGTCACTCGTGAAAATGACATGTTTATTTATGTTTAATGGTTCTTTCAGGCTGTGCATTGTGATACTTACCTTCCTTTTCCCTCCTCTTTGTCTGCAGTTAGTAACACAAAAATGTTTTAGTCTTGTAGTGAGTTTAGTTTGGGGAAGTCAGAGTTCAGGCATGTTAATACAAGCAGATTTCTGTCAGATATACTCCAGAGTGATTTAGTAAAATATATTACTGTTTATTATATGTTTGTTCTTCAAGGAGGTCAGAAGAGTCCGGAACAGACTTTTTTTGGGGCGGGAAGCAGGGGAAGTGGTCAGGAAATGAACAAGACATTAATTTTATATTAATTTTTGGACATTTAATGGTTAAAGTCACTTAAAATGCTAATTTGAAACAACATATATGAAGTTTATTAATCTAGTATTTTCCATTTGCATTTAAAGTTAATCTTTACCAATTGAAATATTGTAAAAAACTTTTAAGAAAATCCTAAGAATTGAACTTTTCTCTAAAGTTTAATATCTACACAATTTTTAGATTCTTCCACATAATTCATTTCCAAAGACATTAAAAAACATTTTTACACTTTTTGAATTACTAAATCATGAATATTATTCACAGGATTGACCTAGAAATTATAAATCATATAATTAAATGAAAATTCATATTTGCCATGCTTTATTCGAACTTAACGCTGTTTTGAAAGTGAAGTCCCTTAATTGTCCTTAGGTTTTCTGGGTCTCTATTTTATAAAATGAAATTCTAACAAAATGTGTCTCTTAATCTTATTATTTTATAGTCTTCTCCAGGGAGGGAGATTTGCCAATAATTGCTGGAAGAAGGCAGCATGGTGTAAGGAAAGAACATGGCTTTGCAGTCAGTATAGCAGGGTTTTTTAGTCCTTTTTCCACTGGTTATTTGCTTTGTGCCCTTGGACTTTTGAGTCACAGTTTCTTCACATACGTATTGGGGCATAAAACCTACCTCCTTGGTTTATTGTAAGAATTAAATGATACAACGTGTATATTAGGCTCCAGACAGTTCCTGTCACATGGTATGAACTCAGTAAATGTGAATTCCTTTCAACTGTTTTTAAACTTCCTCTCTTTTCTCAACCTCTTGTAAACTGTGTTCACAGATTGCACTGCTATCATGTAGTGTGTATTTTACCTCTAAGGTACAAATAAAGCTAGATTGAAAGTAAGCTCACGGGCTGAAAAATAGGCGTTTGAAATTTATTAGCAGTATGTGCATGTGTTCAGTTCCAGATAAAACTGTAACCATCAGTTGTGCAATGAATGTGTTTAATATTTGTGATGTTTTAATTTGATTTTTGTTTTTGTTTTTTCTCCTACTCAGCTCTTGCCCCTGTTCTTTGCTTCTCGTTTTGTTGGTGAAGATATCACAGTGATGTCTGCATTCAACCTGCTGCATTTGGTGACAAAGAGCCAGCCAGTAGCCCTTCGAGCCTGTGGGCTTCCCTCAGGTTGCTGCTTGTTGTACTGTACATAGTGAAGGCACAGGGCCAACTGGGTGTTTCTGCTGCAGGAAATGATACACCATCATGCTTTGCTAAATTTCATTTTCTTTTACTTGGGCCCTAATTTGAAGACGGAAATTGGTTATAAATCACCACTCTACTTTGAGTAACATTCATTTCCACAATCCTTACAACCCTTGGAACATTGTCCAGTTTCCTTGCCCAGTGTATAATTGTCACTAATATTTCATATCTTCTTGTTCTTTAATGCACACTACACATCTGCAAATCATAACGTTCATAAGAGGCTGGCAGTCTGAGTAAGAAACTGCCCCAAATCACACAAAATAGGACATTCATCTTGTTAAAGGATAATGAAAATGCTTTTCATTCCACATGTGGTCATTCCTTTAGGAAAAAATGAAAATGAACAATGTTAGCATGATTAAGTTACCAATTTATTGTAGTTAAAAAGAAAGAAAGTTCTACTTAACAATGGCCAAATAAACAGAACTAATATAGCATGCATCAGTGGGTTCTTAAATTAGAACCACTGTACTTTTTAAAAATGTGATTTTAAGAATTTAAATAAGTGAGGCATGAAAGTCCAAAATTTTATATGCGCCTGTATCATAAGCTTAATATTTTAATTTTATTATGAAAACCACAATGGCTAAATATTTTACTTCTGTGAGCGTGATTATCAATATTATTTACATTTTTCCATTAGTGTACATATCTATCACTACATTGTGTAAGGAATTTAATTCCAACTCATTAGATGTTAACTATGCATGCCAGGCATTGTGTTAAGCAGTGAGGATACAGTGATAAATAAGGTAAAGCTGATTTTTTTCAACAAGTACAAGGTGGAAATGGAACTGTGTGAGGACCATTAAATCATATGTTGACCTGACTAGACTAGAGGTATTTATACTTGGTGTGTTATGGTAATTCAGAGGAGGTTGTTCCTAGATCTTTTCTTTAGGAGAAGAAATGTTGGAAGGAAGGGAAGATCTCTGAAGTTTAAGGAGGGCATTATGGAGGATATGGTGCTTGAGCTGAATCTCAGACTGGTAGCACAGTTAGCCTGGTTTCTAAGCAGGGTGGTGGGGAGGCCGTTTTTAACAAAAGGAGTAGCATGGGAAAACATGAAGGCCTGAAAGAGCAAGGCATGTTCAGAGAAATACAGTTATTCATATGGCTGGTTTGGATGTGCAAGGGCAAATAGAAGAGGTAAGGAAGGAAAGGTAGCCAAATCATGAAGCACTTTATATGATGTTTTAAGGAATTTAAGTCTTGGGGAGATGAACAGGAATCACATGACTTCATTTGCATTTTACAAAGATTATTGATTTAGTATGGTAGGAGGTCAGTGCTGGTTTTTCAGATGTTTCTGTGAGAGAGGCTGGGATGGCAACCTGATTAGAAGGAGTAAGGTATTTGTCTTGAAGCTATATTTAAATAGCAAATACACTTTTTTTAAAAGTAGATCTTATGTCTGTTTATGGTGACATGAGGGGCTAATGAAGCTTAATGTATAGAGGCCCCAACCACTCTTCTCAGTATGCCCCCTAGCCCCACATCCCCCTGCACTGCCACCATAAAGAGTACTGGAGGAGTGTGAGGCTGGAATGACATGTGAAGTGCTGAAGACTTGACTGTGGCCATTACAGTGGAGTTGAAAAGAAAGATTGTAATTGGGAGAGATTCAGACTGTAGAACTGACAAGGTTTGTCTGTTGAATTGTATACGACCTTGAGGGAGAACCTCAACCACTAGTTCTTGTGCTTTGCAGAACCTTTTCAATGCTATACCGTACATATCACAGGTGGACTATGGAGGTTATTTAGATTATACATAATGATGTTTTCCTCTGGAAAAAGCTCCAATGTGTAAAAGTACCCAGCATAGTTCTTGTAACATTGGTTTGCCAAATACAGGGGAGGCTAAATGTTTATAGAAACCACATTAATTAACAGTGTATTCTTCAAGATATGACAGTCATGGATTAAAGGGTTTCATAATGAGATTGTTTAACTGAAATATAAATATCTTTAAATTTTGATAAAATGATTCAAAGATAAATTCAGCAAAGCTGATAGTTTTTAAAAAATTAACCATTATGGTACAGTGCTTAAGCACACAAATTCTGTATGAGGTCAGACTGAGTTTAAAATCTGACTTTGCCACTGACTAGCTGTGTGCCTTAGCTTCCTTGTTTGTAACATGGAGATAATAATAGTACCAACCTGAAAGGGTTGCTGTGAGAATTAAATAGATTGGGATGTGAAAAGTGCTTAAACCTGTGGCTGGCATTTAGTAAACACCATATATGTCTTCACTATGTTCAATATGGAAATTCATGTATCTGTATTAATATAGATTTATGTTTTTCCAATACAACAGACTTTTCAAACTTTTAAACATGTCCTATGTTTCATTTAACTATTTTTTACTTTCATGGGACTCACAAATACACTTTATGTTTGAGGAATAACCATCTTGACCTGTTGTTCTGATCTCTTTATTTTACTTATGCACCCTGCTGAACCAGAATTCAAGTCCTATAAATATACAAGAGATTTCTTTTATTCTTACTACCCAGTACTGGTAAAAGCCCAAAGAAACTCTCATCTTTCTTATCTAGGGCTTGTAAACCCATTTTAATTTGAAAAATGAGTTGACTAGAATAGTATTCCATAATTTCTCGACCATTCAAGCACCACTAGTTTTTAAAGTGTTATGAAAGTCAGTCTTTGGGTGTCTACATATTTTATAACTTGGATTTAGCAAAATCTGTATCATCATCAATTTCTCTAACAGGATTTTGCTCTTAGATATATAGAAATGTTGAAGAAATTAACTTCAACAGTAATGAAACAGACTGCTTAAATTTTGAAAAATAAAGATGAAATTGAAATGGGAATTCTAGTCCCTATTAGTTTGTACAGGTAGGGAAGAGAAGAGGCCAAAATTGGAAATACAGGAAGTGAAGGTGAAAGTTTGAAGTCTTGCTTTAATATAATGTTGCTGGTCAAAACCCATTACAACAGAAATCTCTGTAAATCAAAAAGATGTCTGTTCCCTAACCAGTACCCTACTAATTTTGAGTATTATTCAATATGAAATAATTCCAGAACTAAAATATAATTGGAGCAAGCTCTTAAAGTTGATTATAACTGGATTGACCTGCATGAAGGCTATATCCCAGAAGAGTGATCTATTATTTTTCAGCTTTGACTTTTTTTACGTCTTATTTTTTTAATAAAGTATAATTTTAATTTGGAGCTTTTTAAGTGCATCTGAGTTATGGTTCACTCATGTTTGCAATTAAAGGTAATTTTTCTCTCGCAGAATTTCTTCTTAATTTCTTACAACAGTTTCCTTAATGTATTAAAAGAACACTGGATTAGGAGTTAGAAAACTCTAACCAAAGCTCTGTCCTTAACTTGCGTGACCTTGAACAAATCAATAAACTTCTCCTGATCACAGTCTCTTCATCTTTATGAGGAATTAAAATTAGATAGTATATTTAGTTCTTAAATTCTGTGATTTTATTAACTGTCACTTGTTTTTACTTTTGACTTTAGGTTAATCAGATCTTAAAACTCAGTACTAACTAATGCTGGGAACTTATACAGAGAAGTCTGCTGAGTTGTGGTGGGAGGACACAGTTTCCATGTTTGAACATTAGAATTCCTTGCCTCTTAATCAAGACTGAAGCATTATCTGAGGAGGAATCAGGAAGCCCAATTTTATACATAGTTTTAATGCTAGATAAAAATTAAGTGTAATTGTAGCTTAGACTAGATATCATGATAGCTTTCAGCCAAGTGAGGGTGAAATAAATAAAATTTGTCTAAATAGTACTAATTAGAGTGATAAATTATACTTTTTTTCTACCCTCATACATATAATTTGTGGTTGTGATTCTTATTTGACATTATTGGCATATTTAATAGTTTCCATGAATTGAAGAGTCACATGGCTGTAGCTTATAAATATATCATAGTTTTCTAATGTAGCAATTAGAAGTCTTAGAGATATTTTGCAAATGGTGTTAGAAAGTCATTGATTATCATCTGTATAACTAGAACTCCATGAATCAGCGGCTTATGGCTCCAGAGCTTAACACAGTGCCTGGCACTTAATAAATATATGTTAAATGAATCAGTAAACATTTGGAATGTTTATGTGTAGGTGAAGTCATAGCTGTAAGAGAGTACAAATTTATTTGAAACTCCTTTATATGGGAAGATTAAAAGTGAAGTTCATAGTTTGGTTTACTTTTGAATTTATTGTCTGACAATTTTTTCTCACTTTATTGCATTAATACAATACAGGGGATGTCATAGGTATAAATCACATTGTAGCTAAACAAAAAACAAAAGTGGCAACAGATTCAATGCATGTTATCCAGAATTGCTTTTACCTTTTCTTGCAAACAGTTTTGAGTTTTGGTAGTAAACTGTTTGAGGCGGTGAATAAGTACGTAGTATACTTAGCATAAGACTTAAGAACTCTGGCCCTTTTGATCACTTCTTTGCAGCAAATTATTGTTTGTTGTGCTTTAAAGTCTCCATTTGTAAAGAGGAAATACTACAGATACACATTAAAGCCACATCCATCAGTAACAAGTACTTATTCAATTTGAGCTGGCAATAGTTCATTAATAGAACTGATGTACTTAAAAGATAATCAGAATCGTCAGTGTGCTGTTCACTTACTGAATGCATTGACTTTCTATATTAGTTCTTCAGAATCTTTTTTGGGTCATGAAAAATATGGACAACCTACATAGTGCTTTGATAAAAGTTATGACCTTCTTTTCCAGAAAAGACATATATGCATCTACACATGTTTTCATATAATTTCAAGAAATTTTTTGTTAAGTCTTCTGAAACTCTTCAAAGGGGGTTCTTTGACCACATATTCAGGACCTCTGTTCTAAAAGATGCACATGAACCCAATCTAAAACTCGGATCAGAACACCGTGTTTCTGATTTCTGTATTGGTGTCCCTAAAGGAATTCTCTCCCTTGTGTTCAGATTAATGCCCTCAGTTCTCCAGTTTCACCATTCTTACCCAACATCTGACCTAACTTTATCTTACCTAATTTCTTTGATTATATTAAAATGCCGAGGAGAGGATTTTTTTTAAAGAAATAGAAAAAAGGACATACAAATTTCAACCCGTAATTCACAAAATAATTTGCAATTAGTTGATTAAATGGTATCCACTTTTTCCAGTAGATGGCACTAGGTTTACATTCTTTCATAGCATGAATGATTATTGATATTAGCACATAGGTGCATTGTGAAAACTTAAACAAAAGTATATAAGGAATAGCCAGTTAAGAACATATGGATTTATAATCCACAAATTTTTCTGCTTATATTATGTTCAAACAATATTTGTAGAGCACAAAACCTTTTTCCATTTTCAATAAGATTCTGACTCCCTTATGCTTGGCCATCTCATTGAAATTGTCTTTCATGTGTAGACTTTCTATAAACTGAAACAAGTTTTCATAAATTATCTTGTATCCAAATAGCTGATTTAACAGTCATTTATAGTTTTATATGCAGCTAAATTTTCTTCAGCAGACCACCCAAGAATTAAAGAAAATTTCACATTTTGTTTTGCTGTGTTTTGAATTTTTATAGAATCTTGAAAATGTTATTAGTTTAGCATGTTGACTGTTAAGCATGAATCGATTTTTGCATGAATGAAAATATTTTAGAAAACTAAGAAAAATTATATTTAAAATGTTGATTAAATGAGTACTCTGATGCAGCTATATTTTTCTAAAACAAACTGTTTTAGTAGCCCTATAATATAATAAAGTTTTAGTTAATGTTGAAAAGTTGCTGTGCAGCATCTAATTACCAGATGAACTTTTAATTATCTGTGACAATGGATATTAGTTAAGGCTAAATTGTTATACAACAATAAGACTGTATGAATAAGATGTTGGGCATATGGTTTGTTAAGTGTGGATTCTCTTGATTTTCTGGTAAATATGGAATAAATTCTTTATATACCTTAAGAATTATAAAATACATAACACCTAGTAACAAGAGAGTTTAAATAGGCATGAAAAAAACAATTAAATCTTAGTTTTGTTTGAGAAATTCATTAGTTAACAATGACTGTACAGTGTGTAAAACATAAATTCTGAAAACAAATGATAATTCTACAGGGTTAGAATATCTAGACAATATGCACTTTGGAGGAATCATATAGGCAATTAGATGCTTATTTATCTAAACATATTCACAATAATGTTATGTGACAGATTGTAGAAGGATTTATTAAAATGAGCTAACTCTTGCTCTCAACAAACACAAGTTTAATGAAGGAATGAGCCATGAATGACAGCTCACAGATTCAGTAATATTGTGGGTAGATATTTGATGAATTTTTACTATCATCCTTTCCTAGTTTACAATTTCATCCTAAACATTTTATTTAGAGATTGAATTTCTCATAACTGCTTCTGCTAGGTATACTGTAATTTAACATTCTTTAAAATAGATTGTATTAAGATGCAACGATAAATTATCTGAAATTACCTTTTGTGCCTTTGCATTTGAAATCAACGATTTACTTGAAAATTTTAAATCCTTATTTCATTTATTTCAATTTCCTATATATTTTTATTTTTTAAAACATTTAGTATATTTACGCTTGTATTAGTAATTTAAAAATGCGTGTTATAAAAAATACACCATGAGGCCTGGCGCGGTGGTCGTACCTGTAATCCAGGCACTTTGAGAGGCCGAGGTGGGCAGATCACTTGAGGCCAGGAGTTTGAGACCAGCCTGGCCAACATAGTGAAACCCTGTCTCTACTAAAAATACAATAATTAGCCGGGCCTGGTGGTGCGCCTGTAATCCCAGCTACCCAGGAGGCTGAAGCAGGAGAATCGCTTAAGCCCAGGAGGCAGAGGTTGCAGTGAGCCGGGATCGTATGATTGCACTCCAGCCTGGGCTACAGGGTGAGACTCTGTCTCCATCTCAAAAAAAAAAAAAAAAAAAACCCATGAAATGACAAAAGATATCAGTTATTTAGATGGTTAATAAGAGATATACTTTTATAGAGTTTAAATTTATGTATTAACTTTTATGATAAGCATTTCTTTCAGTACTAGATGTATTTATTATATTGAGCCACATAGTTGCAAGGAAGGAATGGAATGTTAATTTTTATCACTAGAGTATTTGAATTTGAGGCAAGCAAAGAAAATTCAGAATCCTGTAACTATAGCTTTGTAGGATTTTGTTTTGTTGCAGAAATACATGTTAGCGCAGAAAGATAAAACTGTTTATATTATATTCCACTTGATTAATGTTTTAATCTTCCTTCTGCAAATTTTAGATAATCTCACAGCAAATTTCAGAGCTTCTCATCATATTATTGGTATTGATGAAGAAAGAGATTAGACACTGATCTGTATTTACTAGTTTGTTTCTACCACCAACTTGCTTTCTGGCCCCAGGAATCTTTGTTTTGTACCTTTTATTCCTATTCTGCATCTGTAAACTGAGAATTTTGTAACATTCTTGTCAAATCTTTTATAAAAGATATGACCTTCAGGTGAGGGTTATTGTATTATATTATATTATATTACATATTAGCTGACATTTTCCAAAAGTTTGTTCTGTGCAATTTAAGTGCCTTGTTGTAAGGGAGAAGAAATTGGGGAAAAAAAGATGGGGGTGGAAGGGAGGACGCCAAAAAGTCTGGGAAATGTCATGGGTTTGATCAGGCAAAATCTGTTTCAGTTATGGAAAGTCCTTGGTTCCTGCAAAGCAAGCTCCAGAAAGGTAGAAATTTTTGTCTGTTTAGTTCACTGTTACAATTCAGCAACTACAGTTGTGTCTATCACATAATAGGTGTTCAATAAATATTTGTTGGATGAATGAATGCTTGTGAATAAGTAACATCATCTTATATATCAAAATAATGTCACATTACAAGTAATGTGATCTCTGCTCTTAAGGGATCTACATTCTGGTGAGAAAGATGGCCACCTCAGGTTCAAATTTTATTATCTATAGGATGAAAGGAGTTATATACTTGAAGGTTTGACGATTCTATATGAACACTTTCTCTTTTGTTTTACCATTGAGGCAGGGAGTAGAAGAAGTGAGAAGCATTGTGCTTCTTTCCTCCCAGAATGTCAGACTGGATTCTCGGAATAGGATTTCAAGCAATGACAGTTCTTCTGAAGGATATTGAAGGAATGTGTAGATGTAATTAGTGGGAGGTGGTAGGAGTGGAGGATGAGAAGATGGGGGTAGGGGTGGATTGTGGGCACATGGGTTAGCAATAGATAGGTATGGTAGAGTGCAACCAAGCATGGGTTCAAGAGAGAAACAGAATGGACAAATAAACTAAAGGAGGAAGGCTGCAGACAAGAGAACCTGGCTGTCATTAACCAGGTATGCAACCATGAGTAGTAACTTTTTTGGGCCCTGATTTCCTTTTGAGGGCTTTGGACTAGAAATTCATCATTTCCCAAATTATAATCTGAGGGACACTAATTCTACTAACTTTCCCTTGTAAAATGGATCTCATCATGAAATTGAGAAACCCTACATACTACCCTATTGCATAAATTCTAAGATGCACTGCTTTTACCATTTTACCATCTTGGTAATCTGGATGCAGCTTAAAAATCATTGTGACAAGAATGTATTATAGTTTGGCCACTTTCTCCCCGCCTTTTTAGTGGAGCATAAAATAATGGGGTATCAAATGACCACATATTTAATAGTGCACATCAGCATAAGAAAATCTCTGAGAAGGTCTTCAAGAAACCCATGTCACCTAGATTTGCCTAATCTGATTTGACAGTGGAACCTTTCCCTTCTCACTCTGCAAGAGGAATAACATGTTAGCATTTTTTTCAGAGCCAGTGTTTTAGAGAATGCATTTTGAGGAATGCTGGATCAGGTAATCTTATAGTCTTAAATCCAGAGAATTAATCAAATATTAGTTATAATAAAAGAGTTGAATGTGAAACCCTAGAGAGGTAACATAGGATTCAGAGTAGCAATCTGAATTACTGAATTAATGTTTTTACTCTATCATTATTTATGTTTAAAATTTCACTGATTTATTAAGCAAATGTTATTGTTGCTGTTTTTAAACTAATTTCTAAGAAACATAGCCAAGATCATTATTTAGAAAACATCTTTTAGAAAGAAGATTTAAATAGCAATAATTAAAGTGGAGAATTGAGTAAGTATTTAAATACAACATATACCCGTTTAGTCCTTCCTTTTTCTCAGCCACATTACTAGGTGCTGAGGATGCAAAGATGACTAAAATATGTGTGAGCACTGTCTCTCAAGAAGACATTGAATAATGTCTTCCCGTGTCAGGGCAAGACATGGCTTTTCTTGATAAATTTGAGTGAAAAAGTAAAGTGGATTTTTTTTTTCTCCAGAACTCCTCAGATTTTTCTGGAATATATAGATTCAGATTTAGCTGTTTGTTGAGTGGCAACTGAAGACTTGTTTTCTATGCCTTTTGCTTAATTAATTTATATTTGAAATTTGATTTGGGTGGTAATGTAATTTTGGAAATTTGCAAAGCTGAGTTTTTGACAATATATATTTTATTTTGTTTCTGGTGAAGTATACTCAATGTTACATTTAAATAAAATTTGCATGATAATCTAAGAGAGGGCTCCTTTCCTTCCTTTTTGTGGGTGGTTACCGCTCATCTCCCTAGCAGTCGGTGCTCCCAAGGGGAGAAGGAGGATGAGAGAGCGAGCTATTTTTTGCAGATCTTTTTGATTGCATGTGAAATGTAGAATGGAAATGAGCCTGTCTGTTTTTAATTTTTTTTTATGGGCTATGATGTTCTAGTGAAGACCCATACTGGAAAAAAAAATTAAAAACAGGGAACTCCAAGTTTGTCAGACGTTTCACATGCAATCAGATAGAATTGAAGTAAAGTGACTTTCTCTTCCACTGTTGTCACTTGATGATGGCAGTGCCTTTAAAAATTCTCTTCTTATTTATACGCCTTGCAAGCAAGAAAATGCTCTTTGGATCAAGACATTTTAAAAATATTTCCCTAAACTCTAGGCTTTGTGGTCCACATTAACACAAAAAGTGTTGCTCTCAGTATTTGCATTAAATTTTGAAGAGTTGATAAGATACTCTTTAGTTTTTTTATGGTGCTTAAAGAATACTAATAAAATGACTACTACACATGAATTCAACAATTAAAAATTTATAACACAAATGAAAGATAGAAAAGTAAAATGTGGCTTCTATCGTACAGTCATTCGGGTGAATTATTAATGAATGTTTCATCAGGATGAATGTAGTGCTAAACTTCTATTGTTTCCCAACAAGAAAATAATGTAGCTTCATGAATGAGATTTTACTATTAAGGTTAGAACTTTAAAGGACGTTAATAACCTTTCAGTACTGTGAAAAATACATTTACTCCCCTTGACTTACAGTAAGAAAATGTTTGCACATTTTTCCCCTTAATTTTAAAACTGCCTTACTTCTCAGTTCCCCAATTTCTCCCTTTTCAAATCTGAACCTACATTTTATCCTGGTTTCTTTTTTGGTTTGTTAAATTAGCTGCTACTCTTACATGAAAGACTGCATACTTTTCATCAGGATAGGGTAATGACCACCTTGACTTGTGCACATTTGATCATACTATATCTATTGGGATGTCTAGATGTAGTTTTCTGTTTGGATCTTTTCTGGCACCCTGTGAATGCTGTTGGTATTATTTGAGTTTTCTATATTTCATTTATAAGCAGATATGATTAAATCTAGGTGGGAAAAATTTTAAAGTGTTAACATCCTTTTTGTTAACTCTCTTTACACAAAACTTTGCACATACCTTTACTGTAAGACTGCACATTGTATAGATTGTTTTTCTTATCTTTCCTGCTAAAATATGTGTTCTCCTAGAGCAGGAACACTACCTTATTTATTTTTAACTTTCCAGTGCTCATCACAGTTCTTGATTCACTGTAGATGTTTAATAAATAGTTGTAGAAAGTATAAATTAATATTAGGCTCAACAGTTTTTATCTTCAAAGAATTTACAATGTGTTTGGGAAAATAAAGCAGAAATGAATGAAGATGTTTGAGAATAATTGCATAATACTGTATTTGCCCATTTAAGTAGTACCTTGCAGAGTAAATACACTAATACTAAAAGTGCTGATAGCGGTGAACTTATCAGGATGTGTAGCCTTGGAAGGAAAACTTGCTTGACAACGTCTTCTGAGTGTATTTATTCAAACCTTCAGTATGAGAACCACACTGAAGGCCATTTTTATCATTCAACTATGCAGCACTAAAACATATGGTCTTGTTTAATTCAAGAAGTTTACAATGGTATGTTGCCTTGGCATGCTTATAATATCCATTGATGTTAATTAGAACTCTGTGCATACATCTATAGAATATAATTGAAACTGATCTCGTGGAATTGTCTTATGTGAAGTAAAACAGCAAGAAGGCATTAAATGTGATTATTATTATGACATATAAAGATATGATTTTTCTTACATATAGAAAAGAACAAATCTTTACCTTAAGAAGAAACAATTATCTTTTTTCTGAGTCCTAGAACTCATAGATTTGTTTTTGTGTGTGTTATGTTTAGGGCTTGGAGAACAGATGAAATAAAACTGAAACAAAATGTAAAAATTAAGAATGTTTTTTAAAAATAGAACAGGTACTAATTTTATACTTTCTTTGGTTATGGATGTTTCCTGCCATGGCCAGAAGATTACTCTGAAGGGGAGAGTTACTGGAGTGTTTCAGAAGGGCAACAGCATTGTTTGGCCAAAGGGTTTTTTGTTCTCTAGGCTCATCCAAAATTCATCACCAGAAACAGCCATTGAGTATCCTCTCAGATATAACTCCAAGTTGAGAATGATGATCTGTAGTCTAAAAAGGATGACTTTAAGTGGACAAAGCAAATTAGCAGAACCTGCACTCTGATCATACGTTGAAAGTTCAGCCAGAAAAATACTTTCCGAGAGCTATTTTGAGGGTAGCACTTTGCTAAATGGATATTCACTAAACTTTCTCTTGGAAGTAAAAAAAGGTAATGCTAAACAATGCCTGTATTAAGATACGTAGTTGTAAATTTCCTGGTTTAAAAGCATATGTCTTATATATTTAAATTGTTGCTTATCTATTCATATTCAGGTTTTAGCACTTTCACTGAGGTTACCTGTCTCTGTCTCTGCCACTGGAATATGAACTTGTTAGTGTTTTCATCTCTTGCATTGATCATTCCTGCCATGTGTTCGGAAAGCTCTTCCTTCAGAGATCAGCACAGACACCTTCCTCTCCTCCTTCAGGGCTTTGCTCAAATATCACCTCAGTGAGACTTCTTTGGCCACTCTATTTAAGATTATAATCCTTATTCCTTTCACTCCCAGTCCTCCAGTTTTCCTTTTTCCTTCCTGAATACTTACCACCTTCTAAGAGACTATATAATTTACTTACTTATTTTCATTGTAGTTTGTCTGTCTTCCCTTACTCCTGCTGGAATGGGAGCTCCAGGAAAGTAGATCTAAGTACTTAGATCTATTTAGTACTCCAGGAAAGTATCCTAAGTACTTAGAATAGTGCCAGCAGATAATAGGTACTCAATAAATAATTATTGAACTAATGTATATATCTTACTTAGCATAGTGTCTGACACTTTGTAAACACTCAACATTTTTGATGACTTAATTTAAGAAAAAATCTTGGATCAGTGGTCCTCAAAGTAAACCCTGCAGCTCTAGTTTTGTGGAAACCAGAGGACTGAAGCAAAAGTGTCCTGACATCTTAGACTGTATGTTAATCTCAGGAATGTTTTTCCTATATATGTCTACTTTGAGAGAAAAATCAGAATTAGGTATGGTTCTACAAATATAGGAGCTTTTCTTCCTCCATGCTTTGTAGGTTTGTCTTATCTTAAAGCCTTTATTGAATTACTAGAATGCAAACAAACAAAAAATGATAGTTATGGTATATATTTTATATTTTATTCTAAAAAATGGTCTAAATTTGACTTTTCCAAATGGCCAATTATTTAGAAATTCTAACACTATACTATGCCTGAAGTAAAAATTTGCTTAGTTTTCCAGTGACAAACTAATAACCAACCAAATTTACAGTGAAAAATAAAGTATACCACCTTTAAATATAGCAGCAAGGTATTTCAACATGAACTTTACTGTTTTAACCTACTAAACTCAAAGCAAAACAAGACATTCTTATCTCTTATTCATTTATTATCTTGGGAAAATATTTAATAGTTTCGTTTTTTCTGATTCTAGAACCAAAATTAAAGTTATGGGATCCTTAGGTTTTGTTTTGTTTTGATTTTTCACACCGAAATATAAAATTTATGACTTAAAAGTACTCTAAGGTTTAGGTAACAGATCTAATTTACTTCTTAATAGGAAGTTAAAAAAGCCTTTCAACGTTTCATAGACTTTGTGAGAATCCTGTATGAAACTTGTCACTGACCCTATGTTGAAGGAGTAAATACAGGGAAAAGAGACATTGGCTAATAGATAAATGTATGTAACTTTTCTGATGTACTGAGGTGATTATTACTTTTTCCCCCTTATTATTTTGTTAGTTTTTAAGCTGAAAGTTATTGTATAGTTAGAGAAGAAAGAAGAAAAGTTGTTACATAATTTTTCCTGACAAAATATGATGACTGGCTGGGTGTGGTGGCTCACACCTGTAATCCCAGCACTTTGGGAGGCCGAGGCGGGCAGATCACCTGAGGTCAGGAGTTCGAGACCTGGCCATCATGTCGAAACCCCATCTCTACCAAAAATACAAAAATTACCCGGGTGTGGTGGTGGGCGTCTGTAA
Source organism: Homo sapiens (assembly GCF_000001405.40). Taxonomy (NCBI): domain Eukaryota; kingdom Metazoa; phylum Chordata; class Mammalia; order Primates; family Hominidae; genus Homo; species Homo sapiens. Next base: position 65,322,536 of record NC_000012.12, read on the forward strand.
TCCCAGCCACTCTGGAGGCTGAGGCTGAGGCAGGAGAATCGCTTGAATCCGAAATGCAGAGGTTGCAGTGAGCTGAACTCACACCACTGGACTCCAGCCTGGGTGACAGAGCGAGACTCCATCTCAAAAAAAAAAAAAAAAAAAAAGAAGAAGAAAGAAAATATAACAACTATGAGTTTTGCAGTCAGACAGCCCTGGGTTTGAGTTGATAAGTCTACTTGCTGTTTGTCCTTAATAAGGTATGTTATAACCTCTCCACGCCTCAGTTTCTGTATCTGTAAAATGGGCATGACAGCCACGTTCTAGAATTATTGAGAAGATTAAATGTATTTATGTGAAAGTGCCTAGACATGTGCCTGGCATGTAGGAGGACTCAAATTTTAGTTTTATTTTCTTCCTTCATTTCCCACTTTAATCATAAAAACAAGATAAGGTGTGAGGAAAATACTGTTCCCAGGGAATTATTATAGAAAAAGAATTACCAATAAAAGATTGCTGCACACTAAATACTGGACCTGGCTATCTTTTAAAATACAATTTTAACCTCAGAATTCACTGTAATCAAAATGAAGTAAGTGCTAATGGCTGTGATCCTTATAGCAGATCTTTGAGGGTGGCAACACATAGCAAAGGTGACTTGCTTCAGGTCACGTGGCTGGGAAGCAGGCAGAGCCACAAAGCAAACTGTTGCTGTACGTTTATTTGTACTAATAGCAAGAGCTTCATACTGGGGCTTCGAAACAATACTGGCCTTGAGGCAACAACACAGGACAAGCTTCGCTATAAAAAGAGACTTTGGACATATTTCAATAAATAAAATATCCTTGGACTATGTTCAAGATGGAACTGATCTATCTCAAAGTTACTCTGTAAGGAACGGTGTTATGATTAGATACCAAAATGGCAATATTATCTCCTCAAATATGTAATTGTGTTACATGTGTGTACACACACACTCACTTGTGCCTTCAAAAGACACTATTAAACATTTAAATAAAGGGAAAAATCTTTCCCAAACATACTTCTAAGCCAATTTAGAGGTCATTGAACAGATGTCATATAATACTAATGTTAAATTACCCTGTGTAATAAGAAAATTACAGTACCTAAGTGAAGATAGTAAAGGGAAACCATCCAATGAATTACTCCAGAATTTCAAAATGAAATGATTTTTTCAAGATTAACAGTGGCACCATATGACTTTAGAAAAGTGAGTCTGATAGGGAGAAGGGAAATAAGAGACAAAAGTGAAGCTTTTCTGTGTTTATATATACCAATATTTGGTTCTGATGATAGAAGGGCTAATGTAATAGTATAGCTTTAAATTGTCCAGGAAGTATATTATTATTATTAAATGGTGTGGCAAGATATTTATTAAAATCTGACCAACTTCTCATTGAATTGTTTAATGTAAAATCACAATAGTTGTTTCTAGTCTACATATATTTCCTTTTGGTATTAGATATACTTTGAAAACCTAATTATTTTGAGAATATAGTATAACCAAAGAATGAAAATGTACAAAGTTTGACAACTTTAAATAATCACTAGTATTTCTTAAAGGACAAACCTCACTTACAGTTAGGAAACAATATTTATACTTAAGGTTGAAAAGCCAGGATGTAAAAAAATTTTGCTAATTTGGAAGATGACCTTTAAGTGCACCAAAACCAAATAATTTGTAGGCTATGACATAGGGCACATTCCTACAAAATTTGTGTGAATACTGCTTTAGTGGTTCTTGAAAGACAAACAAAGAAAGCTGGAATGAAATCTTTATTCCCCTCCCAAATAAGACGGAGACTAACAAAGGAGTACAGCAGCACTCTTTCAAGGCTTGCCATTAAAACGAGGTCTCTGTAGCACAGTTAATGAGATGTTTCATAGTGGAAAACAATCTGTTTTTAAGAATGTTTAGATCAAAAGTAATTTCTAATCTATGAAATAAAGTCTCTTCAATACCCTTCATTCACTAGTAAAGCTTTTATGTTTGTATTATTTACTTCAATCAGATGTTTTCAATTTTACCTTTTTTTCTTGTACAAATACTTGACATGGTTCATCAATACTGACCAACGGTTTTATTCTCTTCGGAAAAGAGAGATTCATGAGAGAGGGAGAATGAAAAAGAGAGAAACATCTTTGCCTAAATGATTTGCAAGCATCTGTGCTTTAAGCTACTTTTTATGAACACTCCTTAGTAAATGACTCAAGGTAAAAAGGCAGAAAAGCATCCAATGTTAGGAAATTGCAATCCAATACCATGTAATTTAAACCTGCAGTTGCTTCTCTTGTACTAAATGACATACAGATGGGTAGCTTAGTTCTCTCAACTTTGGGAACACAATTGGTCTTTTTGTATGAATGAACGTATATTAACAAAAATATTTTGGATAGAATTGTTTGATTTTAATTGTACATATTTTAATTATGCCATTGAAAAGAATAATTTTAACCAAGTCATTTTGTCATGTTAAGTTTGCATTTAATGATTTTGTGACAGTATTAACTAAGATACAACCCTTCCAACAAACACATGAGAATAAAATAATTTTTAAGAAGTCTGTACTGAATTAAGCAGAAACTCACCTATCACTGTTGACTGATTATTTAAGAAAGAGCCACTTTGCATTCAAGCTATTGAGAGGCTTGTTCTGATAGGACAGACATTTCTCAGGGAAACATTTCTACCTAACCGTTGATAACAGCAAAAATACAAGTAGTAGGTATTTGGATAAAGCCTAGGATAAGACGGGGTCCAGTGAGATGAGAGATCAACATGCCATTAGTGACATGCCTGCTGTGCCTGTGGATCTTTGCAGGCCAGGGAAGGGCTGAAGTATTTGTGGAAGGTCAGCAGAGGTGCTGTCTGACAACCTGCAGGCCCACTCCAAGGTGTATCTTGCTCTTTGGGTCTGGCTTGCTCTTTTGCTGCCTCCATTTTCTCTTGTGGAGAATCAACCGCTCTATCTTGGTGGCCCGGATTCTGCAAGCTGATATCCTTCTTCAACACCACAGTCAGGGTAACCGGCTAGACAATATTTTCCTAGTTTAAGGTCAGCGATCTCATACTATGACATTAGGTACCTTGAACGTAAAAAAAACGGGAAGCATTTCCACTCCTAATCATATTTCTTTATATTTCAAAAGAAGTTGCGTTTAGTATTTGGGAAACTAAGCAAGCTTTCTTCTAGTAACTTCAAAACATGGCAAGAACTCTCTACATTTAGGACCATCTGCAGGCCTCTTTCCCACTGTGATGGATGGCAAAGAAAAGCAATTTTACTGCAGTGAGTAATGGCTACCCTGTCCTGGAGTTATATTTCTTTTCAGTCATTTGCTCATGTAAAATAAAATACTACATATAAACAGGTGTTGTCTGAACATTTTACTGCAGGCTGTATAGGTTGAAATAAAAGCTGCCATTGTTATTAGAATCACATTAGAATTATTTCACCATTCAAATACAGTTAATCAGTAAAGTCTTCCTAGATATACTTTGCAAAAAGAAAATGTAGGTTTCTAAAAATATTCACATTTCCTTTTTTCTTTGTCTTTCTCCCTTTCTGTTTTTCCCACTCTTTCTTTGGAACTTCTTGAATCTGCATTAGTGAAAATGCCTTCTCCTGTAGTTTATTGAAAGTTTCTTGCTGCCCATTTAACATGGTAAGATACAGTCTTTGAAGAGATATACAGAATCTTTATACTTTGAAGGAGTATACAGAATCTAGTGAAGTTTCTGATGGAATCATGGAGAACAGTAATTCCTGGTCATAGAAAAATATATTTTTAGGGCTCAAAAATAGGATGGTAGTTAAATCATCCACAATGGAAATGGAATTTTGATGGTTTCAGGCTATTCTACTAAGTTGCAAAATTATTGCAGACTTACGGTTTAACATAATATGCCCATCATTTTATATATACAGTATAAATGTTTGTAAATAGACTTATGCTTTTGAATTTATTTGAAAAAAAAAGGGTTTCAGGATACTGGGAGTTATAAAGCATGTACCTTGTGAATGATCAGTGAATTTTTAGTATCACATGCTAGAGACTGGCTGTAGCATATTGTCACTGCTCCAGTGGAATCATCTGAATCTTAAGAAACATTCATTTTAAACGTAGAGAAATAATCAGCTGCAGTTCAGGTAAGCATTTCCAGTGCATTAGAGACTGGTCTGGTCATTGACAAGTGACTGCAGAAGCTGTGCTGTGGCGGTCAGCCAAAGCAATTATTTAGGATTCAAGCTAAAAAGGCTTCTTCTCCCATATCCTCTCTCTTTTCAGGGTCGTGTAGGGATAAAAAGAACTGTAAGGTGGTCTTTTCCCAGCAGGAACTGAGGAAGCGGCTAACACCCCTGCAGTACCATGTCACTCAGGAGAAAGGGACCGAAAGGTAAGGTGAGCTTTAATAAAAAGTCATTAAGAGCTAGATTTCTTCTCCCCCTGCCCTCTGCAGTGCTTTTCCTTGCCAATTAATTTAAAGCATTCTATACTTACTTGCTAAAGTCTATGAATTAGTATCCTTGAAAAGGTTAAAATGGTGTTGTTTAGGTTAAGACTAAGTTTTATTTGTTCTTTTCTCCATTTAATGAATACTGCATATCTGATATAAAGTCACAAAGCTTTTGTTAAGGGCCTGTTTTTAGTTTACTACAAAATGTGTGGAAGTAACAGCGATTTAGGTACATTTTTTGGGAAGACATCACAGTAAGCAAAACCATGAGGGACTTGGCACTATGCCAGGATGCTGAAATTTTGAAGGTGGCCATTGTAAGTATAGACGTTTTGGCTGCAAAAAGAAGGTAGCATAATTTAGTTCTTTTCTACCCAACTCCAATTTCTTTTTGAAGCACATGTGGAGAAAGTATTTATTGGCTCATTTGTGGTTGGAATGTCAAAAATTTTCAATAACTGCCCTCACATGGCTTTGGTCCTTGGAAGTTCGCCCTAAGTCCTGAAAAAAGAGTTTGTTCACTTCCAAGACTGTTTTTAGTGAATAAAGCCTCTCTCAGCTGATTCCAGCTCAAAGGTAACTTGCCAAGGTCCGACGACTTTGTTGTCTAATTTATACCATGGAGCTTGGCGTAAGACCGTAGCTTACCTCTGATCCAAATTTATTAATGATGTAACTTCTTGTTTTCATTCATGAACTGAAAGAGCTCTCTACTACACATGGGATCCCTGTTAACAGGCAACACTCTCTTCCTGTCACAGTATCTACTGTTTACTGAATTTACCAAATGTTGAATCTCTGACGAAGTCCAACCTTAGCATACAATGAGCTAGCAGTGGACTTCAGTCTCAGCTTGCGAGGATTTCTATCCGTTCTGTTGTGTACATGACTAGCAAAATGATTTAATGCACACAAACAACCAGAGATTAGGTCATTCTTAAAAATTCTGTTTATAAAAAATTTGGACCTCATAAAGAGGGTGAAAGGATAATAAAAACAAGCTGCAGAGCACATAGACTTTTTGTTGGGCTAGCACAGCTGATTTGTATTAGCTGAATGACCTCCTAGCCTTTAAGATTGTTAACTTAGAAAAATATTCCCTTAAAGCTGCAATATTCCTTTTCAAACCAAAAAATAAGACTCCTTCCACTTGAAGTCTTGGACCCTTCTGCATTTTCTGGTATATACTCTTGCACACTGTAAAGTAGCAAAATCTTATGTAATGTTCTTTCTGTGAATCTAAACTACAGGCTTTTTTTTTTAATAGAAAAAAATCTTTTTCTAAGCATTACATAACTAGATGGCTTGATTTTTTTATGTAACTTGCACTAGTTTGGAGTAGTTATATGCACATTTTATTATATAGATTTGAAATATATTAGTAAAGTTCAGATTTCCATATGTTTGGTTTGTTTTCATTCTAGTACAAAAAGCCCTTGAAAGATTTATTAGAGAAATATATTTTAAGCAAATACATTCTGTAAGAAATAATGCTAACTTTAATTTTTTAAATGATCTGTTTATTTATCAGTGCCTTTGAAGGAGAATACACACATCACAAAGATCCTGGAATATATAAATGTGTTGTTTGTGGAACTCCATTGTTTAAGTAAGTATGTTGAAAACCTATAGGTATGGCTGTATCATAGATGGCAGCAAACTAGTTATTGCTTTTTCATCTTAGAATCTTTCCATTGCTGAATTTTCTTCTGTTTGTTTTTCTATTTCCATTTACCCCCAACAAAACAAAAGTAATTATTGATTTCATGGTAAATTACCAGTGTGACAGACTGGCTGATTTTGCACTACTTGGATCTTTAAAATACCCAACATTAACTTGTTCATGTCAGTAACCATGGTGCTTAGCAGAGCTGTGAAAGAGATTTTGGCAAGCATAGAAATGTTTATGCATTTACTGATTTTTTAAATCTTCAAATGACAGCCTTAAATATTTATTGGAACATAATGAAAAGTTCTTCATGTATATACTTCACATTGAATAAAATCCACCAAGTAGATTATACTTTTGCAATGAAGGGAAATACCTGTATTGAATGTAACATGGGAACATACCTTTACATAGGTAAGCAAATTATGTAATATGAGGTTAACAGTTTTTGCATAGATTCAAAATCTTTATTTTAAAGATCCCAACAGTTTACCATAAAACAGGCAGCACACTGGACTTTCTGACTAAAATAGTTCATTCAGATAGTGTATTCTGGAGATTATGGATGTTATTCAAGAAAGGGAAATCTTTACCAAAAACTTATTTATCTAGGTGGAGAAAATTCTAGAAGCCCTATGCTTCCCATGGGTTGCTGACTTGGGGGAATAAAAAGGCAGAAACCTTAATTGGGAGTAAATGTCATTGGCTGGGTGTGGTGGCCCAGGCCTGCAATCACAGCACTTTGGGAGGCCAAGACGGGTGCATCACTTGAGGTCAGGAGTTCGAGATTAGCCTGGCCAACATGGTGAAACCCCATCTCTACTAAAAATACAAAAATTAGATAGGCATGGTGGTGTGCGCCTGTAGTCCCAGCTACTCGGGAGGCTGAGGCAGGAGAATCACTTGAACCCAGGAGGCGGAGGTTGCAGTCAGCCAAGTGTGCCACTGCACTCAAGCCTGGGCGACAGAGTAAGATTCCGTCTCAAAAAAAAAAAAAAAGTAAATGTCATTTATTTAAAATGGAATTACAGAGTTTCTTAGGGGAAATAAATAAACAAGGATCTGATACTTGTAGCTAAAACACACTTAATATCTCTCCATAAATGTTTCTCTTTTAAAAAACCAGCATTTACTGATTTTCCAGAAATAACAGGAAACAGTGGTTTCCTTGAAATTAAAAAAATGTTTCTTACATTGCACAAACCTTATTGAACATTACCATTGGTTGAGAATCTGTTCTGAATTCTTACGTATTCCTTCTGTTAAAAAACCGACCCTTCAAATTGTCACCCATTTCCTCTCAGAAAACACACTCCGTATATAATGTTTCAACACCTTTAGCTTATGTCATAATAGTTGATATAACACTTAAGATAGTTGCTGAGCCATGTTAAACTTGTTAATATCCCAAATGGTAAAAATTGGCCACATCCCCTTTACTTTTTGATTCAGATTCTCCATCCCCTTCCCTACCATGTGATTCACTAAAGTATGGGATCTAAAGAAAACTTACTGTTTTAAATAAGAAACAGAACCACTGTAAATGAAGGGTTTAACCCTTGTGAGATTTTTGAGTCACAAATCCTAAAAGCAAGACCCTTATCCAAACATAGATGCTAGTGGGAGTCAGGTTTCACATTTGATGTGATATTGCCTCTATTTCATCTACTTCTGTGCTTACAAGGAGAGCTTTTATTTTCCACATTTATAAGGAATGTGATTTAATACTTTCATTCTACTTTTTTCTTCTTTTAATTGTTTGCTTCTTTTTTACTTGCTTTCTTGTCTATTTTGGGAAAAATTCCTTGCTGTATCCTTCACTGGAGAATGTAGTCGAGTAGCTCATTGGTCTAGTGCCAACTTCTGTATGTGTACTTTCCTGAAACTGATATGTCTGAGAGTCTGTGGTTGGCTGCGTCTTCCTCCCATCTCCTCTATCATGACCACCCTTCTCCCACCTCACAAAAGATGACATACCTTTCACCCAGCCCAAATCTTACCATGTATTGCCCTGGGGTACAATCTCCAGGGCATCAAACAAAATGACAGTTCGGCAACTTTAAAGAGACTCGAAAGCAAGGTTAAAAAAGTGTTGGTAAAAAATAGTGAAATCGTATTTCACCTTGGCAAGGCTCCTGGCACAGCACAGTCCACCTCCCTGTCTGCCTGCTTGTCTGTCTCTCCATCTGCTGACTGTCCATTCATTTTCTACTAGCCTACTTAAGTGAGAAGGCTGCCATGAGAACATGTATTCATATCTTTATTCAAATGAACAAAAACGAAATAATTGGAAGTCTTTTTTTCGGACACAGAATACATCCGATTTGGTTGATTAATTTGACAGTGAGGACTGGCTTTGTAAATTATATGGTGGACTTCATCTGCTCAGTGATCTAAATATGTATCTCTAAGGTTTTGTCAAATCTACATTTTACGTATGTGTAAAGTACACAAAACACCAGAAAATTAATCTTCTGCAATTTAAAAAATTTCTGATAAGACATTTTAACTTAATTTAAATATATGAGGAAGCATGTATCAGTCAGCACCCAGTCAGGACACAGAATACACAGTATTTTGAACAGTAAGGTTTACAGAATTATGAACTGTAAGAGAGGATTGTGGTAATAAGGGATTGGGTAGTAAGAAATGAAAAGAAATTCTAAAGAATACAGGAATAGCAGACATAAGAAACAATCATGACTCCTAGGAACTGAGATAGATAGCCCTAGGAATCCTCTGCACCCCTCCGTACACACAGGGCTGAGGGCTAGACCTTGTTGGAGAGGGCATGGCTGTTGCCACTAAACAGCAGAGAAGTTGTTATGGTGCCATGATGGTGCAACTTGCTGGAGCTTTCCTGAAATCTGAAATTTGCTGGAAATTTACCCTCTGGGATGCTGGGGAAAGCTGTTTGCAGGGCATCTCAGTGGAGGCGCTCCACTACCAAACCATGTGAGCGGAGCGCCAGGGGAAGCTGCTAGCCGCTGGGTGCTGCTCATCGCTGTGCACAGAAAGCAGCACCTGGCACTGAAGAAGCCACTCGTGTAGCTGGAAAGCAGAGTATGCTACCTAAGCTGGGTGCAGAAGGAGCTGTGTGCTCTGCAGGAGTTGGTTGCTGGAAAAGCTGCGTACACGGGAGGAGATGGGTGCAGGAGAGTCCAGTCACATAACAGGAGCCTGGCACTAGAGAAGCTGCCCACATTGCAAAAGCCTGGAAGCAGAGAAACTGCATGGGCTGTGGGATCTGGATGTGAAATATGCTGCAAGCACTAGAGGAGCTTGTTAAGCAAGCATCCTGAAACCAGAAAGGAAAGGGCTTTTGCTCCTGGAGTCTGTCTCCTGTGCCCTCAGCTGGCAAAGTTAGACCTCATGCTGGCTGACAAAGAAAGAAGTATTTAAAGGGCCCAGCCCCATTTTAGCAGAGCAGGCAAAGAAGATGGATTTAGAGGCGAGAGGCTCTAACTTTATTTGAGCACAAAGTCTATTTTTTAATATCAAAATTCTTTTAGGGGTTCAGGAGCAAAAGTTTCAAAACCACTCACTAGTCTAGTAAATTAATGTCACTATCAGGGGCCCTGTAGGTAATTGGTTTTATGCTTTGAACAAAAGTGTAGGAAACAATTGAGGTGTGTGTGTGTGTGTGTGTATGAAAAGTGTGTGGAGTTTCCGTTTGTTAGAAAGGAGTGAGGGTAGAAAACTAGACAGAACAGATTAACTAGAGGAACCGTATGAGAAATACTAGTGGGAGGGAAATAGATAATACAGAAGAAATAAGAAGAGTGCTGAATTTCAAGTATCTAATCACACCGGGGCCTGTTGTGGGGTGGGGTGAGTGGGGAGGGAAAGCATTAGGAGATATATTTAATGTAAATGACAAGTTAATGGGTGCAGCACACCAACATGGCACATGTATACATATGTAACAAACCTGCACGTTGTGCACATGTACCCCAGAACTTAAAGTATAATAAAAAAAAGAAAAGATCATTTCCCCCACTGCTATTTCTGTTATTTTATTCACACTTAAAGTATATGTGTGTGTGCATGCATATACGAGCATAATCCTCATCATTTACTTGACTGCTGTGTGTATTTTACTTCCTCACAAAAAAGGCTATTCAATTATTCTCATTTCATTTTCAAACTTGTACTCTAAATACATTTCCTCTCTGAACAATATACTGCTTTCTTACTGCTTACCAAGTACAAGAACCTCATTCACAGCCTTCTTATAAACCTAATGTATAATTTATTCCATGGTTCACATTTTCTTCACATTTACAAATTTTACCAAGCTAGTTTATTTCTCATATAGTACTACTGACTTTCAGTTAGTAAATTAACTGACAGAAGTAAGAATGTTTTCTCTTCTGGTTATTTGAACTTTTAAAACTTCATAAAGTGAATTTATTGCACATCAGATAAACCAAAGAAAACACTGGGAAAATAATTCAGAAAGTATTTTTGACCATTTATATTTTGCTTTGGTTGACACTTTCCTAGGTATTGTGGAATAAATAAAATAAATTTATGAAATATTTTTTTCCTCAACGTACTTACTTTTTTGGCATAGTAAGAAAAACACAACAAACCATTATAAAATATGACAAAATAATGCTAGTGTCTCTCTGAATGTGCCTGTTTGAAATGCTTTTGTATGTAATAGGAAGGAATATGACTACATCAAACTCAGGCAAGACTTCTTGGGGGAGATGAGAACACACTTTACCAGGCCAAGAGAGGGGTTCAGTTTTTCCCAGGTGGAGGATGCCTAGTAGAGAATACCATATGAGAAGAGGAATCAGAGATAGAATCAAAAGTGGATTTTTCAAGGATATGGAACACTAGTCCAATAGGAGTGGGAAGGTGGGTTATGTTGGGAGTAATGGGAAATATGGCTGGGGAGTTACAGGGGACCAATTAAGGAAGTCCTTGGATGCCAGAGAAGGCATCTAAATTCCTACTAGAAATCTTTTAAGCCTTGGAATCTTTTCCTCCATAAAGCCCTATCTGATCCTTCTAGTGTGAACGTGAATGTCCCTCATCTCTGCTCCATAGCACTTTGAATGCGCTTCCATCATTGCAATTTCTACTTTGTTTTATAATTATCTGTCTATGTGCTTGTCTACCCTCTTGGAGTGAATTTCACAATGGCAAAGCCATACCTTAGTCATATTTATATTTATAGCCCCGGCACATAATAATCACCAAATACGTAGTTGTTGATCACATGCATATCTGAACTCTGTTAGATAGATAGTGAGGTAATAGCGTGATGAAAATGAGATGTAAGCCATAACAGTGCACAAGATAGATTCTGGGATTGGAAAAAGAAGGAAATAGGGATGTTAATTAACAGCCTCAGTGGGAACTCTTTTTTTTCCTTGTTAGCGGATAAACCTCAACACTATGCATGTGCAATCAGCTTCTGATAATTTTGTTTGAGACCTTGAGGAACCACATAGGACATTTTAATATTTTGTATACACTTATTCAGCAGGCCTTCCACTGAATAGCTCATTTTCTATAGGTTCACTAATGATAATGATAATAATGCTAAAACAATAGCTAACACTTACTACAGCACTTACCATATGTCAGGCATGGTTCTTAGTGCTTCATATATGTGAACTCATTTAATCTTCACAGCAACACATTTTATAGATGAGGAAACTGAGAGAGGATAAGTAACTTGTGAAGATCACACAGCCAGTATACAAATGGATTTAGAATAGTAGCACTCAAACATTTAAAAAAGAAGAAAGTTAAAGAATTATAGTAGAATGAAATTTTAATATTTTATTTTAGTCACTCTGGTTATTTCACTTAGCATCGTTGGAACAAATGGAACACACAGAAACATGCATACACACACACACACATCTCTCAATTGTTTGAAAAATCTGTTTGTCACAGTACTTAAGTACTTAAGTTGAAAGTTGAAAAGTGTCTCAATGTGGGAAGGGCTAGCCCAAAAGTAATGAGATCCATCATGGCAGGTCATCAAGAAGGACTCAGTTTCAGGCAGGTTATTATCTGTCCTTAGGGAAGTCCCTTGGAATCCTGACAAGAAAATGGAGCCAATGTTCAGGAAGTCATCAGGCCATTCAACATCTGGGAGCTAGGGCAGCAGCTGGATTTGTGGGCAGGATTTTAGTAATTGAAACTGGGAGGTCATTTTATTTTCACTTATTGACTCCCTGTCACATTTTCTCAAATAGCTGCATTCCAAATTTTCACTAATCTTTTCTTTAAAAAAATCCTCTCTCTACATTTTTTGAGAAGATTGATGCCAACTGACACGAACTATTGTAAATGTCTATCTTACTACTGGAAATTTTTGTGTCCCTTCATCTTTATCAAACAATCAGAACAGGCACTGACTAACAGCAGCTAGTGGCGCCTGCTGAATATCAGGCCAGATGTGTGATCTCAGATTCATCACCTGTAAAATGGGGTAAATAACACCAAACAGGTGTAAAAACTAAATGCAGAAAAATGCCTCGAATATGCCAGGTATTCAACAAATGTTAAATACAAGTGGCCTGTCCAAGTTTTGGGAACATATCATACTATCACAGCAGCCTAAAAAATCCTTACAATGTGAGAAAGTACAGGCTTTATTAGACAGGGTCTGTCTGTTAACAGTGGATATTAGTGTGATGAGTCACAGCTCCAGCTGTGTTGCTACATTTCAAATGGAACTCTGCTGCAAGACTGTTCACACATGCTACATTTCACATGAGCCTCCTGTGCAATTTTATTCTAGGCTACCAGAAAATTTAAGCCATTTTTCAGCTCTTTAAGAACATAAGCCCTTTCACTGAGAAAATTCCAGTCCAGTGCCACACACAGTTCACTCAACTGTGCTACTTCATGCATGCTATTCTGTTCACCACTAAAAGAGACTTTCAACATGAACTTTTCCCTCTGTGATGCAATTTTGTGTGTGTGTGTGGCGGGGGAGGATGTAAGAGCACAGTGAGAAGATAAGAGTTTTCCCGTTTTCCTCTCTACTCAAATCCCGTCTCCTCAACCCTTTTAAAACTCTCCTTACGATATTTAACAACCATTTCAGTCACTGTGGAATTCTGTTATGGAGAGTAACATGAATTTAACTTAAGCTTTCTTTTGTGGAACTCTAGCTGGAAATTGCTCATAATTCCAGAAAATGTTTCTTAACCTCTAACGAAGTACATTTAACTTGAATTTTAAAAGATTTGAATTGCCTCTCACCTTATTCAAAATCCTTTAACGAAGAAAGCTTTCCAGTATAAAGAAACTGTTCTGAAATAAACTAGAGTTCTGAGTGGTGGCTTACTTAAAGTTGTGTTATAGCTGAGTAAGTAATATATTATTTTGAAGAGAATATAAAATTGACTTCTCTCAGCCCACTGACCCTTCCTGTCTTGTCCCCATACAATGATTTATAGGAAAAGTATTTGTAATACAGACAGTTACTTTTCTATCTTCAACTCAACTGAAAACTCAGAGAAAAACTACAGCTGGATTGGAAGAAAAGGACTTGCTTGAGACAGGGAGTAAAAACACAGCCAAAGCATGACTTTAGAAGAAAGAAAAGAACATAAAAGCTTGGCATAAGAAAAGGAAAGAACAACTCCATTTGAGAAACTAGAAAACTATCGCAAGGCATGACTCAAAGTATAACAATATACAAAGATAATTATAACTGCATTTTTCTTTTTAAAAAGTTATATACACACGGAAAAGAACTGAAGCAATAGATACAAAAATACCTAGGTGTGTGAAGTTGTGTGTGTATGTGTATTATTTGGGGAAAGGAAAGTGAGGAAAGAACAATCTTGCCTTGCCTCGTATTACCTAAATAACAATCTTAGTTCTTCAGTTAATTTTCCAAATGGATTACATTTTTCACAGTGAATTAGAATGGATAGTTAGAATAAACTGGGAAACATAATAGGGAAAACTTTTAACTGTAATTCATGTACATTTATCTTGTTTGAATAAACATGAATCAGAAAATTAATATTATTCCAGTTTACAAACTTTGAAATTACTTAAAGGCAGTTTATAAAAAATAATGTGCAAGTTTTAGCAAGTACTTCAGAGGTAATTCACAAAGCTTTTTTTGTAAATGAATAATTCTTTTATTGAAAAATAGTTATTAAGAATTGCACAAATTTTAATCAGATAGATATCTTCAGTGTGTTTTACACGTGGATAAAGAACCCATCACATAACATTGTCAAACAAAGATACAGAAGCCATCCAGCTCACCAGTTGGAAACATCGTGTCTTAAAAGTTTTAGCAGAGGCTGGGCGCGGTGGCTCACGCCTGTAATCTCAGCACTTTGGGCGGCTGAGGCGGGCGGATCACGAGGTCAAGAGATCAAGACCATCCTGGCCAACATGGTGAAACCTCATCTCTACTAAAAATACAAAAAATTAGCCGGGCGCAGTGGCGGGCGCCTGTAGTCCCAGCTACTCGGGAGGCTGAGGCAGGAGAATGGCGTGAACCCGGAAGGCGGAGCTTGCAGTGAGCGGAGATCGCGCCACAGCACTCCCGCCTGGGCGACAGAACGAGACTCCGTCTCAAAAAAAACAAAAAACAAAACAAAACAAAAAAAAACCAAAAATCAGCTGGGCATGGTGATGCATGCCTGTAGTCTCAGCTACTTGGGAGGCTGAGGCAGGAGAATCGCTTGAACCCGGGAGATAGAGATGGCAGCGAGCCGAGATCACACCACCGTACTCCAGCCTGGTGACAGAGTGAGACTACATCAAAAAAAAAAAAAAAAAAAAAAAAAAAGTTTCAGCACAAATTTGTTGCATAACCATAGTCAAGTTATTTTAACTTTCTATCTCATTTTTTTTCAGCTGTTAATAGTGAGAATAACATCAACTGTTTCTAATTCATAACCCTACCGTATCGAAGGAAAGGATCACAGAAACATGCTAGAAAAGATATAAAGTTGGAAGTATAAAGTAAGATTTGTGAAAACTGCCACTTTAAATAAATGTACACAGTAAGCCATAAACAGCATGCAAATCTGAAGTTCTCAAAACTAAGTCGGTATAACTGGCTTTTGATGTCAACATTATTGCATATTTTATAATATATTATTTGACACAGTGATCCATCTCATCCAAAATATTTCTGGTTTCTGTTGAATAATTTAAAAATATTTTAGTGTGGATTTTAAATTCTCCAAATTATATAACTTACATGAGTAACTCAGAGTTTTAATACATTTGTCATTTGCAAATCTCTCTCCCCAACAAAACTATGAACTTTTTGAGATAATAGATTATGATATAGGGCTTTTGTAGCCCCCACCTCTACTCCATTACACGGGCATTGGATTTTGCAAATCCTAGGTACTTGACTATTTGTTAAATAAATACAGTTTAATCCTGATAAGAATAACAGCAATAACCTGCCTGAAAATGATTCAAGTTGACACTAAGATGGCGGAAATGTAAATAGATACTTGGTACTGGATTCCCATAATTATTAATTCCCTGCCATGTTTTCTGAATAATTTTTTTTTGTATTTTCTGATTTCTGTGGTGCAAATGCTTCTGCTGTGGGCTATTTCAAGTACAGATATGACATCACTAAATGTCGGTTTGGGAAGGGACGTTTGGTAGCACCATTACACAGTATTCTGTAATACAGATATGACAGTTGTAAATAATGTAGTCAAATGTAGTTAAATAATTGGGAAGTGGTGAATTTTGAATATTTATTATCTTTGTTTTTAATATACTACTCCTGGAACTTACTTTTGGTAGATGCTTGTTACAACAATAGCATTGCTTGCAACTGTAAAGTTGTACCTGTCTCACCTAAGGGAGTGATGACGACGTCTATGGCTAGGACCTTTAACAACAAAACAGTAAATAGAGCAAAAAGTCACAAAAAATAGGATCAACCACCCAAAGCTACATTAGAAGAAAAATTCATAGTCGAGCCTTTTTATTATCAAATATAAGAACGATTAAAAATAATGAAACTAAATCTTCATCTCAAAGTGCTAGAAAAATAACAACAAAATCAATAAAAGAAATTGGGATAAAATGTCCACGTTTTTCCTCCAGGCATTTGCCAATTCTAGGCATGAGAAGAGAGGTAAAGATTCCAGGCTGGGCGCGGTGGCTCATGCCTGTAATTCTAGCACTTTGGAAGGCTGAGGTAGGCAGATTGCCTGAGCTCAGGAGTTCGAGACCAGCCTAGGCAACATGGTGAAACCCTGTCTCTACTAAAACACAAAAGAAATTAGCCAGGTGTGGCGGCATGCACCAGTAGTCCCAGTTACTTGGGAGGCTGAAGCAGGAGAATTGCTTGAACCCGGGAGGCGGAGGTTGCAGTGAGCCAAGATTGTGACACTGGATTCCAGCCTGGGTGACAGAGCAAGATTCTGTCTCAAAAAAATAAAAATAAAAATAAAAAGATTCCAGACATTCCAGACAGAGACATACTGCTAAGAGGCAGACATACTAACAGAAAGGTGTTTCTCAGCCTCAGCTCTATTTACATTTTGGGATGGACAATTCTTTGTTGCGGGGAGCTGCCCTATACATTGTAGGATGTTTAGTAGCATCTCTGACCTTCCACTAGATGCCAGTAGCATTGTCCCCACTTCTTCTGCACTTGTGACAAACAAAAATTCCTCCAGACATTCTCAAATATTCCCTGGGGCAAAATTGTCTCTTGTTGAGAACAGCTGATCTAGACAACCAACAGAATGGTAAATCTAGCTCTAAATCAACAAATAATAAATCAAACACTGACTTTTAGTATTTTCTGATTTCTGTGGTGCAGATACTTCCACTGTGGGCTATTTCAAGTACAGATATGACATCACTAAATGTGGGGTTGGGAAGAGATGTTTGGTAACACCATTACACAGTATTTCTGTAATACAGATATGACAGTTGTAAATAATGTAGTTAAGTGTAGTTAAATAATTGGGAAGAGATGAATTTTGAATATTTATTTTCTTTGTTTTTAATATAATTCATTTAATTATAAATTTACGTAATTTATTTTTAATAATGGCTATGTTTAGCAGCTAGCTCAACAGGTTCCTTAAATGATAACAATAGATTCTCCTAAGCTTCAGCACACCACTGTAATGGGGGCAAACAAAAGATAGACCAAACTTAACAAAAACTGCAATCCAGCCTCCAGTCAGCTCAGTCCCCAAATTGATTAAGGTGATCTTTCACCTCCTTTCCCCAGTCTAGCTGGCTATCAGAGGATAGGATGAACCCTCTCTGGAAGAAGATTAAATTATCTGGAGTGCAATTTTTCATGCACAAAGCCTGGCATTCATAAAAAATTACCAGGCATACCAAAGTACAGGATCAAGGGAAATAAATTGACAAAACAAACAGGTTTATACACAGCCCAGATATACAGATATTTAAGTTAGGCTTTAAAATAACTGTGATTAATATATCCAAGAAAATAGATGACAAGATGGAGAATTTCACCAGACAGCTGGAATCTATTGTAAAGAGTTAAGTAGTTTTAGGGCTGAAAAATGCAATAACTGAAAGTATAAACACAACAGATGAATTTAACAGCATATTAGACACACAAGAAAGTAGGACTGGCAGACAGCAACAGCAAAAAACAGGTTAGTAGAAAATATCCAGACTGAAGCTAGGAGGGCAAGAAAAAATTATAGATAAGAAATATGTTTCAGTTATAACATGTATATAATTAGAGCCACAGAAAGGGAGGGAAAAGAAGATGGGAAAGCAATATTTGAAGAGATAATTGCCAAGAATTTTCTCAAACTCACAAACTTAGAAAAAAACTTCAAGCTACAGATTGAGAAAGTGCTTGAAATCTGAAACAGGATGAATAACCATATCTTATTATATCACACTGCTAAAAATCAAAGGCAAGGAGAAAATCTTAAAAACATCCAGATAAATTAACATGAAAAATAAAAAATGTAGAACTGTTAAATAAATTCTAGAGGTTGATCTTTGAAAAGACCAATAAAGTTGACCATTTCTGTCAAGTGTAGTCAAGAAAGAAGGGAGGAAAAGTATAATGTTTAAAACACTAGAAATGAGAATAAGATAAAACCACAGAGATGGAAAAAACTATTTTAACGTAAGAGAATACTATGTATAACCCAATTCTAATAAATTAAAAATCTCAGTGAGGTGGGTAATTTTCTAAAAATAAAATAATATACAAAATTTGACTCAGGAAGAGTTACAAGACCTGAATAGACCAGCAACCTCAGAAGAAATTGAGTTATCACAAAAATAAATTATTCCTATGCTATTATAAACTGTATCAATTAAAGAAAATAGAATAAATCTTATCAACTTATTGACAAATGTAAAGTACTCCTAAAATCAAGATCTGATAAAAAGATATTCAATCAAAGAAAAACTATAGACCTATCTGATTTATGAAAATAAAATGCACTCACATTTTATTGCAGCACTGTTCACAATAGCCAAGATTTGGGAGCAACCTAAGTGTCCATCACAGACGAATAGATAAAGAAAATGTGATACATATACACAATGGAGTAGTATTCAGCCATAAAAAATGAGATTCAGTTATTTGCAACAACATGGATGGAACTGGAGTTCATTATGTGAAGTAAAATAAGCCAGACACAGAAAGACAAACATCACATGTTCTCACTTTTCTGTGGGTGCTAAAAATTAAAACAGTTGAACTCATGGAGAGAGAGAGAGAGTAGAAGGATGGTTACCAGAGGCTGGAACAGTTGGGGGGAAGGGAGGATGGTTAACGGGTACAAAAAATGGTTATGAAGAACAAAAAATTGAAAAACTAAATGAGACCTAGAATTTGCTAGCACAGCAGGGAGACTGTAGTAAAAAAATAATTGTACATTAAAAAAAAAAAACTAAAAGAGTATAATTGGGTTGTTTGAAACAAAGGATAAATGCTTGCAGTAATGACCCCGATGTGGTAATTATGCATTGCATGCTGGTATCAAAATATCTTAGGTAACCCATAAGTATATACCTACTATATATCCACAAAAATTAAAAATAAAAAAGAAAATAGATGTAAGAATCTTAACTAAAATATTAGTAAAAGGAATATAGCAATATGTTGAACAAGTAACATGTCATGACAAGGTAAGGTTTATTTCAGGGATGTACAAATGGTTCAATACTGGGACATCTTAGGAAAAATATAATCATTTTAATATGTACTCAGAAGAGATTTTATACACATTCAAAATGTATTCTTTAATTTAAAAACCTCTTAGTATAAATGAATACTATGTTTCATTAAATCTAAGAAGTCATTTGTAAGGGTATAGAAGAAAAACCAAAGTGTTTTTTTCTGTTGTCTCTCACCACTCAACACTACTACAATACAAGTTCTAGGGGAAAATAGAAGTGGGAACTTGTATAACACTGGGGTGATGTAGGCCTTTCTAAACAAGATTCCCAAAGCAGAAATAAAAAGATAAAAGACATTGGATTGGACTACTAAATATTTTACTTTTCTATAGCTCAAAAACACCATAGAGTATATTATTAAAAAAAAAACCAACAGCAGTGGCAAAAAAGCAAACTGGGAAAAATATATGCAATCCATTTGATGGACAAAAGATTCATATCAAAATCAATTGAGAAAGACAAACCTCAGAAAAATGGGCAGAAAATATAAACAGATACTTTTCAGAATAAGAAATACATATGATCCACAAACTTAGGAAAAAATCTTTCACCTCTTAATAATAAAAAATGAGGTAAAAAGATGAATAATTTTTTACCTACCAAATTAGTGAAGATTTCCAATATTGTCAAATTAAGTATTGGTCAGAGTATAGGAAATTAGCACTTTCAAATACTACAGGGTAGAGTGTGAATTGGTAGTACCTTTCTGGATAGCAGTGTAATAAATTATTAAAAGTCTTAGAATTCTGCATGCCATAGGTCTAGCAATTACACTTCTAGGAACTTATTCCAAAAATCATTTTTATGCATAAAGATATAGCTACAAGAATGTTCTTAATCATTCTTCTTATGATACAAGAAATAATTTCAATGTCCAAAATAGGAGTCTATGTAAATGAGCTATATGGTGAAAATATATCTGACATTTCAGATAATAGTGCAAAAGAACATTTAATTATCTGGAAAGAGATTTAAAATACATTTATAAGTCTAAAAGAGTATTAACATATGATCCCATATCTATGAAATATGCATACCTATAAATATATGCATAGGAAATAGTTTAAAAGGTTTTGTACCAAATGTTAACAGTAGTTATCTCTGGATGGTGCAATTATAGGTGATTTTTAAAATCTGTACTTTTAAGTTTTTCTAAAATTAGCAAGTATTTATAGGGTATCAGAAAAACACTAATTATTTTAATATTACCTTTGCTCAATGTGTTACAAACACTGAACAATTTATTTTAAAAACTGACTTTAAACACATCATCTCTCTATGACAAAATTTATCTTTTCCCAATAATAATTTGAAAGAATGAATTAGAATGTAGTTCCACATTTATTTTTAAAGGCCAAAATCCATATTGCCCATCTACTCACATTCGTGGTAGATACTTTGCCCACTGCCATCTCTTCTAAGTTGTTGCTGCTTCTTTCCTTTTTTATCCCTAAGTGACTGGTAATGGTGATGACTTCCTAATGAAAGGTAGCCACCGGAAGCTTAAACTGCTTAAACCTTCTGGTTTCAAATTTTCTCCCTCCTCATGACTACCTTCCATCTTCCTGTAGCACTTACACTGTCCTATTCCCAGAAGCCTAGAGGCAATCAATGAAGGGCGGGACACCAAAGTTAGATTTGCATTTATTTTCAAATGGATTGATTTTTTTTAACTGTTTATCATGTTTGAATATTTTAAAATTGGGAATATTTTAAAGCCACCATTGGTTGAGAAATTACCATGCATTTTGCTAAGCACTTTAAAGAAAATTGTCTCCTTTATTTTTTACAACTTAAATAGAAAATCAAAGCTCACAAAGGGTATGTAATATGCTCAAGGTAACACGGGTAGTAAGAGATGGAGCTAGGACATAGATTCATGTCTGTCTGGCCCCTAAGGCACCCTTCCCTAGCTCAATATTATGTTATAATGCTTCCCTGTATTCTGGCTGATTCTTCTTTTTGCTGAGTAATTCACCATCTGGTAGCTATCACACTCTGGTGTTAATTGGTGCTAATTTTCTGATAATGGCCAATGACTATACTTGGATTTTAAAGTGGAAAAAGCTATGATTAAGGTGTAATACATGTGAGGTTTAAAGTCACAACTTTCCCCACTTTACTGTGTGTGACTTTGAATAAGCTACTTAACCTCTATGAGCCTTAATTTCCTCGTTTGTAACATGAGGATAATACCCTTGTCACAAGAACTTTTGAGAGGATTAAGTAAATAATGTTGAAATGTTTTGTAAGTGGAAAAAACACTGTAAATGTGAAGCATTGATACTGAACAGTGTAAGGATTGGTATACACAGTAGTTTTCAGAACAAAGGTTCATCAGTGAAAGGGAGGCATGCTGCTTGTTGGAATAGAGACTGGAGATCTATTAGGTAAGTACTCCTTTAAAATTCTGGGAAGGTTTGTTTGTTTACTGCATCATATTCTGTTATTGGTCATATTCTGGGTCAGTTCTGGTTATTGCCGATTGGTGTTGATGATAACTGGTAATAATTTGCTGCAGGGGTGGGTGGGGAAAAGAGCAATTTTGCTTATTTAGAGTAAAAAGAGATCTAGAGAAACTCAGGAGACAATGGATAATTGATAGTTTTAATAGCTTACCAAATGGCCAGCCTACATCCAGAGCACTGTGTGGTTCAATATGAGACCCTCACTTTAAAAGGTTTATAGACATAAAGTGGTATGTGTATTATTTTTTCCCAGAACTGGGTCTTTTTCTAGATTTTCACCTGTTTGGTGCTTAGGTCAGTGCTTCCCACCAAGACAGCTTTGTAACAGTGATGCTTTTTCAATGTGGAAGTTTATACGGTGTGAAGAGACATTTTTTTACTTCCCCATTGGGCAAAAAGCTACATTCAGGGAAGAGCAGCTGATGGTTAGGAGACTCAAAACCATGTCACTTTGAAAAGACAATGGAAGAGAACTGAAAAGGCTTAGCTCAAGGGGAAAAGTCGTAGAGCTGTCAGGGTCTACTTCAGTAATTTGCAAACCTCACTGTCCATTAGAACCATACATTCCAAGTCTCTCCTCAAAGTTCTGATGTAGCAAGATTATAGTGGATTCTAGAATTTTCTTTTTAAAACTCTCCCATAATTCTTATGCTTGGTTCCCATGAGTCCAGGCGAAGGTTAAGGAAGCCCTGCCTTAGGGTGATGTCAGTAGTCATGCAACAAACACTACAAACAATAGGCATGGAGAGCTGAAAAGATTTATCAATTGTCTGAATGCGAGATTGGTGAAAAGCTATTCCTAAAGATTAATTTGATGTTTAAAACCTAGTTTGGAAAGGAAGATGATGAATTCAGTTTTGGAAGCCTGATAGATTTGAGATTTTAACATAAAATTTCAGGTATATCAGTCTTCCCCAAAGTGTGTTCCACTGAATATTTGTTTCATCAGACCATTACATCTACATAATGCTAGTCCCAGGACATGTTGATATTGTGTTCTGTGAAAAAAATGAGTGTCATTGGACTAGGAAAATAAAAGATGGCTCATTGGGAAACACCGAATTAAAATAAGTCAAATGGTTGCTTTATCATAAAACTCATGGAGCCTACAACACACTAATGTTCATTGTAGAGCTCCAGGAGTAATACATATGTAGCACTTTCAGAATTTTTTCACCACAGAAAATTTTTATAATTGACGAAATGTTGTGAAGCTAATGTTCCTGATAACACACGTAGGAAATGCTAAAGTAGATAAGGAAGATCTTTTTTTTATTATTATTATGCTTTAAGTTTTAGGGTACGTATGCACAACGTGCAGGTTTGTTACATATGTATACATGTGCCATGTTGGTGTGCTGCACCCAGTAACTCATCATTTAACATTAGGTATATCTCCTAATGCTATCCCTCCCCACTCACCCCACCCCACAACACGCCACGGTGTGTGATGTTCCCCTTCCTGTGTCCATGTGTTCTCATTGTTCAATTCCCACCTATGAGTGAGAACATGTGGTGTTTGGTTTTTTTGTCCTTGTGATAGTTTGCTGAGAATGATGGTTTCCAGCTTCATCCACGTCCCTACAAAGGACGTGAAATCATCATTTTTTATGGCTGCATGGTATTCCATGGTGTATATATGTGCCACATCTTGTTAATCCAGTCTATCATTGTTGGACATTTGGGTTGGTTCCAAGTCTTTGCTATTGTGAATAGTGCCACAGTAAACATATGTGTGCATGTGTCTTTATAGCAGCATGTTTTATAATCCTTTGGGTATATACCCAGTAATGGGATGGCTGGGTCAAATGGTATTTCTAGTTCTAGATCCCTGAGGAATCGCCACACTGACTTCCACAATGGTTGAACTAGTTTACAGTCCCACCAACAGTGTAAAAGTGTTCCTATTTCTCCACATCCTCTCCGGCACCTGTTGTTTCCTGACTTTTTAATGATTGCCATTCTAACTGGTGTGAGATGGTATCTCACTGTGGTTTTGATTTGCATTTCTCTGATGGCCAGTGATGGTGAGCATTTTTTCATGTGTTTTTTGGCTACATAAATGTCTCCTTTTGAGAAGTGTCTGTTCATATCCTTCACCCACTTTTTGATGGGGTTGTTTGTTTTTTTCTTGTAAATTTGTTTGAGTTCATTGTAGTTTCTGGATATTAGCCCTTTGTCAGATGAGTAGATTGCAAAAATTTTCTCCCATTCTGTAGGTTGACTGTTCACTCTGATGGTAGTTTCTTTTGCTGTGCAGAAGCTCTTTAGTTTAATTAGATCCCATTTGTCAATTTTGGCTTTTGTTGCCATTGCTTTTGGTGTTTTAGACACGAAGTCCTTGCCCATGCCTATGTCCTGAATGGTATTGCCTAGATTTTCTTCTAGGGTTTTTATGATTTTAGGTCTAACATTTAAGTCTTCAATCCATCTTGAATTAATTTTTGTATAAGGTGTAAGGAAGGGATCCAGTTTCAGCTTTCTACATATGGC
The DNA here is from genome assembly GCF_000001405.40 of Homo sapiens. Taxonomy (NCBI): domain Eukaryota; kingdom Metazoa; phylum Chordata; class Mammalia; order Primates; family Hominidae; genus Homo; species Homo sapiens. The sequence continues at coordinate 65,346,807 of NC_000012.12, forward strand.
TAGCCAGTTTTCCCAGCACCATTTATTAAATAGGGAATCCTTTCCCCATTTCTTGTTTTTGTCAGGTTTGTCAAAGATCAGATAGCTGTAGATATGCAGCATTATTTCTGAGGGCTCTGTTCTGTTCCATTGGTCTATATCTCTGTTTTGGTACCAGTGCCATGCTGTTTTGTTACTGTAGCCTTGCAGTATAGTTTGAAGTCAGATAGCATGATGCCTTCAGCTTTGTTCTTTTGGCTTAGGATTGCCTTGGCAATGTGGGCTCTGTTTTGGTTCCATATGAACTTTAAAGTAGTTTTTTCCAATTCTGTGAAGAAAGTCATTGGTAGCTTTATGGGGCTGGCATTGAATCTATAAATTACCTTGGGCAGTATGGGCATTTTCACGATATTGATTCTTCCTACCCATGAGCATGGAATGTTCTTCCATTTGTTTGTATCCTCTTTTATTTCATTGAGCAGTGGTTTGTAGTTCTCCTTGAAGAGATCCTTCACGTCCCTTGTAAGTTGGATTCCTAGGTATTTTATTCTCTTTGAAGCAATTGTGAATGGGAGTTCACTCATGATTTGGCTCTCTGTTTGTCTGTTATTGGTGTATTAGAATGCTTTTGATTTTTGCACACTGATTTTGTATCCTGAGACTTTGCTGAAGTTGCCTATCAGCTTAAGGAGATTTTGGGCTTAGATGATGGGGTTTTCTAGATATACAATCATGTCATCTGCAAACAGGGACAATTTGACTTCCTCTTTTCCTAGCTGAATACCCTCTATTTCTTTCTCCTGCCTAATTGCCCTGGCCAGAACTTCCAACACTATGTTGAATAGGAGTGGTGAGAGAGGGCATCCCTGTCTTGTGCCAGTTTTCAAAGGGAATGCTTCCAGTTTTTGCCCATTCAGTATGACATTGCCTGTGGGTTTGTCATAGATAACTCTTATTATTTGCAGATATGTCCCATCAGTACCTAATTTATTGAGAGTTTTTAGCACGAAGGTTGTTGAATTTTCTCAAAGGCCTTTTCTGCATCTATTGAGATAATCATGTGGTTTTTGTCGTTGGTTCTGTTTATATGCTGGATTACGTTTACTGATTTGCGTATGTTGAACCAGCCTTGTATCTCAGGGATGAAGCCCACTTGATCATGGTGGATAAGCTTTTTGATGTGCTGCTGGATTCGATTTGCCAGTATTTTACTGAGGATTTTTGCATCGATGTTCATTAGGGATATTGGTCTAAAATTCTCTTTTTTTGTTGTGTCTCTGCCAGGCTTTGGTATCAGGATGATGCTGGCCTCATAAAATGAGTTAGGGAGGATTCCCTCTTTTTCTGTTGATTGGAATAGTTTCAGAAGAAATGGTACCAGCTCCTCCTTGTACCTCTGGTAGAATTCGACTGTGAATCCCTCTGGTCCTGGACTTTTTTTGGTTGGTAAGCTATTAATTATTGCCTCAATTTCAGAGCATGTTATTGGTCTATTTGGAGATTCAACTTCTTCCTGGTTTAGTCTTGGGAGGGTGTATGTGTTGAGGAATTTATCCATTTCTTCTAGATTTTGTAGTTTATTTGCATAGAGGTGTTTATAGTATTCTCTGATGGTAGTTTGTATTTCTGTGGGATCGGTGGTGACATCCCCTTTATCATTTTTTTATTGCATCTATTTGATTCTTCTCTCTTTTCTTCTTTATTAGTCTTGCTAGCAGTCTATCAATTTTGTTGATCTTTTCAAAAAACCAGCTCCTGGATTCACTGATTTTTTGAAGGGTTTTTTGTGTCTCTATTTCCTTCAGTTCTGCTCTGATCTTAGTTATTTCTTGCCTTCTGCTAGCTTTTGAATGTGTTTGCTCTTGCTTCTCTAGTTCTTTTAATTGTGACGTTAGGGTGTCAATTTTAAATCCTTCCTGCTTTCTCTTGTGGGCATTTAGTGCTATAAATTTCCCCCTACACACGGCTTTCGATGTGTCCCAGAGATTCTGGTATGTTGTGTCTTTGTTCTCATTGGTTTCAAAGAACATCTTTATTTCTGCCTTCATTTCGTTATGTACCCAGTAGTCATTCAGGAGCAGGTTGTTCAGTTTCCATGTGGTTGTGCGGTTTTGAGTGAGTTTCTTTTCTTTTTTTATATACTTTAAGTTTTAGGGTACATGTGCACAATGTGCAGGTTAGTTACATATGTATACATGTGCCATGCTGGTGCGCTGCACCCACTAACTCGTCATCTAGCATTAGGTATATCTCCCAGTGCTATCCCTCCCCCTTCTCCCCACCCCACCACAGTCCCCAGAGTGTGATATTCCCCTTCCTGTGTCCATGTGATCTCATTGTTCAATTCCCACCTATGAGTGAGAATATGCAGTATTTGGTTTTTTGTTCTTGCGATAGTTTACTGAGAATGATGATTTCCAGTTTCATCCATGCCCCTACAAAGGACATGAACTCATCATTTTTTATGGCTGCATAGTATTCCATGGTGTATATGTGCCACATTTTCTTAATCCAGTCTATCATTGTTGGACATTTGGGTTGGTTCCAAGTCTTTGCTATTGTGAATAATGCCACAATAAACATACGTGTGCATGTGTCTTTATAGCAGCAAGATTTATAGTCCTTTGGGTATATACCCAGTAATGGGATGGCTGGGTCAAATGGTATTTCTAGTTCTAGATCCCTGAGGAATCGCCACACTGACTTCCACAATGGATGAACTAGTTTACAGTCCCACCAACAGTGTAAAAGTGTTCCTATTTCTCCACATCCTCTCCGGCACCTGTTGTTTCCTGACTTTTTAATGATTGCCATTCTAACTGGTGTGAGATGGTATCTCATTGTGGTTTTGATTTGCATTTCTCTGATGGCCAGTGATGGTGAGCATTTTTTCAAGTGTTTTTTGGCTGCATAAATGTCTTCTTTTGAGAAGTGTCTGTTCATGTCCTTCACCCACTTTTTGATGGGGTTGTTTGTTTTTTTCTTGTAAATTTGTTTGAGTTCATTGTAGATTCTGGATATTAGCCCTTTGTCAGATAAGTAGGTTGCAAAAATTTTCTCCCGTTTTGTAGGTTGACTGTTCACTCTGATGGTAGTTTCTTTTGCTGTGCAGAAGCTCTTTAGTTTAATTAGATCCCATTTGTCAATTTTGTCTTTTGTTGCCATTGCTTTTGGTGTTTTGGACATGACGTCCTTGCCCATGCCTATGTCCTGAATGGTGATGCCTAGGTTTTCTTCTAGGGTTTTTATGGTTTTAGGTCTAACATTTAAGTCTTTAATCCATCTTGAATTGATTTTTGTATAAGGTGTAAGGAAGGGATCCAGTTTCAGCTATCTACATATGGCTAGCCAGTTTTCCCAGCACCATTTATTAAATAGGGAATCCTTTCCCCATTGCTTGTTTTTCTCAGGTTTGTCAAAGATCAGATAGTTGTAGATATGCGGCGTTATTTCTGAGGGCTCTGTTCTGTTCCATTGATCTATATCTCTGTTTTGGTACCAGTACCATGCTGTTTTGGTTACTGTAGCCTTGCAGTATAGTTTGAAGTCAGGTAGTGTGATGCCTCCAGCTTTGCCAAAATGTAAAGACCATCGAGACTAGGAAGAAACTGCATCAACTAACGAGCAAAATCACCAGCTAACATCATAATGACAGGATCAAATTCACACGTAACAATATTAACTTTAAATGTAAATGGACTAAATGCTCCAATGAAAAGACACAGACTGGCAAATTGGATAAAGAGTCAAGACCCATCAGTGTGCTGTATTCAGGAAACCCATCTCACGTGCAGAGACACACATAGGCTCAAAATTAAAGGATGGAGGAAGATCTACCAAGCAAATGGAAAACAAAAAAAGGCAGGGGTTGCAATCCTAGTCTCTGATAAAACAGACTTTAAACCAACAAAGATCAAAAGAGACAAAGAAGGCCATTACATAATGGTAAAGGGATCAATTCAACAAGAAGAGCTAACTATCCTAAATATATATGCACCCAATACAGGAGCACCCAGATTCATAAAGCAAGTCCTGAGTGACCTACAAAGAGACTTAGACTCCCACACATTAATAATGGGAGACTTTAACACCCCGCTGTCAACATTAGACAGATCAACGAGACAGAAAGTCAACAAGGATACCCAGGAATTGAACTCAGCTCTGCACCAAGCGGACCTAATAGACATCTACAGAACTCTCCACCCCAAATCAACAGAATATACATTTTTTTCAGCACCACACCACGCCTATTCCAAAATTGACCACATAGTTGGAAGTAAAGCTCTCCTCAGCAAATGTAAAAGGACAGAAATTATAACAAACTATCTCTCAGACCACAGTGCGATCAAACTAGAGCTCAGGATTAAGAATCTCACTCAAAACCACTCAACTACATGGAAACTGAACAACCTGCTCCTGAATGACTACTGGATACATAACGAAATGAAGGCAGAAATAAAGATGTTCTTTGAAACCAACGAGAACAAAGACACAACATACCAGAATCTCTGGGACACATTCAAAGAAGTGTGTAGAGGGAAATTTATAGCACTAAATGCCCACAAGAGAAAGCAGGAAAGATCCAAAATTGACACCCTAACATCACAATTAAAAGAACTAGAAAAGCAAGAGCAAACACATTCAAAAGCTAGCAGAAGGCAAGAAATAACTAAAATCAGAGCAGAACTGAAGGAAATAGAGACACAAAAAACCCTTCAAAAAATTAATGAATCCAGGAGCTGGTTTTTTGAAGGGATCAACAAAATTGATAGACTGCTAGCAAGACTAATAAAGAAAAAAAGAGAGAAGAATCAAATAGACACAATAAAAAATGATAAAGGGGATATCACCACTGATCCCACAGAAATACAAACTACCATCAGAGAATACTACAAACACCTCTATGCAAATAAACTAGAAAATCTAGAAGAAATGGATAAATTCCTCGACACATACACTCTCCCAAGACTAAACCAGGAAGAAGTTGAATCTCTGAATAGACCAATAATAGGAGCTGAAATTGTGGCAATAATCGATAGTTTACCAACCAAAAAGAGTCCAGGACCACATGGATTCACAGCCGAATTCTATCAGAGGTACAAGGAGGAACTGGTACCATTCCTTCTGAAACTATTCCAATCTATAGAAAAAGAGGGAATCGTCCCTAACTCATTTTATGAGGCCAGCATCATTCTGATACCAAAGCCGGACAGAGACACAACCAAAAAAGAGAATTTTAGACCAATATCCTTGATGAACATTGATGCAAAAATCCTCAATAAAATACTGGCAAAACGAATCCAGCAGCACATCAAAAAGCTTATCCACCATGATCAAGTGGGCTTCATCCCTGAGATGCAAGGCTGGTTCAATATATGCAAATCAATAAATGTAATCCAGCATATAAACAGAGCCAACGACAAAAACCACATAATTATCTCAATAGATGCAGAAAAAGCCTTTGACAAAATTCAACAACCCTTCATGCTAAAAACTCTCAGTAAATTAGGTATTGATGGGACGTATTTCAAAATAATAAGAGCTATCTATGAGAAACCCACAGCCAATATCATACTGAATGGGCAAAAACTGGAAGCATTCCCTTTGAAAACTGGCACAAGACAGGGATGCCCTCTCTCACCACTCCTATTCAACATAGTGTTGGAAGTTCTGGCCAGGGCAATTAGGCAGGAGAAGGAAATAAAGGGTATTCAATTAGGAAAAGAAGAAGTCAAATTGTCCCTGTTTGCAGACGACATGATTGTATATCTAGAAAACCCCATTGTCTCAGCCCAAAATCTCCTTAAGCTGATAGGCAACTTCAGCAAAGTCTCAGGATACAAAATCAATGTACAAAAATCACAAGCATTCTTATACACCAATAACAGACAAACAGAGAGCCAAATTATGAGTGAACTCCCATTCACAATTGCTTCAAAGAGAATAAAATACCTAGGAATCCAACTTACAAGGGATGTGAAGGACCTCTTCAAGGAGAACTACAAACCACTGCTCAATGAAATAAAAGAGGATACAAACAAATGGAAGAACATTCCATGCTCATGGATAGGAAGAATCAATATCGTGAAAATGGCCATACTGCCCAAGGTAATTTACAGATTCAATGCCATCCCCATAAAGCTACCAATGACTTTCTTCACAGAATTGGAAAAAACTACTTTAAAGTTCATATGGAACCAAAAAAAAAGCCCGCATCGCCAAGGCAATCCTAAGCCAAAAGAACAAAGCTTTAGTGATTTTCTTAATCCTGAGTTCTAGTTTGATCGCACTGTGTTCTGAGAGACAGTTTGTTATAATTTCTATTCTTTTACATTTGGTGAGGAGTGCTTTGCTTCCAACTATGTGGTCAGTTTTGGAATAGGCGTGGTGTGGTGCTGAAAGGAATGTATATTCTGTTGATTTGGGGTGGAAAGTTCTGCAGATGTCCATTAGGTCCACCTGTTGCAGAGCTGAGTTCAGTTCCTGGATATCCTTGTTAACTTTCTATCTCGTTGATCTGTCTAATGTTGACAGTGGGGTGTTAAAGTCTCCCATTATTATTGTGTGGGAGTCTAAGTCTCTTTGTAGGTCTCTAAAGACTTGCTTTATGAATCTGGGTGCTCCTGTATTGGGTGCATATATATTTAGGATAGTTAGCTCTTCTTGTTGAATTGATCCCTTTACCATTATGTAATGGCCTTCTTTGTCCCTTTTGATATTTGTTGGTTTAAAGTCTGTTTTATCAGAGACTAGGATTGCAACCCCTGCCTTTTTTTGTTTTCCATTTGCTTGGTAGATCTTCCTCCATCCCTTTATTTTGAGCCTATGTGTGTCTCTGCATGTGAGATGGGTTTCCTGAATACAGCACCCTGATGGGTCTTGACTCTTTATCCAATTTGCCAGTCTGTGTCTTTTCATTGGAGCATTTAGCCCATTTACATTTAAAGTTAATGTTATTATGTGTGAATTTGATCCTGTCATTATGATGTTAGCTGGTGATTTTGCTCGTTAGTTGATGCAGTTTCTTCTTAGCCTCGATGGTCTTCACAATTTGGCATGTTTTTGCAGCGGCTGGTACTGGTTGTTCCTTTTCATGTTTAGTGCTTCCTTCAGGAGCTCTTTTAGGGCAGGCCTGGTGGTGACAAAATCTCTCAGCATTTGCTTGTCTGTAAAGGATTTTATTTCTCCTTCACTTATGAAGCTTAGTTTGGCTGGATATGAAATTCTGGGTTGAAAATTCTTTTCTTTAGGAATGTTGAATATTGGCCCCCACTCTCTTCTGGCTTGTAGAGTTTCTGCCGAGAGATCAGCTGTTAGTCTGATGGGCTTCCCTTTGTGGGTAACCCGACCTTTCTCTCTGGCTGCCCTTGACATTTTTTCCTTCATTTCAACTTTGGTGAATCTGACAATTATGTGTCTTGGAGTTGCTCTTCTCGAAGAGTATCTTTGTGGCATTCTCTGTATTTCCTGAATCTGAATGTTGGCGTGCCCTGCTAGATTGGGGAAGTTCTCCTGGATAATATCCTGCAGAGTGTTTTCCAACTTGGTTCCATTCTTCCCGTCACTTTCAGGTACACCAATCAGACGTAGATTTGGTCTTTTCACAGTCCCTTATTTCTTGGAGGCTTTGTTCGTTTCTTTTTATTCTTTTTTCTCTAAACTTCTCTTCTTGCTTCATTTCATTCATTTGATCTTCCATCACTGATAACCCTTTCTTCCAGTTGATCGAATCGGCTACTGAGGCTTGTGCATTCGTCACGTAGTTCTCTTGCCATGGTTTTCAGCTCCATCAGGTCCTTTAAGGACTTCTCGGCATTGGTTATTCTATTTAGCCATTCGTTTAATTTTTTTTTAAGAAAGATCTTTAAGTTTACTACAAAGGCCAAAGGTAGATGTATAGGTTTCATGGAAGGAATGAATAAGGCAGTGAAATGCTGCAGAGACTCACAAGAATAAGAACCAGTCATTTGAGTTGGCAATATTAGAAAATTTAGAAAAGGCAATTTTAGTGGAAGTAGTAGTGAAAGTAAGATTTTGAAGATGTTAGGATACAATCTCATGTTTTCAAACCACAAGCTGAAATGGAGACAATGTGTTAAAATATTTAAAATTGGAATTATCCCAGAAAACGTAGTCATTATAGTTATGCTACTATAGTTAAAGTAGGAGTGGTAAAGCTAACTCCTTATAATAGGAGGGGAAGTAGATTCATGGAAAGATTTTAATTTTTTGGATAAACTGAAAAAAGGTGTAAAGAGAGATGCATATAAGGTGCTAGAAATGAGGGAAAGAGGTTAAAGAACATGTAGGATAAACTTTAGAAAAGGAGATTAATTTTTCTCCTTCTGGGGGATAGGAAATTTTTTAGATGAATAATTGTGTTAGATTTTTTTAGATTAATAATTGTCAATCTATGAGATTAGTTTTCAGTATTCCGTTTTTTGGATTAGCTAGTTTCTTAGCTTGTGTATTAGTGTCAAGTATGCTTGCCTAGAGTAGGAGTTCAATACATGGCTGTTCTCATTAGTGGTGCTGTTATTTTCTCTATTTGAACATGTTACTGCTTCTTACCACCACCAGTGAGTAGACAAAAGAGAGTCCATTAAGGTCAAACCAGATAACTAACTCTATTTGGTTTATCAGTACTGCATTTCATAATCATAAGTTGGCTGGCCATGATTCCTTCTGCTGTTTATATTTCATCTTCATTATCTTGCATTGTACTTGAAACAACCTATACTTTTGTTCATTCATGTCTTGATTTGTTTTTCAGTGGTCATTCTAGTTGCAATTTTTTTTATTCTAAGGAAACTTGCTTTATGCCGCTGGAGATTTGCACATTTTACTTCTATGTACTCACTTAAGTACATAGTGTTAATGGCAGTCGCATGACTCATAGTCTGCATAAGCATAAATTAACTCCAGTACCTCTGTAGTATGCCCCTTTGAGATTGCTCTGGAAGACCACCCAGAAGTCTGAATTTACACAGACTGCAAAGACCCATTGAACTTAAGAAAACCCAGCAGCACTGACTGACCAAATATACCTGCATCTTTCAGTATGAACGAGCTATCCATTTGCTCTTGATTGAGGTTCAAACTGTGGATCTTAAACTATAAAGGGCTTTATGGGCTGAATTATGGATACTTTAAGCAAGACCTCTTCCTTCAAATAGAGTGCTTTGCACATAGTGAGCACTCCATAAATGCTCTTGACTGACTATGACTTAATGAATGTTTAGACCTTCCAGTGAACTTCTTTTCATGCTTTCCAGATTTGAAGGAAGGGTTCTTGATATTGAATATTTGTCTTTCTTATTAGTTTTGCTTGGGGGCTTACTATAGTGTAATTTTACTGACCACAGAAAATTTATCTTTTTAGTGATGAATTATTTTAGGTGGTCTGTTGGCCCTGCCTGAGTAATCAATGGAATCTAAGGTTTTATAATTTGATTCATGTGTTCAGAGATAATAGCTGAAAAATAAAATAATAGTTTTAATAAGTTCACCAAGAAAGTAGCAAATGTATTATTTTTTGCCTCGGGGCTGGGTCTTTTTCTGATGGATTTTTCACTTGTTTGGTTCTTAGTTCATTGCTTCTCACAAAGACAACTTTATAACAGTGCTGCTTAAAAACTTTTCAATGTGAAAGTTTATACAATGTGAGGGGACTTTTTTAAAAAAAATTTATTCCCATAGGTTATTGAGGAACTGGTGGTATTTGGTTACATGAGTAAGTTCTTTAGTGGTGATTTGTGGGATTTTGGTGAGGGGACATATTTTACTTCCTCATTAGGCAAAAAGTTACTTTGGAAATTACTAATATAAACAAATTGGAGTAATTAGAAAGATAGAATGTTCTATTTTAAATAGGTGAGATTTTCTTAGCTTTAAAAGAACATTCAGGTTAGTGGTTCTCAGGATTAGCTAGAGAACTTAAAAGTATAGATTTCCAAATTCTTCAATTGTGCTTTTCAAAAGGTTAATGTAATTCAGATAATAATACATGTTCTTGAATTATTGATTTGGGCCCAGGGAACAAGTGGTTTAGTACAGATTTTCTGTCCCCAAGTTAAGTCAAGAAACATTTTATACTATCTCTTTTCAAGGCAGTTATATACTATTCTATTATAAAGTAGGCTTTTAGTATCCTTATGATTTTTTTAAAAACAAGAAAATTATATGAATCTAATATCCTGTGTCGGACCATGCAGCTTGAAGTTTTCTTATTGATCCTAGTAGCTCACGAGAATAAACCAGGAATAAGGAACAAATTGAAGTGGCAAATGACTCCAAAGGAACAAAACTTACTCTTCCTTCATTTCTTCCCCATATACTAAATGAAGGTACTACTCATTATCCACCCAGTTACCGGAGCAAAAAGCCTAGCAGTCATCTTTAATTATTCTTTCCCTCACCTCCCATATCTAGTCTACCAATGCATTTTGCTCCACCTCCACGCACCTTCAAAATATATCCTGAGTCTGACTCCTCTTCATATCCATTGCTCCTGCTCTAGTCTAAGCCACCATCATCTTTATCCGCTTTGACCTGAACTATTATAAGCCTGTCTTCTTTGGCTTTTTAAAAAATCGACTTCATTTTTTAGAACAGTTTTCTATTTACAGAAAAATTGAGATAGTTCAGAGAGTTCACATATACCCTCTCACCCAGTTTCTCCTATTAACATCTTACATTAGTGTGGAATATTTGTTATAATTATAAATGAATATTGGTACGTAATTATTAACTAAAGCCCATTTTTTTCATACTTTCTTAGTTTTTACCTAATGTCCTTTTTCTGTTCCAGGATTCTATCCAGGATACCACACATTTAGTCCTTCTGTCTCCTTAGTCTTCTCTTGGCTGTGACAGTTTCTCAGACTTTTCTTATTTTTGATGACCTTGGCAGGTTTGAGGAGTCATGATCAGGCATTTTGCAGGATGCTCCTCTGCCGGAATTTGTCTGGTATTTTTCTCATAACTAGATTGGGGTTATGGTTTTTTTGGAGGAAGATCACAGAGGTTAAGTACCATTTTCATCACATCATATTAAAGGTATATGCGAACAACACGTCATCACTTTTGATATTGACCTTGACCACATGGCTGAGGTAGTGTTTGTTAGGTTTCTTCACTGTAAACATACTTTTTTCCCCTCCTTTTCCTAGTGTATTCTTAGGAAGAAAGTCACTACACACAGCCTACACTTAAAAAAGAGTAGGGATTTATGTTCCCCATCCTTGAAGGCAGAGTATCTCTACATAAATTATTTGGAATTCCTCTACAAGCGAGAGAAGTCTCTTTTTCTCTTTTATTTTTATTTATTATCATTATTTTTCATTTTTTAGAGGCAGGGTATTACTCTGTCACTCAGACTAGAGTACAATGGCATGATCATAGCTCACTGCAGCCTCAAACTCATGGGCTATAGTGATCCTTCCACCTCAACCCCCCGAGTACCTGGAACTACAAGTGTGCAGCACCATGCCCAGCTAATTTTTTATTTTTTTTTATAGAGAAGGGGGTCTCGCTATGTTGCCCAGGCTGGTCTTGAACTCCTGGGCTCAAGTCTTTTCTTTATTTAATCAATCACTTATTTATATCAGTATAGACTCATGGATATTAATTTTATACTTTGAATTATAATCAATACTACTTTATTTATTTTTGTTGCTCATATTGTTCCAGGTTTGGCCATTGAGAGCTTTTTCAGTTGGCTCCTTTGTCCCTTTGATGTATTCCCATCAATGTGGGGTGTATTTTTTTTGTTGTGTTTTTGAGTGCCTCTTACTTTTTGGCACTTCTTGATGATCCAGGTTTATCTTGTATATTTCCTGCCCTAGTCCTAGAATCAGCCATTTCTTCAAGGAGTCCTGGTTTTCTTTATTAGAGAGTAGTGTTGGAAACCAAAATCTGAATGGTAGGTGGCCTCTCTGCTTTGACTTTTTCCCCTGTAGTTCATTCTCCACATAACAGGGTGAAGATTTAAGTACATTTAAATTATATTGCAACCTGTGATGGGTTATCCTTATATCTTTCAAAATCACAACTCCTTACAATGGTGTTTAAAGTTGTGGTCTACCCTTACCTGCTTCTATGATTTTATCTCTTAGCATTCTCTGTCTCATTCATTCCTTCCTGGATGCATTGGCCTCCCGTCACCCTGCCTTTTTTCTTTCTTCTTCCCCCTCCCCTCTTCCTAATTTTAACCCCCAAATTATTAACTAATGATTTTTAATGTAGTATTGTCTAAATAGTATTACCTTCCTTACTAAAAGGAATAATGTAATGATCAATTTTATAACTTATAGTTACCATTATATATAATAAGTTATATAACAATGGTGCGTTTAGGCCCTAATGAGCTACATAGGACTCTCTTTGCCTTCTAAATAATTCTAGAGAGTTCTGTAAAGTGAAAAGCATGCTCCTCCTTTATCTTCTCATCCACATTTATGTCCTCAGAGGCTATTGAAGTGTCCAAAGTGCTAGTCAACTCTGTATTGCTCTTGTCTGAGATTTTTACAGCTTTAAACTTTTAGAGTCTGTCAGTAATTGTGTCTAGAACTAGCCCGCTAGCCATAACTTCTATTATTCTATTCCTGATTACAACCTAAGGCAGAAATGAAAATTTCCAGGGAATATAAGAAAATAAATATTATGTATAAAACTGGTAGAGTAAATTTTACTAACCCCTAATCTGCTTCATCCCCCAGAGAACACATGGCAAGTGTGTACACAACACCAATCTTGAAAGACAAGACCAAGAAACAAATGCATAAGCAAATAAATGCATTGGAAATTGTCACAAAGTGATATGAAGAGACAAAGATCCCATTGATTAGAATCTTCTGGTATGCTACTGGTGGTCTCCAGTAATTTGCAGAAGCAGCTGCCCAATGGCCAAAATTCAGGTTAAGCACTTTGGCAGAATATGTTTGAAAATAGTGATGAGGAGTAGGGAAGTAAAACACATTTTGTAAAATGAGTTAAAGTGTGGAAGAACTGTATACGTTTTGTTTGATTTGGCTAACTTCTAGGTTTTTGGCTTTTATTGGAGGTTTGGGGTTGCTAAGTGGCTGACTGTAGAAGAAGTGAAATGTATGAGTTTGCCAGGACTGCCATAACAAAGTATCACACACTGGGAGACTTGACAGAATTTTATTGTCTCACAGTTTTGGAGGGTTGAAGTCCAAGATCAAGATGTCACCAGGTCTGATGTCTTCTGAGGTCTCTCGTTGGCTTGTAGATGGTTATCTTCTCCCTGTGTCTTCCCCTGGCCTTGTCTCTGTGTGTGTCTGTCTTAATTTCCTCTTTTTATAAGGTCACTAGTCACATTGGATTAGGGTCCCCCTGGATGACATTTTAACTTGATTAACTCTTTAAAAATGTTTTTTCCAAATACAGTCACATTCTGAGATATTAGGGGTTAAAATATCAACATACGAATTTTGGGGGAACATAATTCATCCAATAACATGAAGGTATACTCTGTTCTCTTTAGTGTTATTTTCTTAGCATTGTGAATTTATTCTCAGTAGATAAAAGGCCTTGACTTTAAAAAGCCTCATTCTCTGTGGAGATATAAATATACACAAGAAACAATTACATTATTTTAGAGGAAACATAAATCACATAGACAGGAATTCAGAGAAGGTGAATATCAACAAGGCCTAGGGAAGAATTGTAGAAGCTGGGAGCCAAAAATGGCCTTACAAATTATTTATTTTTTCAGCATTCTCTATCTGTAGGTTTGAGTTCTACAGATGCACCTTTTCGTCCCCTCACACTTACTTTTTCCTCTGTTCCCTTCTCTCTGTTTTCCTCTTTCTTTATTCCTGGGAATGCAGGGAAAAAAAGTAGGTAATTTACCTTTTTAATGGGATAGCTTGTGTGGGGCAACATTGCCTCACTTCAGTAACTTAATTTCACTAATGAGAAGAATGGGGTTCACAAGTTAAATGATTTGTCCAGGTTTCTGACCTAGAATCCAGGTCTTCTGATTCTTACTGCACTATGCACTCAAGTGCATTGTGCCACTATTTTAGTGGGAGAATGTTTTATTTGTGTTTTAAGAACAAATAAGATTGCTTTTCCATATTGCATAATTAGGTCATTTGTGTTATTTTCCATTAGCCTTCCCTCTTAAACATTTCCAATTTCTTCAGCTATTTTTATTACTATTCTCTTATTTTTTTCCTACATAATTTTGGCATCCATATTAAAGTTTCGCCTCACATAAGATCTTAACCAAAGTAATAATTCTTTCTTTTATAATATAGTGCTATTTTTTTTTAAACTTAGCTTTACTAGTACTTGTACCACAAGTATGATATTACTAATTGTACTTGTGGCCATAGGTAAACTTCACTTAGCATCATTGTTTCGATGAAAGCTACCTTTTACTCAACTTCTAATATGTGTCAGGACCACCTAGGTACTTTATGGTATCGTCTCATTTAATCCACACAAACGTTTTTAAAGGTGAATATGTTACCTGTTTTATAGATGGTAAGACTCAAAATGGTCATTGACTTCTCTAAAGTTGCATAGGGTGGAAAGTGGGAGAGCTGGGACTTAGCTTGTTCTGTTTGTCTCTGTTGGCTCCTTTCCCACAACTGTTACGTGAATATGGACAAGAAATAGACCTATTTGCTTACGATGTGTACCTCTGATGCCTACACAGAGCCTGCTTCCTCAGAGGTCAATTTGTGGAAAAATGAATGTGGCCCACAGCTTCTAAATATATTTTTATATACCTTTTGCTCTTTTAGTTTCTTTGAGTCATTTTTATGTCTCAATTTGTTCTCCCAGATATTAATGTTTTGTAATGAATTTAGACTTCTTCTTGGAACATGATTTATTCCTTCTTGATATTGGCAAATCTTAAGACTTTGGCGTGATTTAATTTAGTGATATATCTTAACCAAACAACCATAAATCTCATTTTCACATTAAAGTTAAAAGACGTATAATACTATATTTTGTTAAACCACATGATTTGTCATAATAGTTGTAATTGTATCATGTTTTCAAAGTGGCTTGACTGAATTCTTGCTGTTCTTTTGCTCATGATTATCCTGATTTCTAAATTTCTGGGTTTTAAAATTCTATTTTTTTCAGTTTTTTAAAAAATTAACCGTAAAATTAATGGGCACCTTTTATTTAAATCATTATTATCGAAATGTAACATAGAGGCCTAAGTTTTAAACACAGTGAATAGCTAACTCATAACCTACTGCTGCTTAGTTAATATGTTGGGTTAAAAGGATAGAAATACCCAAGTAAAAGTGGACTGGCAATGCCAGACCCTACTATCTAATTCAGTGAGGACTCTAGAGAAAGGCAGGTTTGGAATAGAAATGATATCAGAGTTGTGGGCTGGGATTTCTGTGATTCTCTTGGTGTCCCTCTCAGGGCTGCAAGATTGCTATAGCAGTTCTAAGTGGCATATCCTTATGTGGTATTTTCAAAGGCAGGAAAGAGGGAAAGATAGAAAAAGGGCCTTCTCCCTAAATCATCTCTCTCATTTTCATGCAGAAAAATCCTTTCTGAGAAGCATCACCAGCAGACTTTACCTTTCCTCTCACTGCTCAGGACTGGATTAAGTGCTTCTCCTTGTACCAGTCACTGACAACAAATAGGGTTGCCATGATTGGCTTAGTCCAATCGTGATTCATCCCTGGGGAGTGCACATTTTTTAGCACTCTTCAAAATGGGAATTCTGTTTTTAAGACAGGCTATTAGGTAGGCAATTAATAGTGTCTGCCACTATTACTGAACTCCTTTAGTATGATCAAATAGCTATTATGCACAAATGTACAATTACAACTCTGATGAGTGCAAAGGAATGACTGGTGCTATGAAATGAAAGGGATTTAATCGAGCCTGCCCACTCTTCTTCAAATAATTGATAATTAGGCTAAGATGTGGAGAAAGTTTCAGAAGTTAGGTAGGCAAAGGGGTTAAGGTATAGTAGAGTGGGGGAGGGAGGAGGAAGCATTCCACGCAGAGGAAGCATATTGTGTTCATGTAAATTGAAAGGGCACATAAATATTCACTGCTGTTCTCACTAGTCACTGGTCGGTGAAGGCCTTTGAGTTACTTCTAGGGGTAGAAGAAATTGGTAGACCTTGTAGGTCTACAAGTAGGATGCTGAAATACTGGAATTTCTGAAAAATTTCCATGTGTTGAAGGGACAACAGAGCAGATTATTTGACTTGGATTGTTTTACAAAATTCTTGCTGTAGAGTTGCCATATATAATGCGCTTACAGACAAAAATCAGGCTGTCACCCCTGCTCCTTCTAACAGTTGCCTGCAGCTAGAATCTTTAGTTGATATCAGTTAAAAACATTAAGAACAGCACCCTCACTTCTCTGACACCTTCTGCAATGCTAATTTCTGTACTTGATACTTACATGATTCCCATTTTAAAATTTTTGATACAGTTGAACATTAAATGAAAAACAATGTTCTCTGAGATTTTGTGGGTTTCCCCAGAGAGACAATAAAATAAAATATCTTTTGGCTTCAATACACATAGAATTTTTGTGGACACTGGGCTATTCTCTGCAAGGATAAAATGGTAGTTTTATAAATTTGTCCAGGAGTATACAGCTGTAACCAATGACTAAAAGTGACCTCTTTTGAAAATTTGCAACTCTATTATCAAAAGAATGCATATATTACATAATTTAATTATTTAAAAAGCATTCATGATACTCGAATTCTCCTAGTGTCTACCCTTTCTGGCTTACAATTCATGAAAATTTCATTTTCATGTTTAAAAATTTGGAAGTTTTTATTTAAATCTTGTAAAATGTGGCAATATTGCTATGGTGGATAGGATACAGGCTCAACTGTTCTGACAAGACTCCAAAATAATAGTGGCTTAAAAAAAAATAACAGCTTGGGGCCGGGCGTGGTGGCTCACACCTGTAATCCTAGCACTTTGGGAGGATGAGACAGGCGGATCACTTGAGGTCAGGAGTTCAAGACCAGCCTGGCCAACATGGTGAAACCCCGTCTCTACTAAAAATAGAAAAATTAGCTGGGTGTGATGGCACATGTCTGTAATCCCAGCTACTTGGGAGGCTGAGGCAGGAGAATTGCTTGAACCCGGGAGGTGGAGGTTGCATTGAGCTCATAACATGTTCCTGGGCAACAGAGTGAGATTCTGTCTTAAAAACACACAAACAAACAAACACAAAAAACAAAATAACAGTTGGAGATTCATATGGCAGTTGCATAGGTGCCTTCTATCTTATTGATTTACTATTCTAATATCAGTTTTTCCCTCATGATCTAGGAATGGCTACTTCAGCTCCTGGAATTACATTCACATTCCAGCCAGTGGCAAGAAACAGAAAGAAGGGAAGGGTACATTCCTTCCCTATAAGGGAATAACTCAGATGTTATCACCTCACTTTTGCTTGTATCCTTTTGGCAAGAACTTAGTCATATGGGTACAACTAGCAACAAGGCAGTTGGGAAATAATGTGGAAATATGTCTGTGTGCCCACTTAAAACTCAGAGATTTTCTAAAATTAAAAGGGGGAGGATGAATATTGGAAGGCAGTAACATTCTGTGCTATAATCACCATCTTTTGGCAGTTGCCAAAAGAAACGGTTGAATAGTTTTGAACTTAGATGTGAGTATATAATTTGGGGTAAAATGGGTGTCTGTGGAGACACAATTATATTTATGCATGTTATACCCTATTTTATGCAATTTTGTATCCCTACCATCTAGCATAGTATACTACTAAAAATAAACACGTAAAAATATGTTTGGAATGAATGACCATCCTTCTTTTCTTTTCTTGTGCAATCCTTATTAGATATGTATCTTTCTTTTTACATTTGCCGTATATTCATCCTTATCCATATTTCACTTCCCTTCTCAAAGGGGATTTAAGAGTCGAGGTGATCATAGTTCATAGTATGTTAGAGGAGTACTTTGTATCTCTGTGTGTTTAAGTCTGTATGTAAAATCTAATAGGAATCTGAATTAACTTAAAACAACAAAGGACCAGTTTTCCCTATCCCCAAATTGACAGTTTTAACTTCTATTATCATGTTTTAATTATCAATAGAGTAGCTGTATTCTTTTGAGTGTTCAGTACTGTATCTGAGAATTCTGCAGATTTTTTTAAATTGATACCCAAGGCCATTAATTGGTTTGTGAAGATGTTTTCTCTGCACCTTACGTGTATATTTTATGTATTGATCAGCTATCCCTGGAGAAGATAAGATAATCTGAGGAATAAAAGTGTTCTGACATGATTTTTTTTTTTGTATCTCAGAATTAGGTATTCTATAGACATTTTGATCATTTATCTTGTTTTTGGCCTTCTGTTAATATACAGATTCATTTGTTCGTGTGTTAATTTATACTACACCTTTTTAATAATTCTTAAGTCTCAGGTGCTGCATTCAGTGTTGGGAGCATGAGGATGCATGAGACCCAGTGTGCACCTCACTCAGCTTCGTGTCAATGCCACACCATGTGGGGAGTGTTGTGCCAGGCCCCCACTGTGGGGTAACTGAGGGGGAAGAAAGGAGCTTGTGAGGCAATGGGGGCAGGCGGGATGCTGACATGATTCACGTGAGCCTTGATTGTTGAGAAATAATATGGCAATAGTTCCATTTGATGGGAGTGATACATGCAAAGTGTGAGTTAGAGATGGATTGGAGAGCTGGATCATGGAGGACCCTTTATACGCCATGCAGAGGAGTGGGCACTTAATGTCGCCAGGTCAGTGGCTTTCAAACCTTTTTGTCCACAACCCATAGTAATGCATATGTTTTTACATGGTGACTTATTACTAGGCCTGGACCTAACATTTGCAGGGCCTGGGCAAGAGGACAAATGGTAGCATAGATACATACTGTATAGCTAAATAGTTAAAACTCAAGGCAAAAAACTGTTAGAAAAGGATATACCAACCTATCTTGACACATACACCTTATAATGAAAAATGATACCAAATGACTGAGAGTAATGCAAATTTAAAATTAATTTTGTCTTCCACCAAAAGACTATGAATTTACCCTGAGGAAATGCCAGGACAGTGGTAACTGGGCCAAGCTGGGGGAGAGGAGGGAAAGGCTCACTCAGCCTTCTCTTCCAATGGCCATGGAATCTGTAGATAAATACCTCCTTTCTCTTGCTCTTTTTTGGGGGAGGGGTGCTTTCATTTCTGCCAGAGGCTCTGGGCCCCCACCCATTGCTCCTTCTATACCCAACAGCCAGGCATCGAGTTCCAAAGTGATCTAGTCCATGACAATCCAGTCCAAGGGCAACCTCTGGCCCCCAGGTGCTCTCAGCCACTCACCCTCACAGGAGGGTTTGCATTAAGAGTTCTCTGAGCAGGAATGTGAAGAAGTATTGAGACAGGGGGCCCCTGCTTTCTATGCCACACCTTTTTCCCATCTTTTAGGGCCAAGGGGTCCCTCCAGCCCTCAGGTCCAGGCTCTTTCATTCAGCTGACAACTTTTGGCCACTCCTTGGACTGGAGGTACACACATGCTAGTAGTACTACCTGACCTGAAGAAGGGGCCCATGTAGGTCAGAGTAGCAACTTAAGGCCATTTGGGTAGAGAATGATGGTGATGCTGGTAGTCAGAGATTCAGGTGGAAAAGAGAACTTCCTGGCTGGTGGAAAACAGCACAGGCAGAGGAAGGCCAGAGCAAAAGCTTCTTGCTCATCATTGGTGGATCTAAAGGGAAGGAGAACATTGGTTATGAGGTTATTCAGCCAAGGAAAGGCCTAAAGATGGTGAAAGTGAAGATAGAGAGGAGGGGAGGGATGTAGAATCCGCAGATCTTGATGACTAATTAGATATTGGGGGTGCAGAAGAAATCTAGAATAATGCCATCATTTTTGATGAGTGCCATTTAAGGCCACAGTGTGACATTCAGGTAGTATTTTGTTTATTATTTGGAAATATGGGTCAAGATATGGTCAAAGAAGTGTTTTCATTTGGATAGTTTGTTAAGATGGGAATTTCTAGGCCCCACTTACTGAATCAGAATCACCAGGAGAAGTCCTGGGAGTCTGCAGGTGAGCAAACTCCTGCGGTGATTTTGAGACACATGGGTACCCTAGAGAGTGGGAACAGTGTTTCAGGTGGCCTGAGGGCTGAACTCTGGTGCTCACCAATACTTAAGGGACAGGAGGAGGAGGGGAAGTGACAGACAGACACTGGAAAGAAGTGGGCAGTATGTCCAATGAAAGAGAGAGGTTTAGTAAAGTATGGACAGTGACACGGCTTGTGCATTTAACATTGGGAAGCTTCTGATAAACCTTAGCAAAGGCAGATTGCACTGATTCAAGGACCGAATATGTTGGGAGATTAGGAAAGGGAGATAGATGATATAGGATATAGTCTATACATCTTTTTTACATTATAATTTGATTGTAAAGCCAGATGAAAGAGGGATAACAAAGCAAGGCACAGATTTGAAGGAGGCCTTTAAAAACAATTCTGGAGCACTTATATGATGAAGGGAAGAGGAACCTGTGGAGAACCAGATACTGAATATATGGCAGAGAAAAGGAGTAATTGATATAGCCTTGTTTCAAAGGAGATGAGAGATGCATTTTAGGACCCAGGAGGAGGGAAGCTTAAGCAGAAGGAAGAACACCTCTGGCTTCTATACAGTTAAGAAGGAGAAAGGGCATGCATAGATGCAAAAAATTCTCTTAACAGACATTTGAACACAAACTCTAGTCACAATTTAGGTGTTGTGGCTACAGAGGTTAATAAGGCATGGCTATAGTTGAGTGGGGGAGATAGATAAGGAAACCAGCAAGATAACATGTGGCAAGTGTTGTTAGAGTTGTGCTAAGAGATGGTGGAAACACAGGGGAGGGCATGAGACAAGGCTTTGCAGAATTGGAGAGAGGGCAAAATGTGAAAATGGGTTTGTACCTGAAATAGAAGGCAGGGACATGGAAGACAAAGGTTGAGATGAGGACTATGGTAGGGCCAGGACTTAGGGAAAATGTGCACCAGGATTACGGCAGTGGTGATTGGTAACCATGGATGCAATTTTACGTGTACATGTATATGTGTGTATTACATATTACACATATATGTGTATATATTTTACATATACATATACACACACACACATACACACAATCATACAATTATAAGCATCAGCTGAAACTTTGTTTGGGAGGACTTCAGAAAATGAATGTTTATGACCAAGGAAGCTTCTTGCTTATCCTTCCCTTTCCTCCTTTGATGACTTTTCTTGAGGCTAATTTAGGTACAGAAAGCCACCGCTTCCAAAAGTGCTTTGGAACCCTGGCATAATTTCAAAGAAATCTCCTTTCCCACTTAGTTAACTACATTTCTCCAGGAAAAAAAAGTCTTGTCTGTCAATGTAACATCCTTTTAACAGGACTCCCGCTGGTTGGTTCTTGTATCTTGCTGTGGCAGCTGTGAACATATATACTATTGATTGTTGATGTGTGATATAAATCCGACTGGAGCATGCCCACTAATTGGTTTGAGAGCTAGATATAGACAATGCTGTTTTATAGTAGCTTGTGTAGATAGGCCTAGTCATAGGGTTAATTCTGCTTGACAGCACATCAGCAGCATCTTGAGAGTAATTACCTAACAGAAGTTTTCCCACAGCCGAACTGAGAGCTTCAAAGGCTTCTGAATTTACAACCAGTATTAACCAATATCTGAAACATAATGTTCCCACAAGAGCTCAGAATTTTTTCTCCTTCTTATTAAATGTATGGGGTTACTAGGTTCATTTGCTGTGTGCTAAGAACTTAGTGAAAAGTTACTTCGTGTTGAATAATTTCAAACCTTGAATAATAAAGAGAATAATTATGAATTTGGTTTTGTATTGCTTTATTATCTTACTGAAACAAGTTAATCTGTAAAGATCAGGTGCCTTTTAAAAAACCGTATTGTATCCTGTTTCACCCAAAAACAAATTTAAAAAGTTAATGTCTTTTCCATATTGTGCTATCTGTATTGATATTTGCATATTTAGAGGGCCTAGGGTAATGCATGCATATAAAATGATTACAATACATATATATTAACATTTTAGAAATATACACTGAAAAATGTAACTATTACCTCCCCTCCCAACCACACCCCCCCCCCCCATGAAATAATTGTTCTTTTACAAACAGTTTTTATATTGTAAAAACTTTCTTTCTCTTTGCAGGTCAGAAACCAAATTTGACTCCGGTTCAGGTATGTTTACATTAATAATGCTCTTCTGAATATATTTTATTTACATTATTCTCTGAGGAGTAAATCATCAGATCAAGAACCATTTTGATTTTAAACAGACTAGGCGGTTTCTTTCCAAAATGTGAGTCCCACCTCAAAGCAGGGCTATTGACTGCATCAAATCATAATTTGAGGTGTTCACTTTGGAGTCTTCATAGCTCTGCAATAAGCATTACATGACCTATATCTGCAGAGTTTCATTTTAAAAGCAGAAGTGGGGGTTATACATACTAATTGCTCAAAGTAGATTATTATTTTCTCAGTGGACAAAGCATCCTGAGTGATTTGAAAATTCTCTTTAGGTTGTCACCAAATGTGGGAGATGGATGCATTTAATTCAGCAAACTATAGAGAGTTCAAGCCAATAGAAATAGAAATTTGTCTATGGTTTATTAGCTTGTTTTCTCTTAAAAAAGTTTTATTGCTAGATGGGTGATAGAAAATGAAGGTCACCTTAAGCCATTATTTTGAATCTATTAAGACAAAATTTACATTCTCACAAGCAGTGGCATATCAGCCTCTTTAGACATTTTCTTTTCATTAAGCATGAAATGTAGCTATATAATTCTCAGGTTTGACTATGTCATTATGTCACTTGCTGAGATTTATGTGCTTCAAAGTTTCTGATGGCATTTACAATTAAAGCACAAAAATTGCCTCATATTTCATACAAAGGAATTACGTATGCCCTTTGGTAGACTGTTAACAGATAAATAAACATTAATTTTTGAATTCCAGGAGAAAATAATTTACAGAAAAATATATAACTTGTTGAATTTACAAGTAACATTTTTACTCTGGTTCAAGTTTCACTATATGGTAACTTTAAAAATGTTTTTACTTATTATATTCACAAAGGAACAAGTGCTATATATTCCTTTTGATAGTAGTGTTAAGGAGACAACACACTTTTTCTTCTTTATAAGCCTTTTCTTTCTTTTATTGTATGGTTTTGTGAATTTGGTGAGACTCATTAACTATGAAGTCTATACATTTGAGTTAACAAATTTACCTAGTTTGGTAACTCCAGAAATCTTTGGATCCTGTGTCTTCTGCAGCCTCTGAATCAGATGTATGAATGGTAGTATAAGATAAACATTTTTGGTTGAAAACGCTGACTATATAGAGACTAAAGGTGGGATGGCATTGTGTCAACTGTTTGACTCCTTGATTCACAAATGGCTCAAAATAAGACGAAAAATCTTTTTCATTTTTTAAGTTAAAATCTTTAAGTATAATTTAAAAATAAATGAATAAAGTTGATGGAGAGTGTAATTTTACCTAAAAATTACATGTCTCTTTTTTCCCTGCCAGTCACCAAATATTAATTAAGAACCCACTTCATTATGATCTGATGTAATTCCCTAAACATCAAGTCAGAAACTGGTTTTAGGGTACAGGGTCTGGAATATAGCTTTTAAAAATGAATACGTCCACTAGGTTCATCTTGAAGGTAGAATTGAAGGTAGAACCTGGAAGTAGTTTACAAAACTGAAATATTAGGCAGCTATTGTCAAAGTCAGACAATTTATGTTAACTTTTCAAATCCAAATTAAAGTGTGCTGCTAAATTCCTGTACTGAAGGTAAGTATTTATCATGAAAATAGTTATAACAGCTGTACAGGCACACATCTTTCACTCTTGTGACCAAAGATTTTATGCATGACTTATTTTTTTTCAAGTTCTTATTTAAAAAAAATCTATCATGGACAACATCTGCATGTCTTTGAAAACTACAAAGTTCTGTACTCTGAAAAGTCTTAAAGGGGAATACTGATTAAAAGTTTATTTGTTCTTTTAATATTAAACTTAAATATGTTGTGGAAAGAATTCAGATGTTTTCAAATTAAGAAACGGAATTATTTTTTCTTATAAGCTCCTTTTAGCTTATGACTGAAAGAATCATGACAAAGGAAGCTAGAAATGTATTCTTTGGCATCCTATATCATGAAAATTTTGGTTAGAAATAAGGTAGCATAGGGCCGGGCACAGTGGCCCATGCCTGTAATCCCAGCACTTTGGGAGGCAGAGGCAGGCAGATCGCAAGGTCAGGAGATCGAGACCATCCTGGCTAACATGGTGAAACCCCATCTCTACTAAAAATACAAAATAATTAGCTGGGCGTGGTGGCACATGCCTGTAGTCCCAACTACTCAGGAGGCTGAGGCAGGAGAATCACTTGAATCCAGGAGGCAGAGGTTGCAGTGAGCCGAAATTCTGCCACTGCACTCCAGCCTGGGCGACAAGAGCGAGACTCCATCTCAAAAAAAAAAAAAAAAAAAAGGAAATAAGGTAGCATATTGGAACAATTAAATAGGTTCAGATTCTCTATTGTGCATCAAATACAGAAAGTAAACTAGGTCTGTCTAATGTTGTATACAGCTCTGACAAAGCAAGATTTTTAAATGAAGGAATATGCCAATCTTACTAGGAAAAACAAAACCATAAAAAATAAATACTATGGTCAGTGACCAGCCATAACGGAAAGGATTTCAAAGTTAAATTTTATGTGTGTGTGTGTGTGTGTGTGTGTACTCACACACCCACACCCCCACCACACACACACAAAGTATATCAAGGAAAGTACCCAACTTTATGCAGAGCTTACCGCACAACATTTTTAGTTTAGGTAAATGAGTTTTAGCCTGTGGAGTGAGATTCATGAGAAAGGAAGGAAAGTTTTCATTGCCAGCACATGGTAAAAAGTTTCATTTGTTGAATGTATACCAAATGATTATCCTAGAAATTGATTTAAATTTTTTCTGATCAGAATTGCATCTTTCTTTTTTTTTACAAAAGCAAATCCTCAACCTCCTGTGCTTTTTAAATTAACAATTTTTTATAATCAAAAAATTTCAACCATGTATAAAAGTAGAAAGTATAGTGTGATTAGCACCCATATAGTCATCCTCTAAATGTTACTTTTGTTAATTATTTGCCGAATTTGTTTTACCTTTTTTTGCTTGAAATATTTTAAAGCAAAATACATACATTTCATGTGATTTTTACAATCCAGAAATTATAGATGGTCTTGACTTATTAAAAGGCGTTAAAGTTTTGAGGTTTTCATCTATTTTAGAAATTTGAGTGACATACACGTCATTGTGTAAAGGATCGTGGCATTTTCATGTCCACATCCAGTTGAAAACTCTTTGAAAGTCCTATTTGTGGTGAATTGTATAATTAAGAAAACCTTCAACCAGAAGGCAGAGGCCCTGAATTAATTCTGACCTGAGAACTCCAGAAATTTTCTATTCTCAAAATTAGTTAAAATGTCAGCTGCCATTTAGCTGTGGTCTCTGTGTACTGAGTAATATACTGACTAAAAACCTTTTCTGTTGATTTATAACTCAATCACCTAAAGTTTTTGGCTTTGCCAATTGAGAACAGTCAGCTTACCTTCTTTTTAAAAGGAGTTTTAAGGTTTCCATTTTATACCTTTTCCTAGTTGATGTACTAATGTTGGCTTGCCTAGGATTGTGTGGAGTTGGTGATTTTACTAATAGAGTAAAACAGACTTCCTTTTATGTTCAGAAGTAGCAAGAAGCTATACTCTTCTCCCCACCTCCCAAGAAGGGAAGTTAGTTGATGCTGGAGGAAGCAGAGCATTGAGTTTAATGTAGTGATTAAACATGAAAGCCATATATCAAATTTCAGGAGAAACATGCTTTTGAAAGAGGCAGAGAACTGTGGAGCATATTGCATGATAGGCTATATAAACAGAGCCCTGGAGGTCAGTGTGTGGATGCAAACCAATTAAATAAAAGAACTTACTGGCTTTGCTTTCTATCATCTGGATGGGGAGGATCACAAGTTAACATGCACAGGATTGAAGTATAAACTTTGCTTAAATAAGCTAGGCACCTTTGGAAATTTCATTAACTCTTTCAATCCACTGCTAACTATACTTTCAAAAACCAAAGTCTCTGGGAAGTTTTTAAAAAATCCAAAATATTTGTTCTCTTGGCCCTCTGTACATATCCATTGGCAAAGAGTAATGGACTAGTAATGAGTAGGATGGAAGAAAAAGTGAAGGATGAGGGTGAAAAGACCAGGAGTTGGCTCTGTCGCCAAATTTCAAGAACATGCACGTCTCTCAAACACAAGCCATTTGGAAAAGCAGAGCTCTTGCAAAATAACTGAAAAAAGATGTTTTTCTCTTCTGAATTCTGGGTATAAGGATATAGGTGGAATTTACTAGTCACTAATATAACATCAGGATATTGTTATTTCTGTTCCAATAAAGTAGAATAGCTTTCTGACCAAGAAGAATCTTATTTATAAGTTAACCTTAACTTATTAACTTATTTATAAGTTAATAACTGGATGTGAAGGACAGCTTGTACCGTAATTCTGTGGTCCCAACCTTATCAGGCAATGTTTGGGTGAGAAAATGAAGTACCAAGTTAAATGGTATAGATTCATGGTCCATAAACATTCAAAACAAAGATTTTTTTTTTCTATAGAGTCATGTTGGCTGAGAAAGTGAATAAGCTTATGTTTAGTGCTTGTTGATTCTGGGCTGCTTGGAATAGCTATACTAAGGAAATGGGCTCATAGAACACAGCAACTCAAAGGTATAAGATTTCATGAAAGCGAATTATGGAGGATTAAGAAACCTAATGAGCATGGTTTAGTGTGCGGAGTTGAGGAGGGAGCTCACTATTAAATAAAGCCGAGAGTGTAGAAGGTTAGGAGATCCTAAAAGACATGATTATAAAAGGCACAACAGAATATAATTATGCTGAAGGAGGGAGGGCGGAATCCAAGGAACAAAAAGCAGCTAGTGTCGCTTTTAGGATCTGTAGTTAAAAAGGAATCTACACCAGGGTAAGGAAATCAAAGAACACAATCAGTTAAAGCTTGAGGCAAAAACATAAGGGCAGGGAAAAATAGAGTGGGGCTGTTAAGGTAGTCACTAAGTTGAAGGGAAATGAGGAATTTGAATGTAGTAGAAATAGAGTTTTGAAAGCTTATTAACAAATGAGAGAATTTGCCTAACATAGTAAACTTTCCTCAAGAACTATTAATAAGGAAAATATTTTCAGTTCTTGTTAGCATGAGAATATGTTGACAATAGTTTTTAGCCATACAGTTTAATTTCTTCATTTTAAATTTCTTATTTTAAACTCATAACATTGAAGAACAAGGAAATAAAATATAAATATTTATATAAGAATATTGAAATCTGCATTTGGGCATCATTTATCAGCAGAAATAAGAAAAATATTGACTATTCATCTATTCATTCATTCATCATATATTTACTGGGCATACCATATGCCAGATGTTGAGGTTATAGCTGTGAACAGGGTGGATACAATTCCTTCTGTCATGGAATCTTATGCTGGTTGGTTGGTCCATGGTCCATTATACAAATTCACATGAACTTACCTGCATACTTAACTGAGGAGGCCTAACAAGACTAAAACTTAAATCTAAATGGTGAGTCAAAGACCTCTTGATATTTAAACATAAGCCAATTTATTTTAGATTTAGACAAATTCACCTTTCTTTACTGTATTCAAGCGATATCATGCTGTTTTCCACAGACTTTTAAGAGAACAGCCTAATAATGCTAATGGTTAGGGTGTAATTTTTCTAGCGTTTTCAATAAGGAGTGACATTTTCCATTTGATTATCATCTTTAAAAAATCAACTTAGATGAGAACACACTGACAAATATTTGTGAATACCGTTCTATTCTTTGTTTTTGTTTATTTCTTTTACAGGATCCTATTCAAGATTAGCCTGAAAAATCAGGCAACCTTCTCTATAGCAATCTTTCTTTCTTTCTTTTTTGAGACGGAGTCTTGCTCTGTCGCCCAGGCTGGAGTGCAGTGGCGCGATCTCGGCTCAATGCAAGCTCCGCCTCCCAGGTTTACGCCATTCTCCTGCTTCAGCCTCTCGAGTAGCCGGGACTACAGGCACCCGCCACCACGCCTGGCTTTTTTTTTTTTTTTGTATTTTTAGTAGAGACGGGGTTTCACCGTGTTAGTCAGATCTCCTGACCTCGTGATCAGCTCGCCTCGGCCTCCCGAAGTGCTGGGATTACAGGCGTGAGCCACCGCGCCCGGCCTATATCAATCTTTCTTGATTGAATAGAATCAAGTAGAGGGGACACGGCTCTTCATCCCGTTTTCTAAACTAACTTGACCAGGAAACAGCAAGGCATAGTGGCTAAGTGCTGAGGTTTGGGTCAGATAGATGTAAGTCTCTCTTTCGAATAATTTTCTATTGATTTTCTCAGATTTCATATGTACCCTTATGTCACATACTTACATTTTGTATTTTTTCTTAGAACTGGAGCATTTAAAAGCTATGAATTTCCTTCATTGGAGCTTTAGTTGAGTCCTAGAGTTTTAATATTTTATTTATTTTTATTATTTTTTTAGAGGCAGGGTCTCTATTGCCCAGGCTGGAGTGCTGTGGCACGATCATAGCTCACCATAACCTTGAACTCCTGGGCTCAAGTGACCTCCTGCCTCAGTCTCCCAAATAGCAGGGAATACAGGTGCACACCACCATGCCGGGCCAATTTAAAAAACATTTTTGTAGAGACTGGATCTTGCCATGTTGCCCAGGCTAGTCTCAAACTCCTGGCTTCAAGCAATCCTCCTGCCTCAGTCTTCCACAGCACTAGAATTAGGCATGAGCCACTGTGCCCAGCCCAATATTGTATTTTAAATAAATGCAGTTTTGATTTTCTTTTGGACATGATAGTTACTTAGGAAGCTTTTTTTTTTTAAATTTCCAAATTTTCTACCTTCTACTTTTATTAATGTTTTTCAGTTTTATTGTTTGGTAGTCAAAGAATTTGGCCTTACTACTTTTTAGAAAGTCTATTATTCAGTACTTATTAAAGTTTTTTTTTTGGCCTCCCATGTATTTAATTTTTGTGGCTTTTTTGTTGGAAAACTACATTCTCTGCAATGTAAAGGCTTCAGTGGACATTTATTAGACAACCTGATTCATGATAATTAATCCTTTGTATCATTATTTATTTGGTTTTTATTTTATCTGACAAGGACAGTGAAAGGAATGAGTTTGTAATTTTTTTTTTTTTTTTTTTGAGACGGAGTCTCGCTCTTTCGCCCAGGCCAGAGTGCAGTGGCGCCGTCTCGGCTCACTGCAAGCTCCGCCTCCTGGGTTCACGCCATTCTCCTGCCTCAGCCTCCCGAGTAGCTGGGACTACAGGCGCCCACCACTGCGCCCGGCTAATTTTTTGTATTTTTAGTAGAGACGGGGTTTCACCGTGTTAGCCAGGATGGCCTCTATCTCCTGACCTCGTGATCCGCCCGCCTCGGCCTCCCAAAGTGCTGGGATTGTCATTTTTTATTTTACCTGAATTCTGCTTCTTTAGATATTACCATCCCTGTGTTGTCAGCTCCACATACTCCATAAGTCTGGTGGCAGCCAATTTACTTGGGACATGCGTTACACTTGTCTCCTTGTAGAGAACATTACTGCAAAGCAATGCTCATAGAAATGAAGGCTGCTAAACTAACACAGGAACAGAAAACCAAACACTGCATGTTCTCACTCATAAGTGGGAGGTGAACAATGAGAACACATGGACACAGGGAGGGGAACATCACACACAGGGGCCCGTCAGGGGGTGGGGGGATAGGGGAGGGATAGCATTAGGAGAAATACCTAATGTAGATGACGGGTTGATAGGTGCAGCAAATCACCATAGCACGTGTATACCTATGTAACAAACCTGCATGTTCTGCACATTTATCCAAGAACTTAAAATATATATAAAAGAAAGAAAGAAATGAAGGCTGCTGCAAAGAGGAAACATATTATTCCAAACTCATATGTGAAGCAAGAAGTTGCTGCAATTACCACCTGTAAATACAAGTGCTCTCCTCCTCCCTCATATCTCATAGCTTTATAAGGAAAGAGGCTCTGAGACTTTATATGATTCAAATGTTTGTTTTCTCCACTTAAGATCGTCCCCCGACTACTCCATCTTGTTGGCAAGGTTCTATTTACCTTTTAATGCTCACCTCAAACATTACTATATCAATTAAATGTAGCCTTCCTTGACACCTTCCCAGCAGTCAGCCATCTGTTTCTTTGTGCAAATGCTGACTCTTGTAGCACTTATCATCTGCAGTAGTTATTTGTGTGGATCTTTTCTCTCTCTCCAAGTCTGTGAATTTCTTAAAGGCAAGAACCATGTCTCATTTTCCTTTATAGCCTTGATATCATTTTTTATTTTTTTGAGACAGAGTCTTGCTCTGTTGCCCAGGCTGGAGTACAGTGGCACAATCTTGGCTCCCTGCCTCCTGGGATCAAGCGATTCTCCTGCCTCAGCCTCCCCAATAGCTGGGATTACAGGCGCCCTGCCCCCTCCTCCGTCCCCCGCCCTTCTGCAACCATGCCTGGCTAATTTTTGTATTTTCAGTAGAGATGGGGTTTCACCACTTTGGCCAGGCTGGTCTCAAACTCCTTATCTCAAGGTATCCATCTGCCTCGGCCTCCCAAATTGCTGGGATTACAGGCATAAGCCACAGCGCCTGGTCTATAGTCTTGATGTCTTATATGAGATAATTACTCAATAAATAAAAGTTCCATGAAGTTGGAAATTTTTGTTCTTTAATAGTAATAGAAATACATAACTAATGATGGAAGATTTATTCTCCCCTTTTATAGTGTTGGGTTGCTGCTGGGAAGTGGCTACAGGGCCAGAGTTGACAATTTCCAGGCCCTTTGCATCTATGTGGAGACATGTAACTAATTTTTGCAGTAGAATGTATGTCATTTTTAGGTTAAGGGGATTAAGTAGCCAATATGCTTTCCTTATATCACTTTTCCTCTTCTGAGGTTAACTCATAGTTACATGTTGAACATGATGCCATCACAGTGTGGAAGGAGTTTGGATCCATACATCATACTTGGAGGAGATCCACGCAGGAGAGCCATTCATCCTAGAATATCTTCATTGGACTTCATATATTATGAAATAATTTTTTTATGATAAGCCACTAAGATTTTTCTATCACTTATTATAGCAGCTAGTGTTACTTACGTTGACTAGCCCAGTGCTTAGACTAGTCCTTGGCAAAAAGTTATTTGCCTGTAATTATTATCTAGTGGCAAATATCCCTGGATAGTTTTTGGATAAATGATTGAATGAGTGGCCAGGAATTACATTATCTAACCTGAAGATGATCCTTTAAACCAAGGATCATACAAAAATAGAATACTATGTTCTATATAGTCATCAAGCCTATCAGCTACATATTATCACAATAATGCAGTATAATAGGTCACCTCAAAAAGTGGTGATTTGAAACAATAATCATTTATTCATGCTTACATGTCTATGGGTTGGTTGGGTGTTGGCTGGCACATGCTAGTTGCAGGTTGGGTCCAGGTCTGTTCCACACTTGTCAATGATGGTAGAAGATAAGAGGGCAAGCCCAACTATGCAAGCACATAATGATATGATTATAAAACACCTTGAAAATATAAAATGTAGTACATACAGGTTTGTATATGGTTGCGATGTGGCCATTAGTAGGCCATTAAAAAGGTTGCTGGCCACACACAAAAAGTAGCGTTAATGGCCTTGGTGAATTTTTTGTGTCTAGTATCTGGCTATTAACTTTCAGGCTCAGAAACCTAGATGTTTCACTATCTCTCAGGGATGGGCTCACATGGACAAACCCAGAAGACTGATGGATGAAGCCAGAATGCTATGTATTTCTTTATAATGAGAAATGTAATTTTCACATGAGTGAGAATACTTACATCTGCATGATCAGTGTCTTCTTTTTTTGTAAGTAATCCAGCTATATGAGACACAAAATCGCAAGAAAAATTCACTTGATCAGTTTACCAACATAAATCATTAATGACTGAAATTTCCTTACTGTAACATATATCAGCCTAAAGCTAGATATCTTTGAGAAGTCGAATCAAAATGGAGGATTGCTGTTGAGTACAGACTAAGAACAAAGAAAACAAATTGAATGTTTAGTTTTATGAGTTCAAGTTAACAATTATCTATCTCCAAATAGGGATGGTCCTGGCTAGTGAGACCTCTTATGACTTAAATTTAATTGGCCACAACTTCATTCAACCATCCTTCCATCCATCCATCCATCCATCCATCCATCCATCCATCCATCCATCCATCTACCCATCCACCATCTACCCATCCATCTATATAAAAGATAGCCTTGCTGTTGGACCTGGACAATATACTGCAAATTCATTGCCTAAGACCTTGTTTCCAAATTCACAGAGCAGACCTTGGAAGCGATTGTAGAGCTGACAATTTACAGTTTAAATGTTTCCTACCTTATTGAAATAAATATTAAAATTTTAGTGGTTTAACAAATCATGTCAGTATACTTAAATTAACGTGTAGAACAAGGTCAGTATATAGATCAAAATATAGAACATTTCCACCTATTATGTTCCCTTATAACTTTCTTCAGTCAGTCCCCACTCATCAGAGGTAACCACTCTTCTGACTTCAGTCACCACAGATTAAAGTTCCCTGTTCTTGAATTTCATATAAAATAGAATTATATGGTATATACTCTTTTTTATATGGTGGCTTTTGCTCCATATCATGTTTTTGAGATTTATTCATGTTATTTGTACGTTATCAATAGTTATAGCTGAGTAGTATAAATTGGGAAGTATATTTTGCTCCAAGTTTGGCTACCATTGATGCAGTTGTGTTTACTGAGCAGTCTTGGTTTCTAATATTCTCAGGTCCAGAAGACTGCTATTAATATATTGAACCAGTGTGTAGGCATTTTTACTTTGACTCAGTGATCAGTCATGATCAGTCAGTCAATTTGCATGTGCATGTAGAGCACTTACTCTATTTAAGACATGGCGAAGGACATATGAGTATGAGACAGTTTCTACATTTGTGGAGCTTATAATCTAATTAAAGAGATGAGATATATACATATGAAGATATCTGTAGGTTCAGGGTAATTTGAATGGTTTCAGCAATGGAGTCCTAAAAGAATTTAGAAGACATGAATTACTTTAGAGTATGGTGATTGATTGGGGCAGTTGCACGGTGGAGGTAGAACTGAAATAATCAAGGGTAGAATATGGATAGATATAAATAAAGAGGAAGATAATTTTAAATAGAGGGCCCCTTAAGGTCAGGCACAGAGACGTAATTGCTAAATGTATTTGAGGAACAGTAAGTAAACCAACTTGCCAGAACTGGAGTATTTTTGTTGGGGGGTCCTGATATAGTTGGGAGTCTATTAGAAACCACAGGCTTGGCCAAGGCAGTTGGATCACTTGAGGTACAGGAGTTCGAAACAGCCTGGCCAACATGGTGAAAACCCATCTCTACTAAAAATGCAAAAATTAACCAGGTGTGGTGGTGCACCCCTGTAATCCCAGCTACTTGGGAAGCTGAGGTGGAGAATTGCTTGAACCCGGGAGGTGGAGGCTGCAGTGAGCCAAGATCGCACCACTGTACTCCAGCCTAGGTGACAGAGTGAGACCTTGTCTCAAAAAGAAAAAGAATTGGTACTTAACTCTGTGGCCAATAATAATAACGACAATGACAGCAAAACAATTACAAAATTGATTTTCTGCCTAATATGTAATATGCTCTGTACTAAGTGTTTAATATTTATTAACTCATCTAATTTGCATAGACCATACATTATTATTCCCATCTTATAAATGAATAGACCAAAGCACAGGAAGTTTAGATATTTGCCCAAGGTCACATAGCTAGTAAGTGACAGAACTGGGATTTGATCCTAAGTAGTCCGATTCGAGAGTCTTAACCAATATGCAGTATAAAAACCTATAATATGAGTTGATGGGATGAAAACAATGTTTTATGCTTTTTTAGTCATACACCCTATTCCCACATGACATACTTGCTCACACAGTCACATGTAGTTGCAGAAATTTTCTCCCCCTCCAAGTAGTTACTCGGATTCAGTAGTCTGTTGAGAAATAGATTTTGAAGGTACTGTAAGAATTTTAATTAAAATAACATGCATTTATTCCCCCAGCATTAAATTTCCTGCTGAGAAAGATATTCATGAAGGATTTGTTGCAAAGAAATGATAAGGAAGAGTTAACTGGTTCTAGAGAATTTATAATAATTTGTTTTAGACTAAGGCTTTATTTTTAACATAGATCAAAATTAACATAATACAATTAATACAGTTTACTATGGTTTTGACAGGAGGTGAAAGTACTTACCTTGTACTGATAGATATTTATAAATTGGAATGAATCGATGATCATGGTCACCTTCTTTGGGCAGCAGAACAAGGATTGTTTGGCTATTCATTATAATTGAGATATCTTGCTCATTCCTGGGCAGAAATAAGCTACATTCAACTGCAATGTGTAGAAAATTTTGCTATAGCACATTACTTGGTTGCAGGCTTAAGATTTTTAACATCTTGCTCCAGTATGAAAGTATTTTATTTATTAAGGAACATGTACAAATGTAGCAAAACTATCAGTTATTTGCTTATAGTATCAAAATATTCTAGTAAAAATCCTTTAAAATGATAATGACTTTTTAGTTCTTATGTCTTGATAAATTTTTCTTCGAGTCTTTTGTGTTATAGAACTATCCTAAGAACATTTTATAAGAGGTTCTTTTGATTTTTCATTAATTTCCCAGGATAGGAGTAAAAAATTAACACATTTAAAGTAAATTTTTGCTTAATGATTGCTAGTCTTAGTGAATTTTGAATATCTATGTTTTAGATATTCAAGTATTATTCCTTAATTAAGAACTTAAATAGCCATATGGCCTATATTGTATTCGATGTTGCAAATTAGTAAACTTCTATTATACTTGTACTTTTGTTTTTGTTAATATTAAAGACATACTTAATTGATATATATTTAAGATGTATAATTGACATTATATTTTCACACAATAGCATGTAATAATGTTTATTGAATAAGTCATAAGTGAATGAATGACATATAGAATAATGTTTTGCCATTTCCAACCAATGTGAAATATTTGACGCTAACAAATATCATCCCTTTCTTCACAAAATCTGTCTATATATTACCATATTACCTTGCATCTAAATGATTCACATTGTGGATGGAAGGCTATATGTAGATGGTGAGAGATAAAAGAGACAAGAAAATTTAATGACAACAAAAATATTTTGTGGCAGAACATAGGAACACAAAACAACAATGTAAAGATTCAAGTTTTATGGCCTATCAGTGGTTTTTCTACCAAAAATAGTAACCCTCAGGTCCTCCCCAGTCAATCAAAAATAGACTTTGGAGTTTTATTCTTAGATTTAAATTTATTTCTATGTTAGAATAGTCTATTAAAATTATTTTCCCCTGTGTTGTTATATAGTAATAGTAAAATACATTTTTACAGTGTGAATGAAAGTGGCATTAAAATTCATTTAAATTTATACAGTAGAATTATCTTTTTAGGAATTTGTTTAAATTTCTTGTATTTTGTGGCTTGTTTGATATCACTTTTTATCTACATATTTGCTTTTTCAATTATACTACTTAGGAATTTATTCAATTTTTTTTCATCACGACCACCTGTTTAGTTAGCAGTATCCCTTGAAATATTGTGATGATATGTGGCTTTTACTGATTTATTAGATTTGTTGGGGCTTTTTTTGTTGTTTTAAGTAATGTACTAATATATTTATTTTTTCTAGCTATATGGTTTTATTTTTTCAGGGTTGTAGAAGAATACTACATATCTAGAACTTAGAATTGCCTATAATTTCCAGCATATATGTTATACACACACCCCCACCACACACGTGTATATATATACATGCATATATGTGTGTATATATGGATATATATGTGAATAAAAATTTCCTCCCAAACGTTTTAAAATCAGGTTAAATTTATTTATGATGAAATATGATTTTTTTCCAAAAGTTTTCTTTGCAAAATTAGTATGCATTTTATGCAATTTAAGAATTTTATAACTAGCAAATATAGTTATGTCAAATATGGAAGCAACTTCATAGAACTATATGTACATTATGATTTTTTATTAAAATGATATAAATTTTTATGATCAAATGTACAAATCAAAAAGGAAATTTTAACGTCAAAATGAATGTGATTTCATGAATTTGTAATTTTAATTTACCCGTGCTCAATTTCACAAATGTTTGTTGATCACACACTCTGATTGAGCTTTGTGCATTGCCTTGAACAAGCTAGCTGTAAAATTTGTAAAATAGTTTAGTGCCTAGCAGAAATAACTCTTGGTGTAGAAATATACTAATGGTAGGGTAGTCTTTCATGATTGTGATAAGTATGAAAGAAGATTGCCTCTTTCTGAAGCCTGTTTATTTTGTAGTTAACAAGGCCAGGGGAGACTTTTGATTATTTTTTGCTTGCATGCCTACACATACCTAAGGAAAAAGTAATCACAGATCCCAGTGTCACTTTAATTATGCCATTAATTTAAGTGTTGATTCAACAGCTATTTACTGTTCACAGTATTTTAGTATTTGTAAATTTCTTGGTGGTATGGGTAACAATAAATGGATGTTTTTATCTAAAGTAGGAAATCACATAAATGAACAAAGAGATGCATTGTTAGTAGAATTTTTTTTTTTTTTTTTTGAGATGGAGTCTCACTCTGTCGCCTGGGCTAGAGTGCAGTGGCATGATCTCGGCTCACTCCAACCTCCGCCTCCCTGGTTCAAGTGATTTTCCTGCC
Source organism: Homo sapiens (assembly GCF_000001405.40). Lineage (NCBI taxonomy): Eukaryota > Metazoa > Chordata > Mammalia > Primates > Hominidae > Homo > Homo sapiens. The sequence goes on from NC_000012.12 coordinate 65,383,776, forward strand.
TCAGCTCCCAAGTAGCTGGGATTATAGGCATGTGCCCCCACACCCGACTAATTTTTGTATTTTTGTAGAGATGGGGTTTCGCCATGTTGGCCAGGCTGGTCTCGAACTCCTGAACTCAGGTGATCCACCCGCCTCGGCCTCCCAAAGTGTTGGGATTACAGGCGTGAGCCACTGCCCCCGGCTGAATTATTTTAAATGTAGAGATATGCTGCTCGATAACAATCAGCTTTATTATTTACTATACATGGCTGTATATTTTGAGGGAAATGTTTAAAGACAGATTATATTCTTAAATGTGATTAAATGTAATCCCTATTTTGTAACCAGTTTTAAAGAAATAATATTTTATGCATTTTCAAAGTACTTTAATTTATTTTGTAGAAATTCAAAGGACATTATATCTTTTATAAAAAGATTGATAGGAACTGCCTTTTCTATTTTATTCTTCTTACTGGTAGATTTAATAATTTTCCTCTTTTGGCATGATTTTTTCGAAAGATATTTCCCAATTCATATGAATTTTGATATCTATTATGTGTCACCATACAAGTAATGAGTCTATGTAACAAAAAGATGAAAGCTTCTATATTTATCTGTTATCTACATTTGTTACTAAGAGTCAACAGGATGGCTTTATATAGGATGATCAGAAACAGGAAAGCTGTGGTTTAGAAAATGTTTTAATCTGTTTCAAATAACTTAGCAGGGCAATCTGGTAAAAATGACATGATTAATGACTGAAGAAGATTAAAATATTTTCACATTCTGTTTTTAATGACCTCTATCTTAAGTTTCTACCCTAAAATTTACAACTAGTAAAATATTATAGGAAAAATATATCATTCATAATCCTCTTGAAGTCGTGTTTTACCTTATCAAATTGTGCCTTCTTTTTAGCCAAAAATAGCATAAATGTAAAACAAATTTTAACTGAAATATAGCTTTTGTGATATTCTTAAATACATTCATTAAAGTGTTAATATTTACTAGGTTTAACATAAAAGATCTAAGATTATGTTTTCAATTAGGGTAACACTTCAGTCAGTGTGTAATTTTTTAAAATTTATTCTTACAGCTAGGCAGATCTTCATCATTTGGAAACAGGCCATTTTAGAAAGTTTAACTCTAAATGTTTTCTAAGTGCATAAATAGGTGGCATGTATAAGTATTAATGTTGGAGTTTTGCCCATTGATTCTAGTGGCTCTGTCTTTTTTATCCAAAGATAATGATGTGTATTCAATCTCTGTCATATTTACCTAGAGGAAGTCTTTTTAATCCCTCATTTTTCTCCTTCACTGAGGTTATGTGTAAATACTACATAAAACAGCAAATAGAAGGAAGTCTGTTTTGTCTAAAGATACCATTCATCTTAAACAAATACATCAGCCTGTCTCCGAAAGGATAGCGATATGGGTTTTATTTGGTGGGAGAAGGAGGAGGATGGATAAGACCAAAGCAAAAATATGTGGCAAATTATATGAACTGTTATTAAATCCCTTTAAAAATTGGTTACATTTTTCTGATTGTTTCTGCTTAGGGGAATCACTTCAATGCCACCCGACATTGTTACAGCACCTCTTAATTTTCATTATTATTTGCGTATTTATTCATTCCTATTTTCATAGTTAGGAAAACTGGTATTGATTTCTGACAGAAATCTGAAGCTAATCTTTAATTAGATATCTTATAGCACCATTTTCTGGAAAGCCATATGTATGAATTTATAATTCCAGTATGGGAAAAAGAATGTATTACCTTCTCTTAATTATATCTGCTTTTAATTTTCATTATTTCTAAATTTAAACTCCCACAAAATTAAATAAAATAGCTTTCTTTAATTTGCTACGCTGTGAATTCTTTTGGGACAGAGGCCCGTTAAATTTATCTGTTACTTTTATCCCCAGCACTAAAAAAATTAAAATGAATTAATTTTTAATTGCTTACATTTGCTTACTTATATTTATTGTGAAAACTAATATATTTGGTGTTACTTCTGCCATCTTGTTTCCTCTTTATTATGCCTCCTTGTGGTCTTTTTCTTTCCTTTAGTTGGATTAAAGTTTTGCCCTTTTAAGAAAACTTCTAGGTATATGTTAAATATACTATTTCTGTTTATTCTGTCTACCATCTAATTCTAACAAACATATTTGACCTTGTATTTTTTCTGTAAATATTGGGAATTAATTAATATCTATAACTTCCTTCATTTCAGCATGAGAACTTTAGTACACTTTTGTCTCTGACCCCTGCATGTTTCCCATTATGCCTCTACTTACTTAAAAATCATTTTTTAAGAATTCCATTAAGCATTACAGCATCATTGTTAACTCCTGTTTAAACTTAACTATTTAATTTTACCTATTTATTTACTCATTACTGTTTCTTGTATCCTGTCTTTACCTTTTTTAGACTTATTTTTCATTGTGCTGTAGTTCTTCTTTGGCTATTCTTTCAGAAATGGTTCTAGATAGCAAATATCTGGGTTATTTTATATGCAGATTGTTTATTTACAACTCTCATGATATCAGAAAGGATTAGAGGCAGAAGACACACCATTACACATGTATTCTTTAAGAGTAGTTATTGGTAAAGAGAACTTACATGATTCTGGGATCTTTATGTTGCTTCCATTAAGGGTGGACTCTTTTTTCTTTTGAATGATAAACTTTTTTATAGGTATGCTTTAAATTTAGTTTATAACTCATTTTCTAAAATTTTTCTCTTGGAGAAAAGAAGGAATTTGTTAGGTATCATATGGTTAAAAATACACTTAAACAAATACTTCATAGGCATCTTTTCCATGCAATAAATATCCAGTATTGAGAAGGAACATATTAAATAGATACCTGGTTTAGCGTGTTAAGATATGCATCTTTTCATGTTGTAGCTTAAATTTGAGCTTGCTGGTTCTTTTTTTTCTTTAAGAGTAGTATTTTTAAATTAAATACATACAAATTAAATTTTAAAGAAACAGTATCATCTTTGATTAAATCAGAATACACATTGCATCAATTTTTAAATGTTATTACCATGTCTGGATACTTAGTTAACAACATGTTAGAGCAATTCAAAGGATCACAGGATTTTACTTTGTTTTTGTAGTTTACAAAGACTAATGTAGCAAAGACCTTTCATGTCAATTTTGTCATAAGTGAAAGGGTAGAATTATTGGTTACACAGATACATGCACCTTTAATATAGACTATATATCCTGATATTTCTTGGTCTTATCTCATTATTTCAATTCTGAGTTTATTTATGTAAGGCTATTGTAGAGCTAATGGGTGACAGGATTACAGTACAACAGCAGTATCTCATTTTAAAAACACTCAGGGAGTAAGTTTGACACAGCAAAGAATATAGTTTGAGAATGAAAGGCAATGAACAAGGGGAAATAAAAAAATCAGCAACATGAATAAATAAATATAAAATCAATGCAAATAATGGCTAAAGAGTCTACACATTTTTATGACTTTTAACTTTTACTGTGAAATAGCCTTCCAGAAAAATTGTGCCAATTTCTCCTTTCACCACTGTGTGTAGTATTTTTTTTCCCCCTTGGACACACTGACAGTCGCTGAGTGTTACTATTATCTTTTTTCTTTCCAGCTCTGAATATTTCTATCTGTATTTTCTTTGCCTATCTGATAGGTAAAAAGTAGAATCTCATTATTTTAACTTGCATTTTTGATGACTAGGGAGGTTGAATATTTTTATTCTTATGTACATTGACTGTTTATAATTCCTTTGTGAATTGCTTATTAACTTATTTTTCTTTGGTGAGGCTGGAAATAAGAGCAGGGCTTGAGTCAGACAGACCATCATTTGAATCCTGGCTCTGTCTTTTAAGCACTATGTAACTTGGGGCATATAATATAAACTCTCTGAGCTTCAATTTCCTCATTTGTAAAACAATATTTATAATTATAATGCCTACCTCAATGTTATGAGAATTAAATAAAATAACATAGAGTGAAATCACTTAGCAAAGTGCTTGGTATACATTAATGATGCTGCTGCTGATAAGACATAAAGCTGGAAATATTTTCCCAGTTGGTTGCTTGATTTTTTTTTCCTACAAAAATAAAAAATAATTGTAATTAGTGTATGTCAGTCTTTTCTTTCTTTTATGGTATTTACTTAGGGTTTATACTAAGAAAATTGTTCTTCACAACAAAGAGTATAAAAATATGATGAAAGTGTTTTTGAATGTGACTGAGTTCTAAATGGAATCATCAAATTTAGTTACACAGACTAAGAAAGAAACTAATAATTTGTAATCTTTCTATTTCTTTAGGAAAATATTAGCATTCACTGTTGTTGAAGAAATCCAGAAACATTAGTTCACATATTTAACAAGTTTAAAAAAAAATGTTTTAAGACTGACAATACATTCCCCTAGATTATTTGTATATTTAGGAAGGGTCTCTGTTATTCTCTACAGTGCTTTTGTGTCCACCAGAAAATGACGTTGTGTTTGGGCCAATGAATGAGAAAAAGGGTCCTCTCCTTCCCACCCCCACACCCCTGCCCACACTGCAGCTAAATGACTCCTGTGGGTCAAGGCAGGTACACAGCCCTGGCAGTGAGGGGAACAGGATCCGGAGTTCAGCTCCCACTTGTTTCTTCCACCAGGTTCCTTGTGCACTGCCCAGAGTGCACCACTTTATCAGATGGGACTGTGTTTCAGTGTTATCTCAAAATGGTTCTTGAAATAGTTTGAGAAATTAATGATTATTTTATCTAAATCCACTTGTGTAATTCAACTAAATTGAGCAGCTTTTTATCCAGGCACTTTTATAAAAGAAAAGAAGCCAAGCGCAGTGCCTCATGCCTGTAATCCTAGCACTTTGGGGGCCTGAGGTGGCGGATGGCTTGAGCCCAGGAGTTCAAGACCAGCCTGGGCAACATAGTGAGAACCCGTCTCTCCAAGAACATACAAAAATTAGCCAGACATGGTGGTGGGTGCCTGTAGTCCCAGTTACTCAGAAGGCTGAGGTGGGAGGATCACCTGAGCCCAGGGAGGTCAAGGCTGCAGTGCGCCATGATCGTTCGCTGCACTCTAGCCTGGGTGACAGAGTGAGACCCTGTCAAAAGAAAAGAAGAGAAGAGAAGAGAAAAGCTTTTTAATTTGAATATTGTGAGCAAAAAGCAAGAGAGCACTGGTACAAATATGCCTCCCTCTTTTCTTCTACCTTGTTTATTAATCCATGAGCTCTTAAGGGATGGCTTCTTCCTCCTCGTAAATAATGATGTTAATGACATATCTGGGGCCATGCCCTTTTTCATGTCTTCATTGTTATGGGTAAATTGATCAGCATTGTGTGGAGTATCCAGCAAAATGTGCTCTGCAGAAGTCTCACCCTTCAACTGTACATAACCATCCTGTGGTGTTCCTCTCTCCTGCCCTTATATTACCCCATAGCTTCCTATGCATGATTCTTTCTTACTATCCTCACAGTCATTTCTACTGTGCTCTTTGGAGCTGTGATTCCATTGTAAATACATTCTTTTTTATCCTCAAATCTCTTCACAAAATGTTTTCTTCATTTTTTTTTAATTGAGACTTGTTTCTCTCCCAAGGTCCCTCTTGCAGCTGCAAGAGTACAAGCAATAACTCTTCATTACCTCCTTCAGAACCTCACTTTTCCTTTCTCATGTAAGAACTCCTTACACAGCCACTTATTAACTTTCATCATTGCTGTGATTTATTAGCTCCCTGGTAATGCCCTTCATTTATTGAGGATTTTAGTTTTCCACTCTAATTCTTGCTATCCTCACGTGTGATTTCAGTGACCATGTGGACCGTCCAATCAACAACTGAGTGTCTTCAACCTCCATGTCCCGATCCCTTCCCTTTCTTCCCAGTCTGTTATGTACTTCATCATTTTACTTCCCTGCCCATCCATCCTAGACTCTATGGTGACCATTTTTCACCTTTGCCAGTGCTCTCTGGGTCCTGGATTTGTTTTCCTTATGCTAAATTCCCCGGAAAAATCCTCAACCATCTGCTTTCAGTTGTAGCTCCTTCACACAGGCTGCATGGCCCTGCTGGAGGAAAGAGTATAATTATGGGATAATTGCCACTAAAGATTTATGGTCTTCAATTTCAGGTTGCCCCTTGGCACTATTCTGCAGTCCTTCTGTGTCTTTATCACTTTTCTCAAATCCCCTTTTCTACCACCATTTTCTTTTTGAACAATCATCTTGCCTCCTATTTCATAGAGAAATTTAACACTATGAAGCTTGAGCTTTTCTTTCCTGAAACTAACAAACGTTTATATCTACACTGAACCTCCTTTCTATATGCTTGGAGGAAGAGATGTCCTCTTTTCTAGTTCAAAGTAGTCATCTCAACTCTCTCCTTTGGGATGTTACTCCATCAGTCATTTACTCTAATTCCTGAAGCTCTTTAATTCTGCTTACTTCTTCCCTACAGCCTGAAGATAAACTCAAGTCATACTGTCTTAAAAAGAAAATCAAACAAAACCCCAAACGCAACTCCTTCAGCTTTGTCCTCTTCTAACTCTTATCTCCTCTTTCCACTGGAATTAAGGTTCTCAGTACACTACGCTGTTTGTATTTTCTTTTATTCATAGGAATAACCTAATAAAAAAAAATCAAAGGAAAACTGAAGAATTACTAAAGGCCAATAAGCATTTGCAAAAGTTTAGCCTCACTATTACTCATAGAAATGCAAATTGCATCAACTATAAGAATATTTACTCAAAAATTAGGGATTTAAGAGTATGGGGAGATGTTTACTCTTGAATATTACTAGTGGGAATATAAATTGATGCAATCTTTCTGAAAAGCAATTTGGTAATTGTTTAAACCAGTAATTCCACTTTGGGAGACTTCATGAAGAAAATATTCAGAGATAAAAGTGAAAGAATGTTCATAGAACATTATTTATTGTGGCAAAAAAACCCTTAACAGCCTAAATGTCCAATAACAGAGGCAGGCAAGGTACCATACTCTCTACATGGAAAAAATCCAAATCCCTGTTGGATTTTAATGGTAGTTATTTCATTGTGGTAAGATTGCAGTTGATTTATTATCTTTCTTATAGTTTTCTATAATTTTCTAGTTTAATTTACAAGAACATGTATTCAGAAATATAAAAGGTATATATATTAATTCCTAATCCTTCTACCCCCACTGTCTTTGTCTTTGGCAAAAGAATGGAGTAGGAATTTTTGTGAAACAGTGTTTGTATGTCCATAAGCTTTCAGTATGTTCCAGTTGTTTTTAAATTTTCTTTTATGTAGTATTGATGTTCATGATGAAAAGGACAGGGAATGTGATTTGCACAGGGTTTTCCATCAAGTATTTGAACGATAGGAACATGTTGACCTGCACAAAGTGTTAGAGGAGGAAAAGAGGAACTCTTCAGTGAATGATGGGCGGAAGCATTAAAGGAGAAGGAAGAGAACCAACCTGAAACAAGGGAACCAATCATCTCAAGCTAAGAGGAGGTAGGTTCACATCAATAATGGGTAGATTGTCTCATAATATTTTCACTGAATATAAGACTAACAGTCAAACAGCCTTTAGTTAAAAGTAAAGATGAGTTGGCTCCTTCCCCAGAAAATGTGAGAAAGTGATTAGTGACAGGAGAGTATTTCTCTTCAGAGGCAAGAAGCTGCTGCTGTTGGTTAAACAGAGATATCCAGGATATGTGCTTCTGGTTGTAGACTTTTAATTTCTGACTTTACAGATGTAGACTGAAACTTATTATGTGGGTCCCCTGGCTCTGTTTTTTGTTTGTAATTTATATTCATACAAGTAATACTGTCATATCAAATAATGGCCAGTAAGTGATAAACAGAATGTTCTCAAAAAAGGTGAATAGCTTGTTTTTCAAAAGTTCATTTGTAAGTTGGTTGTTTTGAACTTAGAGTACATTTTACTATAGAAACAACATAACAGAAAAATTAGATTTTAAGGCTAGTTCACTAAATATTTTTAACCTATAATATACTTAAAGAAGAAGCCAGAGTGCTGGAAGAGTTATCAATATAATTGTTGAAGTCATAGAGGATCATGAAAAGTTGGATTAGAAAGAGAAAATTTGAGCCAAGTGCTAAAAGAAAATGGGAGAGTGTCCCAGGAATCCACAGATGGAGAGGAGAAGAGGATAATTGAAGACTTCCAAAGTGGAGTTCCTTGAATGATAAAACTCTCAAGGGCCTGCCTGATTTTCCTGCTACAGTAGTACTGTTACGTGCACCTGGAATTGTTAGTATTTACACTCACTTTAAGCCAAACCCTAACTTTGGTTACCAGGTCAAATTGCATTTAGAACAGATTTTCTGAATCTTAGCCACACATAAAAATTATGTGAGGAATTTTTTGAAAACAGAGGTGCCTGGGCCCATCCTAGATCAATTAACTCAAAGTCTCTGCAGTTGGAGCCCAGACACTGGCATTGTTTTAAAAGCTCCCTAGATTATTCTAATGCACATGTAGAAGGAGGGGTGAACTGCTGGTCAGCCTTAGAAGTAGTAATAAATTACACAGGGGTAGAAATAGTGGATGTCTATTTTTTCTACCATTTTACCTCTGCATCTAGCATACTTCTTGATTATTAATGGAAATTCAATGAATATTTGCTTGAATAAAAGAGTGAATCAAGGACTGAGGAATGAGTGGATTTAACTAGCTCTAATCCCATATATTACAGTTCAGCATTAGGGCACAATTTATGGCTAGTCCTTTACTGACTGTGTCTCAATTTGTACAACTGGTCTTTTGTCTGATTCCCAAGTAATACCTTTGGTACCCCAATTCAGTCCTTCTTGTTTGGTTACTGTTTCTCAGTCATTGTTGTCAGGAACCTGCCAAGAAATGCGATCCTCTCAAGTCAGACTCACTTTCTAAGATCCAGAATCTTGGAAATCTTGCCCCTGAATCTCAGCCAAGTAGTTGCGAGCGTGTAAATTTGGCTGACGTTTTGACTTCTTCAGTACTACTTTCTCCAAGATTCCTCAAGAGTGTGTTCTGTTTCTTCCATTTCATGCTCCCTCTTGTTGACTTGTTGCTCTGGAACGAATTGTAGTTGTAAATGCACAGAAAGAGTTCTATTATTCAGTAAGGCTTGTTAATTATATTATTTATATTTTCTTCCTCATTTTTTACCTTTATTTTTTGTATTGAAAGATGTACTTTAACAGCTCCCACAATATTTGAGGATTACAAAGTTTCTTAGTATTTCTAACAGTTTTTGTTTTATATGATTTACTGCTCTATAGTAAATAAAAATTCTTTAGTGTTATGTCTTGTGAATTATTCCTTTCTATTAAAAATATTCCTTTTTATTTTTGTCACTGTTGTTGGAATTCATTTTTTTTTCTTGATAGTATTATCCCTACTTTCTTTATGTTGTATGCATTTACCTTTGCTATTGTCTTATATTTGACCATATTTGTCACTTAAATTTATGCATGCCTCTTAGAAATATAATATAGCTGAATTTTGATTTTTATTTTTTATCCATTATGAGAATATTTATTTTCAAATTGAAGAATTTCAACCTTTCGTTTTATTATAAGGGAGACACTTTAAAAAATGCTAGCCGGGTGCAGTGGCTCACGCCTGTAATCCCAGCACTTTGGGAGGCCGAGGTGGGTGAATCACGAGGTCAGGGGATCAAGACCATCCTGGCTAACACGGTGAAACACCGTCTCTACCAAAAATACAAAAAATTAGCCAGGCATGGTGGTGGGCGCCTGTAATCCCAGCTACGGGAGGCTGAGGCACGAGAATGGCGTGAACCTGGGAGGCGGAGCTTGCGGTGAGCCGAGATCACGCCACTGCACTCCAGCCTGGGCAGTAGAGCGAGACTCCGTCGCAAAAAAAAAAAAAAAAAAAAAAAATGACTACCATCTTATTTTATGGTTTGTGTTTGTTGTTCTTGTTTTGTGTATATATATGTGTGTGTGTATTTACCTGTTTACAAAGGACATACATACACACACATATACATATAATACAAATATTATAAAATACAGAAAATCTCCCGTAATCCTATGACTCAGTGTTATTGTTGATGTGTGGGTATGGATGTGGGTACTTCTAGATTCTTTAAAAAATTTTTTTAATAAAAATGAATTTATCTTGAGTATATTGCTTTGTAACCTGCTAAATATTTATGCCACTAAATATTTATCCATAATATCCCTTTATGGTTTTAAAATACATTTTAATACAAGGTATTTATAAATAAGTAAGGTAAATTACTCTATACTCTAAGTAGGAATATGTAGACTGGTGGAAAGATTATCTAGTTACTGAATTATATATGGAATATGAAACCATTTATATAAAACATGTTTGTATGTATGCATATATATGAATTAGATGCTTCTATATGCTTGCGTATATTTATCAAAGACTTCTTTATGCTTGAATTTTAATTTTATTTTATTCAAAACATTTTTGCTTGATATTTTAGAACTTCAAGCAAAATTTCAAGAGGATATAATTGTTTTACTTACGTAATAAAAAATAAAACTAACACATTCATTTAAAATATTCAAGCAAATGCCAACACATTAGATAGCTTAGATAAAATGAACAAATTCTTAGAAAGACAGAAACTACTGAAATTGACTTGAGAAATAGGATATACTTGTAACTGAATAGACAAGTAAAGAGATTAAATTGGTGCTTAAAAAACTACCCACAAAAACAACTCCCAGCCAGTATCACTTCACTGATAAATTCTGTGAAATATTTAAAGAAGAATTAATGCCAATTATTCACAACTCTTCCAAAAAATAGAAGAGGAGGAAACATGTCCCAACTCATTCTACAGGGTCACTATGACCCTGATGGCAAATCCAGACAACGATCACAAGGAAGGAAAACTGTAGGTCAATGTCTTTTATGAATACATACACAAAATCCTTAACAAAATACTAGCAAACCAAATACAGCAACATTTAAAACATAACCAAGTGTGATTTATCTTAGGAATGCAAGGTTGGTTTGACATTGAACAGTCTATTAATATAATATGCTACACCAAAAGAATAAAGGTGATTGTATCAGTAGACACAGAAAAAGTATTTGACAAAACCTGACAATCTTTCATGATAAACACACTCAACAAACTAGGAATAGAAGAAAACTTCCTAACTCAATAAAGGACATATGAAAACCGACAGCTAATGCCATATTTAATGGTGAAAAGGCAGAATGCTTTCCCCAAAACAAAGATGTCAGTTTTCACCATTTCTGTTCAGCATTATGCTGATGGTTCTAGCCAATTAGGCCAAAAAAGAAAAAAGAAAAGAACAGAAAATGGAAAAAAAATAAAAGAAAGAAAAGGCACTCAGATTGGAAAGGAGTGAGTAAAACTATCTCTATTTGCAGATGATATGATCTTGTATATAGAAAATCCTGGCTGGGCATGGTGGCTCACACCTGTAATCCCTGTACTTTGGGAGGCTAAGGTGGACGGATTACTCGAGGTCAGGAGTTTGTGACCAGCCTGACCAACATGGTGAAACCCTGTCACTACTAAAAATACAAAATTAGCCGGGCATAGTGGTGAGCACCTGTAATCCCAGTTACTCAGGAGGCCGAGGCAGAAGAATCACTTGAACCTGGGAGGCGGAGGTTGCAGTGAGCCAAAATTGCACCACTGCACTGCAGCCTGGGTGACAGAGTGAGACTCCATCTAAAAAAAAAAAAATCCTAAGGAATCCAGCTTTAAAAATAATAACAAGTTCATCAGGGTTGCAGAATAAAAGATCTATACAAAATCAATTGTATTTCTGGAAGAGATTGTAGAAAATATGTATCATTAATTTCTTAAATTTGTGGTAAAATTCACCAGTGAACCCATATAGGGCTAGTGCTTTCTGTTTTGTAAGGTTACTAATTATTGATTCAGTTTCTTTAATAGATATAAACCTGTTCTGATTATCTATTTCTTCTTGTGTGAGTTGGATAGATTGTATCTGTTAAGGAGTTTGTTCATTTTATCTAGATTATCAAATTTGTGGGTATAGAATTGTTCATAATATTCTCTTATCCTGTTAATGTCCATGGGATCAATAGTGATGACCTCTTTTTCATTTCTGGTTTTACTAATTTCTCCTTCTCACTTTTTATCTTAGTTAACCTAGCAAGAGGCTTATCAATATTGTTGATCTTTTCAAATAACCCGCTTTTGGTTTTACTGATTTTCTCTATTGATTTCCTACTTCTAATTTCATTGCTTTCTGCTCTAATTTTTTTTCTTTTCTTTTGCTTACTGTAGATTGTTTGCTGTTCCTTCTTTAGTTCCCTAAGATGGAAGCTTAAATGATTGGTTATAGACCTTTCTTCTTTTCTCATAAATGTATTCAATGCTATAATTTTCCTATAAGCACAGCTTACACTGCATCCCACATATTTTGATAAGTTGTATTTTCATTCTCATTTAGTTCAAAATATTTTTAAACTTCTCTTGCATTTTCTTCTTTGATCCATGTGCCATTTAGAAGTATGTTGTTTAATCTCCAAGCATTTTCTGATATTCTAGCTATCTTTCCGTTATTGATTTCTATAATTATGCTGTTGCTTGAGAGCAGACATTGTATTATTTCTATTTTTAAAAATTAGTTAAGATGTGTTTTATGGGCTGGGTGCAGTGGCTCACGCCAATAATCCCAGCACTTTGGGAGGCTGAGGTGGGTGAATCACCTGAGGTCAGGAGTTCAAGACCAGCCTGGTCAACATGGTGAAACCCTGTCTCTACTAAAAATACAAAAATTTGCTGGGTGTGGCAGTGCATGCCTGTAATCCCAGCTACTCAGGAGGCTGAGGCAGGAGAATCACTTGAACCCGGGAAGCAGAGGCTGCAGTGAGCCAAGATCATGCCATTACACTCCAGCCTGGGTGACAAGAGTGAAACTCCATCTCAAAAAAAAAAAAAAAAGAAAGAAAGAAAGAAAGAAAGAAAGAAAGAAAGAAAGAAAGAAAGAAAACCCAGCAAAGATATGTTTTATGGTCTAGATGTGGTCTATCTTGGTAAATATTTCATCTTAAGAAGACTGTGTATTCTGCTGTCGTTGGATAAAGTAGTCTATAGATGTTCATTATATCCAGTTGATTGATGGTGTTGTTAAGTTCAACTATTTCCTTACTAATTTTCTACCTGCTGGGTCTGTCCATTTCTAATAGAGGGGTGTTGAAGTCTCTAACTATAATAATGGATTTGTCTGTTTCTCTTTGAAGTTCTATCAGTTTTTGCCTCGTGTATTTTGATGCACTGTTGTTAGGTGCACACACATTAAGGATTGTTATGTCCTCTTGGAGCATTGACCCCTTTATGATTGTATAGTTCCCCTCTTATCCCTGATAATTTTCTTTGAGCTGAAGTTCACTCTGTCAAAAATTAATACAACTACTTCAGCTATCTTTTGATTGGTGTCAGCATGATATGTGTATCTTCATTCCTTTCATTTTTATCTGTATCTCTTGTTATATTAAAAGTGGATTTCTTGTAGACAGCATATATTTGGGTCTTGTTTTTTGAACCATTCTGACAATCTCTGCTTTTTAAGTGGCATCTTTAGACCATTGACATTTAAAGTGATTATTGATATAATCACTTTAGTAATAGCAAACTTGCATTGCTACTTGTAATCCACCATAGTTGGATTAATATCTACTACATCTGTCATTGTATTTTGTTTATTGCCATTGGTTTTTTCTTTTGTTTTCCATTATTTTCCTGCCTATCTTGGTTTTAATTGAGCATTTTGTATGATTCCATTTTCTCTATACACTTACCATAATCATTTGGAAAAGTACAATTATACTTCTTTACTTCTTTTTCTTTTTTTAATTATTATACTCTAAGTTCTGGGATACATGTGCAGAACATGCAGGTTTGTTACATAGGTATACACGTGCCATGGTGGTTTGCTGCACCCATCAACCCATTATCTACATTAGGTATTTCTCCTGATGCTATCTCTCCCCTAGCCCCCAACACCCTGACAGGCCCCAATGTGTGATGTTGCCCTCCCTATGTCCATGTGTTCTCATTGTTCAACTCCCACTTATGAGTGAGAACATGCAGTGTTTGGTTTTCTGTTCCTGTGTTAGTTTGCTGAGAATGATGGTTTCCAGCTTCATCCATGTCCCTGCAAAAGACATAAACTCATCCTTTTTTATGGCTACATAGTATTCCATGATGTATATGTGCCACATTTTCTTCGTTCAGTCTATCATTGATGGGCATTTGGGTTGGTTCCAAGTCTTTGCTATTGTGAACAGTGCTGCAATAAACATACGTGTACATATGTCTTTATAGTAGAATGATTTATAATCCTTTGAGTATATACCCAGTAATGGGATTGCTGGGCCAAATGGTATTTCTGGTTCTAGATCCTTGAGGAATTGCCACACTGTCTTCCACAATGGTTGAACTAAATTTACACTCCTACCAACAGTGTAAAAGCATTCCTATTTCTCTACATCCTCTCCAGCATCTGTTGTTTCCTAACTTTTTGATGATCACCATTCTAACTGGTGTGAGATGGTATCTCATTGTGGTTTTGATTTGCATTTCTCTAATGATCAGTGATGATGAGCTTTTTTTCATATGTTTGTTGGCCGCATAAATGTCTTCTTTTGTGAAATGTCTGTTCATATCCTTCGCCCACTTTTTGATGGGGTTTGTTTTTTTCTTGTAAATTTGTTTAAGCTCCTTGTGGATTCTGGATATTAGCCATTTGTCAGATGGATAGATGGCAAAAATTTTCTCCCATTCTGTAGGTTGCCTGTTCACTCTGATGATGGTTTCTTTTACTGTGCACAAGCTCTTTAGTTTAATTAGATCCCATTTGTCAATTTTGGCTTTTGTTGCCATTGCTTTTGGTGTTTTAGTCATGAAGTCTTTGCCCATGAGTATGTCTGAATGGTATTGCCTAGATTTCCTTCTAGTGTTTTTATGGTTTTAGGTGCTTACATTTAAGCCTCTAATTCATCTTGAGTTAATTTTTGTATAAGGTGTAAGGAAGGGTTCGGTTTCAGTTTTCTCCATATGGCTACCCAGTTTTCCCAACACCATCTATTAAATAGGGAGTCTGTTCCCCATTGCTTGTTTTTGTCAGGTTTGTCAAAGATCAGAGGGTTGTAGGTGTGTGGCGTTATTTCTGAGGCCTCTGTTCTGTTCTCTTGGTCTATATATCAATTTTGGTACCAGTACCATGCTGTTTTGGTTACTGTAGCCTTATAGTATAGTTTGAAGTCAGGTAGTGTGATGCCTCCAGCTTTGTTCTTTTTGCTTAGGATTGTCTTGGCTATAGGGCTGTTTTTTGGTTCCATATGAAACTTAAAGTAGTTGTTTCTAATTTTGTGAAGAAAGTCAATGGTAGCTTGATGGAGATAGCATTGAATCCATAAATTACTTTGAGCCGTACGGCCATTTTCATGATATTGATTCTTCCTATCCATGAGCATGGAATGTTTTTCCCTTTGTTTGTGTCCTCTCTTATTTCCTTGAGCAGTGGTTTGTAGTTCTCCTTGACAGGGTCCTTCACAACCATTGTAAGTTGTTTTCCTAGGTATTTTATTCTCTTTGTACCTATTGTGAATGGGAGTTCACTCATGATTTGGCTGTTTGTCTATTTTTGTTGTATAGGAATGCTTGTGATTTTTGCACATTGATTTTGTATCCTGAGACTTTGCTGAAGTTGCTTATCAGCTTAAGGAGATTTTGGGCTGAGATGATGAGGTTTTCTAAATATACAATCATGTCATCTGCAAACAGAGACAATTTGACTTTCTGTCTTCCTATTTGAATACCTTTATTTCCTTCTCTTGCCTGATTGCCCAGGCCAGAACTTCCAATACTATGTTGAATAGGAATGGTGAGAGAGGGCATCCTTGTCTTGTGCTGGTTGTCAAAGGGAATGCTTCCAGTTTTTGCCCATTCAGTATGATATTGACTGTGGGTTTGTCATAAATAGCTCTTATTATTTTGAGATACATTCTGTGAATACCTAGTTTATTGAGAGTTTTTAGCATGAAGGGGTGTTGAATTTTATCAAAGGCCTTTTCTGCATCTATTGAGATAATCATGTGTTTTTTGTCATTGGTTCTCTCTATGTGATGGATTATGTTTATTGATTTGCACATGTCGAACCAGCCTTGCATCCCAGGGATGAAGCCGACTTGATCATGGTGGGGAAGCTTTTTGATGTGTTGCTGGATTTGGTTTGCCAGTATTTTATTGAGGATTTTCACATTGATGTTCATCAGGGATATTGGCCTGAAATTTTCTTTTTTTGTTGTGTCTCTGCCAGGTTTTGGTATGAGGATGATGCTGGCCTCATAAAGTGAGTTAGGGAGGAGTCCCTCTTTTTCTATTGTTTGGAATAGTTTCAGAAGGAATGGTACTAGCTCCTGTTTGTACCTCTGGTAGAATTCATCAGTGAATCCATCTGGTCCTGGGCTTTTTTTTTTTTTTGGTTGGTAGGCTATTAATTATTGCCCCAATTTCAGAACCTGTTATTGGTCTATTCAGAGATTCAACTTCTTCCTGGTTTAGTCTTGGGAGGGTGTATATGTCCAGGAATTTATCCATTTCTTCTAGATTTTCTAGCTTATTTTTGTAGCAGTGTTTGTAGTATTCTCTGATGGTAGTTTGTATTTCTGTGGGATCAGTGGTGATATCCCCTTTATCATTTTTTATTGTGTCTATTTGATTCTTCTCCCTTTTCTTCTTTATTAATCAGGCTAGTGGTCTATCTATTTTGTTATTCTTTTCAAAAAACCAGCTCCTGGATTCATTGATTTTTTTGAAGGGTTTTTTGTGTCTTTATCTCCTTCAGTTCTGCTCGGATCTTAGTTATTTCTTGTCTTCTGCTAGCTTTTGAATTTGTTTGCTCTTGCTTCTCTGGTTCTTTTAATTGTGATGTTAGGGTGTCGGTTTTAGATCTTTCCTGCTTTCTCCTGTGGGCATTTAGTGCTATAAATTTCCGTCTAAACACTGCTTTAGCTATGTCCCAGAGATTCTGGTACACTGTGTCTTTGTTCTCATTGGTTTCAAAGAACTTCTTTATTTCTGCCTGAATGTCATTATTTACCCAGTAGCCATTCAGGAGCAGGTTGTTCAGTTTCCATGTAGTTGTACAGTTGTGAGTGAGTTTCTTAACCTGAGTTCTGATTGGATTACACTGTGGTCTGAGAGACTGTTTGTTATGATTTCTGTTCTTTTGCATTTGCTGAGGAGTGTTTTACTTCCAATTATGTGGTCAGTTTCAGAATAAGTGTGATGAGGTGCTGAGAAGAATGTATATTCTGTTGATTTGGGGTGGAGAGTTCTGTGGATGTCTATTAGGTCCACTTGGTCCAGAGCTGAGTTCAAGTCCCAAATATCCTTGTTAATTTTCTGTCTTGTGGATCTGTCTAATATTGGCAGTGGGGTGTTAATGTCTCCCACTATTATTGTATGGGAGTCTAAATCTCTTTGTAGGTCTCTAAGAACTTGCTTTATGAATCTGGGTGCTCCTGTATTGGGTGCATATATGTTTAGGATACTTAGCTCTTCTTGTTGCATTGATTCCTTTACGATTATGTAATGCCCTTCTATGTATCTTTCGATCTTTGTTGGTTTAAAGTCTGTTTTATCAGAGACTAGCATTACAACCCCTGCTTTTTTTGCTTTCCATTTGCTTGGTAAATCTTCCTCCATCCTTTTATTTTGAGCTTATATGTGTCTTTGCACGTGAGATGGGTATCCTGAATACAGCACACTGATGGGTCTTAACTCTTTATCCAATTTGCTAGTCTGTGTCTTTTAATTGGGGCATTTAACCCATTTACATGTAAAGTTAATATTGTTATGTGTGTATTTGATCCTGTCATTATGATGCTAGCTGATTATTTTGTCCATTAGTTGATGCAGTTTCTTCATAGCGTTGATGGTCTTTACAATTTGGTATGTTTTTGCAGTGGCTGGTACCGGTTGTTCCTTTCCATATTTAGTACTTCCTTCAGGAGCTCTTATAAGGCAAGCCTGGTGATGACAAAAATCTCTTAGAATTTGCTTGTCTGTAGAGGATTTTATTTCTTTTTTGCTTATGAAGCTTAGTTTGGCTGGATATGAAATTCTCAGTTTAAAATTCTTTTCTTTAAGAATGTTGAATATTGACCCCCACTCTCTTCTGGCTTGTAGAGTTTCTGCAGAAAGATCTGCTGTTAGTCTGATGGGCTTCCCTTTGTGAGTAACCTGACCTTTCTCTCTGGCTGCCCTTAACATTTTTTCCTTCATTTCAACCTTGGTGAATCTGGCGATTATGTGTCTTGGGGTTGCTCTTCTCAAGGAGTATCTTTGTGGTGTTCTCTGTATTTCCTGAATTTGAATGTTGGCCTGGCTTGCTAGGTTGGGGAAGTTCTCCTGGATATTTTCCTGAAGAGTGTTTTCCAACTTAGTTCCATTCTCCCCATCACTTTCGGGTACACCAGTCAAACGTAGGTTGGGTCTTTTCATATAGTCCCATATTTCTTGGAGGCTTTGATCATTCCTTTTCAGTCTTTTGTCTCTAATCTTGTCTTCATGCTTTATTTCATTAAGTTGATCTTCAGTCACTGATATCTTTTCTTCTACTTGATCGATTTGGCTATTGACACTTGTGTATGCTTCACGAAGTTCTTGCGCTGTGTTTTTCAGGTCCATCGGGGTCACTTATGTTCTTCTCTAAACTGGTTATTCTAGTTAGCATTTCCTGTAACCTTTCTTCAAGGTTCTTAGCTTCCTTACATTGAGTTAGAACATGCTTCTTTAGCTCGAGGAGTTTATTATTACCCACCTTCTGAAGCCTACTTCTGTCAATTCATCAAACTCATTCTCCATCCAGTTTGTTTTCTTGCTGGCAAAAAGTTGTGATCCTTTGGAGGAGAAGAGGCATTCTGGTTTTTGGAATTTTCAGCCATTTTGCGCTGGTTTTTCCCCATCTTCGTGGATTTATCTACCTTTGATGTTGGTGACCTTTGGATGGGGTTTTGGTGTGGACATCCTTTTTGTTGATGTTGATGCTATTCCTCCCTGTTAGTTTTTCTTCTAACATTCAGGCTCCTCTGCTGCAAGTCTGCTGGAGTTTGCTGGAGGTCCACTCCAGACCCTGTTTGCTTGGGTATCACTAGCAGAGGCTGCAGAACAGCAAAGATTGCTGCCTGTTCGTTCCTCTGGAAGCTTCATCCCAGAGGGGCACTCGCCAGATGCCAGCCAGAGCTCTCCTGTATGAGGTGTCTGTCGACCTCTGCTAAGAAGTGTCTCCCAGTCAGGAGGCACAGAGTTCAGGGACTCACTTGAGGAGGCAGTCTGTCCCTTACAGAGCTCAAGCACTGCTCCAGGAGATCTGCTGCTCTCTTCAGAGCTGGCAGGCAGGAACGTTTAAGTCTGCTGAAGCTGTGCCCACAGCAGCTCCTTCCCCCAGGTGCTCTGTCCCAGGGAGATGGCAGTTTTATCTGTAAGCCCATGACTGGGGCTGCTGCCTTTCTTTCAGAGATTCCCTGCCCAGAGAGGAGGAAGCTAGACAGGTAGTCTTGGCTACAGTGGCTTTGCCAAGTTGCGGTGGGCTCTGCCAAGTTTGAAATTTCTGGCGGCTTTGTTTACACTGTGAGGGGAAAACTGCCTACTCAAGCCTCAGTAATGGTGGACGCCCCTCCCCCCACCAAGCTCAAGCTTCCCAGTTCAACTTCGGACTGCTGTGCTGGCAGCGAGAATTTTGAGCCAGTGGATCTTAACTTGCTGGGCTCCATTGGGGTGAGATCCACTGAGCTAGACCACTTGGCTTCCTGGCTTCAGCCCACTTTCCAGGGGACAGAACAGTTCTGTCTCATTCTTGTTCTGGGTGCCACTGGGGTATGAAAAAAAACTCCTGCAGCAGCTTGGTGTCTGCCCAAATGGCCACCCAGTTTTGTGCTTGAATCTCAGGGCTCTGGTGGTGTAGGCACCTGAGGGAATCTCCTGGTCTGTGGGTTGTGAAGACCATGGAAAACACGCAGTATCTGTGCCAGAGTGCAGCGTTCCTCATGGCGCAGTCCCTCATGGCTTCCCTTGGCTAGGGGAGGGAGTTCCCTGACCCCTTCTGCTTCCTGGGTCAAGTGACACCCCACCCTGCTTCGGCTCCCCCTCCATGGGCTGCACCCACTGTCTAACCAGTCCCAGTGAGATGAGCCAGGTACCTCAGTTGGAAATGCAGAAATCACCTGCCTTCTGCATTGATCTCGCTGGAAGCTGCAGACCGGAGCTGTTCCTATTTGATCATCTTGCCAGCCACCTCTTTTTCTTTTTTAGAGATAGAGTTTCACCATGTTGCCCAGACTGAGGGCAGGTGCTATTCACAAGTACAATCATAGTGCACTACAATCTCAAATTCCTGTGCTCAAGTTATTTTCTTGCTTCACCTTTTCAAATAGCTGGGACTATAGGTGTGCCACTGTGCCCAGCTCTGGTTAACTTTTTTAGTGGTTGCCCTGGAGTTTGCAATATACATTTACAACTAATCCAAACCCACTTTCAAATAACACCATACCACTTTGTGGGTAACAAAATGCATTATTGCAGAATATTCCCAAATATTTCCTGTCATCCCTTTTGTCATTGCTGTCATTCATTTCACTCATCAGTAAGTTATAAACACTGAATGCAAGTGATTTACTTGTATTTACTATTATTATTATGAACAAACTGCTATCCATTAGATAAAGAAAAGAAAAACATTTCTTACCTACATTTATTCCTCCTAATGCTCTTTGTTTACATAGATCTGAGTTTCTGATTTATATCATTTTCCTTTTCTCTGAAGAATGTCTTTTAACATTTCTTGCAAGTCAGGTTACTGGCAACAAATTACTTCAATTAAAAAATTTTTGTTCTATGTGGTGTATAGCATGATGTTTTGAAATATGTATACATTGTGGAATGACTAAGTCAAGCTAATTTATATATACATACCACTTCTTTGTGGTGAGAACACTTAAAATCTACTCTCTTTGCAATTTTCTCAAGTATACAATACATTGTTATTAATTATTGTCTTCATGTTGCACAATAGAGCTCTAGAACTTGTTATTTCTGTATAACTGAAATTTTGTATACTTTGCCCAACATTTCCCCAATTCCTCCCAACCCCTGACTACCAGCCCCTGATAACTAACCTTCTACTCAACTTTTTTTTTTTTTTTAGACAGAGTCTCAGTCTGTTGCCCAGGCTGGAGTGCAGTGGTGCAGTCTTGGCTCACTGAAAGCCTCCTGGGTTCAAGCAATTCTCCTGCTTCAGCCTCCCAAGTCGCTGGGATTACAGGTGTGCGCCACCATGCCTGGCTAATTTTTTTGTATTTTTCGTAGAGATGGGTTTCACCATGTTGACCAGGCTAGTCTTGAACTCATGACCTCAAGTGATCTGCCTGCCTCAGCCTCCCAAAGTACAGGGATTACAGGCATGAGCCACCATACCTGGCTTACTTAACTTCTATAAACTCAACTTTTTAAGATTCCACATATAAGTGAGATCATGCAGTATTTGTCTTTCCATTCCTGGCTTAAGTTTACATAATGTCCTCTAGGTTCGTCTATGTTGTTGTCCCTAATGACAGAGTTTCTTTCTTTTTTAAGGCCGAATAGTATTCTATCATATATATATATATCATATATGATATATATATATACACCACATATTCCTTATCCAGTCATTCATTGAAAGAGAACAATATAATTCCATTCCATATCTTGGCTATTATGAGTAATGCTGTAGTGTACCTAGAGGTGCAACTATCTCTTCAACATACTGACTTCATATTTTTTGGATACATACCCCAGTAGTGGGATTTCTGGATCATATGGTAGTTGTTTTTTATTTTTAGGGGAACCTCAATACTGTTTTCTGTAAGGTCTATACTAATTCCCACCAACAGTGTACCGTGTTCCCTTCTCTCCACATTCTTACCAACACTTTTATCTTTCACCTTCTTGATAATAGCCATCCTAGCAGGTATGAGATGATATCTCTTTGTGGTTTGGGTTTGCATTTTCCTGATGATTAGTGATGTTGAGCATTTTTTTCATATATTTGTTGGCCATTTGTATGTCTACATTTGAGAAATATCTATTCATGTCTTTTGCTCATTTTTAAATTGGGTTATTTATTTTCTTATTTGAGTTTTTTATATATTTTTGATATTAACTTCTTATCAGATATAAAATTTGTAAATATTTTCTCTTGTTCTATAGGTTGTCTCTTCACTCTGTTGATTGCTTTCTTTTCTGTGCAGGAGCTTTTTAGTTTGATGTGATCCCATTTGTTTATTTTTCTTTTGTTGCCTGTGTTTTTGGAGTCATATCCAAAACACACTGTCCAGATAAGTGTCATCGAGCTTTCTCTCTGTGTTTTATTCAAGTAGTTTTACAGTTTCAAGTTTTACATTTAAGTCTTTAATCCAGTCTGAGTTAGTTTTTGCATATGGTGTGAGATGAGTCCAGTTTCATTCTGCCACATGGCTATAATCTAACAACAAACTATCCAAAAAGAAATCAAGAAAACTATCCCATTTGCCATAGCTACTAAAAAGCTAAAATACTTAGGAATAAATTTAACTAAAGAAGTGAAAGGTCTGTGCACTGAAAACTATAAAACGTTCATGAAAGGAATTGAAGAACAATTAGATAGAAAAATATCCTGTGTTCATGGGTTGGAAGAATTAATACTGTTAAAATGTCTGTATACCCAAAACTATCTACAGAGTCAATGCAATGTCTTTCAAAATCCAAATAACATTTTTCACAGAAATAGAAAAAATAACCTTAAAATTTATATGGAAGCACAAGAGACCCTGAATAACCAAAGCAATCTTGAGCAAAAGGAACAAAGATTGCAGCATCACACCACCTGGTTTCAAAATTTACTACAAATCTATGCTATGGTTTGAATGTTTGTGTCCTCCCCAATATTTATGTTGAAACTTTATCTCCAATGCCATAATGTTAAGAGCTGGGGTCATTTAGGAAGCTCTGCCTTCAAGTGTAGGATTAATGCCTTATACAAGAATTAGAGGGAACTAGCTAGGTCCATTTTGCCTTTTTGTGTTACACTGTGTGAGGACCTGGCACCCGAGGCACTATCTTGGAAGCAGAGAGAGCCAGCCGTCATTAGAAATTGAATCTGCCAGTGCCTTGATCTTGGACTTCCCAGCCTCCAGAACTGTGAGAAATTAATTTCTGTTCTTTATAAAATTATCTGGTCTAAGATATTTTGTTATAGCAGTGGGAATGGGCTAAGACACTATACTAATCAAAACATCATAGTACTAGCATAAAAACAGACACATAGGCCAATGGAGCAGTGTAGAGAGTCCAGAACTAAATCTATGCATTTATAGTCTATTGACTTTTGACATAGATGCCAAAAACACACAATGGGAAAGGACAGTCTTTTCAATAAATGGTTTTGAAAAACCGCAATTTTTTTTTTTGGTCTAAGAAAGTCTTTATTACTTTCTCACATTTTTTCTCAATTTAAAATCTTTCAGAGTACAGTATTCTGTCCTGGTATGTTTTTTTTTTTTCTTTTAACACTTTAAATATTTCACTCTGCTCTCTTCATTGTATGGTTTTTGAGGAGAAGTCTGACGCAATTCTTATCCTTGTTCCAGCTGTAGGTAAAGTGTTTTTTCCCTTCTAGCTTCTTTCAAAAATTTCTCTGTCTTGGATTTCTGCAATTTGAATACGATATTGCCAGACATAGATTTTTTTGGTATTTATCCTTCTTGGTATTCTCTGAGCTTCCTGGATATATGGTTTGGTGTCTGTCATTAATTTTGGAAAATCCTCAGCCATTATTACTTTAAACATTTTCTCTGTTCCTTTTTGTCTTCTCCTTCTGCTATTCCTATTAAATAAATGTGACACCCCTTTAAAATTATCCCACAGTTCTTAGATATTCTGTTCTGTCTTTTTCACTTTTTTCCCTTTGCATTTATTGTTTTGGAGGTTTCTATTGACCTTTCTTTAAACTCCCAGATTCTTTCCTCAGTTGTGTCTAGTCTGTTGATGAGCGCATAAAAAGGACTCTTCATTTTTGCCATAGTGCTTTTGACTTCTGGCATTTTTCTTTGATTCTTTCTTAGAGTTTCCATTGCTTTGCTTACATTATCATCTGTTCTTGCAACGTTGCTTTTTTTTTTTCCATTAGAGCATGTTAACTATAGTTGTTTTAAATTCCTGGTCTGATTATTAGAAAATCTCTGTCCTATCTGAGTCTGGTTCTGATGCTTGCTCTATCTCTTCAAAATGTGCTTTTGTCTTCTAGTATGGCTTTTTGTTTTTTTAAGATGGTGTCTTACTCTGTCACCCAGGCTGGAGTGCAATGGTGCGATCTCAGCTCACTGCAACCTCCACCTCCCCGGTTGAAGCAATTCTCCTGACTCAGCCTCCCAAGTAGCTGGGATTACAGATGCCTGCCACTATGCCCAGCTAATTTTTGTACTTTTAGTTGAGATGGGATTTCACCATATTGGCCAGGCTGGTCTCGAACTCCTGACCTCGTGATCCACCCACCTCAGCCTCCCAAAGTGCTGGGATTACAGGCGTGAGCCACCGGCCTTATCTTTTTTGTTGTTGAAAGCTGAATTTGATATACTGGATAAAAGGAACTGAGGTAGTAGGCCTTTAGTGTGAAGTTTCATGTTTATCTGACTAGGAGGTAGACTGCATTTACTATTTTCTGTGGCTAGAGACTTCTTAAATATGGTTTGAGATGTGTAGTTCTTTCGGTTGTAATCTTTTGTTATTATACAGGAGCCCTTCTGATCTTGTGGTAAGATATGGGGACGGGGAGTGCATTCTATAGACCCACAATTAGGTCTCCGACTTTCAGTGAGCCTGCGCCCTTGGGCTGTGACTTCTCAGTCTCACCCTTCCCCATTTGATGAGACAACAAAGCTAGAAAGGGCCAGAATTGGTTATTTCCCTTCCCCAACAGAGAAGGCTGGAGTGGGCTGGAGTTGGGTATTTTCTTTCTCTGAGATTGATTAGGCTCTAATAAATGACAAATTGATTAGGCTCTGGTAAAATACTTTCTCATGAGGGCAGGCCTTGTTAAAAATAACACAATCATCTGGGTGTATTTAAAAATGGCTACTTTCCCCTTCCCCCTGCTGGAATCACAAGCGGACTTTTCTGTGATCTTCACTGTGACAACCTGGTAGGGCTTCTAGAGGTAAAACATATGAAAGTGTGTCCCTTCCTTCCAAAAATGGGCCTCTCTGGAGTTTTAAACTCTTAAACTTGCTCACACTGAACCTCCAGCAATCTGTTAATTACAGCAATATATTATATATATATATACACAAAATACATATTATACCTATATATCTATATACGTGTGTGTGTGTTTGTGTGTGTATATACACACACACACATACACATACACACTGTCATGAATAATTTAATCATCAGAATACATTCTGAGAAACACGTTGTTAGGCAATTTTGTCATTGTGCAAACATCATAGAGTATACTTAAACCTAGATTGTGTAGCCTACTACACACCTAGGCTATGTAATATAGTCTATTGCTCCTAGGCTACAAATCTGTATACCATATTACTGTATTGAATACTGTAGGAAATTGTAGCACAGTGTTAAGTATTTGTGTATCTATACTTATATAGATACACAAGATACACTTATATAGATAAAGTATAGTCAAAATATGGCATTATAATCTTAGGGGACCACTGTTGTATATGTGGTTCCAGTTGTTGACTGAAATGTCATTATGTGGCATTATGACTGTATAATTTTACCTTTTCCTCTCTTTTGCCTTTTCAGGTTCTTTAAAATAATTGAGAATTTGCTTCCAGATTATTAGTAATTTTTTTCTTAACAAAATACCTCATCCATCTATACAATCCTTTTTATGTGTTACATTATACTTCAAAGCCATATTATCAAGAGTTATCTAGATTTATTATAAAAATAACTTTTATGAGTTTTATTTATCATAGCTGTTCCTTAGTAAGTCATCTACTTGAGCTTTATATTCTGATTTTTAAGAAACAGAATGCTTAGAATCAGAACAGGAGTGGTAATGAGTACTTCCATGCCTTGTTATAAACACTTTTGGTAATTGTTGCCAAATTCTTTTCCAGAAAATTTGTGCTGATTTAACTTCCATCTGGATTTTATGGGTGTTTCAATTTTTCCATTCCCTCTTTTTTCAATATTGAATATTTTCATTCTTTATGATATCTGGCGTGTTGTATTTGAAACCTAGTTTGTCATTTATGTTTTAATTGCATTATTTAATTATTGAGTTTAAATTTTATAATGTAATTATTCAACTTTTTTTATTTCATGTATTGCCAGTTTATGTCATTTGTGTATTTTTCTATTGGGGTATTTATGTACTTTATTGCTTTGTAAGATTGCTTTATATATTAAGGATATTAGATCATCTTATTTTATCTGGTTGATATGTTTTTAGATTTATTTATGTTGTTTTCTGTTTGGCACCAGATCAATGCTTGTTGGCATTTTGTTAGGGAAATGGTTAGGAGCATGGACTTTGTATTCAAACTCTAGCACAGGCCAGGTGTGGTGGCTCATGCCTATAATTCCAGCACTTTGGGAGGCCGAGGCAGGCGGATCACTTGAGGCCAGCCTGGACAACAGAGTGAAACCCTGTCTCTACAAAAAAATACAAAAAATTAGCTGAGTGTCGTGGCATGCACCTATAGTCACAGCTACTTGGGGGGCTGAGGTGGGAGGCTTGCTGGAGCCTAGGAGGTTGAGGCTGCAGTGAGCTAAGATCGCTCCACTACACTCCAGCCTGGGTGACAGAGTGAGACTCTGTCTCAAAAAAGAAACCCCAGCTCAGCAACTTGCTCATTGTGTAATCTTGGGAAATTGCTTAATAACTTTTAGCTCTTGCTAAAACTGATATAAAACAATAGTGCCAACTTCATGGGGTTGTTGAGAGAGATTACTTAAAAGGTTTAGCATAATATCTGTCATAATTTAGTAAACACTCAATCATTTCTGGCTGTTACTGTTTGTATATTTTTAAACAGTGACCAAAGCAGAAATAAAGGGAATGATGTGAAATTAATGAATATGTAAGTTATATTTGCTGCCCTCTCTGGCCTTTTCACATGTACCTTTCCCTCTGTGAAACTACCCCACCCCCACCCTTTTATGGGGTAGCGTATTTGATATATAATCTTATTCTCATTTTGTTTAATGTCTTGGGAATGTGTTGAATACTCTTTGTGTAGGTTTTCATTTAGGTATACTTTTCAAATATGTAAATAAAGCTCAGTAAATAGAGGCCTGTTTTCAGATTCAGTGTATACTTTAACTAAGTTTCTTTTCCTACTTATATAACAGTGGCAATTATTGAAGTGGGACATACATCAAGTGAATAAACGGGTGTTTCCAGCTCTGAATATGCCATGAAGACCTTACTTATTTTTTTGATTAGTGACATTTTTCTCTTCCAAAAGTTTAGAGGAATGGGAATGTGAGCCTTCCATGGGGAAGTCTTACTTGTGTTGTTACTTTTTATATGTTTTACATATCTGTCTATTCTGTGGTTGAATAAAATATGTCCTTCCTATGACCACCAGTGCAACTTTTGTACATATGCTACCCATTATACTCAGATCTCCTTTTTAAAACCTCACAAGTAGAAAGGAATGTAAAATTTGTACTCTTTTACCTTTGAAAAACTTGCAATAATCACCATATCTTTATGATCGTTAGATTAGCAAACGGTTAAATCCTCATGAAATTCTCTTTATAAGCTGTTTGTAGTTTTCAGGCATTCAATCATTCATGCCTTATGGAAGGCAAAAAAACATTGGTTATTGATGAAATAGAAGTAAGATAGAATCACTGTTGTATTGCTACTCAGTCTATTAATGCAGAATTAAGCTAGATTTATAATATATATACAGTATATTTATATTTAATATATACTAAAATATAATATGTGTAATATGACTATAAATTTATACTATATACTTATGTTTTTATATAGATTTATTTAATATTTAGATTTATATGTATATAAAAAACATAGGATGTGATTTTTCATTATTTGTTTTTACAGGAACAGAATGCTAGTGCTTGAAAAAGGAACATAAAAGATCATATAGTACAACACTCTCATTTTATAAATAATAAGCTTAGACAGGCAGCATATAGCTTACTCAAGATCTCATGTGGGAGAACCTATTGAAGAATCCAGGGCTGTGTTCATGAGACCGCACTTCCTATGACTATAGTCATGTTTTCACTCAATTTCAAGCCCTTTTTATTTTAACTTTATTTTTAATTTCATAGTTATTTCTTTACATGGTTAAGCCAGTTCAAGATTTTCCTATTCAATAACTTGACAGATTTCCTTTAAACAAGAGCCATCTTATTAGACACTGAAGCTATTAAAAAAATTAAGGTTGCTTTCACTGAAAATGTGCAAAAACAACCACCCTGGTACTTGCAGTGTTACGTATATTCCCATCTTATGGCCCTAATAGAAGAATAAGTAGTTACTTTATTTCTCCTTCACCTATCCCCTTCAGGAGGTGTCCTGCCACATGCCTGTTGTGGACTTTCAAATTGTGTGCTGTATTCAAAGGAACTCAAGACCATCATAGTTAAGTTGGGCTCAATAGTTAAGATTGAAAATGATGTTTTAATAGCTGCATCTTTCTTATTAAACAACATATTAAAAATACAGCTAGCTCTGTGTAATTACATTGATCATTGTACCCCCTGGATAATACTATTAGGTTGGTGCAAAAGTAGTTGTGGTTTTTGCCATTGAAAGAATGGCAAAAACGCAATTACTTTAGCACCAACCTAGTAATTTTCTTTCCCACTCTTTGAGAGGTGTATGGTTTGGCAGTCTCTATGGTAAGTTGTTCTATTAGTCCATTCTCATGCTGCTATAAAGAACTGTCCAAAACTGGGTAATTTATAAAGGAAAGAGGTTTAATTGGCTCACAGTTTAGCATGGCTGGGGAGGCCTCAGGAACCTTCAATCATGGCGGAAGGTAAAGGGGAAGCAAGGCACTTTCTTTGCAAGGTGGCAGGAAGGAGAAGTGCCGAGTGAGGGGGGAAGAGCACTTTATAAAACCATCAGATCTCTGAGAACTCACTTGCTATTATGAGAACAGCATGGGCGAAACTGCCCCCACGATTCAGTTAACTCCATCTGGTCCCTCCCTTGACACGTGGGGATGATGGCGATTACAATTCACGATGAGATTTGGATGCAGACACAGAGCCAAACCATATCAGTTGTTCTTAAGAAATCCTACACTCACCTCTTGGTAATTAGTGCTTACCCTATGTCAACAGTGTCTCTTCAAATTGCTAAAAGGTCAGAATGTACATAAGGTATTAAGATGAACCCATCTCCTGACTGAGAGAAAAGGCAGGCTTAAGCTACCAGTGTTTAGTGGCATATATCTCTTATGTGGAAAGGCCAAGATATTTGCTTCCATCATCTTTATGCTAACTCCATGAATATCTAGCAGATAGTAGGTGCTTTGTCATAAATACTCTTGAGGTCAGCATCCTTCTTTGCTTGGTTGCCTGGCCTCCTATGATAAAAGCAAATGCCTGATTAGTTGTTGCCTGACAGCCCTCAGTAAAGGATATAACTTGGGATAACTTTTTAGTACTGTTCTTTGGCTCTGAGATGTTCTCGTTCCTGTTTTAGCTTATTCTCTTCTTTTGCTCCATGAACTCTAGTCTTTCTTCATAGATTAATTTCATCCCTCATTCAGTAATCCTAAATATTTTTTCAGTGCTTTACTATGTGACAATCACTGTTATTGGTGCTTGATGTACGTTAGTAAACAAAACAGACAAAAATCTCCTCACTTGTGGATCTTAAATTCTAGTTGGGGGCAGGAGACAGGCAGACAATTAAAGAAATGCATACTAAATATCTACATTTTACAACATATTAGGAGGTAACTGCTATTAAAAAAACCCAGCAGAGTAAGGGGGATTGGGAATGCTAGGGAAGACAGGGGTACAGTCACAGTTTCAATAGGTCAGAGTAGGTCTCAGGGAGAAGAAGACATGTAAGCAAACATATGCAGAAGAAAGGGAAGCTGACAATGTAGATATTCTGGGGGAAAATGGTACAAAGGCCTTATGATAAATGTATACCTGGTTTTTAAGAAGAACAGAGAAGCAGGCCAGTATTGCTGTAGTTGAGGGAGGTGGAGGAGGGTAGCAGGAGGTCATAGAGGAAATGAAGGTCAGGTCCTGTAGGGCATTTTAGGCCACTGTGAACACATTGGATTTTACTCTGAGTAAAACAGGAAACCACCAGATGGTTTTGAATAGAGGAGTGACATGGTATGACTTCTATCTTTAAAAGCTCACTTTGGCTGTTATATACAGAATAGGCTATAGAGAGCTACATATGAAAGCATAGAGAATAATTAGAAGGCTGTTACAGTAATACGGCCTGGGGAGAATGGTAGCTCACATCAGATGGTAGCAGCTATAGGAATGAGGTATGGTAGATTTCCAGATAGACAGTCATGCATCTCATAATCACATTTCAGTCAATGACTGGACCACATATAACAATGGTGGTCCCATAAGATTATAATATCATATTTTTGCTTTACTTTTTCTATGTTTAGATATGTTTAGATACACAAATACTTATGATTGTGCTACAATCACCTACCGTATTCAGTACAGCAACATGCCGTGCAGGTTTGTAGCCTAGGAGCAATGGGCGATAGCATGTAGTCGAGGTGTGTAGCAGGTATACCGTCTATGTTTATGTAAATTTACTCTGTGACATTTATATAACAACAAAATAGGCTAACAGCACATTTCTCAGAACACATCCCCATCCGTAAGCAACATGTGACTGTAATTTAAACATGGAGCCAATAGTATTTCCCAATAGGAAATGAGTTGTGTGAGAAAGGAGTCAAGGAAAACCTCAAGGTTTCTGGCCTCAGCAACCAGAAATATGAAATTGCAGCAATTAAAATGAGGAAGATTTCAGGTAGAATAAGTTCAGGTGGGGCCTGGGGGAGTGGTGAGGGAAATCAGTAATTCAGTTTTGAACATATTAATTTAGAGGTGCTTATAAGTCATCCCCATGGAAATGTTATATAAATGTTGGAGTTTAGAAGAGAAAATTAGAGATAAAAATTTGAGAGTCATAAGATATACAGGTGATATATAAAGCCCTGAGAGTGACTAAGATAACCACTGGGGAAAGGCTTTTGTTAGAGATCAGGATCAGAGTCAGCCTGGGGGCATTGCAATATTTAGAAGTTGGGGAAAGAGGAGGAACCAGCAAAGGATACAGGGAGGGAGTAGCTGTGAGATAGGAGGAAATTCAAGAAGACAACAGTATCTTCCAAGCAAAAGTGGTAAGCTCATACTCTTTAGGATGCTTTATAATTTGACCAAACCCCTCTGCTTCCAAGTGAGGTCATTGCAATTTTACTGAATTTCCTGGTTTCTCAGGAGAGGAATTTCTTTCCATGAGCTATGAGAAAGCTGATTTAGAGTCTCTCCACCTGTTCTGACAGCAGCCTCAGATGGCTGTCTGGAGTTTTGAGAGATGTTTGACAGAAGGCCATAGACTCTTGAAGTTTGTAGCTAGCAACCTACAGGAAGGACAGATTCATATATCCCATAGATAGCACCTGGGTTAGGGTCCTGATCAACACTGTTTCAGACTGTGTAGGTCCTGAGGCACAAGATTGAAATTTCTGCTGGTCTTACAAGAGAATTTAGGGAAATTGGAATAAGCATTTGTTGAACTGGTAAATGAAATTTCTGCTGGTCTTACAAGAGAATTTAGGGAAATTGGAATAAGCATTTGTTGAACTGGTAAAATATAAGGTTGTATACTCAATATGCTTCTACCATTGTGTCAAGGGTGTGATTCTCTTCTGTTTTCTGGTCCAAAAATTAGACTGAAAGAAAGGTAGACTGAATAGTCCCTGGAAGGGTTTACCAGCCCCATCCTAGATCAACTGCCTTTCATGACCTTAAAAGACTGATGGATTTAACCCTCACTTCTGCCCCTGGCAGGCTTATAGTGCCAAGTTGTGGTTTGCAAACTCTAAGACCAACACCTAAGGATTGCATCCCTGGCCACCAGATCAAAGTCCAGAGAGCAATGCCAAGTCAAAATCTAGCACTATTTGTGTGTGTGCTTGGGTAAGGTGGGATCTCCAGGGAGGTGGACAAAGTTCACTATATATACAAAGTGAGTCAACAGTTACAGAGGATAAGGCATGAAGCAGCCCAGAGGCATCTTACAAATGGTTTGCTTGTTGTCTTAGTCAACTTGGATACATCTTAAAGGAAGCCAATCCTTTGGTACAACTTTGCCTTTGTTTTTTCCCATTTCTAAATCAACACCTGGGGAAATGTTCCCCATTAATTGCTAGCTCCATATCATTCTTGCCTGTGTACATACATCTCTTCTCCACTGCTCAGAACACAGGAAGACTTACCCTGGTTGTGATTCTATCTCCTCGTTCTAAACAGAGTCCTGGAATTTGAAAAACACCTATCCATTAGGTACTGCAGGAATCTTTGTGATCCCATGTAACAATGTATAGATGTGTTGCTTAATGATGGGAGTACGTCTGAAGAAGTCTCTCATTAGGTGATTTTGTCATTGTGTGAACATTGGAGAGCATATACAAACCTAGATGGGATAGCCTACTACACACCTGGGCTCTGTGGTATAGCCTATTGCTTTTAGGCTACTAACCTCCACAACATGTTACCGTACTGAACACTGTAGGCAGTTGTAACTGGTTAAGTCTTTATGTATCTGAACAGATCTAAACATAGAAAAGGTAATGCATTGCACTAAGACGTTACAATGGCTAAGATGTCACTAGGTGTAGGACTTTTTCAGATCCATTATAATATTACGGTACCACCATCATATATGCAGTCCATAGTTGACCTAACTGTTGTTACTTAGCATGTAATCCTTTGTGACACTTATGATAGGAATATGTACTGGTGGGGAAACGTGAAGGCCTACAGTTGCCCTTCTATTGCCAACTCGATAGTGTGTAGCCTTGGATTCTCTTTCTATTTTGGCCCTGCTTGGGTTTCAGTACATCTTGGTTTGTATTGGTGAAGTCACATATATGATCCATTTTATCCCCTGCTCAGACAACACAAGCACTACAGACACAATGTACCTCTTTCTTTAATAAAATGAAAAAGTACTGTGTCCTTTTTAATAGATTCTAGTTTACTTTCTGATTCTAGAAGACCCTCTTTACTACTTTCCAAATCAAGACACATTTGTTCAACTATAAGATCATGGTTTATTTATTTTTATTATGAATTGTAATCAGTATTTTACCTCTGCCTCAGATATTTGTCCTATAATACTTAGTCTAATTGGTGTTTGCCCCTCATTAAGGGAATTAATGACATTAGCAGGTAGGAAAATGAGGAATAGTCCTTGAGAACTCTATCTCTAACCTTTACTGTGTTAATAAGAAGATAATAGATTAAAATAGCTTATTTTATTTTGTTAATTTCCTTTTTTAACTGACAAGTAAAAATTGTATATAATTATGGTGTACAACATGGTGTTCTGATATAGGTATGTGTTGTGGAATGGCTAAATCAAACTATTTTTAACATATGCATTACCTCACATATTTATTATTTTGGTGAAAATACTTAAAATCTACTCTCTTAGCAATTCTCAAGCATACCATAGGTTGTTATTTACTGTAGTCACCATGATGTACAATAGGTCTCTTGAACTTATTTCTCCTAACTGAAATTTTGTGTCTTTGACCAACATCTCCCCAAACTCCTTCCTCTTACCCTTGGTAACCACCATTCTACTCTGTTTTTGTGAGTTGAAATTTATTAGATTCCATATATAAGTTAGATCATGTGGTATTTGTCTTTCTGTGCCTGGCTTGTTTCAATTAACATAACATCCTTCAGGTTCTTCTAAGTTGTTCAAATGACAGGATTTTCTTCTTTATAAAGGATGAATAGCATTTCCTTGTGTGATTATATACCACATTCTCTATCCATTTATCTACTGATGGACATTTAGGTTGATTCCCACATCTTAGTTATTGTGAATAATGCTGCAATAAACATGGGAGTGCAGATATCTCAACAGACTGATTTCATTTCCTTTGGATATGTACTCAGTAGTGGGTTGCTGGATCATATGGTAGATCTGTTTTCAATTTTTTATCATAATGGCTGTGCTAATTTACATTCTCCCCAACAGTGTACAAAGGTTCCCTTTTCTCCACGTCTTCACTGGATCTTGGGACGGAGTTTTGCTCTTGTCACCCAGGCTGGAGTGCAATGGCATGATCCTGGCTCACTGCAGCCTCTGCCTCCCAGGTTCAAGTGATTCTCCTCCCTCAGCCTCCCAAATAGGTGGGATTACAGGAGCAAGTCACCACACCCAGCTAATTTTTGTATTTTTAGTAGAAACAGGGTTTTGGGAAGTTATCTATCAAGTCCTTTGCCCGTTTTTAAATTGGGTTATTTGTTATCTTATTATTGACTTGTTGGAGTTCCTTATGTTATGTTTCGTATATTACACTCTTATCAGATGTGAGGTTTGCAAAGATTTTCTTCTATCCTATAGGTTGTCTCTTTGTTGTTTCCTTTGCTGTGCAGAAACTTTTTAGTTGATATAATGCTATCTATTTTTGCCTTTGTTGCTTGTGTTTTTGGAGTTATATCCAAAAAAATTATTGCCCAGATCAATGTCATGGAGCTTTTCCCTGTTTTGTTCTCGTAGTTTTACAGTTTCAGATCTTATTTTTACATCTCTAATCCATTTTGAGTTTTTTTTTTTTAACCTCTGAACTTTTTATTGGCTTCCAGCTCCCCAGAGAGTACCCTGCTTCTGCTGGCTTAATGTCTCAGAACTTTGGTGTCATTGATCTCAGACACCACTTTGCCATCCACTGTCTGGCGGGTGGTGGTCTTTTGGATGGTTTGCATGGAGTTACTGCTGTCCAAGGCATCACCAAGACTGAAGTCCTTGATGTCTTCTGGCAGGCAGTGATACATGGCAATCTCAGCCTCCAGCTTGACCTTAATGTTCAGCAGGGCCTCCTACTCCTGGGCCTGGTGCTGCCCCTCTGCCCGGGTCTGTGTCAACTCCAACTCCAGGTGCAGCAGGATCCCGTTGAGTTGCTCCATCTGCAGGGTGTACCAGGCCTCCACCTCCCTCAGGCTGTTCTCCAAGCTGGCCTTCAGATTTCTCATGGAGTCCAGGTCAGTCTCCGAGGACTGGGCTGTATGTTACAGCTCATCTGTTGAGAGCATCATCTCAACAGCTCCAACCTTGGCCAACTGCATGGTGACCACTGTGGTACTCTCCTTAATCTGCTGAGACCAGTATTTGTCCAGCCCTTCTCAGTTCTTCCGAGCCAGCTCGTCATATTGGGCCCAGATGTCTGCCATGATCTTGGCAAGGTCCTGAGATTTGGGGGCATCTACCTCCAAGATCAAACCAGAGCTGACAATCTGGGCTTGTAGGCCTTTTACTTCCTCTTCATGGTTCTTCTTCATTAAGAGCAGCTCCTCCTTGAGAGTCTCGATCTCTGTCTTCAGCTGCAGCTGAGTGACACTGGTGTCATCAATGACCTTGCAGAGCCCATAGATGTCGCTCTCCACAGACTGGCGCATGGCCAGCTCTGTGTCATACTTGACTCTAAAGGCATCAGCAGCAAGATGGGCATTGTCGATCTGCAGAACAATGTGGACATTGTCCACAGTATTTGTGAAGATATGAGCCCTCAGGTCCTCGATGGTCTTGAAATAATGGACCCAGTCTCTGACCTGGGGTCCTGTCTTCTCCAGGTGCTCCCAGATTTTACTCTCCACCTTCCAGTTCTTGGTCTCTGGGCTCCTCACTCTGTCCAGGTAGTAGGCCAGGCGGTCTTCAGGCTTTGCATGGTCTCCTTCTCATTCTGGATGCCTCCCATTCCTGCCAGACCCCTAGCCATCCCTCCGGCCAGGCCCCTGGACCCCAAGCAGCCCCGGAAGCTGGTGGAGCAGGACATGGAGATCCGGGAACCAGAGCCCCCAGTGCCTGCATAGACGTTGGTTGTGCTGCTGACCAGCCAGGTGCCATAGCTGGGCACCTGGATGGAGCCCAGGGATGGGTAGGTAGTTGGTGGACAAGGTGGAGCGAGTGGTGAAGCTCATGCTGTCTGGGGAAGAGAGCGGGAAGAGAGGACTCAGGCTTTGCTGATAACCTTGAGTTTTGTATGGTGTGAGATGAGGCTCTAATTTTATTCTTCTGAATGTGGATATCTAGTTTTCTCAGCACCACTGAAGAGAATATCCTTTCCTCATTGTGTGTTCTTGGCATCTTTTTCAAAAATAAATTGAGCATAAACTTGGACTTTCTATTTTATTCCATTGGTCTATGTGTGTGTTTTTATGCCAGTACCATGCTGTTTTGTTTACTCTTGCTTTGTAGCAGATTTTAAAATCTGGTAATGTGATGCCTTCAGCTATTTTTTTTTTCCTTATGATTGGTCTGGCTATATGGGAGTCACTTGTGGTTTCATGCAAGTTTTAAGATTTTTTTTTTCTATTTCTGTTTAATATGTCACTGGAATTGTTAAAAATCTTTATTTTTTTAAATTTTTAATTAAAAAAACTTTTATTTAAGTTTGGGGGTACACTTGAAGGTTTGTTATATAGGTAAACTCATGTCACAGGGGCTTGCTGTACAGAGTATTTTGTCACCCAGGTACTAAGCCTAGTGCCCAATAGTGATTTTTCCTGATCCTTTCCCTCCTCCTGCCCTGCTCCCTCAAGTAGGCCCCAGTGTCTGTTGTTTCTCTCTTTGTGTTCTTGTGTTCTCATCATTTAGCTCCCACTTATAAGTGAGAACGTGCAGTATTTGGTTTTCTGTTCTTGTGTGCTAAGGATAATGGCCTCCAGCTCCATCCATGTTTCTGCATATGACATGGTCTTGTTTTCTTATGGCTTCATAGTATTCCATGGAATATATGTGCCGCATTTTCTTTATCCAATCTACCAATGATGGGCATTTAGGCTGATTCAGTGTCTTTGCTATTGTGAATAGTGCTGCAGTGAACATTAGTGTGCATGTGTCTTTATGGTGGAATGATTTATATTCCTTTGGTATATCAGTAGTGAAACTGCTGGGTGTAATGGTAGTTCCACTTTTAGCTCTTTAAGGCATTGCCACACTGCTTTCCACAATGGTTAAACTCTTTTACACTCTCACCAACAGTGTATAAGCATTCCTTTTTTTCTGCAACCTTGCCAGCATGTTATATTTTAACTTTTAAATAATGTCCTTTCTGACTCATGTGAGGTGGTATCTCATTGTGGTTTTGATTTGCATTTCTCTAATGATCAGCACTATTGACCTTTTTTTCATGCTTGTTGACCACATACATGTCTTCTTTTGAAAAGTGTCTGTTCATATCCTTTGCCCACTTTTTAATGTGGTTGTTTGTTTTTTTCTTGTACATTTGTTTAAGTTTCTTACAGGTGCTGGCTATTGGGCCTTTGTCAGATGCATAGTTTGCAAATATTTTCTCCCACTCTGTAGGTTATCTGTTTACTCTGTTGATAGTTTCTTTTGCTGTGCAGAAGCTCTTAAGTTTAATTAGATCTCATTTGTCAGTTTTTGCTTTTGTTGTGATTGCATTTGGCATCTTCATCATGAAATTTTTGGCAGTTTCTATGTCCAGAATGGTATTGCCTACGTTGTCTTGCAGGGTTTTTATAGTTTTGGGTTTTACACTTAATTTTATATCCAGCTAAACTAAGCTTCTTCAGTGAAGGAGAAATAAGATCTTTTTCAGAGAAGCAAATGCTGAGGAAGTTTTTTTACCTCCAGACCTGCCTTATAAGAGATCCTGAAAGGAGCACTAAATATGGAAAGGAAAGACCATTACCAGCTGATGCAAAAACACATTTAAGTACACAGACTAGTGACACTACAGGGCAACCACACAAACAAGTTGGCATAATAAGCAGTTAACAACACAATGACAGGATCAAATCCACACATGTCAACACTAACCTTGAATGTAAACAGGCTAAATTTCCCATTTAAAAGGCACAGAATGGCAAGCTGGATAAAGAAACAAGACTCAATGGTATGCTTTCTTCAAGAGACCCATCTAACATGCAACGACATGCATAGGCTCAAAATAAAGGGATGGAGGAAAACCTACCAAGCAAATGGAAATCGGAAAAAAGCAGGGGTTGCAATCCTATTTTTAGACAAAACAAACTTTAAACCAACAAAGATCAAAAAAGACAAAGAAGGGCATTACATAATGGCAAAGGGCTCAATTCAATAAGACCTAACTATTCCAAATATATATGCACCCAACCCAGGAGCACCCAGATTCATAAAGCAAGTCCTTAGAGACCTACAAAGAGACTTAGACTCCCACACAATAGTAGGGTAAGACTTCAGCACTTCATTGCCAGTATTAGACAGATAATCGAGGTAGAAAATTAACAAAGATATTTAGGACCTGAAAATGTTTAATTTTTAATTTTTGGGAGTACATAGTATATATATATATATATATATATATATATATATATATATATATTTATTTATTTATTTATGGGGTATATGGGATATTTTTATGTAGGCATACAATGTGTGATAATCACATCAGGGTAAATGGGGTATCCATCACCTCATGCATTTATCCTTTGTGTTAGAAACAATCCAATTATACCCTTTTAGGTATTTTTAAATGTATAATTAAATTATTATTGAAATTTTGATGGTGATTGCATTAAGTCTGTAGATGGCTGTGGGTAGTATGAATATTTGAACAATATTAATTCTTTTAATCCGTGAACATAGGATATCTTTCTGTTTATTTGTTTCTTCAATATTTTAAATCAATGTTTTATAGTTTTCAGGGTACAGATCTTTCACCTCCATTGTTAAATTTATTTCTAAGTATTTTATTTGTTATTGTAAATGGAATAGTTTTCTTGCTTTCTTTTTTGAGTGGTTCATTATTAGTGTATAGAAATGTAACTGAGTTTCGTATGTTGATTTTGTATCCACCCACTTTACTGAATTTATTAGTTTTAACAGGTTTTTGGTGGCATCTTTAGGGTTTTCTTTTTTTTTTTTTTTTTTGAGACAGAGTCTCACTCTTGTTGCCCAGGCTGGAGTGCAATGGTGCAATCTTGGCTCACTGCAACCTCTGCCACCTGGGTTCAAGTGATTCTCTTGCCTTGGCTTCCTGAGTAGCTGGGATTACAGGTGTGTGCCACCATGCCTGACTAATTTTGTATTTTTAGTAGAGATGGGGTTTCACCATGTTGACCAGGCTTGTCTCAAACTCCTGACCTCAGGTGATCTGCCTTCCTCAGCCTCCCAAAGTGCTGGGATTACAGGCATGAGCCACAGTGCCTGGTGGGTCTTCTATATATAGGATTATTTCATCTGCAAACAGGGACAGTTAAACTTCTGCCTTTCCAATTTGGGTGTATTTTATTTTTCATCTTTTTGCCTAATTGCTCTGACTGGGACTTTTAGTACAATATTGAATAGAAGTAGTGAGAGTAGGCACCCTTGTCTTGTTTCAGATCTTAGAAAGAACTTTTCACTTTTGAGTTTGATTTTAGCTGTAAGCTTGTCATATATGGCCTTTATTGTGTTGAGGCACATTCCTACTATACCTAATTTGTTGAGAGCTTTTATCATGAAAGGATGTTGAATTTTGTTCCATGCCTTTTCTACTTCTATTGAGATGATCATATGGTTCTTGTCCTTCATTCTGTTAATGTGGTATATCATATTATTGTTTTGGTTATGTTGAACCATCCTCGCACCTCAAAATCTCACTTGGTCATGATGAATCATTCTTTTAATGTGTTGTTGAATTTAGTTTTCTAATATTTTGTTTAGAATTTGTATATCTATATTCATCAGGGATATTGGCCTATAGTTTCTTTTCTTGTAATGTCTTGTCTGGCTTTGGTATCAGAGTAATGCTGGCCTCATAAATATGTTTAAATGTATTCCCATCTCTTCAATTCTTTGGAAGAGTTTGAGAAGGATTGTTATTAGTACTTCTTTAAAAGGTTGGTAGAATTCAGTAGTGAAGCAATTAGATCCTGGGATTTTATTTGATGGGAGACATTTTATTACTTATTCAATGTCCTTCCTTGTGATTGGTCTCTTCACATTTTCTTTTACCTCATGATTGAGTCTTAGTATGATGTATGTGTCTAGGAATTTATTCATTTCTTCTAGGTCATCCAATTTTTTGGCATATAACTGTTCATAGTAGACTCATGATCATTTGTATTTGAGTGCTATTTGTGTAATACCTCCTTTTTCATTTCTGATTTTGTTGTCTTTTTTTTTTCCCTGATCTACCTAAGGGTTTGTTGATCTTGTTTTACCTTTTTAAAAAACCAACTTGGTTTCATTGAACTTTTCTTTTTTGTCTAGTCTCTATTTATTTCTGCTCTGATTTTTATTATTTTCTTCTTCCTGCTATCTTTTTGCCTAGTTTGTTTGTTTTCTAGTTCCTTGAGATGTAACGTTAGGCTGTTTATTTGAGATCTTTCTTCTTTTTTGATGGAGGCAGTTATTGCTAAGAACTTTCCTTTTAGAAGTGATTTTGCTGCATCCGATAAGTGTCAGGATGTTGTGTTTCTATTTTTGTGTATTTCGAGATATTTTTAAATTTTTCTTTTAATTTCTTCTTTGACCTTTTGGTTGTTTAAGAGCATGTGTTTAACTTCTTCACATGTGTGAATTTTCTGAAGTTCCTCCTATTATTGATTTTTGGTTTCATATTATAGTGGTTGGAAAAGATGCCTGATACAATTTCAGTTTTCTTAAATTTGTTAAGTTGTGTTTTGTAGCCTAACATATGATCTGTCCTGGAGAATGTTCCGCTTGTGCTTGAAGAGAATATGTATTCTGCTGCTGTTGGATAGAACGTTTTGTACATGTCTGTTAGGTCTGTTTGGTATGAAGTGTAGTTCAAGTCCGGTGTTTCCTTATTGACTTTCTGTCTGGATTATCTGTCCACTATTGAAAGTGAAAATATTGAAACTCTTTGTTATTATTCTATTATAGTCTATCTCTCCCTTCATTTGTATCAATATTTGCTTTATATATATATATATATCTCAATATTTGCTATATATATATATTTAGGTCCTCTGGTTTTGGTTTTATATGTATATTATATATATTTACAGTAGTTATATGCTCTTGAAGAATTGACTGCTTTATCGTTATATAATGGCCTTCTTTGTCTCATTTTACAGTTTTTGACTTTTAATCCATTTTATCTGATATAAATATAGCTACACATACTCTCTTGGTTTCTATTTACATGGAATATCTTTTTCCATGCTTTTATTCTTAATTTATATGTGTCCTTATAGGTGAAGTAAGTCTCTTGTAGGCAGAATATAGTTGGGTCTTGTGTTTTTATTCATTTAGCCAATCTGTCTTTTGATTGGAGAAGTTGGTTCATTTACATTCAAGGTAATTATTGATAGGTTTGGCCTCATTAGTGGCATTAAAAATTATTTTCTGGTTGTTTTGTAGATTCATTTTTTCCTTTCTCTTTTATGACTTTCCTTTGTAAGTGGATCATTTTCTCTAGTGGTATTTTTGATTTCTCACTCTCTATCTTTTGTATATCTACTGTAGCTTTTTGTTTTATGACTACTATGAGACTTATATAAAACATATTATAGTCATAATAGGCTATTTTAAGGCTGATAACAAGTTAACTTTGATTGTATTACAAAATCCTACACTTTTGCCTCACCCATCTCTCTCACATTTTATACTTTTGCTGTTACAGTTTACATCTTTTTTTTTGTATATCCCTCAGCAAATTATTGTAGCTATTATTTTTAATAGTTTTGTCTTTTAACTTTCATACTAAAAATTTAAAGGATTTCTACACCATCATTACATTATAAAAGTATCCTGAATTTGAGGATGTAATTACTTTTATCTGTGAGTTTCATACTGTAATTTTTGTTTTAGTTTTTTGAGATGGAGTCTTGCTCTGTTGCCCAGGCTGGAGTGCAGTGGTGTGATCTTGGCTCACTGAAACCTCCACCTCCCAGGTTCAAGCAATTCTTCTGCCTCAGCCTCCTGAGTAGCTGGGACCACAGGCATGTGCCACCACGCCTGGCTAATTTTTTCTATTTTTAGTAGAGAGGGGGTTTCACCATGTTGGCCAAGCTGGTCTTGAACTCCTGAACACAAGCAATCTGCCCGCCCGCCTCAGCCTCCCAAAGTGTTGGGATTACAGGTGTGAGCCACTGCGCCCAGCCTCTAGTGTTTTTATGTTACTATTTTTTGTCTGTTTTTTAAGTTTAAAGTATTTCCTTTAACATTTCTTTTAAGAGGGTCTGGTGATGTTGAACTCACTTAGCTTTTGCTTATCTAGGAAAGTGTTTATCTCTTCTTTACTTCTGATGGACAGATTTCCTGGGCATTCTTGGTTGGCAGTCCCGTCCTCCCCCTGCACTTATATCACCCCACTCTTTCCTGGCCTGTAAGGTTCCTGCTGAGAAGTATACTGCTAGCCTTATTTGAACTCCCTTAAATGTGATTGCTTCTTTCCTCTGGCTGTTTTCAGAATTCTCTCTGTCTTTAATTTTTGACAGTTTGATTATAGTATGTCTTGCTGTAGTCTTACTTGGATTGAATCTGATTGATGATATTTATTACCTTCCTATACCTGGATATTTGTATCTTTCCCTAGATTTGGAAAGATTTCTGCTATTATTTCTTTAAATAAGCTTTCTGGCTCTTTGTCTCTTTATTCTCCCCCAAATCCTATAGCATGAATATTTGCTCTTCTGATGCTATCTGATAAATCCCTTAAGGTTTTATTCCTTTTCATTCTTTTTCTTTTATTCTCTCTGACTGTATTTTTTAAGATAACTTGTCTTTGAGTTCATAGATTCTTTCTTCTGCTTAATCAGTTCTTTTTACTTCTCTATGGGTTTTAAATTTCATTCCTTGTATTTTTTGGCTCCCTAATTTCTTTTTTAAATATAATTTTAATCTTTGTTAAAGTTCTTGTTTTGGTCTTACAGTGTTTTCCTAATCTTATGGAATTATTTCTCTATATTGTATTGAAGTTTGCTGAGCTTTCCTAAAACAATTGTTTTGAATTCTTTGTCAGGCAGTTTGCATATCTCCATTTCTTTAGGGTCACCTACTGGGAAATTATTGTGTTCTCTTGGTAGTGGTATGTCTCCCTGGTTTTTTATGTTTCTTGTTGCCTTATGTTAATCTTTGCACATTTGGTGGAACAGTCACCTCTTCTAGATTTTATGGGCTAGCTTTGCTGTGGAAAGTCCTTCTTTTATTGGGGGCTTCCAGGGAACTTGCTGGGTGGGGGATGTAGCAATTCTAGCACCAGTGAAGGTGCAGCTGTGTATG
The DNA here is from genome assembly GCF_000001405.40 of Homo sapiens. Classification (NCBI taxonomy): domain Eukaryota; kingdom Metazoa; phylum Chordata; class Mammalia; order Primates; family Hominidae; genus Homo; species Homo sapiens. Next base: position 65,427,282 of record NC_000012.12, read on the forward strand.
TCTCTGCAGCTCTGTCAGCTGAGGTCATTGTTGATGGAGATTGCAGTGATACTCAGCAGCTGATACCACAGTGGCAGTGAGGGTTTCTGGGTTTTCTGTGTCCATAGTGGCAGTGGCAGTGAGGATTGTCCACAGTGGCAGTGAGGGTTTCTGAGTTTTCTATGATAATGGCAGCTAAGGGCCTCCTGATTTCTTTTTCTTTCACTGAGGAAGTTGTGGCTGAGGGGATTTCTTTTGGCACTGGATTTGGCTTGCAGGCCCACTCGCAGTTTGGTGTGGCACTAGTGTCTGATGAGTGGTGCCCATGGAGCAGCCATGGAGCTGAGGCCTGAAGCACAGGCACAAAAGGAAGGAATATGGCTCTGGGCTCTGGGGTGTAATGGCACTAGTGTCCAGTGTGCAGGCACTCTCACTGCCACACTGATAACAGTATGTAAAGCTCAGATTCTTGTAAAGTAGCCGGGGAGTCAAAAACTAGAGCACAAATGTGTGTAGTTACAGTGGTTTTGGAGTCAGAGCAGGGCCTAGCTCACTGTGGTGGCTGAGCTGGTGCCTGGAGTGCAGCCATGCACAGCAAGAGCTTAACTCTAGGTTCTGGAGTACAAATTAGCTTGCTAGTAAGCTCCAGTGTCTGAAATGCTCCAGTGTCTGAAATGTGGACAAACCCAGTGCAGCCACAGGACCCAGGTCTAGAGTGTGAGGACTCAAGAGGTGTCCAGAGTTGAGGCACTTAGGGGATTTGGAGAGTTGGTGGCTTCTTTCCCAAAGCAGCTCAACAGTGGCCACTTCTTGGGTTGGTGAGGTGTGTGTAGCTGTGTCTTCCTCTCTGGGGTTCCCTGTGAAGAATAATGGTTTGTTATTTCAGTGGCAAAAGATATTGTTGTCATCTGCAGAGCAGGCTGCTGAGGACCATGGTGGTTTTCACCACATGGCTGATTCAGACAACCTCTGCTATTCTTCTTTGTTCTGGGCAATATCCTGGCATCTCAGGTATACTGATCTTACCAGTTATTTATTTTCTGTGTGTATATTTTTTTTTTGCTCCACTGTATTGTTGCAAAATCTTAAATAGGATCTTGGGGACTCTCTGGGGTTATTTTGTTTGGAGATAGCTGTCTATGTTTATTTTGGGGGTGCTAAAGGGAGAAAGCTGATATCTCCTACTCTGCCATTGTGGTTACATCCCTATTATTCATTTATTCTTTTAAACACCAATTCAACACTTGCTCTAATGGACTGGGCATTGAGTATATATGGTACAGCATAGACTCAGGCCCTTCCTTAATTAAGTGAGTTTTTAAAATAAGTTTACAAACAGGAGTACGACATTATTGGCACTAGCAAATCTAATCATGTAACCCCTCTGCCCAGAGTTTTTCCAAGGGCTTCTAATTGACTATGGGATGAAATATCCCTCCCTTTGCATGCAATCAAAGGCTTTCATGACCTAGACCTTTCTCTGTCTATGTTCAATTTCTCTACTTCCCACCCCCATCTTTAGCAATTGGTATTTTAGAAAACGCTAAACTAATTCCCCAGAATGCATTGTGCTGTTATTGTTGTTTCGTGCCCCTACATATGGGGTGTCCTCCCTTGGAATATCCTTTTTTTCCCCATAAGATAGACATGGGGTTTCTTTCTACTAGAATTATATGCCCCTTGTAAAACAGCTCTCTTATGATTACTTACCAGTCTCTATTGTCTTTATAATTTTTTTGAGGGTGGGACTGTATGGTTGCCTCTTGTTTTACCCTTGGCCTCTAGTATAGTTTTAAACACATCCATTAAGTCAATATCTACTGCCTTAGGGACAGGAGATACAGTGGCAAACAGACAGGGCTCCTGCTATTAAGGAGTTACTAAACAAGGAAACAAATAAATGGGATGATATTTGATAGGAGCTATGCAGGAAATAGAAAGGATCTATTTAACCCTTTGATATTGTTGATCCCATGATAGGGAATGATGGTGGTAGGTGGAGGGAGACGCTCATTTAAATAGGCATTTCAGGGAAAGCCTACTGAGGAGGTGATATCTGAGCCAAGGTCGAAAGTATGAGAATACAACCACACAAAGAGCTTGGGGGAGTGTTCAAAGCAGAAGAGAAAGCAAGTATTTGATATGTTACGGCAACCAAGAGAAGACCAGTGTGGTTGAAGCACAAGGGGAAGAGTGGTTTGAGATGTGTTTGGAGAGGTAGGCAGGAGTTGGATCATGCAGGTTTTTGTCCACCTTCAAATATTTCTTGAACTGAATGTGTCAAGCCTGAAATCAAATTCTGCATATTTTGTCCTTATCCTCCAGCATATCCTTAGGCTTCATTTCTCTCCAGCCATGTTCCCACTGGGCCCACTGCAATAAGAGTAAGAGTGTCATACATTTCTCTCCAGTTTTATTAGTGGGATTTTACCAGATCTGGAAATATTAAAGGAAGGAAATTGTTTTCAGTGTTTGGTCTTATGAGTAGGCCTTTAACAACAGCTATATCATAATGAATTCAGGATGATGTGAATGATGATTGCAGAGGAACTGGATATGCACAGTTCATACAGACCTCTAAGTAAAGCTTAGAGCTTGTTTCATTTGCTTCTGGTTTTTATCTCAGTATGATCCAGCAACCTAAAATAATGAAAGAAGAGCTCCATTTCCAGTGACCAGTTCAGTCCCTGCACTAGCAGAAAGTTAGTGTAGAATCCAATGCAAAGATCACATGTAAATTCTAGAAATTTTACTACATTTTTTTTTCAGAGATGACAATTGAATTGCCTGCTTTCCTTCCTTCCTTCTTTCTTTGTTCCTTCCTTCCTTCTTTCCTGAGCACTGAAGGATGTAAGTGCTGGTTTGAAGAATCTAAAAGGCTTCAGGGTAACAGTGAAGTGGACGACACATTCTTCTTCCAGCTGCTGCTGTTCACAACACTTCTGACAGTTAAAATACATCACACATTCTCTTGTCCTTTTAATGTAAACATTTACTGTTTTAAGTGGACTATAGAATCAAACCAAAATAGAAGGATGCAGACTGATATTTCAGAGGTGAAGCTAAGCACTAGACTAAATTAAATAAGAGTAATTTGCAATCTAACACATAGTTATAATACATATTGTACATTATACTCTGTTTGTCCCTGGGAAAGATTAAACAGAGGGCTTTCATTGCTTGCTGTATTTTTACAGCCTGTTACTAGAAAAGAATTTCATATAGAACAGGCAAAATTTTGAATTGGAATTAAGTTAAAAATAAATGGAAAAAGTAGTAAGGTCAGGGTAGCCTCCTTGGTGTTGATTTTCTCCTATGCTTAAGCATCATCTGAAAGTCAAGAAAATGATCGCATCTCTAGTTTTTGTTGTTTGTTAATTTCCTCAGGAAAAACTTGACCTCCTTCTTTCTTATTACGTTGGCATCTGTCTTAAGCCTTTGCCTTCAATTCTTATAGCTTCTTTCAAATTGTATTAAATTTGAAGACTAAGAACCTTCAAAATGACTCACATTTGAATCCTGGACCTACTCCTAAGCTGACCTGTTCTAGTTTTTAAAAATGGATGTGAAATTTTGCTTAGAATCCTAGAAGTTAAAAATGTGACATCCTACAGAATGCCACTTCATACAGGCAAGTCTGGTGCCCTTAAAGTTAGTTTTACCCTGAGAGGAAAACTTAGAAATGAATACAAGTTCAAGTTTGCTCAATTTCTTGTTTTGCTTAAAATTTGCCTACATAACACATAAATTCATCAAACTCCTTTCCTAGTGACAATACTTCATTAGATTACTTTAGTGAGTATTCAGGAGATTTTCATCTTATGAGTCATAAAATTCTTTTATTCCCCAAAGAATTTCTGGTGTCTGATTGGAATTTCACGTCTTTGTAGTTTTAGCTGGACTCTTTGAAGCAGTTACTTCCTAAATGACTGTATTCCTGAGGCCTGCATGTAATACCTGGGGAGCTGGGTCACAGGTTGACTCCTGTTTTTCAAGAAAATTGAAAAATCAATCTCTTTCATTGCTTTAGTCTTAGTAATTTTATTCAGAAATTTTCTTAAACTTTTTAACCTCCTCCTGTCATGACAGAGAGGTTTTCACTTGCTGCCTATACAGTTTCCAGCATTAATTTTTTTGTGCCTACTTAGGCCCGTTTCTGTCTATTTCTGTGAATACATCCCAGCGATTTAATGTTAGTATGTTTCTTGCCTTTCCTGTCAGGTTTTCATCACTCGTTTGGTATAAAGGAAAAGGGGATAGAATTACAAATATACTGGACCATGTAGCTATCGATGAGAAATGTCTTCAGATATCCTTTTACTTTTTTCTTCTTCTTCTTTTTTTAAAGTTCTTTTTGAAGGAGGTGAAAGTCAGGTTATAGTGGAAAGCCAGAACCATTGTGTGTTCCTATTTGAAAAATCCTGGGAAGTGAACATGATACTTTTTGACATGCGAGTTTCAGAAATTCTTAGTGATTATTATAATACACACTCCGCTTATGTGCAGAGCTTCATCTGCATGCACAAGTCTTTGTGTGTTTTAAAAGATAATGCCTAACTCTTCTGTTTATAAATGGCAGTAGCTGAGTATGCACAGAAGAGACTGAAGTCTAAGTCTGGATGTGCTATTTGGCTACATTCAAACAGCATGGGACAAACACAAAATGTAAGGCTAGTAGAATATTGACACTAACAAATTATTCGGAAGTTGGTTATTAGGAAATCTTTCACTGGACTTCAGTATCTTTGGTTTCTTTAAGAACAAATCTAAAATTTTACCCCAAAAGCTAGGTAGTTATATATTATTTGTATTATGGCTCCTTCAACACATAACTTTTTTAAACTTTTAAATCAATAAAAGAAGGGATTCTGTCTATAAAACACAAAGGAATACACCAAGTTAATGTTTTAGTTGATTAGTATATTATTTTGAGAGTAGAAAAAAATCAATGCAAAATTACTTGCTATTCACATATATGCAGAAAATGTAAGTCCTTGGAATGTAGCACACATTATCATTACATAATCTATATCCATATGCTGTTTATAACAAGCTGAAATGTTATACCCTTGAGAAAAGAACCAGATTCTGGCACAGGACTGTTTTGTGGCAAGGAAAGATGAATGGATTCCAAAATTTTAAAAGGGGGGAAAAGCTTGATGGTTCCACAAAAAATAAGAGTTGAAATGGGGATTTAGAGATATATATGTTAACACAAGCTGACAATTAAAGCAATTAATTTCCTTCTTTATCTATATCCCCTCCTAGCTCTTCTAATCCTGACTAAGGTAAATGGATTGACTCACCTTTTTAGCAGATGAAGATAGGAACAAAGATATCTGGCATTACAGCCTGTCTCCCCATCCCCCGCCATCCCCATTTGTAGCTTTTTTTTTTACAGATGTTTTTTTCCATTAGTTAGAATAGTTAGTTCTTAAAGCAGTTAGAGACAGATCTGTACCAGTCAGAGAAGCAGTGGTTCAAGCCTGTTGGCTTAATTGCTTTGAGTATGTTGCTAATGATGCTGGGGCCACATGTTAGATAGCCAATGTGAGCGTTTTTATGCAGTGGAAAAGGTCTTTCTCCAGACAAATATTGTACCTCTAATCCTTTTATGAGTAAATCTGAGATAAAGGGATTTGTGAATTTGTCAGTGACTCATTAAAAATATATTCTGAGTCCCTTAGGATAGCTATTATTAAAAAACAACAAAATAATAAGTGTTGGAGAGGATGTAGAAAAATTGGAATCTTATACTAGTGGGAATGTAAAATGGTACACTTAATGTGAAAACAATATGTCAGTTCCTCAAAAAATTAAACATAGAATTACCATATAATCCAGCAATTCCACTTGTAGTTATATATCCAAAAGAATTGAAAGCAGAGACTCAAACAAGTATTTTTTCTCCAGTGTTTATAGCAGCATTATTCATAGTAGCCAAAAGGTATTTTTTTCCTTGACTCTTTTCATTTTAGTTTCTTCTGTTACAAATTTATCTTTCTTTAAAATTTCTTATGGAGTCATATTCTGTTAAAATTTTCTTTAGAGTGTGAAGTATTTGTGGTTTGATTTCTTTTCTGTTTTCTGGGATAAAACTTCCAGAAAAAAACTTCATCTTTTTTCTCCAAGTTCCTCTTAGAATTAAAAAAAAATTTTTTTAATTGTCCATGGTATTCAGTGCAACCACAATTTTCTAATGTCAAATTTCAGTAGTTCTTCTGGTCTCAGTCTTCTGCAGTACCTCACACCATCATGCACAGAATGGTGTGAGGGAGATACTTTACACCATGGCCCACAGACCTGGGAATTATCACTCTGGCCTTTCTGAATTTCATCACCCTCCTGCTTCACTGTGATGGTCTTTCTCCAAGGTTGTTGTATGATATTGATAGCTTTCCTAGCTTTCAGGACTGAGAAAATATTTGTCTTTTCAAAAATTCATTTTGTTTCATTTAGTTTCTGCTTAGGGAAATCTTTAAGTCTCTACACTGCTCCCTTCCCCAGGGTTGCTATTTGGGTTTATATTTTGCATGTCTCCAAGATTCTCTCTTAGCTTCCTATCCTGCAGCCCAATAAGAGACGACCCATTCCACTTGTATATCTCTGGTGCCTCACTAGATGTGGCAGTTCAGGTTTTCTGAACCACCTGATCTGCAGGGAGTACTTGATCTCTTCCTTTATTTTCAAAGATCTTGGCATATTCTTTTGAAATCCTCAGTGGTGGAGAGTCTTTGCACTTTGAGGTGCTTACTTTTCTAAGTGTGAACAAATTACCCTTGCAGCAGTCTTTTCTGGAATCTTTTGGCTTAAGGGCTCCTCATTTAGTGTATGGGGTCCGTCCTTTCTCCATTTTTTCTTTTTTTGAAAATTAGACAAGTAGAATCTTACTGTCTGCTTTGTATCCACACCTAGGAGCTAGACCTACACATCTATGTCTACATTTCATTTCAAGTTCTTGACTCAACCCCCTAATTTCAGTCCAGCTCCTTTGGAATTGGCATTCCTCCTTTGATCCTTCTGCCCCAACTCTGGTGTCTGTCTCCTATAGGATTTGGCTGAGATCTGCCCGTCTACCTCTGTTCTAGAATATCCTTTAGATCACTTTGTCCACCCAGGGTGCAGGCAGTTTAATATCTAGTTGAGAAGATAAGTCTAACATGGTAAGACAACAGACAATAATATGAACTATCACCAAGTAAGTTTTATTGTATAATAGGTGTTGATAGGTGTCATAGCCATTCAGAAATAGTGAAGAATATTTATGGAAAGCTTCAGTGAACAGATGGGACTTGAAAAAGATATTAATAAGCGTTGGGACTTGGAGTTGTAAAAATTCCAGTCCAGTGAAGGAACATGAATGACGGAAGAAGGTGGGAAGGAGCTTGGCATATGGATGCAACAATGAAGATTTCCTCAAAATACTCTATTTTCCTTCCATTAATGAGATAGTAAATAGGAGGCTCTTAAAGATTGTTTCCATCTGGAGGTTACTATCATGTAAATTCCTTACATTTGTGTGGTGATTAGCTATTTTAAATGCACTGATATAATTATATCATTTGGTCTTTGTAACAGCTTTGTAAAATCACAGATGAGTAAATCACATCCTAAGTATCTTGCCAGAAATTTCATTGCTCATGCATAGTAGAGCCGGGATCGATTTAGGCAGTGAGAATCTTGTGTCTGGGAGACCAGTTAGATGTTATCTACACAGAAAATGGTGAGGCTCCAAGTTTTGATGGTGGCTGTGGAATGGAGAGGAAGGGATGGAAATTAGAGGTAGACTCCACGGCACTTAATGACTAAGTGGATATAGGAGTACCACATATGTGCTTTGAATATTGGTAACTGAAAGAGTTGTGATGCCATAATTAAGAGACAGGAACATATATGTAAGTCAAGTCCCTGATTTGTAATTTGAAGCCCATTTCTTTTGTTGTATAAGAGGTGGTAAAGATCTCTTTCTGACTCATTGCACCTTGTTTAAAATTTTTTGTTGCTTTTCCATCTTTTGGCCAAGATCAAATCTATATTTTAAAATGTTTTTCATATGTTTCAAGACTGTTTTGAGTTTACTCTTTAGTATTTTCTCTGCCAGGCTACGTAATCCTAGTTGCTAGTTTATTTAGCCATTTCTATAGGGATGTTTTTAATGCTTTATTATATTTGTGATTGTTTTCTGAATCTTTGCCAGCTTCTCCACGTGTCTCTCTGATGTTAAATTCAGATTTGGTCATAATATTTTGTCAGAGCTATAGTCTGAGCAATATTGATTTTGAACAAAGAGTAGTACATCAAGTTTCTTAAAATTTGTACACCTGTTTGTTCACAGCAGTATAATGTTACACTACACTGATGACCCAGATTCAGGTTATATTTTCTATAAAGCACTTTGAAAGATTTTGATAACATTTTGTGGAGATTTCTAGGAAAGATTTGATAGACTTGGAGGCAACATTTCTTCTACTCTGAAAGGTAAAGGTCTTGACATTCATTTCTCATAAGAAAGGAATTTATCAAAGTAGCAATAAAAGATAAGGCTAGAGTTAGTAACCCAAGGTCTGTGAACCCTGAAGCTTGGTATATGTATTTGGATTAATTTTTTTCTAGGGAGAGTCCAGATATTTTGTCCATTTTTTCAATAATAGATGTGGCATACAATTAAACTGTATCTTCCATGCTTTTTCCATTTAATACATCCTACTTAGAAAAGTTAGATAGTGAAAAATGATTATATTCTAGGAAAAGTCATGGTAGTACACCCCAGGTAGGAATGAGAAGTTTCAATATAGTGTCCCTGGAATATTCAGGCATAGGCTTTAGATAAGGAGTTCTTAACCTGGGGTCCTTGAATTAAACTTAGAAGATCCATGAATTTCGATGGGAAAAAAATCCGTATTTTATTTTCACTAATCACAATTTCCTTGAATTATGATATATGTTACAGATAACCCACAGAAGTACCTATAAGTTTGTCACCAATAGAAACCACAAATGTTTTCATATCATAATACAGTCATCACAGATATCTCAAAATAACATTTACACTAATTACTACTTCCAAATTATGATAATTAGTAGATCCACCATTAAAGCTTGTTATGTAATGTGTTAATAAAGAAGCACATATTTACTATATAACGCATTTGTTTTTTTTCAGTATTTTGATAGCAGTATTTAAAGATCATTTTTCCATTGTAATCCCATATATTTGTTCTCATGCATTTAGAAACATTTTCCTGTAGGCTTTGCCAGACTTCCAAAGGGTCTGGAACAACAATAAAAATTCAAGAAACCCTGATTTGGGTGTTATAGCATCATTTCATCATTTCTAGAGTTTTTTAATTCACTGAACATTAAGCAATTCAGGATTTCATTACATAATGTTGTTTATTGAGAAGAAAATTTACAAAAATCATTAATCATCTGGTAGAATGTGAACTTTTCTAGCTTTCAGAAATGTTTCTAGCTTCTTACTATTTTATTTCTGTTCATCACTAGTTATATTCTGTAATAGACTGTCTCAACTTGTCAACTCTCTGAGCTGCCACAGAGATTGTTTGGTGTAGGATTTAGAAGAAAGAATTTTGGAGACAATCTTGGATTTACATGCCAACTTCACTTAACGGTGCACAGTAAAGTGGCCTTGTGAAAGGTACATAATAATCTCTAAACCCCAGTTTCTTTACCTGTAAAATGGGAATAAATAGGATGTGTACACAATATATACGACAATAAATGTAAAGCACTTAGCATAACATCACAAATAATAACAATAATACTCATTGGAGATGGTCCTGTGTGTGGCCTTATACTTTCTATTCCAGTTTTTCTGAACCTCTTGAGCTAAATAGTGACAGTAATTTTGGTATGGACAACTTGAGTAAAGTTTTTGCCCCGTGGACTAAGGGGCCAGAGAGCAGTGTCAAAAAGCATGATGGCAGGATTTTGAATGTGACAGATCATGGAAGGAGTTTGACTTAAGGAGATTTATGGACTTCAAGAGTAGAGATCGGCATAGCCACTTCTAAGTGTACTCAGCCTTCTTGCTCCCGGAGACTAAGAAGCGGCTAAACATCTGAGCTGCATCACTGTTCGTGACAGGAATTTTGGATACAGGAGGCTTTTTCTTATTCTTTATCCTCTTATTCTCTCAGCAAGATCTGGTAGTTCATCTGTGTCTGGATTTTCACTACCTGTAGGACTACCAGCTTTTGGATTATATTAATAACCAGGCCTGAACCCAAGTGAGACAAAAAAGAAAAATAACAACATATCTAAGTGAGTCCTGCAGTGAGACAGGATCAGTCTGAACAAATAGACACATATCTGATAAAACAGAGTGCCTACAGTAGACAGACGACAACTAAACCAAGAAAAAAAAAAGCCAGCTGTCATGACACTGTTTGCCTAATCCAGTTATACTCATCCCTTTTGCCAGGGCAGAAGTGAATATTCCCCAGGTGAATGAATAATAATTGATCTAAGCCAATCATAAAATTCCATTTCCCTTGTCAGTGGTTGATTTCAGTTGGACAGATGCTCCATTCCTGATCAGTTGGATCTGAGAGATTTTTGCTAGAAGTTTTGCTAACTAACAAAATGAGACACACTGGCTGAAGTGCTCCCTTTTTCACTAGATGTTGTTTTGTCTGCCTGTGGTGTCTGGAATTACTGTAGCCGTTGTGTGACCATGAGGGGGATATCACTGACATTGTGAGGAGGGCAGACATTGTCCCTGATGAGATAATTATGCCACTGACTTGACCAACATGGAACCACTTAAATATAGATTCCTTGTTATGTGAAACAATAATTCCTTTATTGTGTAAGGCACTTTTATTTGTGTTATTTATTTCTTGCAGCTGAAAAATTCTTTCTGATACAATTAAGGGAATTCATGTCTAGTCCCCAAAAAGTGTTTTGGAGATTTGAAAAGATCATGATTTCCCACCTAAACAATTCAGTAGGTGAGTTGAAGGAAGCCACTGCTGAGACCAAAATTTGTTGCCTAGAAGATCAAATGGAAGAATATCTCAAAGCACAGAGCAAAAACACAAAGAGGTATAAATCTTGAAAGAAAAATTAAGAGACTTGGAAGATAGATCCAGGAGGCTTAACATGCAAATAATCAAAACTTTTTTGGGGGACCTATAGAGGAACTCAAGTCTACAGACTGAATAGGCTCACTAAATTCTACATAGGATTAATGAGGAAGGTAAAGCCTAGCAAGATGATACTCCCGAACTTTAAGGATAAACACAAAATCTTATAACCTTCCAAATTTACAATAGAAGTGTTAGGTTAGCATTCAGTTTCTCATCTGCAATCCTGGAAAATAGAAAGACAACAGGATAACATCTACAGATAACATCTACAGGAGAGGAAGGCAGAGTGGAGGAAAATGAGAGTTTTCCAAAGGCTTTATTTTACTTGGGTGGGAGGAAAGGGAAGCAGAAAAGGGAGGATATAGCATCTTGATATGGAAGACAATGGGTCTTTATGGAGGAAATGGTATCTGATTTTCCAATAACAGCAGATAATTCTTTGTTTGTGAGCACACACACACACAAAGGAAAATCCTGTAATAATGGGCAAGAATGGAATGAATAGGAATTTCATCTGAATAGCAGAAAAAGGGGGACAAGCACAACATAAAATGGACAAATATAAGGAAAAATGAAAGGAAAATAGGTATGTCTCTTGTTAAGTCAAATATGAATGAACTGAATTCTCCCATTACAAGACAGATTGTCAGAGATTGAGTTAAGTTCTAGTTATTTGCTACTTACAAGAAGCAAACAAAGTATAAAGAAAGCTTTATGGTTAAAACATACTAGGCCAAGGCAAACAAAACAGAAAGCAGAAATGGCAATATTAATATCAGACGGAGTGAAAATTAAGCTAAAAAGTACAGAGGATAAAGGGGAATTATATGATAATAAAAAGGTACTATTCATGAAGAGTACAAAGCAATCATAAACCTACAGGAATAAATTAACATAAATAATAAATATATGAATAAGAATCTTAGAAATGAAAGAAAACTTGATTTAAAAATACATAGTTACGGTGGATAACTTTGATCTCTCTCTCAGATTGAGACATATGTGTAGTCAAACTAAATAAGGATAGAGGATAACCCAATAGTACAATCAACTTTTTTTAATAGATGAAGTATCTTTCAAATAAAAAACATCTTTCAAATAAGAAATATAATTTTGTATTCTCATGGAACATTAGAAGATGATATATCATGTATGTGGCTACAAGGAAAATCTTAAATTTTAGAAAGTAGAGATTTCGTATAGCCCATATTTTTATAATAATCCAATGAAACTAGAGATAAATATCTAACTCTATGGGGTACAATAAACATTAAACTTAAAGGAAATGTTGTAATCTTGAATACCTTCATTATTATAGAAAAAAGATGAAAAATAAAGGAACTTTATAAAAAGAACAATAAAAATGCTAGGAAGATGGGAATAAAGATAAAAGCTAAAACTAATGAAACAGAAAACATCAAACGAGTAGAAAGAATAAGTGAATCCAAAGATGGTTTTTTGAAAGATCAAAAAAATAGATTAACTCATAATAAACCTGGTTAAAGAAAAAAACCTAGAGCAGAAATATTTATGATATTTACAAAAAAGAAATACAGTGGTAGATACTTGCCTTTCCTGATATAAGACCAGTCTGTGAAGCCACCATAATAAACTTACATTGGCATAGGGATAGACAAATAGATTAGTAGAGCAGACTCGTAGACAACAGTGTAAACGACAGTTTATAAACATGGTATTTCAACTCAATCAAAAATGAACAGTTTAAAACTTATTGGTAGCCCGATTGGTATTCTGTTTAGAAGAAAATAAAATTATAATACTATAGCATATACTTAGTGAAATTCCTGATTAAGATCTGAATGCAAAACAAACATCCTATATGAAAATATAGGATACTGTATGTATAATTCAGGGGGAGGAACTCTTTTTAACTAAGTCTGGTAGCCCAGAAACCGCAAAAAAAAGGACAGGCATATTTGAATAAAATAATCAAAAGCAAAGTCAAATACAGTAACAATAGATATAGAAGAATAATTATAATGCAGATGTTAGTAATTAATATCTGTAATTTACAAAGAACTGTTATCAATTAAGAAGAAAACTGTTATCAATTAAGAAAATTAAGAAGAAAACAATTTCTTCTTAATTGTGTGAAACAGCCATTACAAATAACAATGCATAAGAATTTAATAATACCTTCCTGAGACTTTTGTAATTTTTTAAACACTAAAAGGAAGCCAAATATCAAAAGACTATATAATGCTATAATAGTGCTACAGTGCTTTATGTTTGTGGATGCTGACTAAGGCTTCCAAACTTTTGTGCCACCCAACAGAGATTTCATAGGTGCCCACAGTATACTACCAAGAAATAGTAACCTATGGATTACTCTGGTCTAGTGACATAAGTAGTAATAAATACTTGAGAGGTGATGTTTATTACAAATATCTGAAATATATACATTGATTGATTGTAATAACATTTTCACAATTTTTGTTAATATTTTCTTCAGCCCCAGGTTGGCTCACTTATTTAACAAGTTATCTATTTAGTGCCTACTCAGTACTAAGGAGCTATATCTTTTGCCTGTTAATCATTTACCATTTAGTGGAGTAAGACTTAAATATTACTGCCCAACTGACAAAATAATATGTCAAAGTGTAGGTCATGGATTATATTATGGGTATGCTTGGACCTTTATTGAATTTCATTTTTTTTTGGTAACAGAGGTCCGGTGGACACATTAAATATGACTACAGTACCATAGTGTCTTTGCCAAATTTATCCGTCTGAGATTCAACACTCTTCATGTGATGACATCTAATTTTAATGCATTTTAAGCTTGTCAGTGGTCAGTTTTAAAGCCATTGAAACCATCAAATTGCAAGGGCTCCTTGTACCTACAGGTCTTGATGCAGGACCCCGGCTCTATGAACTTAGTTGTAGTTCTCTGAGGTGCTCCTAGAGCTGTCAATATGAGGAGTGGTAAGTAGGTTACCTTCAATGAGGTTTCCTGGAATGTAGGCAGTTGTTTGGGATTTAGAGAAGACTGTCATCAGGTGCTAAACTCTTCAACAAATATTAATAAGTTACCTGGAGACTCTGTAACTAATTCGGCTACAAAGACTTGTATCTGTGTATTTTAAAACCAAAGCTACTATTGTCTTTAAATTCCAGATTTCCAGAGTAACAGGAACGTATATAGAAAATTCATTCAACCAAAATGTATTTGAGGAGTTTGGAATACACTGGGAACAAAACAATTATCTTTCCCTTCCTGGAGCTTACATTCTAGCTGGGAAAATAAAGACAGGAGACAAAAAGCATAATAAACAGTTATGATATATTAGAAAGTGATACATATGTGACAAAATAGAGCATTGGGGGTTGGCAAAGATTTCCCTAAAGGATTTTAAAAAGAAGGGGTGGTAATAGAGTATGCTTTGGTTCGATGAAGGTTCCTTCATGCCTTTTCGATGTAATCTATTAAACAAATTTAATATATTAGGGAATGTACAGTATTTGCTAAATTGCTTCAATTTTGCCATGTATCTGCCTGCCACAAAGGCAAAACACCATTTGTCATATAAACAATTCTAAGTAATTATTTTGTCCTAAAATATTTGTTCTTAATAGCTTTTCTGAGCAATCTGTTCTGTTTCTAAAGATAGTTGAAAACTGTATTTTCAAGAATGGTTTTCAGAATTTAAATTTTAGTAGGTGGACTAAGTTTTGACATATCATAAAAAGGTGTTGTAGATCAGTGAATGATCATAGAAGATTTATGAAAACAGGGAAATTCAGGTTTAGCACTTAAAATATATATAATAGAATAAAGATCTAAAGCCTATTCAGAAGTTGGAGAGGTTTCAGTTAGAGAAAAATGTCAGGAGAAAATTTAGATAAGGGAAAGAATGTTGAGACTTAACTGCCCCTCAGAAGTAATCTTACATTTTCATCAGGTACATATATTTATGAGAGGAATTACTCTGACATTTTTGATAAGTACCCAACCAAAAAATGTAAGTAATAGTTTGTCTTAGAGTCCCAAATAATGCTTTGTAGTGAATAGCCCTAATTGAGAACTGCAGTTGAATGGATCATTATTTCATTTTTAGTCTGAATTGCATGTTGCTGGGAGTAGAATCTGTATTTCTTTGAATTTCCCCATCCTATATCTCACTTGGTATTTTTAAGGTCAGTTAAGCACAGTAAATAATCTTTGCTCAGCAAGCAACCCACATCACCATCTTCCTGTCTGATGTAGCTAATAAATTCTAAGCAAACTTCAAACTCCTTGTGAAGCTTCCTAATGGATGCCTCACTGGACTGAAGAGCTTTTGGAAGCAAAATAAAATAATCATCTAAAGTTGAATGTTTTTGGATCAAGGTTACTAGGTCAACACTAAATTTGAAACCATTTTGAGAGACATTTTTTAATGGCACTTAGAAATTATGGCTAAAGATCAGGCTGTTACATGTGATGTAGCTCAGGTCCTTTGATGCTAAAGGTCTACAACTGACTTCTGTGTAAGATGTATTTTTAAAAACATTAACTGTGATTTAAAGTAGCAAGAGACAGTGTTCAGGCCAGGGAAAATAAAATCTCCCTCTCCAGGTTTTTGGTTGAAATGGTTTGAGTTCAGTAATTTTATTGAACCTGAAAAAATATTATTAATAGCTGCCTTCACAAAGGGAAATAGGGAAGCTGGCCCCTGTCAATTCCTGCTTAGGAGTTGCCGAGACATTTTGAGATTGCAAGAAAACTGTGGATGAAATCCATACCAATTAGAGATCCTGTGTGTTTGGAACCATTTAAAAATGTTGTGCAGGGCTCAAAGGAATTAGTAAAGCTTGCTGCAGTACAGCTACATTATTAATCTCCAAAGAGAATAGATACCAGATGTTCACAGTGCCCAAGGACACCTCAGTGTTCTTGACAGCCTTAGTCATATTGTCCTCAAACAGATTCAAATGCCTGAAATGATTATGGGTGATAAGGCTACACCGTTTGTACATCTGAACTTGTTAATAATTTTTTGAAGAAATGCACTATTTTTGATAGGCAGGAAAAGTAAACATGATAAATTTGATATTTGTAAAAAAAATGTCTAAAGCAAAACAGTAGAAATTCTTTGCCTATTTTTAAAAATGTTTTTCCACTTGACCCAGTGATAGCCATATTCAGGCTAAGTGATTATCTTTTTGTGTGTGCGTGCTTAAACAAAATAAATTTACTTCACTGAGTTCTGGAGGCTGGGAAGTCCAAGATCAAGGAGCTCACTGATTCAGTTCCCGGGGAGGGTTCTCTATCCTGGCTTATAGGCAGTCATCATCATTTTTTTTTTCTGATTTTTTATTGTGGTGAAATACACATAAGAAAATTAGCATGTTAACTGTTTTTCAGTGTACAGTTCAGTGGTATGAAATACATTCACATTGTTGTGCAACCATCACCACCATCCAACTTCAGAACTCTTTTCATCCTGTAAAAAGGAAACTCTGGACCCCTAAATAATAATGCTCCTTTCCATCTTCCCACCATCCCCTGGCAACTATCATTCTACTTTCTGTCTCTGTAATTTTGACTGCTCTAAGTGGAAGTTATTACCTTTTAATTCAGTCATATATTGTAAATATAATGTAAATAATGAAATATGTGATATTTTCTTTATAATTCATTTAAGAAATATTTCCATGAGCTTGGTGTTGAAGTTGTAGTAGTTAATAAAGTAATCATGGTCTCATAGTACTTAGTGAAAGAAGCAAACATTAATCAAAAATTACCCATATAAATAAATAATTGCAAACCATGATACATGGCTTGGAAAGAAAGTACTACTGGGTGCTGCAAACATGTTTGACCTGGGAACCTGACCTAGAATTAAAGCTCCAGCCATATTGATTGAGCACCTACTTTGTGTCAAAAAGCAAAACAGATTACAATGGTCATTTAAGGCATTACAGCCATTGACTCTCAGTTTGGTGGACCACAAGATAATTAGGAACAACAACAAACAAATTAAAAATAAAATAAAAATCAAAAAGATTCTTGTAGTCTTTCTTCAAATATGGCTTCTGTTCAGTATCCTTTGGAGCATTTGAGTAATGCTTAAGTTTTTTTTAACATGTCTAAATATTTTTATATCACTAATTTTATTGCAAAAATTCCATTAGGAAAGTAATATTGTAACATTTGAACACTTCAGAAAACAGAGAAAGATGGGATGAGTGATAGGGACCTTGATTCCAAATATCTTAAAATAAACCTCATTGTGTTCTTCCTGTAGCCTTCCTTCCCTGCAGGTTGTAAAAGAGTAGTCTCTGTTCACTGTCTTCTTCACTATGCTTTCCAATCTAATACTCATTGTTGAAATCTGCAGTGTCTCTCAGGTCTTACTTAACTTGTCCTTTCTCTAGATTATGTGACTGCTGTCTGTCCTCCATCCTTAAGCAATTTTCTCCTTTTTCAGACTCTGTCCTGATTCCCTTGTCCTCTTCCTATTTCTGGAAATGCTCTTTTCTTTTCCTCTACTGACTCTTATTCTTTTGCTTAACATTTAAATACCTGCCTGGTTCTCCTCTCCGTTTATATTCATCCCTCCTACATATCCTTATCCAGGACCTTACTGTCTTTTATGTTGTGATGACTTTCCAATCTGCATCTTGAGCTTGGCTCTCATTTCTGAGCCCACATATTCCTTTGTCTCCTAGATCCACAAGAAACTGATTTTGTTATTTTCTCTGTAAAAATGTATCTCTAGCATGATTCAGCTAGTCACACAAGCTGGAAACCTAGTAATAATGTGATCCTGCCCTTCTTCACTGCCCTGCATGTACTGCAATCACCAAAATCAGTAAACTTTGCTCTCTTGATTGCTCTATAAACTCTCCCCTGCTTCCCAGTCCCATTAAAGCTTCATTATTTCTGTTCCAGTACAGTCTCTCATCTGATATATACGTTTCCATGTTCCCTCTTATCCCGAATCCCTCCAGTCTGCTTTCAGAACCATTTTTCTAAAATACAAATTTGATCATGTTACTAGGCTGCTTAAAAGCCTTCAGGTGGCCCCCAATCATCATTTTATCTAGAATGCCCCTGGCAGCAGTGCCACCACCATTTACAACTACTGGGTTCCTGGACAGCTAGATGAGAAAGCAGGATAACTGGTAACCAAAATAAAGTTAATTTTTGAATAGTATATTGTATTTAAATTTTATTTGCATTTTTATCTGCATGAATTTTTAGAGTCTATAGGTTTATGCTAATTTCATGTATATTGTAAATTCCCTACTTTTCAAGACACATATATATAATTTTTTTTTTTTTTGAGACAGAGTCTCACTCTGTCGCCCAGGCTGGAATGCAGTGACACAATCTTGGCTCACTGCAACTGCCACCTCCAAGGTTCAAGCGATTCTCCCACCTCAGCCTCCAGGGTAGCTGGGACTAGAGGCATGCACCACCATGCCCGGCTAATTTCTGTATTTTTAGTAAAGATGGGTTTCACCATGTTGCCCAGGCTGGTCTCGAACTCCTGACCTTAGGTGATCCACCTGCCTCAGCCTCCCAAAGTGCTGGGATTAGAGGTGTGAGCCACCATGCCCAGCCAAGATAAATATTTTAAATATCATTTTTATTTCAGGTACCTCTTAATAAAGCTGAATGAAGCATGGGAGAATGTTTGCCAAAACTAATGATTTTCTTTTTGTCATGTTTACTCTTTGTCTGGACTGAACTAGTTTGCTTCTTGAGACTATTGTTGGTTTGAAGTAATGAAATCATGTCATCAGCATATGGGGGACACATCCTTATATTTGCAATGGCAGGAGGGAAGAAATACAGAAATTCTCAAACAATACAAAGCAAATATAAACTTGAAAAGTGGTCTAAGAAATTCCTTTCCACTTAAGTAGGCAATGAAGAGACCATTCTGACCTACCAATTCTAACTCAGATGCCATTGCAGATGTCATAAAAGTTTGTGTTAATCTCATACAGCTAACCCATAATCCGTTTTTAGCCACAGAGTTAAATCTGAGCCAGTTAAAGCGGCTAAAACTTACACTGATTTTGATATTTTTAATCAAGATTTTTAAAATGTAATTGTAGTTAGTAGAAAAATTATGATGCGTCAAATTTGTTGCTTCTTCAAATGAAATATTAGATGAAGAGACTAAAGTCTGCAGTTTATTAAAAAAAAAATCTTGCCTTCTTATTCAAGATGATAAACTGAGCATACATGTTTGTTTCCCCTCTCTCCCAAGAGATATCTTTAAAATGAGAGTAAGAAAAAGAAGAGGAGGAGTAGGAGGAGTAAAAGTAGAAGAAATCCATTGCAAAGAGAATTGGAGTGGGGTAGGGAGCCTTTAGAAAAGGAAGCTCAAAGTTTTCCCAAGAAAAAAAAAATGGGTGGAAATGCATTAATGGGTGTGACCAATTAAAGAAAGTTGCAGCCCAAAATATGTACAAGAGTTGTTGCCGATGCCCAGCAGAATTACAAAAAGGCTCAGAACTCAGAATTGACAAGAGCAAAATGGGGACCTGACAACGAGGTGCTTAACTGAAAGTCTAAATAACAACTAGACTAGTTTTACATTTTCCTTATCTTCATATTTAGAATGACAGATCATTAGTTACCCACAAGAAAACAAGCCTGGAAGACTGCTCTCTTAAGATATTAAACAGCTTGTCTGGGATAATTGGGGTTGCTATTGAGGTGTTGATATTCCAGAGTAAACCATTCCCCATTGAGGTATTCAGGGAACGCCAGGATGAAGCCTTGTCCATCAGCAAGTGATGACAGCAGTCCTGGAGTTCCCAGGCAGCTTTTATATTCAGAGGAAAGGCTTGCTAAGGATACAAACCCATACTACATCTAATGGCAGAGAAAACCTCCATCAGATGTGTAGGATAACTGACCTTGGCCTCCATGTTTAAATAGGAACTGTTGATCAAAGATCCCCAAAGACAGATGAAGGAAACTAAGAGCTTGAAATTTAAAAATCAAGATAAAGAGAACAATTTCCCAGAAGGAGCAGAGATATTTTAGGGAATCATAGAAAAACTAAAATAAAACAACTCTCTAGTTAATATTCTCAGAAATATTTGAAAAGATACTTTGTTTATAAAATAAGATGATACTGTTACCAAGAAAGCCAGAGGTAAGAATAATGTGAAAAAATAAGTTGCCAAAAAAATACCTACAATGCAATGTCATTTATATAAAATTCTGAACATTTAAAATGGTATATTTTGTTTCTGGATATAGACATGTGTAGAAGATTAATCAAAATAACTGTCGGAATGGTAGGTGAGTAATTGTCTTTGGAGTACTAGGAGGCATAAGAGTAGGGAACAAGGTTAGAGGCAGATCTGCTGTAATCGTTAGAGAAAGATGGGGAGAAAGAAACCTGAAGCCAATATAGAAAACAAGGTAGTATCTGTGAAACCTGGGCAGTGAACATCTGTTAAATTGTGGATACCTAGTCCATTATTTGTATACTTTTGCATATGCTTGAAATGTTTGTCATTAAAAACTCAAAAAGTAAAATTTTGAATACAGAAGTTTGTACAGTTGTGTAATAAAGTCATAATCCAAACAAAAATAAAAAGAAGTGTGGCATGCCTTTTAACAAGTGTTGCTGTATAAAAAATGGAAAATCAATTTGATTTTCGGTCTCCTAGGATTACTTGTTGCAGTAAGGATTTGGCAGAATAACACAAATAATGTTTATTAGTTTTCAGCTCTTAGAATCTATAGAAAAGCACAGAAGACTTAATTATGGTTGGTCACTGGAGTGGGGCAAAGGATAGGTGGAGGGAAGATGAGGGTGCTAAGGCTGTCTTACAGAGTGGGGAGCTGAATGGTATTATCTTAAGCTACTAAATATCTACTTAAGCTAGATATTCATGCATTCGATTTTTCATTTATGAGATAGTTTTTTTGGAACACCTTTTATGTAGCAGGCACTTTTTTAGTTTGTTGCCAGTACAATGGTAAATGAAACAAACTCCCTGCTTTTATTTTTACTTACATTCTAGTTCAAGAGGCAGACATTACCCAATTAGGTTTTAAAGAAATTAAAAATAACCTGAGTATTAAAAGATTGGAAAGGGGAATGGAGGGGAGATTATGTAGGTATAAGTACTAAATCTTAATCTTTCATAAGAAGAAATGAATTTATAATGTCTAAAACAGCACTGTGCAAGGATGGAAATGTTCTATGTCTGTGGAAATCTTGGTGGAAATGTTCCATATGTATATCTGTGCTGTCTAATATGGTCGCCATTAGCTACTTGTAACTGCTGAGAACTTGAAATGTGGCTAGTGTGACTGAGAAACTGTAATTTTATTTAATTTTAATTAATTCAAATTTAAACAATAACATGACTGATAACTACTGTATTGGACAGCACAGGTTTAAAATGAAATAATCAAGAGACAGCAGCATAAGCACATTTTTAAAGAAACAGAAAATCTATTTATCATGGTTTCCTGTGGGTATGGAAGAATTGACAGGGAATGTCTCATTATGAGCCATCTTGTTTGATTTTCTACCACATGCCCATATTTGGTTGATTGCCACTTAAATTTTTGGAAGACTATATTGCAACCAAATGGGTCTTTGAAGGGGATTAAAGAATCATTTTTTAAATGAGATAGACTTTATACCTGAAGCATCAGTTAAGTGAATATTTTATTTTATTTTTTGAGACGGAGTCTTGCTCTGTTGCCCAGGCTGGAGTGCAGTGGTGCGATCTCGGCTCACTGCAAGCTCCACTTCCTGGGTTCATGCCATTCTCCTGCCTCAGCCTCCCGAGTAGCTGGGACTACAGGCAGCCCCCACCACGCCTGGCTAATTTTTTTGTATTTTTTTTTTTTTTGTAGAGGCGGGGTTTCATTGTATTAGCCAGGATGGTCTTGACCTCCTGACCTCATGATCCACCCCCCCAGAGTGAATATTAAATAATTTGGCAAGAGTCAGGACTCTAAGTTTCAAACAATTCTTGTTAGCAGGGGGACTACATAGAGAGTTGGATTATTTATTTTGAATTAGGTAATAAGGTAAATTGTGGTCAGTGAGGTTAGCAGATTCCAGCTACAAATAATCTGAATACTACAAATTTTGAAATATGGCCTTGGAATTAGAGAGCTGTGAGGACTGATACACACACAAATAAAGACCTGTACCTCCAGCTTGTCTCACCAAAACTGTGCTAAAATATGTATCATCATTATTGACCCATCACCCAAACCCAGTGGGATTCATTGCGTTCAAACTTACTTTACATTTGAAAATAACAAAACATGTGTAATTACCTTTCAATTCAATAAGTTCTCATTCATGAGTAGTTTCTGCTGGGTTCTGTTGATGAGTCATGTAGCTGACTAGCAAGGTTTCTAATTTTTATTTTAGGGTGGGGAAGGATTAGGGGAAGTGGAAGCTGTATAGCAATTCTTGTTAAATTAAGAATAGGACAATGAGGGCCACATTTTCTAGATATGGTACAGATAGAATTGGCTTCAACTTGTTTACACTCTGTTGCTAACTTTAACAACATGTTTCACAGATTTTTTTAAAGAAGGTGGAATTGATTGGGATGGAGAGCTAAGAAAGTTTTACTTATGAGGCAGTTGGCATGAAACATTTAGAATTTGTCAACAGAATACTACTTGTGGAGAGCTATGCCATTATTCAATTATGGGCTCAAGTAGACTTGAAACAGATTTATTAAGCTACATTATGGGTTGGAGGGGGAATGATTATTTATGCTGCAATCTAAAAAAAAAATCCATTCTAGTGTAGATGATATAGCAAGCACCAAAGACGCTACAACAACTAATCTGGATCACTTTCTCTTATATTTGAGATGAAAATGAGCATATTCTGGAGTTGCTTCACATGACATGAGTAGTATGACGTTATATCTGCAGATGAATGTGGCCTGATGGGTGAATAAAATTGAGGCAGAACAGCCATATTTCAACTTGCCTGCTTCAGTTGTACTACATATATTTATTTGCTATCTGGAGATGGTAATTCTTTGAAGGGTGAAACTATTTATTGAAAATAAGGCATCCTTGATAATAATAGGCTAATATCTAAAAAGTACAGTTTATATTCTTTGAAATGAAATGATAATAGGCCTAATCCAATCTCATCAAATAGAAACTAAGGGATGTATTGGGGGTGGGGTGAACTGAGTCTGTTTATACAGGTTTTCACATGACTTTTCTTTTAAAAAGTGCATGGAATGCATCCAAAACAAATAATGTTTTGTTAGAAGACCAAAAGGAAAATCCTAGAGAAAGGAGGATGGATGATCTTTCTTTAATGTCAAAACTGACATAAACACACTCCCCTTCCCCCACCCTTTTACTCAAGATAATTTTCTCAACAAGACGCAGATTGCTTTAGTCTCTGCCTATTACCCTTTGAAGCACTTTCCTTATTATTAGGAGTTGGGGCAAGGTTTCCTTTGAGGATTTTTACAGCAGTGAAGAGTTCCTTCTTTAAATACTTTCACATGATGAGGGAATTCCGCTTTCAAAGTGCTGTCATCACTGTGGCTTCTCTGCCATAAGGCAGTTTATTACTGGGGGAAGGTCCTTCTTAGTTTGATTGTCATTAAGTACTTACCTTTCTGATGTACTCTTTGTATAGAATGTCACTTTTTCTGAGAAGTCTAGCAAAGCAACTCAGCATTCTCCTTTGTTAACCTTATTGGCCAAAGTTAGCCATGATTCTCTTTTGAAATGCGTTCCACCACAGTGAGTTACAGTCTCCAGCGTGGTTTTTCGTGTCCATCTCCACTAATCAGGATTTGGGTTGACATATTGAATATTCCATTTTGAAAACTGCCATCTCTTCTACAGGGCAAAGAGACATTGTGAGTTTTGGGGAGTTTTGAAATATCTTTATTTATTTTTATTTTTATTTTTGACTGTCTCTTCTAATGTTTAAATAATGCCATGGTAAACAACAAACTATTCAAGCATCAACAGTTTCCCAGAAACACTGAAATCTTTTGAGACCTGCACTCTGTTTCAACCTCCCTCATCCTGCTCTATTCTTCAATATAGTTTTCTGGAAAATCCTGTGCATATCTAATTCAGGTAGAAAAAAATTGAGGAAGAAAGTGGAACATAAGAAGAGAGTCCTAAAGTCAGAATATTCATATCCTAGTTTTGGCTTTGCTACTTACTGCCTGTGTAACCTTGGCAAGTAACTTATCCTTCTGTTCCCTCCCACCCCCAAAACCCTGTAAAATGAGTGAACTCTATGAACTTCATGTTTCTCCTCTCCTAAATACACAAGAAGTAAACCTCTCCCCCACATAAAGAGGCGTAATCACAGTGATTGAGCCACGTTGGACAGTGCAGTGAGAAACTAGCATTGATATTTCCTAAATTAGTCTGTAAGGAGTATGATTTTATTCTCTCTCTTTCTTGTGGAACTCTCTGATGTGCTGTAATTGTTTATCTCATTTGCTTATTTAAGGCTAACTGGAAATCAGTTTAAGAAACATTTGAGTTGTGCCTTTGTACTGGACACTGTGTTAGGCAATGAGAATACTCAGGTCAATGAATTTAGACTCTGCCTTCAAGGTGTTCACTAACTAGTAAGGGAGGAAAGCATGAAAATAAATTACAAATCCAGGGTGATGCCTAGAACAAGATAAATAAATATAAGATGCAATGTAGCATAAAGGAAAAATATATACATGTGTATATCTATTTCTCCATACCTATTTTGAACTCTAGAAATAGGACTATGTGGTGCTGGGGTAAGGTAGCTTTATGGTAAATTTAATACAACAATGAAACTCCTAAACCTGTTTACTACTAAATCAAGTGTGTCCCTCCCACAATATCAGTTGCCTTAAATTGCAATTAAATGAGTTATGCCCTTGAAGGTTAAAAAGGAAAATACAGAATATTTTCTTTCTTTTCATAGATAAATGACTTTATTTTTCAATGTCCTCAAATATCACCATTAAACCTGTTTTCACTAGCAATTGGCACTTCTATTATTAACAAAGAAGAACCCCTAAATGTGTCAAGTAACCATTGTAAACCAAATATTATAGCCTAGAATATATTCAAATTCTCTTCAGAATTTAGAAAATGGGAAGAAATTCATTTTCTTAAGAATGCTAGTATGTCTCAGCATAATTAATTTTTGTGAAAGGTTATAGTCTGGAAGTTTAAGGTTTTCCTGGTGCTTTGTAGCAATTTTGAGCTCAAATCAAGGAATTAGAAGGTGTTAACACTCTTGGTGTTAAATCTAGCACTGACTATCAATACTATACTCTTGCATCGTGGAGGATGAGGGAGCTTTGGGGATTTGGCCTAATCTGTTTTGTTTGAAACTAAAAATCATGTTGTTGAAGTTTGCATTCTGTTTTCTTTCAATAGGTGTATTAACACAAAGCACCAGGTTCTTAACGGGCTTCTTCCTTTCTGCAGAAGTAAATGTGACTTGTGAAAAAGAAAAAAAAATTGCACCAGCACTTCAGCAACATCGCCCCTCTTTCATCATTTTGGGGATTCAGGCTTCAGCTCAGTAACTCCAGACATATTTTGGGGAAACATAAAAACATGCCCATAAGTACTGAACATAAAACCTGACTGTACACTCAAAACATTTGTACAATCCTATGATCCATTTACCATCAAGTTTCTTAAAGTGTGCATATATTTTTAAAATCACTAGAATAAATAAAACTTTGAACTAGATGCTCTTTGAGATAAGGTGCTGCCCAGAGATGTCTGAGGACTGATGCTCTATGAGTCTCTTATGAAGTGAACAAGCTTCTTGCCCATAAAAATAGATAGATGCTATGATTTCCAGATAACCCTTTTTCCAGGAAATTAGATGAGGATGGTGACAACAGGATAGTCGTTTTGTTAAACAAAATTTTAACTATCCAAACTAGGTACTGAAAAAGCTTGCTTTCTAAGGAGGCATGGAATAGTTGAAAAGTTAACAGCCAGACCAATTGATTGTGTTTTGGAAAACATCGTAATGGAAGATTCATAGTGCTTCAGGGCCATGCTGAGTGACTCTGAAGACAAGAGAAAGAGTGGTGAGAGAGAGCCTTCTAAGTTCAAGGATACTCTAGAAAACTATTGGATGGTCTAAGAATGTCTCATGAAGCACCAAACCCTAATGCAACTGTAATCTGAATATGAGGAAAGGGTTAAAAAATAACTGTACTCTTGCAAAATATATTTTCCTTCAGCTTTTGACCTTTCTTTTTTCAGGTTGAAAAGTTAAACATACACTAAGGATTTTCATTATTTGCTTAGTATTTCTTTAAAATGCATTCTAACCCAAGGCTGTGTATCTCTCCTCTCTGCTTTGATTCTTGTGCCTGCTGTGTCCCAGGTTGGCCTTCATTCCACGATGTGATCAATTCTGAGGCAATCACATTCACAGATGACTTTTCCTATGGGATGCACAGGGTGGAAACAAGCTGCTCTCAGGTGAGTTCATCCTTTCTGAAAACCCAATACATTGCTTTCAGGACTCCTGGTTGTGCTAAATATAGCAACTAAGGCCAAGCGACTGGTCACAAGAAGGACAGACAAGCATGACGAAGTTTATATGAAGTCCGATGGATGCCTATGTTCAGGTGTTTAGCAAGTCTAGTGGAATGTTAAGGTCGGCATGATAGCTCAAGCCTGTAATCCCATACTTTGAGAGGGCCAAGTGGGGAGGATCACTTGAGGCCAGAAGTTCAAGACGAGTCCGGGCAACCTAGTGAGACCTCGTCTCTACAGAAAATATTTTAAAACTTAGCAGGGCATGGTAGCATATGCCTGTAGTTCTAGCTACTCAGGGGGGCTGAAGCAGGAGAATCACTGGAGCCCAGGAGGTCGAGGCTGCAGTGAGCTGTGATCATGCCACTGTAGTCTAGCCTGGGAGACAGAGCAAGACCCTGTCTCATAAATTAAATAAATAAATAAATAAATAAATAAATAAATAAATAAAATGTCAGTTATTGGCTTCACCACTATTAAACAAAATCATTGGTAGGAAAAATATCATCTTCAATTGGCTCAGTAAATTGAAGAGTGGGCTGTTCTTGGGGCATATGAAGATTTCATTATGTGGCTTTGAATAACCTGATATTTTGATAATCTCCCTCTCCTTGCAGTTCTGTGTACCCACTGTTCAGTCAGAATGCCTCTACTGGCAGTGATCCAAACACAATCAAGGAAGACCTCAGAAATGGCTTTTCTTAGGTGGGTGTGAGGAAGGTGGTTGAAGAGAGGCTGTAGGAAGTGAAAGTTCAGTGGTAGGTTGGCTACATGAGATAAGGTAATTCCTTTTCTGCTTCTCCTGATATACAGACATCCTCATTTCCAATAATTTCCTAATTAGTTCTGTCCATCTGCTTTAACCAAATTAATGCTGGCTCTAAGGAAGCAAATGAGCATGTGTTGAGGAGGAGGCAAAAATAGTTAATCTGACACCCACAATCGAGAGACTTGAACTTGTGGGTATTTTGTGCTTAAACACAGAGACATAGAATCTCCATCTACATGGAATAAGAGCAGCTGCATATTCTATGGAAGGCAATCTTGTTCTTTCAAC
Source organism: Homo sapiens (assembly GCF_000001405.40). NCBI lineage: Eukaryota > Metazoa > Chordata > Mammalia > Primates > Hominidae > Homo > Homo sapiens. The sequence continues at coordinate 65,454,940 of NC_000012.12, forward strand.
CTGCTTTAAATAAGTGAAATGTAAAGTCTGCAATATTGTGGCATTGAAAGTTATTGACACCACAGGGTATTTTGTTGGGGAATCTGTTGGACATATCAGAGGTACAGGAGCATGATCAGGCAGCTGTAATAGCAAAGTGATTGCCATATGGGCCTCCCTCAGCATTCTTTACCTGCCCTTTATCCATTTTTCTTTAACCCCCTCCACCAGGCACAAAATGTTTAGGGAGTAGGTGGCATATTTACTACCAAGTAGGGAGGGAGGTTAGTTTGAACCTAACCTTCTGATGAATTTTTGTTTTTATTAAAAAAAAAAAAAAAAAGACTGGCAAGTCTCCTGTCCTTCAAGTGTGAGGACTACTCTCTCTCTTGAAAATTAGACTTCATATTTTATCTGAATCACATTTTCAGCTCACTCTTGTTTCTCAGAGTGGAGTCTCTGATGGTGATAGTGGAACTTTCTGGTGCTGGGTTTCACCCACAGAGGGTCTAATGTAATTGGACAGGTTTAGTGTGGGGAGCAGCATTTTTAAAAGCTCCTCTGGTTAGTGCTCACCATAACCTTCTGAGGTAGGTCCTTTTTTCTCTCTGTTATTTTACAGTTGAGGAAACTGAGGCACAAAGAGAGCAATTAAACTTGGGTCAGCTTATGTGGATTTAAGTGGCAGAGCTGAGACTTGAATTGGGGTACTCTCCAGAGCTCTTTATGGTGCCCAGATAGATAGACAGGTTGAAAAGAGTCATTAAAATTTAAAAATCTCATGATTTTCCAGCAGTTGGCTTAATGCGATATAGTTTGGGGTTTTTTTTGTTTTTGAAATGGGATCTTACTCTGTTGCCAAGGCTGGAGTGTGGTGGCATGATCTTGGCTCACGGCAACCTCCACCCGCCGAGCTCAAGCAATCCTCTCACCTCAACCTCCCAAGTAGCTGGGACCATAGGTACACACCACCACATCCAGATAATTTTTTGTATTTTTGGTAGAGATAGGGTTTCACCATGTTGCCCCACTGGTCTTGAACTCCCGAGCTCAAGTGATCCACCTGCCTCAGCCTCCTAAAGTGCTGGGATTACAGGCATGAGCCACCGTGCCCAGCCTGCAATTTAGTTTTAAATTCAATTAAATTTGATTGATGATTTTATAACTGTCACAAAAAGGTAAACTATAAGTAGGATGGCTTACATTAATTTGTAACTTAGGTACACAGTATTTAGTAAACCTCTTTTAAGACTAATCGTTGTTTCTTTTATTTTCTTTTTCAAGCTACAAATGCTGTTACGTGATCGTTTTAACTCGTTTTCACTCAGAACCCATTTTCAAACATTGAATCTTATGAAAACTAAATTTAAAAGGCACAGAAAAATGAAGCATAAGATATTAACTTTACTTATGGCCCTACTTTCTAACCTCTTTGTGACAAATTCTTATAATTCACTGTTGGAATAAGCTTCTTTCTTTCTCTGTGCCAGTCACATAGATAACATCAGTAGTAGTCTAGGAAAGATCATTATGAAGATGTCCTACAGTGACCAAAGAGAAATGAAACCCACAAACAATGCCAAAATTAGGCAACATTCCTAAAAGAAGTCAGGCTAAACCAAGCATAGCTGTTGGCCCCTCAGTTAAAGCCCAAGGTGACTGTTCCTGTTCTTTCCTAACAGTTGTGTGATGAACCAACACTGACCTGCTCCCTTTTGGCTTCTTTTTCCACAGCCTTCACTTTTCATATTTAGAAAGTGTTTGACTCTTTCTTAAATAGAACTCTTAAATTTAAAGAAAAGAGGGAGAGGAATTTGTTCCGCTAAGGCATGTATGAAAATACACGCTTTGGAGTAAAGTAAGTTCTATGCAGGAGAGAATGAGGTTCCAGCACTAACGAATGGTATGTGTGCCACACCCTTGCCCTTGTGGATGGAGGAGGGGGTGTCTGCCACCTAAGCACAAAAACAGCGTACTGAATTCAAGTGGACTGGGTATCTTTCATTTCAATTTCTCTGTCTTTTATTTGTGTGTTCCATTCACGTTTATTTTCCTTTTGTTTTATAATTTTCTTTCTTTTTTTAAAATTTTCCTTTTTCTCAGGCATCTTTTTTTACCTTGACTTGATAAAATAAAAGATTTAGTAGTTCCCATGCTAGAGCAGTCACTTGTATTTTACTTCCTAGTTTCTCATTTTTAGCACTATTTTTTCATTATCTGTTTATCTTCTTTTACCTTACAGTTTTTCAGTTCATGTAGTCTCTTCTTCTGCTCAGAACTTCTCCCGTTTATTTTATTTTATTTTATTATTTTTTATTATGCTTTAAGTTCTGGGAAACATGTGCAGAACGTGCAGGTTTGTTACATAGGTATACACGTGCCATGGTGGTTTGCTGCACCCATCAACCCATCATCTGCATTAGGTATTTCTCCTAATGCTATCCCTCCCCTAGCCCCCAATCACCTGACAGGTCCTGGTGTGTGATGTTCCCCTCCCTGTGTCCATGTGTTCTCATTGTTCCACTCCCACTTATGAGTGAGAACATGTGGTGTTTGGTTTTCTGTTCCTGTGTTAGTTTGCTGAGAATGATGGTTTCCAGCTTCATCCATGTCCCTGCAAAGGACATGAACTCATCCTTTTTTATGGCTGCATAGTATTCCATGGTGTAATTGACAAATGGAATCTAATTAAACTAAAGAGCTTTTGCACAACAAAAGAAACTATCATCAGACTAAACAGGCAACCTACAGAATGAGAGAAAATTTTTGCAATCTATCCATCTGACAAATGGCTAATATCCAGAATCTACAAAGAAATTAAACAAATTTACAAGAAAAAAAAAAACAAACCCATCAAAAAGTGGGTGAAGGATATGAACAGACACTTCTCAAAAGAAGACATTTATGCAGCCAGCTTCTCCCATTTTTTAAGAGTTTTATTTTATTATTATTATTATTATTTTGCTGGTGAGATAATGTGGGAAACTATTCTGGTTTGCTCTCTTTCTAAAATTCTTGTTGTATTCTTAATTTACGTGGCTTGTCTTTTCTCTGGACTGAGTTGCCTCAATATGGTTTGTGTTATAAAAAATCTATTAGATGCTTTTAGTGTGTTGTAGACATTTTCAGTCGGATGTGTTATGTGGTGTATTTCTTTCCTTTTGGTAAAGATGGAATATCTAAATACGAAGAACCTTTAACTGCCAACTTCTACAAATGAACTGAGCCTTCATGGACAAAACCTGAATCAACTCAACCTGATCAGCAGTTTGGCAATATGGCAATATTTCATTGTTCTTTTGGTTCCTACCTAATTCTCACTTCAGTGCTTAGGATCCTTTTTTAAAAAAAATTGTGGTAGGGATGACACCATGCATACAGTGAATTAGGCCTCATATTTGCATAGGAATTGTAGACTCATTGGGAGCCAATAGCCTACCACCGCTTTACAGTACATTGTAAAGAGGTTTGTCCATGTGTCCAGTGACTTCTCAGATAATGTTTTTAGTAAAGATTTACTGAGAGAGTTCAGATTGGTTCAGTCCTATCACCACTTTTTCTAGAAGTGTTGCAGTGAGGTTCTTCTAAAAGAATTGTTGTGTAGGAAACAGCACACTGCCTAATCTTTGCATTGACAGCACTGAAAACAAGCAAGGGTCGGAGAGATTCTTCACTGTCTTCATTATAATTGTTGCTTATGGGTACCCTGTTATATTCTGATTTCTGTTGCAATTTTACTTGTTCTCTTTTGTTATTCCACCTACTGAATTGAGGAATTACATTTCAGTTATCTCTTCCAAAGAGGATCTTCATCTTAAATTTACTCGCTTTGGTGGGCACATGTATTTTCCCTCCAGCTGCAGCCATCTTGTAACAATTTTCAGCTATAAAGAATTTTCCTTGATTTAATTTATATTTTCAACTAGTGATAAAATACATTGCTTCTATTCCAGTTTCACTGACTACTATGAATAATTATTCAACAGCCTCTCCCTAATCCTCCAACCCCAGCCTGTTAAGCAACGCTTTGTCAGGAGTTTAAATTCAGTGCAAAGAAGTAAGATTTCCACAGTTTAACCTGCAGTTCAGTGAAGTAAGTTCCTTCTAGAATACTTGGGGAATTCTTCCTTCTTCAGATCAAAATCCTCCAGCTGGAGCAAATGGGAGACTAATAAATCACTTAACTTTTTGTAATATTTTTTTAAGGAAACCATCAGATCTCTGAATTTACCCACGTTGGAGTCTATTTATGAGTGCTGCTATTACTGCTTGAGTCTATGGTATAGTCCCTTAAGTTTGTTTAAGATCATTATTAATTTGTTCTAAGTCAGCCAAATCAACAGAAAGGTAAATATGCACCAATAGAAAGTATTTTTCAAAAGTTAAGCAGTTTTTGGTAAAAACCCCAAACCTTATTAATCTTCTACAGATGACAACTCACATATTGCTGATGATTAAAGATACACATGTGTTACAATAGGGCTTCAGACTCACAGCCCATCTCTCTTTTTCTTGATCTTTCAGTAAAATCATAATGCTAAACTGGTGACTTCACAGTCATTTCCTTGGCAAAAGATTAATATCACAAGCACAGAGGAAAAAAAGCCCCCACTTACACACAAGTGTCTTCAATAACAGTGGGAGAAAACAGAATACTACTGGCAAAGTAAATTGCTTTTCTTCTTAAAACTTTTCCCATCCTGCCCCATGTGTCCAAGTGTAAAAGCCCTGCTTTGAAAATGCTTCATTTCATAGATCAAACACTTAAGAGAAAATGACAATAATAAAGCCCAAACATCCTAGGAATAGCTAGGAGAAAAACCTCTAAGACAGTGGGAAATACATCAGTGCAGAAAAATGTAACTGTGTTGAATACACTATTTGTGTTTCTTATGTATACAATTGAGAACTGCAGTCAGATTTTAAGGAATTATGTTAAACTTGATGCTCAAACACTTATTTTAGGGGGTCCTTTCCCTTGGTTCTCTGCAGGTTCTTTAGCTGCCAGCTTTTCTGAGTGGGAGGCTTAGGTGATAAAGGATTGTTGTGAGAATTCAAATTTTTTCTTTTGAACAATCATCTGATGCTCTTCAGAATGAAGACCAGTATATTCAGGTACATTTACCTGTGAAATAAAGAAACACATAACCATTAAAAACAACATTCAAAATGCACACTAAAGATTCTATCCTGAAATAAATCATTAACAGCAGGTCTCAGAGATTTCTTCATCGAGCAACCAGTTTGTTTCAGTTACAACCAGGTGTACTGAGAAACCCCAACACATTGCCAGTTGGCTGGGGCCTGGGAGGCAGAGCTTGCAGGCAGCTAAAGAAACAATGCTCCTCTGGCAACTTCCATTTATCCTCCCAGCTTTCCCAAGGCTAGAAGCTGCAAAGAATGGGCTCCGTGCGCGTACTCTCAGGGAGGAGCCTTCAAGGCTTGTGCGCTTTTCAAAGAAACCGGGTAACAGTCCTTTCTGGGAGACTAGGTTTACCTGGGAGGAGGCTCGAATGGCACTGCGTGGTTAGGCTTCCCTCAGACAAATGGCTTTGCCGGCAGTGGGGCGGGGATGTATGTGGTGCCACAGATACAGATGAACACCTTTCTATGTTTTGAGATGATGCTCTTCCCTTAGTAACCTAAGGCTGCTATGACTCTTCCAGAACACCCTGTGGCAAGTATAATGAAGCCATAACTATCATTTTCAGGGGACTCAAACCGTTTCTGAGGATTTTTCTACCCCCATCCTCAACCCATATATTTGTTAGCAAATAGTTTTCATAGTCTTTTTCTAACTATAATTTCTCTTCCTCACTTTTTTTTTTTTTTTTTGCCTTGGATTAGGGACACACCTAGAATCAGTGTTTTCCTTTCTATTTAACCAGAATACTAGTACCAGATTAGCAAATGAAACTACAGGTTGAAAACTCACCCAGTTCAACAGATTCAATTACTGTAATTTGGATTTTTAAAATATGATTTGGGAAATTAAGACCATATAACTCATTCTTAAACACCTTCAAATATATCCTCACTATGCTTTATTTTTGGTGTAGAATAAATAGAAATATTTTCTAAAGATGCTCAAGAGATTATTAGCAAAGGCAATATCATTTATTTTTCCCAGATAGCTGCATTCTCTCATTAAACACACACACACACACCCCTAAGGCTTTTAGGTATATGAAAACTTCATCTCTTAAATGCCAAGTGATCCAAGTGCTGGAGCTGCATCTGAGATCAGTAATTGTGCACACACACTGGTCACTGAGAGCACTGGTTCCTGTTGGACAGCACCTTGACTATTTTGGTAGGCAGAAATGGGTGTTTCCTGTGTCCGTTGGGCAAGCATATGTATTTTTACTGGTTCATCTTAGCTGTGGATGCCTAAAAATTTGGCATCAATTGTTTATAGAAAGGAAAAGCAGTCTGACCTGTCAGCCTTGATATTACCTAAACCTGCATCGAATGTGGTAAAATAATACAAGATTTGTTTTTTAGGCCTGTTTCATATTTTCTAGGCAATAGATCAAATCAGTTCAGGGTTCATTTTTAGCTCTTTAATAAACTGACAGAGTTTGCTGGCAGTGAAATGAGAATGCACTTTTAACATGGAAGTGCCATACAGTCAAAGTTGCTATTTCTGCTATTTATTAATAACTAGGGAATACTTGAGAATTGAGCTTAGCATGTTCAACAGGGAAACTAAGATTCTAGTGCTTTTCATTGTAATGAGCACTTTCTCTCATTTTTCTCTCTTCATCTCCATTTGGTGTCTCATCCCCAGTCCCTTGTGAATTCATACTCTTTCCTTGAAACTTATAAGTGTTTTATACACCAAATCAGCACAGTGAGAATTAACAAATCATTGATATGCTTTTTCTCTCATACTCTTACCTAAATCTTGACTCTTCCCTCTTCTCGAAATGCCCTCCCCTAGAGATACACTTCTTCCAGGTCCTTATTCCAAAGTCACCCCAGGTAGGCCTCTTCTGACCACCCTATCTAACATTTCATATCACCTTCCTTTTTTGCTCCCTTAGCATTGCTTTCTACCTTCCATGCTTTATAGTTCACTTGTTTTCTTGTGTACTGTCTGTCTCTCCCACTAGAATGTAAGCTCTATGAGGCCAGGGATTGTTGCCTGTACTCCAGAGTCTAAAACAGTGCCTGGCATATAGCAGGCACTCCATTAATAAACGAATGAATGGAAGTCATTTACCCCAGGCTTTGGTTTCTTTGATCCATGATAAATGATGGATTTTCACAGCCTGCTTGAATATGGTGCACCAGTGTCTCCATCTCGTTCGCCCCATCCCTGATGGAAAAGGGCAGTAGATATCTAAGTGTGACATGTACCTTCATCTCCTGGAGCTGTACCCAGCATCAACGCAGTTAGTGTAGGGGTGTTCACTGAGCCAGCCTTTTTGGAGAAACTTTCTCTGGGCTTTATTTCTCTCAAACACCAACATGATGTTCCTTCTGCCTCTGTCTAGACCTTAGGTCTCTTCTTCCCCAGCTTTTTGAATAGTCAGTAAAATTGATTTTAGCTAAACAGCTTATTGCTTTTCTTTATATTAGAGTTCATTTGGATAAAGAAGCCAGCATGACACTACTTGTTGGAAGCCAGGAAAAAAACAATTGTGTGTGCTAGAGATGTTTCCTTTTGCTACATTTGCAGCCCTGGTGACTGTGACATAAATCTATTGAGCCTTGCCATTGCTTCGCTGGGTTCCAAGAACATCCAATACTTGTCTGATGTTAAGTTTTACTGCCCATGAAAGCAAACATCACCTCTGTCATGGCCAGTTAAACAGTATCTTTTCAGTGGACTTCTGCATATCTGAAACCCACCCATCCAAAGCCAAAAGTAATGCCGGGGGAAAGATTTTATGCTGCCATGTTTCTTACAAGGGAAGATCAAGGGTCAACTTGATTCATAAAATTACTGCAGTCATTTTTCAGCTGGCTGAGAGACTTCACAGATCAAAAAATACGTGGCTCCTAAATGATTTCTGATATGCACAATTCTAGTGTTTTTTGTTCTCAGCATGTGGCGCAAAGCCTGCCAGAAACCATCTTTGCGGCTATTGACAGGCGGATTAGAAATCATCCACGATGGTTTCCTTCATTTCTCTACAGGCTGGTCATCCATTTAAACTGCTTAATGTGAATTCCTCTCAAAGCCTGCTTTGTACATGCTTTTCCCTGACGTTTTGTTCTTCTCTTTCAGTGTGGTGCTCACCTTGGGCACATTTTTGATGATGGGCCTCGTCCAACTGGGAAAAGATACTGCATAAATTCGGCTGCCTTGTCTTTTACACCTGCGGATAGCAGTGGCACCGCCGAGGGAGGCAGTGGGGTCGCCAGCCCGGCCCAGGCAGACAAAGCGGAGCTCTAGAGTAATGGAGAGTGATGGAAACAAAGTGTACTTAATGCACAGCTTATTAAAAAAATCAAAATTGTTATCTTAATAGATATATTTTTTCAAAAACTATAAGGGCAGTTTTGTGCTATTGATATTTTTTCTTCTTTTGCTTAAACAGAAGCCCTGGCCATCCATGTATTTTGCAATTGACTAGATCAAGAACTGTTTATAGCTTTAGCAAATGGAGACAGCTTTGTGAAACTTCTTCACAAGCCACTTATACCCTTTGGCATTCTTTTCTTTGAGCACATGGCTTCTTTTGCAGTTTTTCCCCCTTTGATTCAGAAGCAGAGGGTTCATGGTCTTCAAACATGAAAATAGAGATCTCCTCTGCAGTGTAGAGACCAGAGCTGGGCAGTGCAGGGCATGGAGACCTGCAAGACACATGGCCTTGAGGCCTTTGCACAGACCCACCTAAGATAAGGTTGGAGTGATGTTTTAATGAGACTGTTCAGCTTTGTGGAAAGTTTGAGCTAAGGTCATTTTTTTTTTTCTCACTGAAAGGGTGTGAAGGTCTAAAGTCTTTCCTTATGTTAAATTGTTGCCAGATCCAAAGGGGCATACTGAGTGTTGTGGCAGAGAAGTAAACATTACCACACTGTTAGGCCTTTATTTTATTTTATTTTCCATCGAAAGCATTGGAGGCCCAGTGCAATGGCTCACGCCTGTGATCCCAGCACTTTGGGAGGCCAAGGCGGGTGGATCACGAGGTCAGGAGATGGAGACCATCCTGGCTAACATGGTGAAACCCCGTCTCTACTAAAAATACGAAAAATTAGCCAGGCGTGGTGGTGGGCACCTGTAGTCCCAGCTACTCAGGAGGCTGAGGCAGGAGAATGGCGTGAACCCGGAAGGCGGAGCTTGCAGTTAGCCGAGATCATGCCACTGCACTCCAGCCTACATGACAATGTGACACTCCATCTCAAAAAATAATAATAATAACAATATAAGAACTAGCTGGGCATGGTGGCGCATGCATGTAGTCCCAGCTACTCCTGAGGCTCAGTCAGGAGAATCGCTTGAACTTGGGAGGCGGAGGTTGCAGTGAGCTGAGCTCATACCACTGCACTCCAGCCTGAACAGAGTGAGATCCTGTCAAAAAAGAAAAGAAAAAGAAAGCAGCATTCAAATGTAAGACAACTGTAAAATATTGAGCCCCACTTGGTCTAAAATTCAAAAAGAAGAACGCCTGTCCATCGCCTTTTTATAAGTCCTTCTCTCCACACCTAAAAGCAGCTGCAGCTGGAAGGGCACAAATTCCACTGTGTAAAATAAAATATTAGGGGCAACACACTTCATCAAGGCAGCAGGAATGAGAGAGAGCAGAGAAGATCAAGGATGAAGTCTTGGGTACTGAAAAATTCAGTGCTGGGCAGAAAAACTGACAGGGCAGTACAAGTAACAAACAGAATCCAAGTGGGGTGGCCCTTGTGCACAGAGCTCCAGGTGACCTCTGGAGAGACATGGGCATTCACATGGAAAGCTAAAACGGAAGCTCAAGTTTCATACTCAACATAATCTTCTGTGTGACAAAGGACAAGCCATGTAGCCTCTCTGTGCCTATTTCTTCATGCATAAACTGGGACTCATAATATTTGTAAAATGTATTGATACTCTCAGGGCAAATTCACTATATTGCTATACAGTTGAGATCAGTGTTGTAAAATTAAACTGATCTGGTTCTAATTGCCTCAAAGGCCAAAGCCCAGGCATTTGAAATGGAAAGAAGCAGAGAGGAGGCTGACTTAGCTGATTGGTATGGAAACAGTTGGGCCAAGAGCCAGAATTTCCCTTTGTAGCAACACGGCTAGTTTTACTTTGAGAAGCTCTGCTCAGCTGCTTTATAACATTAAGTCTGGCGGAATGGATGTCACTGTGCACAATAAAGTTTTCACAAGTATAAACAATGGTGATGTAAGTCAACATTGCTGTAGCCAGGTGTGAAGGTTGTATGGTGTGTGACGAATGTACATCATGTTTGTAGGTTTGGATGCTAATCTTGAATTGTAGTTTAAAAAATACGTATTTTTGTAACTCTTTGAAAGTTTATGAAGACTGACAGCTTTCCTTGTAAGCACTAAGAGAAAAAAAAGAAAGAGGGACATTTGACAATTTTAAAGAAACAACAAGAAATTAGAATGAAAATCTGTGACAAACAGCGTCAGTGTGGCCATGTCCACATTCCTACATGTCTCTCTCTACAAGCACCTCTCTAAGAAGCCTGACATCCCGGTGGACTCTTTATAGTCATGTACACTTGATTCCAGATGAGCTCTGGTCTTATCTGGATGCTCAGATAAGAGGTTTCTATCTGAGCATCCAGATGTTCCCTCAGGTTCCAAGACATTTCACCCCAGGCCCTGGGTTCACTCTGGAATTCGTAGGCTTCACGTCTCTCTAGAAATGACGTGTAAAATTTAAGACCAGACCTCAGCCATCAGCGTCCAGACCATCCTAGAAGTCTTTCCCAATCTCACAGAGAAAGCCCTAGTATTTCCCAGTGACCCCAGGATTCCACGTTGGGGTGGCCAAAGAAATAGGTCTCTCAGGGCTTTGCCACAGCCTCCAGCCCATCCTTCAGAGGCACACACAGCACCTCTCGGCTGCTCCAGCTCTGTAGGATAGCCTCCCCTGGGGTCCGTGGGACGCGGGCCACAGTGTTGAGGTAGACAAGGAGGATCAGTGAGAGGCCTCTTCCCTCTCCACAGAGACTGGATTGTCATTGTTCCTTCATTTATATCGTAGGGCTTAACATTTCACTCAAAAAAAAGCCCCTCTTTTTCTAATCCTTAGTCTTTGTTTCAAGGAAAGCCAGTTTTTCTTCTACCACATTTTCCAGGATCGACTTTAAGAAAAATGCAACATCTATTGAAAAAAAGTGGGGTGTATGCATGTGGTTTAATTCCAGATTGCTTTTGGGTTTAAGTGGTATCAAATTTCAGTATATTTCTGTCTTATGTGAAAGAAATATATTACTAAAACGTCAGTGAGCAATAATGTCAGCTGTCAAGCACTAGATTTATTTTTGCAGGATATGGAGTGCAATGAACTGAGTCAATATGGCAAGGTGTATGTGATCTGTGGGAGTTATGCCATTTAACATAGGAAGTGCATGGGACTTTCCCTCTCTGCACTCCAGCTCTTACTGTACCATTAGAAGATGCAGAATTCTGTTGGTGTGCAAAAAGTATAGCCTTACATTCAAGCAGAATGGATCTGAAGAAAGCAGCAATATCTGTTACTAGAGAACATTCCCATGTGTTTAAACTCTTCACTTCTTAGATGCATTTAAATTCTTAATGCAAATGACGTAGCAATTTGAAAACTTCTCCGTATTACTTGTGTTTAAAATGTCTTGCTTTAAATACAAAACAAATGGTAAAGGGGATTATCTTTTGTTTAGATGGTTAAATATTATTTTTGCCTTAGATAGCTTTGTAATAATTTTTCTCCAGACAGTTCAACACTTTTGAAAAATGACATGAATTTTCATTAAAAACCCTTTTCCTATGTTTATTGTATACAAGAATTATGCAATAAAATTTCTTTATAAAAATATTTTCTTCTTTGATTCCTGAAGACTCCTTTTATTTTCAGCACAGATACATGGACTGGAGTTTGTAGCAGACTGTTCTGTTTGCCTCCTTAACCAGCTGACAAGTCTGTAGTCTATATGGAGAGCCTTTCATCTGATGCAGTCTTTGGAAGTTGGGTCTCTTACAGTAGGGTCAAGTCCAACTCTCCACACCACAGGCCCTGGGAGAGGCCTCCAGGGATCTGAAAGACTGGAGGAAAGGGAAACATTTGCAGAATTACTCAACCTTCACCTCACCTCAGCAAAATCTTCAGCAGCTTGTGTATGTTTCTTGCTTAAAATATGGATTTGGGAGTTCCACCATAAAACTCTGTGGGTAAAAATGCAGGAATGATACCACGCTGATGCCTTGGCTTCTGTTAAAAAATTTGACAGGAAACTTACACTATCATTGAGGGTTGTTCTCTGTGGAAGTATATTAGGAGCTTTCCACTGCTTACAGATGATTTCACTGATAAAAGCCATCTCTACAGATAAGTTTTGGTATTGTATTATTTGTTGTTGAAATGTTGAGTTGTTTTGTATTGTTGATTTATTTACTTTAGGAGGCAGAAGTGGGATGATGAAGACTTTTGTTCTTCAGCCAATTCTTTAAGTCATACTCCTGGTATCTTAAAATTCACAGGCCAGCAACTTTATGTAGTATACCTTAGAGCACTGCTTTTCATAGTGTAGTCCTCAGACACTGAGGTATCAGCATCACCTGGGAACTTGCCAGAAATACAAGTTAATCAAAAGTTCTGGGCTGGGGCCTTAGCAATCTGCATTTTAGAAAGCCCTCCATGTGATTCTTGTGCTTAACCACTGCCTTGGAACTTTTAGTGAGAAAACTTCAATTAGTATTAATTTTAAAAGCATTTATATCTGACCCTCGAAAACGACTTTTTTTTCATCAGTCCTTTTCTTTCTATAGGGGTGGGTGGATAGTTTTTCCAAAATGTCATGCCTTGTAGCGCTTCTCGTCCCTCACTGCCCATTTGTCTTGTCCAGGAGGACTAGTCTGTCCTCATTCACTAGCACCACTTTAATTCCTATTAGCATTTCTGGACTGAGCCTGGGCTGCCCAGTGGTGCTTCCCAGTGCCTTTCTAGACCACAGGATGTCCATGGCAGGGTTCATCACAGTAATTCCAAGAATTAGAGAGCAGACTTCAGTGTATAAATTTACATATCACCTTTCTCATCTCTTCTATTTTCTTATACTTCCTTTCAAAATTATCATCATTTTTTTTAACCATTTAAGATATTTCTTCAAAGGTGCCATGTACCCAAATCTTCAACTCTTTCTTTTTGTCAGAAAACTGCTGTTACCTAGATCTTAACAACAAAACGACTTTTGGAAGATACTGACATTCGAAAAAGGTTGAATTTAAAAACTGTGTTTGGGACAAGCTTACTAGCACCCCATACAGGTTTCAAACCAGAGCTCATGGTTCTTTACACAGCAGATTGAAATTTCACCATATTTTGATGATTTTTTACCTGAAAAAGCCCTCTGCCATAGAAGAATATTCTGGCAAGAATGCTTCCCATACACTTACTCCCAAGAGGTCAGTCTTGTGGGCCAGTCTAGGAGGAATTGGCCCAAAAATGACTGTAAGCTCTGAATGAGGCAGCTCTGACACCCCTTGCCCAAAACACCTGAAAGGCTGTCCTGTGGGTGTAAAGAGCTTTTATGGAACCATCATGAAATAAAACCATGGTGACCTGAAATTTGGTAGCCAAATCAGATTCCTAGCCCACATGAGATTTTCCTAATTTTTAGTTGATTACAAAACCATACCAACTTGTCAGATTATGAATGCCAGGGAGTTAGTTTCTTTCTTTCTTTCTCTATTTTTTTTTTTTTTTTTGGAGTCTCACTGCTCTGTTGCCCAGGCTGGAGTGCAGTGGCATGATCTCAGCTCACTGCAACCTCTGCTTCCCAGGTTGAAGCGATCCTCCCACCTCAGCCTCCTGAGTAGCTGGGATTACAGGTGGGCACCACCATACCTGGCTAATTTTTGTATTTTTAGTAGAGATGGGGTTTCACCATCTTGGCCAGGCTGGTCTTGAACCCCTGACCTTATGTGATCTATTCACCTCGCCCTCCCACAGTGCTAAGATTACAGGTGTGAGCCACCATGCCCAGCCAAGGAGCCTCATTCTTATTTCAAGGTTTTCAACGCTCCTCCCTGCAGTGTCTACCCTGCTATTCCCAGTAAGCATATACTCACTCACCCTTATTATCATGGAACCAGACAAATTTTCTGGAATAAGCAGAAGGGAAAGTCAGTCAGAAATTAATAAGTGCTTAGTTCAGCACAGCCCCGACATGGGCAAGGTATAGAAGCGTAAATAACTAGAAAGCAAAGTAAAAGAGGTTTTATGTATAAATACAGCCCAGGAGAGAGTCATAATTGTTAAGTTGCAGTTGCCTGAACTTTATTCCCATGGCCTTCAATCCCACCACAGGATTTCTTTTTACCTTAATGATACTGTGGATTGAATAACCTCTGTCAATAAGTCAGGCACTTGATCCATTATTTCTACTGTGAGGTAGGTAGTCTTATCCTCATTTTACAGATGATAGTGCTAACAGCTCAAAAAATTAAGACAAATTACATAGCTAGTCCATGGCCAAGCTAAAATTGAAATCCAAGTTCCTGTGACTTCAAACACTGAGCCCCTAGCTCCACTCTGGGCTGCCTCCCATGTAGGACACTGGCTACTTGGATAGTGTTCAGCTGTGGTGGGTTTGAACCTGGGGGAAAAATGTATATAGCATTTCTTATTTGTTTCAAGTTAACTGCAATTCACACTTCCGAAACACATTCTGCATTGTGACTGTGTTATTTCAGAGAGGCCTAATTAAGCCTTCGTACGTCTTGATTTTCTTACACTTTGGTGACAGAAAGTTTCATATTTTTCTTCAAAGGGCTAACTTTAACACTCCTAATAATTCTTTTTTTTTTAATTAAAACAATTTTTTTACTTCAATAGCTTTTGGGGTACCAGTGGTTTTTGCTAACACGGATGAATTCTATGGTGGCAAATTCTCAGATTTTAGTGCATCCATCACCCAAGTAACACTCCTAAGAATTTTAACTACCACAGCAAAAAAAGTCCTATTCTGGATTCATATAGAAAAAAGAAAGAATAGAGGTGATACTAAAGATGCATTTAACCAAAATATTCAGTTTCTGGCATAGCTGATCCAGCTCATCCTTTCTCATCCAAAAAGATATAAAGCCCAGGTGGTGGGGGTGGGGTGGCTTTACCAATGTCACTAAGTCAGAGTCTACCATGGGAGGGTGAAGAAGGAGGACAGGTTCGTGAGGGCTCTCACCACACTCAGAGCATGTCTGCAGGACACATGATGGACCTATCCCAGGAACTGATGGAATAAAGAGGTTTGTTTCTGTTTGATTACAATTCATGACAGATTGATAACTGCAGAGGCATTCAAACTTGGGGTTTTACCCCCCTTCTCTTTAACACCAGAGCTTATAAGGCTATTCAGGCATCTGGTGTTTGTTAGACGGCTGTGTTGCATCATCCTTATGATTGCTGGGGAACATCTCCTAGCATTCGAACGATTGGAGGAAAGACTATGGGGCACAAAATGGCCTCATCCGGTTTACATCTTTATTACTGGCTTCTCGCATACCTGCTTACATCTGGAAAAAATCTCCAGGTAAACCTCTTGGGCTCTTTCTCTAAAGAGTAACTGTAATTATTAGGGCTATACCCGAATTCAGCTTAGAATAGGTATGTCGCTGAACTTCAGCCAAAACCCTGTGCCTGTCTAAAAGAGATTTTCTTTTTTTACATCCAATTACATAGGAGGGGCCTTTTGCCCACACATGGCCAGTGGGGTTCCTGATTCTTTATGCCCAAGGCTTCTATTTATGCCCTTAGGGAAAAGACAGGGAAACTTTAGGGAAGAAACAGAGATCTCTTCAAATCTCCTCAGTGTTTTTTCCTCACTACCAAATCCCAGAATTCTAATATGGATTGCAGATCATGTCAAAATTTTACAAATGCTAAATCTTTACCCTGCTAGGTACTATCACAAACTTTACCTTACTAACCAACAGCATCAAAACAAAACAAAGAACAACAACAATAAAAATTACAAACAAAGCCAACTACCATCTCTGTTTCCAGCCTATCCCTCTAGTATATGGAGTTCATCCATTCAGCATGATTTATTGAGCACGTACTAGGGTACCAGGTACCATGCTTGGCACAGGAAACCCCAAACTGAATAAGACTCCCTGCGTCATGCAATTAGCTGGAAAAACAGACCTGCAGCTAATTATGCATAATACTGGCATGTTGCATAGGGTTATGCAGAAGTGTGAATAAAATGTAATGAAAACTCAACTGGGAGAAGGATGAATTATCCTCCCCTAGAAAAGGGATGAAGCAGGGAGAGTGGCAGTCAAGGAACTTCACTTAGAGATGAAAGTGCAGCTGGGTCTTGAAAACTACGTAGTCTTTCACATAGGAGAGACGAAAACAAGGTGGTTCAGAGAAACAATTGGGGTGTGATCTGTAACTTTTTCAAACACATTTCTGATTATTTTGATAAGTAGTTGTTGTCTAAGATCATCTCATAAGATGCTTTTTTCCATTTGCTTCCCCCCTCTCCTTTTAAGACATATATATATATATATGTGTCTTAAAACATGTATGTATATATATCCAGGCACACTTCATCTTACTGTGCTTCACTTTATTGTGATCCACATATAGTGCATTTTTTACAAATTAAAGGTTTACGGCCA
The DNA here is from genome assembly GCF_000001405.40 of Homo sapiens. Lineage (NCBI taxonomy): Eukaryota > Metazoa > Chordata > Mammalia > Primates > Hominidae > Homo > Homo sapiens. The sequence goes on from NC_000012.12 coordinate 65,471,716, forward strand.
CCCTGCATTAAGCAAGTTTTTGGTGCCATTTTTCCAGCAGCATGTGCTCACTTCATGTCTCTGTGTCACATTTTGGTGATTCTTGCTATATTTCAAACTTTTTAGTGTTTATTATTACATCTGTTATGGCAATCTGTGATTTAGTAATCTTTGATCTTACTCTCATAATTGTTTTGGGGCACCACCAACTGAGTCTATATAAATGGCAAACTTAATAAATGTTGTATGTTTTCTGACTGCTCCAATAACAAGTCATTTCTCTGTCCCTCTCCCTCTCCTTGTGCCTCCCTATTTCTTGAGACACAACAATATTGAAATTAGGCCAATGAATAACCCTACAATGCCCTCTAGGTGTCCAAGTGAAAGGAAGAGTCACATGTCTCTCACTTTAAATCAAAAGCTAGAAATGATTAAGTTTAGTGAGGAAGGCAGGTCGAAAGCCAAGACAGGCTTAAAGCTAGTTCACTTGCACCAAACAGTTAACCAAGTTGTGAATGCAAAGAAAAAGTTCTTGTAGGAAATTAAAAGTGCTACTCCAGGGAATGCATGAATGATAAGAAAGCAAAACAGCTTTATTGCTGATACAGAGAAAGTTTGAGTCATCTAGATAGAAGATCAAACCAGCCACAACATTTCTTTAAGCCAAAGCCTAATCCAGAGCAAGACCCTGACTCTCTTCAATTATATTAAGGCTGAAAGAGGTGAAGAAGCCACAAAAGAAAAGTTCGAAGCTAGCAAAGGGTAGTTCATAAGGTTTGAGTGCCAGGTGTAATATAATAGTGCTATAATGTAAAAATGCAAGGTGAAGCTGCAAGTGCTGATGGGGAAGCTGCAAGTTATCCAGATGATCCAGCCAAGGGAATTAATGAAAGTGGCTACACCAAAAAAGACTTTCAGTGTAAATGAAACAGCCTTCTATTGGAAGATGATGCTACCTAGGATTTTCATCACTAGAGAGGAGAAGTGAATGCCTGGCTTCAAAGCTTCAAAGGACAGGCTGACTTTCTTGTTAGGGTCTACTGTAGCCGGTGGCTTTAAGTTGAAGCCAGTGCTTATTTATCATTCTGAAAATCCTAGGACCCTGAAGAATTATGCTGAAACTACTCTGCCTGTTTTCCATAAATGAAACAACAAAGCCTGGATAACAGCATATCTCTTTACATCATGGTTTACAGAGTATTTTAAGCCTGCAGTTGAAATCTACTACTCAGAAAAATGATCCTTTCAAAATAGTTCTGCTTACTGACAATGTACCTGGTTACCCAAGAGCTCTGATGGAGATATACAAGGAGATGAATGTTGTTTTCATGCCTACTAATACAACATCCACTCTGAAGCCCGTGGATCAAAGAGTAATTTTTTAAGTCTTTTTATTTAAGAAATACATTTTGTAGGGCTATAGCTGACATAGACGGTGAGTCCTCTGGTGGATCTGGGCAAAGTAAATTGAAAACCTTCTGGAAAGGATTCACCATTTGAGATGCCATTAAGAATATTCATGACTCATGAGAGAAAGTTAAAATGTCAACATTAACAAGAATTTGAAAGAAGTTCATTTCAACCTTCATGGATGATTTTAAGGGGTTCAAGACTTTAGTGGAGGAAGTAACTGCAGATTACGGTGGTGGTGGAAATAGCAAGAGAACTAGAATTAGAAGTGAAGTCTGAAGATGTGACTGAATTGCTACAATCTCATGATAAAGCTTGAACAGAGGAGGAGTTGCTTCTTACAAATGACAAAGAAAGTGATTTTTTGTTGTTGTTGTTTGTTTGTTTGTTTTTTGAGACAGGCTCTTGCTATGTTGCCTAGGTTGGTCTCAAACTTCTGGGCTCAAGCTACCCTCCCATCTTGCCTCCCAAAGGGCTGGGATTACAGGCCTGATCTACTGCATCCAGCGCGAAAAGTGGTTTCTTGAGATGGCATCTACTCCCAGGGATGAGGCTGTGAACATTATTGAAATTACAATATAGGATTTAGAACATTACATAAACTTTTACAAGGAATTACATAGATAGGAAAAAGAGCAAAAATTAAAAATACTAAAATGACACCAACAACAAAAGAATATTATATAAACTTAGTTGATAAAGCAGCAGTGGGATTTGAGAGTACTAACTCCAGTTTTGAAAGAAGTTGTACTATGAGTAAAATGCTATCAAACAGCATCGCATGCTACAGAGAAATTGTTCATGAAAGGAGGAGTCAATCAATGCAGCAAACTTCACCACTGTCTTATTTTCAGAAATTGCCATGGCTACTCCCACCTTTAGCTACGACCACCCCGGTCAGTCAGCAGCCATCAACATTGAGGTAAGATCCTCCATCAGCAAAAAAAATTATGACTCATTGAAGGCTCAGATGATCATTAGCATTTTTTAGCAATAAAGTATTTTTAAGTAAGGTTTGTACGATGTTTAGACATAATGCTATTGTAGGCTTACTAGACTACACAATAGTATAAAAATAACTTTTATATGTACTGGGAAGCCAAAAAATTTGTGTGACTTGCTTTACTGAAATATTTACTTCCTTGCCATGATCTGTAACTGAACACATAGCATATCTTCAAGGTATGCCTGTATGTATGTATGTGTGTGTATACATACATGTATGTGTATATATATATGTATGTGTGTTTGTCTATGGACACCTATACATATATACACACACATACATACATACATACATACAAGCATACCTTGTATGTATATATACAGAGAGAGACAACCAAAGGAAGAGGAGGAGGAGGAGGAACTTAGGGAGAGGCTTCCGTGCCATTTCTTCCATTTTTGCATCCCACATCTAAGAAGAAAGCAGACTCTGTAAGGTCCTTCGTACCTGCTTATACCTCTGTTCTACTCCCTCTTCTCAGGGCAGACTATCATGAGCTTATCTGGACCTCTGCAGCATTGCCAAACTGGCTTCCTGTCTCTGTGCTCTCTCCCCTCCTCCCAGCCGCCACAATGAAGCCAGTGACCTTTTGAAATTATAAATCTGGGCACCTGGCATCCACTGTAGGACGTGGTGCAGACAAACTGTAGTTGAGTCTACAGAGGCCCTTCACAGTCTGGCTACAACCTGTCTGTCCTGGCTCCTCTCTCACCACTTCTTCCTCACTGAAGACTCTTACTACGCACAGAAGGTGGCACATCCTTTTATATAATGCTTTCTGCCTGAAATGTCCTTTTGCCTTTTTTGATTCATAGGCTTCAAGGATCCCTCAAATCCAGACTCCAATAGCATCTCTTTCATGCCGTATATTGCCAATTTCCTTTCCTTCTCTGGCGTAAATGTACAGTCACGTGATGCACAATAACATTTCAGTCAATGACGGACCTCATATGTGACCATAGTCCCTTAAGATTATAATGGAGCTGAAAAATTCCCATTGCCTATTGATGTTGTAGTAGTTATAGCACAGCACGTTACTTTTCTATGTTTAGGTATGTTGTGATACAAAAATACCACTGTGTCACAATTGCCTGCAGTATTCAGTACAGTAACATGCTGAACAGGCTTGTAGCCTAGGAGCAATGAGTTATACTAAATAGCCTAGGTGTGCAGTAGGCTATACCATCTAGGTTTGTTGAGTATACTCTATCATGTTTGCACAACAACAAAATCACCTAACACATTTCTCAGAATGTATCATCATTAAGTGACTGTATTCCCACTCTCACTTGTTCAGGTCTTGATTCTAGAGTTCATCACTTCGAATAATTGTCTCCCTCACCAGATTTGGAGCTCCTGTTGAGGAAAAACACTTTGAATAAATCAATATCTGGAACAAAAGGTAATTAGAATCCATTCTAAGCAAAATAGCTGGTGAAATTCATTTTCACTTCTCTTTTCTCTCATTTTCTTTGCCTTATCCTATCCTTTCTTGTAATACCCCATGTAGATCTGTTCTCTGAGCAATGCGCAGAGAACTAGAAGCTTAATCTGCTAGAAAATAGCTACCACCTACCCCCAGCGTTTATTAAAGGCTAGACCCATACTAACATTCATGATCTCATTTAGTCTTCTGGGCAACACAGAAGTCACAGACCGGAGGTTTAATGCAAGCTTTCTTTGCCTGAATCTTCTTAAAAACATATGTTTAAAAATAGATTTAAAGGGTACAAGGGTAGTTTTGTTACTTGGATATATTGCATAGTGGCAAAGTCTGGGTTTTTAGTGTAAACGTCATCTATAGTGTCCATCGTGCCCCACAGGTAATTTCTCATCCCTCACCTGCCTCTCACCCTCCCACATGCCTGAGTCTGCAGCATCTATTACTCCATTCTCTATGTTCACGTGTACACATTGTTTAGCTCCCACTTATAAGTGAGAGCATGTGATATTTGACTTTCTGTTAGTACATCTTTTTGCCAATATTTAAAAACCAGGAGATCTCACATCAAAACCCCACTTTTTTGATTATTTGGAATACAGAGGGAATCTGGCAGTTCTGGGCAGCTTCCAGGTAGTGCCAAGTGGCAGCTGCACACTTGAGGTGAGGATGACATTTCCATTTTGCCACAAGCCTTGCCATTTCCCATGGGCTCCCATTTGCCTTTATATCTGCACAGTTTCATTGTTTCTTAAAATATGCAAATATTTTGTATCCCTGCTTCTACCAAAATGGAAAAATAAATATACAGTATGAAGGCCACAGGACTTTTTTTAAAAAAACCTACCTATCTCCTGTAGACATTTGGTTTGTAACCCCTGTGGTAGGTAATATTATTATCCCTATTTTGCTGATGAGGAAATAGAGGCACAAGGAAGCAAATAACTTCACCATAATTATGTATCTAGAAAGCATCCGGCAAAGACATTTGACTATAACGCCTATACTCTTAAATGGAGGTCTCCAAACTTTTTGGTCCTACACCTCTATATAAATAAAAAATGTTAGCATGTCCAGCTAATATGTACATTCACTTTTAAATTATGTATGTTCACCACTAAAGTAATATAGTATTCAATTCTAAAATACATGCAAAAGTGAACAATTTTAAAAGATGAGAAAAAAATTTTAAAACATGAATTTTAAAGTAATTTTAATGTTATTTAAGATGGCATAAAGATGTTTACCTTTACTAAAATAAAAAGATGTTAATAATATCTTTAATGACAGCAGTGTGATTTGAGTACATTATTATTTTTTAAAACCTGGGTTTAAGAATTTATGAAACAGTGTTTAAAGGTCTGAATCTAAATTCGATTTATCTTAATATTTGCTGAAGTGGCTGACATAACTGAAAACTGCATTCTACAACAATGTCCCACATGGAAAGGTGCATGACAGGCTTGCTTACAGATCATGATATTCATTTTTTAATCTCAAATGCTGGCGTACAATGGTGTATGTGGAATTTTGGCTAGCAGATCTTCATATTCTCAGATGTCAATAAGTATGACTGACAATTATTCAAAGGTATTTTTTAAATACTTGAAAAATTTTCAAATGCCATTGAACACCATTAAAACCAGGTTTTAAAATTCTGATCTCAAGTTTTTTGAGCATGAAGCTATGAAAGATTCTTTAAGGTAAGACGCAAACATAAGATTCTTTAAGGTAAGGCCCAAACATGAGATTCTTTAAGGTAAGACACAAACATCTTTTTCTTCAATAAAAAATCACACAATGGAAACAGTTCCAAACATTCATGTTCAAAATATTTTCTCCAGATCTGATTTTCTTTAAAAAAAAAAAAAGCAGCGGCAATTATTCATTGTTGAGATGGCATTTTTACCTGAAAGGAATGGATTGAATGTATTTTTCAAAGATAATTTTTAAATAGCACACTACTGGCAGATGCTTGTCATCACAGAAAATGTTGGAAAATTTGCAACTTTTAAACTTTTTAAATTTAAATTTTAAATTTTAACTTGGAACTCATTTTTATGATTGTTAGCCCTTTCATGAAATAGGCCCAGTAAGTATAAAATATTTTCTTGGAACTCTTAAAAAGAACTCATCTTGATGAATGATAACCCTTCCATGAAATAGCTGGCAAGTATAAAATATTTTCATAGCTATTATTTATCTCACTGCAAGGTATTATAAAGATTTGACTGTATTTCCATGACCTATATTTCTAAAATTAACCATACACAGTAGCACTTCTGGCCTCAATCCCTCAGCTGAGCATTTGTCTACAAATAAATAAAGCACTGGATGATTTTCACATGCAGCACCCTTTCCAGAACCTTCTCATGGAATCTGGAAAGAATGGATTCTGGAATCTTGTGGAATCTGGAATCTCATGGAACATTCTTTTCCCCAACACTCCAGCCAAGGCAGCCCCCTCACTGGTGGCCACACCTAACAGAGTTTGCCATAAAGCATTATGTTTATTAAATTGATTATTTCCATCTTTTCTTTATTGGCTCACACAAAAAAGTTATGCATTATTGAAACAAATGCAGCAAATACCATAAGCCAAGATGTGCTAGAAACATCTACTCTTAATGCAACTGTAAAGGAAATTTCTGCACTATATAATTTGTTGGAATACTTGCTTCTTCACATCTTCACCATGCTGTGTCTGCATCTTCCAATTGCATTTACTTTCAGTAAATACATTTTAGTTTGTGACCATTGTGAAAATTTATTATACAAAGTGGAGGCATTACTGTCACATCCAACTAAAATAGAGTCAAGAGGCCTTGAAAAAAACATGCAGGTTACAAGGGGACCACTTCAATTGAAACAACCTGTTGTGACTTCAAGACTAGTTTTTTTCTTTCTTTCTTTCTTTCTTTCTTTCTTTCTTTCTTTCTTTCTTTCTTTCTTTCTTTCTTTCTTTCTTTCTTCTTTCTTTCCTTCTTTCCTTCTTTCTTTCTTCTTTCTTTTTCTTCTTTTCTTTTTTTTTTTTCACAGGGTCTCTCTCTGTTGCCCAGGCTAAGTGCAGTGGCATGATCACTGCTCACTGCAGCCTTAACCTGCCAAGCTGAAGTGATCCTCTCACCTCAGCCTCACCTGTAGCTGGGACTTCAGGCGCGTGCCATCATTCCCAGCTAATTTTTTAATTCTTTAATTTTTTTTTTAAGAGACGGTGTCTCACTGTGCTGCCCAAGCTGGTCTTGAACTCCTGGCTTCAAGAGATTCTACTACCTCAGCCTCCCAAAGTGCTGGGATTACAGGCATGAGCCACCACACCAGACCAAAACTAGTTTTACTGTGGTAGTAACTGCCACCACTGGCCAACCAGAGCTCCCCAGCTCAGGCATAGCCACAAGTGTTAACAAACTTTCTTTCAAGACAATTTATGTAGTTTTTCTCTCTCCTTACAAAAGCTCAACCTTCTCCTTTGTTCTTTGGACCCACCAGGGGCCACCCCAGTCTGTTGAATGTGCCCTGACTTGCAATTCTATTCTTTGAATATTCACAGATAACACCTTTTGCTTGGGATTGCATCCATCCATTTTTATTTGATATTGCCACCGTCTTCTTTTCAGATTATGGTAGTTACTGTCCCTGGGGCAGGAAAAGCAGTTGCAGAGAGACCATCTTTTCTATGCCTGGGTGAATGGTCATATCCTTTCTACTTTTGGTCCACTTCCAACACTTTACCTTTCAATGTTGTGAAGTATCTCCAAGAGGTGCTCTAAGGAGACTTTTTATTTTCTTTTGCCAGTGTCACTTCTTCTGAGGCATTTTTATCCTTTTCATCACCTCCACTTTCCTCATTTATGTCAATAAGTTTGCCTTCACTACATTCTCTGGCTGCAAACCTAGAGTGTCTCAAAGGGTGGCAGTGTGGACATCCATGGTCCCCTGTTTCTTCTATAATGCCATTTATGTTGGATTCTATTTCATTTCCAGCATTATCACTTTTCATTTCTTTGCTGCATTTTCCTATTTGTTAATACCTTATGAGGTTGCTCACAGTTAATCTACTGTGGTAATTGAAATTTGAGCTGTGTTGCTAGTAGACTAGTATTATTTAATAAAGCTGTAACTAAAATTTGTGCATAATGGAATCATGCAAAGTGATGACTACCTATACTGGCAAAGCATATTTTATTTAATTTTTCTTATTTTAGATAAAAGTTGTTATAATTAGTTTTAAAGTTTTCCCTACCTCCCGATACAATGTCATGTGTATTTGTGCTATTCTGGGCTTCTAATATGAACTTATTGAGCTTAACAACAGAGGTGATCATAATATCTCCAAGATATAATTTGCATTTTAATAGTGCCCCTAAATACACAAGTACTGTGGGAATTTAGGCAGGGCCTGTTGGATAACATCCTTACTCCAACTACTGAGCCTTGGTTCCCATGTCACTCTCTCTTCATAGGTAAACAATGAAACTACTTCTTTCATTGATTCTCTAGTTAAGCTTTTCTACATCTTCTGACATTGTCTTAGTTGTTTGTATTGCTTTAACAAAATACTTGAGACTGGGTAAGTTATAAAGAACAGAAATTTATTTCTCACAGTTCTAGAAGCTGGAAGTACAAGATCAAGGCACCAGCAGTTCTCACTTGTGTTGAGGACCCAATCGTTGCTTCCAAGATGGTGCCTTGTTGCTGTGTCCTTTAGCTGGGTTGAATAGTGTGTTCTTATATAGTAGAAGAGCAGAAGGGCAAAAAGGGGCCTACCTAGTTCCCTCCAACCCTTTTATAAGGCACTAATCTTATCTATGAAGGTAGAGCCCTCATGACTTAATCACCCCCCTTAAGGCCCTAGCTCTTACCACTGTTGCCTTGGGGATTAAGTTTCAACATAACTTTTGGAGGGAATGCGAGCATTCAAATCATAGCAGATAGCTTTGTAAAATAACTTCTAAAACATTTTTCTACTTTCCCAAATATGTCAGAAAATATACTAGTTACATTTTATTCCAAGAAATACCCATCCTGAGGTCTCTCTCACACACACAAACACACACACACACACACACACACACTTCACAATTCTGTGCTCCAGTTTGTACTGGTTGCTTCCTAGATCCTCTGTATAGATGATGCCCTGGATCCTTGTTTTGCCATTGTCCTAAGCATTCTTTTCACCTTTCTCCTGTGCTGGGTCCTTTGTTACCAAATGCCTTCATTTATGCCTTCTTTTCAGTACAGTACATCCTGTCTGGTTTCCTATGAAAAGGCACATGCAGGGTTAAAAGTTTTGTAATTTGGTATGTTTGAAAATAAGTCTATCCTGCTCTCACACTTTATTAGTATTTCCACAGAGTATAGAGTTCCAAAATGGAAATCATTTTTCCCTTCAAATTTTGAGGCATTGCTCTACTGACTTGTATTTTCCAGGGTTACTGTTGAGATATCCACTGGAGAGTCTGATCCTTTGTAAGAGTTTGGAAAAGATGATATGACCAGTGAAGGCTTTTTCCCATTCATTTTGCCAAGCACTTGGTAGGATTTTCAATCAGAGATATGTGTCCTTCCATTCTGAGAAATGTTCTCATATTATGTTTTTGTCATTATCCTTTGTTTTCTCTGTTCTTTATTGTTGTAATTTCTATTAGTCAGATGTTATATTTCCAGGACTGATTTAATTTTTTAATTTTCATTGCATTTCCATCACATCATTCTTTTTATTTCCTTTCTAGGAAATTCTCGCTCATTATTTTACAACCATTTTACTTAAAATTTTTTACACCTATCATTCATATACATATGTAATATATATATATCTTTCATATATTCTCCCCTCATTTCCAAGAGCTGTTGTTCCCTCATTGCTCCATTTTTACATCCTTTTCTTATTAAGAAAATGATATTTTTGTTTGGCTCATGCCTGTAATCCCAGCACTTTGGGACGCTGAGGTAAATGGGTTACTTGAGGCCAGGAGTTCAAGACCAACTGATGAAACCCTGTCTCTACAAGACAGGGTTTGTAGATGGCCAACATGATGAAACCCTGTCTCTACAAGAAAATACAAAAATTAGCCAGGCATGGTAGCATGTGCCTGTAGTCCCAGCTACTCAGGAGGCTGAGGCAGGAGAATCGCTTGAACCCGGGAGGCGGAGGTTGCAGTGAGCCAAGATCACACCGATGCACTCCAGCCCGGGTGACAGAGCGAGACTCTGTCAAATAAAAAAAAAAAGAAAATGAATGTTATTTTCTCATTTTTCTAAGAAAATTCATGATAATTTAAAAATGTTTTATTTCTCCACTCTGCATTGTGTTTCTTTGAGTGCCTTTTCAATTTGCATAGGCCCACGTCTTCTATGAGGAGATGTTCCCCAAGATCCTACTGGTCCTTGGCTGTCCAGTTCCAGTAACAGGGAAACATCAAACTGTCAATTATGTCTGATGGAAGTTTGCTGACCCATGGGTTTCATGGTAGAAGCGGTCCTCCTTCCTCTCCTCCTTCCTCTTCTCTTTCTCTTCCTCCTCCTCTTTCTCTTCCTCCTCCTTTTTTTTTTCTTTTTTGTGTGACTCCACATGTTTGATTGTTTTTACTTTGACAGGAGTATAAACTGGTACAACTATTTTGGGAAACAGTTTGTTATTGTTTTCCTCTGTGGTGATGTAGTTTTTCTCCAATCTCTTGCTGTCCCTGAGTCTAGAGTTTCCCTGGTACAACTGCTCCTTTCACCTACATTGGTGAGGCTGGAGGTGGGCAAGTCACTCGATTACAGCAGGCAGGGAGGAGGACTCAGGAATCTCACTTTTCTTTATACAGGATTAGTATAATTTATAAGGTAATATTTAATACAAATAATGTAATACATACATAAGTTTTGGAGCATAATATTAAGATGAGCATTTTAACCCATCACCCAATTTAAGAATTAGAGCAATACTAATACTTATGAATTTTATGTATGGACTCTTCTCCTCTGCCTTCATTTTCCTGCTCCAACTGGTAACTCCAAGTCTGAATTTTGTATTTTTTGCCATCTTATTTTATTTTCTAAAAATAGTAAATTGTTGTATCACATATATAAGTAACCATAAACAATATATTATGTAGCTTTGTTTAATTTTGTGCTTTATAAAAATGGTATCATGCTGTGTTGTCTGTGACTTGTTATTTTTCACTAAATATTTTCTGTTTCATTTATCTTCTTGTTTCCAACCATATTTCATTCATTTTACTACTGTGTGCTATTTCTTTGTGTGGCTACTGTGCCACAATTTGCTTTTTAGAGATGGAGTCTCACTATGTTTGCCAGGTTGGTCTTGAATGCCTGGCCTCAAGCAATCCTTCTACCTTGGCCTTCCAAAATGCCAGCATTACAGGCATGAGCTACTGTGCCCCACCAACCACAATTTTTAAATTTATTTTTCTGTCAATGGACATTTGGATTGTTTCCATTTTTTCGTTGCAACATACAACCTTATATAAAACTTTCTTTTCTTTTACATATCTTCTAGTATAGGGGTCCCGACCTTCCAGGCCACAGACTGGTACTGGCCTTTATAAATTACCCAGTCTCAGGTATTTCTTTATAGCAGTGTGAAAATGGACTAATACAGCCTGGGAGGCCTCAGAAAAATTATAATCATAGCAGAAGGTGAAGAGGAAGCAGGCACAACCTTTACATGGTGGAGCAGGAGACAGAGAGTGAAGGGGAAGTGCTACACACTTTTGAACAACCAGATCTCATGAGTATTCACTCACTATCATGAGAATAACAAGGGGGAAATCTGCCTCCACGATCCAATCACCTCCCAGCAGTCCCCTCCTCCAACATTGAAGATCATAATTCAACATGAGATTTGGGAAGGGACATATAGAGCCAAACCATATCATCGTGCTCCTGGCTTCTCCCAAATCTCATGTCCTTCTCACATCTCAAAACACAATCATGCCTTCCCAAAATCTTAACTCATTCCAGAATTAACTCAAAAGTCCAAGTCCAAAGTCTCATCTGAGACAAGGCAAGTCCCTTCTGTCTCTGAGCCTGTAAAATCAAAAACAAGTTAGTTACTTCCAAAATACAATGGGGGTACAAGCATTGGGTAAATGCTCTCATTCTAAAAGGGGTGAATTGGCCAAAACAAAGGGGCTAATGGCCCTATGCAAGTCTAAAACCCAGTGGGGCAGTCATTAAATCTTAATGCTCCAAAATAATCTCCTTTGACTCAGTGTCTCACATTCAGGAGACACTGATGCAAAGGTGGGCTCCCAAGGCCTTGGGCAGCTCTGCCCCTGTGGCTGTACAGGTTACAGCCCTCACAGCTGCTTTCACAGGCTGGCATTGAGTGCCTGTGACTTTTCCAGGTGCATGGTGCAAGCTGTCAGTGGATCTACCATTCTGGGGTCTCAGGATGGTGGCTCTCTTCTCACAGACCCACTAGACAGTGGCCCAATGGAGATTCTGCATTGGGGTTTCAACCCCACATTTCCCCTCTGCAGTGCCCTAGTAGAGGTTTTCCATGAGGGCTCCAACCCTGCAGCAGACTTCTGCTTGGACATCCAGATGTTTCCATACATCCTCTGAAATCTAGGTGGAGGCTCCCAAGCCTCAACTCTTGCCTTCTGCACATTCACAGACCCAACACCATGTGGAAGCCACCAAGGCTTGGGGCTTGCACCCTCTGAAGCAACAACCTGAGCTATACTTTGGCCCCTTTTAACTACAGCTGGAGCTGTAGCAGCTGGGACAAAGGGCACCATGTCCCAAGGCTGCATAGAACATCAGGGTCCTGCACCTGGCCCAGGAAACCATTTTTCCCTCCTGGGCCTCCAGGCCTGTGATGGGAGGGGCTGCCGTGAAGATCTTGGAAATACCGCAGAGGCGTTTCCTCCATTGTCTTGGCTAATAACATTCAGCTCTTCTTTACTTATGCAAATTTCTGCAGCCTTGAATTCCTCCCCAGAAAATGGGTTTTCCTTTTCCATTGCATGGTTGGGCTGCAAATTTTCCAAACTTCTATGCTCTGTTTACCTTTTAAATACAAGTTCTAGGCCAGGCGCGGTGGCTAACGCCTGTAATCCCAGCAGTTTGGGAGGCCGAGGCGGGTGGATCACGAGGTCAGGAGATCGAGACCTTCCTGGTTAACACGGTGAAACCTCGTCTCTACTAAAAATACAAAAACTTAGCCAGGCGCAGTGGCAGGTGCCTGTAATCCCAGCTACTCAGGAGGCTGAGGCAGGAGAATGGCATGAACACAGGAGGCAGAGCTTGCAGTGAGCCAAGATCATGCCATTGCACTCTGGCCTAGGCAAAAAGTAAGACTCTGTCTCAAAAAAAAAAAAAAAATACAAGTTCTAGTTTCAGGTCATTTTTAATTTTTTGCTTATGCAAATGAGCATAGGCTTTTAGAAGCAGCCAGGCCCATCGTGACCACTTTTCTGCTTAGAAATTTCTCCCACCGGATACCATAAATAATCTCTCTCAAGTTCAAAGTTCCAGGGATCTCTAGAGCAGGGGCACAATGCCACCAGTTTCTTTGCTAAAGCATAACCAAAAGTGACCTTTACTTTAGTTCCCAATAAGTTCCTCATCTCCATCTGAGACCACCTCAGCCTGGACTTCATTGTCCATATCACTATCAGCATTTTGGCCAAAACCATTCAATAAGTGTCTAAGAATTTCTCAACTTTCTCACATCTTCCTGTCTTCTTCTAAGCCCTCCAAACCATTCTAACTTCTACCTACTACCCAGTTGCAAAGCTGCTTCCACATTTTCAGGTATCTTTATAGCAATACCCCACCTCTGGTACCAATTTTCTGTATTAGTCCATTCTCACAATGTTATAAAGAACTACTTGAGACTGGGTAATTTATGAAGAAAAGAGGTTTAATTGACTCACAGTTCTGCAGGCTGTACAGGAGGCATGCCTGGGAGATCTCAGGGAACTTATAATCATGGCAGAGGGTGAAGGGGAAGCAGGCACATCTTCACATGGCAGAGTAGGAGAGAGAGAGAGAGTGAAGGGGGGAAGCACTACACTTTTAAACAACCAGACCTCATGAGAACTCACTCACTATCATGCAACAGCAAGGGGGATATCCACCCCCATATTCCAATCACCTCCCAGCAGGCCCCTCCTCCAACACTGAAGATCATAATTCAATGTGAGATTTTGGTGGGGACACAGAGCCAAATGATATCGGGTGGCATGGACATTTTAACAATATTAATTCTTCCAACCCATGAACATGGATAGAGGTTGGCATATTTTTTTTTCAACATACCTTTTACATTGAATCTTGCCATTAGTTTATATTTTAGTAAGTCTCTTTTAAATAGTAGGTAGGGGGACTGTTCTTTTTTTAAATCAATTTTCAGAATCTCTTTTGAGTTAATATATGTATAAATATTAGGACTATTGGTATATTTAAATTCATTTAAACTATCTTACTTTGTGCTTTATATTTTTCTGCTTTTGCTATGCTTTTGGAAAAATCGATTTTCTTTGCTTTTTCACTTATTGTGTCCTACTAGTTAGAAAGCCATAACCTCTCTTTTTAAAATGTTGCCATTGGAATTTATTACGTGTAATGAACTTAACAATATCTGGGTTTTTCAATATCTGGAGCAACTCAACAAACTTAGTGTACTTTAGCATTGAGCATCCTCCTCCCAACTTGGATATTTTTGTAATACACTTTTAGTTCCGTTATTTTTCCCCCTCACAAAATAAACACTATTATACTAACTACACATAAAGATAATGACAACTTGCCTACATGTTTGCTAATTTCTTTGCTCACAATTCTCTCCTGTTTCTTCAGTCTTTCTTTTGAGATCATTTTCTTACTCCTGAAGTTCATTCATTCTTTAGAAGTTTCTTTGGTCAATGTCTTTTGAAGGTAAATCCTCTGTTTGTTTGTTTATCTGAAAAAGATGTTCCTTTTGCCTTCTGCCATGACTGTGAGACCTTCCCAGCTGTGTGGAACTGTGAGTCCATTAAACCTCTTTTTCTTTATAAATTACCCATTCTCAGGTATGTCTTTATCAGCAGCATGAAAATGGACTAATACAGGCCACCAGACTAATACAGCATGAAAATGGACTAATACAGTCACCAAAGAGGACTTTCAACTTTAGGAAAGTGGAGAGGGACCCCTCTCCCCTGCCCACTGCCACAAACACACTCAATGGCAAACACTGCAACAGAGGATGTGGGAAGGTTTGTAGGGAGGGCTTT
This sequence comes from Homo sapiens, assembly GCF_000001405.40. Lineage (NCBI taxonomy): Eukaryota > Metazoa > Chordata > Mammalia > Primates > Hominidae > Homo > Homo sapiens. The sequence continues at coordinate 65,486,783 of NC_000012.12, forward strand.
GTGTGTTTTCACATGGCATAGAGAGCCAAATGGAGAAATGAAAGAAAAGTCACTTATAATTCAACACCAAAACCAACAGCACAAGAAGCAAAGGTGTCCTTTTCTCAGTTAGAATCTTAAAATTAGGTCCTTGAACTTCCCCATGCTGCTGGTGGGAGTGTAAATTGGTAGCCACTTTGGAAAACTGTTCAGCAGTATATGTAGTAGTTGAATACATGCATACCCTATAACTCAACTACACTGTTAGGTGTGTACCCCAAGCACGTTCACCAAAAGATATATACTAAAATGTTTCTAGTCACAAGAGAGGAATGAGATATAGGGATATATATGTTTCAGTGTGTGAATATCTCTCTATTATGTATCTCTATATTATATATTATTATATATAAATATAATAGAGAGATATTCATACACTGAAATACTATATAACACTGAGCATGAAAAAACTACAACTGTACGCAACAACATGGATAAACCTCAGAAACATAATATTCAGAGAAACAGGCCAAGCACAAAAGAGTGCATACTATACAATTCCCTTATATAAGGTTCAAAAATAGGCTAATCTTTGAGATAGAAATCAGATCAGAGGTTAGCTTTGACATGGGCTGTTGCAGTGGTCGGTGACTAGGTAGGAGGGGTCACAAGGGGAGCTTGTGTAAGTGCTGAAAATGTTCTATTTTTTTATTAGATGCTGGTTGCATGGGTGTTGCTATGGTTTAAATGTTGCCCCAAAAGTGTTCATTAGAAATGTCACCCACAATGCAATAGTGTTGGAAGGTGTGTCCAAATGAAAAGTGATTTAGGACATGAGGGCTCCACCCTCATGAATGAATTAATCCTGTTGTTTAGGGCATGTTTTGTTATTAAAAGGAGTGGCTCTGCACCATGGCTCATGCCTGTAATCCCAGCACTTTGGGAGGCCAAGGTGGGTGGATTGCTTGAGCTCTGGGCAACATAAAAAAACCCCATCTCTACAAAAAAATACAAAAATTATCTGGGCATCATGGCATGCACCTGTAGTCCCAGATACTTGGGAGGCTGAGGCAGAAGGAGCCCTTGAGCCAGGGGCAGAGGTTGCAGTGATTCATCATTGCATCATTTCACTCTAACCTGGGCAACAGAGTGAGACTGTGCCTCAAATTAAAAAAAAAAAAGTGAGTTAAATCCCTTTCTCTCTCCCTACCCTCTTTGTCATTGCATGTTTGGATGGTGTAGCAAGAAGGACCTCACCAGATGCTGCCCCTCAATCTTGGATTTCCTGGCCTCCAGAACTGTGAGCCAATAAATTTCTATTCATTCTGAATTAACCAGTCTGTGGTATTCTCTTATAGCAGCACAAAATGAACTGAGACAGGTGTGCTCACTCAGTGAAAATGTTTTGAACTGCATGCTTATGCTTATGAATTGTTAACTTCTCTGCGTGCATGTTACATTTCAATAAAAAAAGTTTACTCAGAAACATAGATGTTCCTCCCATAATTTCTAGAGAGATTTTCTCCAAATACAAAATGAGGTTCTGAAATCAGCAAATTCTTATTTAGCTCCATGAGTTCCAAGCCACTCCCCACCACTCCCACCCCAGATCCCATGCTGTATGTCCTCAGTGTTTCCAATAAATGTGTATGTACAGGCATGCGCATACCGTGCACACATACATAAACACATGCACACATTTCTCCTTGCTTTCTCTTCCAAATGTGAGCTTTGCTATACATTGCTGGTGCATACAGCACTCTGCTTGGCACTTAGTACGTATTACTTCATTTAGTCCTGAACACTATCCTCTAAGGCAGTCATAAATTTCTCTATTTTATGAAATCTGAGGTCCAGAAAGATGAGATAACTTGCTGCAAATCACAGAGCTAATGAGGTCTCATTGACTTTACAGCCCCTTGCTTTTCCGCCACTAAAACTTCCTTCTTATTAAGCAAGAAGATAGCAACTCAAAAGCTAGTAATGTTAAGACAAAAATTATATAGTTAGTTTATCTGTCTCCATTTACAGATGGGAAAACAGAAGAAAAAGTGACTGGCCCAAGGTTCCATGCTGGGTGGTCATAATTTCATGTATTAACTATTCACTGCAAGAATTATGTAGGGAAAAATATATAGGTAAAAACAAAGTCTAAAGAACTATAAAAGAATAGATAGAGCATATGCAATTTTACAATCCAACCTAAATTTCCTTTGTTTTGCCTTGAGGTTGAACCACAACTGATACCTTCCTTATACCCAGGCAAGATGATCCTGCTCTGGGTTTTGGAAGCCCCAACATATCACAAATAACTGTGCACTTTGGTCTCTTGGAATCTGATGCTGAGTATTTGACAATACAACCTGCCACCCCAAACAAATTCTGTTCTCATGATCTGTTCAGGACCCAGGAAATGGATTCTCTATATTTTTTTCCCTTTGTTGTGAACAATGATTGATGGTTCAAATGCTGTGAAGGTCTGTGTTTCCTTCTACTTCTGAGATTGAAGGTGACACTGCATCTGAATGAAGGAAGGAGTGAGGCAGTGGCACCCAGGTTAGGGAGAACACAATTTTCACTAACTTTTCAAATCCTTCTTTCTTGGCATGAGTGCAATAGATTATGCATTTATAATCTATTGATTACGACTAATGAAAAGTCATTTTCATAGCCCTGAGGGTCCATTTACTTGCCTCATTTTGTGTCCTAAAAGGTGGTTCCACAAGTGCTTATAAGTTTTTGTGTATTCACAACAGTTACACATGGTGGCTGAGGAATATTTTATGCCATTAAACAATGCATATTTCTGTTGAATTTGTATGTATTATGTCTTGACTTGAAATGCACAAAACAAAACTCTAATTATTTACATTGGCAATTAATTGACACTATATTAGCTAAAATTGGTTTTAGCTAATAAAACTAATAAAATTAATTTTACTTTTAGAAAAGTGTTGAATAAGGTTTAAGATTTTCAAAAAGTTACTCAACATCACCCACCCTCAGATAATTGCCAATCAAAACCACAATAAGAGATCACCTCACACCTCTCAGCATGGCCATGATCAAACAAGACAAAACAACAGATAACAAGTGTTGAAGAGGATGTGGAGAAATTGGAACGCTTGTGCGCTGTTGGTGGAATGTAAAATGATATAGCCCCTATGGAAAACACTATGGGGGTTTCTAAAAAAATTAAACTTAGAACTACCATATTGTCCAGCAATCCCTCTTCTGGGTATATATCTAAACTAATTGAAATAACTATCTGAACTCCCATGTTTATGCAGCATTATTCACAGTAGCAAAGACATAGAAGCAGCGTAAATCTCTATCAGTGAATGAATGGATAAACAAAGTGTGGTATATACATACAATAGAATATCATTCAAAGGGAAATCCTGCCATGTGCAACAACATGCATGAACTGGAGGGCATTATGCTAAGTAAAATAAGCCAGTCACAAAAGGACAAATACTGCATGATCCCACTTATATGAGGTATCTAAAACAATCAAGTTCATAGAAGCAGACAATAGAATGGTGATTGCCAGGGGTAGGGAGTGGAGGTGGGGAATGGGGAGTTGTTTAATGGGTATAAAGTTTCCTTTATACAAGATAAATGAGTTCTAAAGATCTGCTGTAAGCATAGTGCCCACAGTTAACAATACTGTACTGTGTTCTTAAAATATGTTAAGAATGTAGACCTCACATGAAGTGTTCTTACCACAAAAACAAAAAACAAGCAAAATAAAAAATGAATAAAAGGGCACAAGGAAACTTTTAAAGGTGATGAATATGTTTATTGCCTTGATTATGGTGATGATTTCCTGGGCATGTGCATATGTCTGAGCTCATCCAACTGTATATATTACATATGTGCAGTTTTGTATATCATTTATATCTCAATAAAGTGGGTTGTTTTTTAATTTTTGTTTTTTTTAGAGATGGAATCTCACTATGTTACCCAGGCTGGAGTGCAGTGGCTGTATACAAGCACAATCATAATGTACTGCAGCCCTCAACTCCTGGGCTTATGTGATCCTCCTGACTCAGTCTCAGTCTCGCAAGTAGCTGGGATTACAGGTGTGTGCCACTGCACCTGGCTTAAGAAAATTGCTTTTAAAAAGATTTTCAAAAAGTTAGATAAAAACTCAGCTTTTCTCAAATAAGTATGATTTAAAACTTTATTATCAATTATAATTTATATTTTGCTTTTTAAATTTAAGAGATAATATTGGATGTCAATGGTGACTTTTGAATTTATAAATTAAAGATAATTTGAATTATATTTAACATTTACTTTAATATACATTTTGATGAAAAAGTCCAAATTTTCTAGATGTTGAACATGATTTTACTTATATTTTAATCCTTCATATCATTACTATCAATTGAACACAGATTTTACTTAAAGGTAAAGACCATCAATTTTATGAAATTCATACATAATAAATTATGAATTATGTATGTTTTCATTTTATTATGCACCTTAAAATCATTGGCCACCAATAGAATACCCATACCTGACCAATAACAAAAAAATTTACTCTTTTGCTATTGTACTGACTTTTCATCATAAAAAAATATATTTACCCATATTTTAAAATTTTGTTCTTATGAAGCAATATTTGTCAAATGTTATGGAAATAAATTTGTGAAACAGAAAATTATTTTATGTAAGAGTCTGTGAGCTTGATTTAAAACTTTAAAATATTTATTTATAAGGTATAAGTGCCTCTATCTTTCTTCAGGGCTGCAAAAAGTTAGTGGCAGGTCTGACCACAGCTCTCTTTCACTTAGGGTCCATGCAACCAATGAAGAGCTTTGGGTCTTACCAGATGTCTTATCTTTTGCCACTGTGGCATTGAATGGCTGTCTGGCAGGTATCAAATCAATGTTCCTTCAATTATCCTTGAATTGTAAATTACTACTCATTTTTTTCTCTCTAAATCATGGGTCTTTCTTTGTAAGAGGATGTTTTAGTGGCAACAGGAAAAACTTCACAATAGAAGAAAATGGATTAAAATGAAGTGCTTTGTGTGGGTACATACCCAAAGGAATTGAAATCAATATGTTGAAGAGATATCTCCACTTCCATGTTCATTTCAACATTATTCAAAATAGCCAAGATATGGAAGCAACCCGAGTGTTCATTAATGGATGAATAAAAGAAGAAAATGTGGAATATATACACAATGGAATATTATACAACCTTTAAAAAGAAGGAAATCCTGCCATTTACAACATGGATGAAACTGGAGGGCATTATGCTAAATGAAGTAATCTCTGCACAGAAAGACAAATACTGTATGCTTTCACTTATATGTAGAATTTAAAAGAGTTGATCTCACAGAGACAGACTGTAGAATGGTGGTTCATAGAGGCTCTGGGTTGAGGAGGTATGGGAAAAGGGGAGAGGCTGGTCAGAGGGTACAAAGTTTCAGATAGACAGGAAGAATAAGTTTTAGAGAGATCTACTGTACAGCATGGTGACCATGTTTATAATAATTATATATTTCAAAATCGGTAATAGATGTTAAATGTTCTCACCACAAGAAAATGATAAAGTGTCATGGTGATAGATATGTTCAATAGTTTTGATTTAATCTTTCTATAATTTTATATATATCAAAACATCACATTATACCCCATAAATATATACAATTATAATTTGTCAATTTAATTAATTAATTAATTTTAAAAAGGTGTTTTGTGGTTTTATTATTAATCTGTTTGAATCCTTGTTTTCTCCTTCCTCATCACCCCTTTTCTTCTGTTGCCCCTCCCTTTTCTCTTTTTCTTCTTATTCTGTTTCCTCTTCCTCCTCCAGCCTTTTAGTGAGGAAAGACTCTCTTGATAGCTGTGTTACTTCTCTTCATCAATGCCTACATTTCTCAAAGCTGAAGTGTCCAATGTTTTTTGAATCTGACTTTCTGCCAGAATTCTTTGAATAGATCAACTCCCTTTATGCTTTAACATTTTAAAATTGGTCGGTGCAAGAGAGAATTGGAGGATCTTAAGTATAGCGGTTTTCTTACAATCAACAAAGAATGTTATTCCAATTGACAGTATTTTAAGTCCAGTCATGATGGCAGTTCTCACTTTCACTTAAATATTATAGGGACATACTAGGCTTAATATCAGGGTGATGAAATAATCTGTACAACAAACCCCCATAAGTAAGTAAGGAAACAAGTTTAGTTATGTAACAAACCTGCACTTGTACCCCAAACTTAAAATAAAAGTTAAATAAATAAATAAATATCATAGGAATAAGTAAAGAATCTGAAGTACTATTATTGCCATTTTGCCATTTCTACTGGATTTCTAGATAAGAGTCTTATCTCAATATTTTGCCCTTCATTAATTTTCTATCTACTTGGCTTGTTCAGCAAGTGGAGAGGAAGTGGGTTTCTCACAGGGTGCTAAGACAAGTGGTCTCTCATTTGTTGCTGTCTTACTGACCCCACATTCAGCAAATTACTCTCTGTTGGGGGAGATGGTTGCCAAGATAGGCAGTCTAGACTATAATTAAAAGTAAGATATTTTTTCACTCCATAAATTTAACAGTTTGTTTCTTGAAACCATCCTGTTTCTCCTTAATTTGGCTCTAGGAAAATAACCACAAGTGACATGTGGTTCACTGTGGTTTCCTCAGACACTGTGGCTGTCCTCATTTGGTGTGTTATGGTTCGTAACAGTTCCAGACTCAGAGATTGAATGATGGTGGTGGTATCAGAAAGGTTTAATGGCTGGAACCCCATGGAAGTAAATTAAAAAAATTTATTTGACAAGAAGTGAAATGTCTTGGAAGTTGCCAGGGCTAAACTACCAAAGTTTCATCTTATCCTTATTTATAATTTAATGGAACAATTTAGGATTTCAAAAACACTGGGTGCTTTCTCAACTACTTAACTCTGCCCTGAGTTAGCAGTAATGTAAAATGAGTTCTGCAATGAAGAATTTCAAGTACCCATAAGCAAGTGCAGAGTTGCAAAATCCTTCCAGAGTGTTGATTTATATTTCTGTAGCCCTCAGGACAGACATAGAGTTAGCAATGTATCTATGGTATTTGTCTCTTCCATTCAATTGCAAACCCCTCTTGTTCATGGCTGTATCATGAAGCCAGAGTCCTTAGAAGGTACTTAGGGAACAAGAGTTCTGAGGCTGATCCATGGTGTAGTCTTCCTCCCAGTTCTGCCTGCATGATTGCTTAGTAATCTTAGGCTGTAACTCATTCTTCCCTCGGAAAATGATCACATTTTATTGTCTTGGGAGGCATAGCAAAGCTCCTGTCACATGCTAATGTAATAGAACCTGAAGGCCCCTGGGCTCTGAGCCTGTGTGATTCCTGATTATGCTGGGCACATCTTGTCATTTTTGCATTTGAAGGGAGGGAGCAAGCCTGGTGTTGCCCACTCTTCTCCTTTGGAATAATGAAAATGGTAATGATGATAACCACAGTGAAAGCTAATGACACTTTTGTATTATATGCCAGACACTGGGGTAAATGTGTCATATAAAGTATCTCACTTTTTCTTCCCAACTACACCATGAGCCCTATAATTCTTAGCTCTAACTTACAGATGAAGAAACAGAGGTAGAGAGAGGCTACTGCTTAGTTAAGGTCTCCTAGCTAAGGAGTGCCTCCAGGACCCATGTTCTTAGTCTTTTCTCTCTTCTGGGGCAAATATATTAGATCATCTATTATAAAGCAACAGAGGAGATCAAGAAATACTCCAAGGCAGTTTGTTGCCCTTGGAGTCCTTAATCATTCTTTCAAACCTTCCAATTGGCATGGCTCTCTGCTTATAAAAAGATGTTTCATTTATTGAAATGTGATTTCAGAAGTCTTATGAGTGCAGCCAGCACACAGTGGGTAACAAGGAGTTAAAGTGCTTACAGTCCTTCCTGTTTGAGTCCAGCCAGCAGCAGTTTATCACAAATACAGGCCTTTGATCCTGACAGCTTTCCTTTTACTCAGGGGGAGCAGGGAGTGTTTGACATGGGGAAGCAGGGAAGACTACAGAGAAAAGGTTCTTGTTTGTTTCCTGGGTGGATCGCCTCCTTCTTGGCACATCTCCAGGAAGCAAGTCTTTTCCCACCCTAAAACATCAAGGAAATAAATCCCTCTCCCATAAAACAGACCTGGACGAGGCCCCAGGGCAGCCAAAAGTCCAGAGACCTGGGTGTCAGGGAGGCTGGAGTGTGCCTGGGTGTCAATATGATGCAGGGAAGAGATGGTTGATGTCAGCGAGCTCTCTGACCCCAGGGGGCAGAGCCAGGTTAGGGGCCCATAGAGAAATCCATGCCCTGAGATTGGCCATCTGGAGAAAAAACGCTAAGAGAAAGAGAAATTTCGGGAATATTTGAGGAGGGCAACCTGAGAGGCAAGCACCAAGGAGGCTAAGCCCGGGCGCCCGGAGTCCCAACAAGGTTCTCCTGGGCAGACCCCGAGGGAAGAATGGAAGTGTTATGAACACAAGCCAATGAGAAACAGCTCCAGCATTCAGAGCAGAAGGGGAACTGAGGGTTGGGGGCAGGCAGAATGAGGTCTCTACTGTGGACACGTGTGGTTTCTTGCAGCCCAAGATGTGTTGGCTGTCATTCTGGTAACTGTGTTCTGACTCATCTGTGGAATTTAACCCATGCCATCTGAATGAGGTGATCCACCTCCCCAGCTCTGGTCAGTGCCTGGGGAGTCAGTGCCTGTGATCCCGTTTGTCACAGTGATTGGTGCAGGGAGGGCTGAGGATGTACCAGGGCCAGTGAGGAGCAAGGAGACTTTGGCTGGGGCTTGAGACAGGCATTCATCTCCTCAGACCTGAAGTTAGGAAGAGGTAAATGCTGAGGACATTGTGTCTTTTGGGACTGTAATGGGAGAAGGACTCTGTTAGGTTTGATGATTGTTTACATATTTACCTTCCTCCCCCCACCCACTTCCTCTTGACTGCCCTGATGTTGGGCTTGGCCATGTGACTTGCTATCTGAGTAGTCCCTAAATTTGGGTTCATCCATGTAACTTGCATTGGGTAATGAGATGCCAGCAGACGTAACGCAACAGAAGCGTGAAATGTGCTGGTGCCATTGGGCTTGCTCTTTGAGCTTCTACGGTGGCTATGAGAAGAGTCTCTCAGGGTAGCTCCTGCCCTGTCAGCCAGACCTTAAGATGAATTCCCAACCTACCTTGAGGAGCCAAGCTTAGCAAGAGCCTCATGTGAAGCAGAGCCACTCCGTGCTCATGTGAAGCAGAGTCTCACCGTGCCAGCCCTCCCATAGGGTCGAGTAAGCCCAGTTGACATCAGCTGTCTGGCAGATGTATGGGAAATATATGCTCATTGTTGAATGCGTCTGATATTTTTGTGGTTGCTGATTAGGCAGCATTATTGTGACAATAGATAACTGATACAGGCTCTTTTAGAATTCAGCCAACAGGGCAGTGACAGACTAAGAAATAGAGAGACAGAAATAAGTCACAGTGACATCATTTGAATGCCTGATCAAACTGCTGCTAAAGCCAGACTATTTCTTGGGCTTTCCCAGTCTGTGAGCCTTTCTGTTAAGCCATCTCAGGTCAGATTTTTATCATTGGAAACAGTCCCTGATTGGACTGGATATTGACTAAATATGAAAGGGATCTGTATGTCCCTGCAACTCCTGCAATTCAAACACACACAAGATATATAGGTATGTATAGATAGAGATATCTGTTATAAGAAGAAGGAGTAACAGACAGGAAATTGGAAACCAAACAACAGGAGGAGGAAGGGGTTTATGCTTAGTACCCTGGAGCATCCATTCTGAGATGGAAATTTGCATGCAGTTGCAGGACCAATATCTGTGAGCAAGTGAAAGAAGCAGAATGGGGCAAAGGGAGAAGCTAAATTGCAACACATTTTGCACCAGAGGCCTCAGTGGATCCCATGGGGAATTCTGGAACTGAACTGGCCCTTCAGACTTGTCCTCATAGAGATGAGGAAGCCAGACCTTTGTACCCACCCCATTGGCCAGGCATTGGATATCAGCTGGCCCCAGTGAGACATTGCAGACTCGGACAAGGCAGCTTCCTTCAGCAGAAGGCAATTCTTAGAAACACAGCTGTGAGATGTTGCAATCAACACTCCTGGAAGCAGACGGACTGAAAGCCTTGGTCCTGAAGGGGCTGGTGACCTAGCTTGGGCACCCTAGCATCCACCACAAGGGCCACAACCTGATGCAGAATTGAGAGAGTTTCTGGTTGAGATTATCTATCAGGTTACAGCAGGATATTAGCCCAGCAGTCATTTGACCTACTTTTACTTTGCATTATCAGCAAGGGAGGAATAATCAGTCAGTCAAAAAGTACTTATTTTATATCCAGAGAGTAAAAAGAGCCCCCACATTTATATAATCCGAGAGAGATAAGAATGACGATAGCAGTTCTTTCCCAAAAGGGTCAACGGAAATTTTTCATGGAAAGTCATTTCATAATCGGTCAGTTTTTGACTTCTCACAAAGGTGATGGTGGACTAGAAGGACTGGCTGGTTCTCCACTGCACAGGTTGATTTGGTGATGGCACAGATGAACAAATCCTCTTCCATGCTACCAGGTATCCCACAGGCCCAGAAGTTAGAGCACTGGTTTGCTTGCTAAGGGAATCATGTGTACAAAATTCAAGGAGCTCTCTTGCTGCCAGAGCTGGTTGGCACTCACCAAGTTGGGAAATGGTGGGGGGCAATCTCCTCCCTTAAGTGTCTTTGTCTCCCTTGGGATGTCTTTGTTCACTCTACTCCATTTTTCCCTATAGTCTACAAAGCCCCCTGAGTGCCAGCCAGAGGGTGAGGAGGAGCCCCTTTACCTACAAGCTCTTCTTGCTGAGAAATTCTGCTTCTTGACTTTTCAGCGCCCTTCTGTGGAAATGTGTTACTTAAAATGCCTACGATATTTGGGGTGGAAGGGGTGGAAACAGGGAAAGTAATAATATTGGTGACACATCATAAATCCACAGAGACAGGGATGCTGAAAGTGGCAGAATTAAGGACTTTGGAAAGCACACAAGGTCAGCTGTGAAGAGGGCACTATTGTGAAACACTCAAGGACTGTTTTCTTAATCCTGGTGTGCAATATGGTACAGAGAGCATTCAGGAGTTACACCATTAGAGCCCTGATTTCACATGAGTTTAGTATTTCATGCTAATCGTTTTGACATTTCCAGACATCGGCTAATATTGGTCCCCATTCTACAACAGCCTATTTCCCTCTTCTCCACATGAAAGGCGAAGCTGTTGAGTGTTCCATCCCTTTTGGGTCTGGAGTTTTACCAACTGTTTGTTTTAAGTGAAGTATGATTCCTGGGTATGGAGGAGAACTACAATCTTTCTTTCTAGCTGGTCCTTTTTCTGAGACTAGGTCTGAGGAGTTAGGAGTTGGAGAGAGACAAATTATATTGTGAAGGGAAAAAGTATTTTAAGACTCAGATTGAGGGGAATTGATTAGCTTTATAGATGCAGGATTTGAAGTGCCCTTCTCTTCATCAGAGCATGAAATGATATCTATAATGGTTTTAGTACTCACGATTTTGATATTTTTATATTATATTATTTTGTTGTTATGGATTTCATCTAGAACAATAAGTCACACTCCTTATGCATCATGCCCCACTAAAAACTCTGAAAACAGAATTCCATCATGATAAGAAAAAGGTCCACTTTTCCCAAGAAGTACACTTATTTACAGATATTTTGATATTTTGCTGTGATATCAGTTATTTTGGAAAGGTTGCAAAAGCATAAAAAACTGTGGCCAAAATGAGGTTTATTCTGAATTACCAAGAGTCGTTATGAAAGCCCTGTGTTTCATGAGATTTTGCATTTGATAAAATTCAACATCTTTCCTAGTAAGAAATCTTAGCAAACTTGGGATTAAAAAGACTTCTCTCTCTCTCTCAAACTCCATAAAGGGTAGCTACAATAAAACCACAATAAAAACTATGTGTACTGGTGAAATACTAAAGCAGACCCCTAAAGTGAAAATAAGGCAATATCAGCTACGCTGCTATCATGCAACATTATGGTGAAGGTCCTAGCCATTGCAACAATATAAGAAATGGAAATGTATGCTTATTGGAAATAGCACATTATCTATCTGGAAAACACAAGAAGTGCAAGTGAAAAAACCTTTAGAGCCAGCAAAATAGTTCATCAAGGTAGTCAGATATATGCTATCTGGGGTATATAGTGATGCTCAATTAGAAAATAAAGGAAAGTAAGGCTCTATTCACAGAAGGAACAAAAACTCTAAAGTACATAGCAACAAATCTAGCAATAAATAGGTAAGGCCTATATGAAGAAAATTATAACTAAAGGACATGCTAGAAATCCTGAATAAAGTCAGAAGCATATCATGTTCTTTGATGGGAAGACTCAATATGAAAAGATATCAATTCTCCCCAAATTAACCTGTTAATTCAGTGAAAATCCGATCCAATGAAGTAGCATTTCTGATGGCAGAAGGAAAGGGGTTTTGGCTTATAAAGGAAGAACTTGAGTCCTCAGACCTTTGCAGGTAGTGTCAGAACCCAGCTCCAGTTCCACTGGAGTTGACAATGCATGTCTGAGGCACTGAGTGCAGCAAAGCTGCTGGCCCGCCAGGGATGACGCGAGGCCGGAAGATGCCGCCCACAGTACAGGAGCCGAAATCTCCTCTGCTGATTAAACTGAATTCTCTGGGATAGTTAGGATCAGACCTACCATCAGTGGTTGTATTTATCACAAGAGGGGAAAGGATCCCAGGGAGGGAAAAAGAAAATTTGCTCTCTTGATAACAAGACAGGACATTTTCTTTGAAAAATTGAAAAGTGTAGGACCTTACTTTATTCCCAAAGCTGATGAAGTAAACAAATTCAATTGTGTAGTTATAATCATAAGGGTGATTAAGGAATTTACTTTCTTCTTTCCTTCAGAAATTATCCCCTCTGTGTAGAGACAATGTATGATTCTGTACCTGTTCCCTGTCCTTAATTAGATCCATGAGATCTTTGACAATGTGTACTTTGAGTCCTTCTTTGGGAAACATCGATAGATGATAAATAAATTTTAAACTGTAAAATGTCCAAAAGCAGAAAGTCCAAAGGATGGTCTAAGAGTATCAATGGAATCAGTTATTATATTTATTCATCCACTTACAATTGTTTTTGAAAAGTCCAGGAGAGCAGAATAGATGCCAGGAAATTGGAAAAATGCAGCTGTGGTGCAAATCTTCAAATGACGTTGAGTTGAGCAGTCCTTTCAAATTACTCTCCCTCACTGTCAGTTTAGAAGATTTGGGAATAATTGTATAAAGCTGAAATATAAAAAGAGAGACACACAAAAAAGTTTAACAAAGCAATTTTAACTTGAATACATGTCTACAATAAAGGGATAAAGAGTGGTCCGCAGATGATCACTGTGCTTTGCTCAAGTGTATTGCCTGCCAGGACCCCACACAACTTCATTTATCAAATTCCTTAAGCTTGAAAGAGCAGTTGTGATGATTTCACTTCAGCCTAGTTTTGAACACAGTGAAAAAGATCAAGGGGTTGCGGTGTGGGGAGCTCGGCTATAGCTATCTCCAGAAGCAGCAATGCCAGATCATTTGGTGAGGCTTTATATCATTTTGAGTGATCAGGAGGGAGAAATGCCAGAAGACTCTGCAGTCTGGAAAAATTCCTGTAGATTGGGGGTTTGGGAGGCACTGAAGACCCCAACAAAGATCTAAGGAGTGAGACCAACAGGAAGTAAGGAAGTGAAACCCGTGCCAACAAAAAATTCAAACTGAGTCATCAGGGAAAATATTTCTTTACAGGGTCGAGAGTAATCTGGAAAACCACAGTGACATATGTGATGTCATGCAGATAGTGACAGAAAATTAGATATGTAATCAGTATGTCTCTTCCCCGAGCTGCTTGTCTAATGTAAGCCTTGAAGTTCTGTCACCCGGGGGCAATTGGGGGTCATGTTGTTTTGGGCTCACAAAGGGATGGCTCTTCCTCTTTCCTATCCCTGCTGCTCTCTCCTGGCAACCAGATGCATACTCAGGTTCATTTAGGCTCAGATTTTAGCCTTTTCCTTCTGGTGAGAAATCTTAGAAGATATGACACTCCCTTGTTCTGCATAGTAGTTTGTGGAATCTGATGGGGATGTCTGCAAGTGTCCAGAGACTTTTCTCCCTCCTTTCCTCCTCCTGACCACCAGAAGAGAGAGTTGAAAAAGCAGAATGATTTTTTTTCAATAATCTTCTTTTAGAAATCACATTCATGGCTTGGTTTGCCATTCATTTTTGCACCAAGACGTTTATGAAGTGGAAATGGCTGAACTCATCTGGCAGGGCTCTCAAGTGCAGACGGCCAGTTCCCAAATCCCTGAGGTGTGAGGGCTGGGTTCTTTTCAATAAACATTCCTGCACTTGGCCTTCTACTCCAGCCCCCTGTCCCTGCCCTCCCAGCGCCTGGAGCTTTCCACCTTGGCTCTGGCTCCTCTGAGCCTGGACTCAGCCTTCCAATTCCAGGTTGACCTTGGCTGAGCGCCCCATATGCTCATTCTTCTTGTAAAAGCAGAAAATCTCAGGCACAGATTTCTGCACTTGGCCTCTCTGCAGAACTTTTTAGTACTCAAGGCACACGCAGCCCCCAGCTGACACTGAGTGAAAGCAAGAGCACTTGCTTCGCAGAAGTCTGTGTTTACTGAATCTGATTTGGCCTTTGGCAACCCTGCTGCTGAGTCCACACTGAGAAAAGCTAGAGCTGGGCCAGGTCCTCAGGTCTACCCTGGGCTTGTTTAGTACCTGCGGGCATGGAGGATTCTCTCTGACCTTCTCAGTACATACCTCACCTCCCACCTTGGTGGACAAAACCGGGTATTCTCCACCATCATTGTGCTCTTAGGCATTCTGTCTAGGATGGTTGTGAAGATTCAATGAGATCACTGTTTATTTCAGTGGCTATTAAAAACTTATTAATTGATCATTAATTGATTTAGCCAAATCAGATAACATTGATAAGAAAATATAGTGTTGAGAGCAAATTAGAGAAATAGTCAAACTAGGAATATTTAGATATCTGGTTTCTGCCTTGGATTTTATCCTATGGCAAAATCCTCCCATAATCCAGGGGTAGTGGGCCGTGCCTTATTGTCAGACAGAAGTGGGTGGAGGCTTAGAAAAACTCCAGTCGTTGTCATCTGACCTACCTGTGATTAAAGAGAGCTCTGCACATTTCTAGCTGTGTGACCCTAAAATCTTTGTGCCTTGGTTTCCTCTTGGTACAATAAGGACTACATTTTCTACCATACGAAGGAGTTGAGATTATTAAAAGAGATAAAGTTCAATTGTCCTTGTCTTGACTCCTGCTACCAGCACTCTCCTTGGTCCTGACAAAGATTTCCCCAAACCTTGGCTTTTCATGACTTCCCAACAAACGTGGTGAATAATGTGTTCTATACACCTGTTCTCTGTCTCCAGGCTAACCTACGTGGTCTCCAGCTTTTCTTCCTAATGTAATCAATCATTTGCTCATGTTCCGTGTGACATGTTATATATTTACAATTAAAGGTTCTAGACTAATTTCATGAAGAATCTGGAATCTTCCTTGAGATCTTTCTTGGATAAATTCACCTTTCTTTGATTCCTTAGCTGCCATTATCATTAGTGCCAAGGATGGCAAATACACAATGTACCTGTTGCCAGCACATTCTTCTGAGTCCACAGCAGACATTACTAATTGAACACAGTGCATTTTCTCATGAACAGGGACAGAGTCTCAGAGTCACTTTGAACACATTGTGCAGGCAATGATTCTCATTGAATTGGAGCAGTGCATCGGGGAAAATCCATTAGCCATCTGTCTACACCATTTGACTTGTTACCTCTCTTGGACTTGTGAACGTGTTAGTGTCCTTGTAGTCATCTGTGCTTCTCCTGTCTGCTCCATTAGACTCAATACACATATGTAATTTGCCAAGGATTCTGCCCCTTATCTTGAGTATAACTCAATCTAAAAAACAAAGACATAGCTAATAGTTCTTGCCTTGTAGTCATAACCAGGGTCTGTCACTGTAGGTTATGGGATGAAACGAAACTATTTTTATTATCCTTTTTTTCTAGTTAATCCTAATTATTTCCCATGACATTAAATAAGTATTCCTTAAAAACATGGTATTTCATGTCTGTGCAAATAGTCTATCATATTGATATACCGCTGTTTATTTGATCATTCCCTGGTGTTAAACTCTAGGCTGCTACCAGTGTCTGGCCACAAAAAAATAATATCGTCTGGCAAATTTCTTCGTACCTATCTGTGTGGCTGCATCTCCAATTATTTTCTTAGGGTAGATTTCTCAAAATTATAAATAATTGTGTCAAATGGTAAGAACAGCTTTAAGATTTTTGATACACATTGATGTATTGTTTTCTGAAACGTTGAGACAATCTATAAGAGTAATGTAAAAGGATGATATTAATAATCACTAACCCTTGTGGACCTCATCTTTGTGCCAGGCGCTGTCCTAAGAAATTTACATACATTAACTCATGTCATCCTCACCATGACCTTTTCACAACTGAGGAGACTAAAGCACAGCTAAGGAGACTCAAGTCATGCTGGCATGACTTGAATGCAGTCTTTCCAGAGGCAGTAGGATGGCCGGGTGACATTGTTCAGTCTCTTCAGTCCAATGAAAACTTATAAAGAACCCAGTGTATTTGGTGCAGAGTAACTGGAAGATTTGTTACAGCCTTACATACATGAGGTGATAAAAATGTCATTATTACTAATAACAAGAACAACAACAACAGTATTTATCAGGAACAGGCCTACCTATTTTGCAAGAAAACTCATCAGTGGTCTGGGATGGCTATTGTCAGTCCTGTGGCAGAAATACCTGTGCTGACGCATTAGCGCTTAGCAGCACAGGTGAGCAAGAACTGGTTATTCCTAAACTGTATGCTGGGAAGCAGCTCTAATAAAAGAAGAATTAATTCAAAGCAATCCAAAATGTGCCAGCTTGGATCACAACACTGTTTAATGTTGTTTTAAAGAATGGTTCTAACTCTTTTTTTTTTTCAAAATAATGTTAATGGTAATTTCAGCTGTTAGAAGGGACCCAGTGAGAACTTATTTCTCCCTCTTCTTGAAGTCTAAAGTTTTGAATACCTAGTCATGGGAGTTCCTGATTAGCAAAGGGATTTTTTGTCTTCTTTTGTTTATAAGGCAACTGGTTGGTTTCCTTAAGGGTTTTAATTTTATTCTTGTGATTTCTCAACATTAGAGAATGGCAAGAGTGGCATGGGGGTGGGAGCAGGGTCTGGGGGCAGGAGGTTGTCGGGGAGGAAGCTTGCCAGGTTGAGCAAATAAAATACACGACACCAGTTAAACCTGAATTTAAATAATCAGTGAATAATTTTTAGTATGTCCCAAGCAATGTTTGAGACATACTTATACCAAAAATTTTACTCATTGTTCATCTGAAACTCAAATTTATCTGGAGATCTATATTTTACTGGTACCACATTGGAAGGAGGTAGGTGAGGTGGCCCTAAGAAGGGCCAGGACAAAGAAAGGAGAGAGGGATTTAAAAATAATAACAATCTTGGTCCTTTCAGATTGAAAAAAGAAGCACGAATAGTGTCTGCTGTTGGTATCAATGCTGGGGTCCTTCAGAGTTCTGGAACTGCTGGTTTCCTGAAGAGCATGCTGTTTACTGACAGAGGCTGTCCTGATGCCCAAAGGGAGTTTCTCAAGGTTGCAGAGGTGCTCTTAGCACTTTCTCTGGAAGTCACATAACTTCAGATAAATATTAATACTCACATGACCTCAGCTGTCCAAGTACCTGGATAAAGGAGGTTTAGAAATGACCTCAGTGCTAACTCTTTGTAGGGGGTGGAAATCACGGGGTTTTCTCATGGCAGCAGAACTCAGATACAGACCTTAAAAGTAATTAAGTTACAAAATTTAAAGCCAATGCTGTTTATTTTTACAGAGGGAGTTCAATGACTTGCCCCTGTTTTCTTGGCAGATTGGTCATTGAAGGAAGAAATAATGAAGCCCCATCTGGTCATCAAAAAGGGACTTTTCTCAGTCTTAAAAAAATTTTATCATTATTTAATTAGAAATTAAAACACATTTATAATTGGAAAAATTAAATGTGCTAATCATAGGAAATCTTAAAATACAGGATCATATAAAGATGAAAAAAATCAGTCCTAATCCATATGCCCCAGAGAAAATCACTGTGAATATTTTCCTGTATTTTTTTCTGGTCTTTTACGTGTAAATATCTACATAATTGAGATCATACTAAACATATAGCTTTGTATCCTACTTTTTATTAATACATTCTAGGCATTTCTCTGTGTTATTAAACATTTTTCTGCAGATTGACTGAATAATGCCTCATTGTTCAAACATACCAAGACTAACCTGATCCTGCCCCATTGATAAACTAGGTTGCTTCCAGTTTTTCTCTCTTTAGACAATGGTCTGTGGATGATCTTTTATATTCATTTTTATGCATTTCTGATTATTGACTTAGGAGAGATTCTTGGAAGTATAACTGTGGCTATGTCAAACTCTTATAAGAGGCATTCCTCCCTTGAGTCTTTGTTTTCCTAAAACTCTGTGGATTGGTCCTCCTCTCCATCTGATTAAGTCACTAGAATCAACAGGATAGAAAACATGCCCTTTCACAGATTTCTGGGTTTTCTTTGATCTCAAGAGCATGTGCTGTGTCAAGCATGCTTGGGTTTCCAGGCTGGTGCTCTCAGGATCTAGGCTATGGAGCCTGATTACCATGACTCCCAGCATCGCCTTGGCAAATACCTTCCTGAGTTCAGCCTGGGCAGAAGGCGACCCATAATCCCTCCTCCCCAGCCCTACACTGCCTTCCAGCCTTGGCCCAGACAGCGAGACAAGCACTTTCTCTCTGTTTTCGTGATGCTTCTAGCGGCACAGTCAGCCTGGGGGCTCTGCCAGCTCAGGAGCCACGAGCCCAGACTCTGAGGGATTTGGGTAAGAATGCCAACAGGACAAAGCTGGTCGGGAGGGGTGAGGAGAACCTCATTAATGCGAATTCCCTGCTTCAGCCCTAGCCTTCAGCTCCCCTTTCCCCTTGGAACCACAAGGAATGAACTGCCTGCTCCTCTTTACACAGCCTCCACCTGTTGCTTCGGACAGGCATCCTCGACATGGCCTCGCCGCACTCTGAGAGGAGGGGAAACAGAAGTCAGTCTCATATTCTCACCTCCCTGAGCACAGGGAGGCTTTCTAAGGGTCTGTATCTCAACAAAAACAGGAAACAGGCAAGGCATAAGAAGCCTTCCCCTTCACCCTGTTTCCTCCTTTTTCCCTTAGACCACCTAGGCAAGGAGAATTACTCCCCTAGAGATAATAATGGCACTCTGGAGATGTGAAGGCCTGAAGTCGCCTACAAGACTGGTTGGGGAAAACCCAGACTCGATTTTCTTTCTGGTGTTTCCTCACAGGAGTGGGTGGGGTGTGCCGGAATCAAGGGGCCATGAGGGAAGCTGAGGCCTGGGCTGTAGAGATGAGAGCCTCTGCCATGAGGGTGGAAAAGGCTGGTGTCGGGGATTACACTTTTTGGTACTTTCCTGCTCTTTCTTTCCTTCGCCTTCTCTGCCTGTCCTGGTGTGTGTAGACAGGGGCAGGGTTCCCAGGCAACTGCACAGAACACTGCACAGAGAGAGGGCAAGGCAAGAGTGGGGAGATGGGGTGGCAATTTCACACATTAGCAGTCTGGGAGGAGTTCCTTCTAGAACTCAGCAGAGCAGACACACAGGTACTTAGTCATTATTGCTGTTATTACATAAGGAATAGGCGGAAGACATTGCTTGCCCCTCTTCTTGGGTAGAAATATCAGTTCCTGCCTGAAACACATATCCATGATGGGCTTGAGGGAGAACTAGGAGGAAGATGGCAATGATGAAGAGAAAGAGGATGTCGAGTTTTATCTGTGCCAGGCAATGAGCCAACACTATAAATAAAAGTCTTTACTTATCATTCCCACCACACCTCTGTGCAGTGGACATGGTTTTTTACCTTGCAGATGAGAAAGTTGAAACACAGATTCAAACAGGCTTGCCTGAAGCCACTGACTGGTAAATGCAAAAATAACTTCCAACCCTAGACAAGACCCATATACAGTGTCCCTCCATGACATTAGATTTAGCAGCTCCTCGCAAAGCAGGAAAGCCAGGAGAGGCAAAGGTATATGAAAATGAGAAAGACACCACCTTTACTTTTCAAAAGCTTGTGGTCCACTGATGTTTCCAGATGTTCTCCTCATTTTCATCTCCTCCCTGCATTGCATCCATCCGTTTGACATCAAAGCCCCTTCTTAGGATTTGAGAGCCTTATGATTTGTTTTTCTCCACTGGGTCACTGTCTTCTGCAAGGAGGCACCGAGTCCCTGGTCACTTGGCCATTGCGCTCCTTGACTTTCCAAAGGGCAGGGTGGAGACAAAGGCAAAAACATAGAGAAGTGCCACGTGGCCATCCAGTGTAGGTCTGGGTCTGGTTTTCTTCGGATGTAGAGTCTGGCATTCAATCCATGGACATTCATGCTTCTGCGGGAAGTTAGGATTCCTCTGGGCACCTCAGCAAGATTTGCTCTCCTGCTTCCTGCTAGTACCAAGGTCAGACATATCCCTCTGGAGCTTGGCCTATGATTTTCATTCTTTGAATATCAACCCTAAGAATTTCACAGCCACATTTTTCACTCTCCAACAGTGTCTCCCTGACACAGCACATCCATCCGATACATAGCTGCTTTCCTCAGCCTTTTCTCACTTTTCAAGCTTCCCACATGGGTTATTCTGCAGAGGGAGATAAACTCAGTTCAGTTATTTCTCTGTCTCAACTCTTATGCTGGTCACCTCCTAGTGCCCCCACGAGGGAAGATGCACTGCTTTCTTCCTTGCCTTCTGCAGCATTTCCAACTGCCTTTGAATTTTTGTCACTTATACTTTTGAATTGCACTTTTTGCCAGTCTAACTCTTCATGTTGGCATCTGTATTCTGATTTTGTCTGGCTCTGGGGCCGGGTTGTCCAAGCCTTGTTTTTTTCTATTTTGACTGGAGACATCATTTTGTCTATTGTTCAATTTGGTGTATGCAGTCGCCCCTCAGTATCTGCAGAGGATTGGTTCCAGGACACCCTGCAGATACCAAAATCTGTAGATGTTCAAGTCCCAGATACAAAATGGTGCAGTATTTCCATATCACCTAGGCACATCCTCCAGTATACGTTAAATCATCTCGTGAATGCTATGTAAAGTAATTGTTGTGTTATATTGTTTTTATTTGTATTTTTTATTGTTTTGCTTTTTTTGTTTATGAATATTTTCCATCTGCAATTGGTTGAATCTGCAGATAGGGAACACGTGAATGTGGTGGGCTGACTGTACCTTGAATGCTGTGACTTTAACTTTCAAGCACAGTTAAATGTAGCTGGGACACTTTTCCAATGGAGCTCATGGGGCGTTGGATGAGAAAGACTTTCAGAT
This sequence comes from Homo sapiens, assembly GCF_000001405.40. Lineage (NCBI taxonomy): Eukaryota > Metazoa > Chordata > Mammalia > Primates > Hominidae > Homo > Homo sapiens. The sequence goes on from NC_000012.12 coordinate 65,508,295, forward strand.
GGAGGCATGCTCTGGAAGAAAATGCGGGTGGGAGCCCCAGCCCAGAGATGACCTTGTCATTGGTTATAAATGAGCTCAAGTCTCTGCTTCAGTGCTGGGGATGACATGTTTTAGAAGACCTGGAGAGGAAGGGAGATTCCTCAAGGCATCGTGGATTCAATCCAGATGCAAGGGAAGGTCTCTGGGAATTCCCTGCGATCTGTGCTTTGCCTGAGAGGTTTCCAAGAGACATTATCTCAGTACATTCTGTTTTAATAAAGAACATTTAAGAAGACGGCATCTGGGGAGCATGTGCAGCCTACAGAGTTGCTATAGGTAAAAAAAAAAAAAAAAAAAATTCTTTCTGTTCATGATAAATCCACAATTGCTTGGCCAATGTGGATTTATTGCCACTAAATCTTCTCTGCTCATGGTAAGAGGTTCAGGTTGAGTAGTAACAATCCCCCCTCTGTAATGGTCCATGTGAGTAGAACTGGTGTGCTGTTGCCGGTTGTCCTGCTCTGATTCCTGGCTGGGTGGGGTGGTGCCTTGAATGTTATCTACGTTTGTCCAGCGACAAGTTTCCTCCATGTGTGGGAAACACCAACACTGTGTCAGCGGAACACCAACATCTCATTGTATTCTTTACCGATTTTGTCAGATGAGGACTGTTAACATCAAAGTTCTCCTTAGAACTTTGAAACAAACTTTCACCCCTAAAAACAAGAACCCTATCACGAAACCTGTTACCTATCTATTTTCTCTCTCTTCCTGGAGACAGTATATTATTTCCTGCCCTGCCCACCGATTGTATCTAGAGGGATTGTTGACAGTTTCTACTCATAACCTAGATACTTACCAAAGGAAAGAAAGGTGATCTGATGAAGCACATTGCATCTTATTCTAGCTTTGGAGAAAACCCTTTTTAAAACCAGGAAGCATCCTGGATTGGAAGGTCATAGACATTATTATTATTATTATTTTAGCCAAGATGTATACCCTGGCTAAATCTCTTACTTCTGGTTTTTTTGTTTTGTTTTGTTTTTCCTCATTATGAAGTTAAGAGTTTAGACCAGGTGATCTTTTTAAAAGATCCCTTTTCCATTCTAAATGCCAAAGATGCTTCTCTAAATAGTGTCTGCAAAAACACTGCTTGGATTGCACAGAGTTCATTTTCCTTTGGAGACATATAAAGTCAAACAATGGCAACATTTTAGTGCACGTATTGTCCCTCCTTTATGATGCTTCATCCAATTGACAACCAGCTCCTACCAAACAGTCAGACTTCTAAAACTATGCAGCGTATGCCTAGGGTTTTACTTTTTAAATGAACTACAAAGTCATGATAATGAACATTTATTGAGCATGTACTAAGCCTTTAGACGTAAAATCACTTTTGATTTAATCCTTACAAATATTTTCTGAGGTAGGTTCTATTATTTATCCCCATCTTACAGGTAAGCAAACTAAAATATGAAGCTGATAAATAACTTACTTGAGGTCATATAATAACATGATAGATCTGGGATTCCAATGCTGGCAGTCTCATACCTGAGTCTGCCCAGGTTCATTCCAGGAAAATGCTTTTGTTTGGTTTTGTTTTTCCACAGCCTCAATTATCTTAGGGTCTCTTTTGAAGGTGTTTTCAAGCACGATGCATTTCCCAAATGTTAGAGGCTACAACTTATATATGTCTTGCAGATATGATTAACTCAAGTTATATGCAAATCTCTTTCTATGTATACCAAACAATATATAGGAGCCCAGAAAGAATAAGCTTGGCAGTGAGTTTCCTAGAAAGAACCACAGAAAGAGTTGATTGCCAGTACTGGTGGATATTGATTCAGACACTGACTCAGGTTGTATGCCCTGGTAGGAGGGCCTGGCCTTTTCCCTGGGCCTCTGGCCATAACCTCCTTCGGATCTTAAAAAGACACTAAGCATTGCTTGTCATCATGAATGAGAAATATCGCCTGGTTATCCAGAGGGAGACCAACTGGTGGATCCTTTAGCCGTGACATGAGGATATGGCTCCAGCTGGAGTCTCTCCTCCTGCTTCTGTACTTAGCTCATCCTGGTTTAACCAAAACCCAAAACAACCCTCTCCAAGGGCTCTTCCCTGGCTCAGGGACACTCCATTTTAAGAAACGCTCACCGCGCCTAGTACTTTGCATGGTACATTATAAGCACTCAGTAAATATTTGTTACTTCGTGGCAAAATAGATCAATTCAGCAGTGATTTTTCACTTTTCAAAAGGATTCACTGCAGGGTTCCTTTAAATGGCCGGCTCCCCTGGTGCATTTAAAATGCGATTTGATTTATAGGAATTCGATGTACATGGTTCTGCAGGGCCACATCAATCGTGTAAAGTGAGCCGCATGTGCTCCCACTGACGAGCGCGTTGGCAGCTCTCCTCCATCGGCTTGGAATGCACACAAGCCTCGGGTCTGCTCTCCCCGCTTTTATCACAAAGGGGCTCATTTTGTGAATGAACAGCCACTGCCAACAGCGTGATGGTATTTTCAGTGACCTTTGCCCGGGGATTGGATTCCCGCCCAGCAGGGAGACAAGGCCTTAGGAAAAGGTTAGTTCATTGACGGCCAGGGCCTGCTGGGCTGAGGTCTGGGGAGGGAAAGGCTCAGAGAACTTTCCCTTTTTTGTGAATCACCTAAAGAACCCACCCTTCCCGCCTGGCCTGTGCCGCTTTCTCTCTTTGTCTCGGCATATTGGATTCTGTTCAGCAGGGTGGTTTTATAGCTCCTGCTGCTCCTGCTCCTGATTTTTTTTTTTTTTTGTAACTGTGAATAATAGTCCTAGTTTTGCCTTGCTGTTTCCCAATAGCAATTCTGGGGTCCTCGTGAGCTTCCGCCCCCTCTTCTCCACCCCCTTTCCTCCTCCTCCTCCTCCTCCTCCTCCTCCTCATAACCACGGCCTTTTCAGTTTGATGTTTTTAGATATCAAAGGAAGTTCTCCAGGAACCCTGCAACTAAAGACTTTAATGAGGACCATGCCCAAGAAATCCTGGCTGCCAAATACATGATGATGATTTATGTCGCTCACTCACTCCCTAACAGCAAGAGGACTATTTGTAAAAATAAAAAAGCTGCTCATATGGAATTAAACAAGAGCATAGCTGCTTCCTTCCAGACCCCAGGAGCTTAACAAAGAGCATCCACACTCCTCTCCAGCAGCACATGGCTCAGGGCCCATATTAGTCTTCCTGTCATATAAAGCTCAATCCTGTTAGCGCAGGCAGCAGCGCACACTCTCCCTATCGGCGGACCTCAGAAGGCACATTTCTGAGGACCGCACAAAATGTGCGCAAGGATGTAGGCACAGGCTCAGGCCTACGCTGAGCCATGGAAGGGTGGTGTGAGTCCAGAGGCTAGCAGAGCCACTGAGTTGCTGCTGGCGGCAGGCTGAGGCTGACAGTAGGCATTTGCCATCCCCTGTTTATTCCTGGCATCAGATAGCTGAGTGACATGGATGCCAACTGGGTTCTGGCCAGCTCAGTGGAGAGAGCTCTGGAGGGAGAAACCCTTATGCTTGCATTTCCTTATTTGTCAAATGGGTTACCTCTTAGTGTTGTTGTGAGCGGTGATGAGATCATACATAGAAAACACGTAGCATCATATTGGTAAGTGCTAATTATTATTATTAATTATTGCTATTATTAGTATTCTGTACTGTGGCTGCCATGAATTGGTAACACTCAGACCCCTTGCTTCAGGGAGAGTGATGGAGAGTAGCTGGCTGATTACCCCAGATGCCAAACTCTAAGTTCACATCCACATTCTCACCATGTTACTCTGCTTGACCCAAGGCCATGCTTCCTGTGGGCTGCTCCAGGCCATTGATGGAGCGTGGTATGGATGCCAACACAAGCTCATTCATTGAGAGCTAGGACTCCTCCAGCAACGACTTTAGCTCAAAGACTTCCCATCAGCCTGGCAGCAGCTCCTGGGAATTGTGCTACAGCCTGCGACTTTCTCCTACCTTGTTCCCCTTCTGTCCTCCCCTCCCTCTCCCTGTGTATTCTGCTCATCTTCCTTTCAACCTTTTCTCTCCCACATACACTTCCCTCAGTAAACCTCTTATGTGTCTAAATCCCTGTCTTGGTGTCTGCTTCTTGGAGGACCCGAAGTTACACACATAGTGACTGGGCTTTCTACCACGGCTGTACTGTATTAGTACTAACACCTTCTTAGATACACGGACCATTGTTCACTCTTAGTCATTCAACATTGGATAAATGTGTCATGGGTGCTTGATGCCAGGGACACAGAGATTGTTCTTCTCACGGACAAGGTGTACACTGATAGACAGATACATAAATCATCATAGTGATATGGTCAGTGTTCAAGTAAATGCATGTATAAGGAATGCAAGAATCCAGAGGAGAAAGTGGATTTTTCTGCCAGGGTGGGAGTGTGGGTGGGAGATAGACAGGGACGGCTTCATTAAGAAGGGGATTTGAACTCAGGCAAAAGGCACAAGCCACATGCTGTCACCCCCTGTCTTCAGTGTAGTCCAATGAGTAAGTAAAAAAGAAAGAACAGCCCAGAAGAGATGTGACATCATGCCCTTTCATGGGCTTTTTCTCACCTTTTTTACTTCTTCCTCCAATGACTGTAAAGGAGCGGTAATTATCCCAGGGATTTGAGACATAATCCACCTTTCAGAGTTGAAAGAGGCACAAGCGTCATGAGCTTTTCCCCAGTGGGAAGGCAACTCCTGGACAGGCAAGTGGGTGCAAGAAGTTGCTGTGGCAGCAGGAGAGCAGTAGGGGCATGAACTGTAGGCTTCGGAGATGGGGTCATTGCTAAAGCAGGGCTCACTCAGCCTGGCCCCAGATCCAGCCTCAAGAGTCTAGTGTGGATCTGTTATGCATGGATTGTACCCCTTCCCATCCCCTTACAAAAAATTCATCTGCTGAGATCTTAACCCCTAGTATCTCACATTGTGGCTGTATTTGTAATTGCCTTTAAAAAGGTAATTAAGTTAAAGTAAGGGCTTAGGGCTCATTAGGGTGGGTTCTAATCCAGTGTGACTAGTGTCCTTATGAGGAGTAGGAATTTGGACACAGAGGCATAGACAGAGGGAAGAGAGTGTGAAGAGAGAAGATGTCCATCCATAAGCCAAAAACAGTCCTGGAACAGATCCTTCCCTTCGGAAGGAACCAACCTTGCCAACATCTTGAACTCAGATTTCCAGCTTCCAGAACTGTGTGAAATAAATTTCGGTTGTTTGGGTCACTTGGTTGGTTGTACTTTGTTATGGCAATTCCAGCAAACTATTACAGGGTTCCTCCATCTCCCCTTATTGTGGATGGGATCTGGCCCAACTCTGCTCAGAAACTTAACACAGAGTGGTGAGCAGGGAAAGATGGCATTTTTCTTTCCCAGAGAACTGGATATTAACCTTTGACTACAGGAGAGGGAGCAGGAGTTGTGAGGCCTGAGGAAAAACAGAAAGTGGAGCTTACCAGTGAGGACTTGGTCATGCAAGATGCAGGAGAATTCACTAAAGAACGCAAGTCCCTGATGTCTCAAAACAAAAATGGGAAAGATACGTTTTTGCCCCCCTGATTTGAATGCTCAGATGCTGTTGGAGAGGAGGACAAGTTGTTCTGCAGAACTAAAAACAGAGATGCATCATCTGATAAGGCTCACAGTAGACGGCTTGCACAGCAGTCCAACAGGAAGAAAAAATGAGGAGCGGGACATGCTTAGGGACTAGAACCTAAACAGCAACTCATACAAAGCCTTTGCTTTGTCCCCTGAGGAAACTGACATGGGAATTCATGAGAAAGGACAGAGCGATCCCTCAAACTCCCATCTTGACGTTGCTGAAAAGGAAGGCTTCACTGGCCCTGGGTCAGAACCAAGAAACATGAGCAGTTTTAACTTGTAGGGTGTGATGTGACAGTCCAGTCACTTTCCCAGGGGCAAATCAAGTCACACTGTGACAGATACTACATTATAACAAGTCATGTCTGTTGAGGAGCTAACCCATGTCTGAGGCAGGGGCTGCAATATCTTAATGCCCAGACCAACTCCCTAAAGTAAAACATTCCATGAATTTGTCTTATTCACTCCAGTATCTTTTGACGCTGAGGGGTAGTTTCCTGCTAAAGCATTTTCTTTTTCATTTTTATGTAAGTAAGAGAAATGTGTGGGGTTGCTAAGGATAAATCTTCCCCACCCAAACATAAACATTTAATGCACATGCCTCATTTTAATGTACCTGGGGAGGAACCAAGGTGCCCAGTGTGCCCAGCATGACATTAGGCCTCTCTCCTTCAACTTAACTTGTGGAGCCCCCTTCTTGCCCCCACATGCCCAATGCATAGAGGACTAGGACAAGTAACAAACCACAAAAGATGAGAGAGAGTTAGGGTCTAAATTAAACAGCTAGCATCTCCACCCCCACCCAGGCAGGGGGAGGCAGCTCAGAGAGAATCCATACCCCCTGTGAGAAGCAGCAATGATAGAAGGAGAAGCCTCCGAGGAGTGCAAAGGGCAATGCTGGGGTCTCCAGGAGTAGCAAGGAGCTGCCCAGCTTCAGGAGTGACAATGGTAGAAGCCACAGCAGAATATAGGGGACGCCAGTGTCAGTTGCAGCTGCAGAATGATAGTCACTTCTCACGGAAATTTATTCCATATTGAGCACCTTCTATGTGCTAAGAGAGAATAAGTGAGTCATGAGCCCCAGGGAGTAGAGAGCCAAAAGGATCAGCCTTGAGAGCTGCCTGTGGTCTGTGGAGTTGAGTGACTGGCCGTGCCCACCTGAACTAGCCTAGGGAAGCGCTATTCTTCTTCTCTTCCTCTCTTAACCATGTCTTTTCCTCTAACCTTCAGGAACATTTTCAGGTAGCAAAAGCCCTAGCTTGTATTTCCAATCCTGTTTCTGGAGTAGCAGAAGTGGGCATTTCCATTTCGGTATCTTGCTGGCATTGTAGACTCCTCATTTTCCCCAGCCACTTCTTCTCCTCATCCCTTCCCTCCACAGAAAAAAAAACCCAAATCATCTCCCTAACATAACACTGTTCTTCACTTCAAAGCTTCTGTCTTCTTTGATTCTTCCCTCTTCTTTTCAGCCTAATCAACTTTCATGTTATTTTCAACTGCCTTTGTAAGGTGCATGGAATATATGTTTTCCTTCTCATTCCAGCTGTCCATCACTGTCCCTTCCATTATCAGCCCTCAAATCCACTACTGTAAGTCTCCTAACTGGCCTTCTTACTTCCCTGAAAATTGTTCCTCTGGTCTTTAAACTTTCCTCCATGATTCCCACTGGCAAATTCCCTTTGAAAGGGTAGCCCCAATGCCACCACCTCCTCCATGAATCCTTCATAATATGCCCAGTGGGAATATGCACTCTCTCTCTTCTGAAATCATACAACCAAGATTTCTCTTAATTTGTGCACATGAAGATGCACACCAGGCTTAGATTATGTCCTCTGTTCTCTATACAGATCTATCTCACATCTTACTTGACTTCACCTAGATAACCTATAGGCACCTCCAATCAGCATGTCCAAAAGAGAACTCTTGATTTTCCCCTCTCAAAACTTGATAATCTACCAGTCTTTCCCATTTTGTAAATGGCAGCACCATCCTATTTGTCGAATTAAAAACTGTAGATTTATCATTGATTCTTCTCTGTTACAACCATCCTCTATGCTCTTTCCACAACCCACTACCCCCCATTAAGAAGTAAAGTCTATCTTCCATCTGCTAAAATCTGGACTGACCTGTAATTGCTTTGACCAACAGAATATAGCAAAAGATACATTGTACCAATTCTGTGCCTTTCCTTTAAGAGGACTGGCAGCTTCTACTTCCTGGATCACTCAATCTTGGATGCGTCTAGGAATCCAGCATAAAATATGTGCTGATTTTACCACCTTCCCATCACTTCTGCTGCAGTCCTAGTGCAAACTAATGTCTTGTAGAATTATTACAATTGCCTCATAAAGGATCTCCCTCTTAAAGTGGTTTATAGAAAATGTAAATCAGATCATGTCATTTACGTGCTTAACACTATCCAATGGCTTCTCAATACGCTTAGAATACAGTCCAAATTCTTTACTCTGTCCTACAAGCTTCTTTGTTCTGGCCCCTGCCACACCCCTGACTTTGTTTCCTACTACTTTCTTCTGTGCTTAGCCTGCTACTTTGCCCATTCCTTGAATACATCATACATGCTCAGGACCTTGGCTCTTCTTCCTCCTGTCTGGGACACTCTTTCCTGAATCTTTGCAGGACTAATCTTTTCTCTTCATTCATATCCTAATTCATGTCACCTTCCCCGAGAGGCCTTCCCTGACCATCCATTACAGAATAGTACCCTTGTTCACCTCACCTTACCTGCTTAGTTTTCTTTAGAACATTCAACACTGGAAGAAATTCTCAACTAATTCGCTTCGTTGTTTTTGTCTCCTCTCACCTTGAACATGAGCTCTATAAAAGCAGGAAACTTGTCTGTTCCGCTAACAAACTTTTACCATAAATGGCTCTTGAAAATTATGCCACCTTTGGTGTCCAGCCTCCAAATTAGTCCACAAAGAGTCTTTCCTTGCATAGTCTGTTCCCACGCTGAACAGGGATGTCACCAATATGATATCTCAGAAATGATGAAAAAACTTGCGAGGCTGGGTCATAAAAGACTTTGTGACGCTTGCCTTGTTTTTACACATGACTCACTTTGGGAAAAGCCAGCTGCCATGCTGTAAGGACACTCAAGCTGTCTATGGAGAAGTCGATTTGTTGAGGACCTGAGGCCTTCTGTCAGCATTCAGTATCAACTCGGCAGTCATATGAACGTGACATTTTGGAAATGGGTCCTCAATCTCTAGTTGAGCCTTTATGACTGCAGGCCCAACTTGGCATCAAAGATAAATGCAATATAGTCCCTGACCTCAAGCTGCTCAAAATTTAGGGAGAGAGAAGTTGGGGGTGAGGGAAGAGTTAAATGATTTCATAGAAGAGGAAAGGGAGCATGGTGATGGGAATGATTTGACTCCACCACAGGAAAGAGGGATTAGAGGAAGCATCCAGTGGAAGGGATGCTTGGGTTACAGCCTGAAGAACAAATGTTAGTTATTAATGAATGTTGGTTGACATTGCCTCCAAGACACTGTTGGCTTCGGCTCTGGAATTGTTCTTGAGATTGAATTATCTTTTTTCACGGATGGAATGTTCAAATTAATGAGAAAAAAGAATGAATGAAGACTTGAGCACTGACCCCAAAGCTGGGAAGAATTCATTCCGCATGCATCCTAGATTACTTCAAAGAAAATGAACAGAAAGGATTATCAATAGTACTTACTTCTTGAGTTTTGTCCTTTTCCTTTATAACTTTGCTAAAGCAATATTCTGTTAAGGCCTCTCAAAGGTATAGGAGACTGTCAGTTGGTTGTTATAACTGAAATGGAAGGGCCAGAAGCATTTTAGAGGTATCCAAGTGCATAAGGTACAACTATCAGGTAATGAGTTGGAATTTTAACAGTCCTGAGCACATACATCTTAATGAGCATGGTCCCCCAGGGAGGAGTTCAGCCCCTTATTCCAATGATTTTGACATTACTGAAAACATTCTGAGAATGCATGTCTCTCTGGAAATTGTCTTCAAACCTCTAGTACATTCTTTTGAATTGCCTTGATGATGGTAAATCGTAGTCCTTTAAGTCTGCATTCTTATGTGCAGCAAGTAATTTTCCAGGCTATACCAGCCTGAGGGAATAGTCAAATAATAAGACAATGACATAAGTCCATTACTTCCAGCTCAGCTCCACCAGCTGGTTTGCTGGAATTCTGACCTACCTCATTCTGCCTCCAGGTGTATGTTTGGGGAGTGGGGAGCAACATTGGGAAGGAGAGAAGGCAGATTTGAGTTTTTTTGTTTTTAACAAATGGGCTTATTTAAATTTATGTATTAATTTTTCTTCATAACTATTCCATTTTCTGGCAGTCAGTTTCAGTCCATTCAGTGGGACCCTTGCTGTATCAAGGTGGTACTTTCTGGAGACAACCCATGTGGTAGTTTGTCTTCAAAGCAGGCTGGCGTCAATTTCTTCCCTCCCTCTATGCTCTTTCCACTGCCCCCCGCCCCACCCCAATTAAGAAGTGAAGTCTATCTTCCATCTGCTAAAATCTGGGCTGACCTGTGATAGTTTTGACCAATAGAATATAGCAAAAGGGACAATTCTTTGCCTTTCCTTTAAGAGGACTAGCAGCTTCTACTTCCTATATCTTGGATCACTCAATCTTGATACTTCTCCTAGGAACCCAGCCACCGAACTATGAAAAACTTAAGACATGGCAAGGGGCCAGAAGGAAGCCCTCCAGTTGACAGCCCCCAGCTGAACTTACAGCCAACAGCCTGTATCAGTTGTAGCCATGTGAATGAGCCATTTTGCATGCCCAGTCCGTTGAGCTGTCAGATAACTCCAGCATGAGAGAACCCAAGTAAGAGCCACCCAGTTGAGTCTAGTAGGCCTCTCAAAACATGAGAAATAATATATGGCTGTTTTAAGCCACTAAGTTTTGGAGTAGTTTGTGATGTAAGGATAGAAGACCAAAACACCCTATACCCTGTTCTACCAGCCCTGTGCCTGCATGGTTGAGTCACTGGTGCTGCCACCACTGACATGCCTCCAAGCAGCCCCTTTGGTATGTAACTGTTACTAGGCACTGAAGCTTGGCCTTTGGAACAGCCTATCCATCTAACCACCAGCCAGAAATGACAATCCTACCATTCTTTCTTTCTTTATTCTCTCTCCAGCTAAACCTCACCCAGCAGGAGGCAGTCAATTAATTTGTTCTTAGCATTAAGTGAGACTACATTTTACCACAGGCCCAAGGGGACAGAGACTTCAGTACTCTTCCTTTTCATCTGTCTGTACCACATTTCCCACTAGCTCTATCTTCTCTCTTCCCTTTCTGGCCAGCCAATTATCCCAGAGTTTGTCCAGATGATTCAACTTAATTTTTAAAAGCTAGCACAGTGCTGCAAAAAAATCCCCGTTCGCTTGTTTCATGTATCCACCAGGAATTTGTTTAGATGCCTGTTTTATGCTAGGTACTGTACTAGGTGCTAGGGAGATAAATACCTCAATTCTTTGAAACTTTCAAAAATCTAAAAATACGTACGGATGTGCTAAAATGAAAAACAGAAGAGAAAGCTTCTGCAGCAAATGGAAACACTAAAAAGCCAAAAGGAGCTGCGTCTCAGAAGAGAGATGAGTGACAAAGCTGTAGAATCCTGTTGAGTCAAAAAAGGTGTCATTCAGGGAGGGGGAGCAACACACACTGGGGCCTGTGGGGGGCAGGCAGTGGGGGATGGGGAAGAGAGAGCATCAAGATAAATAGCTAATGCATAAGGGGCTTAATACCTAGGTGATGGGTTGATCTGTGCAACAAACCACCATGGTGCACATTTATCTACGTAACCAACCTGCACGTCCTACATATGTATCCCGGAACTTAAAATTAAATTAAAAAATAAAAAATAAAATAGGGGTAATAACAGGACCTACTTCATTGGGTTGTAATGAGGTTTAAATGAGTTGATTCATGTAAGACAATTAGAAGAGTGCTTGGTACATAGTAAATGCTCAATAAATGTTGGCTATTACTTTTGCATTCTCAAAGTATCTTAGGAAAATGAAGATTCTACTAGTTTTTGCTTTAATTTCCCTGAAAATATTTTTTATTTTCTTCAAAAAAAAAAAAAAAAAAAACAAAGTGCCATTTATACAGCAATGTGACTGGTTTCCCTTTGAGGCTTACATGCAAGTCCTGAGGGCAATTTCAAAAGAGGTTGTATGGCCAACATGTTTTGAATGATAGTAACATGGTTGGAAATAGTGGAGCCTCCTGGGATGCCGTTGAAAGGAACTATCCTCTCTGGCATGTGAACAGTGTTTGACCGGCTACGAATAAAAATCAATTATGCCAGTATCTCCCTCAAAGATGGTGAGAATCAGGAGTGCTGAAATCATGCATGCATGTGTGACTTAGTTCTGGTGGACCCGCCAAGGGATCGGAAATGTCTACACTGTTGCTGCTTTTCTAATTTTAGGTAAGACTCCAAGGAGGCGGGCACTGCAGAGATGGAGATTCCTCCTTTGGTTTCGCCACACTCAGAGTCGGAGTGGGGGCTCTTATTTTCCAGAGCTTTGTTCCTCAGCTTTTTCCTCATCAAGTCACCATCCCCTTCCACCAGCTTCCCAACAGCAATAGCTTCCCAACCTCTCTCCTTCTTTCTGCATTTGTCCAACTCCCACCAGTTTATTCTCCACCCAGCAGCCAGAGGGACTCCCTTAAAATGAAAATCAATTCACATTGTTTCTCCACTGGGAACCCTCCAGTGGTTCGCCACTTCTCTCTCAATAAAAGCCAAAGTCTTTACAATGGCCCAAAATAAGGGGCTCTAAGGCCTGCCCCCAGCCCAACCACTTCTCTGGCCTTCTTCCCCTGCAATTCCCTGAGATGCTCATAACTGCAGGCACAGTGATCCCCTGCCTATCCCCTGCCTGTTCCTTGCATAGGCTTCACAGTGCTGTGCCCTGTGCTCTGCACCCACTTCAGTCAAGCTATGTGACTCACTCCCAGGCCTCCTGAGTCTCTGCGCAAATATCATCTTACCTAGGAGGGTTTTGCTCTCCATCCTTTAACAACAGCAAATCCTTACCCCTTCTTAGCACTTTGTATCCTTCTCCCCTTGCTCTATGTTTCTCCAGAGCACTCAAAATCACACACTTACCTGATTTTTTTGTTGTTGTTCACTGTCTCCCCCATCTAGAATGCTAGCTCTAAAAGACAGGTACTTTTTGTTTGCTCACTACTCTATCTCCAGCATTCACAATAGTGCCTGGCACAGAGTAAGCACTCAACTATTTATTAAATGAATAAATTACATAGCTACTGCCAATGGCAGGGAAGAGGGAAATCATAACCATACAGAGCAGCTTCAGAACCTGAATGGCCAACCTGCCAGGTAATTTTTGGCAGTCTCATGTTTTATCTTAAAGACTTTTATATTCTATTGCATTATAAAATCTGTTAGATAGAAAAAATAATCTTGAAGTAAAATTGATATTCCAAAATGATGAGTCTGTTTTCCCACTGCTATAAAGAAATACCTGAGACTGGGTAATTTATAAAGAAAAGATATTTAATTGGCTCACGGTTCTGCAGGCTGTACAGGAAACATGATGCTGATAGCTGTTTGGCTTCTGGGAAGGCCTCAGGAAAATTATAATCACAGCAGAAGGTAAAGAGAGAGCCAGCACTTCACATGGCCAGAGCAAGAGCAAAAGAGAGACTGGGGAGGTGCCACACACTTTTAAATAACCAGATCTCATGAGAACTCACTATCGGGACGACAGCACCAAGGAGAGATGGTGTTAAACTATGAGAAACCACCCACATGATCCAATCACCTCCCACCAGCATTGGGGATTATATTTCAATATGAGAGTTGAGTGGGGACACAGATACAAACCATATCAAGATATATGATGTCTGTCACTCTTTCATGAAATAATGACATTTTGAATTCATGATCAATGATACTTACCCATTTATGAAAGAATGGTGTTTTATTGAGCATCTGTGAAATGCCAAGCCCAGTGCAGAATACTGAGATCTTCTGTGGCTTTATAATCCTCCTGACCCCACGTGCCCTCAACAAGCCTGTGTCTTGCAGTTAGCAAAGCTGGGAATTTAATGGAGCATTCATGACATCTCCCGCAAATGCTGATAATAATAATTTTATTAAGTAATAATGACCACTTGTTGGGGGTTTACTGTGTGTTCTAGCTTTCTATTGCTGCATAACAAACCACTCCAAAACTCAGTGACATGAAACTACACTAAGTGGGTAAGAAATTTGGGCATGGCACTACAGGGACAGCTTCACAATTCTTGTCCCTGCTCCACATTGACTGGGGCCTCAGCTGGGTGACTCGAATGTCTGGAGATGGCTGGGATGGCTTCCTTAGGGCCATGTCCCTGGGGTCTTGGTTCTGGATGTTCCCTGGGCTCCTTGATTCTTCTGCAAGGTATATCTTCTGGAAATGAAATGAACGTTCTTCCTTCATATGCCCGGTGCTGGGCTGGAAGAGCTGGAAAAGCCAGGCTCCTTTCTTTCTCCACACTGCCTGTCCATGTGGCTAACTGGGGCTTCTCCAGCACAGCGGTCTCTGGGTAGCTGGACTTCTCACGTGGCAGCTGACTTCCTCAGAATGAGGGCTCCAATCGACTGGGCAGAAGCTGGAAGGTTTCTTATGGCCTAACCTTGGCTGTCTCAGAATATCAATTGCACCACATCTACATATCAGGCAAGTCATCAAGACGAGTCCATAATCAAAGAGAGAGGAATAAGACTTTACCCCTCAATGAAAAAGGCGAAAAAGAATTGGTGACCATCTTTATTCTACCATATTGTACTGAGCACTTTTCTTGCAGCATGGCTTTTTATCTTATGACAGCCCTATGAAGTATGTACAATGACTATTTCCATTTTATGGTAAAGAAATTGAGGCCTTGAGAGAAAAATAACTTCTCTCCAAACCCATAGTTAGCAATTGGTGGAGCCAGTAAGGAAATCAAATTTAATTTCCTTGAATTTTTAAAGCAAAATAGATAGCATTCTGCCTCTTTAGAATGGCTTCAGGGCAGACAGGGAAAAGTGAGTGGAGGTGGGAGGTGGGAATTGGGTTCTTACGGTAAGTCCTTGTAACCGCTCATAAGGAAGGACCTCGTCAAAGCACTGGCTACATAATAAGCCCATCTTTGAGCTTGGACCAGAGAGAGGGTTGGGGCCTCTGGAGAAGAATGTCGGCAGCTATAAAATAAAGCAGCTGTGCCTCAGGGTATATGTGAACCACAGCTGGTAACCCCAGACTGGGATATTGATTTCTTCAGGGCAAATGAAAGAGAACATGTATGCCAAATTGTTTTTTTGTTTTTTTTTTTAACCTAAGAAAAATAGTGGCAAGTCTCTGCAACGACCCTAACAATCCCACATTCATGAAGTGGCTCAAACCAGCAGGACTCGTGTTTGGAATGGAAAGACTGGAGCTGAGGAAAAGGAAAGTGGAATTTCTCTTTGGAGTTTTGAAATCTCTCCTTAGCTTATGACTTTGAGTTGCTTGAAAGGCTTGAAGGAATTTCCACACTTAGCACGCTTCCCATGGCTGCCGGCCGCCTGGCTCCAAAGCACACTTTGTGAGTTTTTAGTGTGTTCCCATTCCTCAGCATTATAATAGATGCTGTCACTAGAGCTGGATCCTGGCCGTGTAAGGCAGGTCACCCCAAAAGTCTGACCAGGGCCCTGTTTCCTGACTGAATGCTTGGTTGATGGTATCTTGTCTGATTCATATCCTATTGGAAACGGTGTGAAACAGGGCCTGGAAGTAGATCTGGTTTGAATCAATCTGGCCTACACAGACTTGCTTGACAGGCAACAGAGGCTGGACTGCTGGTTTTAAAAGAGAAATCCTAGTTTTAGAGAAGCTTTTTTCTTTTCCTTCAAAAGACTGAGAAACTTACCAATTTCTTACGACTAACACAGTGCTGCACAAACATGCAATGCTTTAATAATTTCCTCTTTTGTTGTTTGACATATGCATTCACCAAATATTCATTTAGATGCCTGTTTTATGCCAGGTACTATGCTAGTACCTGTTAGGAAGACAATCCTGAGCAAAATAGACTTCATTCCTGCCCTCATGAAGATTACAGTCTAGTGGGGAAAACAGAAATTGAACAAATCCCAAAACTAATATAAATAAGTGCATGTAAATGAGAGATATAGGGTTCTAAGAGGGACTACATACAATAGGGGGCCTCACTTAGATTGAGGAGCTCAGGATGCAAGGAAGAGACATTGAAACAGAGGCCTGGTAGATAGATAGGAAATATGCAAGCAAAGAGCTGGGGGTAACTGTCTTCTGGACAGAGGGAACAGCAGGGGTGAGGCAAAGTGGGTTCAGGTGGGGCTCAAGAGACAGGGAGAGCCCAGATCATGCAGGACCTGATGGCCAAGAGCAAGATTTTGTGTTTTGAATTCTCCCTCCAATCAGTTTTGTTTAAAGCACTTTCTACTAGTGTCAACTGGATTGGATGCAACACACTATCATTGAGCGAATTATTAGGTTGGTGCAAAAGTTATTGTGGTTTTTGCCATTAATGGGTTGCACCAGCCTTATAGATCCTGAAACAGCCAATTCAGAGCAAGACTGCTGGCATTCTCCACTGAAGAGCTGGATTGGGGGTGGGGCCAATATTAAAGCACTAGCTTGGGAGAAAGATGGAATTTAAAAGTCCATATATTATCCTATTTATTATTTTCATTGCCATTCTCCATTTATATTTCCTTTCAATCAAAAATTACTGAGAACATCTTATATGCAAAATGCCTTGAAAGATTCAAAGAGTTCTGGGACACATCCTTTCTCTCCAGGAACTTATGTCTTAGCGGAAAAGCCAGCTCTGTGAATCACCCTACAAAACCACAGACTTATGCAGCAAAATGGACAGCATCTGAAATATCATCTGGTCCAGGTTCACAGACATATTCTCCAGGGTCACAGAGCTCTAGAGTAATTGTCTTTTAATTTTGTGGTTTTCATTTTGATTATAATCTAAAACGTATTTTACTGGTTATAAAGGAGAAAAAAAGATCCTCTTGTTTGCACTAATGATTTACAATTGAGAGACATTTCTTGGCAAAAGTTCCTCAAGTCACTGTTTGTCCAACTAGGATCCATGGAGCCTTCAGTGCCCACAGATGTATTTTCAGGAGTCTATGAAAATTATTCTTCTCTTGAAATGTGTCCTTAGATCACCAAGTTTGAGAAACTAACCTATTCCAACACGTCATTATCACAGACTTTTTTTTTGTTGTAAAGACCAAGGCCTAGGATGGGTAAGAATAAAATTCCTAAAATATTTTAGATTCCTTATGTTAATTAGAAATCATCGTTTTCAATCTTCTTTTGCATTCTTTATCTCATTGCTTTCTTGTAAATATCCATGACCCACACAAGATAGACAGTATTATTATCCTCATCAAAGAGATAAAGAAATTGAGATTCATAGCTGTTAAGTAACTTGCCCAAGTTCAACTAATAATGGTAAATGCAAACAGTGGTGTTGGAATGAAAATAATCTACTTTCCAGGCCAGTAGTCATCCCATTGTTCTAACCTTCTAGAATTAAGGGCAACAGATGTAACACATTAAAATCTGCAACCTCTGTTCCAAGCGTGTGTTTTGGTTTTATTTTACCAATTAGACAAAAGTTCCTCACTTGGTCATAGTCATCCCATGATATCTTAATGATTTCCTCTGCTTAGCTTTGGTGGTTTTAAAATGTCTACAAATTCTTTGATTGCTCCCATGACGTAGGTCTATGTACCCTCCCCTTGAATCTGGCTGACTAATAGCATGTGGTAGGGGTGACTCTATGTGAATTTTGAGTTTGAGTCATAAAAGGTGATCCAGCTTCCACCTGGTCCTCATGAGATGCTCCCTCTTGGACCCCAGCCACTAAGCTATGAGGAAGCCCTGGCCACATGGAAAGGCCATGTGTAGGTACTCAGCTGACACCCCCAGTTGGGGTCTCAGTCAATAGCCAGCATCAACCCAAGACTTATGAGTGAAATGGTTTTGAGATGACTCCAGCTTTAGCAGCCATTGAACTGCATGAGTAAGCCTGCGTGAGAACCATCTAGCTGAGCCTAGAACCTAGAGAGACAGTGTAACAACTTTTAAACCACCAAGCTTTGGGCTGATTTGTTAGGCAGCAACAATGACTGGAATGCTGGCTGGGCACCTTGCATTGGGTGATTTCATCAGTGTTTCTCCCAAAAGGCATCATGGTCTGCACTGTACTAGGAGCTTTCGGCTTGAAGAGAGATATATGGCCTCCCTAGAGGGGACCAGAGGCTGTGCACAATTATGGCTTGATTGTCCCTAACATTTCTGTTCCTCTGACTTATATGTTCTCTTTTTTTATCAGAAAACACTGCTTTTGACTGCAGCTCAGTGTTGCTTCTGTAAACAGGGTATCAGCTCAGCCTAAGGTAAAAATACCATGCTCCTGAGAGTTCCTTCTGATGAGATATCTCCCTTTGCTAATGCTGAAATAGGTTCCCTCCCAGATCTAGGAACTGGTGAGCCAGCTGCCCTGAAGGAACGGAGGGGCCAGGCAGCCAGAAGGAAAACCGCAGGGAGAAGATGTCTTCATCTCTGGCCCAGTCCCCAGCACAGATGTATTTGGGTTTTCTAAATGAATGAATGGACTCAAAGTAGCAAAAGATTCACCTGATCAAACTGAACTCATTTGTGACTCACTAGAGCATGAATGAATAATCAAGGTTCATACTCATTTATAAAGGAAAAATTCTCCCTCTCCTCACAAAAGGTGGAGAGTGTAGGGGAACAAAGTTACTTGGAATTGGAATAAGTCAATGAGTGAGCAGAAGACTTTCAAAATGAAATACTTAACAGAGAAAGAGAATAAACCTAATTAGACTGAATTAAGCCTATAGTCATTAAAATGTCATGTCACTTAAAAGTGAGAGCTAAAATGTTGTTATGAAAGGGTTGCATGTTGTCTGCAGAGATCTCGCTTACAGAAAGCAGGGGTACCGCCTGCATCATTGTAGGTATCAGGAAAGCCTCACCCAATGAGCTACTGCAAATGGCCACACAGGCTGAGCACCATACACCTCCAGTGGGCACCATTCACAAAAGCCAGGAGCTTCTCCAGAATTTAAAAGCTAATTTAAAAGAATTCATCCCTAACAAGCATCTATTACATTCACAGTTTTTAT
This sequence comes from Homo sapiens, assembly GCF_000001405.40. Lineage (NCBI taxonomy): Eukaryota > Metazoa > Chordata > Mammalia > Primates > Hominidae > Homo > Homo sapiens. The sequence continues at coordinate 65,527,127 of NC_000012.12, forward strand.
TGGTAGGGATTTGAGGACAGCATCAAGAAGTGATCTGATTGGGAAGATGGTCACACAGGTTAATAATAAGTGTTATGGGAGCAAAGCGCACATCTAATTCTACCAAAGGAAGTGTAGGAAAGTACACCAAAGATGTGGCTTTTCAGTGGAACTTGCCAGGAAGAGGAGTGTGGGAAGAGCCTTCTGGATATAAGCAGCACGGCGTGCAAGGTGTCCTGAGTGTAGAGGAGCAAGGCATGTCTGTGGGGAGGACTAGTGGGTAATGAACCAGAAGACTTAAGCAGAGACTTGACTGTAAAGGATCTTGGGATGCTAAGGAGTTTGGCCCTGACCTTCCAGATGTATTCTCTATCAATAGGGGAGAAATTGGTAAGCCCAGAGAAAGCAGCCATAAACATGCTCCATATAGCATGGAGCCTGAGAGCCATGAGGTAGACCAGTCCTTCCCCTCTGTCTTGTTGAGGCCTAAAAGGTAGGAGATGTTTGTACATGCAGAAGCCTTTAACCACGGTAATGTGGATTGTCCCATAAAGACAAGTTTCCTAATACCTTGTATCCCATAGTCAGTAAGATCAGGAGCAGGAATAAACCAAAGGCCTCAGAGGCTGAGGTGTATTTGTGTGTGGTAGTAGTTGTTGGTTTTGTAGGCAGGCAGGAGGGAACATTCTGGGCCATTAGAGGCTTAAAGATATTTGACAGTCTGGTCAAGTGTCTCTGATGGCTAATTGAACTTGGCCCAACCCAGGGAATGCAGAAGCCCTCTTCACCTACTACACAGTTTTGCAATGGGCTCACCCAACCCAAGATTTTTAAACACATACTTTGGGACATCTTTGAAGACAAGACAAGTACACTTTTGTAAGAATAATACTAATCTCAATAATAAAAATAATATCAGTGTTATTAAATGTTGTGTCCTTCCAAAATTCATATACTGGAAGAAGGTTTAATCTCAAATGTGGCTGTATTTAGAGATGGGAACTTTAAGGAAATAATTATGACTAAATGAAGTCATAAGGGGTGGGGCCCTGATCCAATAGGATTAGTGTCCTTATAAGAATAGAGAGATCACTCTCTCTAGGCACAAACACACCAAGGAACATAGCTGAGATGATGTCTGTCTGCCAGCCAGGAAGCCCTCACCAAGAACTAAATTTGTCAGCACCTTTATCTAGGACTTCTAGCTTCCAGAACTGTAAGAAAATAAATCTCTGTTGCTTAAGCCGCTGAGTCTATGGTATTTTGTTACGGCAACCCAAGCTAATAAAAATAGCAAGAATAGTTAACATTTATGGAGCACTTATTATGGGCAAGTCATTGTTATAGGTGCTAGTCATAATTGCTTCATATTTATTAAGTGTATTAATGGTAGGCACCATTATCTCCGTGTTTTGTGTGTGTGTGTGTTTTTTATTTGTTTGTTTGTTTTGAGACAGGGTCTTACTCTGTCACCTAGGCTGGAGTGCAGTGGTATGACATCAGCTTACTGCATCCTCCAACTCCTGGGTTCAAGTGATTCTCCCGACTCAGTCACCCCAGTAGCTGGGATTACAGGCGTGCACCATGACAGCTGGCTAATTTTTGTATTTTTAGTAGAAATGAGGCGCCATGTCACCCAGGCTGGTCACGAACTCCTGAGCTCAGGTGATCCACCCTCTTCGGCCTCCCAAAGTGCTGGGATTACAGGCATGAGCGACCGTGTTTGGCCCATTATCTCTATTTTACATTTGAGGAAACTGAGGTTTAGTAATTCACCAGAGGCAATGCAGCTAATGTGTGGTAGAGGTGAAATTCAAACCCAGCAAAGTGCCCCAGAGAACCTTCTCATCATTTACACTGCTGGTCATCGAGATATTCATTGGAAGGTCTCTGTGCTGAGTAGAGCTTCTCACTGAGCAGGGACCCAGGACCTTGGCCAATTCTCTGCCAGTCAACTTATTTAGGCCAGCATCAAAAGGCCTCTTTCTCCCTGCATGTCCCCTGCTGGGTGGCTTGATTTTTCCTCAGAGGGGCTGGAACCCTTCCACAGATATCACTAGAGTCCCAGGACCTTTCCTGCCTTCTTTTTCCCATGAAGAGCGAGCATTATTCAGACACCCCACCCTTGCCTGCACATTGAGATGGGAACTGAGAGTTGTAAAAAGGCTTTGAATAACCACAGAAATAATTTTTTTTGTAATCATTTTGGATCCATTTGCCCATTACCCATTTGAGAAAAACCTTGCAGAAAGCAATTTCCTAATATGGCGCTTTGGATATACAATGTAAACATTTTCTTCCTGGGACAAATAGGCTTGAGATTTGCTAAACTCTCCAGAGACACATTTTTCTTTCTATTTTCTTTTCTGTGATGTGATATGACATTATAGGGTGTTGGGGATGGAGGGGAGTCTTGTGTACTTATGCATTTTCTCATTGATTCTCATGTTATTTCAATTGTACATTATTTTCCCAGAAAAATTGTCATAAACCATTTGGAATGGCCCTGCTTTTAATGGGTGCTAAAGATTTTTCTCTCTAGCTTTGTCATCATTAATAGGCTCTCCAAGAGGTTCATTGTCCCATGGTGAATTGGTGGTGAAACTCCCAAGCTCCTACTCCCTCATTGCGCCACATTCACCCTACAGCGAGTCTTTCTTTCTGGCCCTGGCTTGAATTTAAGCTTCAAGATGGAAAGATCTGGCAAAAATCTGACACTAAATAGCTTTGTCCTGTCACTTAGTTTTAAGTATTCCTCTGTCCAATGAAGTGCAGGTTGACTTGAAGCCAAAAGTTTATCCTGTGCTCCAGGGGTCACCAAACTCCACACCAGATCTCAGAGCAAGCTCCGAAGGCAGAGTCCTTCCATTCAGGCTTTTCCATTCCTCACCAGGGGCCCTCAGGGCCAGTCCTGCAGGATAATCCTTCATGTGGTTTCCAAGATCCCAACCCCCTCTAAAGCCACTCTCCACATGTTTTTCTAAGCCTTTTCTGCAATTTTCTGCTGCTTTTCTTCTGTTATTTCCATCTCTTTTTCTTCCTACTACTTGGTGGAACCACTGTCAGAAATGCGTTCCCCTCTGCTAGGTCTGTCACTGGGTACATGAGCAGTCTCTTACGATGCATTCCTGGAATCTTCTCTGTTGCACTTTGTGCTAAGTGAATGCCAGCAGTCAGCTAGAAACTTAAGTGAATGGCTTAGACTGTAATTCCTAGAGGTGGTGCCTGACATAAATCAAGGCAGATTTGCTAAATAACTTTTTTTTTGTTTTTTGAGATCGAGTCTCGTTCTGTCACCAGGCTGGAGTGAAGTGGCGTGGTCTCGGCTCACTGCAGCCTCTGCCTCCCGGATTCAAGCGATTCCCCTGCCTCAGCCTCCCAAGTAGCTGGGACTACAGGCACACACCACCGTGCCAGGCTAATTTTTTGTATTTTAGTAGAGACAGGGTTTCATCATGTTGACCAGGATGGTCTCAGTCTCCTGACCTTGTGATCCACCCACCTCAGCCTCCCAAAGTGCTGGGATTACAGGCATGAACCACCACACCTGGCTGCTAAATAAATTTTAAAGAAAAGGATGGTCCTTGGGCACATCTTTGGCACCTTTACACAAATGTGTTATTTTCAGAGGAAATGAACAAAAAGACATAGTACAGTGTTTGTTAATATTAATTCTAATAATTCTAATAGCAGCTAGGTATTCAGTAGCTATTAAAGATATATATATATATATATATATGGCTGGATGTGGTGGCTCACAATTGTAGTCCCAGCACTTTGAGGAGCCGAGGTGAGTGGATCACTTGGGGTCAGGAGTTTGAGACCAGTCTGACCAACATGGCAAAACCCTATCTCCACCAAAAATACAAAAATTAGCCAGCTGTGGTGACATGCGCCTGTAATCCCAGCTACTCGGGAGGCTGAGGCAGAAGAATCAGTTGAACCCAGGAGGCAGAGGTTGCAGTGAGCTGAGACCACACCACTGCACTCCAGCCTGGGCGACAGAGTGAGACTTTATCTCAAAAAATAAATAAATAAAAATTAAAAAATATATATACATATGTGTATAATTTCATTTCATATTCTTAATTTAATTCCACAGCAACCCAGCAAAGGAGGTTGTGTAATTAGCACCATTTACAAATGCAGAGAAAGGTTAAGGACCTTTCCAAGATCATAGACCTAGGAAGGTTGTATGGAGAAAGGACACTGAATAACCAAAGATGTTAAGACTTCTCAATCAAATGATGCAGAGCAAAAATTATGAAGTCAAAAGGGGCCTGAATGGCAGAAGAGTTTGAGGGTGAGGCCAGCCAGAAAAGATAGAAGGAATAGGGTAGGAGCTTAGGATGGGGCAGTTGGAAGCATGTAGAGCCCATACTCTTCAACTCCCTCCTACCCCATCTACCACCATATTGAGTCATCTTTGAAGATTGGTGACAACTGTGAAATGGGCCAGAATGAGCTGGTGGGCCACAGTGCCACCTAAGCATTCATGGATGGTATAGAGGGAAAAACCACCATAATTCTCTTGCACTGGGTGACTCCCAGTTCCTACTAGGCCTCTGGTTTCTCTTTCCTCTGAAATGCTAGCTCAGCCCCTTACCCTGGGTTAGCTCAGGCTTTCAGTTCAGCCCTCCCTGCTGAACCTTCTGGTGGGTCATACTGACTTGGCCCTCAACTCATGCCAGAGAGCTGGCCAGGGATCACTCTGTCCACCATCCTATACCAGCTGTTCCTGACCAGCTCTAGCCTCTTTTGAATCATCAAGAGGACCATTAGGTGAGCTTTGTGAGAGTATGAGGGAGTAGTGAGAGCTTCCTGTAAAAATTCAGTAAGAAAGACAGCCTGGATAAGCAAGAAAGAGCTGCCCTAGGAGTACAAGATGATGAGAAAGCCCACATAGGCAGCTTCTTGGTTCCCTAACCAAACAGCCACAGAGGTGGTAGGAGGGCTCAGGTCTCCCAACCTAGCCAGGGACATTTCCCCTATCAGCCTCATCTTGAGAAAAGTTCCTCTTATTTTGCATGGGCACCAAAATAGGAAAGCAAAGGCATTTGCATTTCAAAAATGCAATGTAAGGCAATTCTTAAACAAAAGAAATAAATTTCTATCAATAAAATTAAATTTCTGTCTGCTGGTCCGTTATTGCATCATGAGAAAATAGCTGGATGGATTGTCACTATGTGCAGAGACTATGTTTAGGATGACCTGAGTTACAGCTAGACTATGAAGCATGCACCAAATTCTTCAGGGAGAGGTCAGAAGTCATCCTCTAGAGAATTTGCAGGCCTTGATTTGCAATCAAGCTCTTTTCACAGCAGCAGTTCCATGTAGCTGCGTTCCATGGTGGATAGCCAGGGATTCATTTATTTAACTGCACCAATAAATCCTAAGCAATCCTTAGGGAAGCCACTCACAAATAGTAGAATGTTAGCCACTGGGTGAGGAGGCTGGAGCTGAGAGGGGCTTCCTAGTAGCCCCCAACCACAAAAAATGAGAAACTTTCCAGCTCATCCACTGCCTCAGACTCCTCTTTACTTCTTCTATGGCCATTGGGCTTCAGTGGAAAAACAAAACAAGAGTTGGATGCTTGCTAGACACCCCAACACAAGCCATTTAGGGGTAGGAGGAAGGGAGACTGGGAGAGGAATGTAGGACGTAGAGGTCACATGAAATTATGGCTGCTCCAAGGGGAACACAGTATTCAAGGCATCACGGGAAGTACAGGAGCACAGGCCCTCAGCCAGGATCCCTCTCCTCCCAGCCTCACGGACTCTGATCGGGCAGCCTGGGGGCTAACTGGTCTGCTGGGAGTTGGATAGTCAGTGAAAGCACTCTGCTCTCCTCCCCCAGCCTGCCTCTAGGTAAATGTGTGTATTTAACTAAACCACAACCACAAAGGCTCATGAAATTTTCCTGGAAGCCAATTAAAGCAAGGAGAGTCATAGTAGTAGATAGTATTAAGCCATGTACCAATTCTTTTTGGCTTACAAGTGCCGGAATTGCTTGTTTATACATTAAGAGCAAAAAAAAAAAAAAAAATAGACTGTAGTCTTTTCTCTTAATTGCTGTAATTATACTTGTGCCACCCACAAGAGAGGCCATTGATCTCATTTCTAAAGGGCAATTGTTGTAGCCTGGCTCTTCTGAGAGCTTTACAAAGTTTTTCTCATTTTCTGATTACCACTGGCGTATTGAGCTGCCAGTAGAAATGTATTTTCTCCCTGGTGCATTTCTCCCTCCTCCCCACACTCTCTCTCTCTCTCTCTCTCTTTCTCTCTCTCTCCCTCCCTCCTCCTGTCTCTGCTGCTGCTGGGTAGTTACCAGGAAGAGCTCACTTCCTCCTTCCTCAGGATCAAAAGGGATTGCAATTTCTGTGATCAATTGTGTGTGGTTAGACATTCTCAGAATATCCTGAATGTGGAAGTACTCAAAAGCCCATAATCTGGATAATAGTCGTCTGTGCTGGCCACATCCCTTAGGAAAGGCTCGAGAAACCTGGGTCAAAAAATTTACAAACTTTTTTGGCTCATTCGCATTGTGCGTTGAATTGGGCGAAGCATTTCCTTCGGGCTACCCGATACACAGCAATCTGAAGTATTATTGTGGCCTTCTACGCTTATCCTTGGAAGTCCTGCCTGAGTCCTTTCCCTGTGTAATCGTGAAGGAATGCTGTTCCAAAGACATGGGGTCAGAAGGGTGCAATAAATCAATCCAGATACACCCCTAATGAATGGCAAATTAAACAGCATTTGTTTTAAGTTCATAGGTCCTCTTGGAAGATGCCTTTTTAGTGCAAGCAAAATTCCTGGGTTGCAGGTATGAAAAGCTATGGGGGGTGGGGTGTGGAGGGCTCATAGTCTCTGGGTCGTTTTAGCCACCGTTTTTAAAAGTGCCAAAAATATCCCCAAAGTGAGTTTGCCCAGCTAACTCTGAATGTGCAGTGCTTTCTGCAGCCCTTACCCTAAGACAGAATTGTCTGATTGCTGTGGATTCTGGGGCGACCCAGACCCTTGCTCATTGGGTTTCCCCCTTGCTCATTCAGGTAGTGCTGCTGGGCTGGATAGGTGTTTTTGAGAACCCGCCATCCTCAAGGCTGCAAAGATTGAGCTAAAACAAATCTTCCAGTCACATACAATTCTAGCAGAATCACGGAGACATGGCCTGTGGCATTGAGAAGATTAAATTACCAAGCCCGCTGTGCCCCCTCCCCCAAGTAACTGGAATATACTTGTTAGAGCTGCATCAGAAAGAACAGAATAGCCTTTAGTCTTCCACAGCCCCTAAGCATTTTGGTAATAAATAATAAAAGGTATTTATTACATGTTACAGTGACATTGTGGAATTCAAATGCAGTTAACCATAACATTTTCTTCCTCAAATGTTAAAAAGAAAGAAAAAAGTATTAGGAGTGGGGAGGCAGGACAGCGGGAGCAGTGGCTTTAAAACCTGAGGAATGTGGTAAAGAGAGCCTTGTGTGTTTTTTATAGTCGTAGAATGGGGGTAGAAAGTGGGGAGAAAACATGGGCAGGAAGTCAGGGGATTAGGGCTGCAGGCCTGTCGGTGCCACTGTCTGGCTTTGCTACCTTGGTCAGAAGGACTACCCTTGCTCCATCGCAGCTTCGAAGTTATCATCAGATAAAAGGGTTGAGAGCCTTCCTGTTTTATCAGCTGTTTATTCAGTTCTCTCAAAAGACCTCTGCGTCAGGCTTCCCTGAAGTTCAGTGGTACACTCTTCTGAACCATGCTTCCTTTCAACCAAAAGGGGCCAGGCACAGTCTAGGTAATGGACAAGGGACGAAGAAACAGGCCCTGTGTTTCCCTTGCCTCAATTTACCGTGCTGTGGACTGGACAGAAAAGTCTTCCCTGGACTGACTCCCCACAGAGCTACAGGAAGCATCTGGCGGTAGAGGGTAGTGGCTAAAAGCATAAGCTCAGAGTCAAGTTTCGGCTTGGGTTCTAGCCCCGGTCACCTGTAACCATATCTTCTATTACACTGGGACCTTGAGCAAGTTGTTTAACTCTCTGAGCTACAGAGTCCTTATCTGGAAAATGGTGTATTGTATCTAAAAATGAATGACAGGACCTAGCATAGTCCTTGACACATACACTCTCAATTAATGGTAGCCAAAGAAATGAGCAATAATAAAAATGTTTCCTAGGCCTTAGTTTTATGCTAGTAACTACGGGTAAATGATGGCTGGGAGTAGGGAAGAAGAGTGCCTTATTTATATGTAGGAGCCTCTGGCAAGCGCACATGAGCTGTTCTGGGTGCTGGCTGGGGAGGTACCACAGCACATCTTAGGAGCCATGCCTGCATTTAAGGAAGGACTGCAAAGGCAAGAAGCAGGAATGAGAGACCTCTTGGAAAAAGATGTGGATTTTACATTCATTCATTCATTCATTCATTCATTCATTCATTCATCTAGCACTGAGGAGCTATTGCAGTTGTGGCTTTTGGTTACTTGTTCATGTGTCAGACCTTTGCTAGCAGGATTACAGAGATGAATGGCACCATCCTTGCCCTCAGAGAACTGACAGTCTAAAGTTCTAAAAGCAAACTGGCAGTGACAATAGAAGATGCTAAGTCTGAGGAAGGTAAGCACAGGGAACACGGGAGGTGGGGTGACTGTTCTGATTTGTCCAGGACTATCTTGATTTTAACACTAAAAGCCCACATTCCAGGAAGTCTTTCTGTCCCAAGCAAACAGACAGTTGGTCACCCTAGTGGGAAGAGTCAGAGGAGTGGCAGCACCTGAACTAATCTTGCCAAGTCAGAGAGGGCTTCTTGGCAGAAGGGATGGCCTACAAGGAAAGTAGGAATTAGCCAGGCAAGGATGTTGATGAATTGGAGGTGGAGTGGGTCTTAAGTAGAAAGAACCGCACATGCAAAAACCTAGAAGCAGGCAAGACCATGAGGAAGTGGGGAACCCTGGGGAGAGAAGGTGGAAGGCCTTTCTTTGCAGTGGACAGCCATTGCCCTCCAAATATGTTCCTCTTCTCCTTGATCTCTCCTCTGACTCATGTTGATTGAGAATGTAGATCGGCAAAACTGTGGGAGATGCTGTCTAGGCAACTCTCACATTAGAAGGGAGAAAAGAAGATGAATTTTTCCCAAGGTCCCTTTCAAGTCTTTGATTCTAAACCAAGAATACACCCCATCAGGCCATCCACAAGGGAGGTGTTCACTCTGTGTATAAGATAAATAGCCTACACCTTCCCTATGTATGTCAGCTGCCTTGAAGAGTGACACAAGTCATCACACAGTTGATTTGGCAGCAATGATATGTCCATCATAAATGCACCAGCATGGATGTGTTTGCTGGGCCACCACCAGCTGGCTGAGCCACCGTGGAGATGAAAGTTTAATTATTTTGTTTTTCTAAGTAAAAAAAAACCCTTTCCTGGTGAGGCATCACACCCTTTCCATTGCTCATGAAGACCTAGAGAACTAGCTGGAGTTCGTTTTTTCCCCATTATTCCCTAAATGTTGCTGTAAAGAATGCTCTCTGACGTGACTTGTTTCTGTATTTTACAGAGCCTATTCTGTTAATATGAACAGTATTAAGTCAAGAGGGTACCTGTTTTGCTTTTCAGCACTTCTTTCCCAATGTGAATCACTTTGGGAAAGGTGATTTCTAGATTGTTAATCCTTTAGGTATGTGTTTCATCCTCTAATATCAGGCTGGCATAGACACACTGGGAAAAAAATGAAAATAAAAACTTAATGTCTTTTCTATAGCCTGTCCCAGAGAAGAAAAGAACGCAGGGAGGAAGGAGTCTTGACATCACTTAATAAAGCTTTATGAGTAACTCCTTTACTACCCTAGATAACATTGCTAATGCATATTGCTCAATGAAAGAAAATGTCCCAGGCTATGCTTTACAACAGGCAGAAAACTTTGAGCTGTCTTGCCAATGCTTTATACTAAGTGCCAAATCCTTATTTCTTTCTTAGGCATTTATTGTAATAACATGAATCATGATGCATCACTCTGGTATTCGTGTGGCTGCTCAGTGTTAAGTCCCCAGGACCTCCATGGAGTTGACTTTATTTGGTTTTCCACTTCCGCTTCTGAGTGAGAGCCACATGAACTCAGACGTGAAGGCTCACAGGAGCTCAAGTGGGCGGACCTTTCTGTTGCTGTTTTGGTCTGCCTGTACTCAGCGGTTGTGGTATGTGCAGACCTGAACACTTGAGGGGACATTCAGCTGGAACTACCCCCATTTCCTGTAGTTTCCACTAAAACAAGAGACTTAGGATGATGTTCAGGATTGCTCAGACAGTTGCAAACCTCTGGGGCACTTGGAAGAAATGTGGCTATTAATAGAATTTTTGAGCATTGACGTATATGTTTTCTAACTTCCCATATATAATCCTGAGAGTGGGGCTGGATGTTAAACCCTGGAAGTAGGGAGTTTCCAGAAAACCATTCAGGATATCAGTGTCAGGTTTCTGACTTGATGAAGAGTTTGGATGAGTGGCTTCTAGATACAAAGGTTAATAGTGTCTGTTTCAAAGCCTAAATGGAATGCTGTGCTCATCTCCAACTTTGTGAATGTTCAACTGGCACGGTCAATTTATTCACTTTGAAAGTCTTAACCGTGCTGGTGAACCAGCAGGAGTGCTGTTAGGAATATTTAACATAAGCAAAAAGGAAAGGTAATGAACATTGAGAGCAATTGAAAGGACGATCCTGTGAAAAATATGTGACCTTACCTGAGTGTCTCAGCTGAGTATCAGTCCAGCAGAGCACCAATCACTTGCAGTGGCTGTGGCAAAGACACTGATGGCTTATTCATTGATTTGTACAATAAATATTGTGCCCTCACTACATGCCACTTACTCTGCTAGGCATTGGAGATACAATGCTGGACAAAACCAGACATGCTCCTGTCCTTCCAAACTTAACAATTTGATCTGAGAGACAGATATTAATCAAGTAGTCACATAAAAATACATAAAATGTCAACCTTGACAAGGAATTGGACAAGGTACTATGAAAGGCCTTGACCTAGTTGGGGATATAATGATTGGGCTGAGACTTAAAAGATGAGAAGTAATTAACTAGGATACCACAGGCAGGAAGAGTGCTTCAGGCAGAGGGAACAGCTCGCACATGTGAAGTTGAGTGATTCACCCAGTCATACAATTAATAACTAGTAGAGTCAGAGATGGGTGAAGAGCTCCAGGGGTCTCAGTTAGGAGTCTTACTAGCCCTATCTAATAGAACTTTTTGCAATAATGGAAATGTTCTATAGCTATGCTGTTGGATACAGGTAGCCATTAGTTACATGTGGCTATTAGCTCTTAAACTGTGTTTAGTGTGATGAGGAACTGAAGTTTTATTTAATTTTAATTAATTTAAGTATAAATAGCCAAATGTGGCTACCATATTGGAAAGCACAGATCTATATGAACCAAGTCCTGAACTAGCCCAAGCTACACAGGGCAGAAGGTTACTAAAGAGGAGAGGAAATAATTTTTTTTTTCTGAGATAACGATAAGCACATTGACCTGGGGGCTTCATTCATTCACTCTCACTCAAAAACATAAATTTATTGGGTACTCACCATGTGCCAGGCACTAGGCTAGCCCTGGAGCTTCTCTGATTGGCAAGACCAATCTCCCACTCTTGAGGTATTCAGAGTCTGGTGAGAGCAGAAACACTCATAGTAGTAATAGCAATACATTGTGATTGAATTGGCAGGACTTTGCTTTTTTAGGGTTGCTTACAATGGGAAGAACTGAGGGGTCATTCTTCTCTAATCTCAACCCTATAGGCAAAGGTCATGGTTTCTAAATTCCAACTGCTCCATACTCCAAGGTCTTCAAATAAAGAGGGAGGGCTTTAGTATAACACACTAAACACTTTAAAAAATCTCCCAAATTCAGTATACCAGTATAAAAAAAGAAGTGGATTTGCATTTTCATGTAGGCCTTGCATGCCTCTTCATTTGTAGGGCATCTATTGCTGAGTTTGGGGAAGTTGGGCCCCACCAATTGAAATTCTTTATAAATAGGTCATGAGACTTTTACTCAAGGATCCAGTAAGTGACATAGAATTTTAGTCAGAGCCAAGCTGTATTTTCGTGGGACTTTCAGGCATTGACTTTTGCTTCTCACACAGGCTAAAAAGGGAGCTAATAACTTTTACATATTTTCTAAAAGCACTTTCTCACAAGCAGTGGCTGTTCAAACACTTCAAACACTTAAACCTTCCTGCTATTACACACAGAATGCCAACAGTTATTACATCATTGTAAAAAACACTTCCTGATACTCAATTATACTCATTATGCCTAAATATTTAATTCCTGCCAATACCCAATTTAAATCGTCACTTCAAAACAATTTGTTTCCGATTATTGGGATCTACTAAATTACCTCCTCAAACCTATCACCTGAAAAAACATTAAGTGCCAGGGAGAATAAAAAGACTTTCCCTGTTACGAACTCAGGACACTTGCCCAGGGAGCTTCTCCTTATGGCGCACTGGTTTCTACAGAGTGTTCTGGCTTACAGCTTGTCCCTGCATCTTGGAGACCCAAGGAGGAAGAACCCAGATGTGTGCCCCACTGACCGAGTTTGTCACAACTATGACTGCTCAGCAAAATTAGTGGGTGTGGGTTGTGGAGTAAAAAATAACAGAAGCAGAGGCTTACTCAAAATACACTTAATGAGAACCATCTAGGGGGATGGAAATCCATATTTTTTAAAAATATCTCAAAGGATTCAGAAATGATTGGTTAACAGACTAGAAAATACTATTGTTTTCAATTAGCATATTTTACCCTGTTACATTTATGACATAATTTTCAGTGTGAAGTTTGTCAATGTCTCTTTTTCCTCTGAATTAGACAAGTACCTCAGGACTTCTTAAGACCAAATTGACTCTCCCTCATCTGTATTATTGCTGATAGGGCATTGCATTTCCACCAACAATGCTTACCTAAATTTCTCCATATGTTTCTTTTTTCATCAATGCTTCTTGCACTTCATTCTTTTTTTCTGGGTTAAATTTTGTTCCTGCTAAAATATATCCTTTGGTATTTCTTTCCATGAAGGCCTTAGTAGTAAACATTTTTAGTTTTTTGGAAGTCTGAACATATCTTTATTTTTGTATCATTTAAGAGTGAAACTTTAACAGATTATAAAAAGCTAAAATAATAATCATATCCCATAAGCACAGAGAAGATATTATTCCATTGTCTTCTGGAATCCATTGTTGCTTATGAGAAGTCATCTGTTAATAATCTAATTATCTTTCCTTTAAAGGTAATTTGTCTTTTCTTTCTGGTAATATTTATCTTTATTTTCATGTAGTGTGGTTTCAGTGATATGTGTTTAGGTTCAGATTTGTGTTTAATTATCATTTGCGGATTCCATGTTCTTTTTCAACTTAAGGATTTATAATTTTCTTTAAGTTTGAAAATATTTCTACCATTGTCTAAAAATACCTCTTGCCCACATGTTGGGTTGTTCATTCTATCTCCATATCTTTTTATCTTCTCTTTTATATGCTTAATGTCTTTATCTCTTTGAAAAGTGTTTCCCTGAGGGAAAGTTAGTAAATTAGAGGTAAATGTCAGGAGGTCACTTTGCTGTTTTACTCATATATTCAGGCTCTAAAGTATTTTTAGTGAATATATTTTTCATTACTAGAACCTATATTTGCCATTTAAAAAAAATCTCCCTTTTTTTCAAAGAATTTTTTGCACATTTCTTTCTTTTTCTGTTGAATATTTTTTAAATGCATATTAAAAATCTCTTTCTGATTTCTCAACTATTTCTATTCTTGTGCATTTGCTCAGAGTCTTTCATGGAAGTTTGTTTTCTTATGTGCTTCTGAGCTCATATTCAGGGAGTGCTATTTTTCATAGGGGGCATCTCTTTGAAGAGGTCCAAAGTTTGCTTGCGGACCAGTTTTTATGTTAATTTCTCATTATTGTATTATATAGGTAGCATGAATATGTAACCTGCCATTGAACAGAGTGCTCTTGGGGTTTCTGTTTCTCATAAGTGACTTTCCCCTCTTCTGCAGTGCCACATACCTGACCTGGTGGATAGAGTTTTCCTAGTGTTTTATCAAGACAGAACTTCCCAGCACCTGGATTTAGGCAGAATTTAGGATCTAGCTTTGCAGCACACATGGGGTATGTGCTTTCAACATCAGTCCTGCATAGCTGACACTTCCTTAAGCCCTAGGAGTATTCCAGTTCCAACATGACTATAAGAAATTTTATTTTCAACTTCCATTTTGAGCTCTTTGAGTAATGATTAAAAGCCTAGAATCTATATTCTGACCACTTGGAATTAAAATAAACAGCTCTGCCACTTACTAGCTGTATAACTTTGGGGAAGTTGCTGAATATCTCTATGCCTCAGTTTTCTCAACTATAAAACTATGGTAATAACTTTCTCATGGAGTTGTGGGGCTCAAGTAAGTTAATATAGGCGAAATACTGAGGATGGTGCCTGACACATAGCAAGCATTAAATATGTTTTTGCCATCATTATCTTATTTTCAGCTTGCCTACATATTAAACTTTTTTGTTAATACATTTTATGTATATAGGCATATGTTAACATATATTTTAATAGATATAATTTTGTTAAATATATTTTATTAGGTTATATATGTGTCCTATATATAGGTATATGTTAACACATATTTTAATATACATAATTTTGTTAAATGTATTTTATTATATGTGTGTCATATATTTTCTTTCAAAACTTAAAAAATATGTTTTATATATGGATAGCATAAGATTTTCATTCTGTTTTAGAAATATGGCCTTTCTAAAGTGAGGGCACAGTGGTAACAAGCAGGATATGGGAAGCTTATATTATATTCAGTTGCTATATGCAGGATTTGGGGCCTCTGACTTCTCAATGGTTGAATTCTTTTTTCCTCATTAAAGGCTTGGCTGGGCTCTGCTATCCTTCTCTCCTTCCCATGGCTGTCACTGCTAATCTTCACAAATTCATCTTTATTTTGAAGGTCATGGAACTCCAGAGATGTTTAGATGTATTTGAGCTGGCAGGAGAATTATTTTACTTCATTCATTCCTACATACAAAAGGTTTTTTATTTTCTGTTTTACCATTTTATTTGACCACACCAGCAAGTCTGTTTAACTGAATGTGGTATTTTCACAAGGAATAATGATCTGAGGAAAGGGGGCCTGTTCCCGAAAGTGGGATTGTAGATGCTAGTCTTGGCTCAATTTCTGGGGTTTATTAAAAGAGTGTTTATAAAACCACTCTATTTTTATTTACCAAGAATATTAGTGGGGGAAAGGGGCAAGAAAAAAAATGGCCTGGGACTCAAAATTCTCTGAGGATAAATCAATCATTAAGTAGATTATATTTACATGAATAACCAAGACTTGATGCAATGTGTCAGCCTACTCAGCTCCTAGCCACAGGTCAGCAAGGATTTAATGTACAATCAACCTTCTCTCATTCTACAGAAATAAATGAAAAACTAGTCAACTAAGCAGCAGCTTCTCTGAGGTTTCTTGAGTAGAAGGGTGACCTGCCTGTTCCTCTACTGATGCAATAAAGAGTACCACTTTTTATGAACCCGTCTCTCCTTCCTTTCTTTCTTCCTTTTGGAAAGCTAGCACTGGCTGTGAACATTATGGTGACATTAGTTTATCAGAGGCCCTTACTATGCTTTTTTTTTTTTTTTTTTTTTTGAGACAAGGTCTCATTCTGTCATTAAGGCTGGAGAGCCGTGGTGCAATCACAGTTCACTGCAACCTTGAACTCCTGGGCTCAAATGATCCTCCTGCCACAGCCTCCCAAGGAGCTAGGACTGTAGGTGTACATCACCATGCCCAGCTATTTTTTTTTATTTTTTGTAGAGACAGGTCTCACTATATTGCCCAGGCTGGTCTCAAACTCCTGGGCTCAAGCAATCTTCCCACCTTGGCCTCCCAAAGCCCTGGGATTATAGGCATAAACCACTGAACCTGGCCCCTTACTATGCATTAAAACACTACTTTTGGCAAAAAAGCCCCCAAAGACAATCTTGAACTTGAGCAGGGAGTCTGACTGTGCACTGCATAAAATGGTGTTGAAAACTATGTGAGCACACATGCATATTTTTTGGGCTGGAGTTGGGAGAAGGGATGTGTCGTGCCACAAAGGGACTTGAAGCCAGAGCACAGTCAGACACCCACAGGCTGGGAATTCCTCTCTGCCTGGCCTCATTCAATCTACAAATTACTAAATGGGTAGAGTTACTAATACATGGTATGGCTTTGATGTGTGTAACATAAAAATGTTTCTAAACAACAAGACAGAGTTGAATAATTCATTTATTCTGATTTCTGTAGGTAGACCCACTGTTTTATCAGAGGGAATCAATACATGGTGGATACAGAGGTTAGAATTTAGAATTTTAATCCCAGCTGTGTCAAGGCATCATTAATTCATTTGTTAATTATCTCAACAAATACTTATCAAATGTCTACTATGTGTCAGACACTGTGCCAGACTCTGGAGATATAATGAAGAACAATGCAGACACAGCCTCTACTTTCTTGGAATTTATAAGTTGTATGCTGATAACCAAATAACTTTGTCTCTCTGAGAGTCATTTTTTCACCCGTAAAATGGGGTTGTAGCAAGGACTAAATGAGAAAATGCATGGGAAAGTGCTTTATAAATGCTAATGTTTTCTATATACTGAAGATCACACACACACACACGCACAATTGTCTTCCATTCATTGCAAAGTGTAATGAAAGATTAATGAAGTTGGATCAAAGAGAACATGACATAAATTAAATCGTCATATTTATCAAAAGGGGAGGTTGTGTGGAGACTTTCTTAGGAGTGAGTTAGGAACCTGAGGATGGCTAAGGCTTCCCTCGAGAGTTTTGGAAGGAGCTAGATTATAAATTATAAACCACCCTGAGTGTTTTTGATCCCCTTTGGTATGCACTCTTGGGCTTTTGGAGCAGTGCTTGGAGGATAATCTGAAAGGCTTCAAGGTCAAGGATGGAGAGAAGACAATGTAACAGCCCAGCACTGACCACCTGCAGAAATGCCTGGAGCAGGTTGGTCCCAGGAGCATCCTCTATGAGATCTCAGGAAGCAAGAAAAGGCTCTATGGAGGGAATGGCTTTTAATAGATACTTGGTGATCGGAGGAGAAAGACTGGCCTCAACTTCTCTTTCTCCATGCTGTTTTCTAAAATCATGCTGAGGTGCACTCTAGACAGGGTTGGGCATAGAGAGAGGCGAAGAAGATCAGAAACTCCAAGAGCCTCTTGTAATGACAGGCCATTGAGCTGGAGCCTGCACCTCAGCTGTCTGTGGCTCCTCCATCCTTTCTAGACCAAGGACATGTGTCAAGTACTTGTTACTGTAGAAGAATAAAGATGAGTGATGTGTTACTCTCTGAGGTGCTTAAATTATGACATCCAAAAAACAGAAAGTATTGTGACACCAGAAACAGAACCGGAATGACAAATTAATATCATAAACCCATTCATTTCATACATTTCCATTGCTGCTACCATTGGTGGAGCCACCATCAGCTCTTACCTAGGATACGGGCAAAGTCCTCTTTATTGATCTAATTTTTTTCTCTAGATTTCCTCAAATGCATTCTCCATACAAAAGCCAGCAGTTTTCATTTTTTCAGATAAATTCAGATTATGTCTCTTTCCTGTTTAAAACTATTCCACATCTTCTCTTTGCACTTGGAAGAAACCCCAGACCCTTTGCCTTGACCTAGAAGTCCCTTCATGATCTGGTCCCTAACATCTCATCAAAGATATCTCCTATATGTAACCTCTTACTCTATACCTCCAACCACACTGGCCTTTTCTTATCCCCCCAAACTTTCCAAGCTTCTTTCTGCCTCAGGACCATAGCATAGGGGCTGTTTCTTTAGACAGAAAGGCTCTTCCATAGCTGATCCTTCCCCTCAACTCCAAGAGGCCTCGCTAGCATCCTGACTGGGGCAAACCCTCCTCTGTTCTCTATTACAGAACTCTGGTTGCCTACTTCAAAGCACCTGTCCCGGGTTGTAATGCATGCACCTGTTTATTTGTTTGTCTGTCTCTTGGAATAAACTGCAAGATCCAGGTAGGGTAAATCTATGGTTACTCACCACACCCTTGCACTTGAAATTTAAGATGATGTAAAAAAATATTAAAGGAATAAATACAAGTTTGACTTTCTCCTTAATTTTTCTTACAGAAAGCAGGGATGATTGCATAGGGCATAACTTCCCCACACCTCCCTGCTTTTCCACATGCAGTTGCTTCTATCTGGGCTGCCTTTTCCCCTTGGCTGATCTCCAAATTCCTACTGATTCTGCTTCCAGAACCAACACCACACTTTCTCCTTCTGTGAAGTCTTCTCTTATATTCTCTCTTTTGTGTCTTCACACTATCACATAGACCTCTGTTTTGTAATTATGTGTGTATCTTCCTGTACTCCTTCCCTTTCATTGTGAACTCTCTGAGGACAAAAAGCTTATCTCATTCCTCTTTCCATTTTCAGCCCTAGTGCAGAACATGATATTCACATGATATACACATGCGTAGGGAGCCTACAGATTTTATACATGTCATAGAGAAGGGCCAGGGAAAGCTGGCCACTCCTTGGTGGCGATGCCTGCCCTTGGTTCCTCCTGCTGAACAAAGGATGGTCTGTGAACAGGAAGCATGGGATGCTCCCTCCCCGCCACCTGCCCCACTCAGAAGTGAAGGCAGCTTGTGCCCCGGCCAAAATAGGATTTCCCCATCCTTTGAAAGGAAAGCACTCTTCAGGCAGATTTTCAAGCTGAAACCATCCAGAACAAAAGCTGCTTCCAGCAGTGGCCAAGCAGACCAGCGCCCCTCTCCCTATGGCCCTAGTACAGTTACTGCCTAATGGGAGAGGGATGTAAAGGCTTCAGGTGAAACATCTGTTCAGGGTCACTGTCAGCCAGTAAGACAGAGACCTGTGAGCTTGCCAGTTGATTGCGTGGGGCAGCTAGAGGCGCCCAAGCAGCAGAGAAAGTGAGGAGGAGAAGAAGGAGGAGCAGCAGCAGCCCAC
The DNA here is from genome assembly GCF_000001405.40 of Homo sapiens. NCBI lineage: Eukaryota > Metazoa > Chordata > Mammalia > Primates > Hominidae > Homo > Homo sapiens. The sequence continues at coordinate 65,546,177 of NC_000012.12, forward strand.
AGCCTGTCAGGCCCTTTCTCACCACGTTTCCTTCCCCGCAGTGGCCACCATTGGATTCTGTTTAGCTCATGGTCGGGAACTCGGGCCCTTGAAAATGAGGCACTGTTCCCTGCCAGGTACAGAGAGTCTGAGAGGAAAGCTCTACATCTTCGAAGGCAATGTGAGCATCAAAACTGAATGTCTTTTAATTAACTTAGGTCCACATTTCTGCCAGACTTCTCAACTTTTTTTTAACATTCTCTCTCTTGACCTGCCTCCCAAGGACCCTCATGTTCTCCTGTCCATTTCATCCCTCTCCCCAAGGAGAGGACTGGGACACCCCAGCAACATTCCAGATCTTTCTATCTCTTTGCAAGCTGCTGAAAAGCAGCTGTTCGGACAACAGTTTCTGAGGTCCTGTGGAATGGAAGGCAACGCCTACCCAATGCTCAGGGACAAATTTAAAAAATAATAACAATAACAGCTACTTCTCCTGAAGGTCAAGAAAAAATTCAGTGGAACCAGTGGGAACTTCAAATCCTGAGGGAGGCCTTTGGAGCAGTCCTGCATTTAGTAATAATCCTTGAGTCACGGCCACACAGATGCTGCCTCCGGGCCTGATTTTCCTTTGAGGCCTTGGAGTACATACTCAGATGAACATGAGTTTAAAGTTTTTAAAGGTCCAGGTTGGCTAGTGAGTTGTCTATAAACTAGCTGCTGCCTAACAGAACAGACATTATCTTAATGGTACTGATAGATCTGGAGTGTCACACATCATTAAAATAGCTGATTGATTAGAAGAAAATAATTAGCTTGCCCTGTGTTGCTGGAAAGCCTTTTGGCATACCAAGAAGGAGATATGGAAGGGACGTGGGGTCATCCATCTTTTGATCATTTGTTCTCCATCCAAGGTGATGAAAAAGGTCCTGATAACCCTTAGGGAAGGGAAGGAATATAAACATGTCTTAGTTCTTCTCTGCCATTTACTCAGAGAGAAGCTATCTGTAGACTTTCTGGAGTGTGGTGTGTTTATTCCAGTTACATAGACACACTCCTTTAAATCAAACACTCTGTTAGTGCCTTGGAGTTGTAAATCAGTGGTTCTTTTCAAGTGACTTGATAGAATGTGATATTCTACTTTCCCTTGACAGGATATAAACATCGAAACCTAAATATTATAATCAAGTCCAGCCATTGGCAGGACCGTGAAGAAGGACGTGTAGATTCTAGTAGCTTTTCAATGTCCTTCTTGCGTTTCACAGTATCTATCTTCCTCTGGATGTTCAATAGTCATTCTCTTTCACTACTTGGGAGATAAGTTGACAAACTTATTTATATTCAGGAGTGATGTGGTTTAAGGCATTTTTATGTTCATAGACATTTGCACAAAGAACCTTGAGCCAAAGAGTGTCTCTGGGGAGGTATTTTGCTGGCATGATGGGCATTGCCAGTACCCTGGAAATCAAGTTGTCAAATTTGCAGGCCATCAGTACTCTGATGATAATACTACACTCTTAGAGAGGCTGGGGGCAGAGTAAGAGCATATCTGGATCACCTGGGGGCCTTTGGCTGACCCTGATATGCACCTCCTGCCTCCCTCCCCACCCCTTAGCCTCCAACATTACTTAAAAAAAGCCACTGCTACAGATGAAAGTATATTATGCTCAGATTAAAAAATAAAATGGGGAAACACCATTGGCCTGGATAACAGAGTCTGAGTTTGGGAGTTGACTGGAATTGGGCATTCTGACCCTTTTCAGCTGAGTGACCTTGGGTACATTACTTACTGTCCCCAAAACAATTGAACAAGATTGCCCTGAAACTTGCATAAAATAATGTAGGAGAAAATGTTTAGTCAGGCTGGGTGGGGTGGCTCACTCCTGTAATTCCAGCACTTTAGGAGGCCAGGTGGTCAGATCACTTGAAGTCAGGATTTCGAGACCAGCCTGGCCAACATGGGGAAACCCTGTCTCTAGTAAAAATATTTAATATAAAAAAATTAGTTGGGCATAGTGGTGAGTGCCTGTAATCCCACTTACTCGGGAGGCTGAGGCAGAAGAATCACTTGAGCCCAGGAGGTGGAGGTTGCAGTGAGCCAAGATCATGCCACTGTATTCCAGCCTGGGTGACTGAGTGAGACTCTGTCTCAAAAAAAAAAAAAAAAAAAGGAAAATGCTTAGCCAATAAATATTAGTTTTCTTCCCTTTTAAAATATAATCAGAAACTCTGAATTTCACATGAATATAATTTGTTGACATTAACTCCTAAACAATTTGTGCAACTTTTTTTTAACAATATAACATGATTAAATATTTTTTCCTAAACATATGAGTAATGCATCTTCATTGCAGAAATTTAGGTAATTTTTTCAAAAAAGAAAATCTATCAGCTTTCTTTAGGCAGAATCACTCATTTTTTTTTAAATTATTTTTTGGTGCATTTGCCCCTGCACTTCCCCACCCACCGATCCTGGGCTTTTTTATAATGTTTGCTGTCACACTGCACCTTCTGTCTTGTTGACTTCTTTTCTCCTTTAATACATCATAAGCATTTTTCCATGATATTAAACATGCAGTGTGTGTGTGTGTGTGTGTGTGTGTGTGTGTGTGTTATGGTTGCTGCCATCACTGGACAGCCCATTCTTGGCAAGACCTTGAGTCCTTTTTTGAATTTTTGTCATATGGCTGGATATGGAAGTAAGGATGTAGGATAGTGGTGAATTTTATCTTCACCTATAGAGATGCATATCAGGGTCAGCCAAAGTTCTCCTTCCACTGACCAGATGTTCCTTCTGCCTTCAGTGACAAAAGGCCACATTTCAAATGCAGTTATTGGAAAGGGTCCTTTGATCCCCACAACTGGCCCCAGGGCAATGTAGAGTTGTGGCATAAGTGGTTTTTGAATGAATAAATGTATGCATGAAGGAAGAGTCATACCATTCATTTAGAAATAGGGATGCTAGGTGGGTTTGAATTCTCAGCATGGCATTATGGGTAATTTTTAGCTTTCATTTTTATGTTACATCTCTGTGCCTCCATTTCATTACCTGCAAGATAGAAATAATAATAGTCTCTACCTCATGGAGTTGGCAGGGTGTTATATGAATGAATACACGTGAAGTGACTTTCAACATTGCCTGGCAAAAAGAGAGTGCTCTGTAAACCATAGCTCATCATCGTCATCATCATCATCTTCATTATGTGCTTTACAATATATTCCAACATTTTTTCAGTGAGCCCAGCCAGTCATACACACAATTTTTTTTTTATACTTTAAGTTTTAGGGTACATGTGCACAACGTGCAGGTTAGTTACATATGTATACACGTGCCATGTTGGTGTGATGCACCCACTAACTCGTCATCTAGCATTAGGTATATCTCCCAATGCTATCCCTCCCCGCTCCCCCCACCCTACAACAGTCCCCAGAGTGTGATGTTCCCCTTCCTGTGTCCATGTGTTCTCATTGTTCAATTCCCACCTATGAGTGAGAATATGCGGTGTTTGGTTTTTTGTTCTTGCGATAGTTTACTGAGAATGATGATTTCCAATTTCATCCATGTCCCTACAAAGGACATGAACTCATCATTTTTTATGGCTGCATAGTATTCCATGGTGTATATGTGCCACATTTTCTTAATCCAGTCTATCATTGTTGGACATTTGGGTTGGTTCCAAGTCTTTGCTACTGTGAATAATGCCACAATAAACATACGTGTGCATGTGTCTTTATAGCAGCATGACTTATAGTCCTTTGGGTATATACCCAGTAATGGGATGGCTGGGTCAAATGGTATTTCTAGTCCTAGATCCCTGAGGAATCGCCACACTGACTTCCACAATGGTTGAACTAGTTTACAGTCCCACCAACAGTGTTAAAAGTGTTCCTATTTCTCCACATCCTCTCCAGCACCTGTTGTTTCCTGACTTTTGAATGATTGCCATTCTAACTGGTGTGAAATGGTATCTCATTGTGGTTTTGATTTGCATTTCTCTGATGACCAGTGATGGTGAGCATTTTTTCATGTGTTTTTTGGCTGTATAAATGACTTCTTTTGAGAAGTGTCTGTTCATGTCCTTTGCCCACTTTTTGATGGGTTTGTTTGTTTTTTTCTTGTAAATTTGTTTTAGTTCTTTGTAGATTCTGGATATTAATTAGCCCTTTGTCAGATGAGTAGGTTGCGAAAATTTTTTCCCATTTTGTAGGTTGCCTGTTCACTCTGATGGTAGTTTCTTTTGCTGTGCAGAAGCTCTTTAGTTTAATGAGATCCCATTTGTCAATTTTGGCTTTTGTTGCCATTGCTTTTGGTGTTTTAGACATGAAGTCCTTGCCCATGCCTATGTCCTGAATGGTAATGCCTAGGTTTTCTTCTAGGGTTTTTATGGTTTTAGGTCTAACGTTTAAGTCTTTAATCCATCTTGAATGGATTTTTGTATAAGGTGTAAGGAAGGGATCCAGTTTCAGCTTTCTACATATGGCTAGCCAGTTTTCCCAGCACCATTTATTAAATAGGGAATCCTTTCCCCATTGCTTGTTTTTCTCAGGTTTGTCAAAGATCAGATAGTTGTAGATATGCGGCGTTATTTCTGAGGGCTCTGTTCTGTTCCATTGATCTATATCTCTGTTTTGGTACCAGTACCATGCTGTTTTGGTTACTGTAGCCTTGTAGTATAGTTTGAAGTCAGGTAGTGTGATGCCTCCAGCTTTGTTCTTTTGGCTTAGGATTGACTTGGCGATGCGGGCTCTTTTTTGGTTCCATATGAACTTTAAAGTAGTTTTTTCCAATTCTGTGAAGAAAGTCATTGGTAGCTTGATGGGGATGGCATTGAATCTGTAAATTACCTTGGGCAGTATGGCCATTTTCACGATATTGATTCTTCCTACCCATGAGCATGGAATGTTCTTCCATTTGTTTGTATCCTCTTTTATTTCACTGAGCAGTGGTTTGTAGTTCTCCTTGAAGAGGTCCTTCACATCCCTTGTAAGTTGGATTCCTAGGTATTTTATTCTCTTTGAAGCAATTGTGAATGGGAGTTCACTCATGATTTGGCTCTCTGTTTGTCTGTTATTGGTGTATAAGAATGTTTGTGATTTTTGTACATTGATTTTGTATCCTGAGACTTTGCTGAAGTTGCCTATCAGCTTAAGGAGATTTTGGGCTGAGACAATGGGGTTTTCTAGATATACAATCATGTCGTCTGCAAACAGGGACAATTTGACTTCATCTTTTCCTAATTGAATACCCTTTATTTCCTTCTCCTGTCTGATTGCCCTGGCCAGAACTTCCAATACTATGTTGAATAGGAGTGGTGAGAGAGGGCATCCCTGTCTTGTGCCAGTTTTCAAAGGGAATGCTTCCAGTTTTTGCCCATTCAGTATGATATTGGCTGTGGGTTTGTCATAGATAGCTCTTATTATTTTGAGATATGTCCCATCAATACCTAATTTATTGAGAGTTTTTAGCATGAAGGGCCATTGAATTTTGTCAAAGGCCTTTTCTGCATCTATTGAGATAATCATGTGGTTTTTGTCTTTGGTTCTGTTTATATGCTGGATTACATTTATTGATTTGCATATATTGAACCAGCCTTGCATCTCAGGGATGAAGCCCACTTGATCATGGTGGATAAGCTTTTTGATGTGCTGCTGGATTTGGTTTGCCAGTATTTTATTGAGGATTTTTGCATCAATTTCATCAAGGATATTTGTCTAAAATTCTCCTTTTTTGTTGTGTCTCTGCCAGGCTTTGGTATCAGGATGATGCTGGCCTTATAAAATGAGTTAGGGAGGATTCCCTCTTTTTCTATTGATTGGAATAGTTTCAGAAGGAATGGTACCAGTTCCTCCTTGTACCTGTGGTAGAATTCGGCTGTGAATCCATCTGGTCCTGGACTCTTTTTTGTTGGTAAGCTATTGATTATTGCCACAATTTCAGCTCCTGTTATTGGTCTATTCAGAGATTCAACTTCTTCCTGGTTTAGTCTTGGGAGAGTGTATGTGTCGAGGAATTTATCCATTTCTTCTAGATTTTCTAGTTTATTTGCATAGAGGTGTTTGTAGTATTCTCTGATGGTAGTTTGTATTTCTGTGGGATCGGTGGTGATATCCCCTTTATCATTTTTTATTGTGTCTATTTGATTCTTCTCTCTTTTTTTCTTTGCTAGTCTTGCTAGCAAAGGATCAATTTTGTTGATCCTTTCAAAAAACCAGCTCCTGGATTCATTAATTTTTTGAAGGGTTTTTTGTGTCTCTATTTCCTTCAGTTCTGCTCTGATTTTAGTTATTTCTTGCCTTCTGCTAGCTTTTGAATGTGTTTGCTCTTGCTTTTCTAGTTCTTTTAATTGTGATGTTAGGGTGTCAATTTTGGATCTTTCCTGCTTTCTCTTGTGGGCATTTAGTGCTATAAATTTCCCTCTACACACTGCTTTGAATGTGTCCCAGAGATTCTGGTATGTTGTGTCTTTGTTCTCATTGGCTTCAAAGAACATCTTTATTTCTGCCTTCATTTCGTTATGTATCCAGTAGTCATTCAGGAGCAGGTTGTTCAGTTTCCATGTAGTTGAGCGGTTTTGAGTGAGATTCTTAATCCTGAGTTCTAGTTTGATTGCACTGTGGTCTGAGAGATAGTTTGTTATAATTTCTGTTCTTTTACATTTGCTGAGGAGAGCTTTACTTCCAACTATGTGGTCAATTTTGGAATAGGTGTGGTGTGGTGCTGAAAAAAATGTTTATTCTGTTGATTTGGGGTGGAGAGTTCTGTAGATGTGTATTAGGTCCGCTTGGTGCAGAGCTGAGTTCAATTCCTGGGTATCCTTGTTGACTTTCTGTCTCGTTGATTTGTCTAATGTTGACAGTGGGGTGTTAAAGTCTCCCATTATTAATGTGTGGGAGTCTAAGTCTCTTTGTAGGTCACTCAGGACTTGCTTTATGAATCTGGGTGCTCCTGTATTGGGTGCATATATATTTAGGATAGTTAGCTCTTCTTGTTGAATTGATCCCTTTACCATTAAGTAATGGCCTTCTTTGTCTCTTTTGATCTTTGTTGGTTTAAAGTCTGTTTTATCAGAGACTAGGATTGCAACCCTTGCCTTTTTTTGTTTTCCATTTGCTTGGTAGATCTTCCTCCATCCTTTTATTTTGAGCCTATGTGTGTCTCTGCCCGTGAGATGGGTTTCCTGAATACAGCACACTGATGGGTCTTGACTCTTTATCCAATTTGCCAGTCTGTGTCTTTTAATTGGAGCATTCGGTCCATTTACATTTAAAGTTAATATTGTTATGTGTGAATTTGATCCTGTCATTATGATGTTAGCTGGTTAGTTTGCTCGTTAGTTGATGCAGTTTCTTCCTAGTCTCGATGGTCTTTACATTTTGGCATGATTTTGCAGCGGCTGGTACCGGTTTTTCCTTTCCATATTTAGTGCTTCCTTCAGGAGCTCTTTTAGGGCAGGCCTGGTGGTGACAAAATCTCTCAGCATTTGCTTGTCTGTAAAGGATTTTATTTCTCCTTCACTTATGAAGCTTAGTTTGGCTGGATATGGAATTCTGGGTTGAAAATTCTTTTCTTTAAGAATGTTGAATATTGGCCCCCACTCTCTTCTGGCTTGTAGAGTTTCTGCTGAGAGATCCGCTGTTAGTCTGATGGGCTTCCCTTTGAGGGTAACCCGACCTTTCTCTCTGGCTGCCCTTAACATTTTTTCCTTCATTTCAACTTTGGTGAATCTGACAATTATGTGTCTTGGTGTTGCTCTTCTCAAGGAGTATCTTTGTGGCATTCTCTGTATTTCCTGAATCTGAATGTTGGCCTGCCTTGCTAGATTGGGGAAGTTCTCCTGGATAATATCCTGCAGAGTGTTTTCCAACTTGGTTCCATTCTCCCTGTCACTTTCAGGTACACCAATCAGACGTAGATTTGGTCTTTTCACATAGTCCCATATTTCTTGGAGGCTTTGCTTCTTCCTTTTTATTCTTTTTTCTCTAAACTTCCCTTCTCACTTCATTTCATTCATTTCATCTTCCATCGCTGATACCCTTTCTTCCAGTTGATCACATCAGCTCCTGAGGCTTCTGCATTCTTCACATAGTTCTCGAGCCTTGGTTTTCAGCTCCATCAGCTCCTTTAAGCACTTCTCTGTATTGTTTATTGTAGTTATACATTCTTCTAAATTTTTTTCAAAATGTTCAACTTCTTTGCCTTTGGTTTGAATGTCCTCCCGTAGCTCGGAGTAATTTGATTGTCTGAAGCCTTCTTCTCTCAGCTCGTCAAAGTCATTCTCCATCCAGCTTTGTTCCATTGCTGGTGAGGAACTGCGTTCCTTTGGAGGAGGAGAGGTGCTCTGCTTTTTAGAGTTTCCAGTTTTTCTGCTCTGTTTTTTCCCCATCTTTGTGGTTTTATCTACTTTTGGTCTTTGATGATGGTGATGTACAGATGGGTTTTTGGTGTGGATGTCCTTTCTGTTTGTTAGTTTTCCTTCTAACAGACAGGACCCTCAGCTGCAGGTCTGTTGGAGTACCCAGCCGGGTGAGGTGTCAGTCTGCCCCTGCTGGGGGGTGCCTCCCAGTTAGGCTGCTCGGGGGTCAGGGGTCAGGGACCCACTTGAGGAGGCAGTCTGCCTGTGCTGGGAGAACCACTGCTCTCTTCAAAGCTGTCAGACAGGGACATTTAAGTCTGCAGAGGTTACTGCTTTTTGTTTGTCTGTGCCCTGCCCCCAGAGGTGGAGCCTACAGAGGCAGGCAGGCCTCCTTGAGCTGTGGTGGGCTCCACCCAGTTCGAGCTTCCAGGCTGCTTTGTTTACCTAAGCAAGCCTGGGCAATGGTGGGTGCCCCTCCCCCAGCCTCGCTGCCACCTTGCAGTTTGATCTCAGACTGCTGTGCTAGCAATCAGTGAGACTCCGTGGGCGTAGGACCCTCTGAGCCAGATGCAGGATATAATCTCCTGGTGCGCCGTTTTTTTTTTTTTGTTGTTTGTTTTTTTTTTTTTTTGAGATGGAGTCTCGCTCTGTCGCCCAGGCTGGAGTGCAGTGGCGGGATCTCGGCTCACTGCAAGCTCTGCCTCCCAGGTTCACGCCATTCTCCTGCCTCAGCCTCCCAAGTAGCTGGGACTACAGGCGCCCGCCACTACGCCCGGCTAATTTTTTGTATTTTTAGTAGAGACGGGGTTTCACCATTTTAGCCGGGATGGTCTCGATCTCCTGACCTCGTGATCCGCCCGCCTCGGCCTCCCAAAGTGCTGGGATTACAGGCGTGAGCCACCGCGCCCGGCCCGGTGCGCCAGTTTTTAAGCCCGTTGGAAAAGCGCAGTATTCGGGAGTGACCCGATTTTCCAGGTGCCGTCTGTCACCACTTTCTTTGACTAGGAAAGGGAACTCCCTGACCCCTTGGGCTTCCTGAGAGAGGCAAAGCCTCGCCCTGCTTCGGCTCGCGCATGGTGCGTGCACCCACTGACCTGTGCCCACTGTCTGGCACTCCCTAGTGAGATGAACCTGGTACCTCAGATGGAAATGCAGAAATCACCCATCTTCTGCATCGCTCACGCTGGGAGCTGTAGGCTGGAGCTGTTCCTATTTGGCCATCTTGGCTCCTCCCACACAATGTTTTTTAAACAGTTTTTTTTTTAAAGAAAGTACATGTAGGCATGAGAAGACAGCATCTTAGGACAGTAAAGTAAAACAGGGTTAAGAGATTGGCTAGATACCAGGAAAAAGAAGTTCTAACAGAGACAGCAAGGGATAGGAAAGAAAACAAGGAAGGGAGAAAGGAAAACAGTGAGAAAGGAGGGAGCAAATTATGGGCAGACCAGAATTCAGCACAGGAAGGGCCAGGTATGCAAGTTTGAAAAATGCACCATGGGACTTGACTGTGTAGTGAAGACTGAGACCCGCTACTCTAGGACGTTGAGGAGGAAGCTTCATAGAATGCTCTGCTGCTTCCTGTCCTGTTACCCAATCAGGAAAGGGGAGGGGATCAGGGGTGGTGAGAAGGGAATAAGGGCAGGAATTATGAGAAAACTGAAACATGGAAAGGTAAATCAACTTGTGAAGAAAGGTCTCTTGGCTCGTTGCTGGCAACACTGGATCTAGAACTCCGCTTTCAGGGTGTCCGAATTCGTTCTCAATACTTCTCCACCCCTGTCTGCCAGTTTCTCTCTGTACTTGGAGACCTAAATACAAAAACTGGCTCCAGAATTTGAAATCTATGCCTTAGCTTTTTTAGGGTGACCATAAGTTGAGGGAGGAACAAGGATGCTGGTCAAAGTTCCCATCAGTGACCTGCGGAAAATTGGAAAATATCAGGTACCACCACTTCCTCCCTTCCCACAAGTCTTCTAGACCTCTCTCTCTTTGCAAAGAGTCGTCAGAGAAGGTTCCAAGCCAACTGCTTAATGAATTAATAGCCCTTATTCCACTGTACAAAATGTAAGAGAAAGAATCCATTAGTAATTAGTCTAGTTCATGTTTCTAGAAGCGCTATTTTCTTCCCATGACAAAACTTCAAAACACCAGAGAAAATAAGTAGGAAGGTCTCTGTGGTTATGCACTTTAAGTGAATGATGACAATTTTGAGATACGTGCCAAAATAGGAGAGTCTTCATTTTCCTCATACCTGTTAAGGTAGTGGTCTGGACTTGTTCACGCCTACACCTGAAGCAGAGGGACGGCCTGTCGGAGCTCAGTCAAGTAGGCGAGTGCTCTTTGTTCCCCCGTGGCCTCTGAAGTTACTCTAGAGCTATGCAGCTCAAGGCCAGCAGATGGCGCGTGGCGTCAGGCTGCGAGATAGCGCCGAGACAGCATGGACGCCGGGAGCCTGGGAAAGCCAACTGTACCACAGGAGTCTAAACTGTAGCTAGGAATAGAAGTACGCTCATTTTAGCTATTAGAAGGTTTGCCTGATACTCTGGCTCTTTATTTCGAGGATGTCTAGCTCACCTGTGATATAACTCAGACCCCATTTCACTCATTTCTTAAACTAGGAATGGGTAAGTCTCACCATTCTTCTCTGCTTGTTTAGGACACTCTTGAGAACCTCCTAAAATGCTGTGGAATGGAACAGCGGGACAGACCAGAAGTACATTCTGGGGAGAAGAGAATAAAAACACCATTCCTTGAGAGTGGAAGTGTCAGAGGCGTTCAAACCAGAGCGACTCCATCTTGAGTAGGGGCTCGGTAAAATGAGAATGAGACCTGCTGGGCAGCATTCCCAGGAGGTTAGACATTCTTAGCCACAGGATGAGATAGGAGGTCGGCAGGATTGATATCACAAGATACGGGTCATAAAGACCCTGGTGATAAAACAGGATGCCATAAAGAAGCCGGCCAAAACCAAGATGGTGATGAAAGTGACCTCTGGTCATCCTCACTGCTCATTGTACGTTAATTATAATGCATTAGCAGGCTAATAGACACTCTCAGCAGTGCCATGACAGTTTACAAATGCCATGGCAACACCCAAGTTACCTTATATGGTCTAAAAAGGGGAGGAACCCTCAGTTTTGGGAACCTCCCCTTTCCCAGAAAACTTATGAATAATCTACCCCTTGTTTAGCATATGATCAAGAAATAACCATAAAAATGTCCAACCAGCAGCCCTCAGGGCTCTCTGTCTATGGGGTAGCCATCCTTTTGTTTCTTTACTTCTCTGATAAACTTGCTTTCACTTTATGGACTCCTGAATTCTTTCTTGCACAAGATCCAAGAACCCTCTCTTGGGGTCTGGATCAGGATCCCTTTCCAGTAACAGAAGCAGATGATCATACAATCCACTTTATTGTCCTTCCCCAGCCCACAATCGAGTTTCCTGGAATCATAGTACAGTTTCCTAGAAGGCCTACTGCTGGCATATAGTTAGAGATAGCTGACAACATCTCTTAGGTTTTGAAAATAGATTACTTGTACACTTATCAAGCAGATTTTAACTTAATCTAATTGTTTTCAGTCCAGCACCTTGGCCTGGTGTCACTGAGCCTGGAACTTCTCTAGAGAATAAACTTCAAGTTTTCTAAGGGAAGAGGGGAGGAGAACAGAAGGGTGGAGGGATAATTGTCTGGCTGTATGGGGGTGGATGAGGGAACCTAGAGGTTAAACTGCTCTGCCTTCCAGAGACCTTCAACCAAACCAAGTTTCAGCCCCATGCTTCAGCCTCATTTTCTATAGTACTTAGTGCCTCTAAGGCCTGAATCTTTCTGGGGCTCTAAAGGGAAAATTGTCTTTTTTTTTTTTAAAAAAAATCAATATTTTCTTTAGCAGATACCTGTCATTCTGTTAAACCCCTGCTGTACATTTTCTTTGTTTCCCACATTGTGAGTTTTATTTTTCCAGGGCAGAATTTCCCAGCATCTCTTCCAGCTCCCAGGGAGAAGGTCTGGGACCTATGTTCTACCAACCAAATACACTCTCATGAAGCTCTCATTTGGAAGTCAGCAACATGCAGACACAGACTGGGTTCTGAGCATCTATGGTGCAGATGAAGATGATGGCAGGAGCTGTGGAGGCAGTAGAATCCTCATCAAGCCACTTCTGTGTGAGATGCCGGGCTGTGTTCCTATGAGCTTAGCCTTGAGCTTCTTTTTTGCCAGACCTCCCAATGAATCACCGAGCACCTAATAACTCCCAGTAATTTCCTTTTATGCTCAAACCAGCCCAAATGGTTTCTATAGTTTGCAACTAAAGGGGAAAAAAAGGAAGAAAGAAAAGAGACTAATTAATTTCATCCATGAAAGTAGGGTCAATCTAAAATCTATAAGAATCAAAAATGCAGAATTGGGCTCAATGCAGGCAGGAAGACAGAAGGCAAAATGTATTTTGTTATGTACAAAGTACTATATATGGTACAACTTGCCAATACTACCTTCCCAAGGCAGGTGTTATTTGACTGTGGCCACAACCCAATATGGAGAGAAGCTCCATGACATGGAGCACTGAAACACTGACAAGGCCAACTGCTTCTTTATCTGCACCAAAGAAGCAGAAATAGTGACTTCAAAGTAGCAACCTTAGCCAGAAAGACCCTAAGTCCTTCTCCCATTATTATTATCATTATTATTATTACTATCATTTTGTAAGGCATGCCCACTGGGCCCTCTCCCATTATTTAAGGATTATCTGCAAGACACCTTGGACCCATTAAAAAAGTTCAGATTCAGGGGAGTGTTTCCCATGAGAAGCTATGATTTCAAATTGTCTCAAAGAAGTAGCCATTGAAGAAGAACTAGAAAAGGATAGATCAGTGATGTTGGAAGTAAAGGGGGAAGGATCTTCAGGTTTAAAGACTGTGGACACAGCATCTTTGGCTGTGTCTACACACATATGCAATTGATAGGAAGCAAATAGAACAGAAGCCAACTAAGATTTTTAGGAAACCACATTGTCAAAGACACCTCAAGCCTGCCTGAAAACAGTGTATAATTTTTATTTTTAAAACAAATTCCAGGCCTCTAGACCTGCAGTAGCATGAAGAGGTCTGAGGAAGCTGTGCGTCCCTCAAGAAAGCAATTCTTTATTGCCCATCAAAGATGAATCCATAGGGGATCATTAACAAGGAGATCATCCCAGAGAGCAGCTTCTAGAATCACCAACCAAGTAAGTCTCATTGCTATCCCTATACACCAAGGTTTGCTATTTGCTACTCATTCACAACTGTTGAGTGTTTCCCATTCTTCTATGTTTTAAACTGAAAGTTTAAAAAAAATTCTTGGTTATCCCGTTTCTTCTTTACATTTGCATAATGGGGAGTGGGTGTTGGGAGATAGCTTGTCTTTGAGCTTTGGGCTTTTAGTAGCAATAGTTTTTTTTAACAATTAGCATTACCGTTACTATTTAAGACAGAAGATTTGTCAGAAGAACAAAGACCTCAAAATGAGAAGGAATGTGTTCTGGACTTAAAACATTGCTCAGGTATCTTAGCAAGGACTGAGACCTTGGAGGTCTCCAAATACCAGTAAGAATCATTGTGTTATCCTCTTTCTCACATGTTGGATTTTTTTTTTTTTTTTTACTTGTGATTGATGAACTGGGAGAAAGGAAGTGGTCTAGAAAGGGTGAGAGTGGGTGGGTAGATAGGATACAGGTGGCCTCACCTGGAGAGTGGTCACCTGTGAACAGAAGCCATGTTGAACTCCCTGCACTGCCTCTTCTTCTCTGTTCCTTGCAATGACCTTTAGCTGGACTCAGTCAAAACGGCGCTGTCCTTCCCCTTCCCAACCTAAAGCTTATAGTGCAGTTAATCTAGAGGTCAGCTGAAGTGCAGATTCAAGTGGCTCAAACCCCTTTGCAGTATAGGGAAGGAGTCTGGAATAGGGAAAGGATGGGTTGGGGGTGAAGATGGGAGTTGCTCATGGCTTCCCTAATTAGCTCTGATTCAGAGCTCAGACTTCTGTTATCATTTCCTACCCACAAGTGCTGTCTTATTCCTTTGGTTTCCTTCATTTCTATTCAGCCTCATGAAATAAAGAAATAAAGAAAACAAACAAGTAAATAAAAACAAGATCTTTATGGATGTGGCAGAAAGCTTTGCAAGCCAAGAAAGTCTTCTATCCAGGTGATGCAAATAACTGTAAAACTTCAGACTTCTTGAACTACAAAGATGAACTCTGCCAACCCAAGTTCTAGTACTTCCTCTACTCCCAGCCTGACCCCCACTGTTTCTTGGTTTCCTCACTCCTTCTCTTTCTGTTTGACTCTTGAGAGTAATAAACTCAGCCAAGTCCTACTACTTGAGCCCATATTTAAATGCAGAACAATTTGGCCTTCAGTTTATTCTTCCCCCTTCTTCCAGACTCTGGTCTGATTTATCTTTTTATACTCTATAGCCTATTAGGGTTTTATAATAAAGGCTATCCTTCTCTAAGATTTCCAATGTAGCTATTATCCTTTAACCCTTCTGCACAGTTAACAAAACCAGTTGTTACTTTTTTTGGTGGGGGGTGGGGGTGGTTGTTTAGCATTTAGTGATTATTAAAATGACTACTGTTTCAGCAAAAAGTATTCATAAAAAAACTCAAAAAATTCAGAAAAGTACAAAGGAGAAATTGAATAATCTGTAGCATCTCAAACTCAGTATATGTCTAAGGACAGTCTCTGTTCTCCCCTGGTCTTATTCACGCCCTTCAAGCCCTTCTCTCTAATCAAGGAACAATTGGCTTGACTTTTCTAGCTTACCTCACTTAATTTTAGAGAAATATATATCCTGTTTGAGATCCAAAGAGGCATTTGTCAGCATTAAGGGTCTCCCTTATCTCCATCCATGCTCACAATATTTGGCAGGTATACTTCAGAGTTTGTGGTTTGGGATTATAGCTGTTTCCTCACTTCATTCATGATAGGGAGATGTTTTGTCCTTCTATTTTTGTTCCATTTATTGTTTTCATTGGATTTTTAGAAAGGGGAATGGCATAAGTGTTTTTACTCTGCTGTCTTTAACAAGAAGACTTACTTTTCAAAATAATTATTTGTCTGCTTTTAATTTTCTACTTCAAGAAAACGTTAAGGAAAGAATGTATAGCATTCTAGTTAATTTTCAGTTGCTTAGGTGCCTGATAAAGAGAAGCTTCCCTAAACAGCAGCCAGTTCTGTTCTGAAGATGGCCTTCCCATGGCACCAGTACCCTGGTTAGAATTTTCCCAGGGAGAGATGGCCTAGCTTCATGGGAGCTATCACCATAGATTGCCCATGCTGAGAGAACAGACCACAAACTACACCAGCTGCAGACACTTACACAGCACATGTAGGGAGAACAGAGGCTGATGCCCAAAGAACGAGAGGGATTGTACCTCAGCTGCACAGCAGCAGCAACCTGCAGAGAAAGACAACCTGCAAGTTTATACAGCCCTCCTCCTGCCTCCATGAGAACCTGACAGAGGCATTTGAACCAGAGCGACTCCATCTTGAATAGAGGCTGGGTAAAATAAGGCTGAGACCTACTGGGCTGCATTCCCAGGAGGTCAGGCATTCTTAGTCACAGGATGAGATAGGAGGTTGGCACAAGACACAGGTCGCAAAGACCCTGCTGATAAAACAGGATGTGGTAAAGAAGCCGGCCAAATCCCACTAAAACCAAGATGGTGATGAAAGTGACCTCTGGTCATCTACATTACTCATTATACGTTAACTATAATGCACTAGCTTGCTAAAAGACACTCTCACCAGCACCAGGACAGTTTACGAATGCCATGGTAACATTCGGAATTTACCCTACATAATCTAAAAAGGAGAGGGACCCTCAGTTTCGGGAAATCTCTGACCCCTTCCTGGAAAACTCATGAATAATCCACCCCTTGTTTATCAAATAATCAAGAAATAACTCTAAGTATACTCAATTGAGCAGCTTATACCACTGCTCTGGCTATAGAGTAGCCATTCTTTTGTTCCTTTACTTTCTTAATAAACTTGCTTTCACTTTACTGTATGGACTCACCCTGAATTCTCTCTTGCTTGAGGTCCAGGAACCCTGTCTTGGGGTCTGGATTGAGACTCCTTTCATTGAGAAAGGAGATTGAGACTAACAGATCCATAATTTCTCCATTACTTACACACTGTTTTGGGAAGAAGGAGGGAAGGGGAGATCTATAGAAAGTAGAGAATAGACTCTGATAGGGAGTTTCAGCATCAAATTGAGTGAAGGAAGCCCTCTTCCCCTTTTTTTCCACCCTGGAAGAGACTGTAACTTAGCAAGTTTATTTCCACCATTGGTGGAAATGAGAGCTTCAGAGCAAGATTAAATCAGTTACAGAAAATAAATAAGCTACTGTTTTTGTACATCTGATTTGTAAGGTGTTAATCTTGACCCTGCAACATCTGCGATTTTAGCTTCATCTTTCAGCAAAAGGCAGTCTGCTAGATGGAAAACTGTTCAGGACTGGGAGTTGACCTTCGGTTACTCCTGGCTCTGCCACTAACTAGCTGTGTGATATTGGTTAAGACACTTAGTCTTCTACTTCGAAATGTCATCAACTCTAAAATTACAAGGTTGGATCAGATCCATGATTTTCAAATGTTCATGGCTGCAGAGCCCTTTTGTTAAAACCTTACTTAGATGGCCAATATATAAAACAGATACCTCTGGCGTTTCCTCTGGCAAAGTGGGAAGTAGATGTCTGGGACCACATATGCTAGGAGGCCCCTTGGGCTCCCTGCAAAGTCCCTAAATCACCTCCACAGAGCCCTTCCCAGGTATGCACTTCAAAGACCAGTGAAGGCAATGATCTCTCTGGTCCTTTTTGATTGTAATCCCCAATGATTCAATATATGCCCAAGGCCAGGGGTGGTTGACAGCAGCATGAAGTAATCTGTTCCATGGTCCATGGGCATCTAAGGAGATTGGCGTTAGCTTGTCCTTTTGCAGACAAGGCAATTTACCTTAGTGTTAAAACAACAAAAAAAACCTCCAGCACTTCATGGTGGTTGGGGGTTCTCTTATTTACAACCAAAGAAGAAGAAGAAGAAGAATAAGGAGGAGGAGGAGGACGAGGAGGAGGAGGAGGGGAGGAGGAGGAGGGGGAGGAGGAGGAGGAGGAAGAAGAAGAAGAGGAAGAGGAAGAGGAAGAAGAAGAAGAAGAAGAAGAGGAAGCAGCAGCAGCAGAAGCAGCAGCAGCAGCAGCAGCAGCTTGAGGTAACCATGAACTAGAAATTGTGTCCCCATTATATGACTAACATAGCAGAGTCAGGTCCTGGATCCACCATTTAGTATGCCAGGTAGAGTGTATGTCACCTCATTAGTCCTCACAACAACCCAAGAGGTATGATCCTCATTTTACAGATAAGAACGCTATATAGCAGGTTAAGGAACTTGCTCAAATATCACACTATTACAGAGAATTGTGACTTTTAAAAAAAACATTTACTCCCTCCTAAATGAGATGCTCAAATTTATAATCAGTTACCAAAGCCGTGGAAATTTCTCATCTCACAGAACCTACCATTCAATGACTCTTAGAGCATTTTTGCACATGAAATGGACAAGAAAAATGTTTGTGACAATCTGAATTTTAAATGGAGATCAAGGGTCCTTGCAGTAGTGAAGGAAAAGCAGGCATCTTTCCTTCCATTTCATGGACTTATATTTTAAGAAGCTCAGCCATTCCAGTCCATGCAGAAAAATACTCTCAAAGGAATATTTACAATGTGGATCTTATATTAAACATTTGGTTTTATATGCTTAAATATTTATAAAAGCATACGTTGAATAAATTTTAGTCTACAAACTGAAGTGTTCAAAACATATCAATTTCCTCATTTCTTTAAATCAATTTAATTTTCTGACTCTCAGCCTCCATCCTTAAAAGATGGCAAAAACATCTACCTCATCCTTTTGAGGGCCCCCTCTCCTTCCCAAAACCATACCACTACCTGGAAAGCTTGCTCGGGATAAGGACAATTGAGGAAGGAGCTCTAACCTCCAATTTTTCAAGGTATCACTGGCATCCCACTGTGAAGCCCACAGTGGGCCCAGAATTTTGGTGGTGCCAATTTGTGGTTAGAAGGCTTTGAGGAAAGTGCCTCCCTCTAGATGCCCTGAGGAGCCATCTCCTCTGGGAAGGGATAGCTTTATTCACAAGTGACATGGGTAGTCTCACAGGGTCCCCTGCTCAGAAAAACCCTGAGTTTGTTTTAATGCTCTTCTATTGAAGTCCTGAAATTTGGACAAAAGTTTCCACAGTTTCATTTTGCACTGGGCCTTGCAAATTATAAAGCTGATCCTAAAACTAATGGGTTTAGTTAGCAGCTCTTCTGCTCGCTTTCTTAGAGGGGTCTTCAGCCTTCCTTCTCTATCCTATTAGGCAAAAGAGCTTCTCTTGCCTCGCTTTGCCCTCCAGTGACTTTGCCTCTCTTTTTTGGAGTCTGGGGCACTTAACATTATCTCTTCAAGGGTCTTAGGCTTTTACAAAAGACAAAAATAGTCACGGAGGACTTCAGGGGCTTTCCCCTTCCATCCTGCAAAAAGTCCCTGAGGCAAAGGAGCATACAAGGAACAGGTTCCTGCTTAAAATCAGCGAAGAAGGAAAAAAATGTGTGAGGAGAAAAACCATACCTTAATATTTTAATAAATTGTTATACCACATATGTAGTTTGTTTTAATTAAGTTATTTTATAATCAGTTTTGATGACTTTGTCATATGAAATGGGCCTCTAGAATAGAACCCCAACACATACTCCTGTACCCGTAAAAAGCAGGGACACAGAGAAGTCAGCGGGGTGTTGCTATGAGTAGGGTGAGCATATGTATTATAGCTCACACTGGGACACATCTGAAATAGGAAGGAATTGCTATCAATAATTACACCAGAGCAGTAAGAGTGAGCTGAAACCACCCTGGGCAAACTCAAATACATGGGCACCCCACCTATAAATGATAGAGGCAGAATTTGAACGTGGGTCTGTGTTACTCCCACCATTGGGATATTAATTAGGATAATCTGTAGCCAGCTCAACAGACTGACCACCAATGCTTTATTCCACATCCATTCTGTTGTTTTGCTGTTGACATGGCCTGAGAAAGGCTAGGTTCACAACTGGAGAATTTTATTCATGAGAAGCCCAGCAACCGCATTCCTTTGTTGTAACTGGCCAGTGCTCCAGGCATGAATGAGGCAAGTTTCATCTTCAATATTTACTGAAAACAGACGCTGAAGTTTGAGAAGCAAATGTAAAGTGCTCATTCCAAAGCCTCTTTATATACATGTTAAATCAGTTTGTGGGAAAGAGACCACAGAGATTGTTTAAACATTCATACTGATGACACAACTGTTCTAAAATATGCAGTTTCTTGTAGTTATATGTGGAATTAATTGCATATGGAGAAAGTCATCTAAGTCATCTTTTGAAACTGGCTAAAAGGAAATAGTCCATAACTCAGTGATATCAACATACACACCACTGTTCTGGGGACTCTACTTCACTTTTTTTCTTATCTCAGGCACTGTCTGAAGACGCTGTTTTCTCACTCAAGGCGTCATGACTCAGCTATGTAGCTCTGTCGAGAGACAGAAAAAAAAATCTGGGGCCAGAATGGAAGAGATAGCATTTAAGCACAACTGGAACTGTTGTGACCCTGGATTCTGGAGTGCAGCTCACTTCACCATGTTGCCATCGGCAGAGGAGTCTAGAAGAGTTGGTTCCTCTCTGCCCTTGAATTCCATCAGAGTCACGTGGCAAGTCAGTTGGAAGTAGATTTTCTCCCTTACCACACAGCACATTCCAATAGTCATTCTTAACTGAATTACCCCAAATTCTTAGCAGGGTCTCCTGTTAACCACAAGCGGTTAGATAGCTATGTTTAGACAGCAATGGCTCCTTATCTCCTTCACGCTGAGGGAAATCAGCGGTCCTTTCCTAGTGGCGGCTTGAGGCTCAGCTCCTCTGGGATGGAATCAGACCTCCACCACAGCCCTCAACCACAGGGAGTGGGACTCCCCCATATGTCTTATTCACAGCAGTAATCACACGTTTAGTACATCTGTTGTTTTAAATTTTTAGTCCCATTAATTCTTCCTTTTTAAACAAAAAGATATGAGGAGTTGAGAATCCCCATATTCACTTTGAAGTACCCTCACTTAAGGGGGAGATTTGGGGGAAAAAAATTGAGACATGAGGCAATCCTGAAAATATGAATAAAAGAATATAAATATTTCTCCAGTCTCTCTAGTCTTCATTAAAATACATAAGAGGAAGAAACTGGTTTGCCCTTCTATATTTAATTTGGACTCTAACCTCTTTGAAAATTCAGTGGTATGATTAATTTTAGCTTATCTTATGGAATGACTCTTCACCTATAAATAAGTCTGTTCGTCTTCAGAAGACCATAAATATGCCTCCTGGTTTAGAGCTATTTTTAAATATCTCTTACATATAATTGTAATGAGATCTGCTTCCAGGACAATAGCTTAGTATCAGTTACATTTCTATTATGTTCTGTTAGTTTCTTGGTTGGGAAACATGCAAAAATGAGCTTACTTGAATGAATATGAATATTCAATGTTAAGCAGAGTAATAAAGACAAAAGAGAACCTGATATTTGATCTAACAAGACTAAAAAGAGCAAAACAAGAGAAGGAGAGAAGAGGAGGAGGTGGAGACAGAGAAGTAGAGATAAAAAAAAAACAGAAGAGTTGGAGGAGGGAGAGAATAAAAGCTTGGGAGTTTTAAATTTCAGGTAAAGGTGTAGAAATTTTTATTTTTAATTTTTTTTCTATGTTGTCCCACACAATGTTGGAAAATAGGTGGAATAGTGAGGAGAGAACAGGACAGGCATTAGAGGTTCCTTCCTTACCCCTTCATCAGCCAAGTGCCTGATTCTCCACTTTTCTATCTCTCAGAGTCCCCAGGCTCACATGAGGTTTGCACACCCATACAGGAACGTGTTATCTCTATACTCACACATTAAACATGGCATGGCATTATTGGATGTCTTGAGGCCAATGATGTCAGAAGTTATTTTCAGTGTAAAGTTATATACAAGTAATTAATAATACTTATAACAATCATATATGCTTCAAATTAGTGATAAAAGCAACCTGGTAAATGAAAAATGACATACTCGGCTATTAAAAATTATATTGCTACAGAAAAAAGTTGAGAATCTGGTATTTCTAGGGCCACAATTAATTTCTTATATTAGAACTCAAATCTTTAAAATAAAATCTCACACATGGGAATTACACTTGGGACTTTACACATGGGAAATGAATGATCAACTTTTCCTTCCTAGGTCATCTCCCATCGGAATAACAGACTTTCCGCTCTATAGAAGACAAAGGACTTGCTTTTCTCCAGAAAAATATCTCCCCATTGATAAATAATGAGCAAATGCAGGACACTTAAGTAGTGTTCCCATCAGTAGTGTGAACCCTGTCAGCACTAACCAGCTGGTCCTTGTCTGTTTTGCAGTCAAAGAAAACGGGAACCCAGTGTGCATCTGAGTTCCCAAGGAGGGAAGGCTATGATTTGCCAGGTGTGTGCATGGGCAGAATGCCCAGTCCCAGGTTGTTTTATAAAAAACCTTGCTCAGGCATGGCCAGCAAAGCTGTGGCAGTCCTGAGGAAGCAAGTAAAAGACCATCATTGCTATTTCTGCAATATGCTTACCCTCTGCAAAACATCCTTGCATTTTCTTGAATTGGTAAACAAGAGTTCAGAGAGGAAGTTAGAGTCATGACAGACAGTTGGAGTGGTAGGCAATTTAACTGTTGTGATTTCTATCATTCATCAAATCAACACAATTATTTCAGTAACCAAATATGCGTTCAGAGAAACCAAGATTATAGAAGGCAGGTGTGGTGAGTGAAGAATTAGCAGATACCAATTTGCTTCTATTTGCAGAATCCAGGAATCAGGATCATATTTACTAATACACTTTGCAGGCAAAGCTTTTAGTTATTTCCATGTAATTGTTATGTAGCAAATCTTGGACAATTCATTTTATGTTTGCCTAACCCAGAAAGGTAAACTGGAATGATAGTGTTTTTCTGGATAATTTGATCCAATGAAATAATGACCTGGAGTCACATGGTGATGTCAGGGTTCTTGCAGCTCACGCCTTAGAACCGAGTTACATGGGAGACCATGTTTGAACAATGTCCTTTAAGGAATTCAGTAACTAAACCCCACTGGACAGGAGCCAAGACAAGCCTGCTTAATGCCAAATTCCACTATAGTGGGTCATGTTATTGGATGGCTCAAATGAATCTGGGCCACGAAAAAGGGCCTCGTTCCCTCTATAGTTAGTTTTTTGTCTGAACTATCCAGATAATTGCTTCATTTTTCAACTTTTGTTTTTCTGCATGGAGTAGAAAGGCAGCTCTACTTATTTAGTTTTGTCTTTTGTTATAATCAAATCATCACCTGTAATTCTCAGAAATCATCCCCATAAAAATATGTAACTTTTGTATATTTCAAAAAGAACCACCTAATTCCACATGGCTACTTATTCTTTTATACATTTATTCATTTGTTCATTGTGATTCATTCAGCCAATATTTAACTGGACAAACAGAAGATACATTATCCTTTTGTATCATGCCACTTATTTGGGAATCTTTAATTAGCAGAAAAATCTTTCAAGTATTAAGAAGCACCAGGAAAAAGTAAACAGCTTTTGGAAAAGTTCTCCTGAAATGCTACGTCTCTGTAAAAACAAAAAGTTTAACCTGCAAAACAAGTGTATTATTTGAAGTTTACACAGCACCTTTTACTGGAAAATGTTCCAAGCATTAACATTTAATCTTACCAACATTAGTCCCAGAAGAAAACCAACCTTTTCTTTCTTTGAAAACCGGAGAAGCAGAGCTGCAGTTTGTGAATTTTCCTCTATTGAATGAACTTTTAGATCTAGACCACGTGTCCCTTATTAAATTCAGGTCACTCTGGAGAGCTCTAAGATATCATGAAAGGAGGCTACACAAAAAGTAGGGTCTTCTTTCACCCCGTCCCTCATTTCTATTTTCCCAATACCTTTCCCTAAACCTTATCAGCCCATTTGAAAAAGAAAGTGATTTATATTTGAAGATAACCCATGTGGTTTGGATCTCTTTTTCTGCTGTTATATTAATCACTGCTGTCTTACTTGTGTCTTGCAAGCAACAACAACAAATAACAAATAGATATCCTCCTGCTAAATGAAAAAGGTTCTATAACCTAAGGGTCAGGGTGAGAGAAGTTATATTCTTAGGGTGCTAAGGTTTAATATTAGGTTTGTGATCATTTTGAGTTCTTTAAATACGGTCTGCAGTGACCTGACAGCAGGTTGGTTGAAGGAAGAGAGTGGACAATCATAGTTACATGAAAATAAAGCTAGAAGGCTCACCTGTGGTTTGCCTGATTGTGTTCCTGCTCTCATGAGTGACACTTACCCAACTCCAACTCTTCAGAAGGGGCCCAACAGAGGACAGACAATCATCCATGCAAAGGCTGTAGGAAGAGTCAAACACCTGGTGAGTAGATGAACCAGATGATCATAGATTATTTTTTAATTCCAAAGTTGTATGAATCCAAATTAAAATTTTTGTTTTCTGTTGTAGTTTTTAATCTTTTGTGTGTGTGACAGAGAATGTAAAATAGAATGCACATACAGAAAAGTACATAAACCAAGCTCCTGTGAAATGACCATTTAGGTCAAGAATAGAACATAGTCATCTCTGAAGTCTTTCCATGACCTTACCAATCACATGCCCCATATCCTGAATTTTATGGTTGTATTAGTCCATTCTCACATTGCTATAAAGATACTACGTGAGACTGGGTAATTTATAAAGGAAAGAGGTTTAATGGACTCACAGTTCAATGGCACAGTTCATGGCTGGGGAGGCCTCAGGAAACTTAAAATCATGGTGGATGGGGAAGCAAACATGTCCTTCTTCACAGGGCAGCAGGAGACAGAAAAATGGGCAAAGGAGGAACTTGCCAAACACGTAAAACCATCATATATCATGAGAACTCTCTCACTATCACAAGAACAGCATGGGGGAAACCACCCCCATGATTCAATTACCTCCACCTGGTCTCTCCCTTGACATGTGGGGATTACGGGGATTAAACTTCAAGATGAGATTGTGGGTAGGGAACACAGCCAAACCATATCAATGTTAAATATTTCTTTTCTTTTTAGATCTATCACTATGCAATATAGTTTAATTTGCATGTTTTAGAAAAAACCTTATATAAACAGAACCATATACTGTGTGTTTTGCTATTTTTGCTCTACCTTATGGTTCTAAGATTGACCCATGCTGTTAGACACAGTTGTCCTTCCTTCATTTTTGTGGCTAGACCCAGATAAGTTCTGCTGAATAAAGGCTTAAGCAAGTCCTGAGCCCCCTCGGCTGGTACTTCACTGGTAATTCAGCAGGACTGGTTATTCTGTGTCTAGGGTTCTGTTGCAGAGAACAGAATACTCTCTAGCTAATTTAGGCAGGTAGCGATTTACTATAGGTTTTTAAGTGGCATAAAGAATTTTTGGAAGGAGAGACAACACAGCCTATAGAGTGAGCTTTTGGTTACCTTCCTTTGCCCTGCCCAGTTACACACAGTACTGGAAACCAAGGGAGCTGCTGCCACTCTAGGATCAGGGCTCCTCAGGCTCCAGCACCACATTGCCACTGCCTTGATCACAAAGCCACTGCAATCAGAGAACCTCCTGATTAAAAGGTATCAGGATTATGAAGCCACTAATGCTACATACTCCAGAACCATTCTGTTCCTGACACAAACTGCACTAGCAAAAATGGATGTCCATTGCCTTTCTCCTAAATACCCATGCAAGGTACCTATGCTAGCAACCAAATCTCTGCTGACATTGCCAAGAAGACCAAACACCTTTATAACACACCTGCCAGCAGAAATGGCAAAAGCAATATGAGGATATTTGGTTTGCAAAGCCTAAATACATCTGGGACTTTAGCTGAAATGTGTGAGAAAAAGTAGTCTTCATTGCACATCACGGCAATGGCTTTCAAATTTGGGATCAGAACCCATCATTAGCAGATCATGAGAACATTAAAAGAAAGAAAATAGAACAGAATAGAAAATATCAGAAATCATGAACTCAGTAAGCACAAGTACTATTTTGTAGTACACATATGTGTATACTGGATTGCAATATCAGATGTTTTTCTTACTGTGGGTTGAGTTATTTAAAAAGTTTAAAAGCCACTGCACTAAAAGGAGGGTAGAATAGGTATTGAGTGCCAATCAACCATATTCACCACAATTTCTCTTATTGAACATAGAGTTCAACTGTTGAACATGTTCAACAATGAGACTCTTGGCAGATCTTGTCGGCTAGTGTCTTCTAACAATCTACTTTGGAGCATCTTAGTGGTCTGGATCTTCTTTACAGCCTGAACAATTCAGAAACACAAGACACAATGCTGGTAGCTTGGATCAAATCCTCTCCACAAATGCCTTAAATTCAGCTAAGATCACTTAAGCTCCAGAAAAGATAGGATTTAGAAGTCTGTGTGTTGCCAATAACTGGTAGAGTGCTCTGACTGAGGACACAGATGGTTGTGTCTACCTGCCTCCCTTTCGAAGTCATCCTCCACAAGTCCCTTTGTGAGCTTTTAAAAACACAAACCTGATTATTTCACTTTTGTTTTAAAGCATTTGAAATATTCTTTGGCTTATGGCAGTGATTCATAAACTTGAGATGTTTGTTAAAATACAGATTCCCAGATCCTCCTCAGGGATTCTAACTCAATAACTTCAGGATGAGTCCCAGGAATCTGTACTTTTAGTGGGAACCGCTAGTGAATAAAAACTGGACTACTAAGCATGATCAAAACAATTTGTCCCACACCGACCTGGCCCACCTACAATTTTCCATTCTGTTTCTCCCTCCCCATCACCAGTCTCTCTTCTCTTACCTTCTTGCCGCCCTCCCTCTTTCTCCCATCTCAAACATCCTTACTCTCCCCTCACTTCCACCCAAAGACAAATAACTCACCTTAAAGAACCTAGCTCCAATATTACCTCTTTAGGAAACCTTTTATATGCTAATAAAGCTTTTTTGATACTCCATATATTTAATAATGCATTATATTGTTGTAATCATATTAAATTGTAATTACTAGTTGACATGCCATTTTTCCCTACTAAAGCTAGGACTGTATTAGGTACAATTAGTGTATCTTATTTTTTTTTATTATTTTATTTTATTTTTTGTCTTGCTCTTTCCCCCAGGCTAGAGTGAAGTAGTGCCATCTCGGCTCACTGCAACCTCCACCCCCTGAGTTCAAGCGATTCTCCTGCCTCAGCTTCCTCCTGAGTAGCTGGAATTATAGGCATCTGCCACCATGCCTGGCTAATTTTTGTATTTTTAGTAGAGACGGGGTTTCACCATGTTGGCCAGGCTGGTCTTGAACTCCTGACCTCAGGTAATCCGCCTGCCTTGGCCTCCCAAAGTACTGGGATTGCAGGTGTGAGCCACCACGCCTGGACATCTTATTTTTTTTATATTTCCAGTGCCTGGCACATGGTAGATATATCAACAATTTTTGTTTAATGAATGAATGAGTGAATGAATTATATATGGTTGGATGGTTAGATGGATATAACTGCTTCTCTAAACTATGGAATTAAAAAAAATATATGGATCCGCAGTGGAGATTAGGACTGTTACAGCTGGAACAGCTGATCATAGTTGCCGATGCCTTTGGAAAACTAAGTGCATATGGGTTAAGTCCAGGTTCCATGAAATTCAATGTGAGCCATCAATAATGTTGAATGTGGAAGGTGGAGGTTTGATTGGGAGCTGAATATTGGCATAGTATCAAAGTATCTCCCTGCCAAATACTTATGAAGAGGGAAAACATTGAGTTTATGATGGAGAAACTTAGTAGATGTCAATTTGATCCAGTGAACAGCAACTTCACTATTGGAGGGAGAGATTGGCCTCATGTGTCTCTTGATGTGATAGCCCAAGTAAAGTACAGCATCAGAGCATTCCTGCAAAGTAGTAATGGCCTGATTCTGGACATGAGGAATCATCAGATAAACTTAGGTAGAGGAATATCTACAGAATGAAGAGATAGAAAGATTGAAGAACTGTTCCAGAATGAAGAAGATTTAAAAATCTATGACAATTAAATGCAATGCATGATCCTGGGTTGACTCCTGGACAAGAAAATAAAGAGATATTATTGGGACAGTTGGAAAAACTTGAGAGTGTTCTGTTAATTAGATAGCAGTGTTATATCAATGTTGATTTCTTAATTTGGAGGGTTGTAAGGTGGTTATGTAGGAGAATGTATTTGTTTTGGAGAAATATACACTGGAGGAATTGGGAGTGATTAATCATCAGGTCTGCAATTACTGCTTAAATGGTTTATAACAGAATAATGTAAATTTTGAGAGAGAGAGAGAGAGATGGAGGAAAGGGGTAAAATGTTAATAATTGGGAACTTTGGGTAAGGAGATATGGGAGTTTTTGTACATATCTTGCCAATTTTCTTTAAATTTCATTTAAAAATAAATGATTGACTTCTACTTGTAGCCAAGATGGAATAACAGGGATCAGATTCAGCTCTCTGACTCAAACAACTGCAAAGGTAGCTACAGTGTGTAGGACAGAGTAGTTGGGATACAGGAGTGAGTAACTCTGGAGATCCTCAGAGGATTCCCTTTGAGTATTCAGCAGAGTGCTGATTAAAACATGTATGTGAGAAAATGGTCCAACGCTGGAGAAACTATTAGATAAAAAATATTCAGCAGTTAAAAGGCTGGGAATGGGGTCTGTTCCCAATAGCCAGACTGAAAAATCTTGTAATTTATGGAGCATTGGGTAGAGTAGTTAGAAAGGTCCTGTCTCAGTACTAGGGAATAAATTACCAGACTAAATGCTGCCATGGTCCAGCCAAACAAATCTTAAAAAGCAAGACTCAAAAGGATCAAAATGTTTCCAAGGAACTTAACTATATCCCAGAACAAAGCTCAAGAATATTTATAGGTACACAAAAATATCCAGGACCCAACAAGGTAATATTCACAGTGTCTGGCAACCAATAAAAGAGTGCCAGACATTCTAAGAAGCAGAAAAAATAAGACCCATAATGAAGAGAATAATCAATCAATTGAAATCTACCCAGAACTGACACAGATGTTAGCATTATTAAACACAGACATTTGAAAAGTTAATTTAACAGTATTCCAAAAGCTAAAAAAAATATAGAGTATGTTATAAAAATACAAAAAAAATCAAACAGCGAGAGCTAAAAACTATAATGTCTGAGATGAAAAATACACTAGATGGGATTTATAGCAGTTAAAACATTACAGAATAAAAGATTAGCAAACTTGAAAACATCAATAGAAGCTACTCAAGACAAAACACAAAGAGGAAATAAAAATATTTTAAAATAATTATAAGAGCTTCAGTAGTTGTGAGACAAATTTTATCAGGCTAATATGTAATGAGATACTCATTAATGTACATGTAATATACATTACACTACATCATACATTACATAATATACATTACATCATTAATATACATGTAATAATATACATGTAAGACAGTAGGGAGAAGGCAAAAAAATTGACATTATATAGCTGGAAATTTCCAAATTTGATGATATCTATAAACCCACAGATCCAACAACCCCAAAGAACTCTAATTACAAGAAACATAAAGAAAATTACACCAAGGAATATAATAATCAAATTTCTCCAAAGCAATGATAAATAGAAAATCTTAAAAGTAGCCAGAGAAAGAACATGTATTACATAAGAGGAACAAAGATATGACAGCCAGCAAATTCCTCATCTGAAACTATGCAAGCGAAAGACAGTGGATCAACATATTTAGAAGGAAAAATAACTATCATCTATATTCAGTGAAATAAAAACTCTTTCAGTCATACAAAAGCTGAAATAATTGATCACCAATAGCACCTCAATACAAGAAATGTTAAAAGAAGCCCTTCAAGTAGAAGAAAAATGGTACCAGATGAAAATCTGAATCTACTTAAAAAAACAAGGAGAACCATAAATGGGAACTATGGAAAACTATACTTGATTTATGTTCTTAAATTTAAATTCTTAAAAAGATATTTGATTATTTAAACAAAATTATAGCAATGTGCTGTGAAGTCTATGACATAAAAAAGATACAAAGTGTCAAAGTGCACAAAAGAAGAACTAGAAAACTTGATTAGCTTTATACTTATTAAAAATTGAACTTATAATTCCTTAATATAAAAAATTTCGGCCGGGCGCGGTGGCTCACGCCTGTAATCCCAGCACTTTGGGAGGCTGAGGCGAGCGGATCACGAGGTCAGGAGATCGAGACCATCCCGGCTAAAACGGTGAAACCCCGTCTCTACTAAAAATACAAAAAATTAGCCGGGCGTAGTAGCGGGCGCCTGTAGTCCCAGCTACTTGGGAGGCTGAGGCAGGAGAATGGCGTGAACCCGGGAGGCAGAGCTTGCAGTGAGCCGAGATCCCGCCACTGCACTCCAGCCTGGGCGACAGAGCGAGACTCCGTCTCAAAAAAAAAAAAAAAAAAAAAAAAAAAAAAATTTCAGGCTTAGATGGCATCACTAATGAATTCTCCCAAATATTTAGGGAACATATAATACTAATCTTACACAAACTCTTACAGAAAATTGAAGAGAATGAAATACTTCCCATCTTATTTTGTGAGGTTACTATTATCCTGATACCAAAACCAAACAAAAACATTATAAGATTAGAAAATAACGGAACAATATTCCTCAGGAACATAGACACAAAAATTGGAACCATATTTTAGAAAATTGAATCCAAGAATATATGAAAAGGATAATACATCCTGACCAAATAGGGTTTATTTTGGGAATGAAAGTTTGGCTTACTATTAAAAATCAATCAAAGTAATATATCCTATTAACACATGAAAATATAAAAACTATATCATTATCTGAATAGATGCTGCTATGATTTGAATGTATCCTCCAAAAGTTCATGTGTTGAAAAGTTAATACACGAATTTATATGTCGATGGTATTCAGAGGTGGAGTCTTTGCGAGGTAATTAGGATTAGATGAGGTCATGAGGGTGGGGTGCCCATGGTATAATTAGTGGCTTTATAAGGAAGGGAAGAGAGATCTAAGCCAGCACTTTCTCGCACCGTGTGATCTTTTTGCCATTATTATGGAGCAAGAAGGCTGTCACCAGACGCAGCCCCTTAATCTTGGAATTCTCAGTCTCCAGAACTTTAAGAAATACATTTTTTCTATGCAAAATATCTAGTCTGTGGTATTCTCTTACAGCAGCAGAAAAACAGACTAAGACAGATGCAGAAAGAGCATTTGACAAAATCAAACATCTGTTCCTAACTAAAAAAAAAAAAAAAAAAAAAAACAACTCTCAGCTAACCAGAAATAGAACTTCCACTCAATCTGATAAAAGGTATCTAAGAAAAACCTAGAGGAAACATAATACTTAATTGTGAAAAATACAAAGATTTTTTCCTAAATTAAGGAAGAAAAAGATGTACTACTATTCAACACCGTGCTAGAGGTTTAATTAGAGCAATAAGGCAAAAAATTGCATTTAAGTTAAGAAAGATAAAGCAAAATTGTTTTTATTTGCGGAGTGCG
Organism: Homo sapiens; assembly: GCF_000001405.40. Taxonomy (NCBI): domain Eukaryota; kingdom Metazoa; phylum Chordata; class Mammalia; order Primates; family Hominidae; genus Homo; species Homo sapiens. The sequence goes on from NC_000012.12 coordinate 65,577,215, forward strand.
TGATTGTTTATGTAGGAAATCTGATGGAATCTACAACAATCCCTAGAACCAATAAGTAAATTTAGCAAGTTTGAAGAGTACAAGATCAATGCCAAAATCAATTGTATTTCTACATATTAGCACTTGGAAATTGAAATGTAAAAAATGCTATTAAAATACATTAAAAGTAATGGTAAAAACTGCAATTACTTTTAGACCAACCCAATATTGGAGATAACATTAAAATATAAAATAATTAGGAATAAATCTGACAAAAGATGGACAAGACTTGTACATGAAAACTATAAAATATTGCTGAGGAAAATGAACTATGACCTAAACAACAGAGAGACATACCTTGTTCATGGGCCTTAAGGTTTAATATTATTAGATGCCAATTCTACCCAAATTGATCTGTAGCTTCAATGAAATACTCAATAAAATCTTAGGCTTTGTTTTTGGTAATAGTCAAAAGACTGATACTAAAATTCATATCAAAATGCAAAGAAGTTAGAATAGCCAAATCATCTTGAGAAAAGAAAAACGAGATCAGAAGACTTATACTGTTTTATTATAAAGAGTTATTATATAGTGTTTATATAGACTTATTATAAAGGTAATCAGGACGCTTTGGCATTGGTGTAAATATGGACAAATTAATCAATGGAACAGAATAGGCAGTGCAGAAACAGATCCATACATACGACAACCAATGGATATATGGGTACCACACATATGGACAAGTAATATTCAACAAAGGTACAAAGACAATTCAGGGTAGAAAGAATAGTCTTTTTACAAATGATGCTGAAAAACTTTTGCAAAATAATAGAGAACTTGGATCAATACCTATAGTTATATAAAGAAATTAACTCAAAATGGATCATAGACCTAAATGTAAACCTCAGACTATAAAGATATAAGACATAGACACAGATATTTTAGATACAACATAAAATGCGTGATACACAAAAGAAAAACATGAAATGATGAACCGTTAAAAATATCAACATTAAAACCTATGCTCTTTGAAAGACATTAATTAAGTCACAAACCACCAAATGGGAGAAAATATTTGTAAAGCATTTATCTCAGAAAGGATTTATATTCTAGAATATATTTTTTAAACTCTCAAAACTCAATGATAAAAACCAAACAACCCAACTAAAAACTCACTTTAAAAAAATGGGAGACATATTTGAGCAGATTCTTTCCCAAAGAAGATCCAGGTTGAGCATCCCTAATCTGAAAGTCTGAAATTTGAAATGCTCCAAAATTTGAAACTTTTTGAGCACAACTATTCCACATCTGACCTGAAATTTAAAATATTATAAAAAATTGCCTTTGGGCTATGTGTATAAAGTGTATATGAAACATAAATAAATTTCATGTTTAGACTTGTGTTTCATTCCCAAGGTATCTTATTATGTATATGCAAATATTCCAGAATTTTTTTTTTAAATCTGAATTACAAAACACTTCTGATCCCAAGGATTTTAGATAAGGGATATTCAATCTGTATATGAATAATGAATAGACACATTTTGTTAAGAAAATGAACATTAAAACCACAGTAAGATGCCACTGTTAACCAATTAGAAAGGCTAAAATTTAAAAAGACTAACCATATCAACTAATGAAGATATAGAGGAACTGGAGCTCTCATATATTATTGTTATTACCAATTTGGAAAATAGTTTGGCAATGTCTTTAAAAGTTCAATATAAACCTCCTATATTATCCAAACATTGTACCCTAGATATTTACTCAAGAGAAAAGAAAGCGTACATCCATACAATGATGCATATATGAATGTTCATAGCTGCTTTATTTGAGACAACCAAATGTCCATAAATAGGTAAATGTATTGTGCTATATCTATTGTATGAAATGATAGTAATTTAAAGGAATGAATTATTTTTACACACAATAATTTTGAGATAAATCTCAAAATAATCATGCAGAGTGAAAGAAGCTAAACCAAAAAGAGTACTAAGTAAACACATCTATTGTAATAGAAAGTGGGTCAGTGATTGCCTGGGAGGAGTGGGTAGGAAGAATAGGAAGGAGGGATTACAAAAAGGCAGGGGGGAAATATTGATCTTTCATCTTCAATTGATATTCACTATCATGGTTGTGGCAATGGTTTCATGGGCTTACACATTTGTCAAATTGTACAAATTGTACCAGTTTACCATTCATATTTATACCTCAATAAAGCTGTTTTTAAAAAACTATAAAATAAAATATTAAAAAGTATTAAGGAGCCCTATATAAGACAGAAAATACATGTTGGTTGCTCGCAAATTGGATTGAGTCAGATTAAAAATAGAAAAACCAAAGGTTTTTTTTTCAGCTGTTGCAAAAGGGGTTGAGTTATTGATTTAATTCTCAGCTTGGTCGCTGTTGGTGTATAGCAGGGTTACTGCTTTGTGTACATTCATTTTGTATCTTGGTACTTTGCTGAACTCATTTACCAGTTCTGGGAGCTTTTTGGATGAGTCTGTAGGGTTTTCTAGGTATATGATCATGTCATCACCAAACAGTGACAGTTTGACTTCCTCTTTACCAATTTGGATGCCGTTTATTTCTTTCTCTTGTCTGATTGCTCTGGCTAGGACTTCCAGTAGCATGATGAACTGAAGTGGTGAAAGTGGGCATCCTTGTCTTGTTCCACTTCTCAGGGGGAATACCTTTAACTCTTCCCCATCAGTATTAATGTTGGCTGTGGGTTTGTCATAGGTGGCTTTTATTACTTTAAGGTACACTTAAGCAAGGAGGTGAAAGACCTCTGCAAAGAAAACTGCAAAACACTGCTGAAAGAAATCATAGACAAAACAAACAAATGGAAACACATCCCATGCTCATGGATGGGTAGATTCAATATTGTAAAAATGACCATACTGCCAAAAGCAATCTACAAATTTAATGCAATTCCCATCAAAATACCACCATTGTTCTTCACAGAACTAGATAAAACAATCCTAAAATTCATATGAAACTGAAAAAGAGCCCACATAGCCAAAGCAAGACTAAGCAAAAAGAACAAATCTGGAGGCATCACATTACCCAACTTCAAACTATACTATAAGGCCAGACATCATGGTACCGGTATAAAAACAGGCATATGGACCAACGGAACAGAACAGAGAACCCAGAAATAAAGCCAAATACTTAAGTCAACTGATCTTTGACAAAGCAAAAGAAAATATATAAAGCGGGGAAAGGACACCCTGTTCAACGAATGGTGCTGGGATCACTGGCAAGTCACGTGTAGAAGAGTGAAACTGGATCCTTATTTCTCACTTTGTACAAAAATCAACTCAATGGGTCAAAGACTTAAAACTAAGATCTGAAACCATAAAAATTTTAGAAGACAACTTTGGAAAAACTCTGCTAGACATTGGCTTAGGCAAAGAATTCATGACCAAGAACCCAAAAGCAAGCACAATAAAAACAAAGATAAAGAGATGTGAATTAAACTAAAAAGCTTCTGCACAGCAAAGGAAATAATCAGCAGAGTTAATGGTCAACCCACAGAGTGGGAGAAAATCTTCACAATCTATACATCCAACAAAGGACTAATATCCAGAATCTACAAGGAACTCAAACAAATCAGCAAGAGAAAAACAAAAACAATCCCATCAGAAAGCGGGCTAGGGACATGAATAGGCAGTTCTCAAAAGAAGACCTACAAACAGTCAACAAACATGAAAAAGTGCTCAACATCATTAATTATCAGGGAAATCAAAACCACAGTGTGACACCACCTTACCCCTGCAAAAATGGCTATAAACAAAAAATAAAAAATAAAAGATGTTGGCATGGATGTTTTGAAAAGGGAACACTTTTACACTGCTGGCAGGAATGTAAACTAGTACAACCACTATGGAAAACAGTGTGGAGATTCCTCAAAGAACTAAGAGTACATCTACCATTTGATCCAGCAATCCCACTCCTGGGGATCTACCCAGAGGAAAAGAACTCATTATATGAAAAAGATACTTGGACACGCATGTTTATAGCAGCATAATTCACAATTGCAAAAATATAGAACCAGCCCAAATGCCCATCAGTCACTGAGTGGATAAAGAAAACTTGGTATATATACCCCAGAATACTACTCAGCCATAAAAAGGAATGAAATAACGGCATTTGCAGCAGCCTGGATGGAATTGGAGATCATTATTCTGAGTGAAGTAACTCAGGAATGGAAAACCAAACATCATATGTTCTCACTCATAAGTGGGAGCTAAGCTATGCAGATGCAAAGGCATAAAAATGATACAATGGACTTTGGGAACTTGGGGGGAACAATGGGAGTGGGGTAAGGGTTAATAAACTACACATTGGGTACAGTGTACACTGCTCAGGTGATGGGTGCATCAAAATCTCAAAAATCACCACTAAAGAACTTATTCATGTAACTAAACACCACGTGTTCCCCAAAGTCCTATTGAAATAAAAAAAAAGTAGGTAGAAAACCAATGAAGTAGAAAATATATCTATTGGATACACTTGCAACAGGAGAGATAAAAACAACAAAACACTATCCTTACTCTAGGTGATAGTTCCATGGGACAAAAGTTATACCTTAAGGCCACAGTATAGGTAGACATAGTCTTACTTGGAAAAAGTGAACATTCCTTGTGTTTTTCATCAGAAGAGCTGTGTCCTCAAGAAGAAAACCAGAACTCTGAACTCTGGTTTTAGGCAGGCAGGAAGGGATTACCTGTCTCTCTGTAGACTTTGCACTTTAGGGTCTTGTTGGAGGGTATAACGTTTAATCTCTACTGAGGAATACCCATTACTAGGTCATTCCCCATATTCCTAATAACTCCTTCCCAGGAGAAGTGCACTGAGTTATCTGATTAATGAGTTTGGAAACAGAAACAGCTCTCCTCCCTCCTACCTTTCTCTTTGGAACAACCTGACTTTGGGCTGTAAGTATTCTTCTCTGTTCCTCTTTGATAACTTTTTTTTTTTTTTTTACAGGAATAGTCCGCCTTTTCCAAATAGTGGAGAAGACAGACATGATTAGATGCTGTCTGAACTGATTAGACCGTTATGATTAGATGACTCGGTAAGTCTGTGATTCTGGTGTTCAATATTAAGAACTTGCCCCCACAGATTCAAGCTGCAATCTCCTAAATCACTTTTGTCATTAAACAGGGAGGAATTTTTGCCTTCGTTTGCTATTTTGTCTTATTTCTCAATTGCTTCAGAGCTTAGCGAGGAATAGAGTTATTATATATTGAGCTCTCTCAAAGGCCTCAATAAATATGGACTTCCAAGAGCCAAGCAGAGCTAATGGGTTCTCCCATTGGCCTTTATCATGTGGAAGAAGTGCATTAACTAGGCAGGAAGACATCCCAGAAAACAGTTCCCAGCTGTAAATAAATATGATTGTAGATTTTTAAAATCTATAATTAAAAAAATCTACAATCCTCTTGTGAACCTAAAATTCTGGCCTTTATTTTATGGTTTAACAGAAATTGAAGTCGAGGATTTGTTTTCATGTTTGGTCTATGTGAATGTTAATTGAAAACAATGTTCTCTCCCAGCCCTCAGTTTACATCAAGTGTGGGGCTGATTGGCCATTATTAATGAAATACTAGCAACATTGTGTCCACAACTTCTAGGAAACAAAAAAACAACCACCACCAACAAAAACTTCTATTATTTGATCTGCAGTGTTCAGGGAGCATCTTCCTTTTCAGTTTTACAAGTAAGTATTAAAGAGCTGAACCAAAAAAAAAAAATTATTCAACCAGGTGCGGTGGTTCCCACCTGTAATCCCAGCACTTTGGGAGACCAGGTGGGTGGATCGCTTGAGCCCAGGAGTTCAAGACTAGCCTAGGCAACATGGCAAAACCCTGTCTCTACAAAAAAAATAATAATAATACTAATACAAAAATTAGCCTGGTGTGGTGGCACACTCCTGTAGTCTCAACTACTTAGGAGACTGAGGTGGGTGAATCGCTTGAGCCTGGGAGGTCAAGGCTGCAGAGCTGTGTTTGCACCACTGCACTCCAGCCTGGGCCGCAAAGTGAGACCCTGTCTCAAAAGAAAAAAAAATATTCTATTGAAGATGTTCTGACCATATGCACCATTTGTTCCTGCAATGCAGGCCTCTGAAGACTTTCTGGTTCGTATCCTTTCTGAGTACTGGTTTAAATTTTTCCTCAATTCATCTAGCTTCCCCATGTCTTTCCATTAAATCCCTTCCTCTGCTTAGGTTAACCAGAATCTCTTTCTGATGATTGCAACCAAAAACGTAACTGATTCATTTTGCTTAAATAGATATTCAAATCTTTCCATTTACCTCACGAGAGCAAAAGGTGCATTTCTAGATTTCTGGTGAGTGAATATAATGACTAAATCTAAATAGAATGACCATGGTTTCCTCCTGTGAACCTTACATTTTTTGGAGATTAGGAGGGAGGGTATATTGTAGTTCTTGACATCCAGGCTGTTTAAATGGGAATCAATTTTTTGGACATTCACTCCATGAAGTTGTGTGTATTCCAGGTGCTTACCAGGGTGCCTACCACATTCTAGGCATAAAATCAAAGAACACATTCACCACATCCTTCCAGCAGCATTCACTGTTATGGTGGTGTTTTATCTTGAAGTCTAAGTTCTTTGATAGAAAAGACTGTGAAGTGTTACTTTGCCTACTAAGACACCACACATGGAGCTGGCATCCCTTATTGTCATCCACAGATGATCATGCTCACCTTGCATGCATGTTAAGTGAATTTAAGTTCTATTGTGTATACTGCTGACCATCTTGCACTGGGCTGTATTTTTATGACCCAGCTCTTGGTTTTACTTTCACATGAAAAAAGATAACCGAAATTCCCAAATGCCAGATAATTTCAAATTCTACAGTAGTTTTGGAGATTTCTTTAAAAGAAGTATAAACAACATATGCCTTCAAGATCCAAAGCATCTGCTAAAAGCCTTTACACTTTACATCCTTAATCTGTGAGCGGATTATAGAGTAATTCTCTGCCACTGGAGGATGGCTGGTATAGCTGGATAAGCTAGAGATATTACAGTCTGCAATTCCTACCCTGGGGATTAGTAAGGGCTCTCTACGTGCATGTGGTTGAGAGCATTTTGTAAGAAGCTGTCTCTTTAATTTCTAACATGTATCATAAGCTAGTTTCACTGTCTTTTATGAGACATTACAAATTTCAAATCCCATTCAAGCAATGGGCACATTTTGCTTGAGACCATCCTGCAACTTGCCATCTGAGAAGTTCCTAAGGCGGGCGGATCACGAGGTCAGGAGATCGAGACCATCCCGGCTAAAACGGTGAAACCCCGTCTCTACTAAAAATACAAAAAATTAGCCGGGCGTAGTGGCGGGCGCCTGTAGTCCCAGCTACTTGGGAGGCTGAGGCAGGAGAATGGCGTGAACCCGGGAGGCGGAGCTTGCAGTGAGCCGAGATCCCGCCACTGCACTCCAGCCTGGGCGACAGAGCGAGACTCCGTCTCAAAAAAAAAAAAAAAAAAAAAAAAAAAAAAAAAAAAAAAGATGGCAGCAAGGTTTCTACAGTGCAATATAAATAGCAAGCTTCCAAACTAGGCTTTTCATTCCTTTCATGAGGTTATAGCTCTGAATAATGACTGCTTTCAGTTAGTCAGCATACGGCCAATAATCCCATTAGTTTATCAATATTCTACTATTACGTAAAACAGAATTCTTCTTTTTTTTATTTTTTTTATTTTTTGAGACACAGTGTCTCTGTCGCCCAGGCTAGAGTGCAGTGGTACAACCTCGGCTCACTGCAACCTCTGCCTCCTGGGTTCAAGCAATTCTCCTGCCTCAGCCTCCCAAGTAGCTGGGATTACAAGCACCTGCCACCACACCCGGTTAAATTTTGTATTTTTAGTAAAGACAGGGTTTCACCATGTTGGCCAGGCTGGTCTCGAACTCCTGACCTCAGCTGATCTGATCGCCTCAGCCTACCAAAGTGCTGGGATTACAGACATGAGCCACCATGTCCAGCCTGAAACAGAATACTTCTCATGGTGAATGTTTGAGTCCTCTAGATGATCAAAAGCAAACTCTACATCTATCGAAGATACCTTAGTTTGCTTGCTTCAAGATAATTTGAAGGCCTCACCTGATCATAGAAATCTCATAAAATGGGACAAATGATTTCAATCTAGTGTGTATACCTCCAAACTGTCATTAAAAAAATACAGGCTCCAGTATTTTTAAAGTATTCATTGAAGTATACAAGTAATTTTCGAGGATGGATTTGCATTGTCTGTCTTCTAGTTGTATTTGTTTGATTAAGAGACACTTTTGTCTCCAGAAAGATATTCAATGTGTGAGCATTATAGATAGAACTTGACTGCTTCAAAACTTCTCTGGCTCCCCTCATCTACACTGTACCCTAAATTTACTGCATCCTGCAAGGTCAGGAAGGCAACTAGACCAAGTTTTCCCTCCTTTCCTCCAGCTCCACTCTCATTAGCTACTATCCTTCCTGGAATACATAACACTAATAGTTCTTTATTTGCCTAGTCTATTTTAAGCCATCAGCAAATGGAAGCCACTCTTCTGAACCTCCTATTGCAGCAATTCCCCAGAATTGAAAAAAAAAAAAAAAGGCCATCTGTTGTCTCAACTATCTGTGGAGCTAAAGTAAAGGCTTTAACTTAATGCTCTTCAGCAGAGTAATAGGAAAACATCCATCACCCAGTGACAGGTTAGGTCGACTGTCCCAACAGATGGATGTCTGCCGTTGCACACATTAAGGAAACAGAGTTGATCACTCCAAGGATACAATAAAATCTCAGAACTTCCAAGAAACTAAGAACTACTGCAAAAGGGATAGATTCTTCCAGAATACAAAAGCTATTTCCTAATTGTGCACCTGGTGCATTCCAAATTCACATTAAACTCTCAGGCCTTGGTGTTGCAGACTAGGTTATTGCTCTGAGGTACTAGATGCATTAGGCTTTTGACCTTTCAACTCCTGAGAATTAGCAAAACTTCTCTGATTGCTCATCCTGTGTGGAGGCAAGCCGGCTCTGAAAGCCTGAATTGAAGGCCTGGAAAAGTGGTGAGAGGCAGTTCCATGACAGAACTGACATATTCAGGATTTCTGTGCAGCAGCCTCAATTGAATCACTCTCTTCTCCTCTCTGACACTCAAACTTTCTCTCAATCTTGTTCTAATTTGGCCAGAAGAGGGAAGTCTCTATCTTCCCATCACTGAACCTATAAATCTGACTTTACCCACACCCATTTTCTCCATCTAGTTATGAAAAGGAATCACTGTTAATATTTAGTAAACATTTATTACATAACAGGCAATGTCCTAAGTACTTTACATATATAAGCTCATTTGGTTCTCAAATAGCTCTGTGTGGTAAGTAATTATATTATCACCATTTTATTGGATGAGGCCACTGAATACAGAGAGTTCAGGCAACTTGCTTAGTCACAGAGCCAGGAGGTCTCAGAGCCAGGATTCAAACTCAGGTATTCTAACTACAGAACCCATCTTACCTGCTGCACTGTACTGACTGAGGAGAGCCACCTGCTATGGATAAGTGCCTCCTCCTGTGCTCTCACGCCATCCTTCAGCAAAGATTGAGTGAGAACCCACTCTGTGTCTGGGCTAGGTTCTGGGATATAATTATATGCAAAAACAGATACTAAAGAGGTAGTCAGCCAAGCACAGTGGCTCATGACTGTAATCCCAGCAATTTGGGAGGCCAAGGCAGGCAGAACACTTAGGCCCAGGAATTCAAGACCAGCCTGGGCAACATGCCAAAACCCTGTCTCTACAAAAAATAATTTTAAAAAAAGTAGCTGGGCATGGTGGTGCATGTCTGTAGTACCTGTGAGGCTGAGATGGAAGAATCACCTGAGCCCAGGAAGTAGACGCAACAGTGAACCATGATTGTGCCACTGCACTCCAGCCTGGGCAACAGAGTAAAATCTTGTTTCAAAAAAGAGGTAGTTATGCTAACTCATATGTAATGAATGAAAAAGTGAGAAAGGAATACACTATTAAGAGCACATATAATGAAAGGACCTTGCCCTAAACAGGGGGATCAGAGGAGGCTTCCCAGGAGGAGATATGTTTAAGCTGAACAATGGAGAATGAACGGGGATTACCTTGGGCAAGAGGAGCAACGACGGTCATTATGGAGGGAAGCAGGAGATGTCAAAGATGAGTCCAGGCTTGCGGTTGGCTCATCTAAAGGCCACTAGTTACTCACTCTTTTCTGAAGATGAACACATAAGCAATTTCTTGATCTTTACCTTTGACTGAAAGTCCTTCATCATATAGTATTTTATATATTTTGTACATTTATATATTTTAACAAAATATTAAAATGTATAATATAAATATATATTTATACAAATATAAATACACACACACACACACACACACACACACACACACAGTTCCATCCAAAAGAAGGAAACAAGAAAACCACCCCTGAAACATTGAGAAATGGCATGGTGAAGGGGGAAAAGCAATGAATTAGGACCCAGAAATTCATAGGTTTAGTCCTGGCTGAGCCATTAGTTTACTGTTGACCTTGGCCTTGGTTTCTCCATCTTTAAGATGGAGGTAGTAGTGCCTGCCTTAGTTCGCCCTCCAGAGTCACTGCGAAGATTAAATGCTATAATCTATAAGGGGGAAAACTTAGAAAACATTCTCATGCTTTGGCTAAGAGCTTTGGAAAGCACTTAGTTACGTGGAGATTCCAGGGAAGTTTCCTTCAGTTTTCTCTGCATTATTAGATTTCTTGTTGTAGAAAAGTGTGTGCGCTTTGTGAACCAGGTTTTCAGAGCCTCCAGATTTCCTTAAGTACAGCACATGTCCCTGAGGGTATATGGCACACACTTCCCTTTTAACAACTGCACATTTCACTTAATGTTTAGTGTTTCTGCTTCAAAATGAATGCTACTCCATGGCTGGTGTGGGTGAATAGCCCACACTGGTCTTAGTTCAGTTTGTGTCAGTGATTAGCTCAGCTGAAATTGGTTGGGAAAGGAGGAGAACACTGTTCAGCTTGATAAAAATAAAGTACATTCTTTCAATAAAGAGGGAGTGAACAGAAAGCAATTGACTGTGGAGAAGGCAGGTGACCTAACAACTACAGAAGAGAATTTAAAGTTTGGCATTGGAAGCCACTGACTTCCAATTCTAATGTGACATATTGAATTGTGTGACTTGGACATGCACACACATACATATACATGTGTACATGTTTATGTTTCTATACATATTTCTGCATGAATATGTAAATATATGTGTATTTATATTCATAATGCACTCTCAAGTTCAAAGACTCTGAGCCACATTAGTGTACAGTTTTATAATTTAAGATGATTTTGTTATCAAAAAATTGGAACTTCTACCTATTTAAAACTTATTTCTACTGTTTTAAGTGAAAATATTTAGTTGTAAACAGCAGACAGCCATTCTAAGGAAAAAAATTATTAAAAGGCCCCCACTTTTTTTTTGAGAAACAGTCTCACTCTGTCACGCAGGCTGGAGTGCAGTAGTACAATCATAGCTCGCTGCAGCCTCAAACTCCTGGGCTCAAGTGATCCCCCTTCCTCAGCCTCCCAAGTCGCTGGGACTACAAGCACACACCCCCACACCTGGCTAATTTTTAAATTTATTCTAGAGCTGGATCTCACTATGTTGCTTAGGCTGGTCTCAAACCCTTGGGCTCAGCCTCCCAAAGTGCTAGGATTACAGGCAAGAGCCACCATATCCGGCTCTTAAAAGGCTTTTGAGTAGCTCGTGGAATTGCCAGGTGCCTTAGAGAAGATTCTGAACTCTATAGCCAGGAACAATGCTCAGAATCAAATTGCAGAACCTTTCTGGTGAGGACATCATAGCTGCTTATGATCCCTAGATTCTATGGGCAGCTGCCACCACTACCAGAGTCTTCCTTGCAATGCGAGCTTCTTGCATCATGACTTCTAGATTCCAAGTATGCAAAGGTACATATTACTGGGGAACCTGGGCCACATGCTCGCGCCTAGCTCTAGAGAAATTTGGGAAACAATAAGTATGTATGCAGCATTTTTAGCTTCTGTACTAGTTGATAACATGAGCTTCCACCAAGAATCCTAAAGCGTGGAAGTCTTCAAATATGGGTAAGAAGTTCTGATGTTTATTGGACAACCAAAAAGAGTGACATTTGTGTACCATGACAGAGTAGTGCTAATAGATGCTAATTCCAAAGATAAGAGGCTGAGCCTGGCTTTCAGTCTTTAAGAAAGTATTTGAAAAACAGAGTCTATACAATGAATTCCTGATTTTAGGAAAAGCTGCACAGTCTCCCAGGAATACCCTGACAGATCAGAGCAGTAATAAAGCAACACAGCTCAGGCCTAAGGAGCAGATACTTCTAGAAAAGTTTCAACAACAGAAACCTGATTAAAAAAAAAAAAAAAGCATAGCCATTGATATAAAACATATGACACATATCTTAGTTGGACTCTCAAAACATTTCTCACTTCTCTACAACAAACAATGCTTCCAAAAATGGCCCATGCCCTGTCTCTAGGAGATGAATTGGATTCAACTCATCCCATTTCAGAGCACGTTTGATAGAGTTCATGTACCAAGCCCTTCCTGTGGGCTGAGGAACTTTCCGTGGGCTGAGGAACTTCTCAACTTCCACTGTTCCATAGTGGGGAAAAATTCATTTGGTAAGCTGTTAAAAACTCCTAGTCATTAAATGAAGTTTGCTCTGCCTTGGGTCAAAAATAAAAAGGCCTATTGCCTCTTAAATTACCATGTCTGAGGCCATTTGTAGTAGTTCCTTGCTATTCTTGAGGAGGAAAAAAAGGCACGATCCTCTGCAAAAATGGTAGTTATGCTCTTTTAGGAGCCACCTCCTTGACACAGGTGGGGAGGCTTAGTTGGGTGAGGGGTCCCAGCTAAGCAAACCTCTGGGAAGGCCCAGCCTGGGCATAGCCAGTGTGTCCTCATGCCAAGATCTTCCCAGAATGAGTCTTGGGAGGATTTAGGTCTCTGAGTGTGGAAAGCTGGGCAGGAGCCAGCACACCTTCTCCAGAGGCACAGAAACTTGGGGGCACAGTACCAAATAGCCATTCTTTCTTTACCTAGTCTCTAGTCACCCTTTGGAAAAAAGGTTTTAGTATTCATTTTAACATCCCACAATTGCAGAGTGGCCACCTGTCACCTCTCACCACAGATCCACAACCACAGTCCCCCCAGAGTCTCTGACAGAAGGTCCTGCTTGCAGAGGAAGCAATTCAACAGGCCTTTGGAAGGCAGCCGAGCAGCAGCAGGAGGCCTATTAAAACCACAATTTCAGAATCTCAGGGTGGGCATTTTCTTGTGGCGTATTAAGTAACACACCTACTCAAGTTACTGTGTGAACTCAGTGGACAGCTGCCCTTTCAGTGAGAAGCGTATGCTTGTACTGCGCTGTCCCTACCCCCACCACCCCCAAGTTCAATCACAGACCCTTCAGAGATGTTTGGCCTGAGAAGAGCAGTGGAAATGGAGTGAAGCTTGGATGAAGATGTCGAAGGCCAGGAGTCACCCCTTAATGAAGAGCTCCAAATGCCTGGGGGTTCACCCAAGGGCCAGAACCAGAGAACAGTTGCATTTACCCAAAATAGAGATAGACACAGGTAGAAGAATCTACTCGAAGTGGAAATGGCCTCTTTCTCATATTCGCCCTTGAAAAAATATGGGAGGAAGAACGGGAAATGGTGGTTCCGAGAATTGATTCTCAAGTCAGAATCATGTGCACTCAAATCACTTAAAGAATTGGCATGACCTTGAACAAATCTTGCTTACTCTCTGTTAAGTTTTGTTTTTCTCTATCATGATAAGAAATACCATGGTCGTGAGAAATAAATGAGATATTAAATGTAAAACAGGCCAGGCGCAGTGGCTCACACCCGTAATCCCAACACTTTGGGAGGCAGAGGTGGGCAGATCACCTAAGGTCGGGAGTTCGAGATCAGCCTGGCCAACATGGTGAAACCCTGTCTCTACTAAAAATACAAAAAAGTAGCTGGGCGTGGTGGCGTGCTCCTATACCCCAGCTACTCGGAAGGCTGAGGCACGAGAATTGCTTGAATCGGGGAGGCGGAGGTTGCAGTAAACTAAGATCACGCCACTGCACTCTAGCCTGGGCAACAGAGTGAGACTCTGTCTCAAAAAATAAAAAAATAAATAAATAAAATAAAATAAATGTAAAACAGGTGATACCTATAAAGCACATACTTTATGTATCAGTTATTTTAATGTTTTCATAGATAGTGGTTAAACTGGTGTGGTTACTATGTCCCTCTTTCCTCCACTTGGTAAATAAGATATATTTTCCTTTAAGGTAGGGTGATGTACTGTTTGTATTTAATGTTTTTATTTCATAGTGTGTTTCTATTTAATGAAAAACTTAAAGGAAAACTTCACTGTGTGCCACCTGCTTTGTGCATTGTAAAATGGATGCTGTCTTCATAGAATTTCTTCCTGAAAGGGATTCTGATGGAACTAAACAAGAAGAATTCTATGTGAGAGGGAAAATTCAGAACCCGAAAAGGAAACCCAAAAAAGAAGTTAAGAGAGGGAAGTGTGTGGAAATACCATTTACTAATACACTCCTTTCACTCCCCTATAGACTGAGTAATATAACATTGACCAATATAGAGCGTCATGGAAATGCTCATGCATAATGGAAGTAATGGTCAGACTTGAACAGAGCTTAACTTTGCTTTCATTGGGCATCCGCTTCACAGCATTGAGGCCAGCTTTCTGCAGTGAAGGAGAAGGGCATGAAATATAGATTGCCAGGCCTCTGGGGACTCTGAGGAATGAGAGGTACTAAATAAGGATGAAATTCATCCTGGTCTTATTACACTGCCCTCTTCCATCTCTCATATCATGAAGTAAGTTTGGCAAGAGAGTAGAAGAAAGAGAGAATCAGCTTAAATAATAGGGAAGGAAATCTGTTCCTGGGCAATTTTTTTGGCAAGTTTGACAATAAATAAAGAGTGAGATAATGAGACTAGCTCAGTAATTCTCTGACTTTCTCATCCTTTATCCCTTCAGAGAGCCTGTTTGGTCTCTCCCACTAACGGGAGAGCTGTAGGAATAGCTTTCCTCTGTTTTGCTTCAGAAGGAAAATATGCTAAGGGAGACAAGAACAGACCTAGGAGGCACAGAAAGTGAACATGAAGAAAGGGTGGTGTCAAAGAAAAAGGGGCCTTTGGCAGATCTGTGATCTGGAAAAAGGGGAATCGGAGGTGATCCTGTGGAAGGAAAAGCATCTACTAATGCATTTTACATCAAATTTCTGTTCAGATTCTGACAACTCTGATTTCTTTAAATCTTTTGCAATTGCCCCACAGCCTTTCGACATACTGTGACTCCCAACCTGAAAACATTTGACAACACGGGTTATATGAATAAACAACAGAAAAACCCTGTGCTCCAAACTTGAGTCTTTTGAAAGCCTTTGCTTCTGACATTTCCTACTTTAAAAAATAAATGCCTTTCTTCTTAAGGAACACTAGACAATGAGAACAGATTTTTAAATTTTAATTTTTTTTTTAATGAAAATCCTATTCAGATGCATACTGATTCACAGGAGATTTGAAATGTCTCCAATTACCAATTTGGAATTTTAAGCAGATCTTGGAATCATAGACATCTAGACATGGGAGGTATCATAGAGGCCAACTCATTCAGAGTCCACCTGTTGCAAGAATCCCCTACGTGTGTAACAATTGGATGGTAATTGACCTAGGCATGGAGAACTCAGTAATTTTCAATGCAGATCGTTCCTTTGTTGAGAAGCCATCATGTCAGAAGGTTCTTTATTATAAAGTCAAGTCTACCTCTGTTCTTTCACCCCAATGTTTACCCATTGGCCTTAGTTCTGTCCTTTATAAGTTCACATCATAACTCTACAATCAATAACTCTTCTATGTAATTTCCCTTAAAATATGTGAAAACAGTTCTCATTTCCCTCATTAGTTTTCTCTTTTCCAGGTAAGGAGATGGGTCCCTTCTCTGTACTCATTCCTCAATTGATATAATTTCCAGACAATTCCCCATCCCCATAACTCTGTAGAAGTTTCTTTCTTCCTTCACTTTTTTTTTGTTTTACAAGGCAAACTTTCCTAGAAGAGCAAAGAAAACATTCTTTTCCAAGATCTGACTGGGCTTAGCCATTTCGTACACATTATGGCATGTGATAGTGGACTATAAAAACTTTTATTGCTGTGCATTTGAATAAAGGATGACTGCATTTGTTAAGCAAGCTCTTTCCAAACAAGTCATAATAAAAAGTTTACAGCATCCCACTTCATCACATAACTTTTTAATGCTGCTCCTTTTGTTCGGTTTTGGTTCTGGTTTTCAGTCCTTCTTCACTTTTTTTCCCCTTGAACTATCAGAGTTATTCTGGAAATTCCCATGGAGAGTTTCAAGTTGGAAGCCTGGTCCTAAAAGGCCTTTTTCTTGAGACCATCTCCTGGATTTGGACCATGAATCAGACAGAAATAATGATGCCATCTTCATGGTAGGGCCCAGTGCAGTGCATGTGTGCAGTATAAAGTCAGTTTATATATGGCTTGAAATTGTATCCCAGGGTTTGGAAAATGCAGAAGTTTATGCGATGGATATCATGACCACACATGAGGTGTTGTGAAGATACATATGTATCTTAAAATATACATATCTGCAAGAATATACATATCTGTATATATGTATAATGGAGAGCTTTAAACTATCAAAGCCTTCAGGCAAATATTTTATGGCTATCTAATGGTGGGTATTTATAACTTAGCCTCTTGACTTCAGAAGTTGAGATTTGGCACTGCAAACACCAAGTAAATACCAGGCATGATTAGTGTAGGAACTTCATGCCATTGGCATTAAAAAAAATTAAGATGGTCTTACTTTAAACATTTGTTCCAATGTATAGAAGAAGTAGTAACATTTTTTAAGGCACCAGGGCTGATTTTAAGATGCCTTTCTCTGGGATTCTGATTTTAAACATTTACCTTTGGGCTTAAAAAACATCTCTGTCTATGAAAAGAATAGGATAAGTTAAAAGACTTAAAGAAGTCTTTCCCTCTTCATTACCCACAGCCTCTCTTCAAAATATTATCAATATTTGTGGGTATGCTGGGAGTAAGAGGATAAGCTGGTCAGTGTAGCTTTAGTTAGAGGGAAAAACTCTGTAACTACTTTAAGGTATCAAATGGGGAACAGTTGGAAAAGCAAGCTTGATTAAAGACAGCTAACATCACTTCAGGAAGGGGAGTCGTGCCTAACTAATTTGTTGGAATTCTTTGAGGAAATCGCTGCCCCAGTGAGCTGGATGGGGGAAGGGAGGAGATTATAGACTAAGTTTTTCAGAAAGCGCTCTACAGAATTCTCCACTGTTGGTTGAAATGTTTAAGGTCTGAAGTCATGGAAGTGTAGGACAATCGGCATATTGGACTAAAAACTGGCAAAAGGGGAGGAAAGAAAGGGTAACTATGGACAGAAAACAGGCTGTGTCAGCCTCGAAAACAGGATCATAAAAGGGATTTAAAAAAGTGAGAGGGTATTTTTAAAAAGAGAGAGAGGGAAGCTGTACTTGGCATTTGAACTGGAGCTTTCAGAGAACACTAAAGGTGTCCCTCTGGGAAGTTTATCTGGAAGGGGAGTGGGGAGTGGGGTGGGGGGAGGGGTAAGGAGAACAAAAGAGATAATTCACCCATAAGCAGACAGATTCTACTTGTGGGGACTTCCCCACCTGGAAGGGCACTGTATCACCACGTCCTGGTTGTCAGCCTGAGCTACATAGTACATTGCTTTTTTCTTGAGAGTCTCCAAAATAAATCCACCAAGCAATTTGATTTATTTAAACCCTAACGTAGCGTGAACTCAGAATGATCGGAATATGTTCCAAGATGAAACTACCTTTTCACTTTCTGAAGCTGTTTACAGATAAGAAAGAACATTAATAAAGCAGTATTTCATATGTCACTGTCGATGATTTGATAACCTGTTGCCTAGAGATGGACAATTCTGACAGGGGATTATGTGGCCCTTGCTGCAATGCCCCCCTACAACCCACTTCCCGCCCACTCCCGCTTCTTACCTTTCCCCGCACTCCCTACTTCTCCCCATCCCCCCACCACTTCCGTCCCTTCAACTTCCCTGGGATTTGAGTGTTCCTCTGCTTGTTAGTGTCTCCAGCAGGTCCCAGGGAAGGAAAGCAAAGTTTGATCACAGTTAGGTATCTGTTTTCAGGCCTTGTATACCTTTTACCAGACAAGGTGAAACTCCAAGAGTAACCAGTTAACCTTCCTTTGAGAGTTTTGTTTTGTAGGGTTATAGAAAAAACAATTCCCTGCCCACATGTACCTCAAATAATCCCCCTCACAGATCTGGATAAAATATGAATTTTCTCTAAAAGAGTCAGCCAGTTAAACCTTTGTTTAGAATTTAGATTAACACATTTGGGAAAGGAGACCCTCAGGAAAGTAAATTCCGATGAAAACTCAGGGGCAAAGAGGGAAACGTTTTTAAAGAACCAGTGCTCAGGGACCAGATAGGTAGCACTGATGAGCAAAGGCGTGAGTGCAAGACAGGGGGGATGGGAAGCCTGTGGTGCCTGCAGAGCCCACACCACCCAGGGAGAGGTGTTCACATCCAGAGACACCTGCAGCCTTGGGCTGGCTAAACCAACCTTTCTGCAGGCTGGATTAGGCCCTTAGACTGCATCTATGGGACCTCTGTGTTAGAGCAATGGTTTCCAAACCTTTGAGGATGGGGACCACTTTTCAAAGTAAAAAATCTGAGGTTTCCCAATATAGTCATTTCATATCTATTGATTAAGAAAATTTACCGGGCATGGTGGCTCACACCTTTAATCCCAGCACTTTGGGAGGCCAAGGTGGGTGGATCACTTGATGCCAGGAGTTCAATACCAGCCTGGCCAACATGGTGAAACCTCATCTCTACTAAATAAACAAAAATTAGACAGGTGTGGTGGTGTGTGTCTGTAATCCCAGCTACTATAGAGGCTGAGGCACAAGAATCACTTGAACCTGGGAGGTGGAGGTTGCAGTGAGCCGAGATTGTGCCACTGTACTCCAGTCTGGGCAACAGAGCGAGACTCCATAAAAAAAAGAAAAGAAAAGAAATTCATAAGAACAAAAAGTTTTGATGCATTATTGTAATGT
The DNA here is from genome assembly GCF_000001405.40 of Homo sapiens. Lineage (NCBI taxonomy): Eukaryota > Metazoa > Chordata > Mammalia > Primates > Hominidae > Homo > Homo sapiens. The sequence goes on from NC_000012.12 coordinate 65,596,421, forward strand.
CTGAAAATGAATTTCATTTTACCCACTGAGCCTGGTGCTGCAAACATGAGATTAAAGATAGAATAGCCCTTCCCCTGGTCTAATGGGTGAAGTAACCAAGTAAACAGGTGATCAACAAAGATTTTTTGTTGATATAAAAAAAAGTGAGACATGGTGCTGTGTGGTCACATAGGAAGGGCATCTAGCTAAATCTTGGCAGAGTTCAGCAACAACTTCCGCAAACATGTGGCAACTTAGCACATCTTCGTGACTAAGGTGTAAGTGGCAGTTGGCCAGAACTTGGTATATGTGGGGGTATTTTAAGGTAGAGAGAAGAGCATATGCAAAGGTTCTGTAGTGAGAGGACAGGTTTCCCTCCAGGAAATGAGTAGATCAGTACTCAGTACAGCTAGAATAGGGTGAGGAGAAACAGAGATAGAGAGAAAGAGAAAGAGAGAGGAGGGAGAGTGAGAGAGAGAGTTAAATCTAGAAAGGAATGCAAAGGACAATCATTGAGCAATCTATATGTGTTATCCTCACGGCATATTTACATGGCTCTAAATTAAGGATCACATGACTATATAAATCTTAGCAAGCTGGCAAGAATTCCAAGTCTCCCTTAGGTTGGAGCTTCACACTTTAGAAACCAAATGCACAGCAAAAAGAGCTATATAGCTCAGTAGTATAATAGTTGGTCAGGGCTGCCATAACAAAGGACCACCAACTGAGTGGCTTACACAATAGAAATTTAGTGTTTCACAGTTCTAGAGGTTAGAAGTCTGAAGTCAAGGTATTAGCAGAGTTGGTTCCTTCTGAGTGTAGTGAAGGAAGGATCTGTTCCAAGGTTCTCTTCTTGACTTGTTGATAGCTGTCTTCATGTTTACATTGGTGTTCTGAACCCTGTATAAGTTTCTGCCTCTAATTTTTATAAAGACACAAGCCATATTGGATTAGGGCCTATCCTAATGATTTCATTTTAACTTGATGACCTCTGCAAAAACCCTATATCCAAAATAAGGTGACATGCTGAGGTGACATGCTGAGGTACTAGGGGTTAGGACTTCAACACGGGAATTTTGTGAGAATCAATTCAACTCTTAAGACCCAGGTTAAGTTGCTCAAATGGGGCTGGGGGACCCAGAGCATTTGGTAAGGTGTCAGAGGTTCTTGGGTACCTGGAGGGCAGCAGGATGAGGAGACACAACAAAGGAGGAGGAGAGGAGTGAAGGGGCTGTGGAGTCCAGACTTGGCTCTTTTCCTACTCTTGCCTTGATTTGGCCCAACTCCACAGTCCTTGAAAGGCAGGCTGTACCCAACCACAGGGAGTAATCATTGCTTTTTACAGATAAGGAAGAGGTTGAAGTCACTTCCTTTCTCTGCCTTTGCACTGTCTAACAACCATCTTGCTGATAAAGAAGATCTCCAAATAAATTCCTCCCTCTTGTCATGGGAAAGCCTAGTCCAGACTCAATTTTGACTTTGGATCTTTGAAGAGATTCACCTAATTAATTTCTCACAAGGGATGTGGTCTTCACTTCCTTGCCTCCCCAAGCAAATAGTCTCCTTCCTTGGGGCTCAGCCTAGCTTAGGCTGTCATAATTTTGTACTGTCAAAAAGATCCCTTAGAAATAGCCACCTATCCATTCAATGTGGGCAAAAAGAAATCAAATGAAACAAACACAAAGAAGGCAGATTCCAGTTCTGTACATGGAGCTCCTTAAGAGAGGGCAGTTAATAAAAACCAAACTACTTGAGGGGGATTTTGATACTTATTTTTTAAGGCTTGTTTAGGCACAACAGAATCAAAGTTTCTCTGTGCCTCTGTGGGCAGCATCTTATTAATTGTCCTGAGGAATTCTCTGTAAAATGTCTGTTGATTTAAACCCTCTTATTATTTTTATTTAATTTCCAGATGTGCTCTGATGTTCTTTGGAAAATAAGCCCTCACGATTAATATCCCCAGCAATGTTCAATCAGTAAAGATTCTGGGACTATATGTGATATTTCTCCTTGTTCTCAGGGTCTACTTAATCTCTCCCCTCCCCACCTCCAACAAGAAATGATAATCCATTGTACCAGGTAAGAGAGGAGAAAGCAAGATTTTAAAAAATGATAAAATGGTAACTTTCTGAAAAGCAAGTGAGGTGGGATGGGTTTTCTTTTCCTTTCCTTTCCTGGCAACTACCCATGATTGAGGTAAGATGAGAGAAGAGGTACTTTGCAAATAGAACTCAAGGCTCAGGGGGAGTCATCATTCTTTTAGAATAACAAGGTAAAGGACAAATGCTAACTGGAGGTGAATTTTCCCAGTGATAAAAGCATGATTAAATTTTAGAGATTTCCCTTTGAGGCCAAAATTGTCTGGGAGTAGGTTAAAACCGTAAGCAGGTAACTTGAAAATTGGTTTCCCAGCTTCCTGTCTGGCTCTCAACATACAATTCTATGTAAGAAGGACTCTGTGAGCCCACTGCAGGGGATGAGTACTGTCAATAGAAAGTCATTCTCATCCTTATAAGGTCATGAGCCATTGAGATAGAGATTGCACTACTTGAAAGATAAAGTAGAGCAATCAGTAGCAACACTCTAGCAAGGGCTTACTATATGCTAGGCACTATACACATCATTCCATTTAATTATCTCAATAACTTTGAAATGTAGCCTTAGAAAGGTAGAGAGATTTGTATAAAGTCTCTCAGTTAGTGAATAGACAATCTGAAATTCAACTCCAAATCTGTTTGACATCAAAACTGAAGGCTCTGGCACTACATTACATTAGTGTGGAATGTTTGCCCAATGTTCAGTCCTGATCATGGGAAATGAATTATGGAGCTTTTTAATTCATATGCAGGCAATTTTTTGCTATTCACAGAAGCTATGTTCTACAAAGTTATCATTAACGCTGAATTAGTGAGTACTGAACCACTGCTCCTAGAGAAAAGACAGGGTTAAGTTCCTGCAAGTTGCCGATCACATTTTTTTCTGCCAATCAGTGTATAATTTTGCTTTGTGTGTGTTTCTGTTTAAAGACACCTTATTTAATACATACTGTTGATTCATTAACATTGAACTCATGGCCAACACCACTGTAACTCATGCCTGAACATAGCTTATCTAATGCACATATTTTCTTCATAAAGTGCATCACAGCCTTCTTGCACTTAGGAATACCAGATATTTGGGGACCATTTAGAACAGCAAAATCATCAATAAAAAACACAAAAATGCAAAAATTTGACACTAAATAGGTGACGAAAATGACACTTCTTTATAGTATGGAAGCTAAAACATTGAAGGCAGAGTGTCACCTTGTTTAATCACAGCTGGGAGTATGAATGTTGGGTGGCTCAATTTTTTTGTCATTCTGTGCATGTCTGTGAATAACTGAGAAAGTTCTCAGAGTACTCATTTTAGAATTACAAATACATTTTCGTGAGTAGGTAAATTTGTAATTACAAAATCTATAATATAAATAATGAGGTTTGATGGCTTTCTGACATAGTTATTAAGCTAGTTTAGGAAAAAAATCCCACATTTTAGAGGAAAAATGAAACATTGCTCTTTCAGCCTAAATGTTTGAATGCAAAAACCAGATAATTGGTAAATACATGTTTTTTTAGGTTTTGCTCATTTAAATTATCTGGATTCAAAGATGCAGTTTTGGTTTATGGCATTGCTCCACACAGAAGAGGGCTTTTACCAAAAGCATTTACCTATGAAGTTTTAAAATTTTCTTTTTAATTAAGTTCTTACTGAAATTTTTGCCTCCCTAGAGAAGACTTCATTAAACAAACAATTCTATTAGCCCATTATTTAATTTTATTTTTAATTATTTTATCACTTCTCCCAAATGACCTAGACACTTGCTCTGCCCATTTCTGTCAAGAGCAGAATCACCAGCCCTGTCAACTCTCTCCATACCTTGGGTGGAACAAAGATCTTTGAAATCTCATGAAGACCAGCAGACCCAATCTTTTGAAATAATGGAGACTGGAGAAATTAAGTGCAGAATATTCAGTTAACTACTTACCTAACACACACAGTCACTTTCAGAAAACTCTATGAAACATGGAAATCAAGATGCTGAAAACTCAGAGAAGGTATTTACTAAATTTTTCCTTCTCCATACTTTGTCTTTATAACTAGTGATTGGTACTTGACCAATAATGGTGAAGTAACTATGGAGAAGGACGTTTCTTGGAAAGGCTTTCCTTTCTTCTGACTGACATGGTGGAGGAACACAATCTTATTTCTGCCTTAAGGCTAATGACAATCTTTTGATACAGCATTCAAGGTTTTCCATGATTTAGACCCAGTTTTTCTTCCACTCTTATCTTCCACCACTGCCTCATTTCAGAATCTCTTTGCCAGCCAAGTGGGTATTTGATATAGATGAAGAATAAGGCATGAACCATAACCTTTTAGGAGTTTAGGGTTTAGTTAATAAAATAAGACTAACATACATAAAAATGAATGATGTAAGAGGGTTATGTAATGAAGGTTCATTAATATGGCATAAACTGTAGAGTTTATATGAATTTGAGAGAGAATGGATTAGTCAGAGAAAGCAATGTGAGCTCAAGATGGTTCTTGAAGAATGGGGAGAATTTCCATAGATCTGGAGAAAGGATGGAGGAGAAGAGGAGAGGAGGATGCAGCTAGGTGAGGGAAATCAAAACAGTGGATTTTTGCAAATAGGAATGCACATAGTGTTGGTGGGACCATAAACAAACCAACATGAATGGCAAAGGCAGTTCATGTTGAAGAGTAGGAGGAAACACATTTGGAGACACAGAAAGGAACTGGGTTGAGGTAGGCAACTTAAAAATAGGCAGAAGCACTGAAATTTGGTGGAGTATAAAATAACCATTGAAGGCTTTTCAGAAAACATGTGGATAAACCATCTGTCACTAAACTACAGATGACTGAAATATACATCGACTGATTTGTTTTTTTACTATGCATATTGGGGTTTCTGTTCAGCATTTGTCCAGCTTTCAACAAATCTTTATTGAATACCTATTATATGCTGGACAATATGGAGAGTGATAGCACTACAGGACAGACAAGATCAAAATCGTTTCAATACTCCTGGATCTTATATTTCAGAATTATTCATTTTCATTATGTTCTTTTGGCCCAGATCACTGTATCTCAGATGGAAAAGTTTTCAGTAGAAGTGATATCTTCACCATTCTGGGTTTGTAAGTTTCTTTTGTTTAACTTAGCCTTCCGGGAAGTTGATACTTGAAGACACAGCACTGTAATCCAGGAGACGCCTTGTCCGACTGCTCCAAATTGGTCAGGAGCCTCTCAGCAGTGCCCTTGACACCTTGTGCTTCTCCTTATTTCTAGATAGCATTTAGAAATAGCATAGTTTTGTCATGTCCACTTTCTTGGCATCTGCTATCTACTCCAACTAGATCATGAAGCAGGATATCCCAACATCTCTGTAGTACCACCGGAGGTGATCGACAAATGTTGGTTAAATGAAATTAATGAATGGAGGGGATGGATATGACTTTTCTTTACCTGAATATGTTTTTCTCTGGGGCAAGTTTTTGGTAGAGAAAAGTAGGGCTAATGTAAGAGAGAAAGATAAGTTCCTTCTTTATATATGCGATAACATTTTTGAAATGTAACTGTGCTTGGCTTTTCTTGTAAGACTAATTGGAATGTGGTTACAGAGCTGGATATCTTGTTTAAAGGTGATTTAAAAATGACAGATCCCATACATTTTTTCATTTCCTTAACAGCTGCAATGTTAGCCTACTCCATAAATCACAACAGTTGGTTCTATCTTAATGCCATAGGTATTTCAGTAATATAGACTGTTCAATAAATTATTGGGTAGTTATTAGAACGAGGTAAATTTGACTTAACATCTTAATTTGACTTAGGCATCTTCCTGGAACCTTCTTGCTCTGAGGTTTGGATGAAAAACACTTTGGATATCACCGTGAGACTTGCTACTTCCGATTCATTGTCTAGTATTCTCCTTGGCAGCTTTGCAAAACAAATCTTGGAAAGCTCCTAGAGAAAGCCATTCTTTTTAGAAAACTTGGAGTCTTTTGAATTCACGCTGGATGACAATGACAGTGAATGAAAGTGTTTGTCCTGTTTGTATATTTGCCTGCTGCTTTGCTCATTCACTCGCTATTCATTTTTTCCAATGGATTATTTATTTATTCAATTTTCAAAACTTAGCAAATATCCTAGATTTCAAAGTATCCTTGTACCCTATGGTTATGGGAATGTGTCAGCCAAACTCTAGGTGGCGCTCCACATCGAATTTAGGAGGCAGGGGAAGGAGTGTGGCAGTGGAGCTCTCAGGATGGCGTCAGAACCACAGAACACCCAGGCTGATCCCGAGAGCTTCCCGTGTGGGGGCGGAGGGTGGGGCAGAGCAGGATGTGTGCTTGGGTTTCACTTGGAAAAAACATACATCATATTGCAATATAATTTACTTTGAGATTTCAATTTGGAAAATGGCATGGAAATAATCCAGCTTGAACATCGTCCTCCTCACCTCCTGGACTAGGGCGAGGGCCCCTTATATTTCTTCATGGCAATTGTGTCACAGTTGTAAGTATTAAAGTATTTGCTTAATTATTTGTTTGATATCCGCCCACTTTGGACTGTAAATTTCACAAGGCAAGGACCTGGCTGCATGGCTCATAGCTATTTGCCTGCTGTCTATCACAACACCTAGCAAGTGACAGACGGTCAATAAATGTTTGTTTTGTTTGCTTATTTGGCTGCTGCTCCATTCATTTGCTTCACTGGGTTATTCATTTTTTCATTCCTTCGTCTCCACCCTTCCCTTCCTGCTCCACCCTACCCTTATCTTCCATCCCCCACTCCAACTCTCCCAGTCCTCCCAGCCCTCCCATCTACCCCATTCCCCACCCAGTCCCACCCTCATTTATCATAAGTCTTAAAAGTTAAGAAACCTAAGGGGGCTGTAGTGGGGTGGGGCAGAAACTAAATGTATGAAAGCAATCTTTAAATAGTCGGATTCTCAAAATCCGGAGAAAGAGTATTAAAAGGTAAGAAAGCAACAGTTTTGCCAATGCAAAAGGGAAAGTGTGGCCCCCTCAGCGGTCATTTCCCCATGCACTATGGCTTTCCTAAGCAGGTGCTGCACCTCCTGGGTTTTGGCAACTGGATGCAGAAGACCGGCAGAACTCTTTCCTCTGAATGGTCTGGACTGGGGACAATTGGCTGGAATCACAAGTGGCTTCTTTGCTCACTCTAGCGGTACTTCAGCTTTCATAAACAGCCGGTTCCTGGAGCTGTAAGGTTCCAGCACATCGGGGATTTCCCTTTGTTAGATCCTGACCCGCAGAGCTGTGTCCCAAGCCAAAACTGTTGTGTTCACCTCTTAAAAGGCTTTCAAAGAAGGAAGGGAGGGAGGGAGGGAGGAAGGGAGGGAAGGAGGAAGGGAAAGAAGGAAGGAAGGAAGGAAGGAAAAATTCTGGAAAATATCAGTTGTTATTCACAGACACCTAACTTGCCATTTTTAAAAACACATTTTAAAGTTGATATGAATCGAAAAAAAAGTTATTGTGATATTGGCAGTCAGCTCTCTACTGAAATGATGTGAGTGGAAAAACAAGAGTTTGGAAGAATGCGTCCCCCAAAATTCTTACATTGTTACCAACCACAGAAACAAAACATAGTGCTGGAAAGGAATTTCAAGTCATAGATGCCAAACCCCTGATTGTGTAGATAAAAATAATGAGGCTCTGAGGTAAGTGACTTGCTCAAAGCCACTCAATTCAGGAGTTAGAGCCAAAATTCATGACTTCTGGCCAATTCTGGGCCCTTGCCACTCCACAAGCTGCAGTTTTTCTGTTTTAGCTAAAATGAGTTTCAAACAGCCTATCCACCATAAATGTATTTCTTCAACTCTCATTCTCTTGTATAAGGCCTTACAGGGGACCCAACTTCTAATGTTGAAGGAAAAATATTGCATCTTTTAAAAAATGGTCAAAAGGAAAGGAAACTTCTAGGCATATAAATGTCACATCACCCTGTAAGTAGGAACCCATCATTATTGTGTGGGTAAGAAAGAAATAATTAAAGAAACCAATTTCAGTTAATTCCACATGTAGTGTATGCCTTTGAAAAGCATCCAAAATATTTTCCAAACATTCTCACATACACTGCACACATCTGTCCTATGTAACCTGAAAATGATTTACCCTTGTGAAATCATTTGCACAAACCTGCCAACCTTATGAATGATTTTGTTTGTCTACTGTCTCAAAATAATTGATCTTACATACGTTAAGCTAATTAAAATAGCCAGGCCCTTTCTTTGCAGAAAATCCACAAGCCCTCTTTCAATTATGCTTCTGAGGTCAGGAAAGCAATTCTTATGGAAAAGTAGGCTAGAATTTGCTTCAATTTATTAAGATAAAACATAAGAATGTATTTTTAATGCATTGATAAAAAATTCACCAAAATATTAGGTATTTTTAGTCAGTCTCCAACTTACTAAAGGGTCATATTCCAAAAGTTAGTGGATAAATGAGTTGTCTGGAATTTGGAGTGTATTTTCCCATAAAAACAGTGCTACCCATAGGAGTTAGTTCCCAGGCCACCCTTTAAGTGCTATTTAACCCATAGTGTAGCAGCCTATTGTGCACTTAAAAATTATTATTTTAATTTTGTTATTATTAGTTAACTGGCTCAAAAGTAACTGATTGATTTAGAGGCTGTTTTAGATGCTGACATCAGGAAAACCAGTTTCGATTATAGATACTTGAGATAGTAGTTGGAGACTTTTATGTCATTTCTGTAGAAGGCTTTGACGTACTTTGGAAACTCTAAAAATAGATGATACTTAATTTCATCTGCTTACTTATGACTAAAGGAGGAAACAGAGAGAAAAGCCTTGGCCCCTGCTCAACTTCCACCACTATTAGGAAAAGAAGACAAGAAATGGGATAAAAGGAAAAGAGAAAAGAAGTTAAAATTGTGTGCATGTATGTGCATGCAGAGATTAACTTAGCAGTGAACAATGAGGAAATGAGGAAATTGAGGCACACACAAGAAAGGAGATAGGAAGAGATATTGGTCTGAGACTTCTTTGTGTTGTTCACAAAGTGGCAGTGATGACCTCTAGAAAGTTCAGAAGAGAAAAGGAAAGTTTTAGCAGGTACTCTGTGAACTTATGTTTAGGATATGTAATAAACAGAAGTTGTTACTTGGGGACATGAGTTAACTGATTTAAGAATTGGACTCTCAGTTTGAATCCATACACATCTATGGAAGACCTACAGTGTTTCAAGAGCTGAAATATAGGACTAACTGCAAAAATTATCTGGCAATAACCCTTTACCTTGCAGAGATAATAATAGCTAGCATTTTTGACTCATTGTAACTCATTTAATCTTCACAATGACTCTATAAAGTAGGTATTAGTATTATTATTATTATCCCATTGTGTAGATGAGGAAACTAAGACACAGAAAGGATAAGTAATTTGTCTGAAGTCACATGGCTAGTAAGTGTTGGGGCTACCATGTGAACCCAGGTAGTGTGGGGATAGAACTTGTGCTCATAACCGCCATGCTATACTCTGCCCTAACGTTCTCTGGTCAACATTCTTATCTCTTGTCAGCAAACGCTCGTACCCTGACTCCATCTGGGATTTGGAATGCACTCAGGGAAGTGGCTGTGCATGGAGACTAGAAATGGAAGAGGCTTCCAAGGTCATGCCTTTCAGGCTCCCTTCAAATTCTACAGCTACTGTGAAGAGAGTTGCATTCCCACAGAGAACATGTCAGACTGGAGGAAAATTGTGACAAAAGGTCTCCCCAAAGGTCTCTGAAACTTCGATCTTATCTCATTCCACAAGGCAAAGGCCAGTTTCCTAAATCAAAGAATGAAACAAAGTACATCTTTTTCAAGCATTGTTTTGACATCACTCCCTTTTATACAACTGGACAGGCACTCCCATTCTCTTTAAATAATTTTTAAACACTCCTGAACTTTGGCTTGGAGATCCTCATTTGAAATGATTTTATCACTCTAGACATACTAGCTCATATTTTTTAACTTCAACCTGGCAAAAGTTAATATCCCTCATAAAACTCTACCCACTCTCTTCTCTAAGTATCACATAAACCACTCTTCCTGATTATACATGCCCCATCTTGAGCCATATCCATTACTCTGTCAACTTTCCCTGGAGGTTAATCTGCTAGTGAGAATTTAAGTGGACTCCTGGGGTGGAGTATTCTACAATGGATGGAACTTGGATTCTGAAGTCAGTCAGTTCTGGTTCAAATCCCAGTTATTCCATTTACTAGCTGTGTCATGTTGGGCAAGCTATGTAACCTCCCTAAATCGTTGTTTCCTCACCTAGAATATGAATACAATATTAATAGTACTGGTATAACAGTTGTTCTGAGAATTAAATAAGATATTGCATATAAAGAACTTAGTTCAGAGTAAACACATTATAAAATTCAACACATGTTAGTCCCCATGATTACAATTCTTTTGGAGCACAAAATAATCAGAGATATGTAAAAAAGATGGTTGTGAAGAGATGTTTATGTACCATTTTTATAAGAGTAAAAAGTTGGAAACAATTTATGCCCAACCATGGTTGACTATGCAACCAATTATAAGTCATGTTCTGAATGTTGGGAAATATCAAGATTGTATTAGTGAGTATTAAAAAAAAACATAAAACCTGCAGAGCATCAAATCTGAGAGGGAAAGTATATGCATAGAAAAGAGATTTGAAGAACCTACATCAAAAAGTAGATTATAATTATCTCAACAGAGAAAAGGTATATGGAGTATAGATGGGTACTGGGATTATGAAGATTTTTAAAATGTTTTGTATTTTTCTGTGCATCCTAAATTTTGTACCTTTTGTAATTAGGAAAATTACATGCTGTTGAAAAATAATGGATGAAGTTTAGCCTTCTCAGATGATCTCCTTCTGGCTCCAATTAATTCAGACCTCCAGCTTATCCACTTCCTTTATTTCCTTTTTCACTCTCTACAGATTTATGTTTCCTCTGCACAGCTGCAGTTGGTTTCAAATATTTGGCAGAGACTGTAGTTGGTGTTTAGATATATTTATGTGGGTTCTCTCTCCCTCATCAGACTGCATTTCCACGAGAGTATCTTCCCTATATTTTCTCTGTAATTGTGCATAGTGGCTTGGAAGCTCTTTGTCCCAAAAGTTAACTGATTGAGGTCATTGTAAACAATGCAAGAAGAAAAACTTGCTTAACTTGTTTCATTATTAACATTAACTGGGAGCTAAGGTTCGCATGTTAGGAATGGAGGGGTTTATAGACTGGTTGGGAATTAGGCCCTGTGCCCGAGGCAATGCTTTGTGTTTATGCAGCTATTTCATTTCCTCCTGGAACATAGGAATACCAAGGCCTCTTGCATTGAGGAAGGGTTACATGACTGGTTCTGACAAGCAAAATGGAAGCAGATGTGGTGTGCACCACTTCCAGACCCCAAATCATTTTACATATTCCTTTATCAATTCTTGCTTCCCCTGCTGTCTGCTGGCTGGATAGTGCCAGGGTGAACTTGAAGCCACAGTATGGTAGAGCCACAAGATGGAAAGAACCTGGGTCCCTGAGCTTCTGCTTAGAGAGGAACCACTCAAGAGAATTATCTGAACAGAAACATCTGAAATGAACAGGGTCAGTGAGAAAGATAAGACTCTTATTACATAAAAGCATTGAGATTTGAAGGCTATTTATTCTTGTAGTAACCCTATCCCAACTAACAACAGAAAATTATACAAATAGTAAAAGAATTCAAGATAACATATTTTAAGTGTCAAACCAATGGAATATAATTTTTGAATTTGCCTAATATTTTACTGTTCTCCCAAATCATTTGCTTCCCTACCTTATTCAATTCTCTAAGAAACCTTGATGAGTCTATCTTTGTGTCACAATTTAAGAAACTGGACTTAGAGTTGTTACATTCTTTGACCTAAGCTAGAACCAAAATTTTCTGACTCCAAATACTGTACTCTTTGCCTTTAGGCATAACTACTATAAGAGTGACTAATGACTAAATTATTTATAGAAAAGATGTTTTGCCTAAATTGTCTAGGGAGTAATTTTTTGAACACTGGTTCCACCAGCAGCTAATAAATGTCCCAAGAAATAGAGTTCCAAGGCCAAATGAGTTTGGGAAACACTGGGTTAAACAAATGTGACCAGGAGTCTTCTACTTACTGCCAAGCTCTCAGAGCCTTTAACTTACAATTTGGAGGCTCATAGGGAGCCTATGCAGCATATCCCATACACCTGACCACAGAATTCTTTGATGATAGAGCCATCGTCAGGAGCAGAGTGTGCTGAAACATGCCTGAGAAAGGTTTTCTAGATAACAGCTCTCGTTCTCCACTGCACCCTGGTTCCACTTTAGTCTATTCACTTCTTAGAGTACATTTCTCAGCTAATGTTGGGAACAACAAAATTCTCTAGTAAGCTCATGTAACCAAGATCAAATGGGACTTCCAGGAGATTTTTTTTGTTTGTTTAGACGGAGTCTGAGCCCTGTCACCCAGGCTGGAGTGCAGTGGCACGATCTTGGCTCACTGCAACCTCTGCCTCCCGGGTTCAAGCCATTCTCCTGCCTCAGCCTCCCGAGTAGCTGGGATTACAGACATGTGCCACCATACTCAGCTAATTTTTTGTATTTTTAGGAGAGATGAGGTTTCACCATGTTGGCCAGGATAGTCTCGATCTCTTGACTTCATGATCTGCCCACTTCGGCCTCCCAAAGTGCTAGGATTACAGGCGTGAGCCACCACGCCTGGCCCCAGGAGATTTTTTTTCAATTGCATTTATTTTTGAACCTATCCCAAGTAAGAGCAGGACACATTCATTGCACCTGGAAGGTAGAAAATATAAATAGAAGAAAGAGAGGTGCAAATCAACCCACTTCTATTCAACCCACCAGCATAGTCAACCTGTGACATTTACTACCATGGGGAGCTGCTGAGGCAGGGTAGAGTTGGATTTGAGGAAGGATTAGATAATTTTATGAGCATGACTAACATTTAAAGCTATGTGAGCTAAAACAAAAAAGATACGAGGAAATGAAGTCTCATGTTCCAGGATGTAAATTGATCACATGTGGAAGGAGGGGCAAAAGGAATTCCCACCTCGCAATCCAGCGTGGGATATTACAGAATGAGCCAGTTGCAATAGGCTTGACTTTCCCTCTTTATTTTCCTTTTCCTTTTCTCTGGTACATCTGATTCTGGCTAAACAGTAGGTGGGGATATTAGCCCTGACAAATAGCGATTTGATCCCACAGGGCAACTCCTATTGAAAACCAAGATAACACAAATATTTTCAATTCTTCAAGTTGAACCTAGACTAAGTATTTTGTTTTGCGGGTGATCCCTCTGTTCTTTTATTAAGAGAAGATCATTTTATGAGAACTAAGAATATTTGCATTCCTAGCATTTAAAATTCTCAACAAACACATTGCTCAAGCAAATAAAAAGAATAGAACCAAGTAAGGTAAGATCTTCTTAATTAGTTGAGACTTTTGAGCAAGGATGAATCCAGTCTTGAAGTACTGGCAATTTCAAAATACTCATTTTACCTTAAACGTACAAATAAAATGTGTTTCTGAGCTGCAGTATTCTGAGCTTGGTGATGATTGAAGGCCCTGGAAGAGGGGATGGCAGATTTTATTGGGCTGGATGGGTTCTCACCCGCCATCTCCCCATGGGAAATTTTGTAAAAATATTCAACTCTAATGGTTCAGTGAAAAGCATTTGGGCCTCAGGGAATCAACGGGAGCTAAGTTTTATAGAGTGAATCCCATCTGGGACTAGAAGAATTAAGAAACAGAACTATGGGAGACAGGCAACAAGAGGAATAGCAATATCAGCCCCATGGTACAAAAAGTTAGTCTTTCATTGTATAAGCAGTGCTATGATTTCCTGCATTAAGATTACAAAAGCAATCAGATCAGAGATTGTGGACTTTTTTCATTATAGGATTTGAGTTGACCCTTTCTTCAACTATGAATTCTTTGGTTGGGGAACAGCCCTGATTTCCAATATGAACCCTAAATATCATTTGCTTCAGGAAGGATTTTTCCTGTTGGTTCTTAGCAATGTTTCTGAACTTGTGGCAATGGTTGTCTATACAAAATTGACTACTCCATTCTCTTATCCCTTCCTCCCTAGCATAGACCACTTCTCATTATAAAACTTTTTTTTTTTTTTTTTTGAGATGAACTCTTGCTCTGTTGCCCAGGCTGAAGTGCTGTGGCACAATCTCGGCTCACTGCAACCACAGCCTCCCGGGTTCAAGTGATTCTCCCACCTCAGTCTCTCAAGTAGCTAGGATTACAGGTGCGTGTCACCCATGACCAGATAATTTTTGTATTTTTAGGAGACATGGGTTTTGCCATGTTGGCCAGGCTGGTCTCAAACTCCAGACCTCAAGTGATTCTCCCGCCTCAGCCTCCCAAAGTGCCGGAATTACAGGCATGTACCACTGCACCCGGCCTATAAAACTTAAAATTCCAAACAGGCATCTAGTTTTGCAGCCTTATCTTGCACCTAGAATTGACTATGTGACTCAGTTGTGGCCACTTCTGGCTTGGAGGATGCTAGGAAATATTTTCCTTTTTGGATAAAAGGAGAGAAATATGGGAGGAGAGTTGTGTTTTCTGTTTGTTTGTTTGTTTGCTTGCTTGCTTGTTTGTTTTTCTGGCTATCCCTTCTCTCTCCTTGACATAGTGGGGAAAGAATGTGGCATTTCATACTGTGGCAATTATTTTGTGACCATGAGATGACAAACTTGAGGATCAAAGGCACCATGGTATCATTGACAAGATGGAAGGGGAGAAAAATCTTGAGTTCATAATGACATCCCTGAGCCACTACAACAACCCTGAGACCATGAGCCTGTTGATTTCTTGAAGCCACTTTTAGATGGATATTCTGTTACAGCCCAAAGCCTTCTAACTATTAAATACACCCAGTGAAAATGTGGCTATGTGTTCCAATAGAGCACAGAACCCCAAAGAAACACACGGCCTGTGACTTCTGGTCATATCGAATCACTGATATTCCCTGATGTACACTGGCATATTTCTCTTGGAAAAAATAGCGAACCAGGGCTTCCTTGATGGTTGTCTGAGAATTCATTGGCTAATACTGGCAGAGCCTAAGGCCATGAACATGCTCATCATTACTAAGGAGGCAGCAATCCTGGAGGTTGCAATTCAACATGAGAAAGAAAAGGAGGATTTTGCTCCAAATTCCACACAAGGTTTCCTTCCCTCTTTTTCTCATTTCCCACAATCTTACCCTTTTCTTTGTGTCTTATTTTGGCTTCAGAAAACCTCTTTACCTTTTCATTTTCCAATTCTGATGTTACTTAATTCTTCAATATGGTAAAGCAATAAAAAGAAAGCTGGCTGATAATCTGAGAGCAGTGCCAAAAATGTATGTTTGGAATGTTAGGACTTTATCGAAAAATACGACTTTATTGAATAAGCAGAAATTTTGTTAAGCTCCAAAGGAATCTAACCATCTCCCCTCCCCCACCATCACTGCCTAAATTTCACATCCTCTGATAACTTAAGTGCCTTCCCAGACTGGCATATCTTCTAGTCTGCATATCCTAAACTACAAATCCAATACTATCGAGTGACTGGAAATGGTACAACTCAAAAGGCTAGGAAAAATCCTGCTCTATGGAAACACATTCATTTTTAAAATTTCTTTATTTCAAACGTTTCCATCCTAATTTCCCTTCTTGAAGAATTTTCATTATACATGAGCAGGGAATTATGATGTGTGTCATATTTTATAACTTAGCTAATTTGAAGATACTTTTTTCTTTTACATCTGTTAGATTTTTAAAAAAAAAAAAGTGTATTATACTTTAAGTTCTGGGATACATGTGCAGAATGTGCAAGTTTGTTACACAGGTATATGTGCCATGGTGGTTTGCTGTGCCCTTCAACCCGACCATCCTGAGCTCAAAGCCCAGAATCAGAGCTGATGAGTAACCAAGGAATTCAGATTTTAGTACTGAAAATAATGTATAGGAAATTCCATTGTTCTGGAGGACAAGAATTTAGCATTCATAGCTGAAATGTGTAAGAGGAAAAAAATTGCCAGAAAAATGCTGTTTGCAATGCTGTGAGGGTCTGCTCTAAATGGTGTTTCTTGTGGGAGGGACTTGGTGTGACGCGGTGTTGTGTGTTTTGGTTTTTGGTTTTCATCTGGAGGCTTTTTTGCTTTTGTTTCTCAGATCGAGGAAAGGAGGTTTGCCTGAAAAGGAGCCAGAGTGGTTCCGCCCAGACTGACGTGCTTCTGGCAGCCGGTGTGTACTGCTTGGTGACTGCTCTTTCATTTCAGGTGGTGATTTACCAAATGCCGCTTTTTTTCTGTATGACACAGGCGTGGCCAAACATAGTCACCACTCAGAATGTTGGGGAAGTTTCTCGTCCCCATCAAACAGAGGGAGCAACCCTTGGTGGTTCAACAATGAAGCCTCCATTAGCTGAGAAGTCTAACTGTGATTTATCATTCCCTACCTATAAAGATTGTAAACAAATCAGGAAGCTTTCTGAGTCTCTTAGTCCTCTACTTCCAGGTAGAAGTGGTAAGAATGTCAACCTTCCCTCACAACATTGTAAGAAGGAATGATTATTTGAATTGATTATAAAAAGATGCTCTGCATTATTCATCATTAGGGAATTGCAAATTAAAACAACAAGGAGATAACGGCTACATACCTATTAGGACGGCTAATATCCAAAACGCTGACAGTACCAAATGGTAGAGCAACAGGAACCCTCCTTCATTGCTGGTGAAAATGTAAAATGGTTCGACCACTGTGGAAAACAGTTTGGCAGTTTTTTACAAATCTAAACACACTTTTATCATATCATTCTGCAATCATGCTCCTTGATATTCTCCCAAATGAGTTGAAAACTTAGGTCCACCCAGAAACCTCTGCACAAAAGTTTATAGCAGCTTTATTCATAATTGCCAAAACTTAGAAGCCACCAAGGTGTCCGTCAATAGGTGAATGGATAAATAAACTGTAGTATATTCATACAGTGGAATAGTATTGAGCACTTAAAAAAGAAAAAGAGCTATTAAGCCACAAAAAAGAAACGGAGGAAGCATAAAGGCATATTACTAAGTGCAAGAAGCCAATCTGAAAAGGCTACAGACTGTATGATTCCAACTATAAGACATTCTGGGGAGGTAAAATTATGCAGACAGTAAAGGATCAGTGTTTGCCAGGGTTTTGGGAAGATGGAAGGAGGAATTAATAGATGGAACACGGGATTTTTAAGCCAATGGAACTATATTGAATGACACTGAAAGGGTAGCTACATGGCATGATAGATCTGTCAAAGCCCACAGACTGTACAACACAAACAGTGAACCATATGTAAACTGTGGGCTTTGGTCACAAAGAGCGAACTGTAATGTAAACTGTGGACTTTGGTTGAACATGAGGCATCAATATTACTTCATCAGTTGTAACAAAACATACTGTGACATGTTGGTGGTGGAAGGGGCTGGGTGTGTGTTGGGGGATGGTTATGTGGAAACTGTACTTTCTGCTCAATTTTATTGTGAGCCTAAAACTTGTAAAAAATGAAACTTATTAATTAAAACTAAATCGATTTTAAAATCTAGATAAAAGTTATTATGAAGCAGAAAGTGAATATAATCATATAATTATATAAATTAATAAAAATAATTGTTGAATGCATGCTTTAGGATTAAGTTCAGTTGTACACAACACAGAAAACAACAACAAGTGTGGTTTAGACAAGATAGAAGAATATGTTTCTCATGTATGCAAAATAAGCCTAGAAGTAGGCAGTCCGGAGTTGGAATGGTGACTCCACAGAGACTTTGGGGACCAAGGCTTCTGGCTTTGCTGAGACTCCCATCTCAGCATCTTACTCCCATCTCTTGGTCTGATATAATTGCCAGAACTCCAGCCATTACATCTGCATTCTAAACAGCAGAGAGCGAGGAAGGAGGAAATACTGGCATGCCTCCTCCCTTAAATGCAGACTTACAGGAAGTTTCATATTATAGTTCTGCTTTTATCTTATTGGTCAAGAACTTAGACAAATTGGCACATCTACCTGTGAAGGAGTCTCACAATTTTTTACCTGTTGAATGTACACAAAATTTAAAAAATCTGCAGAGAGGTCCAGCTAAAAATCAGGGCTCTGTTTCTAAATAAAAAGAAAGAAAGGGATGTTGGAGTAGGCAGCTAGCCATCTGAGACTTTGAGCAACTGTTGCTAAGTTAAAAATACAGTGCTAGAGGCAGAGGATGAAAAACACATTAGATCAATAGGAGAAATAAACATGCAAGCACGCGGCTATTATATATGGTGGCAATTTGTTAATGGCACAAGGATTTCAAAAGAGGATGTGCGTATGCCCAGTTGGGATTGATCAGAGAAGCCCTCCTAGAGGGAAGGATATTTTACAAAGACCTAGAAGGATGGAGAGAATTTGAATGGTAGGAAGTGGTGGAAAAAAAGGCAAACTTGGCATAGGAAATGGCATGAGAGAAAGCAAGTTGTTATTTGATAAAGAGGGATATGCCTGTTATTGGTGCATTTTATAGTCTGCACAGATACAGAAAGTGCCTAGGCAGGAAGAAGTTTATGTCTGTAGTTTGGACATCTACCCCAATGACATCAGTTTCTCTATTCACAATCTGTCCATCATTCCCATGGGGTGGGAGGTGAGGAAGAATTCCATTCAACAACACACACTTAGAGTATCTCAGGCAAAGAGACTTTTTTTCTTTTGTATTTATGATAAAACACCCAAATATGTATCCAAGTGGGATTACCAGCCTGGGTTGGATCCAAGAGACTTTGGTTACTAGAACTATTTCTCATCATAAATCCCCAAACAAGTTGAGTTTTTCACTTCCTCTCCTAATCTGCCATGGAGCACAGCCGAGTTGCTTGAAGTCATCTACTTCTTGGCAGTGGCTACAATTCCAAGATGATGGAACGATTCTTTTCCATATACATCATTATTATTTCTAGTATAAATATTTATCAAGCACTCACTGTGCAATAGAGAAGAGCTCCTGCTTGGTGGTCTTTCCAGCTGAACAAAACAAACATGAGTAGAGGTTGAGGGAAGAGGTGGGAAGAGAACCTCAGCTGGTGGGAAACAATAGGAATTGCTTCCCCACCCCACCTCCTTTTATTCATGTTGGATGTTGTTTGGACTTGACTGCCATATTTCAGATACGTAAAATGTGTTTTTATTTGTTTAACATATGCTTTATAGGGCTTACCATGTGCTGTGCACTGTTCTAAGCTCTTTACAAATATTAACACATTCAATCCTCATAGAATCCTGTGAAATAAGTCATTTTATTATCCCTATTTGCAGATGAGGAAACTGAGGCACACAGTAATTTGCCCAAGGTCGCTAACTGGGCACAGTGACTCTAGAGCAACACTGTTCAGTAGAACTTTCCCTGATGTCAGAAGTGTTCCATATTTGCGCTGCCCAATAGGGTAACCACTGGATACGTGTAGCTGTTGAGCACTTGAAATGTGGCTTGTATGACTGAGGAAGTGAACTTCTGAAAGTTCAGAAGGCCACCCACCTCACCCTCCCAAAGTGCTGAGATTACAGGCATGAGCCACCACACCCAGGCCGCCTTTCTTTCCTTTCCTCTCCCTTCCTCCCTCCCTCCCTTTTTTCTTTCTTTCTTTCTTGCTTGCCTGCCTGCCTTCCTTCCTTCCTTCCTTCCTTTTCTTTCTCTCTCTTTCTTTCCATCCCTCCCTCCTCTCTCTCTCTTTCTTTCTTTCCTTTTCTTTTCCTTTCTTTTCTTTTCTTTTTCCTTCCTTCCTTCCCTTTTCTCCTTCCTTCCTTCTCTTCTCTTCTCTTTTCTTTCTCTTTCTTTTTTTGAAGGAGCAAGAGCCAAGAATATAGAGATTCTTTTGTAAAACAGTGATCCTTCCTGGTGCATTTGCTGTTTAATTATGATAAACAACATGAGATATAAGTTTATAGAAAAATATGAGCAAGTCACTCAGGTGGTGCCATTCTCTATTCCCTGGCTATTAAATAGGACTACAAAAAAGCTCTATCTCCAATGCAAGTTTTCTCACAATTGGTAGCAGATGAGGAGGTCAAAGAGGAGAAATCAACGGCTGGTTAGGTCATGCACATTTGGTAGCACAGACCATTGTTAAAAGCAAAAAGCAACATTATAGTATCTGGTGCCTGCTTGGGAAAATGAAGAGCAGGACAAGGTCATGTGTGTTATCTTGCTGTCATCAAGACTACTACTCCCTCTTTTCTCTCTTTCCCTCCCATCTTAATGCTTCTCTACTTTACTCAGCTTTCATGGTTAAACTCAAATTCCACTTCTTCCTTGAAAGCTGCCCTCCTGTCTCCATGTGAAAGCATCCTCCCTACAATATGACTGTATGTTTCTTCTGGTACTCAATGGGTTCTATACTATATAATAGCTAAGTAAGTACAAGTCCTAACTCTCCTACTTACTCTCAACTCTTAAAGGTCTGATTTCTGTTTGTATTAATTTTCTGTAAAACTTCATACAAACCTGGGCAACATAGTGAATGAGACCCTGTCTCTATTAAAA
This sequence comes from Homo sapiens, assembly GCF_000001405.40. Lineage (NCBI taxonomy): Eukaryota > Metazoa > Chordata > Mammalia > Primates > Hominidae > Homo > Homo sapiens. The sequence continues at coordinate 65,617,065 of NC_000012.12, forward strand.
AAAAAAAAAATTAGCCAGGCGTGGTGGCACGCACCTGTGGTCCCAACTACTCAGGAGGCTGAGGCAAAAGGATCGCTTGAGTCAAAGAGGTTAAGACAGCAGTGAGCCATGTTCACACCACTGCACTTCACCCTCAGCGACTGAGTGAGATGTGCTCACATTCCATAGATTATTTTAACTTTCATCCCTGTTTCCCTATTTCTAGCATGCACTTCTATGATAGCATTAACAGTATTGTATTGTAAAATTTGATGATCGTATCTCTCCCCAAGACTGTAAGCCCTTTTAGAGTAGCACCTACCTTAAAATAGTTGCTCTATAAATGGCAAGCAACTATTTTCTGAATGAATGGTCATTCTCAGAAATTTGTAGTATATGTAGTATGTTTGTCTTTTGTCTAAAACAAAATGGATCCCTCCTCCAATGAAACTCTTCTATATTAGTATTAGATTAAGCACTAGGTAATATCAAACTAACTTCAGCATTTTATAATAGCCCTGCTGTAAGGAAAGACAATGCATAATTGTCCTAGAGAATGAGGCCATTTTCAGCTAGCTGTGGTGGCTCACACCTGTAATCCCAACACTTTGGGAGGCTGAGGCAGGCAGATCACTTGGATTGGGAATTCAAGACCAGTCTGGTCAACATGCCAAAATTCTGTCTCTACTAAAAATACAAAAATTAGCCAGGCATGGTGGTGTATGCCTATAATTCCAGCTACTAGGGAGGGTGAGGCACGAGAATCACTTGAACCCGGGGTGTGGAGGTTGCAGTTAGCAGAGATCACACCACAGCACTCCAGCCTGGGTGACAGAGTGAGACTCTGTCTCAAAACAAACAAACAAGCAAACAAACAAACAAAAAGAGAGAGAATGAGAACATTTCTTGCTTAACCTTGTCCAAAGGACATAGGTCATCCAAAGAGGTTTGAATTTTAGGGTACTGCACAGAACCCAGAATAGAAAAGAAGTGTGAAAACTGGCAAGACATTGCAATTTTCTACAAGTATGTAAAGCTCAAACTAAAAAAGAACATTTTTGAGAATTTTAAGAAGTATATGTGAAGGATCCTCTGACATTAGTTTTAGTGAAGGAAGGGGCAGAGATAGACCAAGATCACTTTAGCAACCTATAATTTGGTTTAATTGATCGAGCAGGGAGAAAAAAGAAAGGAGAAAAAGAATAAGGAGATCGTGAAATTGAAAAATGTAAAATACTGTAACAGAAATTACTGTAGCTTTGCTTTGAGTAGTACTGGAAAAGTTTGTTATACTAGGAAATAGTCATATAAATGGAAAGATGGTTTTTCATGTCTTTTATGACTTGTTGTAAATGATTAATTAAATACTCTGAGTGTTTCATTAAATATATGCATTCCTTCCAAATTAAAGTGTGCAGAGACTCGTTATAAATAAATTCATTGGGTGAATGAAAGGAGCATTTACTTCTAAAGGAATATTACTGGCAAATTTCATTCTTGACATTGATTAAATAAACTAAATTTATTTTAATGGCAATATGAGCAAATTACAAGGCTAATTAGTTTTCTACTTTAGTATTTTTACATTATTTAATGCATTTATAAGTGATCCAACAATTTTAAGAATTTTACTACATAAAAAGCATTTTGTAATAAAATGTGAAAATGAAAGAATGAATAAGACATGGTTCTCGCTTCACTCATTTTCTACTTTCACGCTTCATGGAACAATTTTAAGTGTCTACTATGAGCAAACCCTTTTCCTGAATGTTGCAGGCAATAGAAAGGAAAAATAAGACTTGTTTCTTCCCTCTAAAAGCTTGAAATGTCATGGCAAAAACATATGCACAAAATAACTTTAATGTAAGACAGACTTTGGTAAGTAAGTGCTAAAATAATAGAGGTACAAAGTGCTTGGGGAGTATAAGAAATGGAGGGATTAAGACTGATGGGGAGAGGATCAAGAAAGGCTTCTCGGAGGAGGAAGGGTTTGAGCTTGGCCTTGAGAGATGGCTGGAAATTTAACAGGAGGCTCTGGGCGGGGGAGGAGAAGAGAAAGGGGTTGTATGGTCTCTGGGTTGCAGGGTTGTTCTATAGCGGGGTTTTGGTGTTTCTCTGGACAATTTTCAACTGTCACATGGAAGAGATGTGTCACACAGAAAATACACAGAGCAACTAGAAACTGGTCTGAAAATACAGCCACGTGACTTCAGTGAAGAAACATATCAGGCCTGAAGTGTGGGCAACAACAGTGACAGGTATAATTAGACATTGAGCAGATCAGTGTTTTTTGATTAATAAGCTTGTTCTTCCTATACATTAACTCATGGGCCTGAAAGGAACTTCAGGAAGTTACTTAGGTCACCCCTGACTATGTTTTTTTTTTTAATTATTATTATTCTTCCCTTAGCCTCAGCCCTATAATATGAGCTCTTCAAATGCTCAGACCCTTGGGCTCTGCATGAGGACCAATACAACTAATAAAATATAGTAGTGGCAGCAGTTGAAGCCGCCTTGTGATACCACTATTTTGTAGCCATATTAATAATATTGTGTGAGAATTGAGGCAAGGGTTTTGTGAGTCTTTCAGGGCTGCCCTTCTTTTAATAAGCCCCTGACAAGTTACAGCTTCTGCTTGGGGTAAAAGCTGATCACAGGACTTATGCACAATGGCTTCCACCGCCTTGCCTTAACAATTTATCCCTATCTAGCTACCAATTAGAAGCCTAAAGTTATAGAATGCTAGCGCTGGAGTAGTTATTAGGATTAATCTAACCCAAGCCCTTTGTTTTTCATTTTACAATGGAGGAAAGAGAATCTTAGGGGAAGTGATATGCCTAAAGTCACACAGTTAATGATTGGCTTACCTGAACTAGAACTAGAATGTAAATCTCTAAGTTTCCTAACTTTCAAATCAGTTTCTCTCTCCTGCAGCACACTGCCTTTTTTATTTGCATCAACAGTGTATGTGTGTATGTGCATTAATATTTCTAAGAGTTTGGCTTAAAGCATTCAGTAGGTGCCCATAGAATAATGTATGTTAAGCCAGAGAAGTAAAATGCATTGGATCAAAACATTCTCACTTGGAAAAAACATTAGAATCCTGGGAATTTCTTGAAATGCAAGAAAGCTCAGCCTCCAGGACTTGCAGTGTAAACACTGTGGCTAATTTGTTGAAGTGAGATGCCATTGATGATTCTCCCTGCCTTGAGAGATGACAGGGCTCCTTCGCAGAAAAAGCTGATTGCTGTAGCAGATTGCTAGGGGAAGGCACATTGCAAAAAGTGATCAGGAAAAGACAAGACATGTTACCAAGACAGATCATTTTTCTTGAAGAGGAGTTAAAAAAAGACACTAAAAAGGAATTCCTCCCATAAAGTTTGTCTTTCAGAGAGCAACCATTTCTACAACTCCGTTCCTGCCTAAAGAAGCAGGCTGTAACCTGGAGCAAAGCTTGGAGAGGCTAGTACATCAGTTTTACAGAAGCAGTTCTAAGAATAGTGAATATGGATAATACAGACAGCAACCCAGACACTTGATCCATGCGTTTGCTACGTAAAAGTTGGATGAGAATAACTTTCAACAAATTTACTTTCCAGTGACTTGTTATTTTTTAAATTGTATTCTTATTAATAAAAATGATACTTTGATACTGGGTATGTAACCAAAGGAAAATAAATCATTCTACCAAGAAGACACATACCCTTGTATGTTTATCACTGCACTATCCACAATAACAAAGACATTGGAATCAACCCAGGTGCCCATCACCGGTAGATTGGATTAAGAAAATGTGGCACATATACACCATGAAATGCTACAAAGCCATACAAAAAGAATGAAATCATGTCCTTTTCAGCAACGTGGATGCAGTTGGAGACCATAGTACTAAGTGAATTCACGAAGGAATAGAAAGCCAAATACCACATGTTCTCACTTACATTAGGAGCTAAACATTGAGAACATATGGACATAAAATGGGAGCGATAGACACTAGGGACTACTGGGAGGGGGGCATGGGTTGAAAAACTACCTATCAGGCACTATGTTCACTACCTTGGTGATGGGGGCTGTACTCCAAACCTCAGCATGGTGCAATATTCACATGTAACAAACCTGCATGTGTACCCCCTGTATCTAAAATATAAACTGAAATTAGAAAAAAAACAGAAGCCAACACCATGAGGTTTTCAGCTCCCCCATAATCTCCATAACCCTCTTTAGTCCTAAATAAACATAAATGTAAGTAAAAATAAATAAATAAAAAATAAAGATGACACTGTTTCTCCACTTATTTTCTTATCAAAGAAAAATGGCCACAAGCCATTCTGTAGAATAAGCTGCCTTATAAGAGTTTTATCCTTTTGACGTGATTTGATTTGAGGCTGTCCTTCTTTTCATTTGCTTTTAAATTCTATGTACAATAGAATAATTCAATTCCATGGGATATTTTTAAAATTCTTGTTTCCATCCATCAGTGAGTACTTTTCTTCTATTGCTATGAGATAATTTTTATTCTAATTCTACATGAAAATGGCAAATCAGATGTTAGAGCAGAAAGCTACCTTAGCAACCATCTGCTGCGATGTCCTCATGTTCTAGATGTAGGAATGTCCAGGGATTTCTTGATTTTTGGTGGCTCACCCAGGGGAAGACAGGGCATAAAATCTAGCTAGGACACACTTTCTGCTCCTACTCCTGTGCTCTTTCACTGCCAGACATTTCACCTTCATTAGAACAGCGCCTTAAATCATGTTTGTCTTAGGAAATATACCTCACTTTTCATATTTTAATGTGCTCACTTTCAAGGAAGCTTTAGAAAAACCATGAAATGCCTTTTATTTTTAACTTTAATTTTAATGAAAGGTGAAATTTTCTTTCTATATTAAATTCCAGGTAGGAGAGTTACTATTAATAAGTTAGTTATGTTTATTTGTGGCTACATTAGTCAGATTTGGGCTATACTAATTCTGGGTAGCAAACAACTATGAAATCTTAGTGGGTTCAACAATAAAGTTTCACTTTTTGGCTAAGGATCTGTGCATTGGCAGGCTCTAGGTGAGTTCAGGTTTGCTCTACCTAATTTCTCACTCTGGTAGCTGACTGGGACTTGCTTGTTTCATGGCAGATGGCAAATGCCCAAGAGCGCAAACCGGACCATGCAAGTGCCATGAAGCCTCTGTTCAGAACACATCTGCTCACATCCCATTGGCCAGAAAAAGTCACATGGCAAAGCCCAACGGCAGAGATGAATGCCTTGTCCGCTGTACAGAAGCACTGCAGTTATATGACAAGGCGTGTGGATGCAAATGCTTTTATAGGGTGAGCACGGAGAATTGAGCCTAGTATTCCAACCTACTACTTGTGAAAATTAAAATAGAAAGAAATTGTTACTTTTCTCTAAAATTGGAAATTAAACTATTGAATTCTCCAAGATGCCTAGATTAAGACAAAGCTTTATTTAAAATTTAATTTTCTGAATGCCTTTGGTTTTCTTGTATAATCTAGTACAGTTTAGGTTATTTAGATACTCAGTAAATACTTGAGGGATTCATAAATGCTGTGTCCACTAAGTAACTACTCCTTTTGTAACATTAGTTCATTCATCCATTAAGGACTATTTATTGAGTGCTACTATGTGCCAGGCACTACAGTATTTATAAGTGAGGGAAACACATCAATGTTCAGAAAATAAAAATGCTGCCTGTATGGAGCTTATGCTCTGACAACATATTTTTCTTTAAAAAGAAAAAATAGTAAGCAAAACATATTGTATGTTAGTATCTGATATACGCTTTATACAAAATCAGGCTAAAAGAATTAGGAGGACTAAGGTGGGGACAGTGACAGGCTACAGTTTTTCTGTAGTGTAAAAAAGGGGTACAGGGTAGATCTTACCAAAAGTTGACATTTGAGCAGAGACTTGAAGGAGGTGAGGGATTTTTCCCTCTGTTCCACATGTAGCCATAGAGATTCACGAAGGGTCTGCAGCCAGAGAACATTTCAAGTATAACTCATGGAAAGGGGGTGGTGGAGGGGCCCTAACAGGGCAGGGCTTGGGAACAGCCTCCACCCCCTGACACCCCAACCAGAGTACTCCCAATTTCAGCTGTTAGATTTAGCCCTAAGATTTCTTCTGAGGAATATCCTACCTTTAAAAAATAAATGAATAAATGCCTTAGAATACTATGCTAGTTTGTGAACTCATCCAAAGTCAAAGATCTGGCTTAAGATCTTGATTAAGAACATTGAAAAGTGTATTAATAAAATTTATTTATTTATTAATAATGGCTCAATTTCTTAATAGTCAACTGCCCCAGGGCTTAGTCTGAGCCCTCTCTCCTCCTTATATTTTTTCCTTAGATATTTTATTCAAGCCTTAAACACCATCTATATGCTAATGACTCCTAACTTTACATCAGTCCTGACTCTTCAACAGGACTCCAGACAGTTCCCCTTGGATATCTGATGAACAATCTCAAACTTAACATAATCGAAACAAAACTCAGGATTCTTCCTCCTCCATCACACCACTACCTTTTTAATTGTCCTTATCTCAGCAAATGGGGCCATCACTCCTCCTATTCCAGCACATGCATCTCCATGTCCAAAATATGTTGTATATCATCTCACTTCTCTCCACCTCCACTCTTGCCCAAGTCCCATTATCTCCTGTGACAACCTCTCATCTGGTTTCTGTTTGACAATTGATTATTTATGATGTAATCAGTGATCTTTTAAAAATATATATCATGTCACTCCTCTCTAATGCTTTATATGACAATGAGGATAAAATCCAAACTTCTTGCCATGGTCTACAAAACCCAGCATGATCTGGCCCATGAATATGCCCTGCATATGTCCCTGATCTCTTGCTGTTTTATTTGCCTAGAGAGCTTTCCTCCCCCACCGGTCATATTTTGAGATGGTTGGTCTCCACAAATGATCTGTGTCTCAACTTATATGTCCACTTTTCAAAGAAGTCTTCCCTGACCACCCAGTCATCTCTATCACATCACCTTTCATACTACTTATCACTGTCCCCAGTTATTTTGTTGATTTATTTGTTTACTTGATTATTGTCTATCCTCGACCATAAGAATATAAGCCCCACTGCAACAGGGGTTTTGCTGACATATTCCAAGAACCTAGAACAATAACTGACATATAATAGGTGCTCAAAAAGGATCGACCAAATAAACGATGACTAGGATCAGTGCTTTTTCAGAGACTAGGTGTTATTAGGAAAGTGGAGAGGGTGCCATGGCATTGAGTGTTTGTGGAGGTGGTGGTATGGTGATAGGAATTTTTGGCTTCAAAGCAAGGCAAAAATGGAAAAGAAATGGAAAGTTAGAGAAACAAATTTTCCCTGCTGTGCAATTATAATTGAGTCTGGTCCCAGATTTTGGTCTTCTTCACAACTCAGGCCCATTTAATCTATTACTGTATCTGCTAGGTTCTTTGATTGCAGACAAGAGAAACTCACCTCTAGACACTTAAGAAGAGAAGAAAAGAACAGAAAAAAAGGTTTAGAACTAACACATAGAACAGAGGTGAAAACACAAGTACCAGGTCTTAGTATAGGAACTTGAGTAGCTTCAAGGAAGTTGGGCCAGGAACAAATGGGACATTTTCCTGAGGCCACTGAGGTTAGGATAAAAGAAGTGCACCAATTTTCACTTTTTGGCACTTTGCCAAGTTTTAGTTCTGGGGCAAAAATGTCTGACATAGCTTGAGTCTTGAGCCTACCCAAGGATCCAGGCATGGAGTGAGCGCCCACCACCATAAACCCAGTGGACTGTTATCAGAATAACAAGTAATGGATACTAGACAGGCAAATACAACAGCTTTCCACTCCATTCCAGGAAATATCATGGGGTGAGGTGTTTCATTTTAGAGGGTTATAATCTAGTTTGCGAGGAAATAAAACTAGAGGTCGCTTATGTCAATGAAGGAAATGTATTATTACTGGGAAAATAAGGCATCCTTCCTGTTAACCAACGAGAAAACTAACAGATTTATTCCTAGACATGCATTTTCTCTCCTGAGGCCCATTTTAAGGATAGTGTTTCTCATCTTCTGCAAACTGTCAGCTGGAACAGGACCTCTCCTACCTTCACAAGGGCATTGCTTATCGCTAACTGCAGAATTTCCTCTGTTCTCACCAAATTGCCAGATTTTACTTGGCCAGCCACTAGGCCAACAAAATTAAGTGGTAAATTAAATAACTCTGACCATAAGCCTCCAGCAATTCACAACCAATTTCGGGGTGTGTGTGTGTGTGTGTGTGTGTGTGTGTGTTACGTGGGAGTGGGAGGCTGGGGAAAAGGTAGGGAAAAAAAGGAGAAGAAAACTTAAGGATAAGTCTCAACAATGTAAAAGCAAAGAGGATATCTCTATGGTGAAAACATATTCTTTCCCCTAAAGCTTATGAATTAGGGGGCAATTTGCCTAGTTGGAGCTACATTTTGAACTATGAGCTAGAATTTGAATTATAATTTTGAGTTATGATTGCTCACATAAAATTCATCTTTATGGCAATAGATATTAATTTATATACCTATTTATTTCTTTAACAAACATTCATTGTGTGCCGGCAGTGTTCTAAGCATGACTGAGGGAGATGGATGTGTTTCTTGCTCTCATGGGGCTGGCAGGGTAATGGTAGTCATGAGGCAGGTGAAATAAACAGCAGCTTGGAAGGATCCTCCTTGTTAGGGGATGAGTTGGGGTTGCCATTACCTTCTGTCGGAGAAAAAGAATATGAAGCCTTCAAAAATAAACTGGGCTTCAATGAGAGAGAATGCTATACTTGCTAATCAAGATGGAAGCGTGCACCCAGAAAACGAAGGGTTCAGGACTAAGAGGAGTCAGAAGTTCCTATGAGACTGGCTGGGAACAAGGGCTGGGTGAGTGGCGAGAGAAGAGCAGCTCAGCGCAAATCCAAAGCCAGAGTCAGGGAGCATAGAAAAGAAGGAATCCTTCCTACAGGGATCTAGAGCTAAGTGGGACACAGCAGGAACAGGGCCAGGTTTGATGGGCAAAATCCCATGTTCATGACCAAATTATAAATACAAAATCAGGTTTGAAAGTGTGTGTTACTGTAGAAAGAGAAATCACAATCCATTACACATTTTTAAAAGCTGACAAATACCCCAAATCTGACAAAATCCAGAAAAAAATATAGCGGCTGCTCTAATTAACTGCCTGGCATACCCCTATTACTGCTTGATGCGCTTTTATACTTATTTTGCTAAATTTTTTTTGATTGTGCATTTATTGGCCATTCACTTCTTTACAGGAAAATGACTTTGTAATGTAGTTATCTATACAGTGAACAGAACAATAATTCATTCTTTATTCTGGCATGAATGATTACAACTTGGATTTTTTTTTTTGTAATTTTTGTTGGTGTTGACTAGGTATAGATCTAGTCACTCTACATATCTGAAGATTGGAAGAACTTTCACAGACTAGCTTCTGGCTTTGTGTATTTCAAACCTTGTTTCTCCTCCCCAGTCCCTATACTCCTGGTCCCAGGCTGATATGGTACAAGATATATACTTACCATAGGACTTCTGTTTATGCACCTTTGTGTCAGCAAAGTAGGTGGTAGGAATGTTGCTGGAAACCATTTGAACACTGAGAAGGATAGAAATAGCTTAATCCTACACACAAAAAAGTGCCTGTGAACCACAAAAGTACATCCCACTAGGCCTAAATTAAAGTAAACTTCCCCTTAGCTGTATGCTAAAAATGCCCATGGCCACTCCAGTACCACTGAATGTTAGGGAGAGTAAGACAGAGTGGAAGTTGAAGTAGAGAGACAGTGATCTTAACTGATTATAGTTAAATATTGCTTTTCACAAATTTTATTATCCATGTGATCAGGTGAACACATTGCATGAGCCCCTCTGAGGGCCTTGGAAAATCACTGTGCAAGGGAAGGGCCTTGAAACTTGTCAGGCTCTGGAGCAGGCTTTGGTATTTAAGAAATCTCAGAATAAGACTTGGAAAGAAAAAAACAACAGCAACTCAGAATAACAAAAGGGAACTGTAATCCAAAGTGTTATGATCTGAGAAAGAGGTCTGCTACCTAAAAGGGAGGAGAAATTAGTGACATTTTGGAAAGGTTCATAGAGTTCCCACCAGGGCCAAGATTAGCCAGAAGGCCTGCACTTGGACTCAACAGTGCATAGCATGTTCCCAGGAAACCCTGTATCAGTTATCTGTTGCTGCATAACAAATCATTCTAAAACATAAAGGATTAAAACAACAATAAGCATGTATTATCACACACAGATGATACACATATTATACTTCTGAGGGTTAGGTTCTGGGAGTGGCTTAGCTGGGTGGCCCAGGCTCACTCTCACATCTGGCAAGTTAGTGCTGGTTGTTGACCAGGTTCCTCACTACATGGACCACTCCACAGGGCTGCTTGAGTGTCCTTATAACATGGCAGCTGGCTTCCTCAAGAGTGAGGGATCCAAGAAGTAAGGTGGAAGCCTCAATGTCTTTCACCACCTAGTCTCAGAAATTTCACTGTCATTTCTGAAAAATTGTATTTGTTACACTATTCAGCTCCATTCATTGTGTGAGCGGACAACACAAGGGTGTGAATACCAGGAGATGGGGATCAACAAAGGCCATCTTGGAGACTGGCTTCTGCTGACCCTTTGCACTGTAATGTAGTTTAACTTTGTACAGCAGCAGACAAAAATATGGAAATACTGTTCTAGCAAAATATGGAAAAGACCTAAGATACCAGGAGCTTGTGTCTGTGTGGTTGGGTGTTGCTGGGGGTGGTCAGGGGGAGGTCTCCAAAGATAGCCCTTGGCAGAATTCTGACTTACGAGAGGCAAAGAAATAGAAAGAGAACCTTTATTTCATAGATGAGCATCTTGGACATAGAAAAGGAAAGTGAATATTCCAAGGCCACATTGCCAGTCAGATTCAGAGGTGGCAGAAGCTTGACTACTCCTAACAATGATAATTTAAGTACTAGAGTATTTTCCTCCATACCAGGTACTGGCCTACATTTTCTGTGTATATCATCTCATGTAATATTTACTATAGCTAAGGAAGTGAAGGCACCAAGAGGTCTAGCAAATTGCTCATGGTCATGTAGTTAGTCATGGTAGAACTGGCATCTCAACCAAATTCTGTCTGGTGTCCAAACCCCCTTTCTCCACCTCCACATCCCACTCCTTCCAAACCTTCCATTCTTTTAAGCCTGCCAAGTTATCTCCTTTCTATAATCCTTCACCCTATCTTCCCTGACATGCCTCATTCCCATGGAGAAGTCTTCTGTTTGGGGATAGCCTAAGGGGCCCTGCTTTATCAGAACTCCCAAACACCTTACAAATTACTCAACATAAGTATGAACACAGTGAAAACATAAGTAGAATCCAGAAGTAAAAAGTTCTAAACATTTCAGGCAAACAATACCAACATGTGTGTAATATACGGAAGTTTAGCTTTAAGTTTTCAGAGCAAAACTTGGAAGGAGGCTCCTCTCCAAAACAAGACCCCCACCCCAAGCCAAGTATTCTAACACCTAACAGCCAAAACTGATGGAGCACTACGTGCTTGCCATTGTTTTATGTGCTCTACCTCTACTGACTAATTCTAACTTTTATAATAGCCTCATAAGGTAGATGTACCATTATTATCTCCATTCTCCATTTTTATGCAATTTATCTGCAAGGTTACACACTAGGCAAGTGGTAGTTCTGGGATTTGGACAAAGTCTGGGTCGAGAATTCACGCTTGTGTGCAGTCTGCTCATCTTTGTCTTTTTTCTTTCAAGTCTGCTGTTGCCCTGGAGGTGCTGTCAGTGGAGTCTAAGATTTGGTTCCCTTGTTTGTCAATATTCATCAATCAGAATTCTTGAGCATCTGTCACGGTGAGGCACTGTGCTAAGCACTCAGCATAAATTGACTGAAGAAAACAGACACAGTCCCTGCCTTCCCTGAGTGTGCATTCTAGTGGGAGCAACAGACCTTAAATGAGGTAATAAATAAATTTATTTAAAGTTAACAACTCAACAAATAAGGATAGCTTAAAATTATAAGAAATGTTATGAAAGTAAAACACAGTATGCTCTCATAGATGATCCCAGGAGGATCTATTTAGACATGGTTCGGTCAGTGAAGTCTGATAGCAAATTTAAGCTGATACTAAAAGAATGAAAAGCTTTAAAATGAGATAAAGGAAGAGGCATTTCAGTTAAACATGGAAGACACAAGACATTCTTTCTTAACCTTTCCACAGACCTTTCTAAAATTGAGTATAAAAGGAACTAATGAGATAGAAACTCAGAAGGACAAAGACAACAGGTGATGAGAGAGAGAATTGTGACTGCAAAGAGTGAACATATTTTTGGAAGATAAAAAGTGGAAGGAGGAGTGAGCAAAAGTAAGAATGCTGTATACCAAGTGTGAGCAAACTGGATGCCAATGTCAAAGGAGCCAAGTCACAGCATCTAACCCCCCTAGTAAGTCTCAGCCATTGATGGTGCCTGGTCTGTGGAAGATAAGGGTGGAGTTCTGGGGAGGAATGAGGAGAATGGTTTGAAAGTCAGTATAAAGCACATTTAAACCCCTGGACCCTCTCTTCCCTCTCCTCTACCCAGGTCCAGGCAAGTGTTCCTCCTCACCCTGCCAGGATGCCAGAATCTTACTATTCTGTGGAGAAGTTGAACTGGAGTGGCTCCACAACCAGGATGCCGGCCCCAGAAGAAGTGGAGGTGCAAAAGAAAAGGGTCTGAGCACAAGTGTAGATATTGAAACATAAGATTTCTTCTCCTTCCGGGTGCGCCAACCTTATGGGTTTGGGTTATAATCCTGTGGTAGTATCATCTGACTTTTTAAAACTGTATTTTTTATTCCTTTTATAAAAATTTTACTCACACATACACATGCACACACACACGCACACATACATGTATTTTTTTTAAGAGAAGAGGAAAAGCGTTTCTTGCGGAGGAAACAGCCTGTGTGAAGATCCTAACCAGTGCATTCAGGGGAGTGGCAAAGAAGACCTGGCAGTGCAAGAGCAGCAGTAGGAGGAGGACATGGGGAGGATGAGGTTGGAGAGAGCGGGGTAAGAGGAGGACATGGGAAGATGAGGTTGGAGAGCGTGGGGCCAGATGCTGCGGGACCTTGAGGGCCATCTGAAAAGTCTGGGTTTTCTTTGAAATGTAGCCATGAAAGGTTTTTAAGCCATGGGTAACATGATCTTATTTAGGTTTAAAGAGTTACTCTAGTTGTATAAAGAATAGTTTGTCACATATTTAGCTGGGTCTTCGCATGAAAAATTATGTATCCCAGTACTTTAGAGCGGAAAGGACCTTCAAGATCATTTAGTCCAACCCTTTCTTTTAAAAGATAAGCAAACTAAGAAGCAGAAAATTTATGATTTGCCCAAGGTCACAGAGCTAATAACTATGTGAGGCTTTTAAACTAGGAGTTGCAGGGTGATAGATTATACTTTTAAGAAATCTTTCTACTCTATATTTCCTTTGGCCAGAAATGATGTCTCCCTTTTCTGAACTTTCATCTCACTTTATTTTTCTCTCCTATGGTGCTTACTCATTTATTACCTTGATCATAGTTCTTTGTGTTCTTGTCTTGTCTTATCTCCTTTATGAGACTATAAAAGCAATCCCTGGAGAGCAGGAAATATGGTCTTTACCTTACGTGTCTCTGTAGGACATTGCCTGTAGTAGGTGTTCAGTCAATGTTTGTTAAGTAAACAGATCAATGGACAGGTGATACGTGAGTGAATGAATGAATGAATGAATGAGTTCTCCATATGCTATAAATACTGAGTGTTTACTGACTGAATATGCACGTGTAGATTATACTCTCCCTGATTTATCATTCTAGGCTACTTCCTAGCTATGTTTTCATTCATTTTTCTCTTATATGTACATAATGGAAAGTGGTTATTTTTAATCAGAAGAAACGAGGTGGCCTAGAAAAATATCACATTTCTAAGTCAGGTAATTCTTTCTTCCAAGATTATCAGCAGGGAGAGCCTCTCCACACTCTCCCCTTCCTTCCCTCCCACCCTACTGGCTAGGTTTAAATGTTCTTTCTCAACACATGATCTTTTGGGAGCTTACTTCTGAATTTTTTTTTTAAAGAGATGACTGAGACTGCCCATAAGAAACTAACCAAGTGTCCGGGGTAAAACTGTGATATCACAAAGGAGAAAAATGTTTTACTTAAGGTTAAAAAAAAAAAAACACAAAAAAGCAGGGCTGTAACTATGCCCTCTCCAGCAGAGCAATATACATACATCCAATGAAAACTAATGCTGCCAATAGTGGAGAAAGCCCTGAAGGAGATTTGGGAGCCATGGGTGATGTCCCTGCCTTCGATATTGACTTGTTCAATGGCTCTGATAATTCATGAGCGCTCTCTCTCTCCCCTCACCCCTGCCCTTGGTTTCCTCATCCATAAAAGATACATAAAAATATTAGAAACAATTGGTCATAGGTCCAGTTTCTGCTACCACAAAATGACCCATTAATTCTGTCCATAAAATTGGTCAGACTGGTTTCAGGGATAATTGTTACATTTTTGGACTCACTGATTTGGCATCTTGCACATACATAGTCAGGCGCATGTTGAGAATCTTTGCCGGAGATGAGGTTATACAATGGATTTTGGCTCCCTGCATGAAGAAACAAGCTTCAGGGCATGCGATTTGATGATCTAAGGTCTCCACTAAGGCAATCGGCACTCAGAAGACAAACATGACTCATTGTGTGTGGGAACTCATTCCACTGTTCACAAACTTCGGTTTGAGGGTTGGGAAGGTCTGGAAAAGATTCTAGTGTAAAGCCTAATTCAGAAGGGTACAGATTGTTTTCTTTGTAAAGTGACACATGTCAGTATTGTGAAACAGTGGAAACTGGAAGGAAAATAAAATATTGTGTCGACTGTCACAGAGTCATCCTGCTGCCCCGGCTACAGACATCTCTTGCTTTCTACTCCTGTGCTTCACTATTACAATGAAGCCACTGTCCTCAGATAGTTCCGGCTGCTTCACCATATTAGTTATCTATTGCTAGGAAAGAAGCCACCCCAAAAGTCTGTGATTTAAAGCCACAACATTTTATTATTTGTTCATGAAATCTGTAATCTTGGTGGAGCTCAGCAGCAATGCTGCTGCTGGTCTTGCGTGGAATCACTCATGCAGGTGGCATTATGTAGAGTCTCAACTAGGCTAACTCTCAAATAATACAGAATGACTTCATTCCCATGCATGTCACCACAGCTGGGATGGCTGAAACAGCTGGGGCTGGTCCGACGTCTCTCCCTCCCTCTCTCTCACTCTCTCTCAGTGGTTTCTCCAGCAGTGCAGCCGACTACCATTACCTGGGGACCCCGGGCTCCCAAGAGTACAAAAGCAGAAACTGCCAGGTTTTCTTAAGGTTCATGTCTCAAACAGCCACAGTGTCACTTCTGCAGCATTCTGTTGGTTACAGCAAGTCATAGGCCAACCCAGATTCAAGGAGAGGGGAAACAGATCCCATATCATTATGTAAAGAGTGGCAAAGAATTTCCAGACACCTTTAATCTACCACAACCACAATTACATGGTCAGGTCTTGTGGGGTAAAGGAGCATCTAGTGACTTGCCCAAACTTCTCCCCTGCCACAGACTTCCCCTTGTTCCTCCTTGGATGCTCCCCTCTTACAATGCAGCCTTCACTCCAGGGCTCTGGGCCTGTTGCTTTTACTTTTCTGTCACTACCAGCCAACTTCTCTCTACTGACTTTCTCTCCACCTCATAGTTTTTGATTATTCACAGGCTCTGCTGCTCCATGGCATTATTGTCATATGGCTTCTACTGCTATAAAAATTAGTAGTGTACAGAAAAGGTTAACAAAGTAGGCCAGAGACTGCTAGCCTTAGGAAGACCTGCTTGCAAGGTTGATCCTTGACTGGCATCTAGCAACTTGGATTTTGAGGGGCGTATTAGTTAGGGTTCCCCAGAGAAACAAAACCAATAGGATATGTATATGTGTATATACATATACATATACAAATATATGTGCATATTTGTATACACATATACATATACTCACATATATGTATATATATGTGTACACAAATATACAAATGTATATATGTGTATATGTGTGTATTCAAATATACAAATGTATATTTATATACATTTGTAAATATATGTGTATATTTGTGTATATATATGTGTATACACATACACACATATATGTATATACACATATACACATATATGTGTATATACATATACAAAAGAGAGAGAGACTTATTATAAGGATTTGGCTCACATGATTATAAGCCAATGATGATAAGTCCAAAATACACAGGGTGGGCTGACAGGCTTGAGATCTAGAAGAGTAGATAGTGCATTTCCAGTGTAAAGGCTGGGGTGGTCAGATGTGGTGGCTCATGTCTGTAATCCCAGCACTTTGGGAGGCCGAGGTGGGCAGATCGCTTGAGGCCAGGAGTTCAAGGCCAGCCTGGCCAGCATGGTGAAATCCCATCTCTACTAAAAATACAAAAACTATCTGGGCATGGTGGTTCACGCCTATAGTCCCAGCTACTCGGGAGGCTGAGGCATGAGAATTGCTTGAAACTGGGAGGCAGAGGTTGCAGTGAGCCGGGATCACACCACTGTACTCCAGGCTGGGCAACAGAGTGAGACTGTGTCAAGAAATAAATAAATGAATAAAATAAAAAATAAAAAATAAAAATAAAGACTGGCAGGTAGAGACCCAGGAGAGCCAATTCAGTCCACAGGTGGCCTGCTAAGAATTCTCTTTTGTTCCGGGATGCCAGTATTTTTGTTCTATTCAGGCCTTCAACTGATTGAAGGAGGCCAATCCACATATTGGAGGGCAGTCTCCTTATTCAAAATTCACTGATTTAAATGTTAATCTCATCCCAAACCCCCCTCCAAGTGAATACATAAAATTAACCATCACAGGAGGGTTTTCATTATCCCCAGAAGTGATAAGAGGGCTCACTGTGCTTAAACTGTTTGTACAAGCAATGTGGTTCATGCTGGACACCTGCTTTCATGATTCCCAAAAGGAATAAGGAAAGGAATCCCCAGTCTGGAATTTTATTACATGCTAGGCAGAGAGTGCCTGTGTAATCAGCCCCCAGTAAAAGCACTGGGCACTGAATCTCTAATGAGCTTCCCTGGTGAACAACATTTCATACCTGTTGTCAGAACTTGTTGCTGCAGGAATTTATCGCATCCTGTGTGACTCCGATGGGAGAGGACTCTTGGAAGCTTATGTCTCGTTTCATCCAGATTTTGCCCCATGCACCTTTTCCTTTTGCTGATTTTGCTTTGTATCCTTTTGCTATAATAACTCTTAGCCCTGACTAGGACTCTGTGCTGAGTTCTGTAAGTCTTCCTCGCTAATTATTGACCCTGGGGATGGTCTTGGCAGTCCCCAATACAAGTAGGAAATGGGAAAATTATGTCACTAGCACAGGTCTATTCTCAATTGTTAATACAATTGAAACAAAGATGGAGATTATTTCATAATAATTAGAAGTCTTATCTGAAGGTAAGGGACTATCTATATGAGTGTAGCACTCTGCTATACACCACAGAATATTCAAAGGGTATATTAGGAACACAAATGAGTGGCCAAAGCTTTCTAGAGGGGGAGGGTTATTTGAATGAGTTGGAAAAAGGGAAAAAGGAGGTGGTGGAGCCCAGTGTTTGAGAGTTTGGACTCTGGAGACATGGCTGAGTCCTGAATAGCTGCACTGGCTACTTCCAAGTTGTTAATCAACACGAACTTAAAGCTCCAAAAGTATAACGTGGCTTAATAAAAATAATGACTAATACTTATCAAATGTGTATCACATCCTAGGAACTTTGTGTATTTACTCACTTAACCCTCATAACAATCTTATTAGGTGAGTATTATTTTAATCTCTATTTTGCAAATTCAGAAACTGAGGTCAGGAAAAAAGGTCCTGCAAATACTCACAACAGAAGAGTTTTGAGACGCTTAGCTGAGTCAATACATGCAATGCCCTTGGGAAATGTCTAGAGCATTAGAAGCATTCAACAAATATTAACTATGATCTTTTAAAACAGGAGGGGGAAGAGAGGAAAAAAAGGAGAGGAAAGAGAGAAGTTGGGACCAAGGGTCACTATATGAGCAAAGCAGAGGAATGGACCGTAGCAAAGTACGCTTCATGAGTAATGAGTGGAACGATGGGCAACAAGCAGTGAGTGAATCCTCCTGGGTGCCAGGTATTGGGCTAGGAACTTCAGCCCTGGGCAGCCAAGGAAGCATGCTGGATTGAAGAGTAGTAGGAAACAGGGAATGATTTAGAGGCAGCTGAAT
Organism: Homo sapiens; assembly: GCF_000001405.40. Classification (NCBI taxonomy): domain Eukaryota; kingdom Metazoa; phylum Chordata; class Mammalia; order Primates; family Hominidae; genus Homo; species Homo sapiens. The sequence continues at coordinate 65,635,422 of NC_000012.12, forward strand.
GTCATTTCAGCCCTTATCATCTAGGGCTGTGATTCTCAAATTGACACAACAGTGTCTTAGAAGCCATAGTACTATTTGCAGGCAATATGAAATAAACATATATACTCACATTAGCTTGTGGTCAGGATAAGTAGTTCAAGAAAAAAAAGGGAGAGATGTTTAAAATAGAACATAATTTAAAGAAATAAACTTTTTTATGTAAATCAGTGACACATCACTATTATTTGATTTTTAGTAGCTTGAGAACTACTGTATTAGGTAGTGGAGAAAGATGAATGGTTGGGAAGACAAATCTGGCTTAAGGCATAGAGTTAGGATGGAAGTTGGGGAAAGAAAAATGGCTAGCAAGCTGTAGCACTCATTTGAGCATTTACAAAATGCAAGTCAGACTCAAGGTGAGTTCATGAGTAATGAAAGGAAATAGATGAGTAGAAGATCAATGATGTAGGAAAAATGAATAGTATTTTATAGTATATAAAGGCCCAGGTTCAAATCACTTCATTAATTATCAGCTTCTGACTTCTCTGAGGTTGTTTCCTCGTCTACCAATGGAATTGAAAACAAATGGAATTGATAACAAATACTTTAGGGTGGCTGCTATGAAGATTGGAACAAATGAAAAAGTGAACGTAAACTGACACTTGATATATGGAGGCCAGTCTCATGTGATCCTCCTACCTCAGCCTCCTGAGTATGTGGGACCACAGGCATGCACTCCCACACCTGGCTAATTTTTGTATTTTTTTGGTAGAGATGGGTTTTCACCATGTTGTTCAGGCTGGCATTCTCTTTCTTAATGATGCTTGCCTGAATGTAGGAGAATGAGGAGAGAGGAGTCAAAGATGGCTACAAAGATTTGACCCCAGGTGCTTGGGGAAACAGATGATCCCATGGAAAGCAATAGGAAAGAGGCAAGATTAACCTAGTCCTGAAAGAAGATGGATTAGTTCCACTTTAGGAACACTGAATGAGGCCCAATTTGGCAAGTTTACTGTGCTGAAAAGAGAGCTTTTAATAAGTAAAGTAAAATTATAATCTTAGAAAAAGTGAACATATATTATTTTTTCCTGTTTGTCACATGTTGAATGCCCTTCATTGTCCTGTTATCTTTAACTGTAGTATATGGAAAGAATTTTAAAAATAGATTTAAGGGCTCTAAGAAGGGAGTCTTAGAGCCCAGGATAAATTGCACACAACTTGTGACATACGGACTACAATGGGGTTTTTATGTGCTAAACTGTAATTATCATATGACTGCTTAGATTTGCAGTGATTTATTTATTTAGTTAGTTAGTTTACTTATTTGAAACAGGGTCTCACTTTGTTGCCCAGGCTGGGTAGTGGTGTAATCATGGCTCACTGCAGCCTTGACTTCCTGGGCTCAAGTGATCCTCCCACCTCAGCCTCCCCAGTAACTGGGACCACAGGCACACACCACCATGCCTAATTTTTGTATTTTTTGTAGAGACAGGGGTTTTGCCATGTTATCTAAACTTGTCTCATGATTATGTGAATTAAAATGTACCACGCATGCATGGAAATAAACTCCTTTGCCCTTCTGCAAATAGATCATTCATGCCCAATTGGGAATACCACTTCAAATGGTACTACCATTTGGAATCAGGTAGTCTCAGCTTTGAATATGAGCCCTGTGTGCAAACTTGAATAAATTTTTTCAAATTCTCTGGGCCTGAATTTTCTAATATGTAAAAAGAGATAAAAATAAGACCTATTTTACAGGGCTCCTGTGAGAATTAAATGAGATTACATTTGGCACTCACACATAATTGGCTATCAATAAACATAGAGTTCTCCATCCCTTTGACCCCTCTATAATGGCGTTGAAGCTATTGGCTGCAGAAAAGATGTTACAGATATAATTTGAGAAGTTTTAGAACCACATTTATATTCTGGCTTTTGTCTTAGTTAATGCAAGGTGATGTACAAAGAAATAATCTAGTTAAGTCTGGACTTGGTGACTAAGTTCAGAATAGAAGTATTAATAAAAAGCATGCTCTGTTAAGTTTTGGTAAAGCACATACGAGGTTGTACCTGTGAACTCATTCTTTTAAGTTTTGATACTTTATATGTCTTTTTGTCAATAAGCATAATATTCAAATTTTCTAATTTAGAGACATTTTGCCACTTAAAATACAGAGTTGGAAAATCATGGGTTTGATTTATATATCCTTCGAAAATGTCAGCCATGCCTCGCAGCAACATAATAAAAAAATGTTATTGACCTAATGGCAGCCAAGTAACTTACCCTTTTGAAAATTAGCTTCATAAATAGAAATTCATAACACACTGGTCTCCCTGACCCTGCAGGTCTCCATGTTCCATGAGCACTACCTGTAGCACCTAGAATTTATCCCTGGTTCTATACCTGGGTTTACTTATGTAATATCGTCTTTCTCCCTGGAGCATAAGCTCTGTGATGGAAGGAAACGTATATGTCTATTTCACCACTAGTTCCTAGAATCCAGTGCGATGCCTGGTGCCTCATAGGCACACAATAAGTGTTTGTGGAAGGATGAAGGGAGGTGGAGGGAGAGACCTAATACAGTACTTGGAAATGCAGTCAGCACTTTAAAAAAGCTTGTTTAATGGATGGAGTAAGTCACATTTCCTGTTTTTCTCTTAGTCATATACTTTGTAGGACGGAACGAATATATCTTAGGCCACAAAGAAAAGTCTCAAAGTAAATGCATGAATACTAATGAAAACTATATTTATATTATAATACTAACATTCATTGAGTGCTTACTATGTACCAAGTACTATGTTAAGCCCTTTATATGCATTAATTCATTTAACTATCATAATAACACTATGGGAGAATTTCCGCTGGACACATGAAGAAACTGAGGCTCGATGTAGTTTTCTAAGTTTTTATAGTATAGCTAATAGTGGGAGTGGGATTTAAATCCAAGCTTGTCTGACTCCACCTCCATAAGGATTTGAGAGTACCTTACAGTGGTATCTAAGTTGTCACTCACAGCATAAGAACCAGATTAGTAGGGCCTCCTGGGGGCCCACATCTGCTAAGGGAGGCCACACCTGCTTAAGCACATGGGGACAGCCCTCCTGGGCCCACACAGCCCACACATGACAGGTGTCCTTCCAAGTGTCTAGCCACAGCATAGTTCAGAACTGATAAGGGTTAGGCTTTGTGTCCTCACCCAAATCTCATTTAAAATTTTAATCCCCATAATCCCCATGTGTCAAGGGAGTGACCAAGTGGAGGTAATTGGATCATGGGGGTGGTTTCCCCTATGCTGTTCTCATGATAGTGAGTGAGTTCTCATGAGATCTGATGGTTTTATAAATGGTTCTTCTTCCTTCGCTTGGCACTTCTCCTTCCTGCCATCTTGTGAAGAAGGTGCCTTGCTTCCCCTTCACCTGCCACCATGATTGTACATTTCCTGAGACCTCCCAGCCATGCAGAACTGTGAATCAATTAAACCTCCTTCATTTATAAATTACCCATTCTCGGGCAGTTCTTTATAGCAGTGTGAAAACAGACTAATATAAGAACCAAAGAGGTATGTGGCAGAAATAAATGGTTAGGCACAATAAAGAAAGTTTGCCTTCAAAGAAGACCAAAACAAACACAAATCTGGAAAAACAAGCTGGATCCCAAGGGTCAGGAAAGTGCTGGGGGCAAGTGTAGCAGGACAAGCCACAGACAAAACCCCTCAGACACCGAGTTAAAGAAGGAAGCGGTTTATTTGTCCCGGAGCACTGTCAAGATTCCTGTCTCAAGAGCCGAGCTCCCCAAGTGAGCAATTCCTGTCCCTTTTAAGGGCTCACAACTCTAAGGGGGTCCACTTGAGAGGGTTGTGATCGATTGAGCAAGCAGGAGGTACGTGACTGGGGGCTGCATGCACCAGTAATTAGAACAGAACAGAATAGGACACGGATTTTCACAGTGCTTTTCTATACAATGTATGTAATCTATAGATAACATAACCGATTAGGTCAGGGGTCGATCTTTAACTACAGGGCCCAGGGTGTGGCGCCATGCTATCTGCTTGTGGATTTCATTTCTGCCTTTTAGTTTTTACTTCTCTTTCTTTGGAGGCAGAAATTGGACATAAGACAATATGAAGGGTGGTCTCCTCCCTTACAAGTGCGTTGCTATAAAAAAGGGCCATGGGAACTCGCTACTGCGGTCTCAGAAAGCTAAGGGAAGGCATCTTGGGTCAGAAGATGATTGAGAAAACACATCAAGAAAGGACCTTCTATATAAAGCATGACTCTTTCTTCTTCGCCCCCATCCTAATCCTATCCCTATACCAACATATGCTTTCTCTCGCTCTCTCTGACACACACACACACACACACACACACACACACACACACACACATACACCACTGCTGCTAACATGTTCTTACATGCCTGAGGTTGCTGGCTTTTGCTGTTCATGCAAACATCTTTAGAAAACAAGGTTAAAGTGTCTAGATCTAGGACTGAACTAACAGGGCTCATGTTTCTGTCTCCATCTTGAGAGCAAGAACATGTACTCCATGTCTTTTTTCTCTCTCTCACAGCACCTATTACTAGATACCATATGCTCTGCACGTACTTGGCACTCCATAAATGCTTGCTGAATGGCTGACTTTCCCCGTCTCCCCCATCCTTTCCTTCCCACCCCAACAGCATGACTTTAAAGATCTGCTGCAGAGCTGTGGGGCGAGGTTTAAGATCCGTTTTGACAAATAACCCTTATGGGTGTTTAAAGCCAAAAGATCGAATATTTAAAGCAGAAATATGAGCTGTGACTTCATGGGTGTTCTGTGAAGAGATGCATAAAGCTGTACAAATAGATAGCCTTTCAGACAGGACATAACAGACCCAGCTTTGTGCATTTGCAAATATACAGAGGAGAAGAGCCCAAACTTCATTTTCAACCCTACATTTCCTTCTGAAATCAGTTTAAATAGGAGAGTGAAGGTAGTTAAATCCTCTATCGTTTTAAAAGGAGATCTTACGAATACTTTTGGCTTTAAAAGCTTATGTCACTGATTCATAATGTAAGAGGTGACATTAAAACTATCCTCCACCCTCTCACCACCATCACCACCCCCAGACAGGAAAATGCAGGCAAAAATGAGACTGGATTCCCTGGGAGTGGTGGGAGCAAATTGATTGCTATTTAAAAAAAAAAAAAGAAAAAAGCGGGGGTGGTGCTTTTAGACTCCCAGGCATGAGATCTTGGTGCTGGAAAGTGTTAAAGGACTAAAGCAAGGATCTAGAGTCAGCAGTTGGTTGAAGGAACACAGCAGGATGCAAGCACATGATGGCTCTGGTGGATGACTTCATGAGGGTGTAGAGCGTAGAACAGAAGAGAGAATTAGTCCCAAGAGAGAAGTCAGCATGCTCTGAGCAGGCCTATTGCTCCATTGGTCGCACTTTCTCTAAAGGATGTCCAGAGTTCCCTGGCTGCTTAGGTTAATACAGCAGAAACAAGAGCACACCCTGCCGCTTCTCTAGCTCCAGCTCTGACCATCCTGTGTTCTCTTAAAGCAGCTGACTTGAAGAAAAAGTGAATGTCTTGAGCCCTTGGCTCTTACACCTATTCTACGAGCTAGAAGTGATTTCGGCAAGTGGAATCAGCTTGATACATATCACTTTTGTTTTAAGTACAACTACATTAAATGGAGCTATGTTTGTCCAGTGGCTGAAGAGGTTACCTGGAGCTAAGGGTTTGTAGAATAGTTGCACTCAAATATATTCAAGTACCTAGCAATAAAAATTAAATTGACCTTAAGAACTCTTGGTTATATTACTAATTTGTACATGCCTAAGATCAGAAGTGTGTCCTGTTTCCAATTCATCCTTTGTTTCCATTTCGTGTAGATATAAAACAGATCAGTAACTCTGGATTCTATAGAAAACATATTTGTCTAAGGTTATTGACCAGATAACAGAAATTTGGATAAACACACAATGCCTTGGTTTTCTTGATAATGTGTTACGTTTACAGAGAACCTTCTCATTCTCTTCTCATGTGACTCTCAAAAATCTCTAGAATGGGAATTATTATGACTCGATTTTACAGAGGAGGAAATAATAGAAACTCAGAGAATTTTATTCAATTGTTCATTTGTGCCACCCTATTCTTTGGGACCCAATTTTGTTCTGGGCAATAGAAATGTAGAGATGAAAAAAAAAATAAGCATGGCCTGTAGAAGTTCACCATCTATTATGTAGAACACATAGGTAAACAAAACATAGGCATGTGATCAGTATTAGGTTAGGCAGATGGACTAGATACAATGATGGAAAATGGAAAGAATCACCAAATTTGCCTGGCTGTGAGTGAGTAGTCTTCTCAAAGCTGGAAACCCTAGAGGTAGGATTGTTGTTGTTTTTTTTTTTGAGATGGAGTCTCAGTCTGTCGCCCAGGCTGGAGTGCGGTGGCGCAATCAAGGTAGATCTTAATAAGAAAGAATTTGCTAGAAAGACAAAGCATAAGGTGGAGGAGCAGCAAGAGGTAAGGCACAGAAGCACGGAACTGTGTGATCAGTTCAAGGAATAACAAGCAGTTCAGCATGGTTGTAAAGTAGAGAAGGAAGGAAAATGAGAGTGTTTGCTTTAGGAATAAGTTCACCTGTGATGATCAAGGAGGTTCTGGGTTGGTGAAATGAAGTCTTCAGGAACTTGGAGTTGTTCGGTCTTGTTTCAACACACATGGCCTCTATTTCCAAGATCTCTTCATACCTCCAAATGGCTGCTCTAGATTCACTCACCATATCCATATTCAGCGCAGCAGGAAGGGGGAAGGGAAAAAAAAAGGAAAAAAGACACGCACCAGCTGTCTTTTAAGATTTACAGGAGCTGCTGCAAGACACTTCTGCCTACAGCTCCTTGGCCAGAGCTGGTCACATCGTCACACCGCCTGCTGAGGACTTTCAATAGACTCTGTTATGATGATCAATGAGCTCAGTTAAAAATGTGTGGTTATATTAATAAAGAAAAATGAGAGTATGAAATTTGAGGACAACTACAAGTATCTGCCACTGAGTGAAAAGAGGAAACTGATCATAAAGGATTACAAAGATCATTGAATTAACTATGAATCATTGCTTTGAAGCTCCAACTTTGCCCTCTGGCCAATGGGGAGTCACTGAAGGGTTTTGATGGAGGACTTTGGATGACCACATTTCCATTTATCATTAGGATTGATGACAGACTGTAGAGGGTAAGATTGGAGACAGAGAGACCAGTTAGGAGACTGTTATGTTGATCTTGGTGAAAGATGATGGAGGTCTCAACTAAATAGCAGTAGAGAGATGGGGCAAAGGAAAGAAAAGGCAAAACACCAAGATCGTTACTTACCATGCTAGGTAAGTAGTAAGGGGCAGAATTTGAACCCCAATCTTTAATGCAAGTCCATGTACCATGAGATTCATGTGTTTTTTAAAAAATGTTTTAATTGACAAATAAAAATTGTATATATTATGGTGTACAGCATGATGTCTTAAAATATGTATACATTGTGTAATATCTAAATCAAGCTAATTAACATATGCGTGACCTCACAAACTTATTTTTTATGGTGAGAACATTTTACTACTACATTTACATCTACTGTCTTAGCAATTTTCAAGTATACGTTATTATTAACTATTATCACCAAGTTGTACAATAGGTCTCTTGAACTTATTCCTCTTGTCTAACTGAAATTGTATATCCTTTGACGAACATCTCCCCAATTCCAACTGCCCCCATCCAGCCTCTGGTAACCACCATTCTACTCTTTACTTCTATGAGATCAACTTTTTTCACATATAAGTGAAATCATGTAGTATTTGTCTTTCTGTTCCTGGCCTATTTCACTTAACATAATGTCCACCAGGTTTACTCATGTTGTGCAAATAACAGGATTTTCTTCTTTTTAAAGGCTGAAGAGTGTCCCATTGTGTATATATTCCACACTTACTTTATCCATTTTTTCCACTGAAGGGCACTTAGATGGATTCCATGCCTTGGCTATTGTGAATAATGCTGCAGTGGACATGGGAGTGCAGATATCTCTTTGACATACTGATTTTATTTTATTTGGATACACACCCAGTAGTGGGATTGCTGGATCATATGGTAATTCTATTTTTAGTTTTTTGAGGAAACTTCATACTGTTTTTCATAATGGCCATACTAATTAATAGTCTTACCACAAGTGTGCAAGAGTTCCCCTTCTCTACCTCTTGCCAATACTTATTATCATTCGTCTTTTTGATAATAGTCATTCTAACAGTTGTGTGGAGATGAGACTCATGTTTCTTAATCAACATTATAGTAAGCTGGATTTCAAACTACCACAAGCACTTTGCATCTATGTCATGTTGTGGAAATCAGATTTACCATGGTCCAGACCCAGGAACTAAAGAGTCCAAAAGCAAGACAACATTTGTGACACGATAACATTTTGAGATATTTTGTATTTTCTCTGCCTGCATTCAAGCAGATAGAAGACCCTGGGCTCCCTTGTCTTATGGGAGGTCTGAGACAGGACTTCCTGGGTTTTATTCCTAAAAGCCTAAGCACATGCCAGAGGAGAGAGTTTGAAGAGAGAAAGATTTTATCCAGGCTAGGAAGACAGTTTTCTTTTTCTTTTTCTTTGCAAGACAATTTTATTACTTGTAACAAGTAAGGAGAACACAAGAGATAGTTCCCAAAGCAGTGTCTGTCTGAGCAAAGGGCTGGGTCAGGTTTTATAAGCATAGGGTAATGAGGCATGATCTGACTGGATCTTGCAATGAGGTGATGCCAGAAGCATGACCTGACTGGATCCTGCCATGGGGTGATGCCAGAGCTCAAACTGATTGGATCCTGGATCCTGCCATGTGAATCCACCTTTTTTTTTTTTTTTGAGTTTGAGTTTGAATTTGACAAATTTATTGGTATTTTGGTAAAGACATTCATCTCAGTCGTTTCTCTCTCCCAGCTTGACCTTAGGTTAATATTTCATTTGGGTCAAGAAAAGAATATGTAGGAGAGCTATGTTGCTTTAACAAGAAAATGGACAAAAATGGATAGTTTGCCTCATTAAAGTAAGTTAAATTCATGCATCTTGATATAATGAAATCATATAAGAACTAAGAGTTCTATATATATTTCCATTGTTTTACTAGGGGCCTATTCTAAACTTAAATGCTAGTGAACAAAGTGTTAGGAATATACACAGGCTGCTTCTCTAGAGTTATTACCGATTAAAAGAGCTCAGCAAGCAGTTACCACCAATAAAACAGTCTGAAGCTGCCTCCAAATACAATACTGTAGGAGTTTTCAAGGAAATTTTTATACTGTATGTTTCTTTTGTCTGTGACAATGCTTTTAAAGATGTGCTTGTTACTTTTTTTTTAAAGTTCATATACAATACAAAAATACAAAAACAAACACCCTACAATACACAAATCTAACAAGGTATATGTGGTAAGATTCCAAAAAATGTTTGAAGATGCATTTCCTTTCCTTCTATTTCAGTATCTAAAATGTGCTTTTTGAGAGGCCATTGGTCAATATGTATACATTTAAAATAAACCATATAATTTTACTAGTAAGAAAGCCAGTAGTTAAGTTCAATTCAAATTGGATTTCATATTAAATCCTTAGACAAAGTTACAGAAAGTGCATCTTCTTGTTTTCCATCTTCATACAATGTTAAATTTTTTTTTGGTGTTTATACCTTGTAAAAAATAAAAACAGCCAAATACTTAAGCAATATGTACATTTAAATTTTTGGTGGTGGCTTGTATTTTAAAAAACCGCCTCCTTATGATTTGTGTCAAGTTCTGGTGAAAATGCTTACAGGAACTAGCTAATAAACAAAAAACAAGAGAAGCAAATTGAAAATACTGATTTACTTTTGTAGCAAATGGTTTTTCTTTGAGGACTAATGAAGATAGACAAGACCCATTAAGGTGAAGTGGGCTATTTCAAATATTCAACAGTTTACATTTTTAAAAAATTCTTTTAAGAGCTACGCGTCTGTATCCACTGACAGCAATGCAATACCTAATTTATGATGATTTGAAACAAAACAAATGCCTATAAGGAAAAAAAGCTATATTTTAATTTTATCTAAATTTACTTTCAGTCAATAGTTCAGTAGCATTTTCCTCCCAATACAATACTCCTCTCTATAAGGCTGTTCCTGGGAGCCAGACAAGTTTAGGTAATAAGGGAGTTAAGAGAGTAAGTGCTTGCAGTTTTAAACAAACAATAACTTTTTGTTTCCCTCTTAATGTGCTAATAGTTGTGTCTAAAAAAAAATGCAATTCTTAAAAAGATACCATTTCTGATTTATTTATTATCTGTAACCTTTGGAAACTAATCACATGAAACTACAAAATTAGCAAATGTCTTGAAATCTGTAGACAAAACATAAATTACCTCTAATTTCAAACTCTCATTTATTAGTGTACCACTCAATCTTTTAAAAAAATGAAAAAGAAAAAAAAAGCGGCTCCAAAGATAGTCTTATACCATTCTTTAAAAAGAGAAACTGTTCCTTTTAACTTTACACCCATCCCACACCCCAATTTCAAAACATCATTTAATTGTCTTGGTCATGGACATTTCCAAGATGAGATTTTATATTTTGCCCCCATAGTTTCTGGTTATCAGAAAACCCATGCTTTCCTTTATTGAAGGAGTTCGGTCCAGCTGATGTTGGTGTATCCATCTTCATCTTCATTAAGAGCTGCTGCTACTGAAAATTTTTGGAGCCAAGAGTTGGAACAGTTTCTTTAGGCTTACTTGATCCAAGTTTGATGGATATGGCTGACGCTTTCTTTGTCGTCTACCTAACGCAAATCCAAAGTTGGAGATCTTTGTAGGCTTTGTTGGGAGGTCTGCAGCTTCTTCACTGATCGCTTCTCAGAGCTGCGACTGGAACTTTCCCCTCCATTACTGGAAGAAACAGTTTTAGCTTTCACAGGTTTTTCTGCTTCTTCCTCAGGTCCTCCGGTAGCTCCAGCTCGCTGCGACTTTTCAGGCTGCTTCTCTCCCCTCTTCTCGGCCGCCATTTTCCCCACCACGGCCTCCCTGGTATCCACTTCTTAATTCAGTCCAATAATAAAAAAAAGAAAGAAAGAAAGAAAGAAAAAAACCTACAAAACAATTTCAAAATGAGGATCTTATATTCCACTAAATGATATTTACTAAAAGTTTAAAATACAGACATTTTCAATTTATAGAAAGACACAGAGTTTAACTCCCAAGTACCTTTATTGAACAACATCAGTAGAAAAGAAGGTGTTTATTACTTGGTGTTTAACAGAAAATACATTTATTATATGTTTAAAATTTCACATAGATGAAATATTTCTATAGCTTTCTCCTTTGTTTTTATAAACTTCTTATAAAACATATCTTTCAAAATAAACAGGATAACTTTATGTATTTATATGTTTCAGAAAAATATATAAAATGTGGGAAATAAGTGGCATTCAATATATGTTATTACATGGATATATGAGTAAAACAAAATGGTACTCTACTATATTATATACAAATAATGCATTTTGCTTTTTTTGAAAAATAAAGGATTATGATCTTGGAAATCTTTTTCCATAAGTAAATAGAGAAATACACCATTTATTTTAGATGTCCATGATGATTGAATTCATAGATATATAGTAGTTGCCTTTCTGCAGTTTTAGTTACCCACGGTCAACCACAGTCTGAAAATATTAAATGGACAATTTCAGGAAAAAAAAAAATCAGTCCACTAGCCTCCCTCTATGCACTTAGGTTTTGCCTGTGGTTGCATACCTGGTTCATCTGGGCCATACTCAGGTCATGTGACCTTTAACCTGGCCAAGCTCATCTCTTCAGCAGCCGCACAGCATAGTGAGCTAACCAACTGCGGTCAGCGTTTAATTGGGGATGAAGCTTGATCTTATAGAGGTGCTCTGCTTTTAGAACATCTCTAAGGCGCCTTTTCCTGGCTCCCTTTCAGGAACACGCATGCTCGCAGAAGCCATTACAATCCCGTCGTGCAGCAGCCTGTGCTATTGACCAGCCTAGAAGTCATTTTTCGACTCAAGGGGAGAAGGGTGGGTTTCTGCTCTTTCCTTGCACCATCTGAAGGACACGGCAGAAGATAAAGGAAAATGGCCATGAGATGCTCCAGCGGAGCTGGGTCCAAGGCCTGGCGCTCACCAAAGATTGCACTACTCTCAGCATGGTACAGGAAGACAACTGATGGGACAATGCAAGCTGGGACAATCTCCAACCCAAAGGGTATCTCAGAAAACAGCACTAGGTGAGACCACAGCACAACCCCAGTCAACCTTTAAATCAGAAAAGGAGCTGGAGGATGCAATTCATTGATGTATAGAAAGTTTTAAAAAGTAAAAACTGAAATACAGAAAACAAAGTTTGCAATGTGTAAGAAATAAAGGACTGAAATTTGTACCTACAACTCAGCCCAGTAGTGGAATCCTGTTTGACAACGAGGTTTTCTTTGCCTCAGGGAAGCATAGGGAAGCTATGGGGGAAGCAAGAGGAGCTCTAGAATGTGTTTTGTGACTGTCCCCTTTCCTTAATTTTGGTTCTGTGCGGAAACAAACACAGACTAAGTCTATGTATAGCCATATCCGCTATTCACTTGTAAATGTTCCAAATAATTCAGGTAGCCTCTCAGAAGACACTCCAGCATCACTTAGCTGGATATTTCAGGGCAACTCATGTCATGTTTGGAAATATCCAGATAATATTCTAGTTGTCATCTAGTTTTTTCCTTCACCAAAAAAATGCTCAGCTGGACGTGGTGGCTCACGCCTACAATCCCAGCACTTTGAGAAGCCGAGATGGGAGGATTGTTTGAGCCCATAAGTTTGAGACCAGCCTGGGCAATATAGTGAGACTTCATCTCTACAAAAAATTTAATAATTATCTCAGCATAGTGGTGCTTGCCTGTAGTCCCAGCTACTCGGGAGGCTGAGGCGGGAACATGGCTTGAGCCCAGGAAGTCAAGGCTGCAGTGAGCTGTAAAGGTGCCACTGCACTCCAGCCTGGGCAACAGAGTGAGGTCCTGTCTCAAAAAAAAAAAAAAAAAGAAAAAGAGAGAGAGAGAAAAGAAAAGAAGTGCTCAAATTAGAATCTCTGTATATACAGTATTTATCTAAACATTCTCATATATGTAAAATTCCAGGGATATTGACATCATACAGAACAAGCATACTTTGCAAAACCAGCATGCTTCTTCTATTTAAAGCAATATCCCCTGGGTGTGACCTGAGCTTGTAAAACAAGTTCATTATATTTCCTTTCTGGAGACAACATGTCAAACCTTAAATATGGCTACTAATCAGAAGTTTAATTAAAAAACTTCAGCCGTACGATGAAGGAAGTTATATTCACCAGGGTTGAGAATAAATGGTAATGTTTTCAAAGTCTGAGAAAAACCTATATTACTTGCCTTACTCATCTACTTTGCTTACTACAAGCCCCTTTTATCTTATTTTCATATTATTTAATTTTCTCCCTGCCTGAAAGTAGCTTTAGTCTGTCTGAAAAAATATTATAATCCAAAAAATGGCAAGGAGAATTCAACAACAACAAAAATAATCAAAGCCATTCATGGTTCATGTGCCCAGATGAAGTTGTATTTATGGAACAGTCTTTTTTTCTAGAAGTCCAATGTGTAAATTAAGTTGCACCAAGGCAAGTCAAATTATTCCCTGGCCGTTTGTAGTATGCAATGTTTTATGTGACTTTTTACCCTCTTATTCAATGAAACAATACGTACTTGTATAGCAGCCAGACGAAGCAGTGAGTCACAGTCATCTAAGAGATGCCAAGTACTGTACCTCCTTGAGGAAACACACTCACCATGTGTAATGAGGACTCTCTGGATTTCCTGAAGTGATTCAACATAAATTGAATTCAACATTGAACTGAATAACCATAGATGTTGACAATCACAAGATCGGATGTACTAGAGTACCACTTGTCTTTGTGTAACTCCCACTCATTTATTACCAGTTAAGAGATGCACCCCTATTAGTTGGAGTGGAACACTGTCACTCAAGCAAAGAGATTACAGAATGTAGCCAGTTCCTTGTGGATATAAAATAATCAAGACTTTTTGAGGAAATGGTTGTCAGCTTTGGTTTTATGCTAGAGACCTCCCATTGATCTCTTTTCTCAAATTATTCAGCTTTTAGCTCAAGAGGGATGCTAAGCCAGGCTGGCCACCCAGGTATTTGATAATATAAGTCCTGGTGTCTATACGAAAAGGAGCTTATAAAAATCCACAGCATGCTAGATGTCATACCTACAGAAATTATTGCTTTTAAACTCAGGCAGAATAGGATAGATTTGATATGATTGGCATTAGGGAGCCAATGTGGGCTTTTGAGTGAGGAAGTAAAGATTTGATTGAAAAATCACGTTGACTCCTAAATTGTATAAACACTAATGCTTAGGGAAATTCAACTTCTTTGTCCTTTGGAGACAGTAACCAGAAACAGAGATTTGGGGGATATAGGAGTAAAATGATAAGAACAGGAGTGGGGGTCAGGGAGAAAGATACAGTTGCCAAAGCTGTAGTGGACACGACCACTGGATGGCAAAAAGGGCTTTACATATAGCTTGAACCAAGTTCTTTGAAGAATAAGGCCATTTGGACTTAGGCAAAAGACCAATAATCACCAGAGGACTTGGATTTATTATCCAAACATCTAGGTCCTTTAATCACAAAGTGTTTGGAAGGTTGAAATTTCAACCTAAATTACAAAAGCATCACAGCAAGGTTCCACCTGAACTAAAAGTTGGGGAATCAACTAAATCCCAAAGAAGAAAGGCTAGAATGTGCCTCTTGAGTGGCAGGCCACTTCCAAACTGCCCATTTGATAGGTTCAAATGGAAAGCCTCTCTCAAAACTCCAATTCCGAGATGACACCTAATTTACTTTTTAACTTTTATTCTTTGCCTAGAATGAATAAGAAATATGAGTGTTCTTTCATTGTAATGATGAATATGATTCCTTGTATTTACAAGATTCCTGTTCTGTAATAATTTTAATGATGTGCATATAAGAACCCCCATGAATGCTCTAGCACAGTGATTCTCAAAGTGTGGTCCCTAGACCATCAGCAAGGTCTTTGGAAACTTGTTAGAATGCAGTCTCAAGCCCCACCCCAGACTTACTGAATCAAAAACTTTGAGAGAAGAGTTCAACAGGCTGTATGTACTTAACAAGCCCTCCAGGTAGGCTCAAGTTTGGTACCTTCTGAGGTAGGCTCAAGGTTGAGAGCCTCTGCTTTTAAATCACAGTAAGAGCTATTCAAAATCATTAAGGTCATTAGCTGTGACTTGAGCTCCAAGGTATAGAAAAAAAATCAAGCCAGTGGGAAATTGTTCAATAACTTTCAAAATTTTCAAAGCATAGGTGTCAAAGCCCTATCTCGTAAATTTCTTTTACTGAATTGATTTATGTTGTTTATCTGGAGGGGCATAAATTGGTATTTTTATTACTACTGGCTCCCTTATAAAGCAACTGATAGGCCATATAAGTTTTTTAATATTATAATTTTTGTTAATGTTATAGGCCTTTTAATTTTGAATCCCTACCTTCCTTGTGAAGGCCTCTGAAATGGCCCTTCCCTAAATCAGTAGTTGTGGGCAGGGGAATGGAATTGTTTCGCCAATGTGAGAACTCATTCCAACCTCCCTAGGTGAGAGGATGAAATTGCACCCCACTTCCCCATCATATAAATTAGAAAAGATATGGGTCTTCTTCCCAAAGTTTGTTTAGCAACCAACACATGTCCCTTATAAGGAAGGTGATTCCTCTAAGATCATCATCTGTGAGAACAATGTAAGCCTGAAATTGAGAACAATCATCTTACCCGCTATGTGGAGAGATCTTGACTAAAAGTGAAACTGACACCCAGAAAAAAAGAAGGAGGCAAGGCATGGTGGCTCACACTTGTAATCCCAGCACTTTGGGAGGCTGAGGCAGGCAGATCACTTGAGCCCAAGAGTTCGAGACCAGCCTGGGCAACATGGCAAAACCTCATCTCTACAAAAAACACAAAAATTAACCAGACGTAGTGGCATATGCCTGTAGTCCTAGCTACTCGGGAGGCTGAGGCAGGAGGATCTCTTGAGCCCAGGAGGTTGAGGCTGCAGTGAGTCGTGATTGTGCCACTGCACTCCAGTCTGGGCAACAGAGCAAGACTGTGTCTCAAAAAAAAAAAAAAAAAAAAAAAAAAGCGAGAGAGAGAGAGAGAAAGGGAGACCTGCAAGCGTTGTTTGAACTCCCAGGAACCAACCATACGTGAAGCCAAATTAATCCTAAGACCTCCCAGCATGTCAACCAATAAATTCCCTTTTGGCTTGAGTTAGTTTCAGTTGGATTTCTGTCCATTAAGACCAAAGAACCCTGAGTAATACAATCTCTAAAATAATTTACAGCTTTGTGCGAATCGCAGATGTTCCAATAAACACCTTCAAGGGGAGGCATACATAAAAGATTGTGCTTGACTGATAGTCAAGAAATCAGAAACAGGGTTTTGGTACCATCTATTGAAGAACTTGGGCAAGTTTTAAGTCTCTGAGCTTTTCCTTACTTACATGTAACAGAAGAGATTGGTCTAGATCTATTCAAGAAACATGTATTCTAGAACTGATAGAGGCCTCAGAGATCAGTCTGTTCAAATATTTATTTTAGAAATGAGAAAACCTGGCCAGGCGTGGTGCCTCACACCTGTAATCCCAGCGCTTTGGGAGGCCGAGGCAGGTGGATCACTTGAGTTCAGGAGTTCAAGACCAGCCTGGGCAACATGGCAAAGCCCTATTTCTACAAAAAATACAAAAATTAGCCGGGCGTGGTGGCGTGTGCCTGTGGCCCCAGCTATTCAGGAGGCTGAGGTGGGAGGATCATTTGAGCCTGGGGAGGGTAAGGCTGCAGTGAGCTGTGATAGTGCAACTGTACTCCAGCCTGGGCCATAGAGTGAGACCCTCCCCCCAAAAAAAAGGAGAGAGAGAGGAGGAAGAAGAAGAAAAAAATGAGAAAATTGCAGAGAGTCATTTGGTCAATATCATAGAGCCTGTAGGTAGTTGTAGTTGTGCAAGCTCAAACATACCTGCCCTGACTCCGATTCCAGTGCCCTTTTCACAATAGCACTTAACTGTACTTTCTGAAGATGCATTTAGTTAATCATTGTTATCTTTATATACTAACATACTAGGATGGTCTTGGTTGCAAGTAATTCAAATAATTTTTAAATTAGAGGTTTATTGTTCACATATCAAGATGTCCAGAGAAAGGTTGATTCCACTGTTGGTGGGCCCAGAGATCTACAGCATATTAAAACCTAGATTCTTTCCTGCCGTTCTCAGCATGTCGACTTTGGTGCCAGGTTCTTTTCCTTATGGTCATAAGATAGTAACAACAACTCACACAAGTCCAAAAGCCAGATGGGGAAAAAGTCTTCTTATCAATTATATGTAATGTGGTATACCGGATAGCATCCTGGACAAGAAAAAGGATATTAGGGGAAAACTGAGGAATGCTGAAAAAAGTATGGACTTTAAGTAATAATAATGCATATGTTTTGTTTAATTAATTGGGACAAATGTATGGCACTATTGTAAGATTTTAACAATAGGGGAAATGGTGTGGGGCATATGGAAACTACTTGTACTGCCTTTGCAATTTTTTCTATAAATTTTTCTGTAAAATTATTCTAAAATTAAAAGTATATTTTAAAAAACAAAATAACTGGCCTTTGCCTGAGCCTGCAATAAGCAGTTTGCTCCTTTTCTCCTTTGAAAAATATCTTTGTTCAGAAATTGCTGCTGTTAAGTGGACTGTTAAATGTCTGTTGCAGTCAAGTTGCAGACAACTTGACTAAACTGACTTTAGATAGAAGTATTTCTTGTTTCACTGGAGTCAGATAATCACTGAATCTTCAACAATCAATGGAAATTGAGTTATCATCAAAATGCTATTTCATTGTATGCTGCAATCACTTGTAGAGTATAACTGCTAATGCTATAAATGGTGACTGCATGCTACGCCTTCCCCCACTCAAAGTCATATGCACATGAACTGCAAATATTCTTGTTGTTGCACTACAGAGCCTTGCAGATAAAAGATGAATTGTAGACAGCCAAGTTACTGGCTCAGCCAGTCGCAACACAACACAAAACAGGTGACTATAAAAACCATCTCTGTTTCTCTCCAATACACCATACTCCCTCTTCCAACACACACACACATACACAATTGGGGTGGTGGTGGTTGTGAATGTCTATATAATGCTAAGATCATCATTGCAGAAACTCCTGATGTGTGTATGCAGGAGAATAATCATTGAGAATCCCCTCCACCCATGGCAAAATCAGAGCACACAACACTGAAAATCCAGGTGCCAATTCAAACTGTAAGGATATTCTGAAAAATCTCAATATTTAAATTTCTAATCAATATTAAAGACTCTGAGCAAGCCTCTAGCTCTTTGATTAGGAAATGCTTTTAAAAGACTGTAGATATGGCCATGCAGGGTTATTTGGAGAAGTATCAACTAGTTTCTTTTCTCCTTTTTCCTTCCTAAGGATTTTGAGACCGTTTAGATAAAGTCTAATGCTTTGAAGATGGAAGTTCGAGTTGTTTTGTGAAAAGGAAGTTGTACGAGGTGCTTTTGTCAGGTTAATTAACTGTAAACTCTGAACTCTTTCTGAATCAGAGGCCAGCAGTCTCAAGACAATCATACTTTGCATGGGGTGTGCAAGAAAGCAGCAATATCTGAAAAAGCAAGAGATGGCAAGACTTACCTTGAAATTTAATCAGGGGAAAAATCCTAATGGATTCTCCTTGTATGACACTGACATAGAGGCATGAGAATATACTTATGTCAAGGATTGTAACTGAAAATAATTTGCAGGTGAGGATTGTTTGTTTGTTTGAGACAGGGTCTCACTGTGTTGCTCAATCTGGCGTGCAGGAGTGTGATCACAGTTCACTGTAGCTTCAACCTCCCAGGCTCTGGCGATCTTCCCCACCTCACTCTCCCAACTAGCTGGCACTACAGGCATGCCCCACCATGCCCGGCCAATTTTTGTGTTTTTTGTAGAGATGAGGTTTTGCTGTGTTGCTCGGGCTGGTCTCAAACTCTTGGGCTCAAGCTGTCTGCCCACCTTGGCCTCTCAAAGTGCTGGGATTATAGGCGTGAGCCACTGCGCCTGGCCTGCAAATATAATGAACTGGACTTCAAACACTAGACCTGATTCTCTAGTAAAAAGAAGTACAAATATATCCCATCCTACAAAAATCCTAACATGTTGAATCTCTGTTTTAGGAGTTACCAATACATATTAAAGAAGGATACTTGACTAAAAACCTTTTGAAATGACTAAATAACTAATCAGGGTGCTTGATGTTAGAAGACCCTGTTTATGAAGATTTAATCATATACAAAGGTGATAATTGTTGAAATGATGAGAAAATAAAAAGCAGATATATCTCAGGTTTTAAAAATCATAAATTCTGTATAACTTCCGAGGAGCATAAATTGTACAGAAAAGTAGTACAGCTGGAAACGTTGAGGCCTAAGAAATCAATCAACGAAAACAGCCTGAACAAAGCAGATGATAAGGAAGAATTGAACTTGACACAGATACATTCAACACAGAAAGGTACTGATTCAAATGGCACCTGGAGCTTACGGATGGAATCCAGAGAACCAAGGAAGAATGAAATGCCGAGTTCAAGACTAAATCGTCACTGATATGGTCTTAAAGAATCCTTTTGCTAGCAGTATACGCTGTTTAATTGAGTGACTACGTTCTGGGAGATCCTAGCATTTCCAAAAAGCACACTGGTGTTTTGTAGTTGGTCTGTGGGGTTAATCTGATAGGTAGAAGCAGGGATGTGACTCATCGTGGATGGGCTCTATCTGAAGCAGGACATTTTGTTTACAACATTTATCATTTGCTATTGCAGTAGCAAAGACAGTTAGTGAACACAGGCTTATCAAAAAACTAGAAGAAAAATATAACAGTGCAATTCCGGACTATTCAAGAGAACTTCTCTCAGTCTGACTGGCTGATTAACTAAAAAATGGCTATCTATCTTTTACTCAATTTTAATGAATATTATTAAAAGAAATACCACAAATTAAAATCAACAACAGTTAAAGTGATACTCCGTAAGACTTAGAATTATAAAATTTGTCCCTGGGATATTGAATTTATTGAAATAATTGTTCCCACTTTCCCCTCACACAACTCTTACTAGCAAAAACTGCAATCTGTGAATCATTAGGATCAGAAAACTGACTGATGAATCAAATTTTGTAAATGTTTACCCAGAGAAGAAAGAATTGATCCCAATGAAAATTTAAATAAAATTTTAAAAGGAAAAACTGGAAATTGTTAAACTGTTCAAGAAACCAATCAAGATTTAAGAAAAATTGCTTCAGAAAACATTTTTTTACAAAAATGCATTAATGTTACTGTTCCCATTTGAAGGTTTGTTTTCATAACCTCAGCCTCAAAACACCTTCAAAGAATGTTCAGTCAAAAGAAGTCAGTATCAAATATATTCTGAAACCCCTGAATCTGGTATGTGGAATTCAATTTATGCCATTTTATCTCCCGACTTTTGCATATATTGTTCTCCCTGCCTCGAATTCCTTTCTCTGTTTTGTATTCTAAGACAACTCAAGATTTATGCTGCAAGACTCAACTTACAAAAATTGCCTACAGATTGGACCCTCCTAACCTTTGGGCAGAGTTAGATACTTTTACACTGTATGTTTTTGTAAGGCTCCTGCATGAATATTCTATCATATCACTATAATTTCTTGATTATAGGGCTGTCTCATGTACACTAGATAGGAGATTTCTCTAGGGCATGGCTCATGTTCTAGTCCATTTGTTATGAAATCTCTGGCACATAATAGACATGTAATTAATTATTGCTGAATAACTGAGTGGACATGTAAGTGAGGTCTCTATGCTACTCACTCATTTATTTCTCTTGTCCTTTATGAACAAAATCATCAAATCTGCACCGCAACTTTAAAGATGTATTTAAGAAAAAGTTCTCTCCTATACATTCAGATTAGTACTAAACATGTATTTTGTGATGTCTCTCTATTAGCAACACCCCTTCCTTTTCTCCTCCTCCCTATCTATCATCAAGAAAAGCAGTGCATTAATGGGAATCCACTTGAGACTGGGATGGCCGGCTCAGGACCTCTTCTCTCTGGGTATTGGTGGGGGCATCCCTAGAGTGTGGGAGCACTTTCTGGGAGGTCCAGAGGTTAGGTCAACCAAGGGCTTTTTCTTTCCATCCCTTCTCAATTTGACTCTGGATTCAGCTGAATATAGTTAAAGGATTAATTGCCATCATTTTGTTCCCTAAATTAAGAGTCATTGTGGTAAGAACCAAGCATAGCAATATGGGCCAACCACAAAGAAATAAATTACTTTGTAAGTTTCAAAAGATTTTCACCAAATTACTGCCCTGTGCAAATGATGTTGGGGGGAAAATTTTGTTTGAGAAACATTTTCTTTTGTGACTATAATAAGGTATGTGTACCCCTGCTGAGATATGAGTCACATCCCCTGTGTTAGGAAACTGTGGATAGTTTTTGTGGGTTTGGGGTTTTGTATTAAATTTTCAGTGCCTCATGTTTCCTATGACTGATGAATGGATCATCACCTGACTCATAGGCTCTTTTGCTATGGATCACCGAAGTGCAGCTTTTAAAATTCAGTAATGTGGCACCCAGCTGCTCAGAGTTTTAATATGGAGCGAGTAACACCGGAAACATGTAACCAGTGCTTTGAAATGTACATTTCTGAAGTCACCTCTTCCCAGCTTTTTGCAGAATTATAATTAAACTGGTCTAGACTAGTTTGCAACTCCTATTTTTAGAGACCTACAGTGCCCCTTTTTTGGTCTAAGTAGGGATACAATAAACATATGGGTTTGTTTTTTCCAGATTAAAGACATGCCACTGACCTCAATTTCAGCATTCTAAAAGTGAACATTTATTTATTTATTTATTTATTCAACAAATACTTACAGGATGTCTACCTTGTATTCCACTTATGGAGATAGTGGTACTTATTTAGATAGCCCAGTGTGACTGAAGTTCAGATTATGGGAATTTGTAGGGAGAGTATAAGGGATAAGATTGGAAAGAGCAGTCAAGAGCTAGATCTTAAAGAACCTGTGTGCCAAGCTACAGAGTTTGGGCTTTATCCTGAGATCCAGGAGGAGCCCTGAATTGTTTCCACAGAGGGGTGAAATGAGACCTTTTGCACCAGAGTTGAGGAGAAATTAGATGAGGGCAAAGTAAGATGTGGAAGGCAGACCAGTTAGGAGCCTATCATCGTCATCCAAGAGGCAGATGGGGTACAGCCAGAATGAAAGCAAGATCAGTGGGCATAGAGCTAGAACTAATAGGACCTGGCAATGAATCCTGGACTGTGGTTTAGAGTCCTGGCAATCAGACTCTTAATGTTGGAGCCCAACCCCCATCACCACCCCAAAGGCAGAATCCTTGGTTCTCCTCTTTTCTCTGGAAACACACACTTCCTTGCAATCACAACCAATTTCAGGATGACACTCAAATTTATATCTCCAGCCCAGGCATCTCTGAACTCTAGACTTGAATATTCAACAGTCTATGCAACACCTCTATTTGGATGTTTAGCAGAGCTATTCAACATACTATAACCCAATCTGAATGGGAGACCTTCCCTGAAACTTGGCTTACCTTCAGTCTTCTCCATTTTTGTTAGTAGCAACTCCACTTTCAATTGCTTACATCTGAAACTTTGATGTAATGGTGACTCCTATGTGTGTGTGTGTATATATATGTGTATATATATGTATATATATATGTGTATATATACGTATATACATATATACACACATATATACATATATACACACATATACATTTATATATATATATTTCACATTCAGTCCATCAGCACATGCCCTTGGTTTTAACTTTAAAATCTACAAAGAATCAGATCCCTTCTTCCCACCTCCACCACTACCACTCTAATCAAAGCTACCACCATCTTACTCCTGGATTAGTATAATAGGCTCCTAACCTGTCTACCTGCTGCTCCCTGGCCCTTGCAGTCTATTCTCTACACAGCAGCCAGAATGATGCAACACCCCCGCCAACCTGTTATTTGAAGCTTTTCGAGCATACAGAAAACTTGAAAGAACAATACAATATAAAATGTCTTTTGCAGCTTCTTTTTCTGATCCAAGATCCAATCAAATGCAATTTGATCACATTTGATTGTTGTATATTTTTAGTCTTTCTTAATCTAGAATAATCTTTCTTCTTTTTAAATGACATGTACTTTTTCATATAGAATATCCCACACTTTCTGAATTTGTCAGTTTCCTCATATATTATGTTGTATAATTCATATTGCATCAGATCAAGAGGCACATAATGTCAGGTTGTCCTAATGCTTATGATGCTGTTTGATCACCTGACTAATGAATCAACTCACCAGAGTTCTCCATTGGGAAGATAAATTTTCCTCTTTGTAATTAGTAAGAAATTCATGGGGTGATACTTTGACACCTTTCAAATATCCACGATCTTTTACCCAATGGTTTTGCTATCTACTAATAACCTTTTCTAGATTATTTATTATACTGGAAGTTGCAAAATCATGACTTTAAAATATTCTCACTCCTATTTTGTAACAGACGTTTTAGTAAAAAATCGCCTTCCTTATTTTTCCCTTTCTTCTCTTCTACCCTTTCCTGCTGCCCTCCTTCTCCTCCTCCTCCTTCTCCTGACTCTCACGGTGGATTCAATGTCCACTCAATTTTAATTCAATGTGTTATCATCAACTACCACAGAATGATTTATTTAAAATGTATACAGATCATGTTCTATTCCTCTACTGAAGCCTCATCAATGACTTCCCCCTTCACTTGAAGTAAACATCTAAGTCCTTACAGTGGCCTGCGAGGTCCTGCATGATCCAGTCTCCAATTCATCTCCCGCCTCACGTTTTGCTCACAGCTCCAGCCATCTGCTCTCCCGACTGTTCCTCAAACACTCCACGTTTGGTCCTGCCTTGGGGTCTTTGGCTCCACCACACCCTCTCTCAGTAATGCTTCTCCTCTAGATATTCCCGTAATATTGTTCCTTATCATTTTCAAATTTTTTCTTAAACCCACCTGACTAGCTATTTTTAAATTTTTTAAGTCAATACTCCCCATCCTTCTTACTATACTACTTTATTTTCTCCACCAATTTTATCCATTTCTTACATTATTTCCTGTGTTTATTGTCTGCCTCCAATTAGAATTAAGCTCCGAGAGTGTAGGGAATTCCATCTGTTTTATGCACTGCTACATCCCAGGGGCTAGAATAATACCTCCTCAGGAAATGTTTACTAAGTGAATGGATGCATGGATTGATAAGGGGTTGAAGGAGAAGGAGATGCTCATTTTTCAGCTTGGTTATCTGCAGTGACAGTGTTCTACTTTCTGAGATAAGGAAAGGAACACAGAACAAGCAGTGTGTGTGGAAGCAAACTTTGGACATGTTGAGTTTTAGGTGAGATAGCCTGTGAGGTAGCCATGTGGAAAAGCCCAATAGGAAGTTGGCTAGACCTAGATTTAGTGGATAGACCGGGTATGAAGTAGTTTCCAAACACCTAAAGCAAAGTCATGTCTTAATTCATTTTAAATGAATTGAACATTATTGAATTGAATTAACATGAATGGAAAGGCTAAGAATCTTTTGCCTCCCAAGCTGGCATGCCAACCAAGCGTGGGAAGAGAGCTATTAACACTTTCCTGCGTCTGCTAGGTTTTGAACTGCTCAAGTCAAAGACAGCACTAAACACCTGGTAATCGTTCTAATGGTTTGTCAACAAAGCGGGATCTGTTAGTCTTCTAGGGTGATAACTGTTTCTAGTAGTCCAAAGACTTGGTTAAAGACACCTGCATCCTGTATAGAGCAATTAGTACTTTAAAAATGTGGTTTTCTTGTTGATCTACTAAGTGTGGTAACCTTTGCAATTCCTTTAATCAAAAGAAAAGAAAAGCAACATCAAAAATTCTTTCATTCATTAGGCTCTAATCTTTTCTCTTCCTTCCTACACCTTCCTAATTCTCCCAAGTCTTGGGAAAGTGTTCAATAGATGATGAGCTGTAAGAAGCAAGAAGAGTTTGTCTTGTGCGGTGTCACCAGTGTTTAGCACAGTATCTTTCCTCAAATAGGTGCTCAGTATATTTCATTCTGTTATATATCAATGTCTATCTTTTTTATTTTTGAAACACCATCCATATCTCTGCTCTACCTCAAAACCTGAATCCCCCTTCTCTCAACAACATCTGGAGCCACTAAGTCAGTTCTTATAGTTAAAAATAAAGGTAACTATGAGAGAAGGAGAAGTCGATGGTATTTCAAACCGGCATGAAAATTGTCCATTGCAACTTTGGATAGAAAGAAAATTTAAACTCGTTCCAGTATCGTAAGACTAGACACACAGCAATGAATAGGAATATGAGTCTTTCTGAATGCTCATGGGGAATTTCCATATTAGCTTATAAATCCTACCCACATGATGGGTTATTCCATTATTCCATAAGCTCCTTGAAGTCTTTTAGTTTCCTTTAGAATGACGGTGAATAAAGTAGATGTGGTCATTCATATTTTTAACAAAAGAGAGATCAAAAATGAAATTATGGGCATATATTCAGCAATTTCAGATTTTGCCATTATTTATGACCATGACTACAGATGGTACACCGATCTATGGTGTCTCGAGATTGCAGTGTTAGTAAGCTAAGGACAGCATAAATCAGAGAAGTTTCCCCTTTCACTGTAGATACAGAAAAATAAAAATAATTAGAGCCTCCACTGGTCAACATTAAGGTCTCAAATATAAATTTTATATTAAACTTGCCTATTGTTTTATGGCTTTCCTTATTTATTTTATTTTATTTTTTCTGGAATAGAAAGTGAGGATATAGGCCGGGCATGGTGGCTCACACCTGTAATCCCAGCACTTTGGGAGGCCAAGGTGGGCAGATCACGAAGTCAAGAGTTTGAGACCAGGCTGGCCAACATAGTGAAACCCCATCTCTACTAAAAATACAAAAAATTAGCCAGCTGTAGTGGTGGATGCCTGTAATCCCAGCTACTTGGGAGGCTGAAGCAGGAGAATCACTTGAACCTGGGAGGCAGAGGTTGCAGCAAGCTGAGATCATGCCACTGCACACCAGCTGGGTGACAGTGCGAGACTCCATCTCAAAAAAAAAAAAAAAAAGAAAGAAAGAAAGTGTGGATATAGTTAAGATAGGAAGGCAATTGACATTTAAAAGCACTTTCTAGTCGGCTGGGCGCGGTGGCTCACACCTGTAATCCCAGCACTTTGGGAGGCTGAGGCGGGCGGATCACGAGGTCAGGAGATCGAGACCATCCTGGCTAACACAGTGAAACCCGTCTCTACCAAAAATACAAAAAACTAGCTAGGCGTGGTGGTGGGTGCCTGTAGTCATAGCTATTCGGGAGGCTGAGGCAGGAGAATCGCTTGAACCCAGGAGGCAGAGGTTGCAGTGAGTCGAGATCATGCCATTGCACTCCAGCCTGGGTGACAGAGCAACACTCTGGCCAAAAAAGAAAAAAAAAAGAGCACTTTCTAAAGTGACTATAACAAGGTGACCTGATCAGGATAGTGTCAACAGCAAAAGTGTAGAGTCACTGAGAAATCCACTTTGGTGAAACCATAGATTAACAGTTATTTAAACCCCTGTACTGGAACAGGTCTCTTTGCTATTCTGATCTTTCTCAT
This sequence comes from Homo sapiens, assembly GCF_000001405.40. Classification (NCBI taxonomy): domain Eukaryota; kingdom Metazoa; phylum Chordata; class Mammalia; order Primates; family Hominidae; genus Homo; species Homo sapiens. Next base: position 65,662,252 of record NC_000012.12, read on the forward strand.
GGATTCAATTTTAAGAGTTATCTATGCTTTAAAAAAAAATTCCATGCAGAGTAGATTTTATACATAGCAACCACTAACAAAAGATGTGCAGGAACCTGAATGCCATCCTCTCAGCAGAAGGCACACACCTTGGTAATTTGACTGTGAAATTTAACAATAATAAATGTACATAATGGATTATCATGAAGTCATAAAGCAGTAAAGAATTCAGAAATATGATAAAATATAATATAGTAAAATCAAATATTTCTAAAACAATAAATGTCAAAGATCAAACAACAATACAGAGAGAAGATATCTAGCTAGGATTTTTTTTCTTTAGATAAGCCAGATTAGAAGAATTAAAAATAGATAAAGATTCCTCTAAAGTTGAGTGGTTACGATTGTATGTATGCTATTTTAATTAACTTTCATTCATTAGCCCTTCATCCATTTTAGAATGTCCACAAATGCCCCAATCACTTAAATCTTAAGTCATTGACATAGAAGTGGCAACTCCTGAAAGCATCCCATCTGCTTCCAATAAGAAACTTGATATTCTTTAGGACTTATGGATGGTGGGAGAAGGTTGCCTAAAGTGAGGCTTCAGAAGTGGCCTGAAAATCCTCATAGGTGAAACCCAAATTTCTTTGACTGTCTGTAGTTCTACATTTATATCTAGAATTTCAACAGTAAGCATAGAGCAGTTTATTTGCCCAAAGATAACCACATTACAGGTTTCCGACTAATCTGGTTTGCATACTTATATATAAATCTTTTGGGGAGGAGGGATTATGAGGGAAGGAAAACAGCTGATGAAGGATTAAAAACACTTTTAGTTTCCTATTCCTTTGAACTCATTCAACGATTCCAGGGAAAGTTTCCTTATTTCAACCAGGAGTGGGTCAGGAACCCAATAATGAGTTATAGACCTTGCTGACTGCCCGAGTTGATTCTTTTCTCCCATCCTTTTCCCAGAGTCTGAAATGATTCCACCTGGTCTTAGCAGAAAGCTGGCCCGGAAGTTGTAATACATGAAGATCCAACAGCCACCACGTGACCAAGAGAAAAAAGCCAAAAGAATCACAGACCTGGCCTTCACATTGTAGAGGTTCTTAGCCAGGGCCAATAGTTGCCGCTCTCTGAACTTCTTATCGTATGAGAAAAATAATCATTTACTTGTTCAAGCCACTGTTGGTTGAGTTTTCTATTATTGGCAGCAAAATGCATTCCTATCTGAATGCAGCCAGTATCATCTTAATCTGACACTTTCAGACCCATGTTAGATTTGGATTAACCTCTTTGGGTTTTGCAAAGTAGGCCTAAATTTGACCAGTTGGATTTGACTCAAAATCAGGCAGCACAAGGTATGTGAAGAGATTAAAAAATAGGGGATGGTCTGCCTCTTTCTCTCTACAGTACTTTCATCCTGCTTGTCTGCTCCACTTCAGTCCTTAACACACATCCATTAGCCCAACATGCCTCTTCCAAAATCTTGATTTCAAAACTCATTCCCTGAATCCCACCTCCTAACCTTGCACCTCACTTATTGGTATGCCTCTCATTACAGCAATTTTCTCCGTCAGTGCCCCACCTCTGATTCACTGTTCATTTATCCTACAACCGTCACATTCTTCATGGCCTCTCGTGTCTGCACTTCCCTTATTTACTCAGCTTAGACTTCATTGTGCATCATCGTAAACACCCACCCGCAGCTCCCTTCTTTCTCACTCCCCCATCATACTCTTCTGGTTAAAGCAAAACAAAACAAAACAAAGAAGAACAAAAAAACCAACCTCAATTAAGCCCAAGTCTCCTCCATCTCTGTGCATGGACCCATGCTGCTATGCTGCTGGATGAGATATCACAACAGGGTCTATTTCAGAATCATGACCCCAAATCCCAAAAGTCTGTTATTACTGCCCAACGGTTCTAACTCATTCCCTCAGTAATTTGCTTTCTCACTCTTCAGGTTACCATATAATACTTACTCCTGCTGCCTCAAACTTTCCCTGCCTGAGGCATTGGTCATGTCTCATCTTTACTGAGAAAAAGGAAATCCCTACAAACCTTTTTGGTCCCCAACCTTTTTGGCACCAGGAACCAGTTTCATGGAAGATAATTTTTCCACAGATGTGAGGGTGGGAGGGGATGGTTATGGGATGAAACTGTTCCACCTCAGATCATCAGGCATTAGATTCTCATAAGGGGTGCACAACCTAGATCCCTCACATGTGCAGTTCACAATAGAGGTCGTGCTTCTATAAGAATCAAATGCTGCTGCTGATCTGACAGGAGGCGGAGCTCAGTCTGGAACACTCACCTGCCTGCTGCTCACCTTCTGTTGTGTGGCCCGCTTCCTAACACACCACAAACTGATACCTGTCCAAGGCCCGGGGATTGGGGATCCCTGCCCTACATTCCAACCTACACATTTACCAATTTATCTGACCTTGTATGCATATTCCCTGCTTTTACAGTAGAAGAATCATCTCTATATCAAAAAGGTTAACAAGTCCCTTCATTTATGCTTAAGTGCCCTCCCAGGGACAATTCTTTGCCAGCTATTCTGGCTTCTGTGCATCAGCAATCTCTTATTCTCTACTGAGTCGTTCCCACAGGGCTATGTTAGCATCATCCTTTCATGACCCTGTATTCAACTGTTCCACCATGGCCCATTTCTCTGATCCTTTCAGAGCAAAATTTCTCCAGACTTCACACCTCATGCTGTCAGCACCCGAGTCACCTCTCATTCACTTGCTCTTCAATGTGTTCCTTTCTGGCTTCTGTCACCACCACCCTACTGAAACTGCTCTGGTCACAGTTGCAATGGCTTCCATGTTGCTAAACCCCACTTCCAGAATGTTTGGAAGAACTGAACACAGTTGGCTACTCCCTCCTTCATGAAACACTCCCCACACTTGGCATCAATCATACCATACTCTCTTGGGGTTTTTTTCTCCCTTACTGGCCTTGATTCCCAGTCTTCCTGGCTGGAATCGTATTTGCTACTTGGCCTCTGATGCTGGAGAGCCTCAGGTCTTGGTCTTCAGCCCTCCTCTGTATTTATGTTCCCTCTCTAATGAATTACATCTATTCTCATGCCTTTGAATACTATCTTGATGCTGTTGATTCTCAAATATTTATCTCCAGCCATGCCTCCTTCCTTGAGCTCCAGATATTCATACTCAACTTCTTATGTAGTATCTCCATGCCCCTTGGAGATCTAATAAGGATATCAAACTTTTAATACAGATGAAATTAATATCTTCTTACCCTCTCTCATCACTATGTACAACACACCTCTTGCTCCCCTGACTCCTGTATTTTAATAAAGGGTACCATCTCCACCTACATGGTTAAACCAAACATTTAAGGCTCATCTTACTTTCCTCTCTCTTCCCTAACCCAATGCTACCAAGTCCTCTTGGCACTGCTTTCAAAATCATGTCAAATCCACCTACAGTCATGCACCACATAATGACATTTTGGTCAATGATGCACCACATATATGATGCTGGTTACAAAATATTATGATATTATAATTTTACTATACATTTTCTCTGTTTAGATACACGAATACTTACCATTGTGGTACAATTGCCTGCCGTATTCAGTACAGTAACATGTTGTACAGGTTGGTAGCCTACGAGCAACAGGCCATATCATGTAGCCTAGGTGTGTAGTAGGCTCTACCATCTATATATGTTTGTGTAAGTAAAGTCTATGATATTTTCATAATGAAAAGATTGCACAATGACAAAATTTCCTATAATACATTTCTCAGAATGTAGCATGGTCATTAATCAACACATGGTTGCATCACCCTCCATCCTGCACTGACACCTTTTTAGTCTAAGCCACAATCTTCTCTCAGCTAGACTATTGCTATAACTCTACATAGTCTTTCTACCCTCCCATGGCATTCTAAACCTCACAGACCATCTAGAGAGCTTCTCTTAATGTATACATTGAATCTTTTAGAATAAAATTTAGCCAGATGCAGTGGCTTACACCTGTAATCCCAGCACTTCAGGGAGCTGAGGCGAGCAGATGGCTTGAGTCAAAAAGTTTGAGACCAGCCTGGGCAACGTGGCAAAACTCCGTCTCTACAAAAAAATACAAAAATGAGTTGGGCATGGAGGCATGCTCCTGTAGTCCAAGCTACTTGGGAGGCTGAAGTGGGAGGATAGCTTTAGCCCAGGCGGTCAAGGCTGCAGTGAGCCAAAATCACACCACTACACTTCAGCCTGGGCAACTGAGTGAGATCCTGTCCCCAAAACAAACAAGCAAACAAAAAGAACAAAATTTAAATTACTTTCTGATATGGTTCGGCTGTGTTCCCACTCAAATCTCATCTTAAATTGTAATCTTTATAATCTCCACCTGTCAAGGAAGGGACCCAGTGTTAGGTGATTGGATCATGGAGGTGGTTTCCCCCATGCTGTTCTCATGATAGTGAGTGAGTTCTCACAAGATCTGATGGTTTTATAAGAGTCTGGCACTTCCCGTGCTTGCACTTTTCTCCCTCCCACCACCCTGTGAAGAAGGTGCCTGCTTCTCCTTCTTCCATGATTGTAAATTTCCTGAGGCCTCCCCAGCCATGTGGAACTGTGAGTCAATTAAACCTCTTTTCTTTATAAATTATCAGTCCCAGGTATGTCTTTATGGCAGTGTGAAAATGGACTGACACACTTTCCTTGGCCCACACGATCCTGCAAGCTCTTGGTCTCCCTCCTTTGACAGCCTCTTTTCTACCATCCCCTCCACTCCTCACTGTGCTCTGGAATCTAGCCCCTTTCTTAACTCCAGGCCTGAGCAACTGTTGTTCTCTCTGCCTAGAATGAGTTTCCCCTGCCCTTCATGACGTGGCTGACTCATTCTTATCTTTTAGTTTCCATCCCAATTCACCACCACAGAGAGAGGCTTCCTGGGCCATGCTCTCAGACCTGATCATCCCCACTGATTCTCTATCTCAACTTGTTTGCTGTTTCCTAAGCATTTCTCTCTGTCTATAATTATTTTATTACTAGATTACAGCCTCTGTACCCCAAGTTCACTTATGTATCCCAATGACCAGTGCGACAGGAACTCAATAAATTATGTTTACAAATGAATACAACTCTATGAAGACAGGTTTTTTTTTTTAACCTAGAATTCCAGAACACTATAAATAAAAAGACCTTAGAGTCATCTAATCCTAGAAACTGAGGCTCAAAAAATTAAGGGACCCCTCTGAGTTCATAAGCTGGTTTAGGACAGGGTCCAGCCTGGAATCCAGGTGTCTTGACTTTTGTCCTGTGATGACTTCCTCAGGCTCTTCAGTTGTCAGCTAAGGAAACTGACTCTGGCTAATTTAATCAACAAAGGGATTCTTAGAAGGGTTTTAAGTTGTTCCCAGAATTAAGGAGACTGCCACCCCAGGCTTTAAAAAGGGCAGGCTCTGGATATTTAGGTAACAAGTGTTAATGAGCCATTGTAAGGGCACCAGAGTCAGGATGAATTCACTCTGGTCCTTTTTCTTCATTGTGTCACTCCACTCGACAGTCACATTCCCAGGAGAAAAAAAAATATGAGAGTCTCAGTTTGGGTCTCATTCTCACTCTTTAGATAGTCAAATATTGGTCCTGCCAATACTGTTGTGCGATAGTGACTGAGTGATTTCCCAAATGGAAATGGATGTGCTGTTACCATAAGAAGAGAAGCTGGATGTCGGGAAGACAAAAACAACAGATGTCCACACTACATCATAACACATAGCCGGCAGGAGCTGTGCTTGATGCCGAAACATTGACCTCCCAATAAGCCAAGTCTCCAGGTTGGTATTCTATGTTTTGTGAAGTTATTAGGCAATGGCTTCCTTTCCTGTTGGTTATGCAAATGTTCCCGTGTGAGAATTCTCCCACGAAGGCCCAGGAAGCAGAGTGGAGGGCGTTCTGTGGTGTGAACGCTGCCAGCCGGTGCTGGAGCTCCAGCTTACTGCACATTATGTTGTGCTTGTTCCTGTTTGCCCAGGGGTCAGGTTGCTATGAATGTGGAATTTTGTTTCCTCTCTCTCCAAATGAAATAGTCCGAAAAACATATTCTCAGCTGTTGAGAAGAAAGTCTGCATATTATTCATATTTTCTTCTTGTTACTGATGCTCCACTGCAAAGCGAAAGAGACTGCAATAAATATAAGCCTTAACTCACCAAATATGTATTAAGCTCTAACCAAGGATTAAGATTACATTGAAAGGAAATATAAATGGAACAATTGCCTCCATTATGTTTTCCTTATTCCTGGCTCCACTACTGTTCCCTTTCTATCTTTTCCTGCCCCCTGTCGCTAACAACTACCAACCTAATACCTGTGTCACTCCATATCCAGGCCTGCTTCTTAAGGGTTTTTGTATGGAGGAAAGAGAAAGAGAAGAAGACCCCCAAAATGCTGAGGATTTTCCAAGTGGAAACAGAAAGTTCAAAAGAGCTGAAGTGCCTCTTCTTCCTTCACTGAACAAATCGTTATCCACACCAGGATGTGAAATGGAATCTCAGAGACTGAAGCTCTCAGACATTGCACCTTCCTCCACGACGAAGACCTTAGCAATCTTCCTACTTGTCTTTTGAGAAGTTTGATTCACCGTAGGCTATAAGGTGAGGTTAAGGCTGCTATAAACCCCAGTGTTGAGGGGACAGTAATGAAATTCAGTAGAAAGATTAATGAAAAATCAAAATTTGTGAGACTCTACCCAGAGACCAAAAGAAGACAAAAACATGTATGACCATGTAATATCCTGGGATGCAATATGAAGAATCAAAGTTGTTTAACTGGAAATGATTCTGCATAACACAGGGTATAATTTCATTTACATAGGGAGTATCTGGCACTTGGCAAAATACAAACTCAGAAAAGTCTGACTAATATGTAAAGATATTTCCCTTCATCTCCCTATAGGAGAAGAAGACACATGCTACATAAGTGTAATCTGTCCTGCTGTCCCCCAGCACATCCTGCAGGGCTAGAGAAGAGCAGTACCTATTTGCATAACTAAGACTATGTGAAAAGGAAAAATGGTACATGAGACTGGAAAGCTGTAGCCAGATTCCCAAGGGCCTTGAGAATCCATTAAAGACTTTTGAACAACAGAATGACATGACTCAAAATATGTTTTAGGAAAAACCTATCTGTAATGAGATGGGTTGGAAGGGAGGAGAGAATAGAGACAGGCGAAGTAGATTACTGTTTGCTGAAGTCATAATCGTGAGGAATCACGAGCATCTGAACTGGAAAAGTGGCCCCAGTGGAAAGATAAGTAAAAGAGAAAGTCAAGAGAAATTACAGTGCTCAAACCACAGCACCAATCAGCTGACTAGCTGTGGGGAGTAAGGAAGCAAACAAAATTAAGAATTACTTTGAGAAAAGAACTTGCGACAGAACTACCATTTGACCCAGCAACCCCACTACTAGATACATACCCGCAGGAAAAGAATTCATTCTATCAAAAAGACACATACACTTATATGTTCACTGCAGCACTATTCACAACAGCAAAGACACAGAATCAACCTAGGTACCCTTCAACAGTGGATTGGATAATGAAAATGTGGTACATATATACCATAGAATACTACACAGCCAAACAAAAGAACAAAATTATGTTCTTTGCAGCAACATGGATGGAGCTGGAAGCCATTATCTTAAGTGAATTCATGCAAGAGCAGAAAACCAAATACTGTATATTTTCAATGAAATACACGTAGACATAAAGATGGGAACAGGAGACACTGGAAACAGTGGGAGACACTGGAAACCAGGAGACAGATGGGGTAGGGAGGGTGGGGACATGGACTGAAAAACCACCTATTGTGTACTATGGGGAATGGGATCACTTGCACTCCAAACCTCAGCATCATTCAATATACACATATAACAAACTTGCACATGTACCCCTTAATCTATAATAAAAGTCAACATTATTTTTAAAAAGAATTACTTTGAGATAGTCTGTCTTCATTTAAAATTTTGCTATTTTGTTCATCATGGATTTTTTGCATTAATTTTGACTTTTGAAAATAAATATTGTACATTATCCTTAGCAAACGAATGCAGGAACAGAAAACCAAAGACCACATGTTCTAAAGTATAAGTGAAAGATAAATGATGAGAACACATGAATACATAGAGAGGAACAACACACACTGGGGCCTATCGGAGGGTGGAGAGTGGGAGGAGGGAGAGGATCAGGAAAAATTATAGCTACTAGACTTAATACCTGGGTGATGAAATAATCTGTATAACAAACCCCCATGGCACATGTTTACCTATGTACCAAACCTGCACATCCTGCACATGTATCCCTGAACTTAAAATAAAAGTTACAAAAATAAATAATGAAAAAATTGCATTAAAATATTTATCGCGATTACTGAGTGTATTCATTTCCAGTGACTGCTTTAACAAATTGTTACAAATTTAGTGGGTTAAAACAGCAGCAATGGATTCTGTGTCACAATTCTGGATGCCAGAAGTCTGAAATCAAGGTGTTGGCAGGGCCACGCTCCCTTGGAAGGCTCTAGGAGAGGATGCTTTCCTTGCCTCTCCCAGCTTCTGGTGGCTGTCAGCATTCCTCCATCACTTCAATCTCTGTCGCTGTGGTCACATTACTTTCTCCTCTTCTGTCTGTGTAAAGTTTCTCTCTGACTCACTTTTTTTTTTTTTAATGAATTGAGGTAGCCTCCATTCTACAAAATAGAATGAAAGCTTTCCTGACTCACTCTTATCGTGACACTTGTGATTGCATGTAGGGGCCTGCCCTCTTCCTCCAGGATAATCTCCCCATCTCAAGACGTTCAATTTAATCATATCTGCAAATGCCTTGTCATAGAAGGTAACATTCACAGGTTCCAGGAATCAGGATGTGGCTATCTGGTGGGAGAATGTGCTGATTTTTAGCCAACCACACTGAGTTCACTCTAAATTTTGCATCTTAGGCAAGTGCCTCACCTCATTCTTCACCACAGGCCTGGCCTTGGATCATTTGAGCCTAAGAAGTTAGGAGAGTGGTGTTTTTATTTACAGAATTGGGAAATTCAAGAGAAGGAATTGATTTGGAACAGCAAATATTGCTGAAATATTTAAAATACACCTAGACATTAAAGCATGCAACTGAAGCATAAGACCTGATTTTTATATTCTTTCAACATGGCCTCATTTTCCTGGTGCCAAATGTAAGCCCACCTTGAGAGCAGGTTGTGATGCTTTGTGTCTTTACTTAGAGTTGAGAAGATCATACTGCCCAACATTCATCCTCCCTTTATTTGGAAACAGTGCCAGAACTTGCTTTGGGGGACCATGTTTCATCATCTATCAGACTGCGTGATTAGATGGCCTCTCTTCCCAACTCCAGGATTGGAGCTTATGATCCAAGACTGGCCAGTCAATAGCACTGTTGCTCCCTGAATTATAGTTATTAACTCACAAATATGCACTTGCCTCAAATTGATCCATTAAGAATGAATTCTGGGACTTTGGTGAGAATCACCAGGAAGAAACATAGAGTTTTCCTCTCAACTTGCATCTGGGAATATGTGTCCCTGGAGTCCGAAGTTAAAAGAAGGAAAGGCAAAACTAGGCATCAAGGATCTCGATAACAACACTCAAGTCCCTAAATCAAGTCACACTTGAAGTTAGCCTACTCCTAAGCTTTTCAATTGCCTGAACAAATAAATTTCTCTTGTTGCTTAAGCAAGATTGAATTAGATTTTTTTTTCCTGTCACTTAAAGCCACTGCCAACATGGCGAAGCCCTGTCTCTACTAAAAATACAAAAATTAGCTGGGTGTGGTGGCGGGTGCCTGTAATCCCAGCTACTCAGGGAGGCTGAAGGATGAGAATTGCTTGAACGCTTGAACTCGGGAGGCAGAGGTTGCAGTGAGCCAAGATCGCGCCACTGCACTCCAGCCTGGACAACAGAGTAAGACTCCATCTCAAAAAATAAAATAAAAATAAAATAAAAAAAGAAAATTATCATTTTAATTATTTAGCTGCCTGGTGGAGATGATGTGGTGGATGGGGCAGATAAACATTCTGAGCTGAGGTTGTATGCCAGGGACATTTGGATTTTATTTCATGAAAGTGTAAATTATTTCATCCTTTGGCCAGAATGCCATCACTACCATGGAATTTGTACCATGCCACAAAGTTCCATGGAGGGTAGGAGTGGGCAGGAATCCGATGTTTTCCTTCAAGAAGATAGGGCAACCCGACCAATCTCCAGAAAATACATTGATTGTGGGGAGTGGGGGATGAAAAGAATTGGAGGAAGGAATAGGAAGGTCCCTAGGTGATGTTGGGCAAAGCTACTGGAGGCAGCTAACCTGCGTAAGTGAAAGGACAATGGGGCCATTTAGGGCGGAGACTGGGGCAAGAGAGAGCTGGTCAGGAATGCAGGGAAGTGGCAGGGGAAAGAACACTTTCCAGATTGCATTCCCTAGAGGTTCTCCTTCCTTGAGTTATCCTGGACTTTCTTCACAAAAATAGGAATTAGTATCTGGTGGAAGTGATTATATTTGCCTAAGGCTGTGCTATACTAAAATAATATAGGGTGAAGATTTCATAATATTCCCACTTCAGTCATCACCTCACAACTTTACATTTCAATGTCTGACCTTGGGACAGCCCCTTCCAGTATCACATTAAGAATATTTAAAAGAAACAGGGAAGCCCACCAGTAAGTTAGCATCTCCAAAAGAATAGTAGTTGTCAGCCCAGGAGGTTCTATATTTTCAGCGGCAATTTAACACCTTGTCTAAAATTTTCAAGCACTTGAAAAATTCTTGTTTTACTCTTTACCAAGGTTTCACTAATTCTTTCCCCTTAACAGATTAAAAAAATGGCTTATAGGTTGGAAGATTCCTTTTGCATTATGTTAATAAAATAACACTTGACATGTTTAATACTAATTATATCAATGGGTTGAAGTAATAAGTGAAATAAAACCCAGTGAAACTTGTTTTTAAAAACATAAATAAGTAAATGAAGAGCCTACAAAGATATTAATGGTTTCCTTGGTCTTAAATTTTCAAGTGTTATTCAAAGCTCTTTGGGGACTGTAACCATGGAAGCCTATAGAGTTACTGTTACTTGTATTTGGCAAGATTCTCCATGTCAATTGTACAGTAAAGGCTCAACAAGAAAGAGAAATCCAAGGGAAAAAAATTGGCAGAAACAGAAGCAAATTATCCTGGTTTCATGTACAGGCTTTATGTACATGACTCAGAGAGGTATGAGGGACAGCCATCACACTGAATAAATATAAGAGGTGAGTTTTTGGAAGAAATTCAGATTATTTTTTATTTAAGGGAGTTAACTCAATTTAGCTTGAAAGAGTATTTATGTACATTAAAAGATCAGATATATGATCATGTTTTAGGAAAAATTTAAAGATTCTAAATATGGCATTACTTATAAGTATATAGTATGTGTGTTCATACCTACAAACATATCTGAAATTCTGATGAAGAAAATGTGGTTTATACTTTTAACATCAGTTCTAAAATTCACTTAGGAAAGTTCTTAGGAACTCCTAGAGATAAAAACATTAATAAATAAAGCCTAATTTTCATGAATGCTTATACTCAAGGGCTATTCAGCCTGAATTACACAACACATTTTGAGCTTTGTAACTCTTAGAGTGCATATAATTTTTAATTGACTTTTCCTTGGCAATGTCAGTATGTTTGTATTATATTCATGGGACTCCCTCTGGTGTATAACTTAACACATGAAAATTCTTGTTTTACTCTTTACCAGGGTTTTCTTGCAGCCTGATGGATAAGGTGTCTAATTATGAAGTACTGTGGAAAGCTCTGGATCAAATCATATGTTTTTATTGAAAATGAGGTCATGTTGGGTTGTGTGATATAACTAAATAATCAGTTAACCATTTATCCAAGCCAAACACAGAGTAATTAGGTTTGGTAAGATGGCTTCCTCCTTAAGATCCATAACTCAGGCCTGGTGGTTTGGGAACAATATGGATAGAAATTGTGTATGTTTTTCTTGGACATTTCAGTGATGGTATTTTCTAACTAAACTGTTTTTTAGATAGAATTTAATTTTACATTCATTTTTACTTTATGTGGCATTTGCTAAAAGAACATTTGCTAAATAATTATCTAAAATTATGTGGTCCCAAAATTTATTACTCAAGTAATAGAAGTCACAGGTAAACAACGACTTGGGAATTTCTGGATAATAATTTAAACAGTGATACCTTTAATCATCCATTATAATATTTTTGATAGTAGATTTTTAGATAGATCATGGAAGTATACATTTCAAATATATTGTTACATTTCCCCCAAAAAACATTGAAATGCTCTAGTTTTAATACTCTGCCAGTTCCAAATGCTTGTGATTCTTGTGTACTTATGTCTAGTGCTTGCATTTTATGCTGATGGAAAATGACACAGATGCTATATTTAAGTTCATTTGTTTGAATTTTGTCAAAACAACAAACTTAGATCAGTCAAAAGCTTTACATCCAAATAATGTGTAATTTTTAACTTTTTAAGGTGGGTACTTTGGCATAAATTCTTAAAATATAAGATTATTACACTAAAGAATTAGTATTCTCTTGTTTCTCTTCTTGGGATTATAACTGTACCTTCTATGAAGATACTGAAATTTGCTGTGTATTTCATAGCAAATATGGTGGATGACCATGAAAAACTGTTTTATAATTTAGCTTAGGCCTACTAGATAGTTTTTACATTCAACATTTATGCCTCAAAGGAGTATTGTAGTGTACCATTGTAGAATTTCCATATTCATCCTAGGTTTACTACTGATATGACTTCAAAAATGTGATATTGTCAAAACTGTGCCAGCTGTGAAATTAAAATTGGGCATCCATGAACAGCTGTATTGAATAGCTTGACATCTGTGAAATCAAAAGTGTATTTCGAATTCAACTTTCAAACCACAGAATTCAAGTAAGCAAAAACTGACCATGTGTTAAAAACACTTGAAACTCTTCCTCTTGTAACTGTTTATCTACATTTTAAAAACTCTGTTTACATTGTAGTAACAGCTGTGTTTAAAAGGGACATGACAGAGCAGACTAATTTATAATGCAAAACTCTATTCTAAAAAAAAACTTCTGTTTGAAAAAACACTTCAAAAGAGGGCAAAAATGATTAAAATAGACACAACCATTTGTTTAAACTATGACTTTCTCAAGAAAAAACAGCCTAATGTAAACTGGCCTATGCATGTTCCAAGCAGCTGTTCTGTGTAATGCCTCTACAAAACCTTTTCCTTTGGGGGATGGGCAGAAAGAAAATGAGAAACTGACCATAGCAAAAGGTCATTGCCATTTGAGAAACTGCACAAATCTAAGGATGAACTATTAACTGTTTTTGAATTGTGCCAAGTTCATTAAATTAAAAACTGAGGAAGCAGAGCCAGTGACCAGTGATCTTACAATGGAAAAGTGGAAAAGTCATTCCTGACCATTCATTGGGTTTCTATAAGAAAACCACAAAACTGTTCAATAAGAAAAAATGTACAAATAAATAAGTCAGTTTGTCTATGCTGTACCATATATTAGCAGATCTTTCCTTTTACTCCTTTTTTCTAAAAAAGTTATCATTGTTTAGGCATTTGTAGACATGACACTAATGCCTCTTTTACTCCATTCCAGTCGGTTTCTGTTGGTGTTTGATGCTGTTGACATCTCTCTTTTATAAAATCCTTTCTTCCTTTGGTTCCCATGATACTATTCTGTCATCCTACCTCTGGACCACCTCTAGAGCTCTAGATACAGCACATTTTCCTGTATGTTTTCTAAATATTCCCTTAAGTCCTGTCTTTAAACTATCTTTTCTACTCAGATGCTGCAAAATGATCTCATGGGTCTCAAAGAGGCAAGAAAGCAGAGTTACTGATGTCTCAGCCTGGCCTTTGAGGCAGCCACCCATTTCTCAGATTCTCAGGAATTAGTTGAGAGAGCCACACTGAAGAAACCTGTGTGGACCAATGACCAAGGACCAGAGAGGAACTAGGATGCTACATCAGACACCAGCATGGCCTGGCAGCACCAGAACCCTTCCTTCCCACTCACATACACCAAGCTTGAAAATGTAGGCACGACCCTAAAGAGAACAGAATGGAATCCTAAACAGATTAAGATCGACTTTTCACTGCCCAACAGTATAAGGGCCGAACATAGAAATTAAACTCTGTTCAAGAAATATGACAATAGGTCCATTTCACATGTTACTGTGTGAAATAATTTTCCAGCCTTTCCTAGCACAATGCCCACAACATACTTGGACTTCAAAAAATGTGTTTTTCTTATTTCTATGGAGGGTCACAAGACTTTCATGCAGCATTATCTGATGAGTTAAATTGAATGGATTTCATTCATTCATTCATTCATTCACTTGCTCATGTAACAAAGATATTTTGAACACTTATTCTGTGCCAGGCAATATTCTAGGCACTAAAAATACCATAACAAGCAAATGAAGTTCCAGTCCTTTAGAGACAGAGACAGCTGAAAAAATAAAGAAGGAAGGAAGGAAGGAAGGAGGGAGGGAGGGAGGGAGGGAGAAATAATAGAAGGACGGGAGAGAGGGAAGAAAAAGAAAGAATGAGAAAGAGAAAGAAAGAAAAAATCAGTAATGACAAAATATAAGGAATAAAACAAAGCAGAATATTAGAAAATGATGAGGAGAAGGGCTGGGAGTGGGTCTGCTCTTTCTGACAGAGTGGTCAGGAAGCCCTCTCTGAGTAGATGAAATTAATGCAGAGCTTGGCATGATATTAGTGAACGCAACTTAGAGCTCTGTGAAAAGAACACTCCAGACTGGGGAGCCAGTAGGGCACAAACCCTTGAGAAGCCTTCCAAATCAGTATTCTCTAAATGCATAACTCAAGTTAGAGTATATGGGAAGAAGTCTGTAATCTTAATGTAAATCCTAACCATTCCTTGGGTTTCATTTATATAACAGCCAAAATATATTTTGGAAGAGGAAAATATTGGAATCATTCAAAGATGAAAGTAATGATCTCCTGTTGTTAAGTTGTCCTAAACGCATGTGTTAAAATAGAAAATAAACATCTATATAATGCTGATGTGTGTCCGTGTCTATATTTGCATCATCTATATTTACATCTGAATATGCTATATACTCTAAATATATCTGTACCTACATCCATCTGTCTTGTCTATCTGTCACTATACAGCTGGATATGCAATATAATCATTTTGCTACTAAGGCCTCAAATCTGATTAACTTATTCCTGAATGATGAGAACTGCCCTCCTGGGCAACTCCTGATAAGTAGAATAGATAACTATGTTCCTACAACATGCATATCTATATCTGTATTTCACTATGCTTAAAATTGTATTAAGTACACATGAGGCTTCAGCTTAAGCTCTTCCAGGTTATAGCTTTGGAAAACAACTGAATAAAGCATCTTCAGCAAGAAGATGATTCTACACATAAAGCACAATTGGGGGCGAACTATTTTTGTTATTATCATGTAAAGAGATATCAGAAAGAGCTCCCTTGAAAGATATACTATTAATTTAAAATAGCATACAATCTTACTTTATTATTTGGAAAAAATGTAAAAATGTTTCCACTGCTGTGCAAAGTTTTCTTAAGATATCCCCCTTGGGACATGAACAGACACTTCTCAGAAGAAGACATTCATGCAGCTAATGAACATGGAAAAAAGCACAACATCACTGATCATTAGAGAAATGCAAATCAAAACCACAACGAGATGCCATCTCACACCAGTCAGAATGGCAGTTATTAAAAAGTCAAGAAACAACAAATGCTGGAGAAGTTGTGGAGAAAAAGGAATGCTTTTACACTGTCGGTGGGAATGTAAATTAGTTCAACCATTGTGGAAGACAGTGTGGTGATTCCTCAAATACCTAGAACCAGAAATACCATTTAACCTAGCCATCCCATTACTGGGTATATACCAAAAGAAATTTAAAACATTCTATTATAAAGATACATGAACGCATATGTTCATTGCAGCACTACTCACAATAGCAAAGATATGGAATCAACCCAATGCTCATTAATGACAGACTGGATAAAGAAAATGTGGTATGTATACACTATGGAATACTATGCAGCCTTGAAAAGGAATAAGATTTGTCCTTGGCAGGAAAATAGATGGAGCTGGAAGCCGTTATCCTCAGCAAACTAACGCAGGAAGAGAAAATCAAACACCACATGTTCTCACTTATAAGTGGAAGCTGAACGATGAGAACACATGGATGCAGGGAGGGGAACAACACACACTGGGGCCTGTTGAGGCTAGAGGGAGGGAGAACATCAGGAAGAAAAGCTAATGGATGCTGGACTTAACACCTAGGTGATGGGTTGATCTGCGCAGCAAACCACCACGGCACACGTTTACCTATGTAACAAACTTCTGCATCCTGCACATGTACTCTGGAACTTAAAATAAAAGTTGACAAAAAAAAAAATTCGCGCTTGGAAAGGGCCACCCCATCCCTTAAGCAGAAATTAAAGATGGGTTACCCAGTGTCAATGTCAGGGTAGCTGACGTGTTCTGGTGGAATCAAAGGGCAAGAAAAGAGAGCCAAATCTCAGGGATAGCTTGACTGCCGTGCCAACACCAGTGTAATAACAAAGACACACAAAGATAAGGTCATGTCTACAAATTTGTACTCTTTCAGGAATAAAAAAAAGAAAACTGATATTTATAAATATATTTATTCTGCGTAAATTTTACTCCCATGAACTAATAGAAATTTGGAAGTTAGCAGCAACAAATCATTTCTACTTTATTTAATGATAGCAGGAGGCCAGGCGTGGTGGCTCACACCTGTAATCCCAGCACTTTGGGAGGCTGAGGTGGGAGGATCTCTTGAGCCCAGGAGTTCAAGATCAGCCTGGGCAACATAGAGAGATCCCCATCTCTACAAAAAATATAAAAATTCACCAGTTGTGGTGGCGTACACCTGTGGTCCCAGCTACACAGGAGGCTGAGGTGGAAGGATGGCTTGAGCGGGGATTTCAGGGCTGCAGTGAGATGTGATAATGCCACTGCATTCCAGCCTGGGCAACAGAGAGAGAAATTATCTCAAAATAATAATAATAGCAGGAAAAAAGAATTATTAAAGATGGACATTTCTCAAGGGATGTGTCAGTCCATGAATTAATCTTTTCTATAGCATACAGCATTACCCCAGGAAATGTTAAATTGCATGGGAGAAGATATTTAAATAATTTTACATTTTCAAATATTTTTCAATTCCATACTTTCCCAGATATAGTAGAATTTGTTCTTTAGAACAGCATTTGTATTTGGTATAAAAGCAGGATTGTTATTTTTTTTTAAAGGGTAGGAGGATCACATGATTTTTGGAAAAAGTTGTACTAGTTTTCTTACTACGAGACTTCTCAGAAACTTTAATATTCTAATGTACATGGTAACTCTAAGAGAGGAGTATTGGATGAGGCATTTGCCAAACATGTTTGCCCACTGAGCTTTCTTTTCCCACAGCAACCTGCTAGTCTACTATCTGTGTAACATACTATGGGAAACGCTTCCTTAGCATAACGTCTTATTTTTCATAAATCTACATGGAATAAAATAATGTATAGCTTTTCTGATAATGGTTTTAAAACTACTTAAAGTACAGTTATAAAAAATACAAGAAAATGCACCTATATTTATTCATTCATTTATTCTACAAATACCTATTAAGTACTTACTATGTGCCAGGCACTTTTATAAATATCATCATCATAGCAGTGAACAAAACAGGCAAAGTCCCTATTCTCAGGGAGGTTACTTTCTAGTGGGAAATAAATAATAAATACACATATGCACATATATATGTATACATATATGTGCATGTTTGAATTTTCTCTAATATGGTGATATTACATCTATACATTCAATGCAATTATAATCAACATCCAACAGGATTTTTTCTGAAACTTAACAAACTGATCCTAAATTTTACCTAGAACAAACAGCCAGAAGCACAGTGATTTTCAAGAGTAAGGAACTTTTTGGAAAACAATAAGAAGTTACATAGTTATTAGTACAGGGATAAATAACTAAATTAATGAGACAAAGCAAGGAGTCCAGAAACAAACACATGCCTACATGGAGACTTGTTGAAATGGCACTAAAGATCAATGCCAAGTGATGAATTATTTAACAAGTAGTACTGAGACAACTGGTATTTCAAATGAAAAAATAAAGTATATCCCTGCTGAACATTATACTTATAAAAAATTGAGGTGGAATGAAAAAGTAAACATGAGGCCCACACAGTGGCTCATCCCTATAATCCCAGCACTTTGGGAGGCCAAGATGGGCAGATCACTTGAGGTCAGGAGTTTGAGACCAGCCTGGCCAACATGGTAAAACCCCATCTCCACTAAAAATACAAAAATAAGCTGGACATTGTGGCGCGTGTCTGTAATCCCAGCCACTTGGGAGGCTGAGGCAAGAGAATCGTTTGAACACAGGAGGTGGAGGTGGCAGTGAGCTGAGATCGTGCCATTGCACTCTGCACTCCAGCCTGGGTGACAGAGTGAGACTCCATCTCAAAAAAAAAAAAAAAAAAACTAAACATGGAAAAAAAAAAAGCACCAAAACTTTTGGGTAAATATATTTACATAACACACTATGACCTCATCCTTATGACCTCACTTTGGAAGAATATCTTAAGATATCTTGAGATATAAACTGAAATCAAAATCATAAAGAAAACAAGATTAATGAGTGACTATATTAAAATTTAAAACTGTGACCAAAATAAATCATTGAAATAAAAAGATAGCACAGATTGGAAGAGCACATTAGCGATGCATATAACTGACAAAATATTCATATCCACAGTCTATGGAGAACTTCCCAAATCAATAAGAAAAACTCAAGCAAACCAATGAAAAATGAATACAGACTATAAACAAATTTCAGAGACGATAAAATGGGAATGCTTGATAAACATATGAAAAGATGCTCAACATTATTAGTAATTAGAAAAATGCAAATTTAAACTACAAGAAGGTACCATTTCATATCTATCATTCTGGAAACATTTTTGAAAGATGATAACACAAATGTTAGTGAGGAAACTATGGAAACTCTTATCTTGGTCAAAGATACTTGTGCCTAATGACCCAACCATTTCACTCCAAGATACAGACGCTAGAGAAATTCTAGCATGTGTGCATGGGAGACATATATAAGCTTATCTAGAGCAGTAGTGTTTATCATTGTGGAAGACTGGAAGTCACCTAAATGTCCACTAACAGACATTTATTTATAGAGAGGATATATAAATTTGGAATTAGTCACACAAAGGAATATTCCACAGTAGTAGAATGAATAAATGAAAGCTATATTATATTATTTTCATATTTCATATTAAGTATATAAATATTTCATATGTCTAAAACTACATGTTTCAGTCAACAATGCAAATGGAAAATGGAGTTCACTTCAATCTCTTCCTACAATACTGATGTGCTTAAAGCTCTTACATAAACCTT
This sequence comes from Homo sapiens, assembly GCF_000001405.40. Classification (NCBI taxonomy): domain Eukaryota; kingdom Metazoa; phylum Chordata; class Mammalia; order Primates; family Hominidae; genus Homo; species Homo sapiens. The sequence goes on from NC_000012.12 coordinate 65,681,788, forward strand.
TAAAACATTTGAATTTTCAGACCGGATTCTATCCTGTATGACACAACAATCATAAACATAACTACCCCGCTTATAAACAGAATTAACCTGCAAAGTAATTGTAGGTCCACTGAGCAACCTATTAGGAAGAGGCTGACTATATAGTGAAAATTGCCAAGGATTTAGAATCCTGGAATGCTGAGTTGGATATTAGTCCCATATTCTCTGAGGGTGTGATCCTAGGCAAATAATTTGACCTGTGTGAGCCTATTTCCTGGTCTGTAAAATGGGGGTAATGATAGTATCATCCTCACCGAATTATCATGAGGATTAAATGAGGATATATGGGAAAGTGCTTTGTGAATTGTAAAGTCATTTTGCCAAAAATAGTAATTCATTTCTGTACCAGTTGAATGCAAAAGATGCTTACCACATGAAGTTTGCCTTAAGGGAATATTTGCACTGGTGGAGGAGGCAAGATTAATACTGGAAACGATAGCAAGACAAAAAAAAAAACCCACACACAAAGAAGTGCATGTTGAATTATGCGGTTGAGACTATCAGGACTGTAGGAGGCAATCGGTGAGGTTCAGGGACTGGGATGATAAATGACTTACACTGGGCCTTGAGGCATGTTGTTTAGATCAGTAGAGGGTGTTTAGAAGGGGTTCTAGGTAAGGGAAAGAGAAACATTCTACTTGCAAAATAGTAATGATGATCTTAATTTATCTAACCTGGTTAGTATCTTTTTACTGACTTTTTAGTCATGGTTCTTGTTAAGTGTGGAAGGCTTTCTTGGTACTATAGGTTAACCTGACTGTAAACTTACTTTAAAAACGGGGGGAGGGATGTCTGGGAAACAGTGAGAAGTGATACTCATAGAGTGACAGCAATGTTTCACTAGTTAGCATTCAAGTGCACAGTTCTGGCCCTTAGCAGCTATTGTATTAGGTTCACAGCATTTTGTCATAGATCCTTGTCCACAGCTATTTGATCACCATGAAGTATCACTGTGGGAAATCTCATCCTTGCTTTCTAAACACCCCCAGAATCTAAATTTATTGCTTCTTAATCTAATCCACACTTGAACCAACAAAAGTGTTATGATATTCTTGAGCAAGCATGTCTTCCTAGACCTTGAGACAGGTATCTTGAATTAAATTTCATCTACTTGGTTTACTGTCTAGTCTTTTAACAATTTTCTTTCATTCTTTGTTTCAATCTATAAAAAAATGTCAGATTGAAATAGTGACTTCTGCCTGATTTTGTAGACAAGTTGTGGTCCCCAACGGACCCTACTCAGGAGTGATATGTACCAAGAATTTTGAGACTTCCACAACATCAAAAATGTTATGCTGAGATTTTCGTTTGTAGTGAAGTGCCCTGTCATCAAACCCTGGCATTAAGCAGTGATGTGATATTTGTTTCTACATAAGCAGTCATTACTTTTTTGAGGAGATGGCAATATTGAAATTTAAGATAACTGATGTTCAATTACAGTCAATCCTATTGATAGGTTGAGAAACAAAAGGGCCTCACATTTATACCATTGCCTTCTTTTTGTTATGGGAGGGGAGGTGAGAGGAGCTAGTATGCGTGAGGAATTGTTTTTTATGGAGACAAGCCTAGTATTTCAGGGAAATAAGAAAGTAATAACAGATGTAAAGTCAAGGTGAGAAACGGCACACACTTCTCCCTACTTCCTGCTTCCCACTTCAAGTTACATTCCATCTGGAACATTTTAGACCATTCCCCAACATTTTAGTTACTGGAAATAAACCTGAAATTTTTGGTCTGCTTGCCCTCTGGTTGGGACACTAAGAATTAGACCTTTCTTAGTAAGTTCCTGTGATTTACTTATATAGTAAAAATTAATCATAATTCAAGCACCTCATCGTACATTATAGGTCAAAATATATCACCCAAGCCAATTTTATACTTAATAAATGTTGCTGTCTATCCCACCTCACTTCTACCACCCACCTGGCTTACTTCCCTTCCTTCTGCTTTATCCAGTCCTTCAAAACTGAGCCCAGCCTGACCCTACTTTCCAGATCAACCCTAGATTTCTTAAACAGCCTCAGGTTCTCTTTCATTGGAATTCATCCTTTCTTCCCACTCAAGGGGCCCAAATGATAGGCTCTGTCCCACGACATTACCCTTGAAATCCCACTTGCTGTCAGCCATATCTGAGACTTGAGACTAAGGCCCTTGGTTGGTCATATCATCCCCCTGCACAACTCATTCCATACCTAGTCCCTGTATCCCTATTCAGGCCATAGCACTGGGATACTACCTTCGATTCTGTTCTGCAGTTTCCAGCCTGGGGTCCTGCTTCCTTCCTCAGATCTCCTTGAGATCTAAAGCATTTTCTTAAACTCCAATGTGATGCCAGTACGACTGCACTGTACTTTATTATTGAGGCCCCCCTAAACAGTCCCGTACTTGGGTCTCAAACTAGCTATGGAGGCTTGAATCAGTAGAGCAGTTTCCCTGCTCTCCTACATGGCTTCCCAAGACTCCTGGTTACTGTGCTCCCCCAGCCTTGAGAACGCCATCTCTTCCTAACTCCATTCTCTTTCAACCTACCTCACACACCTTCTGGGCTAACAGCCTCCTCCAGGATTGTGATTGAGCCTGGTGTGCCCCTCAGTCACCAGTTTCTACAAATGGCCATCCTCCCTAAAGAGTGAATATAGTGCTAACCTCTGACTCCATCCCCTTTTCCTCTACCCTGCATCACGACCTGTGTGTCAGCATGCCTCTTTCAACCTTTACCCAACAGAAATGAATGGCAGCAGCAAATATGCACCAGGCACTGCCCTAGAAAATGGAGACATAGACCGGGTGCGGTGACTCATGCCTGTAATCCCAGCACTTTGGGAGGCCAAGGCAGGCAGATCACGAGGTCAGGAGTTTGAGACCAGCCTGACCAACATGGTGAAACTGCGTCTCTACTAAAAATACAAAAATTAGCCGGACACGGGCATGGTGGCCTGTGCCTGTAGTTCCAGCTACCTGGGAGGCTGAGGCAGGAGAATCGCTTGAACTTGGGAGGTAGAGGTTGCAGTGAGCCAAGATTGCACCACTGAACTCCAGCCTGGGTGACAGAGTGAGACTCTGAAAAAAAAAAGAAAGAAAGAAGGAAGGAAGGAAGGAAAGAAGGAAAGAAGGAAGGAAGGAAGGAAGGGGAAAATGGAGACATGAAAGAGGCAAGTCCCTGACCTCAACAGGTTATTGCCCTCATATCTCTCCAGTGGTGCCCATGCACAGACATACAACAAGGAAAACTCTCTCCCTGGGTTACAACCGTTGTGTTATGAGTACAGAATAACAATAGGAACCAGGCACAGTGGTCATGCCTATATTCTCAGCACTTTGGGAGGCTGAGGTGGGAGGATCACTTGAGCCCAGGAGTTCAAGACCAGCCTGGGCAACATAGTAAGACCTTGTCTCTACAAAAAAATAAAAAAATTAGTTGGGCATGGTGGTTCGCACCTGTGGTTCCCAGCTACTCAGAAGGCTGAGGTGGGAGGATCCCTTGAGCCCAGGAATTCGAAGCAGCAGTGAGCTATGATCATGCCACTACACTCCAGCCTAGGGGACAAAGCAAGATCCCATCATATACACACACACACACCCACACACACATATACACACACATGCACATATACACATACATATATATACACACATACACATATACATACATATATGTATAGTAACAACAAGGTCTTAACAGACTAGACTTCTAGTCAAGAGTTACCTTAAGAAATAGTTTAGTTTTTCGATAGTTCTTTTGCCATTAAAACTGGAATGATCACTTGTAGAATTGCCTATACATTGCAACATAGAAACAATGGAGAAAGTTTGTGTTCAGAGGCTAGATGAGAATGGTCTTTGTTGCTAGTGCAAGGTCATGGATCTGGATCATTGTTTCTCAGCAGAGATAGTACCTCCCCCTAGAGGCCTTTTTGGAAATTTGTGGGAGTATTTTCTGTTTTCACAGTTATTGGGGATACTTCTAGCATTCGATGGAGCAAGAATACCAGATGTCCTATGGTGCGGGGAAGAAGCACTCAGTGAAGAAGTCTCAGACCGCTTGGACAGCTTTTAAATACCCCAGAAAATAGTCATGTAAGTGAGAAATTTGTTTATAATTATCTCAGCCTGAAACCAAATGCTACTTTATATACAGACACAAAGGTTTTTTTTAGTAGTTTTAATAGACACATAATTTTCAGGAAGACAACTGACCAAAAATCACTTCGTTCTGTTGAGAACATTTGTAAGAGTTGGTTGTCATTTTGAAAAATTGGGCCACCAATTTCCACACTGCTTAAAGTCTTGAATTGCTGGACAACAAAATTGTTTCAGTCTGAATCTAGAGATGTCACGGAAAATCACAATAAACAAGATCTGAGACTCAAGACCATCCTGGATAACACGGTGAACCCCATCTCTACTAAAAATACAAAAAATTAGCCGGGTGTGGTGGCGGGTTCCTGTAGTCCTAGCTACTCGGGAGGCTAAGGCAGGAGAATGGTGTGAACCCGGCGGCGGAGCTTGCAGTGAGCTGAGATTGCGCCACTGCACTCCAGCCTGGGCGACAGAGCAAGACTCCATCTCAAAAAAAAAAAAAAAAAAATCTGAGACTTCCTTTAATGGACTTAGCATGAAATATTATCATATTAGCAAACACATATAAAACACACAAATCAAATTGAGATTTATTAATAATGCTGATTATATTTTATAATCAAAATTTTGAGGCAGAATAATAAGAAATATGTGATGTGATTGTGAAAATTACATTTTGATAGTATTTGCCAATTTTGAGGGTTGCTCGCTATTTTTAATCTTACGGTGTACCACACTACTTTTCTACAACCTCTTGAACTACAATTTCTTTTCCCAAACTACCTTCTATTTCTCATTGCCTATCAAAAGATATAGTCTCCAAGGACTTTTAAAATAACAGAAAATGAATTATAAGGAATTCTATCTTCTTACCATATAGGAGATAGAAGTTTCTTTGATATTTAGTCATTATCCTAATCCATGTCATAACATTGGGAATTGTTTTGACATTACATTTATAAGCAGGGCCCAGCAAACTCAAATAATTCAATAGCCAAAAAAAAAGAAAAAAAAAAAAAAGAAGGAAAAAGAGAGAGAGAGAGAAAGAACCCCAAAAACCTGATAAAAAATGGGCAAAAAATCTCAATAGTCATTTCTGAAAAGAAGGCATACAAATGGCCAACAGGTATATGAAAAAATGCTCGACATCACTATTTATCATGGAAATGCAAATCAAACCTACAGTGAGATCACCTCACTCTAGTTAGAATGACTATTATCAAAGACAAAAGATAACAAGTGTTGACAAGGATGTGAAGAAAAGGGGATTCTTACACTCTGTTGGTAGGAATGTAAATTAATATAGCCATTATAGAAAACAGTGTAGAGGTTCCTCGAAAAACTAAAAATAGAACTACCATATGATCTGGAAATCCCACTACTGGATATATATCCAAAGGAAAGGAAATCAATATGTTGAAGAGATATCTGTACTTCCATGTTAACTGCAGCACTATTAACAGTAGCCAAGTTATGGAATCATTCTTAGTGTGCATCAATGGATGAATGAATAAAGAAAATGTGGTATATATACACAACGGAATACTATTCAGCCATTAAAAAGAATGAAATCCTCTTTTGTGACAACATGGATGAATCTGGAGGACATTGTGTTAAGTGAAAAAAGCCAGACACAGAAAGACAAATACTGCATAATCTCACTCATACGTGGAATCTTAAAAAGTTGATCCCATAGAAATAGAGAATAGAATAGTAGTTCTTAGAGGTTGGGAAGGGTAGGAATAGAGGGGAGACAGAGAGGTTTATCAATAAGTACAAAGCTACAATTAAATAGGAGGAATAAGTTCTGGTGTTCTATTGCACAGTAGGGTGACTATAGTTAACAATAATGTATTATGGCGCATTTCAAAGTAGCTAGAAGCGAGGATTCTGAATGTTCTCACCACAGAGAAATAATGTGTTTGAGATAATGGATTTGCTAATTACCATAATTTTGATTATTACACAATGTATACATGTATTCAAACATCCCATTGTACCCCATAAATATGTACAACTATTATGTGTCAATTAAAAATAAGATAAAACTTTAAAAAAATAGTTCATTTACAAGAATATTGGACTTCATGTTCTACAATTTGACTCGATTTCTTCTTGACATTTTCTTTTTTTTTTGAGACAGAGTCTCGCTCTGTTGCCCAGGCTGGAGTGCAGTGGCGCGATCTCAGCTCACTACAACCTCCACCTCTCGGTTTCAAGTAATTCTCTGCCATAGCCTCCTGAGTAGCTGGGATTACAAGCGCCCACCACCATGCCCAGCTAAGTTTTGTATTTTTAGTACAGACGGGGTTTCACCATCTTCACCAGGCTGATCTTGAACTCCTGACCTCATGATCCACCCTCCTCGGGCTCCCGAAGTGCTGGAATTATGGGCGTGAGCCACCATGCCCGGCTGACATTTTCCTATACTTAAAATGAGTTTCCTCTTTATATTATTATATACAAAAATGTATAGCCTGTCATTACTTATCCCAACACTAGTTTTTATTCTTATATCAATTTGTACTTTTCCTCTTGAATTTTCCCAGCAACTTTTGCAGAATGGCTGCTGACCTTAACTCCCATTTATTCATTATAAATAAGTGTAAGCATATAATCACTTTATTATGTCTTTCAGTGTCTTGACGCCCATATATTCATATTGAGGCATGTATGATTCTTGTTATAAATTACTTTTCCTTAGTTGGCCTTTATATAACAGTTAGGTGGTATATGTAAGTAGGTTGCATTATCTATGAATTATATTTTAGGATAATAAAAGGTATTGTTGTAAAAAGGAAGCATTGGATTTTTTGTTTCTGTTTTTGTTTTTGTTCTGTTTTGTTTTTGAGACAGAGTCTTGCTCTGTCACCCAGGCTGGACTGCAATGATGTAATCTCTGCTTACCGCAACCTCTGCCTCCTGGGTTCAAGCGATTCTCCTGCCTCAGCCTCCCGAGTAGCTAGGATTATAGCCACGCACCACCACGGGCCCAGCTAATTTTTTTTTTTTTTTTTTTTTTGGCATTTTCAGTAGAAACGGGTTTTCACCATGTTGGCCAGGCTGGTCTCGAACTCCTGACCTCATTATTCGCCTGCCTCGGCCTCCCAACATGCTAGGATTGCAGGCGTGAGCCACTGCTCCCAGCTGAAGCATTGGATTTTATAGGGTTGTTTCAACTGCCCTAGATCTAACACACTAACAACTTTTACCCTGAAAAGAGTTTCCTGCAAGGCAAGAGTGAAATTCAAAATATTTTACCATTGGTCTAGTGTAAGCACCAGCTAATCAAAATGATCCCAGTCATAAAAACCAAGCACAGCCCTACCAGTGTCCACGAGCTGAAATATCAGCTCTCTCTAAAGAATCTCAGTCTATGGTGGTGACCTAGTTCCAAAAGAGCACTATTATGTTCTGCCTAGGGCAATGGTGCCCAGGTTTTGCTGAAGCTGCTTTTCATGTGTTATTCTATTTGATCCTTTTTAAAAAGCACTATGAAGAGATATCCTTATCTCCATTTTTACAGATGAAGATAGTAAGAAATTTTAAAATGTATCTAAAGTTACACAGCTAGCAAGTAGCAGAGCTGGGGTTATAACATAGATCTTCTGACCCCTAAAACCAATCCTTTTCCCTCCATATCATGTTCATTTATTCAATTACTACCAATGAACATAGCAGAAAAGCACAGATGATCATTGGTCCCGAGCAACACTTATCACCAAGAGAAGAAATAACAAATGGCATAGCAATGAGCTGGATAACCAGCTGCCAACATTTGGACCTTGCCAATGTGGGCCTTCTTGCAATCTACCAAGCATAAAGAGCCAATTGCTTACAGTTTCACATGTGCATGTGATCTAATTTATCATCCGCTTGAATTACACTAATTAAGAGGAAATAAATCATATTATCTTGCAAGGACTGGTTAAATTCATGTTCTCTGAGCTCCTTGTGGACATAAAGTATACATCTCCTGAACTCCTGTGTTCAGCACAGTATCTACCGCAAAGGAGGTGTTCAATAAATGTCCACTGTTACACTGACTTGATGACATAGCCTTCGGCAGCAAACCAAATAAGGAAAATTATGCAGTTCTCTCATTTCCTATCTAGCTCATCTTGAAATCTCATAGACCCATCCTCATAAACTCCTGACCAAGTTGGACAAAGCAGGAGAGTACCCATGCATAAAACACTCCCAAGAGTTTTATCCTTGGGCTTTGAAGTGCACTCAGCTGAAGAATTATTTGGGAGGTAACTATAAGGATGAACTAGTAGCAAGGTGGCTATGGGATAGAGAGGCTAAAAGAATAATTATAAATTTAATAAGGAAGAAAAAGAAATAACGCTCTCTATATATGAGATTCCAAGCTCAACAAACTCAGCAACTCTTTGTATGTAGAGACCATGAATTATTTTACCAACTTATTTAGAAGCTGGTGTGTCTTTGGATAGAAAGAAAAACTACATTCATAACACTGGATATTTGCTAACTAGTGGTGATAGGGAAGTTAAATTTGACAAGAAGAAAAGACGGTAAGCTCCGTGAGGGCAAGAGCCACGTCTGCTTCATTTAACACTGTCTCTCTGGTAGCTGGCACACTGTCTGGCATAGTGGGTACTAATTAATGTGTGTTGGATGAGTTAATAAGATCATATGAGATGAAAATCTGATAAGCAGTGAAGGCATAATTTAGGACTTCAGATAGTTTTCAGTCTTGAAGAGAGAGGGCTTCACAGAGAAATAATTCAGAGAGTGTAGTCATGAGGTAATTGTGTTAGCCTTTCCAAGCCACTGTGCACAGAGGCCCATAGATAGCTGGAGGGCTCTTGGGAAATTGATGTTAAAAGTTCCAAACAACGAATGCATGTACAGTTCCCATGAATTACAGGAAAATTGTATCTCTACCCCCAAATCCCTGGTGAAGAACCCTCTGATGTGTTCAAGATCTTATTTCTACTCAGAGGGAAGAGACTCCTAGAAGAATGAGCAATCCCTATTTCACTACTCTCTGGTCAGGATGTGGGCCAGGGGAATTAGGCTGTCCTGTTAGGAGGGCAGAAGAGCCTTACAGAAGATTATAGAGCAAGAGGCTCAATTTTAGGCATTGAAGATTGCCTCAGATCATTGGAAGGGAGAGGAATGAGGAAAAGAAATGAACCTGAGAGATTATCACATGTAGGAAAATGAGAGACAGAGATGTGTAATCCAAGCTTCCTGCTGCCATTGGTGACCTGTGTGAAGCTGAGCAACTTGCCTGGCTCAGGAAATTGGGAGACTTCAGTAGATTGTATCTAAGATTTTTTTTAAAGCCTGTGGTTCTAAAAGATACTTACAATCTAATTTCCCCTCTGAAGTAAAATAAGTTCTGTTGAAGATTAGGAAGGGGGAAAATAGCAATTAACAAGTGGGAAAGGTGCTGGAATGGGAGTGAGGAGACTTGGGTTTTGGTCTCTCTTCTGCTACTAAGACCAGACAACAAACATATCATCCATTTGGAGCATCGAATCCTTTTCCCTGAAATTAGTGTATGAGTAGGATGTGCTCTTTTTCCTTCAACAATCTCCACTTCTTTGTTTTGCAATTTGGGAATTGAGTAGAGTAGAGGGTAGGGAAGGTATTTTCATAAAGGTGTCATACCTAAATATCAGTGTGTAAGGGAGAGGGTCTATACTCCAAAAGAGGCTTGGTAATTAGATGTGTACATCAATGGTCTCATCTTTCTACAATGCTTCTGTCAAGAATCACTTCCTCACTAGTTATATCCTTAATGGTCCCATGGAGTTTCAGATGTTTACAATGCAACCATCTCAAAGGAATTTTTTTTAAGGGATGGGGTATCTCTCTGTCACCCAGAGTGGGTGCAGTGGTGCAATCATAACACACTGCAGCCTCAAACTCCCGCTGGGCTCAAGCAATCCTTCTGCCTCAGCCTCCCAACTATAGGTGTGCACCACCTCACCTGGCTAATTTTTAAAATTTTTTTTGTAGAGATGGGGTTATGCTATGTTGCCCAGGCTGGTCTTGGACTCCTGGTCTTAAGCAATCATCCACCTCAACCTCCCAAAGGGCTGGGATAACAGGTGTGAACCACCATGTCCGGCCTCTAGAGACTTTTGAAAACAGTTTAAAGGACAAACATTTTAACATAGATTGCCACCACTGCTTCATTTAATTTCTTGGGTGGAAGTGGGGAAAAGTATCCTAGAAAGACTAACTTGTTTTAAAAGAACAATCAGTTTAAGCAGGAAATTTGTATGTATGTATATGAGACAATATCACTCTGCCACCCAGGCTAAAATGCAGGAGTGCCATCTTGGCTCACTGCAACCTCCACCTCCCAGGCTCAAGCGATCATCCCACCTCAGCCTCCTGAGTAGCTGGGACTACAGGCACATGCCACTGCTCCTGGCTAAATTTTGTATCTTTTGTAGAGACAGGCTTTCACCACGTTGCTTAGGCTGGCCTTGAACTTCTGGGCTCAAGTGATCTGACCACCTCAGCTTCACAAAGTGCTGGGATTATAGGTGTGAGCCACTGCCCAGTCTCCAAACTGGCAAACTTTAAATATTGAGTAATAAAAATTTTGTCAAGAATATACTAATCTTTTAAATATATTGCACTACTCCATTCTCACAGGGCTATAAGGAAATATCTGAGACTGGGTAATTATAAAGAAAAGAGGTTTAATTGGCTTACGGTTCTGCAGGTTGTATAGGAAGCATAGTGGCATCTGCTTCTGGAGAGGCCTCAGAAGCTTCCAATCATGGTGGAAAGCAAGGGGAGAGCAGGTGTCTCGCATGATGGAGGCAGGAGCAAGAGCAAGAGCAAGATCAAGACCGAGGAGGTGCTACACACTTCTAAACAACCAGATCTCACAGAACTCACTCACTAGACAAAGACAGTACCAAGGTGGGTGGTGCTAAACCATTCATGAGGGATCTCCCTTATGATCACATCATCTCCCACCATGTCCCACCTCCAACACTGGGAGTTACATTTCATTATGAGATTTGGGTGGGGACACACATCCAAACTATATCATATATCCTCTTTGATTTATATGATACAAGCTACAAATTGCCAGCCAAAAAATAGTTGAGCCAAAGTATCCTTCCCAATATGACTGATTTAAAAGGAACAGAGTGCCTCAATTTAATGTGCTGCATTATGACATAACTTCTTATGAAGTCCAGATTTCTCACACTTGCATATCTCTAAGAAAAAAAGAAAACTTAATTTTATGAGTGATACCAAGCCAGTTAAAAGAAAGCTAATTATATTAGTTTCCTGTGGCTGCTGTAACAAATTCTCACAAATCGGGTCACTTAAAACATCAGAAATTTATTTTTGTACAGTTCTGGAGGCCAGAAGTCCAAAATACTTTGACCAGGTTTAAGCCACGATGTCAGCAGGACTGCATACCTTCTGGAGGCTGGAGGGAAGAACCGTCTGCCTGCCTGTTCCAGCTGCTGGAGTTGCTCTCCTTGCTTCCCTTGGCTCATGAACTTTTCCTCCATCTTCAGAGCCAACAGCGTAGCATCTTGTTTCATTGCCTTTTCTTCTGTCTCTCGTCAAATCTCCCTCTATTTATTTATTTGTTTTGATAGAGTCTTGCTCTGTCACCCAGGCTGGGGTGCAGTGGCACAATCTTAGATCACTGCAAACTCCGCCTCCCAGGTTCAATCAATTCTTCTGCCTCAGCCTCCCTAGCAGCTGGAATTACAGGCATGCACCACCACGCCAGGCTAATTTTTGGTATATTTTTTGTATTTTTAGTAGAGACAGCGTTTTACCATGTTGGCCAGGCTGGTCTCAAACTCCTGACCTCAGAAGATCCACCCACCTCGGCCTCCCAAAGGACTGGGATTACAGATGTGAACCACTGCCCCCAGCCAAATCTCCCTTTTAAAAGAATATTTGTGATTTCATTTAGGGCCCATCAGGATAATCCAGGATAACCTCCCCATCTCAAGAAACTAAACTTAATCCCATCTGCAAAGTTCTTTTTATCATACAAGGTAACTTTCACAGGTTCCAGGGATCAAGACCCAGGTCACTTGTTGGGGGTTATTATTCAACCTACCACAGTGATAAACACATGACTTAAATAGCAGGCTGGTGGCTTGAAGTTCTAGTTTTAAACTGGGAATAAGATAGAGGTAATTACACTAATAATTGCCAACTTTCTAAAATCTGAATGCCTGAGAAATACAGATAAGTAAAGCAAAAAGCAGTTATGACTACCTTTTTGATAACCTTAAGTCATCACATATCCACTTCCTTATCTTGAAAATAGAAAAACAGACACCAGGTATCTCTTCTATTATTCCTAATGTCAAAATAGAAATATTTGCAACAGGCTTGCCGTCGCCAGTTGTAATCACTAATATAATTGAGGATGCAACCATTTCTTCCTCTTTTTTGTTCTCCAAGATCAGAAATCTCTATAAGATTACTATTTGGGCTTTCACAATCCACTATTTATATCGTTCTCAGTAGTAGATGGGGAGGATGAAAGGACAGGCAGGTCCAATTTCCCTTCCTCTTTAACTTGAATATATGATAGTTTTACTTATTTGTCACTCACTCCCATTTTAAAACATTTTTATTAAATGTGGGTGATAGACTGTACTTAAAACTTTGCTTTTCATTTCAGCCTCTGCTATGTAAATCAAATTAATGATGGACCCAGTTAGCTGAATAGTTAGAAGAAAACAGATTTTGTGGAACATTCAAAAATTTCTTGCTTTTTGCAAACAGTGCAGAAGAATGATTAACAATAAACACTGTTGCATACTCCATAAACTCAGTATGTACTTGATTTGGTAAGTTGGCCCTACCAACTATTCTTGATTCATGCTCATGAATGCTGAGAGATTTAACTTTCCTCAGTCTGGTTTATAACTCCTCAGGGAAAAAACTTAGACAGTTATTGCTATATGTTGAAAACTACAATTGGAGCCTTCATTATCTGCCGCCCACCCCCAACCACAACTTAATAATATGTAAAAGAGATGGATCTTTGAGCAAAAGATTTCTAAGAACTTTCTAAACTGTAAGTTTTATGATTATCTGTTTTCATGTTTGTTGACAAAAACAAAACAAAACAAGAGAAGAGAAACAATGATGAACACACATTTCTTCTTTGTGTGTGAACCACTTGCCTTTGTTTTGGCTTGGAATGGTCACTCTTGATGACAGATCCAGCCTCATATGTCACATTCTTGCCACTGTCTCTACACTTTCCATTGAGATTGTCATTGACAGAGTGACATACCTGGGAACCGCACCAGTTCCCAGAACCATAATTCTAAATTCTGCCAGACCATCCTGCAGTCTCTAAATTCCAATGGACGTTTTGTAAGGTGAGAAACCCTCTCTCCTTGAGATTTGTTTACTTTGCAGTTAGTGATGGTAAGGGAGTCCTTTGCAAACCATTTGCTTGGAATTTAAATGTATAGTATTGCTGACAGAGTGCTGAAAATTCATCACATGGTGTACTTAGCATTTTCTTTCTCTAAGGGTATGGAATGGGGGTGTCCCTTCCCTGCTGTCCCTCCCAGTTATTCTGGCTATGAGCAGAGTATCCCTATGATGACTCAGCCCAAGCCCTGCCATCCTCTGCTGCCATCCAGAAACTGGCTCACAAGGGCTCCCTCACCACGGGTTTGTTTGGAGGGCTCACTTCCAAAACAAAGATTAAAATGCCTTTTCTCTTTAATAGTCTCACTGAACACTATTGCTTGTTAATGTTCAGACACTAATAGCACTGGAAAGAGTCGTTCCTTGTGTCAACTCATCAAGTAGTCTAAACAAGCCTGTTGGAGGCTGGCCAGTTCTGGCCAGTCATTGACCACAGACATGATCTAGAAGGCTATTACAACTTGTGGAAGTGAGAGGTAGCTCTGCTTCCTGTCTAGCCCACTTCCCAGGGATTCTCCCCAGAACCACTGGACTTTGAGGCCAGTGGGGGTTGATACTCAGCTATAGACTTCAGATATACCTTATTTTTTAGCACGAAAATTGAGATGTGTGTAAAAGCTTCAGAAAGGCCAGAAAGAAGAGGATTATCTGAAGTGATGCTTGGCAGCTGGAAGTTTATAATTTAGTTCTGTGGTTAGAGAGTACTGATAGTTTTTGTCTTACTTGTGTTTTTGATGAATGGGTGGATTTGTGAGAGTTCTCTTTTTTGGATGATTGTGGTGCTTGTTCAGGGATATATCTCTGGTCTTCTTTGGATTTGCCATGTTTATCCCAGCCATATACTTCCTCTACAAAAAGAGCTTTATGATTATTTCACATCAATAAGATGTGTGAAGATAGGTGAAGAAAAATCTTCAAATATGCCCTTCTTGCAGTAGCAAAGAACAAATGAAAAGAAAGTAAAAGATTATATTGGGAAATGTTTGCCATGTTGTGTTTGCTTTCTAACCCTGGAGTATTCCTCAGGGCAGGGGAAAATGTGGTTATACATGTTACATTGCATCTGAGATCTAATTCTTGCCTCATTATTTATTTATAAACCTTTTATTAATCATTGACTCTGTGCCAGGAACCATGCTAGATGCCAGAGATTCAAAGATGAAACAACCTGGTCCTTCCCTCTCTGGAGTACACACACTTGAAATGAAACAATTGCTGTCTATGATGGAGGGATGTAGACAGTATGAAACAGAACACCTAGGAGAGCCTGGGATGACTTGATTAAGAAGTTTCTATTTGAACTGAAACTTGAAGGACTATGGGGATTTGTTGGACAAAAAAAATCAAGAGAATGGAAAAAGGGTGAGTGAGGCCGCAGCCAGAGCTACAGAGGCACTAGAGCAGGGGTGGGCATGGAGACCAAGGGAAATCCAGGTCCTCTCCTCTCCTGGGCAGAGGCTTGGAGGGAGACAAGACTAGATAGACAAGCAGGATCCAAGTCATTCAGTGCTTTGTAAATCACATTTAGATTTTACTCTTCATCTAATGGTAGATGACTGAAAAGTTCCAAACAGCAGTGACATGATCAGATTTGCAGGTGAATAAAAAATCACAATGAATGTATATACAATGGGATCCACTTGTCATCTGGCATCTGGTCATTATAGCTGATCAGGACATAGAGAAAAAACTATCTTTCTCTCCATCTGTCTTTCTTTCTCTATCGTGATCCATAATGGATTTAAGAAGGTTTTCAAATCTTACTTCCAGGTTTATGCAAGCCATGGAGAAGTTTATTGAGGCTTCCCAACATTTTATCTTTGTGTTGGTGTCACTAATTCTTTTTTCTCTTGATGCTTTCTCCCCAGAATCCTATGATGCCTTGCTATTTTTGAGCACTCAGTGATTTAAGGTTTTTTTTTTTTTTTTTGAGACAGAGTCTCACTCTGACGCCCAGGCTGGAGTGCAGTGGCACGATCTCGGCTCACTGCAAGCTCCACCTCCCGGGTTCACGCCATCCTCCTGCCTCAGCCTCCTGAGTAGCTGGGACTACAGGCGCCCGCAACCACACCCGGCTAATTTTTTTGTATTTTTAGTAGAGACAGGGTTTCACCATGTTAGCCAGGATGGTCTAGATCTCCTGACCTTGTGATCCGCCCGCCTCGGCCTCCCAACGTGCTGGGATTACAGGCGTGATCCACTGCGCCCGGCTGACTTAAGGCTTTTAAAACTGTACTCAAACATAAAGCTGTGATAATTAAAATAATATGACATTAATACAAGATTAGAAAGAGATCAATGGAAGATGTAGTTGATTCATAATCAGTGTAAAAACTTAATAAGTTTTACACTTAATATGTGTAAAAACATAATAAGAAATAAATACCACAAATTAATATTTTATGAAAAATCATAATACAAATTATTAAGGAATAATAAAGGTCAATTTCATTAGTAATCTAAAAGGACTAATTAAAGCAAAATTAAAATAAAAGGTACTGACTATCAAGCAAGCAAAATTAAACATAATGCCTATGAGGCATAGATGAGAAAGATATTCTCTTATTCAATGAAAGGATGCAACCTTTCTCGAAAGGCTTTAATGTATTAAAATTTGAAAAAAAATGTTTATATCCAGGCCGGGCGTGGTGGCTCACACTTGTAATCCCAGCACTTTGAAAGGCCAAGGCAGGGGAATCACTTGAGGTCAGGAGTTCGAGACCAGCCTGGCCAACATGGTGAAACCCCGTCTCTACTAAATAAAAAAATTAGCCAGGTGTGGTGGCACATGCCTGTAATCCCAGCTATGTGGGAGGCTGAGGCAGGGAGAATTGTTTGAACCCAGAAGGCAGAGCTTTCAGTGAGCCTAAATCATGCCACTACACTCCAGCCTGGGCAACAGAGCAGACTCTGTCTAAACAAAACAAAACAAAACAAAACAAAACAAAAGAGAGTGTTTACACCCTTGACCTTGTGATTTCATGGAAAAGTTTCAAGAACAAATTCTAAGAAAAAAAAGTGAAGAATTTGACAAAAATTTGTGCACAAAGATGTTCATTGCAGCATTATTTATAACATCACACATTTTAAGGACAGGTAGTTTATAAAATTAATGATACCAATAGTCACTGTCTTCCAAAGAGATGAATATTTACTGAGCTTCTACTATGAACCAATAATTAATTATCTCATGCAATCTTCCCACACAACAAACAGATTAGGTAACTAAGACTGAGGGTTTAGGTAAGTTGCCCAAGACCACACAATTTTGGTGCTGACCCAGGTCTGACATCAAAGCCTTGTTCTGTTC
Source organism: Homo sapiens (assembly GCF_000001405.40). Classification (NCBI taxonomy): domain Eukaryota; kingdom Metazoa; phylum Chordata; class Mammalia; order Primates; family Hominidae; genus Homo; species Homo sapiens. Next base: position 65,698,646 of record NC_000012.12, read on the forward strand.
ACTACACCTCACTACCTCTATTTATAACTGTGTGTCAATTGTTTGCTTATGTGTCAATTGTTTGCTTAAAAAAAATCTATAAGTGGCCGGGCGTGGTGGCTAACGCCTATAATCCCACTATTTTGGGAGGCTGAGGTGGGCGGATCATGAGGTCAGGAGTTCGAGACCAGCCTGGCCAACATGGTGAAACCACATCTCTACTAAAAATACAAAAATTAGCGAGGCTTGGTGGCACATACCTGTAGTCCCAGCTATTCGGGAAGCTGAGACAGGAGAATTGCTTGAACCCGGGAGGCGGAGGTTGCAGTGAGCAGAGATTGTGCCAATGCACTTCAGCCTGGGCAACAGAGCCAGATTCCATCTAAAAAAAAAAAAAATGTATAAGCTCCATTTCTGTTCTGTTTTTCCATCCTCCCAGGAAACAAGAGTTCTGCTTTCAGATTTCTGTGATGTGAGTTGGGGAGCTAATGCCTACAGTTTAAACAGTCAATAAATTCATTCAATTTAGATCATTCATTTCCCAAGAAAAAATAGTTTGCCATAGAATGCAATGTTCCTCCTGGGAATCTCCTCTCTCTTACTCTTGGAACAAATCCAGGGGAGACAAGCACTTAAAACACTGACAACAACATAGATAGGATCTGTAGTAAATATTAGCTAGTCCATTTATGTATAGTGTTTACAGTTATTTAAAGGGCTACCTCTTCTAATGAATAGCCAGTTTCTCTGATTTAAGGAAGTACAGTATTGTCAGTGCATTGAACATAGAGAGAGAACACTGTCTAGTGGCAGAAGCAGAGGACTACAGTTATTTCCCAACATTCAGTAGCTTGACTCAGTCTTTAAAGAGGCACTGGTTGGCTTAGGTTTTCGTAAGAATGGAAAGCGTAAGTGGAAAAAACAACCATCAGCATCAGTTTCAAATGTTCATTAGCCCACACTTGCAAATTGCCAAGAAACACATTGCAGGAACACCAAATGGTAGCAGTCAACTAAAAGGTCATAAAATAAATATCATTCGTTTGCCTTCTACTTATATTTTCTTACTTTGAAGATGTTTCTCACATTGGTTTTAATTATTATACCATGTAATGTACTATTCTGCTATTTTTAGATACAACCATTGGCTAGTTTCAGCTGTGAACTTCTAAATAGCGGCAAGCAGAAAAGTCATAGAAAAATCTCTCCTTTCTTGCTCTCTCAATCTTTATTTACTCCCTCTCCTTTTTTCTTCCCCTCTGCAAAGAGTGCAACTGTGATTGTATTTTATCAAGCCCAAGATAATGCTGCTTATAAGACTCATCCATAGATATAATAAAAAGAGAAAAGTATGCCAATTAAATGACACAAGGCTTTTTTTAACTTAGAATTTTTATTTTGTACTTAGTGAAAGAATTCCTTTAAGCTTACTGAGACATAGATATTTCTTTATCATGTATCACTCTTGTACATAGGTAAAAAGGGAAATACAAACAAAATAAATAGACTAAGCTATTCCTAAAGCTATTTTATTCATAATTTAACTCTTCCTAGTCATTTTTTATTCAGATTTTTAAACTGACACATAATAATTGTGCATAAATGTGAAGTATAAGTGATATTTTAATACATCAGTATGATGGATAAAGATCAGTTTGGGGGAATCAGCATATCCATCACCCCAAACATTTGTCATTACTTTATATCAGGAACAATTAAACATCCTCTCTTTTAGCTATTCTGAGATATACCTTATTATTAACTATAGTCACCCTGCTGTGCCACAGTACAGTAGAACTTATTCTTCCTACCTAACTACCTAAGGTATAACTTCCTACCTAACTATAATGTTAGTACCTGTTAACTAACCTCTTTCTCAATCCTCCCATCTACCCTTCCCAGCCTTTGGTAACCACTATTTTACTCTCTACTCTCTACTTTTTTTTTTTCTTTTTTTGAGACGGAGTCTCACTTTGTCACCCAGGCTGAAGTGCAGTGGCGCTATCTCAGTTCACTGCAACCTCTGCCTCCTGGGTTCCAGCGATTCTCCTGCCTCAGCCTCCCAAGTAGCTGGGATTACAGGTGTGCACCACCATGCCTGGCTAATTTTTGTATTTTTTTAGTAGAGACAGGGTTTCTCCATATTGGCCAGGTTGGTCTCGAACTCCTGACCTCCTGATCTGCCCACCTCAGCCTCCCAAAGTGCTGGGATTACAGGCATGGGCCACTGTGCCAGGCCTTGTACTTTCTAATTTTATGAGATCAACTTTTTAATCTCCCACATATTAGTGACAACATGTGGTATTTGTCTTTCTGATCTTGGCTTCTTTCACTTGATATAATGTCTTCCAGTCTCATCCATATCACCACAAATGACAGGATTTCATACTTTTATGGTTGAATAATATTCCATTGTGTATATATACCATATTTTCTTTATCCATTCATCCATTGATGGACATGTAGGTTGATTCCATATCTTGGCTATTGTGAATAGTGATGCAATTAACATGGGAGTGGAGATATCTCTTCAACATACTAATTTCCTTTCCTTTGGATAAACACTCAGTAGTGGGATTGCTGGATCATATGGTAGTTCTATTTTTAGTTTATTGAGGAAACTTCATACTGTTTTCCATAATGGCTGTACCAATTTACATTCCCACCAACAGTGTATAAGAATTCCTCTTTCTTCCAATTCTTACCAACATTGGTCATTTATTGTCTTTTGGATATGTCTTTTGGATATTGTCTTTTATCTATGGTCTTTTTTTGAGAAATATCTATTTAGATCATTTGCCCATTTTAAAATAGATTTTTTATTAGGAAGTTTCCTCAAAAAACTAAAAATACAACTACCACATTATTTTCAAATGGGTTAATGATCTGAATAGATATTTCTCAAATATATATATATATATATATATTTCTTTGCTATTGAGTTGTTTAAGGTCTTTCTATATTCTGGATATGAATCCTTTGTTGGATGGATAGTTTGCAAATAGTTTATCCAATTCTGTAGGTTATCTCTTCACTCTATTGATTGTTTCCTTTGCTGTGTAGAAGATTTTTAGTTTGATATAATCCCATTTATCCCATTTGTCTATTTTTGGGTGTTTTTTGCCTGTACTTTTGAGGTCTAATCCAGAAAAATCTTTGCCTAGACCAATGTCCTGACTAATTTAACTCTAAATTTTCTTCTAGTAGTTTTATAGTTTCAAGCCTTACATTGAAGTCTTTAATACATTTTGAGTTGATTTTTATATATGGTAAAAGAAAATGGTCTAGTTTCCTTCTTGTGCATAAGAAGATTCAGTTTTCCCAGCATCATTTATTGAAGAGATATTTTTTACCACATTGTGTGTTCTTGGCACCTTTGTCAAAAATCACTTGGCTGTAAATACATGGATTTATTTCTGGGTTCTCTATTTTGTTCCTTTTCTCTATGTGTCTGTTTTGGTTACTGCAGCTTTGTGGTATATTTTGAAGTCAGACCGTTTGATGCCTCCACTTTTTTTCTGTTTGTTCAGGACTGCTTTGGCTATTCAGGGTCTTTTTGGTTCTGCATAAATTTTAAGCTTGCTTTTTCTATTTCAGTGAAGAATGTCATTGGTATTTTGACATGAATAGCATTAAATCTGTAGATCACTTTCAGTAGTGTCAACATTTTAAGGATATTAATTCTTTAAATCCATGAACATGGATATCTTTCCATTGTGTGTGTGTGTGTGTGTGTGTGTGTGTGTGTGTGTATGTGCATTCTCTTCAATTTATTTCACTAATGTACTATAGTTTTCATTGTAGAGATCTTTCATCTCCTTGGTTAAAATTATTCCTAGGTACTGTTTTTTGTAGCTACTGTAAATGGGATTGTTTTCTTGATTTCTTTTTCAGATTATTTGCTATTGGTGTATAGAAACACTACTGCATTTGGGCCAGGCACAGTGGCTCATGCCTGTAATCCCAGCACTTTGGGAGGCCAAGGTGGGCGGATCACCTGAGGTCGGGAGTTTGAGACCTGCCTGACCAACATGGCGAAACCCTGTCTCTACTAAAAATACAAAATTAGCCGGGTGTGGTGGCACATGCCTGTAGTCCCAGCTACTCGGGAGGCTGAGGCAGGAGAATAGCTTGAACCTGGGAGGCAGAGGTTGTGGTGAGCCGAGATCGCGCCGTTGCACTCCAGCCTGGGCAACAAGAGCAAAACTCAGTCACACACACACCCACACACACTACACACAGACACACACAGAAAAAAAAAAAAACTACCGCATTTGTATGTTGATTTTGTAGATTTTGTATCCTGCAACTTTTCTGAATCTATCAGTTCTAACAGTTTTTCAGTGGAGTCTTTAAGTTTTTCTAAATATAAGATCTTGCTGTTTGCAAACAGGGACAATCTGCCTTCCTCCTTTCCAATTTGGATGCCTTTAATTTCTTTCTCTTGCTTAATTGCTCTGGCTAGGACTTTCAGTATTATGTTGAATAACAGTGGTGAAAGTGGGCATCCTAATCTTGTTCCATGTCTTAGAAGAAATTCTTTCAACTTTCCCCCATTCGGTATGATGTTAATGTGCATTGTCACATGTGGCGTCGTTGTTACATTTCTTCTATACCTAATTTGTTGAAAGTTTTTTTATGAAAGAATGTTGAATTTTATCAAATGCTTTTTTCTTGGTTTGTTCTTGCTTTTCTAGTTCCCTGAGGTGCATTGTTAGGTTTTTTGAAATCTTTTTTATTTATTTATTTATTTATTTATTTATTTATTTATTTTTTTGGTGTAGGCAGTTTTTGGTATAAACTTCCATCTTAATACTGCTTTTGCTGTATCCCATAGATTTTGGTATATTGTGTTTCCATTTTCATTTGTTTCAAAAATTTTAACCCTTTTCCCGTTTAGAAAAAAAAAAAAGTGCAGCTCACGGCTAGCATTCATTTAATTTTACATAAACATGCTCTTTGAGGCCAAAGCAAATTTGACTGATTTTTCAATGTAAAAATAAAATGTAAAAACTGTTCTTAGAGTTATTTCTAAACAGAACTAACATCAGAATCGTCAGGATCATCAGAATCATCTATTTTCAAAAACTTGGATTCATCAAATGAATCTTTGGCCAACAACTGTTCAAGAACTATGTTAGCATCACATAGGAATGCTACGTTTCCTAGGATTTGACATTTTCAGTGATTGAGAACCACTATATTTTGTAAATGTAAAACCACTACTAAAAACAGAATGCTATAAATAGAATAATGACTTTGTTTCCAAAGTTGATATATGTGAAAATAATAATAAAAGTGAGATATTTTGTGGCAGCGTTATCTTGGGGTAAACAATGCAACTGCAAGTGCGATGGGCAAGAATTCTCCCCACAAATGGGAAAAGGGTTAATTTTCTTCTAAATGTCTTCATTGACCCATTGATCATTTAGGAGCATGTTGTTACATTTCCATGTATTTATACAGTTTCCAAAGTTCCTCTTGTTATTGATCTCTAGTTTTATTCCATTGTAGTGAAAAAAAAGATATTTTATATTATTTTGATTTTTTTTAAACGTATTGAAAGCCAGATGTGCTGGCATGTACCTGTCCTCCCAGCTACGGCAGACTACCGGAGACTGTGGCAGGAGGATAGATTGAGCCCTGGAGTTTTGAGGTCAGCCTAAGCAACATAGCAAGACCTCACCTCTAAGAAAAGAATAAAACAGTTATTGAGACTTATTTTTAGCCTAACAGATGGTTTATTTTAGAAAATGGTCCATTTGCTGATGAGAAGAAGGTGTATTCTGCAACTGTTGGATGAAATGTTCTATAAATGTTAGGTCTATTTAGTCTAGAATTTAGTTTAACTCTGAGGTTTCTGTGTTGATTTTCTGATTGGATAATCTGTCCATTGCTGAATGTAGAGTTTTGAAGTCCCCTACTATTAATATATGGCAGTATATCTTTTTCTTTTGATGTACTAATAGTTGCTTTATAAATTTAGATACTCTAGTTTTGGGTGCATATATATTTATAATCATTATATCCTCTTGCTGAATAGTCTTCTTTACCGTTATAGAATTATCTTGTCTCTTTTTACAGTTTTTGACTTAAAGTCTGTTTTATCTGATGTAAGTATAGTTACTCCTGCTCTCTTTTGATTTCCATTTTCATGAAATATTTTTTTCCATCCTTTCATTTTCAGTCTATGTGTGTCCTTACGGTAAGGTAAGTCTTTTGTAGGTAGCATAGAGTTGGGTCTTGTTTTTTTTATTTATTCAGCCACTCTATATCTTTTCATTAGAAAATTTAATCAATTTATATTCAAGGTAATTACTGATAGGTATGTGCTCAATCCTATCATTTCGTTAGTTGTCTCTATTTGTTTTGTTGATTCTTTGTTCCTTTCTCCCTCTCTTGCTTGCTTTATTTATGGTTTGATATCTTTGTTAGTGGTATGCCTTGGTTCTTTTCTTTATATCTTTCATGTATCAATTTTAGGCTTGTTTTTGCTTTGTAGTTACCCTGAGGCTCACGTAAAATATCTTATAACAGGTTAATTTAAGCAGATAATAGCTAAATTTTGATTGCATACACACTCTACTTTTACTTCCCTTCCTCCCATGTTTTATGTTTTTAATGTCATAGTTTCTATATTTTTAAAATATGTATCCCTTAGAAAATTGCTGTAGCTTTAGTTATTTTTTAATAGTTTTGCCTTTTGACCTTTATACTGAGATATTATTGATTTAGCCACCATTGTTGCAGTATCAGAGTGTTTTGAATTTGAGTGAGTTGTATAATTTCACATATTTTTATGTGACTCATTAGCATCCTCTTCCTTCTGCTTAGAGAACTTCCTTTAGAATGTTTTATAATACAGGTCCTGTGGTGATAAATTCTCTCAGCTATTGTTTGTCTAAGAAAGTCTTTTTCACCCCTGTATTTTTGAAAGACAGCATTGCTGGGTATAGTATTCTTGGTTGAAGGCTTTTTCTTTCAGGATTTTGAATATATGCTCCTACTCCCTTCTACATTGCAAGGCTTCTGCTGAGAAGGATGCGGATAGTCTTATGAGAATTCCCCTATATGTGACAATTTACTTTTCTCTTTCTGCTTTCAATATTCCCTCTTTGTCTTTAACTTTTGACAATTTGACTATGATGTATAGTGGTGTGAGTCTCTTTGGGATCTTACTTGGTGTGCTTTCAGCTTCCTAAATGTGGTTTCCTAATTACTTTTCCAGACTTGAGAAGTTTTCCGCCATTATTTCTTTGATTATATTTTCTGTCCTTTCCTCTCTTTTTCTTCCTTCTGGCATGTCAATACCGTGTAAGTTGTTCCGTATGATAGTTTCTCGTAAGTCTCTTAAGCTATATTCATGTTTTTTCCATTGTTTTTCTCCTCAGAATGGGGGATTTCTAGAGATATGTCTTAAAATAAAGGACCCTTTCTTCTGCTTGATCTAGACTATTGTTGGACTCCTCTGCCAACTTTTTCAGTTTAGTTATAGCATTCTTCATATCTACTGTTTTCTTTTGGTACTGTTTTTGTTGAAGGTCTCAGCTTATTCTTGCATTGCTGTCTTGACCTCCTTTAGCATCTTTATGACTATTATCTTTAATTTCCTGTTAGTTAAATCACAGAATTTCATTTAATTTGAGTCAGTTTCTGGAGGTTTATTTTATTCTTTTGTTTGGAATATATTCCCCCATTTCTTCATTTTTCTTGACTCTCTGTGTTAGTTTCTGTACATTAAATAAGATAACTACCTCTCTTCACCTTGTTAGACTAGCCTTGTGTAGAAGGTTTTCACCAATATATGCAGCCAAAGATTTTTTTTTTTTTTGAGATGGAGTCTCGCCCTGTCACCAGGCTGGAGTGCAGTGGCACAATCTAGGCTCACTGCAACCTCAGCCTCCTGGGTTCTTCTGCCTCAGCCTCCCGAGTAGCTGGGACTACAGGTGCGTGCCACCACACCCAGCTAATTAGCTAATTTTTGTATTTTTTTTAGTAAAGACAGGGTTTCACCATGTTGGCCAGGGTGGTCTCGATCTCTTGACCTCGTGATCCACCCACCTCGGCCTCCCAAAGTGCTGGGATTACAGGCATGAGCCACTGTACCCGGCCGCAGTCAAAGTTTTTTAAGGTGCCTCTCAAATCTGTGTTTGTCCAGGGTGCTATCTCTGTTTTTGGTGGCTTCTAGAGCTTAGGATATGCCAAGTCATCAGTACCCTGAGACTAGTATGATAGAAGCCAGGCTTTTTAGTTGTAGCTGAAAAGGTTGGTGTGTTGGATGTGTCTTTCAGTTCTTTCTATCTTCATGATGGGGCTGGGTGAAGGTGTTTATCTCTCTGCATTAAGCTGGGAAGAGGATCTGTGGAAAATGCTGTACTCACAATTCAGGCTGCACCTTCTGATCCTGGAGGGATAGCTGCTAGGAGTGTGCCTGTTATACATCTACCTGTTTGATTTCTATAATCTTGAGTCACTCAAAATTACAAAGCACTCTCAATTTCCATGGCTAGGTTGTTAAGCAGACAGTCTCTTAGATGGGAGCTGTGGGAGTTGTGAGATTTGGTGCATGGTTGAACTCTTTCTAGGAAGAATATACAGGCACAGATTTATCTCTGGGGTGAGCCAGGGGAGGTCTTGTGAAATATCAAGCTCTGGCTCTGGCTACTAAAGGGTTGTTGTTTGTTTGATCCATTAGCTCCCTGATGCATGTTCACTGGAGACCAGTTGACCAAGTAGCCACTGGGAATGTGTGTTACACATTCCTTCCAGAGAGAAAGTTAGAGCTGCACATTCTGAACCTTTTTCTGCACTGTTCCAAAGGAGTATAACCTCTAGAAGTGGTTGGACACCTGTTTAAAACCATTGGTTTGTTCTGTGATCAAGGGAGACTTGGATATGACTAGTCCCTTCTGTTCCCATATTTACTAGGTTTAAGAAGGAGTCTTTCAGGAGGTAGCTTAACAATTGGGGCTTTTGCCAGGTGCGGTGGTTCATGCCTATAATCCCAGCTCTCAGGGAGGCAGAGGTGGGAGGATAGCTTGAGCCCAGGAGTTCGAGACCTGCCTGGGCAATATAGTGAGACCCCATTCTCCACAAAAAGGAAGAAAAAATAAAGACAAAAAAAAAACTATTGGGGCTTTTGATGTGTGTCTTAAATCCCTTCTGGAGAGAAACAAGGGGTTGCGTTGTATTTATTTATTTATTTATTTTTTATTTTTTTGAGTCGGAGTCTTGCTCTGTCGCCCAGGCTGGAGGGCAGTGGCACAATCTAGGCTCACTGCAACTCTGCCTCCCCCATTCAAGTGATTCTCCTGCCTCAGCCTCCCAAGTAGCTGGGATTACAGGAATGAGCCAGCACGCCCGGCTAATTTTTGTATTTTTAGTAGAGATGGGGTTTCACCATGTTGGTTAGGCTGGTCTCAAACTCCTGACCTCAGGTGATCCGCCCACCTCAGCTCCCAAAATGCTGGGATTACAGGCGTGAGACACTGCATGGGACAGAGTTTTATTTATTTTTTAATTTATTATTTATTATTTATTATTTATTTTTTGAGACAGGGTCTTATTCTCACCCAGACTGGAGTGCAGTGGTGTGATCTCAGCTCACTGCAACCTCTGCCTCCCAGATTCAAGCAATTCTCCTGCCTTAGCCTCCAGAGCAGCTGGAACTATAGGCATGCGCCACCAAGCCCAGCTAATTTTTATATTTTTGGTAGAGACGAAGTTTTACTATGTTGGCCATGCTGGTCTCTAACTCCTGACCTCAAGTGATCCACCCGCCTCGGCCTCCCAAAGTGCTGGGATTACAGGCGTGAGCCACTGCACCTGACCCGGGTTGAGTTTTTAAAGCCCTTTCTCTGTACCACTCTAGGGGGATAAAGACGCTGGAAGTGATTGTACTCCCATTTTAAAATGTGACTTTTTCCCTGCAGTCTGGAGAGATGTGTATGCCAGTCTCTTCTTTCAGTTTGGAGATTTAGGATGCCATTTCTTAGGTGGATAGTATAAAAGTTAGGGATCTCAGTGTGAGTGCACATTTTTCCCAGGCTGACAGCAGGTTAATAACTAACTATCCATTTAACTCCCCAATACAAGTTAGAAGTCAGACCACCAAGCAGCCTCTGGAGGGGTGTTTCATAAACCCCTTCCAGAGGGAAATGGCTGTGTTTTTAAGTTCCTTAATGGCATTATTCCCAGGGGTGTGGAATCCTTTAAAGAGCTTGCATGCCCATATAAAACAACCTTTTATTTTCCCCCTGCAGTTTAGAAAAACACGTGTATGCCAGTCGTTCAGCTCCCTGAGCTAAGAGATTTAGAATGCAGTCCCTTAAGTGGATATTGTAAGAGTTAGGGTCCTTGGGGTGAGTGCAAAACTCCTCCCAGACTGGTGGTGGGTTAAAAATTGACTGTCTAAGGCTAGAAGGGGTGGCTCACGCCTGTAATCCCAGCACTTTGAGAGGCCAAAGCTGGAGGATTGCTTGAGCACAGGAGTTCAAGACCAGCCTGGGCAACATAGCAAGACCTCCTCGTCTCTACTGAAAATAAAAAAAATTTAGCAGTGTGGTAGTGTGTGCCTATGGTCCCAGCTACTTGAGAAGCCAAGGCAGGGGAATCGCATGAGCCCAGGAAGTTGAGGCTGCAGTGGGCCCAGATTGTACCACTGCACTCCAGCTTGGGCGACAGAGAAAGAACCTGTCTCAAAAAAAGAAAAAAAAAATTGACTGTCTGTTTAACTCCCTGATGCAAGTTAGTTAGAAGCCAGGTCACTATACAGCCACTAGAGAAATACTTTTTATAAAGAAATGTTTTTTATACCCCTTCTAGGCTGAAACAGAGGGCTATGGTTTGTTTTTTTGTTTTGAGACAGAGTCTCGCTCTATCGTCCAGGCTGGAGGGCAGTGGCTCAATCTCGGCTCACTGCAACCTCCGCCTCTGAGGTTAAAGGGATTCTTCTGCCTCAGCCTCCCGAGTAGCTGGGACTATAGGCATGCACCACCACGCCCGGCCAGCTTTTATATTTTTAGTAGAGATGGGGTTTCACCATGTTGGTCAGGCAGGTCTCAAACTCCTGACCTTGAGTGATCCACCTGCCTCAGCCTCCCAAAGTGCTGGGATTACAGGTGTGAGCCACTGTGCCCAGTGAGGGCTATGGTTTTTTAAGCTCCTACTCTGCACTGCTCCCAGAGGGATGTAGTCCTTGGAAGAGCAGACTCACTCTTATAAAACCACCACTTTTTTTCATGTAGTCTAGAGAGAACTAGCACGTGTCTAATCCCTTCCACTCCCATAGTTGGTGAATTGAGTCAAACTGTGGGGAAACAGCATTACAGTCCTGTATGTGAGGTCCAGATCCTCCTTTCCTCGGAGGGAAACTGGTTGTTTGAGATTTCTTTCCCAATTTATGGAGCAGAGCCCGGCTGGTGTGGGGTTCATGCCTAAGTGTGCCTCAGCTTTTCCTACCCCTTCAGTGTGGATGTTTCCTTAGTTGCATGGTGGGTAGGAGTCTCTCAGTTGGTCTCTGATTTTCTCTCAGAGGGAATTTATCTGTGAATGGATGTTTATTTGATGGATCTATGGGTGGTAGGAGAGTCAGGAGCTTCTATTGCACCATGTTGGTGGCGTCACTCCTGATTCAGGATTTTCAACCCACACAATATTGTTCTCTGTGCTATCAAAAATGTTGTATTTGCAGCACAATAGTGCTCCACTGTTTTCTGTGGGAATGTCTTTCAACTCCTAGCCATCTGTTTCTGCAAATGCTGTAATTCCTTGATCCCACCAGACCTCAAGGGAAGGTTTTCAGACAAAAGCCAGAATTTATATTTCTTCCTCAAATTATCTTTTAACTGTTTTCTGACTAAAATGTTGAAGGGTTGCAGTGATCCAGTCATGCTTACAGAGCATCAGCATAATTCCAGGTTGTGTGAACAGAAGCAATGACAATTGTGTCAGGACTTCCACCTGCCCAACAGTGATTGGAAGATGTCATTGACTATACAATTTCAGAGAAGTTAAAATGGGAAAGAGGAAGCACATTCTAGAATTGACGATATAGCCTTTATTCAATTTCCACTGCATGCAGGGATGATATAGTTTAGGTGTGTGTCTCTTCCCAAATCTCATTGAAACGTAATCCCCAATGTTGGAGGTAGGGCCTGGTAGGAGGTTACTGGATCATGGGGCAGAACCCTCATGAATGGTTCAGCACCATCCCTCTTGGTGCTATTCTCATGATAGTAAGTGAGTTCCTGTGAGATCTGGTCATTTAAAAGTGTGTGGCACTTCCCCCTCTCTCCCTTGCTCCTGCTCTGACCATGTGATGTTCTTGTTCCCCCTTCACCTTCCGCCATGATTGTAAGTTTCCTAAGGCCTCACCAGAAGCCAAGAAGATGCCAGCAAGATGCTTCCTGTACAGCCTATAAAACCATGAGCCAATTAAACCTCTTTTCTTCATGAATTATCCAGTCTCAGGTATTTCTTTATGGCAATATGAGAATGGCCCAATACAAGAAAATAGTGGGAATGAGGTAGAAGGCTAGGGATTAAGGCTGGGGTTATTCCAAGCCTGAGTGTTAGTGTCTTCTCAAGATTACCCACACAGTGCTCTGCAAAGACTCAGGCAGTGTTTGTAGGCAGATCTCAATGTTTTTAAGGGACGTGCTGGACCATTTAAAGGTCTTCAGCAGCTGTCTCATGCAACATGAGCCTATGTTTAAATTAGCACCCAGTTTTCATTTTATTTCAATCCATTTCTAATTTATAATGATTCATTCTTACAGAAATTAACCTACCTTAAGATAAATCAAGTTCCTTTGTTTGTCTCCCCACTCTAGAGTTCGAACACATTAGACAGTATTAGGAGTATTCCGCTAAAGTGAAAGGGAATCTAAGCCACCCACCTGAAAATAGATATATGAGAACCTGCCTCTACCTTTATATTGAAGCAAGATCAATTTGTTGATTTCATTGAAGTTCTTATACATTGGAGACATGGTTTAATTAATTATTTATACAGGAATGCAAAATGAAACCCAAAAGTCAGCAAACGGCAGTATGTTTTATGGATTGAAACAAGGAAAAAAAAACTTCCCAAATTGGACAACTTCATTTAGGGCAGAGGAAAGGGAAAGGCATAAGAAAAGAAGGGAGGAGAAAGAGTGTAAAGTGAGGAGTCATCTCCAAACAGGTAAAATATTTCCATGTTTTTCAAGCACACATTCTATTTAGAATTGGCAAGACTGTTTTATTCAAAAAAAGGCCTTAAGAGATCTGCAAGTAGGAAAGAATTTAATAAAAGTATCAAATATTTGTCTATATTTCTGCGATACTTAACACTTCCTTCACATGTAAGCATTTGATCTACAGCCTTATTATACAGTAATTCTTAAATCATACAAGCTAGTCTCTAGCCCTGCCCATGTTCAAATTCTCACAAATCTTGTCTTAATGAAACATAAAGTACTGGGTAGGTGGGAGAGAGGGGTGCATATTGCAAATAGGCTCTGGGTGTTGGCCAAGCCACTTAGCATGAGGGGGTAAAAAGCTAAGCATACATGTGACATGAGGGCAATGAAATAAGGATCTGTGGCTGATTTCAGGGACCAGCAGTTGTGCCACTGCTGAAACCCCAATTTCCTCCAACTCCCTTTCCATCCACAACGAAATCTCAAGTGACTCCTGAACTGTACTGAGGGCAGTTGTTACAGCTGCTATAATTCATTCTCTCCCTATCTCTGTCTCAGCAATGTGGGAGCTTTCCTGTCTTCAAACTTGCTATGCACACATGCACGTATGCACGCTTGTGTACATGCACATACAACACACACAGTGGCTGATGCTCACTGAGCTCTTCTGAGTTTCCTCTGCCCCACGGTGGCCTTCCCCTACTCTGCTTCCCTCCCGTTTCTGTGCCAGAGCTAAGGCTTCTCTTGCCTCTCCAGGGGAAATTATCTTTCCAACAGCCAGTCTCCTCCCCAAATTTAGTCCTTCCTTCTCTGGGGGACTCAATACATTGTTAATGGTTATAAAATCATATCATCTTCATTTTTTTAAAGAGACAGCATAGGCAGGGCAGACAGGGTGAGGGCCAAGGAATAGGCAGCCTTTACTCATTTACCATGCTTAAATTCCCTATGTGGTTATGTGACCCTGGGCCTTACAATCAGTAACACATGATCTTGGCCCCCTTGATTTCTCTATCCATGCAATGACAGTCTGTGCATCCTGCCAGCCAGAGGGTTATAAAGAGTAACTACCCAGCATGCTTAGCTTTGTTCCAAGCTACCAGCAATTATTTCAGGATAGGATGAGGTACTATGTCAGATACCCATAGGTTCAGAATCCTGAAGCCTACATTTCAATGAAGCAATGTAGCTGCTGATTTACATGTTTGTGTACATTGAAAGCATGTCTGTTAAAAAAAGCTCATTACCTTGAGCTGCCATTCATTAGCTTTAGTGTTTTCTGTTTCTGTGAGGTTCATGAGAGGCTGGGAGATGGCACACATTTCTGGTTTATGTGGATCCTCATTCTAAATTTAAACTGAAACACAGATGAAACTGGATTTCACTTGATTTCCACCTTAAGCCATAATTCATCTCAGGTTTATTTGAAATGTTCCCTTATCTAGTGTAGGACTTGAGGCAGGTCACGGAGAGGTTCATGAGCCTCAGCAAAAACTTCTCAGCAAACTTGACCTGAATTTGAGGTTTTGATTCAGAAGTCTGAAGTTTTCATTCAGGAGCTTTGGACAGTCCTCTGCTATCTCTGGTCACAATCTGAAATCCCATCAGACTCACTTCAGACCATATGGAATAAGGATAGAGACCTCTATGGCTCTTATTCGTTTGCCACACACTCATTCCAATGTTTCTATATCCTCAGCAGGCCTCACTAGGCTTCTACAGAGAACATTTTTTTTTCCTTTTTCTTAAAAAAAAAAAGACAGGTATTAGTCTCCGTGGGTGCTAGAAAATGAACCGGTCAAAAAGACTATCAATTTCTTGACACTCCATTACATGTGTGGAGGGATTTTTTCCAAAGTGCTTTTCCTACCCTCAACAGATGCTCGCTGCTTTTGAATCTAATAACCACTCCCAATTGTATAATGTATTAAGATTTTTGAACTGTTATTTATAATTATCTTGGTAACTTTTCAAGAAGGTTCAACGATATAATTTTAACTTTAAAGGTTGCAACAAAAATCTAAGTCCTTTAAAATACTTCTCTTAAACTGTGTACAAATTTGTAATAAATAAGACAATATAAAATTGTATATTTTTTAAGTCTGGGATTTATACCACTGAGTTTCCCGATGCCAGTTATTGTCCCTATGTGAGAATCTATTTCCATTACAAGTTCTCATTTATACTCAAATTACTTTTATTTTTACAGTGAACTATATTTTGTTACTGCTTTCAGTATAGGTAATAGTAGATCATAAGATGAAATGGAGCAAACCCACATAAAGAAGTTTTTATTAGTTTTGACAATTGGGAGAAATTCTTATTTCCTTTGGTGAATAATTCCAGTGAAGGCTTTTTCTCAGTTATAGGGCCTTGACAGACATCTGGCTGCAAAGTATTGGGTTTTTCCTGAGAATAGTGCTTTATAGTTGATTTCCAAGTTATTTCTCAAATCCTCAGGAAACAGATTAGCTTTGCAGCACAGCCTTATTTATTCAAACATATTAGAAATCAAAGTGAGTTTGAACTGGTTAAATGAATTGAAGACTATTTGTAAAGAAACACATCTGGATCCCTTTTCAGGCTATATGGTCATTGAAACGTGGCTAACAAAGTTACTAAGCCAAATCCTTTGAAGGAAACTCATGAATTGAAAAGGAATTTGAGAATAAATTATAATTAACAAGTCTGTTGTTTCCAATAAGTGGGTTATTGAAAACTGTTCCCTTAAGATTTCATGCCTGTAATCCCAGCACTTTGGGAGGCCAAGGTGGGCGGATCACGAGGTCAGAAGATCGAGACCATCCTGGCTAACACGGTGAAACCCCGTCTCTACTAAAAATACCAAAAAATGTTAGCCAGGCATGGTGACGGGTGCCTGTAGTCCCAGCTACTGGGGAGGCTGAGGCAGGAGAATGGTGTGAACCCAGGAGGCAGAGCTTGCAGTGAGCCGGGATCTCGCCACTGCACTCCAGTCTGGGCGAGAGAGCAAGACTCCATCTCAAAAAAAAAAAAAAAAAAAAAAAAAAATTTCAGACTTTCCCCAAGTCTAGTTTTTACTATTAATTTTCTGGGTGCACTTTGTATTCCTAGAGAATGTCTCAGTCCAGCTTTGGAATCAGTGAGGTTTGTGAGCAACTGGAGGCACTGTCCCACCCCTAGGCTGCTGCCTCCCTAGCTAGTTCAGGTATCACTGCTGGCTACATTTTCTATTTTCTCTTCCATTACCACCACATCCCAGGCAAATAAATAACCCCACACACACATCACCTTCATGTTCTCTGGTCCTCAATAGGCTAATTTTCTCCAACCCAAGATCACCATCAAGCTTAAAACCTCTTCGATCTGTCTTTATTCCTCTTCCCCAGGGTTCAGTCATGGACCACACACACACACAAAAATCCAGCCAATGATTTCACAACAATCTCACTAACTTATCTTTATGCCTTTCCATTTCCTTGGTCAGAATGTGGCCTCAGCAACTGATCTTTTGACACCTGCCCTAGCCACAGCCTCCCAGGCACCCTCTTCACCTCTAACCATCTTCCTATCAATCCATCCCTTAGAAGACTGAGAAATTATTTCTCTGCTCAAAAACCTCCCATGACTCCTATTGCCTGAGCGCAGACCTCCTGGCCCAGCCTTTGGGAGCCTTCACATTTGATTCCAGTTCTTTCCAAGGTGAGCTCCAGATTTTTCTCTGGGTATACCTTGCACTTGAGCAAAGCAGATGATTTGCTGTTCCCCAAATACACTGTAGGCCTTAAAACCTCTTAACATATTCTCATGCCACTCTGTGAGACTGAAATGCCTTTCTCCCATTTTCTTCTCAAATTCCTTTCATCCCTCAGAGTCCCAAAACAAATATCCCACTCCAAGGTGGGCGGCGGTGTATAATGACTTACAGGCATATTTTACAGGAAAGCACTAGCCATATTTATAAATAGGTGATTACTGAGTGCCTTTGTAAAGGTGTATATCATATGTGCATGTGCTCACAAGACACTTTACAGTTAACAAAGAACTTTCACCCATATTATCTCATTTAATTTTATGCCAAACCCATGATATGGACAATATCAACAGTTGACAAATGAAGAAGCTAAATCTGGGAAAGTTACAAGGATTGCCCCAGCTCACTCAGCTAAAAAGTAACAGAAGCAGAATTCACACACAGGTCTGGTAATAACAACTCCAGGGCTTTCAACCATGTCACAATTCTAATGGGACAGTGTCATGGATGAAATAACATGGATGAAATACCTTCCATAGCAGATGGGAAAAGACGCCAGGCCACAGAGGGTCATGGAAGTTTTCTGAGTAGAGCGGTGACATGATCAAAGCGCTGTGGCAGGAAGATTGATCTGGTGGTGCTGCAGGGCAGGGGCAGGGAAGCCCCGCTGGAAACCAGCTCCAGTGCCTCTAAACTCCTGTGACTCTTTGTTTACGCTCCCCAGGAAACATTTATCTGGTGCTGCAAATTGGTTATTTATTTGTTTATTTACTCCTTTCCTACTAACACTTTCTGCTTTAGAGCAGAAAGAATTTAAGGTGGCTTTAAACTGCCTTACATTTCACAACTATACTAATACAATTAAATCTTATCTGCTTTGTTTGATTTTAAGCCTTGAGCATAAAGTATATGTAACTTACATCTTCATAATCAGATGTTTGACATGGGGCCATGTTGATAGTGATGTCCAAAATCCAATGAATGAATGAATGGCCTCTGAGAGGTTTCTGCTAAAGATAGGATGGGATAAATTACAGTATTTGATACTTCAAAATAATGTGCAGCCTTTAGTTGAATGAAGCAGATCTATTATGAATTGAAAAGGTGAGGAGACGGCGATACACTTTGAGTCATAAGATACATACATGGATCTGAAAAAAAATCGTGTGCATATGTGTATGTGTGTGGTGCACAATTTCATAAATTCACCCATCACATAAAATTATTAACACTGGTTGCCTCTGGGAAAATTACTTGGATTATGGGAAGAGTCATGTAGACTTTTAGGTTACAGATTGTATCCAGAGGTTATATAATTCTGTATAGTTTTGTACACACTAGAAAACACATTTTACCATGAGTTTGTATGACTTTTGTGTGCACAGAGAATTTGGTAATGTAAACCATATATAACCAAGGGCTAAAACTACAGTTTCCTGTTGTCTTGTTGCCCCAGCCAAGGTTTAAAAGTAACTTGTAGTATAATATCTCTCATGTGCTACATATCTTTGAAACCACCTTTGCAAAATTATGACAGTAAGAGAAATCTGACATGGCGGACTCCATCTTGCTTCTAGCCTCAACTCCTGGCTGTCTTCCATCATTCCTGAGCATTGGCCAAGCTAACTTTGGGAGAAATTCAGTTTATAGTTAAATGATAATAGTCCTTCCCCCAAGCTACACTGCCCTTGTAAAACTAATGAAAGTCCACTAAGCTAAGAAGATAAGAGGGGCCTGAATTCTACTAATATGTAGGTGTAGTGAAATAATTACCAACAATTATTCCAGAGGCCACAAGATTTGCAAATTCCCCAATTACTCCTGTGGATAACATCACTATTTGTAGAACCTAAGGTTGGCCTTTTGAGATGTCTTTTCTTTTTTTTTTTTTTTGAGGCAGAGTCTCACTCTGTCACCCAGAATGGAGTGCAGTGGTGCGATCTCGGCTCACTGCAAGCTCTGCCTCCTGGGTTCACGCCATTCTCCTGCCTCAGCCTGCCGAGTAGCTGGGACTACAGGTGCCCACCAGCACGCCCAGCTAATTTTTTGTAGAGACGGGGTTCCACCATGTTAGCCAGGGTGGTTTCGATCTCCTGACCTTGTGATCCACCCGCCTCGGCCTCCTAAAGTGCTGGGATTACAGGCGTGAGCCACCACACCCGGCCTGAGACATCTTTTCAGGTTTTTGCATTTCTGATGGCAGATGACTCCACTCAAACTTGACAACCGGCCTTGTGACCCCCACCCAGGAACTGATTCAGTTCAAGAGGACAGCTTCCCTGTGATTTCGTCTCCAACCCAACCAATCATCATTTCCCCACTCCCAGGTCCCCTACCTTCCAAATTATCCTTGAAAAACTCTAGTTTCCAAATTTTCAAGGAGACTGATTTGAGTAATAATAAAACTCCAGTCTCTTTTTAGCTAGCTCTGAGTGAATTACTCTTTCTCTATTGCAATTCCCCTGTCTTAATAAATGGGCTCTGTCTGGGCAGCAAGCAAAATGAACCCACTGGGTGGTTACATCTTCATTAGCTTAGTCCTGGAGATTCTTTTCAGCTTGTAACCAAGATCTACCTTTCAGTTTAACTTCCTGCTCCATGTTGCCTGCCCTACAGATAGGCACAAAAGATACCCCATACATGGGCTCCTGGTTCCTTTTTGTCTTTCTTTTTTTCCAGGAATTTTAATTGTACACACTGGCTCCTCCTGATTTGATCTCCTTCTGCTTGGGACTAGCAACTTGGATCCAGCTCAGCTGCCAGAAATAGCCTCCTCTGGTAAAGTTCTGCAATGTTTATTGACATTTTGGGTACAGGTCCTTCAGACCTTAGTTACATGTGTTAAACCACCTTAGATCTGTCCTTTTTCTTTAAGTAGAAAAAAATACCATCACATCTAATTCATTCCACTCTCCACCTCTCTGCCATTGCCACCCCCAGAACAACAGCCACTATTTTTCAGAAAGAAATTATTTTTTGTGTATTTATTTTTTGAGGGGGTGGTGCTCACCCTGTTGCCCAGGCTGGTCTTGAACTCCTGACCTCCAGTGATCCTCCTGCCTCAGCCTCTCAAGTAGCTGGGATTACAGGCATGAGCCATCATGCCCGGTGGAGGGAAATTATTTTTCTTATAAATTTAACTGTGCTTTCTAACAATGAGAAAGTACAAGATCAAGTGGTAACAATTTTAACTATAAAAATCCGAATAGTAGTTAAAACTAGGATTTCCTTCATTAGTCATTGATCTTTCTTTTCCTTGCATTTGAGTGTTTTTGTTTTGAAAAGTATAGTTTTTCTCTGAAATCATTCCTACTTATTCACCCACCACAGAATACCTTCCTTAAATTTCATTAGATCTCACTTATGTTCAATTCTTGTAACATGCTAATGATGATCAAAATAGTCTGGCCTCATCTGAGAGCTGTGTGTAATTTTGTCCTGTTTGACCAGGTGAACTGCATCATAAACACTGAGGCTATTGAATACATCTTTAGAGATCTGAGGAGGCTGTAGCTCACAGACACTCTCTACCATTACTGTCACCATCTTTTCTACTTCCCTCAACTTCTTACTGAGCAGGATGGAGCCTCAGGGGCACTGTAGCCCTCGCAGTCAAGTCTGAAATTAAGATCCCTTTTCCAAAGAAACATCAAAAATACCCCTACGTGCTCTACCATCCCCACTCCTCACATACCTGCCACAGGTTGTATCATACCTGACATGCTCCTGATCACACCTGAGATGTGTAGAGCTAAACTGAGGGCACTAGGCAAAGCTTTGACAACAGATCCTCTAGAAAAATTCAGAACAGATTTGTGGAGTTCACGGTGAATTGTACTTGTGCTACTTTGATTTCACCAAGAATCCACTTTCCAGGCAGATTTATTCTCTCTTACCTCTCTGCCCTGAAAATTGAATCAAGTCGCGGGTTTAATATTTTGCAGTCGCAGATTCCTTGAGAACCTGATGAAAACCGTGGGAACTCCTCTTCCTGAAAAATGCACTTCTGTTCATACACATGAAAATGAACAACTTCAAGTCATTTGTCTCTCCCAAGGCTCCTCTCCTAAAGGTTCTTTCTTAGATCCTAGGTTAAGAACCTGTAAATAAAGGAAAGAAATTGATCTTCTAGAGCGAAGTGTAAAGTAAAAAGATTCTGAATGGAGCTCATAGATGATTCTCACAGGACAGAGGATGAGGCAGGAGATGGTGGCATTTAGGGAAACAGTAAAAGAGGTGGTAAAATAAAGAATTATAAGCATATGAGTGAGGCTGGGCTCTATCCTATATCAACCTTGGACAAGTTACTTAACCTCCCCTAAACCTCATTGTCCCTAACTATATAATGGGGATAATTACAGTTTCTTGGGGATGGTTAGTGAGTGAGGTAATTATGAAGCGCTTCTTACAATGCCTGCACAAATTCTACCTATTAACGTTTCAGGCACTGAAAGGATTCTTTATATTGTAGTGTGAATTAAAATACTAAGCCTGAGCAACAGAGTGAGACCCCATCTCTGCAAAGAAAAAAAAATTTTTTTTTGAGACTGGCTCCCATTCTGTCCCCCAGGCTGGAATGCAGTGGCACAATCTCGGCTCACAGCAACCTCTGCTTCCCAGGCTCAAGCGATGCTTCCACCTCAGCCTCCCGAATAGCTGGGACCACAGGCACGCACCACCAAGTCTGGTGAATTTTTTGTATTTTTGGCAGAGATGGGGTTTCACCACGTTGCTCAGGCTAGTATCGAAATCCTGAGCTCAAGCGATCCACCCACCTCTGCATTCCAAAGTGCTGGGATTACAGGCATGAGGCACCACATCCGGCCTCTACAAAAAAAAAAAAACTTCTAAAAATTAGCCAGGCATGGTGGCGCATGCCTGTAGTCATGCCTCAGCTACTTGGGAAGCTGAGGCAGGAGGATCCCTTGAGCCCAGGAGGTCGAAGCTACAATGAGCCGCATTTGCAGACTACACTCCAGCCTGGGCAACAGAGTGAGACCCTGTCTTAAAAAAAAAAAAAAAAAAAAGAAAAAAGAAAGAAAGAAAAAAGTAATGCTAGCTCACTGAAAGCAATTTGCACTTTGAACCCCCTTTCACTGCAGGAAGTCATCTCTGTCAGTCCTTGGTTAAAAGGTGGATGGGCACAAGGTAAAGGAGAAAGACACCTTTGTACTCTTGCATCTTTGAAACAGCTAAGTTAGACTTGCATGAAGATTAATATTGAAAGCCAAGGGAGAAGGACTGCAGCAGAGATTTCAGAGTAAGGAGGCACATCTGGTCCCGGGTCTCAAGCCATCTGTGTGCTCCCAGCTTTATTTGAACACAATGATTAAAATACGTATGTGGCCAGCCACAGGCATGGTGTTCGGTCATCCGGAAGAAAGGTCCTGTGGCTCAGCCCACAAACCTAAACTGAGCAAAGATGTCAACTTCATGAGTTAAAAAATATTGCTTCAAATGGCAAGCATGCTGACAGTATATCTAGAACAAAGGAGCACTGCTATGTTGTAAACATAGTTGCTGTCGTGCAGAGGCATTAGTAACCAAGTAGGACAAATGTTAAGCTGATCTGTGAGGTGGCCAGAATCTTGAGGCCTTTGGGTACTGATGGTAACAATGCTTCATGATTTGGCCATGTAATACATCGTCCTGACCACTGCTTTTGATAGAATTTCATTATTGTGATAAGTAATGTGGTTAAAAGAGCCAAGCATGGGTTTCTCATTCACCTTGCTCTGTTTTCATTCTACTGGCTTCCATGGTCCGAGAGAGCCTTCTTGTCTCCCCTGTTAACTCTCCATGGAAAGTATGTAGCACCTTTAAAATGATGACTTACTGATGTTTGAGGAGATTGAAGCTTTTCTTTATTAATTTCTATATCAGTATTCTCAAATGCTTGAAGGATATGTAAAGATTTTATTTCATATTCTATCAAAACAGATGTATAACACTTCTAGTTTAATCATTCAGGTGCGTATAATCTTAAAACATTGAAAGGAAGACAGCTGTATGTGTGCTTATTTTTTCTTAGTGTATATATATGTTACAAACATATCAAGCTGTTTGATGAATATTTATGTTTCTGGATTTCATTTTATTTCTAGGAATGAAATCTGAAACAGCTCTGAGATTATTTAAGTAGATTACTTAAAGCAAAACATTGATTGTGCAACTTGTTTTGTTTTTTAAATATTTAAAGGCCCATGAGTTGTTTGACCCTGCAAACAAGAGATGTTGGTTTCTAACTTGGTCTGATCTTCATTAACAACTATTCCTTTCTTATAAACAGAAGGGATAGAGAGGCAAAGCAGTCTGACTTCTTCCAAATCTTATGCTTCTCACTCCAATTTCTCTCTCTCTCTGTTTTTGGTATGGTAGCCAGTTAACTTTTTAATGGATTTGTTAACTGTCGGTTAAGAGGGCAATTACATTTTGGAATCTTCACTTTATGAGAATTCCAAGGATTTGTAGGACTGTCTGTGATAAGTGACAATGTTTATTCTAAGGGAATGCTAAAGGAGCCTAAGTTCATTGGTGCGTATTTCACATTTTGTTTTGTTTCTTTGATTAATTGAAAACTCTTACAGGTCAAGCGGGCTTTTTAAAAAATGAAAGGTCTCATTCCAGGGAGAGGCCCATTGTATTTGTGAATGAATTAAAAGTTTATTGAAGAAAAGGGTAGAGTGTATTTCAATCACTGTTAATTGAAGTGGAGCTAATAAGCTAAGAAGTAAAACATTATTAAATTCCCAGGTATGTTTTACAGGATATGCCAATATCTTGAATATCTTTTTCTTGGTAATTCCAAAGGTCGGAGGTTTTGTTTATTTGTTTGTTTTTACTAAGTATTTTACTATATAAACTTTTTCCTAGAAAAGCTTTCATAGTCGTAGGGTTTCAAAATATTAATCAATTTAGTAAAAGATCTGGTCAAACTTTGAACATCCACATTTAGTTCAGTAAAGTAGTCATATTTTATGCAATTCTTTCTCAGATGAATAATTTTACTTTTACTAGATATGTAATTTATGTAAAATCATAAAGTTCAGGGGAATGAAATTGCTAAAATGAAGAACTGACTTGCTGTAATGTGTGATAAACTTCTTCTTTGTTTCCATTATTTTTAGTTTGGTTTGGTTTTCTAAGAATTTGCACCCTTAATTTTGGAATTCATTATTTCAAACTTCAATAATCCTGAAAAGGAAAACTCATATTATGGAATTCTTTATGATTTTAATGTGATCATTCCCTTTTACCTAGAAAAGGACAAGAATTTGCCCCTAACTCAGCTAAGTTTATGAAAAAGCTTGAAAAATGGCAAATGTTTTATATAGGCAAAGATATCCACAGTGGCATGACCTTTCCTGCCTTCAAGTTTTATTATTTGAAATGTTCATGCCACTCCTCTAGAAATGCTAACCTTATTTGTCTAAGACTCTTCATTTTTTTTTTTAGGCAAAAGGAGGGAAGTAATTTGCAAGGAGTTTAGCGTTGTGATAATGTACAGGGGTTCATGCTTTAGTGAGAGTTCAGAAATGAATTACAAATAAAGGCAGTTTAGTTTTCTGATCTCTAGAAATGGAGAGGAAGTTCATGGTTTATGAAAGAGAGAAGCAATAATGTGTTTACCTTGTAAGACAGTGAACTGCAGCAGGGAATGAAAATATATACATATGAAAAGGTTAAGACAGTTGTAGTAAAACAACTTAAACAACAAATTTCATGAAGATGAAATGTGAGAGAACATTGAACATTCTCCCTCTTAGTGTTTGGTTCTTAAATACAATTCTAAGACATGTTCTCTTAGGCTTTGTGTTTCATTCTTGCCTCTGTTGCTGATACTAAATGATCAAAAATAAATGTTTGGATGGATTTTGCCTATTCACAATCTCTTGATTGCTCTCGGGATTTAGGAAAGATAAAGTGTGTGGTGTGACAAACACACACCACAAATCCGTACATTTTCAAAAATAACACTGAGATTCAAATGTTGTTCCTCTGCTTTTTTATCTGAAACTGAGAGGTTTACTCCTATTTCCAAAAGATCTTTTAAACTAGATAAGAGTTTTCAACTATCACTTTCCTTTTCCGCCAGCCATATTTATCTCTTCATCTTTCAATAAGGTCCTCATATGTTAATTTTGGCCTTCCTCTAGTCAAGCGTCCTGTTATGGCATCAGATAGAAAGAATAATGTGGAAAAGAGGACAGTAAACAGATGGAAATGTCAACAGATAGGAAGGATTGGAAACAAGAGGTTAAGGCAATGCTATACTACAAAGGTGTGGAAAAAGTGGAAGAATCTGGGAAGATTCATTATATTAGGCCTGTAAAACATTTGAGATTTTTCAGAGGAGTGCTGAGAAAGGAGAAAAGTAGTCAACAAAGCAAAAAATAGAACGGGAGGAGCTCTGCGATTTGGGGCTATATCCAAAGGCCAGCTGCAGATTTGAAACAGGTGTGATGGATACCCCATTTACCCTGATGTGATTATTAAGCATTATATGCCTGTATCAAAATATCTCACGTACCCCGTAAATGTATACACCTATTATACACCCACAAAAATTCAAAAATTAAAAAAAAAAAGCTTAGGTGCCCCAGGGCACACTTTGCCTTATGACACTTTTTGGTTGTTTGAAAACACGGGGCTTAACAAGATGGTGAAAGGGGGGTCCTCGGGGAAGAAGATATTTTTCTTCTTCCCAGGACTAGCAGTCTGAATTTTGGGACCCCTCTGGATCCTCCCTTCAAATCATCCTAAGGCCTCTTTTTCGACTGTGAGTCAAAATCTGGGGGGGCGCAAGGAGATTGATTGAGTATATCTCCTCAGTTACCGAGGTTTTGTTAAGATCTTTCTGACGCTTCCAGAATGATTCCAGAAAGCATGCTCTAAATTCAGCAGGCTGACCATATCTCCTTGTTTGTTCCAAGCAGACATAGTTTGCACTCATTATCCCAGCACAATTCTTATTCTAGCATAATTAGCACATCTATCACTCAGAAATAGATGATAAATTCCAAGGTCATCCTAAAGTTTAGGCTCTGCAATCTCTAGAAGACCCAAAAATCTATCCGCGCTTTTGAATTTGGAGGAGTAGCTAGCCAGAGTAGCCAGCTCACAAGTTGGCAAAGGACATTAACTTCCTGAAGTCTCCCTGAAAGCTGGGGAGTGAAGACGACAATTGCTATGCTTGGCTCTGTGTCCCCACCCAAATTTCATGTTGACTTGTAATCCCCAATGTTGGGGGAGGGACCTGGTGGGAGGTGATTGGGTCATGGAGGTGGATTTCCCCCTTGCTGTTCTCCTGATAGTAAGTTCTCATGAGATCTGGTTGTTTAAAAGTGTGTAGCACTTCCCTCTTCACTCTCTCTCTCCCACTGACCATGTGAAGGTATGCTTGCTTCCCCTTTGCCTTCTGCCATGATTGTAAGTTTCCTGAGGCCTCCCCAGCCATGCTTCCTATACAGCCTGTGGAACAGTGAGCCAATTAAATTTCTTTTCTTTATAAATTACCCAGTCTAAGGTATTTATTATTTATTTATTTATTTATTTATTTATTTATTTATTTTGAGAAGGAGTCTCACTCTGTCACCCAGGCTGGAGTGCAGTGGCACGATCTCTTCTCACTGCAAGCTCCGCCTCCCAGGTTCACACCCAGCCTCAGCCTCCTGAGTAGCTGGGACTACAGGTGCCTGCCACCATGCCTGGCTAATTTTTTTGTATTTTTAGTAGAGATGAGGTTTCACTGTGTTAGCCAGGATGGTCTCGATCTCCTGACCTTGTGATCCGCCTGCCTCGGCCTCCCAAAGTGCTGGGATTACAGGCATGAGCCACCACACCCGGCCAGTCTCAGGTATAGCAATGTGAGAACAGGGTAATACAACAATCATTAGCTAAAATCATCCTGAGGTCTAAATATGCAGACATGACTGGCATATCTGGCTTCAGAAGAAAGGCAATAAATTTAACTCTTGGGTCAGGAATTCTCACATTTGGGGACATGCATTTTGTTTGTGGAGATTTTACAAACTACAATCCCTGGATTCCACCCTTAGAATGTATGACTCACTGAGTTCGGGCTGGGTCCCTGAAACCCTCTGGTATGAATACTTATGTTCACTTCTAATGGTGAATTAGTTCCTTAAGACATGCTAAATAATGTTAAGTTTCACTAGTATATTCATTCAACTTATCAAAAGAAAAAATAATTTAAATTGCCTTTTTAAATTAAATTAAATTTAGTTGTCTTTTTGACAACTCAGGGGGTTAGGGGTACCAACCCTGAACAATTGAAAATTTAAATATAACTTTTGATTTCCCAAATCTTAACTACTGATAGCCTACTAATGACACCTTACCAATAACAAATAGTTGATTAACACATATTTTGTACATTATATGTATTATAGACTGTATCCTTACAAGGAAGTAAGCTAGAGAAAAATAGAATGTTATTAATAAAATCATGAGGAAAAGAAAATATATTCACTTGTTCATTGAGTGGAAGTGGATCATCAAAAAGGTCTTCATCCTCATTGTCTTCACATTGAGTAGGTTGAGTGGGAGGAAGAAAAGGAGGGATTGGTCTTGCTGTCACAGGGGTGACAGAAGGAGAAAAAGTAAAGGAGGTGGAAGGGAAGGCAGGAGAGGCACGCATATGTGGTATAACTTTCATTGAAAAAAGAATCTGCACATGAGTGGACATGAGCAGTTTAAACCTGGGTTGTTCAAGAGTCGACTGTACAAGTAAAAAAACTAACAATAAAAAGCAAGCATGTTCTTCATCTTTCAGCCACTTTGGAAAAAGGCAACCCAATACAGCAATAAAACTATAGAAATCCATAATATAAACTTGTAGGAGGCTTATTTTAACAACAATTATCTTTTTCAAAACATTACTTTCATTATCATATTTGATTATAAAGCCAACTTATGATGCAGGAATTATTATAACCATTGAAAAAAATGAGGTTCAGAGAGTTTATGTCGTCAGCCCAAACTAGTAGATGGCTATTTTTTTAAACCTCAAATAAATTGTAGAAATACAGAAGAAAAACAAACAAACAAACAAACAAAAAAGAATCTACTACCAAAAACAATATCCTAATGGAATACAACTGCATATTTTTTATTTCCATGCAGAACTTCACAATAAACAACCAGAAGGATCTCAGATCCAGTTTTCTTGGCCAGTTGGTCTAGAATATTCTAAACATTAAGGTAAATTAAGCAAGTAGTTGAGGTACAGTTTTGTAAGCATGCTTTGCTTAGTGACTTGTTATAATTCAATAACTTTATAATCAAGAAAGTCTTCAGGGTCTAATGTCAGTTTCTCCCAATGCTATTAAAGTCTCCTTTCTTCTTATTAAATCTTTCAGCATGTCCCAACTCCAGGGCTCTAAGGATAACCCTTAAATAACCGAATATGATTGCTAGTAACTTGAATCTTTTCTTTCAGGGTCATAATCTTAAATCCTTTCATATTTTCAATTGATGTAACTTAAATTTCTAATCCTGGTGATGCTTTTCTCTGAAATACCTCAAATTCTCATATTGAGGCCGGGCATGGTGGCTCATGCCTGTAATTCCAGCACTTTCGGAGGCCGAGGTGGCCAGATCACAAGGTCAGGAGTTCCAGACCAGCCTGATCAACATAGTGAAACTCTGCCTCTACTAAAAATACAAAAAATTAGTCAAGTGTGGTGGCGGGTGCCTGTGATCCCAGCTACTTGGGAGGTGGAGACAGGAGAATGGCTTGAACCCGGGAGGTGGAGGTTGCAGTGAGCCGAGATCAAGCCATCACACTCCAGTCTGGGCAACAGTGTGAGACTCCATCTTAAAAAAAAAAAAAGAAAAGAAAAGAAAAAGAAAAAAAATCTGTGCCACAGTTAGTATCTTCTATGCTATTAATACTACACGTGCCCTCCCCCAAAACACTACTTATTTGGTGATCTTTCTGAATTTTCTTACTTCTCTTACTAGAAGACATAATTTTAGTTAAATTGGCACTCAGAGAATGATATGATGGTATAGGTGGTACTGCTTGAACACTTACTTCCTCTGTGTTGTAGGAAATTTTAATGATTTTACTCATTAAAGTACTTTTTTTATTTATTTTACTCAATAAAGTACTATTGTACTTTATTTTTTATAGGAAAAATACGTGATTTATTGATGTACTTATGTTGTTCTTTATAAACTAAAATTCTTTCAGTTTCTTCCTTTTTCTTTTCCAATTCTCCACCTCTCCTCCCAGTACACCTCACCCTATAGGTAAGATTCCAGTTTCCAGGAGAAGGGATAAAGCCAGCTAAATTAAATTTCACCTTTCACCTATTTCTGCTGTGATCTATAACACCCCACTTAAGGTATTCAAGATTTTTCATTAGCTAAAATATTTTCTTGTTTAGGAAGCTTTAGTAGAAATATAAAGAATTGAGTTTCTGTTTTTCCTTTTATCAACAAAATACCTATTAATCATTTTGATTGTATATGCACATGGCTCTATTAAAACTAGAAAGCATAATTACATAAAATT
The DNA here is from genome assembly GCF_000001405.40 of Homo sapiens. NCBI lineage: Eukaryota > Metazoa > Chordata > Mammalia > Primates > Hominidae > Homo > Homo sapiens. The sequence continues at coordinate 65,728,083 of NC_000012.12, forward strand.
AAGTAAAATGTACCATACCTTTTTGATAAAATGAAAAATAAATTACATTTATCTTTTCTTTGCTAAATAAAATGTATTTTTGTAAGTTTTGACTACATTTGACAACACTTAAATGAGTAAGTTTTGACTAATGATTATATCCCTTGTATTTTCTCTTAATAATAATTTAAATTGTTTTTAATTAGCTGGGGCACGTGCAGTTTAAATTTTCTAATAGTCTAGGGATAGAACAACTCTTAACATATTTTTAAACATCGATAGTGTCAGTTTTCAAACCTGGATGTTATTCAAGTCCACTTCATGTTAACATATTTTTCTCTGTGGATAACAAATACAACAGAAAAATTTTGCCAGTGTAAATAGCCAATGGAATTATGAATAATCATGTTAATAATGTTAATAAAAAGGTACAGTTAAATGAGGGAGACAATTAGTTCACACCATTTTGGTTTATTTATTTAGCAGTGAGCATTGTATAACATGTCAATCCCGGGAAAAAGAAACAGACATAAAGGGGCTTAACATTACTAATAAAACAATCAGTATCAAAATATTTTATGTAACAATTTGTCCGTGTTCATATAATAATCTGTCAACTCTGTGATTTGCTTATTATGTGAATTAACTCCATAATCGCTCTGAGATTGAATTCAGTGACACCGTTTAACTGCTTCTGGTTTGGGGGCTTTTACTCGATATTTTTAGGTAAGGAGCTGTCAGGCTAATCTGAGGACATTTAGGGAAAGCCAATAAACTGTCACGAACTTAAAACAAGTGAGGTTTCTCGTGGTTTGGTCGAAATTTTAACACTTCTCCTCTCCTACCCTTCACCTCTTCTCCTCAAAACACTTTTTTTTCTTTTACAATAACTGTAAATGCCAGCTCTAAATTTCCCTCCAATCTGGGAAAGTCCAATCTCCCTTCCTCGAGAGGTGTCTGGGCGCAATACTCTCCGGCCCGAAGCAAGGGGACGTTTGCGAGGAGGGAGAAATTTAAACCCCCTTCGCTCCGCGCCACCTGGGAGCACTTTGGCGCCGCAGACTCAGGAGCCGACGCCATCTCCAGGACGGCCTCGGTGGCCTCGGCAGGAGGCACCTTCGGGGAGCGGTCCCGCACTCCTCCTTCCTCAGTCCCCGGTCCTCTGCACCGCTCCCTCTCTGCTGCCAGAGGACCTGTCCGCGAGCTCCCCGCGCTGCCCTGGGGACGGAAAAGTTTGTTTCTCCAACGCGCAACTTTCCCGCTCCAGGCGGCGGGGACCCCGAGCCGGAGTTTTGGCCAAAAAATCCCAGAGTCCTATACCTCCTGCGCGCCCAGACCTCGGGGGCGAAGGGCGGCTCCCCCGGCGCGCCCCGATCCCCGCCGCAAAGAGGACTTGGTGGACTAGAGGTGCACCCCGCGGGCAGCCCTTGGCGCCCCGCTCTGCGCCCGCCGGCATGAGGACTCGTGCGTGGCGTTTCGACCCTCCGCCTGAACTGAGACTGGGTGGGGAAAGGGGCAGACTGCTGTCTGTGACTCTGCGGGAGGTGGAGCACGAAACACAAAAGCTGTTTGAACCACAAACGCCAGGCTGGACACCCAACGAATATTAATGACCTGCAGCCTCCACCCACCCGCAAACATAATATTATGTGTACGTGCTTACCGGTTAGCTTAACAGACTTGCCATCATAAATTCCTTTTTCACTGCAGCGCCACTAGATTTGTTGTGATTAGGATGCAGCCACTAAATTTGTTGTGATCTCCTGTTTGTGAATGGAAGTTGACTTACATCTTTTGTAGCAGATTGCTACTTAGGATTTTTTTTTAAAAAATTATCGCAGATTTTTCAAATCAGAAAATTCCCAAATGACATAATCATACAAATTGATATTTTAACCGACTCTTTTTTGAGGAATGCATTCCAAAATCTTTCAGTTCCCATCATGCAAGACAAATAAGCATAGTAATTTGGAAAGTGAAATTAATGATCAAGATAATTTTGGAAAGGAATAGAAAGGACCAACTGAGACTTATATCTATTTACTTATCAGAAACTTTATGACTGATCCTAATTAGAAAACAAAGCAATGCCAGGAATGTCACATGCTTTTTAGATCTTGGTATCTTGTCTGGGCAAACATCCAGTGTTTGACACTACAAAGAAAGGGACAACATTGTGCAGCAGATTTCCAGGAGTAAATAATATATCACAGGAATCTTTGAAAGAACATCACTTATTTAGTGAGTGAGTGAATATTTGAACAACTGCTTCTATTGGGAAGGGTAAGAAGGAATTGAGGGATAGACTATAAATGATACAGCTCCCCTGCCCTCATAGATCATCCAGTTTAGTGATAGGAAAGAGGAAGAAATTTTACAAATAAAAGATAGCGGGGCACGGTGGCTCATGCCTGTAATCCCAGCAGTTTGGGAGGCTGAGGCCGGTGGATCACGAGGTCAGGAGATCGAGACCATCCTGGCTAACACGGTGAAAACCCGTCTCTACTAAAAATACAAAAAAATAGCTAGGCATAGTGGCTGGCGCCTGTAATCCCAGCTACTCGGAAGGCTGAGGGAGGAGAATTGCTTGAACCCAGGAGACGAAGGTTATAGTGAGCCACATCGCGCCACTGCACTTCAGCCTGGGTGACAGAGTGAGACTCTGTCAAAAAAAAAAAAAAAAAAAAAAAAGATACCAAAGGGTAGAAAAGTGGTAAATCCCTCAAGGTAGGATCTCAATAAACTCATGGGGAATTCCATGGAGGGGAGATTACAGTCAGCTGAAGGATTGTCCAATTGTAAACTGAGTCTGGCCAAACTTCAGTCTGTCTTGGGCTCCATGTAAGTGAAAGAGTTCACTGAAGTTTGTTTCTCTATTAGATGCGTCTCTGATAAGAATTTAGTGTACTACCTCTTCTAGAGCCTTCAGTATGTTTCCTTCTATCAACTTTAAGTTGTCACTTTCTTCCTTAAGTTTGTTAAGCAGTCATTTTGTGAGCCAATTTCTGTAAATTGAGGCTGAGCTGAGATGACACAATCAAAGGGAGTCAAAAGTTATGAGCTAAGTATGTTTTACGTATTACTTCTTTCCAGAAAGAATCTGGGTGGTCTATGACGGAAAACACCCCATTTAAAATGAATTGGTAAAATCAAAATAGAAAACCAGGAGAAAAAAAAAGAAAAAGGAAACTTGAAATAAGCCAACCCTAAGAGTTAACATGATTACTGAGATTGTGCTTCAGATTTGGGTCTGAGCTTCTTATAGCCAAGGTAAAGAGAGAAAAAAACGTAAGTGACATCAATCTTGCTGTTGAAAAAAGCAAAGAATGCCTGTTTTCAAATGAAATGAAATTACAGAAGGAGTTTACTATATGGAGTGCCACAAAGGGCTCTGAGGGATGTAACAGGCAATGTCTTAGCAGTATTTTTATGGAAAAGCAAAAGAGGATATTGCAGCCCTGTTTCTTATAATAACCTCCCATGAAAACCAAGACTTCAGTGAAGGTGAGTCCTGTCAGACTAAGCTAGTATAATTCTGTATTTGGGGATTCGCCTTGAACGCTAAATAACATATCCACTCTGCAGTCTTCCCCATGTATTACTTCTCTCAGCTGGGATCTTGGTAAGAATCAAATAATTGAAAAAGTTAAGATTTTTCTCTCTGGCAAGAGCCCAGTGTTTTAGTATTTCTTTTGGATCATAGAAGACACCTTCACAGGGTCTGGAAAACAACTGAGCAAATACTAAATTTGCCATCCTACAAAAGTTGCAGAAGCAAATCAGTGTTTTCTCACTGATGAAGACCACCCCAGTTTTCCTCCAAGGTAAGCTGCAGGGACACCTCAAGATTGGGCCCAAATTTTCCTTAGGAAGTTGCTTTGAATGTGCTCCAGTGCTTGAACAAATGCTTAATTGAGTCCCTAGAGATATACAGCGTTTGGGCATAGAAAATTTTCAAAGCTGGTGTTTCCTAATCACCGACAGTGGCTGGCGGAAAACATCAGGACTCCCACGGCACCTCTGACTGAACAACATGGTTTTCCAATGGAACTCCAGGATGAGTGCATTGCAAAATGTCATTGAATGAGTTGACAATAGCTCCCACAAACGATGAGTTTTAATTTCATTATCATTGGTTAGCCATTATTTTTAGCAGGAGTTAGATACTGCAACTACCTTTTGTGAGGCAATTTCTGGTTCATGATAATAAGATACTATGATCAGACCAGAAGAGGATATCTATCTTCCTATTTGTTATGGTAGGGGAACTTTGAAAAGAGAAGGGACATCATTCTATTTCATACTCCTCAAAGGATTATTATCTGATCTGTTCCTTCTCTTCTTGATTCTAATAAAGGGTGTTGGAGTAGAAACTTTTTTTTGAATTTTTTTTATTGTAAAAAATAGTTGGCCGGGTGCGGTGGTTCACGCCTGTAATCCCAGCATTTTGGGAGGCCAAGGCACGTGGGTCATGAGGTCAGGAGTTCAAGGACAGCCTGACAAACATGGTGAAACCCTGTCTCTACTAAAAATACAAAAATTAGCTGAGCTTGTTGGCGTGCGCCTGTAATCCCAGCTACTTAGGAGGCTGAGGCAGGAGAATCGCTTGAACCCGAGAGGCGGAGATTGCAGCGAGCCAAGATCACACCACTGCACTCCAGCCAGGGCAACAAGAGCGAGACTCCATCTCAAAAAAAAAAAAATACTAATAATAATGCATAACATAAACTTGATCATTTTAATCATTTTTAAGTGTACAGTTTTGTGGCATTAAGTACATTCACAATGTTGTGCAACTATCACCACCATCCACTTCTAGAATTTTTCATCTTTCCCAGTTGAAATTCTGCATACAATAAACATGAATTCTCCCATTTCTCCCTTCTCCAGCCCCTGGCAACTACTATTCTACTTTCTGTCTATATTCTAGGTACCTCCTATATTCTAGGTACCTATATTCTAGGTACCTCCTGTAACTGCAGTCACACATTATTTGTCCTTTTGTGACTGGCTTATTTCACTTAGCATAATATCTTCAAAGAGAATTTTTTATAAGAACATTATTAACTAGTAATCTACGTTAAAACCATGCAATGTGACTTATAACCAATTTCTATCCACAAAATTAAGAGTCAGTGAAACTTGTAGACCATCTTACATTATTCTCGGCAGATAGCTCCACAAGGTGATGGGGGATGTATCATCACTGAACATTAAGAGAGGGCAGGCCAGTCACAGTGGCTCAAGCCTGTAATCCCAGCATATTGGGAGGCAGAGGCAGGCGAATTATTTGAGTTAAGGAGTTTGAGACCAGCCTGGGCAACAGGGTGAAATCCCATCTCTACCTAAAAATACAAAAATACAAAAAAGTAGCTGGGTATGGTAGTGTGCGGTATGGTAGTCCCAGCTACTCAGGAGACTGAGATGGGAGGATCTCTTGAGCCCAAATGCTGAGGCTGCAGTGAGTCATGATCACACCACTGCACTCCAGCCTGGACAATGAAGTGAGACCCTGTCAAAAAAAAAAAAAAGAGTAGCTACATATATAGCCTACTTGCTCCTTGTGCAAATGTCAGGCCAAAAGCCTCAGACATACAGAAAACTGGAAAAAGTCTTAGATTAATTATGAAAAAATAATTGTTGGGTCCAGGCATGGTTGCTCAAGCCTGTAATCCCAGAACTTTGGGAGGCTGAGACAGGAGGAATGCTTGAGCACAGGAGTTCGAGACCAGCCTGGGCAACACAGTGAGACCCTATCTCTATAAAAAATAAAAAATTAGCCAGGTGTGGTGGTGCATGCCTGTAGTCCCAGCTACTCAGGAGGCTGAGATGGGAGGATCTCTTGAGTCTGAGAGGTCGAGGCTGTAGTGAGTCACTGCATTTCAGCCTGGGCAACAGAGTGAGACCCTGTCTCTAAATTTTTATTTTTTTAACTGTTGGTCTTATAATTTGTGAGATGAAGAGAGTTGCTGGTAGATCATTATGAGTGTAAACAGACAAGGTCCTAGCAGACAGGTGGTTTGAAATAAATAATTTGGTAAAACTAGCACATATCAATCAGAACAGGCCATAAGTCATCTCTGGTAGTGTTATAATTATCCATTGCTATGAACAGATATCCCCCAAATCCAATACCTTAAAACAGCCATTTTACTTTGCTCACAATTTTGTGGGTCAGAAATCTGGGGATAGCTCAGCTGAGCAGTTCTCTTCTGGGGTTACTCATGTTGTTGTACTAAGATATTTGCTGAAGTTGCCATCATCTAAAGATTACATGGCTGGGTAGATGATGCTGGCTATTGGTTGGGAGCTCAGATGGGGCTGTCAATAGAGTGACTACATGTGGCCTCTTAAGCATAGCAGTCTCAAGATACTGACTTCTTACATAGCAGCTGGCTTACCCTAGTGTGAGCATCCCAAGAGGGTCAGGGAGAGGGGCAAGGGGGGATGGTGTCCGTGGCCTTTCATGATCTAGCTTGGGAAGTCATACAGCATCATGTCTGCCATACTCTACGTGTTGAAACAAAGTTATCCAGATTTGCATGGAGCAGGCATCTTCTCTTAGCAGGAAGAATATCCAAGGACTTACATCAATTTTTAAAATAACCATTACAAGTAGCAATATGCTTTAACCCAGAATTATAATATGTTAATCAATTGTTCTGTGGCAGAGGAGTTTGTAGGACCTAGCTCAAGAGGTGTCAAAGATCTACAAAATTTCATATAGTTATTCTGTGATTCTAATGTCCTTTTCTCCTCCTTCCTGTCTTTTAAAGCAACGTGATGGCTGCAGTCCAGCATCCATTGTGGACCATGAGGCAATCTTGAGAATGGAAACCATACAATACAATAGTCAAAGAGGAAAGGTAAAAGGAGTAATTGATGACTGTGAACCCACCATACCAGTCATGGATTACCTTTGCAAGAGAGAAAAAAAGTTCTGTCTTGTTTAAGCCACGTTTATTTCAGATCTCTGTTATTAGCATCTGAAAGCAATTCCTAAATGCTATCCTTCCCAAATTTTCTAACTAGGCAATTAAGTTATGAGTACAGAGAGATGGGAGCAGCAAAGCTCAAGATTAGGATGATAAAGAAACAATCATTTTCAGGCCAGACGCAGTGGCTCACACCTGTAATCCCAGCACTTTGGGAGGCCAAGGGGGGCAGATCACTTGAGGTCTGGAGTTCGAGACCAGCCTGGCCAATATGGTGAAACCCCATCTCCACTAAAAATACGAAAACTACCCAGGCGTGGTGGCAGGCTCCTATAGTCCCAACTACTCCAGAAGCTGAGGCAGGAGAATCACTTAAACCGGAGAGGCAGAGGTTGTAGTGAGCTGAGATTACGCCACTGCATTCCAGCCTGGGCAACAGAGCAAGACTCGGTCTCAAAAAAAAAAAAAAAAAAAGAAACGAACATTTTCAATGTAGTATTCATCCAAGTGTAGCATTAAGCAAAAATAGACTCAAGTATCTAAAGTATCATTCAATAGTCATTGATTGAGTACTCACTATGCAGATGAAAGACAAGTTAAAAAATAATTGTAATACTAAGTGATAATGCAAAATAGAAATATGTGATGTGTAAAGTACCATGGTTGAATAGCTAATGAAATGATTCATTTAGGTTGGATCGATCAGTGAAGTTTCACAGAAGTTGTGACATTTGGGTTGGATCTTGAAAGATAATGGGAGCTTTGAAGGTGAATGAAAAAAGAAGTGGAAGAACATTCCTGGTAGATGGAACAGCATATGCCAAAGCACAGAGGTATGAATAGTCCAGTGTATTGTAAGTCCTAAGAGTCTGGTTTTTTCTGAGTTAAAGATGCAGGGAAATGTAGTTTTGAAGAGTTTGAGTTAAACCAGATTTGAATCCCAGCTCTGCTCCTTGGTAGCTGGGTGGCCTTGGTCAATAGCTTTTTAACATATGCTGAGGAGACTGGACCTTATGATGTAAGTTGAGGCTGTTCCTAAAAGGAAAACAAGCGTATTTGGGTTTTTGAAAATCACTATGACTGCAGCTTAGAGGATAAATGAAAGAGGGTACATTGAGGTCAGAGGACAAATTAGAAGACTCTTCATTCAACAAACATCTATTGGGTGCCCTCTGTGTGCACACAGTGAGGCACTGAGAATTCAGCAATGAACAAACAGACAAAATCCCCACCTTTGTGGGGTTTATATTTTATTAGGGAAAACAGATATTAAACAAATAAGGACATACATAGATAACGTAAGCACTAAGAAAAAAATTAAGATAATGAAGGGTTTCAGGTTACTATTTTATGTAGGTCAATCAAGAAAACTTCATGGACACAGAGTATGAAATAATAGGCAGTGAAGACTTGGAAGAGTGGGGGTGTGGGAGAGGGATGAGGGATGAGAAATAACTTAGTGGGTACCATGTACATTATTCAGGTGATGGTTACACTAAAAGCCCAGATTTTACCACTAGGCAATACATCCATGTAAGAAAACAGCACTTTTACACCTTAAATTTGTACAAATGAAAAAGAAAAAGTGTCTTTGAAAGGAGATGTTTGAGTAAAGAACTGAAATAAATAGTGAGCTGTGCAGATACCTAGGGGAAAAGATACCAGGAAGAAAGAAGAAGTGTACCATCCTAAGGGAAGAACATGCTTAACATTTTAGGGAGCAGGGAGAAGATCAGTCTGCCCACAATACAGTGGTAGAAGACCAGTGTGGTGATTACAAAGGGAAATTGGGAGGCTCTGACCTACTAGAGAGGAGTGGGAAACAGAGGAAGATAAGGAGCTTGCTATTTTTAAAGGCAGATGGATAGGGCTTGATGGCCAGTTGAATATGGGGAGTGGAAAGGAAAGGAACCTTGCATGACTGCCAGATTTCTGGACTAAGCAAATGCACAAGTGGTGTCACTGGTAGAGAGAGAATGCAGGAAAACCAGCACACCATGCAGTCAGTTTGGGACCTGTTCAGTCTGGTGTGCTGATCGAAATTCTGGTGGAGATGCTTTGTTGAAGTTTGGATATACAGATATGGAGTTCAGAAAGGAGATGCGGCCCAGATATACAGGTTGTTAGCACTTTATTGAGATACTCATTTTCAGTGTTGGGTTATTCACTCATTCATTCATTCAACTAATATTTACTGAAAGCCAAATATGTTATGCTAGACCCTGGGTAGTATAAAACAGACACAGCCCCTGCCCACATGAAGCTTACAGTCAGGTGGACGAGACAGACAAAAAACAAGTAAACAACAAAATGGGCCAGGTGCGGGGGCTCACATCTGTAATCCCAGCACTTTGGGAGGCTGAGGAGGGCAGATCATGACATCAGGAGATCGAGACCATCCTGGCTAACGTGGTGAAACACTGTCTCTACTAAAAATACAAAAAAATTAGCCGGGTGTGGTGGCACGCACCTGTAGTCAGCTACTCAGGAGGCTGAGGCAGGAGAATCTCTTGAACCCAGGAGGCGGAGGTTGCAGTGAGCCAAGATCCCACCACTGCACTCAAGCCTGGAGACAGAGTGAGACTCTGTCTCAAAAAAAAAAACAAACAACAACAACAAAAAAAACAAACAGTGCTAAAAGAGTATAGAATGTCTTAAAGAAGGCCTTTCTGAGGTCACATTTAAGCTGAAACCTAAAAGATAAGATGAAGCCATCCATGCAGAGTGTGGGGAAGAGAAAGCCAAAGAAGTCATGCTGAGCTAAGGGGGAGGGGCCCAGGGTGACTGTGGAGAAGTACGCAGAGACTGGATCATGCAGGTCTAGCAGGCCATGGCACAAAAAAGTTTGAAAATCGTAAAGAATGGCAGTGACACAATCCAATTTGTGGTTTTAAAAAATAAGGCCGGGCACAGTGGCTCATGCTTGTAATCCCAGCACTTTGGGAAGACCCCCGGGGTCGGCGGATCACTTGAAGTCAGGAGTTTGGGGCTGGCCTGGTCAACATGATGAAACCCTGTCTCTACTAAAAATACAAAAAAATTAGCCAGGTGTGTCGTCTGTAATTCCAGCTACTTGGAAGGCTGAGGCACGAGAATCACTTGAATCCAGGAGGTGAAGGATGCAGTGAGCAGAGATCATGCCACTGCACTCCAGCCTGGGCGACAGCAATACTCCATCAAAAAAAAAATTAAATTAAAATAATAAAAATGTTAAAATCCGCTTGTGGGGTGGAGGGGTGGTGATGGATGGAGAGATGTTGGGGGGTGTGGGAAGGAGAGATTAGAAGGAGGCAATAGAAGCTAAGAAAACCAGTAAACAAGGCTATTGCAGCCATCCTGGTGAGAGATAGGGCTTGGCGTACAGGAGGACAGCGAAAATAGAACTAGAACGTTCCTAGATAGGCTTTGGATGTAGAATAAATAGAATTTGGTGATGGATTAGGTGTGGAGAGTAATGAACACATAATAAAAAAAAGTGACTCCGAGGTTTCTGCCTTGATCAGTTGGGTGTTTGGTAGGATTCTCTCTCTCTCTCTCTCTCTCTCTCTCTCTCTCTCTCTCGCTCTCTCTCTCTCGCTCTCGCTCTCTCTCGCTCTCTCTCAATCTCTTGCTCTGTTGCCCAGGCTTGAGTGCAGTGGCGCGATCTCGGCTCACTGCAAGCTCCGCCCCCCAGGTTCACCCCATTCTCCTGCCTCAGCCTCCTGAGTATCTGGGACTACAGGCGCCCGCCACCACGCCCGGCTAAGTTTTTGTATTTTTAGTAGAGACAGGGTTTCACCTCGTTAGTCAGTATGGTCTCGATCTCCTGACCTCGTGATCCGCCCGCCTCGGCCTCCCTCTTTCTTTTTTTTAAGAGACAGAGTCTCGCTCTGTCGCCCAGGCTGGAGTGCAGTGGCGCGATCTTGCCTCACTGCAACCTCTGCCTCCCGGGTTCAAGCAATTCTCCTGCCTCTCAGCCTCTTGAGTAGCTGGGACTACAGGCGCACACCGCCACGCCCAGCTAATTTTTTTTTTTTTTTTTTTTTTTTTTTTTTGATTTTACTAGTGACGGGGTTTCACCGTTTTGCCCAGGCTGGTCTCGAACTCCTGAGCTCAGGTGATCTGCCCGCCTCAGCCTCCCAAAGTGCTAGGATTACAGGCGTGAGCCACCGCGCCCAGCCGGATTATTTCTTTTTATTGAAAAGACCGGGAGAGATATATTTTGGAGATGTGAAATCAGGAGTTCAATTTTGGACCTGTCAGGTTTGAAATGCTTGGGGAGCCTTCGAAGAGAGTGGGATTGAGCTCAGGGGAGATATCTGCCCTGGGGGTAAAAGTTTTGGAACCATCAACATGTAAATAAAATCCGTAAGAATGTTTAAGATCACCTTGGGATAGATGAAAGAGAAAGAAGAGAAAGCCCTGGTAAATTTCAGCACTAATGCTGAGAAAAAAGAGGATGTCAACCACATTGTTTGGTGTGTTTGTTTGTTTACTAACAGTTTAACAATATAGATTTTTGAGATAGTTTGTTAGGGTATATATTTTGTTATATATATATCTATGGTATATATTTTGACACCATGGTAGAATTTCTCTGTATAACCTTTCAACTTACTTCTGCTTTGCACTGATATATTTTTACTGAGAGTCTCATGCCTCATACAGGCTATAGGAATGTTTGTTATTAACCCAATTATTTGTTGAGTAAGATACAACACCCCTTCCCCCTTTTGTCTGTCTCTAAATTTACCAAATGCAAAAAGAAAATCTCAAAAAACAAAGAAAGTGGAAAGCTTTTGACCGATTTTTAAAAATGAGTAGGTAGTTTAATTTCAAGTAGTCAAGAATTATGATGTCATAAACATTGTTTACATGGTTCCTTTTTGGTTTTAATATCAGTTTGCTACAATACAATGCATTTATAATTACAATTTTGTTAAGATATACTTGCTGCAAGTCAACCATTTTTCATTAAATAAAGATGTTCTTGGCCGGGCACGGTGACTCACGCCTGTAATCCCAGCACTTTGGGAGGCCAAGGCGGGCGGATCACGAGGTCAGGAGATCGAGACCATCCTGGCTAACACAGTGAAACCCCGTCTCTACTAAAAATACAAAAAACAAAACAAAACAAAACAAAAAACTAGCCGGGCGTGGTGGTGGGCGCCTGTAGTCCCAGCTACTTGGAAGGCTGAGGCAGGAGAATGGCGTGAACCTGGGAGGCGGAGCTTGCAGTGAGCCGAGATCGCACCACTGCACTCCGGCCTGGGTGACACAGCGAGACTGCGTCTCAAAAAAAAAAAAAAAGAAAGAAAGAAAAAGATGTTCTGAAAGAAACTCCAGGATGAGCAACTGCCTTCAAGGGCAGAGGTTTTAAGTTGCCAATAAAATAAAATAGTGACAAGTAAACACTGCGCCTCATCAAGAGGAGCAAGGCAGCTTCTGTTGTGTAGCCGATGTTCCCATTTTCAGAACGTAGATGTAGGTGAGTGAGAAGAAAGAGGATATATAAACCGTCTTCCAGCTCAAATTTGAAATTAAAAGAAAAAAAGACCTAAAAGAGGGGGCCTGCCCTCCACCAACAAGGCAGCAAACCTTGCAGCCTGTGGGGCTTCACCATAGCACAAACCAAGCACCTTTACTTGCAGCTCTCTAAGGGCCCAGATTTGAGTTTTGACTCAGAGAAGAGAGAGCAGAGGTCTCTAGAAATGCCTGTTGGGTTTGAAGAATGCTGATGACATTTTTGCAACTATCCTTTATCATCTGTTTTCTGTACTTCCACCACTGGCTCCACCTTTTTCTTTCTGCAGTTCAAAATCGTTCTGTGAAATATCTCCTCCATTTCAAATCTTGGCTCTTCACCACTCAGTTTAAGAGTAGCAAACACCTTGCAGCCTGAGGTTCCACCTTGAACATGGAGAACATTCAAACACAATATGGGGGAGGAGGCGACCTGCGTGACTTTTAACATCCCCTTCATATCCTCCCACTGGGCGCATTTTAAGCGCCAGCGCTCACCACATCCGGCTGCCCCACCGCCCGCGCCCGGAGCCCCAACATTCCCAGTCCTCTCCCTTCTCTCACTTCTAGGTCAACAAATATTTTAATAGGTCCTTTTGAACAGATGTGGCCTGTAGATGTATGCAATGACCCCATCGGAAATAATTTGGGGTGAAGGGGGAAGGCGACCTTCCTCTCCAGGAGAGCCTTTATTGTATAATCTCTAGTTAATGAGCCTCTCTCTGGGCCTCAAACCGGGCGAGTTATTATCCGTGTCTGCAAGTCTGGAGAAGAGGCTAAGAAGCAAACCTCCTGGGTGTCCGGGACCACCGGCCTTAGCCTTCTCCAAGCCCAGGGCAGGGCGAGAAGAACATGGCCCGGTTCCCCTCGGGGTCTCTGGCCCAGCTGCGGAGGGGGAAAGGTGATCGATCTTGCTGGGGGCCACCGCTAGCCCACCGCTTCCTGCCGCGACCTGCCGCGGCGGCCGGAGCCCGGGAGCTTCCCATTGGCTCACGGGCCGACGCCATGCAGTCTGGGGGGGCGTGGCCGGGCGGCGGGGCGTGGCCAGGCGGTGCGGGGAACTGCGGAGAGAGGAGAGGAGAGGAGAGGAGGGGAGGGGAGGGGAGAGGAGTGGAGAGGAGAGGAGGGGAGGGGAGGGCAGGGGCGGGGCGGGGCCGGGCGGCGGGGGCGCACACCCCAATCTCCCTAGCGCTGTGGGGGTGGCTGCAGCTCCCCGCGCGCTCCCTCCTTTGGGGGGGTTTCTGGGCTCGTGACTTTTTTTTAAATAAAGAATGAGCGGATGCCCGTGACAAGTTAATAGCTCTCGCCGCGCTCTAAAGTTAAGTTGTATCTCCTTCCCGCCGCGAGTCTCCTTCCACAGACCCGCCGGAGCTGCCGGGACGGGCGCTGCGCGGGACTGGGCGTTAGGTGCTCCCGGCTGGTTCCGGCGAGCAGCCCCCACCCCTCGCCCACGCTCGGGGTTAGAGACCCCAGCACCCCACGCAGACGGCCCGGGCTTAGACCTCTCCACGTCGCTGTGGCGCGCGCCCCGCCAACACCCCCACCCCACGCGCAGCCCGTGTCTTCTTTACCCCCGCGCACTTAACGCAGGGCGCACGCACGCATCCCGGCCCCCTCACACTCACACTGCGTCTTCTGTCACACCCCCTGTCGCACACACACTGTTCTCTGACTCCCACCATCTCCTGTCTCACACCCACTCCAGTTTCGTGTTGAGCGGCCGCCAGTTCTCCCTCGGTCGCGCCGGCGCACGCTCGTCCCCTTCTGCCCCGGAGCCCGCCCGCGCCGCACGGTGGCCCCTTGCGCTGGCCTGATCGTGGGAACCAGGCGGGGCCCCAGCGTCCCTGCCCCTGCCCGGTCATCCATCTCCCTCCCGGTCGGCCAGCCGAGACTTCAAAGGCGCCTCCTCCGGCCGGGCCTGCCAAACCCCGACGCAGCCTGGATGTGGGCCGGGGGCGCTCCCCGGCGGGGGGAGGCCGGGCCAGGGCGCGTCTGGGGCCGGCTCCGTCCTTAGTGCGGCGGCGGCGGACTCCAGAGCTGACCGCGGGGCCACCCCCGCCGCGGCCGGGCCACGCGCGGGCCACCCGGGAGCTTCTACCAGCCCAGCGAGCACGCGCCGGCGGGAGGGGGGCCTCATTTTCATGGCAAGGGAAATCCGGATAAGGATGGACTCCTTTCGGAGGAGAATGGGAACGCGCTAGTCCTGGTGCCTGACCCTCTCTCCTAAAGAAAATGAGTCTCCCCTGGAGCTTAAGCCATATTTCCTTCGCCTCCTTTCCTCCTTCCCATTCGGACACCCCTAATTGACAGGCTCTAATCCTCGGATCAGAACTACTTCTGCCTGGAAGATTTGGCCGGCTTTTCCTTTTCTCTCAGCGTTCCTGCAAAGCCAATTCGTTCTGAGCTGCACTGATGGCGGGCTGAGGGAGGAGGGCTACTTCCAACTTCTGGCACCACCTGGGTGGTCGCCGTAACCGAGTGATTCCTTTACAGCTATTTATAATCCTTAACTTTATGAAGGTTCTTTTGCTTAGAAGAGTTAAAGAAGGTTTAAGTATTCTATTTTGGCACTGATGTGGGGCATAGTCACTGAATGATATTTATCTATATTCAACTAGACTATGAATTTTTTGAGCATAGGGGTGTGTTAGTTCGCAGGCCGCAGATTCTAGCATAGGGCATGGCAAATAAATTGTAGCTGTGCAATCAATTATGTTGAATTCAAATGAACCAGCTTTTTGCATGGAGCTTTCCAAACACTTTATCATACTTAAAAATGTTATGTAAAGCTTTCCAAGAAGGAAGGAAAACAGAAGGAGAAAAAGAAACGGAGGATGCAAGAAGGAATCCCAGAATCATTTCAGATCCTTTGAAAGAAAGAGGTTAGATTTAAATCTCAAAGCTAAACCAGACAGATCTGCATATCTGAGAACACAGAAGCCCTAAAACCAATATTAAACATCATCTCAAGTTCATAGTGTTTTCCTGGCTAACAATGCTAGCTTCTCTTAATGTAAGTCTCTAACTTTAAATTGTCCTTATTACTTTTTCTGTCGTGTCTTGAGCTATGAACACAAGGCTAGACTGGACACAGATTGTTCAAATCTAGAAATTGGCAACTTAAGATTTTTATCTGTTAGCCAGCTTTTATCCCATTTAAAGGAAAGGAAGGAGTTAGCATAACCATATTAACTGTTTAGAAAAATTGGTGGCAGTATGGAGGATTCAGTAAAGTGCCTCCAGAGTAACCCGTGGCGGGACATCAATGAGCATTAATATCCTTCTGTAGATCATCTACAATGTAGACAAATGTTTTCATCCAACAATACATTTTTGAGACACATCCATTTTGAGACGTGTAGGGATATACCATTGAATGAATATACCAGAATGTATTTATTCATTCTCCCATAGGGACATTTAGTAGGCCTTTTTTTTTTTTTTCTACTAAAAATAATGTAGTGACATCTTTGTGGTGGTGGTCCCCTTGTTTGCAGATGAAAGTGTTTTCTCTTACTTTTGTCCCTAGAAATGAAATTGCTGGGTTGTAGGGTTACATACTTTCATCTTTACTAGATATCAATCACCAAACTATTCTTCCAAGTGGTTGTAACAGTTTATTCTCTTAGCAGTATGTCAGCCACCTGCTTTCCCCTCATCCCCAGCAATACTTGGCATTGAGAGGTGACAGCATGCTGGCAGTCCACACAGCCCTCGCTCGCTCTCGGCGCCTCCTCTGCCTGGGCTCCCACTTTGGCTGCACTTGAGGAGCCCTTCAGCCCGCCGCTGCACTGTGGGAGCCCCTTTCTGGGCTGGCCAAGGCCGGAGCCGGCTCCCTCAGCTTGCGGGGAGGTGTGGAGGGAGAGGCGCAGGGGGCAACCGGGGCTGTGCACGGTGCTTGCGGGCCAGCACGAGTTCCGGGTGGGCGTGGGCTCACGGGCCCCGCACTAGGAGCAGCTGGCTGGCCCCGCAGGCCCCGGGTAGTGAGGGGCTTAGCACCTGGGCCAGCAGCTGCTGTGCTCAATTTCTCGCCGGGCCTTAGCTGCCTTCCTGCGGGGCAGGACTCAGGACCTGCAGCCCGCCATGCCTGAGCCTCCCCCACCTCCATGGGCTCCTGTGCAGCCCGAGCCTCCCCAGCGAGTGCCGCCCCCAGCCCTACGGCGCCCAGTCCCATCGACCACCCAAAGGCTGAGGAGTGTGGGCGCACCGTGCGGGATTGGCAGGCAGCTCCACTTGTGGCCCTGTGCGGGATCCACTGGGTGAAGCCAGCTGGGCTCCTGAGTCTGGTGGGGACTTGGAGAACCTTTATGTCTAGCTAAGGGATTGTGAATACACCAATCAGCACTTTGTATCTAGTTCAAGGTTTGTAAACACACCAATCAGAACCCTGTGTCTAGCTCAGGGTTTGTGAATGCACCAATCGACACTGTATCCAGCTACTCTGGTGGGGACTTGGAGAATCTTTATGTCTAGCTAAGGGATTGTGAATACACCAATCAGCATTCTGTATCTAGCTCAAGGTTTGTAAAGACACCAATCAGCACCCTGTGTCTAGCTCAGGGTTTGTGAATGCACCAATTCACACTCTGTATCTAGCTACTCTGGTGGGGACTTGGAGAACCTTTGTGTTGACACTCTGTATCTAGCTAATCTAGTGGGGATGTGGAGAACCTTTGTGTCTAGCTCAGGGACTGTAAACGCACCAATCAGCACCTTGTCAAAACAGACCACTCCGCTCTCTGTAAAATGGACCAATCAACAGGATGTGGGTGGGGCCAGATAAGAGAATAAAAGCAGGCTGCGGCAGCCAGCAGTGGCAACCCGCTGGCGTCCCGTTCAACACTGTGGAAGCTTTGTTCTTTCGCTCTTTGCGATAACTCTTGCTGTTGCTCACTCTTTAGGTCCACATTGCCTTTATGAGCTGTAATACTCACTGCGAAGGTCTGCAGCTTCACTCCTGAAGCCAGCGAGACCACGAACCCACCGGGAGAAATGAACAACTCCACACGCGCGGCCTTAAGAGCTGTAACACTCACGGCAAAGGTCCGCAGCTTCACTCCTGAGCTAGCGAGACCACGAACCCACCAGAAGGAAGAAACTCCGAACACATCCGAACATCAGAAGGAACAAACTCCAGACGCGCCACCTTAAGAGCTGTAACACTCACCGCGAGGGTCCGCGGCTTCATTCTTGAAGTCAGTGAGACCAAAAACCCACCAATTCCGGACACAGTATTAGCCGACTTTCCCATTTTCCCCCAGTTTCATGAATATGAAGTGGATGGTACATCACTGTAATTTACTCTTTCCTAGAATTTTACCTTTTCCCTGAATTTTACTTATTCAAGGCTTTTAAAATTCTCTAAACCAGTATTGTTCAATAGAACTTTCTTGCCAGGGTGGAAATGTTCTCCCTTTGATGGGTTTCTTTCCACTTTAGTGAGTCCTCTAAACTGCCATCCATTTTCCTACAAAGGAAATCTGATCATGTCAACTAAACTTTAAAATGTGACAAAACTGGAAAAAGTTTAGATTATCTGTGGTTTATTTATTGCCTACAGGCTGCACCAAATTATAAAGCTTGGACCACAAGGGTTTTATATCCAGCTCTGCTCTGTATTTCCACCTTTATCTCCAGGCTCTGAATCCCACATGCTCTGTGCTGAACTTCTTACTCAAAAAACACCATATCCCAGCTCTCTGAACCTTGTACTTGCAGGCCTCTCTCCTTGGTTTGCATTTTTTCTTCCCTCACTTGCTACTCATGCTTCTTTCCTAGCATGCCTCCTCTACCAGAATGAGCTTCATGGGGATGAAAGACTTTTCTTATTCATTTTTGTATCCCTAGTATCCACCCTGGTGCAAGCAAAATAGCTGGGGTGCAATATTTGTTGAACGCGTGCATGAATGAGTGAGCGAAGTGTACTACCAAAAAAAATGGCTGAAGGAGAAAAATATAGAATACAGTAAATAACTCTAAAACAACAGCCTTCTATCAACCATAGGCTATAGGTAATTCAAAATAGGTAATTCTTATATTAAACTGTATTCTTTTCCACTGACCTTTTAATTTATTATGGGTTAGTATTATTCCTCCTAGTTAACAAAGAAAAACTTTCCCAAAACCTGTCACTGAAGAATGCTTCAGCTACAAGAAGCAGAGAAACAAAATCAAAAGAACAAGCACGTAAAACCTGATGACCAGTAGCTTAAACAAACATTTTTTTTTTTTCCAATTCATAAGAAGCCTGAGGAGACTGCAACTGGGACAGACTGTGGCATCTCTGCTAAGCTCTGACCTTTTCCTTCCTGTCACAGAGCTGCTGCTGCTCCTGACAGATCCATATTGAATGAAGAGGAGAAAGAAGGAACAATGCCAGCTTGACTATCCCTTATGAAAGCAAAAATGTTCCCACAACACCCCATCACAGCAGACTTCTTATAATTTTATTGGCCAAAATTGGGTAAATGGCCACTCCTAGCATCCAAGGAGGTACAGATGACCTTCACAGTTATGAGCCAATGAATGGGACGCATTGCCAGCACAAGGCAAAGAGGGTTTTGTTAGTGAGGAAGAAAGGCTAATAGTGGATAGTTAGCAAAGCATCTTCCATAAAACAAGACCCAGCATTTAAAACGTTAAAACCAAATATCTGGTCTAATCTCATGTTTTAGCCACTCCCATTCCACCTCCCAGAAGGCATAGAGGCCTGAAGACTTAAAATGTCCCAAGATGTACTATAGGACTTTCGGGCTTTTGACTTGCAGACCCTGTTTCCCTTTAACAAGAAGAAAAAAAAAAATAGGGGGTGGGGGAACTAAAAATAGGCATAGTGAAAAGGAGGAATTATAAAATTGGATTCAAGAAGTTGCCTCTATACCAGGGCTGCTACTTCAGATTGCTTGAATTGGGTCCTTCTTACTGTGACCCACTGCTCACAGAACTGGACATTCAGCGTTTACCTTTCTAAGACATCACAGTGCACACAAATCAAGGAGACAGACAGCAATGCTGCAGCAGGGCAGGAGGAACATGGAATTAGGCTGAAGGGTAAACATCAGGGTTCACCATCGATCTATCTATTTATTTCAAGTGCCGTGACTGGATCCCTGAATGCAAAATATTTGGGTCAGATCCTGGAGTAAATAAGGCATTAATTGGCAGCAGCTTAGATGACTAAAGTGGAGAGAAATGTATGAAAGGTAGATTATAAATACACTATATCCTTTTTGTATGTTGCTGACAGTGCTGGCAAGGTAATACAATTTTAGGATAATGAAAAGGGATAAAATAAGAACATTATTTCTTGATAATTTCCAAGAAGATATGAACCACTTGTTGTATATATGTCCTATATGCCTCACGTGAACTTCCTACCTTTTCAGTTTCTCCAAATTTTATCTCCTTTTTAAGTCTCTGCAATTTACTACTACAACTCATTTGTTCATTCATCTTTTAACAAGTAACTCAAGTTCCATTTGAGCAAGTTCCTAGCACCATAAACAAACCAACTCTGGAGAGTGAATTTGGAAGAATGGAGGACACTGTCTGCTGGATAAATAGTGTTACGGACTGCATGTTTGTAATCTCCCAAAATTCATATGTTGAAACTTTAGCCCCCAGAGGAATGGTAGTAAGACATGGTGTCTTTGGCAGGTAATTAGGTTTAAATGAGATCATGAAGGTGGAGTCCTCATAATAGGATTAGTATACTTATAAGGAGAGAAACAGACTAGCACTTGCAATCTCTGCCATGTGAGGACACAGCAAAAATACGTCTGTCTGCAAACCAGGAAGAAGGGACTCACCAAGAACCCAACCATGAAGCACCCTGATCTTGAACTTCCAGCCTCTAGAACTGTGAAAAGTAAATATTTGTTGTTTAAGCCACCCAGTCTATGGTATTTCTGTTATAGCAGCCCTGATTGACTAAAATAAATAGGGATTTTTAAAAAATGGCTACATTTGCTTATGAATGAATTGATAATTACTTTCCCTCCATATTTTCAATTGTACGTTATTTATTTATTTATTTATTTATTTATTTATTTTTGAGATAGATATTTTTCCTCCCTTTGTTGCCCAGGCAGGTCTCAAACTTCTGGGCTTAAGTGATCCTCCCACCTCTCAAATGTACTTTAAAATAAGCATATAGTTAACTTTAAAGGAAGACGACTTGTTCCAGTCTCCCTACAACTGAACATGCAAATTGTCTCCCATGTAAAGGAGTTCAAGACAAGCCTGGCCAACATGGTGAAACCCTGTCTCTACTAAAAAATATACAAAAAATTAGCTGGGCAAGGTGGCAGGTGCCTGTAATCCCAGCTATTCAGGAGGCTGAAGCAGGAGAATTGCTTTGAACCCAGGAGGCAGAGGTTGCAGTGAGCTGAGATTGCGCTGCTGCACTCCAGCCTGGGCAACAAGAGTGAAACTCCATCTCAAAAAAAAAAAAAAAAAATTACTAAGCATTCAAAGTACACAAAGAAGGAAAATGTGACCCATAATCAAAGAAAAATAAGTAGTCAATAGAAGTAAATATTGAGATGACACAGATGTTAGAATTAGATGACAGTGACTTTGTAGCAGCTATTAAAAATACATTCAAGGACTTCAGGAAATGATAGACGTAATGAGTGAATAGATGGGAATTTTCAACAGAGAATTGGTAATAAGTAAAGAAACAAATGGAAGTTCTAGAACTGAAAACTGTAATATCTGAAATGAAACATTCATTGGGTGGGCTTAACAGCAAATTGGAGACTACAGAACAGAGGTCCAGATCAATAGAAGTTATTTATTCTGTAATACAAAGAGAAACAACAATTTTTTAAAAAATGAACAAGGGTTCTATGAGTACTAGCAAAATGCCAAGCAGCATAACATATATGTTGGAGTGTCAGAAAGAGAAAAGAAAAAGAATGGAGCAGAAAAAAATATTTGAGAAAAATAATAACCCAGATTTTCCCAAATTTGGTTAAAAAAAACATGAAAGCAAACCTCTAAAATTGCCTAAAAAATCCAAAAAGGTCTGCAAACCACAAACAAGATAAATACCAGCAAAACCACATTTTAGCACATCATAGTCAAACTGCTAAAAACCAAAGATAAAGAGAAAAGTCCGTAAACAGAGGAAAAAAGAAAAATTATACACAGGAGAATGATGATACAAACCATGGCTGACCTCTCATCAGATACAATGGAGGCTGAAAATGAGTAGAGATTACTTTTATAAAATGGAGAATAGAGGAAATGAGGAAAAGGAAGAAAATAAGAACAATGGTGGGCAACAAAACAGGAAGCAAACTT
Source organism: Homo sapiens (assembly GCF_000001405.40). Classification (NCBI taxonomy): domain Eukaryota; kingdom Metazoa; phylum Chordata; class Mammalia; order Primates; family Hominidae; genus Homo; species Homo sapiens. Next base: position 65,749,805 of record NC_000012.12, read on the forward strand.
CTAAGATCCTGGAAGTGGATTTGAGGGTGTCTTGTAGAAGCAACTTGGTGGCTCTGTCTAACCTAGAGAATATAAATGAAGTATCACATATGAAACCCTACCTCAAGGATCTTACAGTGTCACTGTAGTGTTTGATTAGGTGTAATAAGATCAAAGAAAGAAGGGACAGAGATAAGCTGGAGGCTTCCGTAGGGAAAGCTGAAAGGGAGATAGGTTGGAGGAGAGATAAAAGTATGCTTGAAGAGGAATCAGATCTGCATAGAGGTGACACACCAGAACAGGGGACCAGCACTAGCAAAGGTGGCAGAATGGGCATAATATCTTCAGGAACCTGACCCACATGGAAGTGGGCAGGTAGGAGGCAGTGAAAAGGGTAGGGACGATCATGACTTTTTTTTTTTTCTTTAATTGAGATGGAGTCTCACTCCATCGCCCAGGCTGGAGTGCAGTGGCACGATCTCGGCCCACTGCAACCTTCCCCTCCCTAGTTCAAGGGATCCTCTCACTTCAGCCTCCTAAGTAGCTGGGACTACAAGGATGCGCACCACCACGGCCAGCTAATTTTTCTATTTTTGGTAGAGATGGGTTTTCACCATGTTGGCCAGGCTGGTCTTGAACCCCTGACCTCAAGTGATCCACCCACCTTGGCCTCCTAAAGTGCTGGGATTACAAGCATGGGCCACTGCACCCGGCCCCTTATTTTCTTCTATATCTTTATGGATTATCTGTGTGGGGCTGTAGGTAATATAGGATCGGGATTAAATGTTGCTGCTCTGAAGTCAGGTTGCCTGGGTTCAAAGCCTCTCTTGGCCCTTTACTAGCAAGCGGCTGGAAGAAGTTACTTAACCTCTGGAGTTTTTCAGTTTCTTTACTTGTAAATAGGTAATAAAACTGTGTCATAGAGGTGTAGTGAGAATTGGATATAAAAAATGTATGTAACACTCTTAGAACCATGTCTGGAATATAGTAAATGTTCAGTATACTGAACATTTGCTGTTATTTTTAAATTGGGTTCTCAATAAATATTTGTTGACTTATTATTGGAGGGATTGGTGGTATCAGCTGAAGCAAAGTGGTTGTTTCAAAGAAGGGCAAAAATACATTTAAGTCACCTGGGATATAGGAAAGTCAACCCACAAAAAAGGAAGCTACTTCTGGAGTAGTCTTGTCACCTGTCATCAGTTGTCTTCGGATGGTGTAGATGAGACATGCAAAGCAACAACATTTCATTGGAGGAGAAGGTTGAATGTGCTGATTTCAGGAGAGAAAATCCTTAAAGAAGGGAGGCCTTAAACTTGTCTGCAACCAGGTCATGTGATTTTTTAACATCATCTGAAATATGCCTGTATAAGCCCAGATTTGTTGCTTAGCAGAGTCACCTCTAAGGAAAAAAATAAACTCTCACAGTCTGTGCAAATGAAGACATTTATTTATTTAGGAGATGGGGTCTTGCACTGTCAACCAGACTGGATTGCAATGGCACCATCACAGCTCACTGCAGCCTGGGCCTCTTGAGCTCAAGGGATCCTCCTGCTTCAGCCTCTGGAGTAGCTAGGAGCACAGTTATGTGCCACCACACCCAGCTACTTTTTAAAATTTTTTGTAGAGACAATATCTCCCTCTATTGCCCAGGCTGGTCTCAAACTCCTGGGCTCAAGCAATCCTCCCACCTTGGCCTCACAAATTGTTGGGATTATAGGTGGGAACCATTGCGCGCAGTCTCAAATGAAGACTTGAAAACTAAAATCAGGCTGGGTGCGGGTGGCTCACACCTCTAATCCCAGCACCTTGGGAGGCCGAGGCAGGTGGATCACCTGAGGTCAGGAGTTTGAGACCAGCCTGGCCAATGTGGCTAAACCCTGTCCCTACTAAAAGTACAAAAAAATTAGCCAGGTGTGGTGGTGTGCACTTGTAGTCCCAGCTACTTGGGAGGCTGAGGCAGAAGACTCGCTTGCACCTGGGAGGTGGAGGTTGCAGGGAGATGAGATTTCCCCATTGCACTCCAGCCTGGGCGACAGCGAGACTCCGTCTCAAAAAAAAAGAAAAAGAAAATCACGGTACCTCTTGATCTACCAACTGCTATAAGAAATTGCTGTTTTCCTCACAGAGCCATAGTCAGTACAGAAGAAGAAAAGTGGCTCAAGTTTCATATACTCTTTATTTTTTTTTTAGATAGAGTCTCACTTTGTCCCCCGGCTGGAGTGTGCAGTGGTGCGATCTCGGCTCACTGCAACCTCTGCCTCCCGGAATCAAGTGATTCTTCTGCCTCAGCCTCCCAAGTAGCTGGGATTACAGGCATGTGCCACCACACCCGGCTAATTGTTGTATTTTTTAGTAGAGACGGATTTCGCCATGTTGGCCGGCCTGGTCTCGAACTCCTGATCTCAAATGATATGCCTGCCTTGGCCTTCCAAAGTGCTGGGATACAGGCATGAGCCATGGCACCAGGCCAATTTCATACACTTTTTTGGGAGACAACAAATATCCCCCCTTGAATAAATATTTTCTAATCATAGGCTTCATGTGAAAGTTCAAAGGACTTTCTACCCCTCATAATTGCAGGATTCACTCATCTTCAAGCTCCGCATTGTTAGTAGTAGTCTCTCCAAAGCAGTGTCCTTCTGGATGAACTTAACGGATGATTTTAGCAAAGATCTCTATGCTAAAATCCATGACATCCACCATCCAAAGAAGAACTTGAACCAGGGAAGAGCGCTTGTCTCTCAAGTGATCGCCATATTATATTAATAGAAAGATTAGCTTGTACTTTTGACTTTTGAGCTGCTACATATGTCCAGTCGATGGAAATCCATCCAGCTACAAGGCGTTTTTACCTTTTTTTTTTTTTTTGAGACAGAGTCTCTCTCTGTCGCCCAGGCTGGAGTGCAGTGATGTGATCTCGGCTCAAGGCAACCTCCACCTCCCAGGTTCAAGCGATTCTTCTGCCTCAGCCTCCCAAGTAGCTGGGACTACAGGCACGTGCCACCACATCCAGCTAATTTTTGTATTTTTAGTAGAGATGGGGTTTCACCATGTTGCCTAGGCTGGTCTTGAACTCCTGACCTTGTGATCCATCCACCTCGATCTCCCAAAGTGCTGGGATTACAGGCATGAGCCAATACGCCCGACTGTTTTTACCTCTTTTCCACATATTTATCCTTCTACATAGAAATTCATGGTCAGGAAATACCAGAATTTTTGGTACATTCTGGAAGTGCCACAACTGACATGAAAGGTAAACTACATGAAAGGTAAATTCACAACATGAAAGGTAAATTAAAATGTCTACATATTTGGGAAAGGTGAGATTCTGGGACTTCATGAAGTCTGGAGTGAATAGAAAATTTTGGGACCTAAAAGTTTAACTTACTCCCCCTGTCATTCTATTAGCTGAATGGGCATTTAAGTCATTCCAAGGTTTTGAGGACTGATTCTATTTCTGAGGCCATGTAAATAAGAACTAAGTTTTATACTTATTTGGTGTAATGGTTGGAGACAAAGGAAATAAAGGAAACCAACATCAAATCATCAATTTCCACAAGACTTGGAAGACAGACAAGGTGCATTTTACAAATAAATACACCTCACCACTCAGAGTTCAATCTAGGGGAAATCTTTTACCAATGTCTTTCAAGCCTCCTCCAGCAGAACTGTTGGCTCTGAAATTTTTGTCAGGTACAGGAGAAAAGAAGTGGCTAACAAGCAAATACTTCCAATAGGTGTAATGACCTAGTCAGGGCTGCTGTTTTTCTTAGCCTTGAAACTAAATAGATGGAATACTTTTGACTAAAATGCATCCACATCATGTAGAAAAAAGAAAAAGCCAATCCAACAAGGTTCTGGTGAAACACACTACCTGAAAAAATTCTGCATTATCAAGAGTTGAATGTATTATCTGGGTTATCAAGAATTGAATTGAATCCAATTCTCGGATTGTAGACTGAAATTTTCTGACATCTGGTCACAGGACTTTGCTTTGTTGATGCCTTGGCAAAATTAGTTCTCCTCTCATTCTCAAGGCATCACCTGGGATTAGTTGGACCCAAAAGTCTAAATGATGCCATTTGGATCATATCATCATGGGGGAGCACCACTGAGATGAGCCAGACTGGTGTTGGAACCACACTCATTTGCTAATTCTCTTCTCTTTTTTCTCTTAGCACTTAGGAGATCTGGCCATCTTACCTTCTCTATAGTGTTTGGATAGAAAGATCTCTCGGTAGTGCTGTCCCAGGAATTCTGTCCTCACCCTTTCAGCATCAAGTGCAGATGAACCCAACACGTGTGTGAGAGATATAGTGGCAGAGTTATTGAGAAACAAAAACACTTTCTGCAGACCAGCCTACATCTGAGATGGCAACACCACGCTTCCCCTTGAAAGCTGGTTGGCATGGAACTTTTATTTTGCTGTGAAACATCTAAACTGCCCCTCCTTTTGGGCATGTCACAGCTGCTGTGATTTTGATTTGGAGGGTTTGATATGTTTATGAACTCTTTGTGCTTTCTGTAATGGCTTGAATCTACTTTAACAGCTGGATTTCCAGAGACAAGCTGTGGCAATGTCCCTCTTCTCCCTAATACATATATAACCTATGCTTTATTGAAGATCTTAATCATCACTTTCTTACACAGGCAAACTTCTCACTTTCAGGGCTTATGTAAAACACAAAGTATTCGTCTTTATGTAAAATGATGTCAGGCATCCGAGGCTTTAGTAGATTTCTGCAATGCTTTGGTGGTGGGTGTGTGTGTGTGTGCTGTGAGACCAGGTTTTAAATCCTTAAGGTAAGACTTTTAATGAGAACCAACTGTCAAAGGAGCTCATTTTCAGAATTTGTACCACAACTTTATTTTGAAAACACAAGTTTTGCTAGAACTGGTTAGTTTTGAGCGGGCTTAGGGAAAGGGGGCTGTTTTAAGTGTCTGAGCAGAATTGAAAAATAAGTGGACCCTCAAAAAGAGAAACGACATGCTCTTTCTAGGGAAGAAACAGGAGAACTTTCAGCCATCCCACTAGGCCAGTGTTTTCCCAGCTCTGCAGCACTCTTGTAAATTTGTAAATTTGCCACAGCTCACTTGTAAATTTGCCAGGGTGGCAGGGACACATGATTCTTAGCTGGGAGGCATGCCAGCTATCAGACGCCCCCAACTCTCAGGAGGGAGAAGGGGGCGGGTGCCCAGAGACCACCCTGGGTTATGTTTATTTTGGGGGATACTTGCTGGTACTGATAGCAAATCTCCCTAGACGGATGCAGCTCACAGTGGAATGTCCTGTTGAGAATTCCTCAACTCCCTGGTATCAGACCTAGCACCTTATAAAGTAAATCCTTACATTATAACAAAGGTAAGTCCAGCCTTTCCTATCTGGTCTTATATGTCACCTGATCTTTCAGGTTATTCTGTGCTTGACTCTGTCTCACCAGAAACCCCTTGTTTATTCTAAGCAGACAGAAACCCATAGTTCTTACTCATTTTATCAATTCTCCCTCACTGTTCTCAAATCCCTTTCATTCCTTTTCGTTCCTGGTTACCTCATTGTCCCTTGACCTCCAAAGAATCATCTCACACCCACAAGCCAGACAGATTAATATCCCTGTTTCCCAAGGTGTGTGTTTGGTCTGGCTCCAGCTGACCACTGGGATTTTGAGCCACAACACTATCGTTGAGAGGAAACTCCCTCCCTTTTTATACTAAATGTAGGCATTCTCCTGACCCTTAATCTAGCCTGAAAAAAAAAAATCTATCTATCTTCCCAAACGTTTCTGAGGGGGAACTTAACGCTCTCTTATCATCCACAAACTTCTCTTGAACCTTTGAGCTCCAAAAGAGAGTATAGATGCCATCTTAGAGATTAGGAATGTTTTGCGGTGTATTTTTAGGGACTTTTAAATCAATAAATCTCAACGTGGGTGATTCAACCAATGGATTTACGCAACTCAGGCATGGATGAGTTCAGTAAATCCTGTCTCATTGCCAAGCCCACTGAACTCACCACCTGAGTTCCACAGCAGGCACTCAGAAGAGCAAATTATTCAGCAGTGGTGGAGAAAGATGGGCTTGGGGATAAAGGAAGGTCAAGGAGTGTTTTGTTCTCTTGTGGTAAGAAACGAAGGGAAGGAGAGGAAAAACAGTTCTAGAATAGCCTACTAGCACAACCTTTGCTTTAGAGATGCTGTTTCAGCTGTCCTCATTTCATTGGGCTTATTTCTCCACCATTTGTGAAGAATAAGCAGGTGTTATGTGTTTCTTGTTATTGTTGGTCGCTGTAGTTTGTAAGATTCAGGATGGCTTCCAAAGAAAAAGTCGTATGAACATATTATAAGTTAGTTTTTCTGGCCTTTATGATGCTACAGAATCACATGCATGTCATGACATTCACCACATTTATGACTTTTATTTGGAGAAACACTGGAAATGAACAGTAGCAATGTATCTGCGTAGGGAGAATTCAATGTCAAAATCCCTAGGGAATGCTTCCCTCTATGTCCTCTTATTCATTCCTCCCTCCTTCCCTTCCTCCTTCTTCTCTTCCCTTCCTTTCTTTTGCTTGAGTGAACCAGGGGAAACCATTCATCTGGAAGCCTCCAAATGTAGAATTTTAAAAAATTTAGTCCTTGGCAGATCCTTGCAAAGTTTGAGAACAACTGGCCATTTACATGCATACATATGCACATGTGCACATTGCAACGAGCCCACTCATCACTTAAAACTATACTGGGATTTAAAACAATGTTTAGATGCTTTAATTAGATAGCAAATTTTTGGTTCGTGTTGGATCTCTTATTTTGTTGGCTAGGTAGTTCGGGGTGCGGTGGTGACAGAAGTTTAAGAAACGGAGCAGAGAGGTGAGGGCAAACTAGTCAGAATCTTCCTTTCTCTAGTCCCTTGTGCTAATTCTTACATTTTGTGATTGTGGCATGTTTGCTCTGCTCTGAGTACAGAACCCCAGCATATGTCCAACTGTCTGCACAAGTGGGAGAAAGGAGGTCTTTTACATGACTAGTGTTGACGGCAATGCTGTTAATTAATGTAGCCATAGCAAACTATTCATCAAATTTATGTCTGCACATGGCTTTCTTTACCTTAAATTCAGGCACTTGTTTTACCTTCCCTACATCTATTTTAGTCAAGTAGCCAAGTCACCTGAAAAAATCCATAGACTTTTGAAACCCTACATGCAAGATTAATGTCAGATCAAAGGAGATGAAACACATGCACTTTTTTTCTAAACACAGAATGCAAACAGTCAAACTGAGAAGGTTCTCAGTCTTCTTGTTTCCGAATGAATCATCCATTTCACGGTTGATTGTACTTCCCAAGGTGGCTGCAGTAGATCTCTTATCATACATACTCTTCTTACAACTTGATGTTGACACTCTTCTCATAAACCTGAGAGGGCCTTTGACTATGGTGGAAGTGACACTATGTGACTTCTAAGGCTAGGCCATAAAGAAAGATCTAGTTTCTACCTGGCTGTCTTAAGACAGTTGCTCTAAGGACCCTGTCACCATGCTGTGAGGAAGCCAAGCAGCCACAGAGAGAGACCACATGTAGGTGTTCCAGCTGACCACCCCAGCTGTGGTCCCTCTGGTCAGCTGATATCACTTACCACTCCTGGAGCCTGGAGTCATCTGAAGGTTACTGTGTGTGAGTAACCATCCAATGACTCTAGGCTCCAGAAGTCATCCTCAGCATCTGAGCTGAGCTGTCCCTGCTGAGCCTTGCCCAAATTGCAGATCTGTGTGATAGAGAAAAAGATTTATCATAAGCCACTAAGTTTTGGATTTTTCTTATTCACCAATAGGTAATTCCAACCCTGAGTTCTCCCCTTCTACTGGGAGTTTGCTGTTGGTCCTAATAATTTCATATGTTTAAACATCCACTTTTAAAGAAACCATCTAAACTGGGATCTGGAGTTCCTAAGATTTAGCCACAAGAAAAAGTAAAAATTCCCTGCAAAATGAGTGCTGTGAACTAAGAAAAAAGAAGTTAAGATCTAATGGAGCTATCATTAATAATTCAGGAACAGTTACCATTCCTGGGTACCAACAGTACTCTACCATCTATTACATTAGAACTGAGATAAATTGGAAAATGCTTCTTGACAGAGCAAGTTGTTTTCAAAAGATCAGAAAATGAGAAATCTAAAGAAAGAAGGATGGAAAGAGCAACAATGTGATATGAGCTATGCCATGGACTTAGGATGACTCTGGTCTTTGCATCACAGAATTTTATTTTTTATTTTTTAGAAACTGATGTTTATTTTCTGTCAACCTTATTTTCATGTTGCTTAAGAGTCCGTGCAAGAACAGCTTAAGACCATTCAGTGGTTGCTCCTACCCATTCAGTGGCCTGAGCAGTGGAGCTGTGGACCAGTCTTCCATGGCAGGCTGAGCCTTCCAGTCTTCAGTAGAAACTGCTGAATAGGCACAGAGGGCACCTGCATGCCTTCAGACCAGTCTGCAACTTCAGGCTGAGTAACAGTGAACTCAGGAGCTGAAACAGTCCATTTACCCTGAAATTCCTTCTTGGTCACAGCCTTTTCAGCAGCAGCCTGCTCTTCTTTTTCAGTCTCTTCAGGATCTCTGTAGAAGTAGAGATTAGACATTACCTCCCATGGGTGTTGCAGGAAATGGTGCCACGCATGTGCAGAACTTCCCAGGCCAGCATCTACCACATCTGACCCACTGAGGGAGCTCCCTTGTTGTTGCATGTGATGGCAATGTCCAATGGCACAGAGGAGAATCTGTGTTGCATAAAGCAATGGCAGGTGGGTTAACACAAGATGCCTCTGTGAGAGACTGGTGGTCAGCCCTGGGGTCAGAAACCACAAGAAGCCGTGGCTCCCAGTAGGCTGCCTGGATCTGGTTAGGAAGGTTCCAGGAGTGAAGTGGCCAGCAATTGGAGTGGCTCCAGTGGCAGCAGCAAACTTCAGCATAGCCTTCTGGCCAGTATTCCTGGAGGATATGACACTGACATCAGCAGAGTTTTCAATGACAACAATGGCATGACCTGCCAGCAGAAGCTTCTCCCAGGTCCTCTTCAGATTTATGCTGTAGATGCCATCACTTTCCTTTTATAGATGTACTGTTCCATTTGGAAGTCAATTTGGTGCCACCTAATTGGATTCCCACTGCAAGGAGCTTAAGGACATCCTCCTCCTTCATTTGCAGGACATCAAGGGCTCCAGACATTGTGAAAGTTTCTCTTTAAGTCATGACAGGAATCTGAAATTAAGAACAACACCTTATGGACCCCACTGTAGGTAGCGCAGAAACACTGCCTCACAGAATTTTAGAACCTCAAGATTGTAAGAGATCAGCTAGTTTGAGTCTGATTAACCTCTCTTGTCAAATCCCTGAGTCCCATCTGCAAAGAAAAGCTATCATCTAGTTTCTGTTTAAATATCTTTGATGTCAGAGAGAATCCTCTTAATTTCTCAAAGAAGTTAGGTGTTAAAGGATTCTTCCTTGGGTTAAGCTAAAACCATTCTCCCTGCAATTTTAACATTTGGTTTTATTGTGAAGTTGTATCTTTTGCAAGAGGTTTGGTTCTAAAGCCACATGAGGCAGCAACTGAATATGGCCAAACATGGTCTTGAAAGTTCCTCAGGAAAGCAACCCAACCATTATTAGCCTATGAGTTGTTAGCCAGCATTCCTGCCCATGTTGGAACTGATTACTGTTTCTTTGGTTGAAAAGCAGAAAATGTAGTTGGTTTGCATAATGGTGATGGAGGCATTTAAAAAAATATGAATTTTACAAAGCTAGAATTACACTCATACTGGGGAGATACTTATGCTAAGAGAGGCAAAATGGACCTGAGATGGGAGAGTTCATACTTCCTGCTTCCTGCTCATTCTGGGGCACATATACACTCATTAAGCAGAATGGCTGAAGGAGCCACCCACACTACTTACTTGTATTTTTCTCTAAAAATAAGATTATTTTTGCAGAGCTCATCTAATTGAATGCGTGTCCATTAAACACACTTATGACATATACCACTGTAGGCCTGTCCTCTAAAGCTACATACAGCAAGTCTCGTGTCGTCTCCAGGAAAGCGTTTTGAAGACAGTGATTAGAATTCTTGAGACAGCTCCACACGAAGCACCATCATTCCTTCAAATGTTTCTCATAGAACATAGTTTCGAGCCCCTACTCACTTGTATTTCTCCTCAGAACAGAGCTGAACATGTGCCCCTAAGTATAAAGTCCTGGACTGTTCAGACTGTGCACATGGGATCAGGTCAGCATGGAATAGAGGAGATGGACACGTCTTTCCTTCTGAATTCTGACTTCCCTTACGCCAGCCAAAAATTGCATTTGAATTTTGGCAACTAAATCCTATTGTTGTATTATAGTTACCAAAATCCCAAGTGCTTTTAAAAGTTATGAACTATTTAAACGTGCAGAAAATGATATAGCAGACATCCACGAACTCATCACCAAGATTAACATGTTAACAGCTTTGCCTTATTTACCTCGGATTACTAAATCTTTCTTTACATGTGCTTTTCTTTGCCCGGTTCTCCCGTATACTGTATTTCTGCACCCATCTAATCACCCTGCCAAGAGTTATGGATTCAGCATTATTTCTTAAATTCCTACTGTGTCCTATTTGGGGTCTTGATTTTGCTATTTAAATGCGTTTTGTATTATCTCAGACTCATATTCACAGTTTTCATTAGGGACCCTGTACACACAAGTTTTTTTACAAAAATGAATGGGACAGGTTGATGACAGAGCCCCGGGATCCACCACTAATGACATCCTCTAAACTGGCTGAAGCATTATTTCATCTCTGTGACCTTCTTGTGCCTTTGTTTATGTCGTTTCTTTCTCCTGGAATGGCTTCTTGCTTCCTTCTTCCATCTGACCAACTTACATTACTTAACCCCTTGAGGTTCAGTGTCAGCTGTTCCAGGAACCCTTCCCTGATCATTATCTGCTAGGTGAGGTACTCTACCTTTGCATTTCTTTAGGGTAGCACCTCTGCTCTACAGTCTTCATTGGCTATCCTGTCTATCTTCCCATCTCATATTTAAGTCCTTTAAGGGAAAAAATGTCATTATGTTTTCCTTTATATTCTTAACCCTTATCAATGTGCCAGAACTTCAAAAGTACCAGATCATATTAGATGCTCAAAAATGCTTGTTAAATAAATACACAAGAATAAAACAATTTAGCCAAATCTTTCTTCCTTCCATTACTGGGATACTTTCCACAATATCTCTGATAGATCATCACTTCCATCATGGAGAATTTGCTACCTAACAGGACAGCCAATTCTCTATTTGAATGGCTCTGGATTTTGAAAGTCTCCAATTAAGCCCCGAATAGGTTTCCTGTAACAACACTGTAAGTTCTCATAATAAATAAGTCAAGTCTCTTTTCTGAATGTCAAAGATTCTTATGTGGTATTCCTTGGGTAACTAAGTAGTTTTTAGTGAATATGTTTTATACACAGCAGGCAGAGCTGGAGAAATTATTTCGGTGTTCAGAATTGAGGCACTTTCTGGGGCATCCCATTAAGGATTTCTACCCTGAATTCTTTCCAGAAGCTAATTGGGTCTGTGAAGGCCACAGAGTACAGGTGTTCCATGTTCTATGCAGCTCACATTCCTACATAAACATGCTGTTACTTTCTTGAGCGTCACAAGCTCCTGGGTGGTCTTAGGGCTGCCTTCAAAGGAAAACAAGTAAGACTTTCCTCTCATTGCTGATCACTTGAAGACCTCGTTAGCATACAACATTCTGGAATCTCTATTTACTGAGTCATGAGTTCTCACCTGAAAGGAAACTTAAATGGCTAACTCTGGCTAATTCCAAACCTCATTGAATAGCCAAAGAGTTGTAGGAAAGGTAAAAGTGAGAGAAACAGGTAACTTCTGTGCTAAGTTCAATGCCTTTCTCTAAGCTCTTGATTGTAACTATTACTTAGCAAGGTGAAAGCATTGACATTTTCCTCAGGAAATATAGAAGCAAGTCATTTCCTTAAAAGTTAGGTGTTTTTTTGTTTGTTTGTTTGTTTGTTTGTTTGTTTTGTCCCAGGTTGCAGATTTTTCCAAATGGTGATGAGTTGGCTAAGTTTTATAACAGAGCAGTCATTATTCTTTCTGTATAGAATGTCAGTGTTTCTTGTGTGCCAGGCACTGTGCTAGGTACTTTGCAGGACTTACCTGATGTGGCCCTCCTAACAATCCTGAGAAATAAATATTATTATCTCCATTTTATATATGAGGTACTCTAGGCTCAAGAAAATTAAGAAACATATCCAGTGTTTCAGAATCACTAAATTGCAGAAACAATCCAAATCCAGATGGTTCTGATGCCACAGCTCATGGGCTTTGTAATAGGCCGTGCTGTCCCTCATTTCAACATCAGCTTCCCCATGTGATCTTCCATGTGGAGCTGAGCACTGCCTTTACTTCCAGATCCAGTGTTCATAGATCACCTCTATTATCTGCATATGATTGGGTGCCATCCACTTAGGACAAAGTTATAACATTCTTTTCTTATCAACCACAGTGTATTTAATTTTGTTTTAAAATAACATCACGCTTAAGAATATCCAGAATGCATGTAAATGATTGCTTGGATGTGTTAGCTTCTCTCTCTCTCTCTCTTTTTTTTTTTTTTTTTTGTCTTGAGACAGAGTCTCACTCTCACCCAGGCTGGAGTGCAGTGGCGCGATCTCGGCTCACTGAAACCTGTGCCTCCCGGTTTCAATGATTCTCATGCCTCAGCCTCCTGAGTAGCATGCACCACCATGCTCAGCTAATTTTTGTATTTTTAGTAGATATGGGGTTTCACCATGTTGGCCAGGCTGGTCTCGAGCTCCTGACCTCAAGTGATCCACCCGCCTTGGCCTCCCAAAGTGCAGGAATGACAGGCATGAGCCAACATGCCTGGCAGCTTCTCTCTTTTATCTTTGGGTTGGCTAGAGGGGTGGAGTAGAGGAAGGTGAACTTTACTTAATAAGGCCCAACAAAAGTATTTAGTAAGAAGCTCAATTTATTTAAAAAATCTGAGTCCTTTGGACTGAAAAGCCAGGGACAGCTTTTGCTGATATTCATCATGAGTATTTTATTTGCATTATTTAGGCTATTTTTTCCACCCATCTTGATGCTCCATGCTTGACAGCAAATTCTTTAGACCAGAGGTTGGCTGAATTTTGCCCACTGTCTTTGTAAATAGAATTTTAATGGAACACAGGCACGCTCACTTGTTTACATGTTGTTTGTGGTTGTTTTTATACTACAAAGGCAGACAGAAGTAGTTGCAACTAAGACTGTATGGTCTACACAGTCTAAAATATTTACTTTCTGACCCTTTACAGAAACAGCTTGCCAACCCTTGCTTTAGGCAGACCAAAGATGTATGGATGCTGCAGTTCAGCTATGAATCTCTGTGTCTAGACTTGAATGAGGAGGAATTTGGACTTGGATGGCAGGACTAGAACATCTTTAAAGGCTCTTCCAACTCTGCATTTCAAGGATTTAAAAATTCAGCATTATATATGTTTTTTTTCTCATAAATAAAGTATATGAGGTAGGACCCGGATAGCAGATGTGGACTTGTAACAAATCTTGGAGTGCAATAGGTATGTGAAAAACAGACATTTCTGTTTTGTTAATTCTTAGTATGCTGACGCTCAAATATAGCAAACTATGAATCCAGTGCATTAGTTAAATTTTGAATAGTCTCTAAAGGCAGCTAAGGCTGAATACGTGGAAGTGGGCCATGTCTGGTTATACTGACATCAACGAGTATTTGAAAGGAATCGAACTACATAATTGTACCATTTTGCTTGTCAGTATTTGTAAAATATTTTTTGTGTCTTCTATGAAAACTCCCTCCAGTCATGAATGTTTTATTAATTTATTTGTTGCCCATCAACCTTATGCACACTGCTATATGAAACAATAGAGGAAATGTGGTCACTACCCTGGAGAACTGTGCTGCTCAGTTCTTGGACTCTCTTCCCATGCCTCAGGACCTGTTGTAATGTTTTGGTTATTTTTTAAAGTATTTCCTAGTAATTAAGGTGCATGTCTGAAAAATTATGTATAATGTCAGAGGCCCAAAACCTTGGGATCTGACACCGGCTGGATTTCTTTTTGCATCCTTGGGAACTTTGGCTGCATTTAAATTAGAAAACTCATCTTTTGAAACGACAGGCTTTTTTTTTCTTTTTTTTTTTTTTTTTAAGCCTCCTGTATTCTCTGTAGATCTTATTTGGCTGACTGGTTAGTCACCTGGTCTTTTAACTTGGGCCAAGCTTTCTCTGAATACCAGAAGGATTTCAAAAGTAGATGTTTAAAGACATCTGATCCCTGATGTATTGCTTAAAATCATCATCTACACATGTATATACATAAATATATTTTTAAAAATATTAACTTAGTATTTTTTAAGTATTTTCTATGTTAGGAAATATACTACATTCAGATTTTTTTCCTATTGAATTTAAAATCAAAACAGACATATGTGAGTCAAACAACAAAAACTGTAAAAATACCTGTATGGTTTAAAATGATTTGCCTGGGGAGAAGAATATCTTATGATTTGAAAATGGGAAAGAAGTTTTATCTTGGAAGGAAAAAAAGACATCATGCTTGAGGAAAAAGGATGAGTTTCATGTGTAGACATTGGGAATGGATTATGGGCATGACCCAGCAGGAGGTCGGAGCTGTCGGCACATCACACTGTGTGGCACCATTGTGAACTTGTTGATAGAATGTTTTGTAATTGTTCTCAAGTCAGCCAGTATATGAATATTTTGTCTTCTGAGTCAGCAAAGAGAAGAATTTTCATCACCTATTTCATTAGTATTTCCTTTCTTTTCTTCACCTGTAAGTGTCTAACAAAATATTTTATCTTAGGTACCTAATAAGTATTTATTGATGAATAACTTCACTGTTTAAATCAGCTCATTGGCATGTCTACTGATAAAAAAAAAAAGGGGGAGCTGGGCGTGGTGGCTCACGCCTGTAATCCCAGCACTTTGGGAGGCCAAGGCGGGCAGATCACGAGGTCAGGAGATCGAGACCATCCTGGCTAACACGGTGAAACCTCGTCTCTACTAAAAATACAAAAAAATTAGCCGAGCATGGTGGCGGGCGCCTGTAGTCCCAGCTACTCGGGAGGCTAAGCAGGAGAATGGCATGAACCCGGGAGGCGGAGCTTGCAGTGAGCAGAGATTGGCCACTGCACTTCAGCCTGGGGACACAGCAAAACTCCGTCTCAAAAAAAAAAAAAAAGAATGAACTTAAAAATTCTGGAGAGAAAAAATGCATACATTCCAGAATTGCTTAAAAGACAATCTTTAAAATGGTTCTAGATGAATTCATCAAAGTTGATTTCAGGTGATAGCAATTTGTCAATAGATGAATTGGCCCTATGACTCATTTGCCCATTTAATGATTCATAATTTTGTTCTGACAAGTAATAAAGTAACAGGAATGTGTGTTTCAGTAAGGCTGCTCAATATATAGCTTACTTTGGAGGAAGACAATTTCTTGGGTTTAAAAAAATTCAGATATCAGGCATATCATCCATCTCAATGAATTTTTTAAATAGTATAGTGAATTTTAAATAGTTTAGTGAAGTGAAACCAATCTCTCGCTTTTCCTGCCTCCTACAATTTACAGATTTTCTTTCTTGACAGGGAGAGAAAGGAGTTGCATTACAAGTATGGACTAGGAATATTTTTATACATGGATAAGGAGAGGCTTGTATGCCTGTGACTGTGAGTCATGAACTGATATAAATGGGAGTGTGAAGATACTCAATGGTTTTAAGCTTGGAATTTTTCAAGTGGTTGTGCCAAGAACTACAAAGCAACAAGTTCTTGGTGAGTCAATAATGTTGAAAATTGTTTTGTTGGCAAATTGGTTTTTTAATGAATCGGTAGTCAATCACTTACTACTTGACTAATTTTCTTCACACTGGTCTATCTCTTATGAAATAATCTTCCTTCTCCATTAGACACCCACTTATCCGGATGCCAAAACCAGCCTTATCTGGAAGCAGGTATATGAAGCTGCTGCCATATTTCCCAGCCCCCATAGCTTTATAATGATAAATTGTTTTATTCCATGTAAAGGAAAACAATCTTTTAAGATGTCTTTTTGGAGAATTAGTTATTGAACATTTCAATGTGATAACATTAAAAACAAGATTTCATTTTAACCACTAAAATGGCTTAGCCATAACTCCTAACAGAGGTATGGCCTAGAATGTAAAAGAAAGAACTTGGCTGTGTATAAAAGAAAGGGAGAGAGAAGAAGAGTAAGTGTAGAAAAATGAGTGAAAATACCATAGGCTGTAAGAAATAGAAGAAAGATGTCTGAAGACACAAAATGGCATAGGGCTATTGGAGGCTGGTAGGTGCTTTTGTACATGGGTTTGTATCCTGGTATGAGACAAAGAAGGTTAAGTGTATGTGCATCTTAAAGATAGAAGGTCCACTCTCCCAAAATATTCAACCTTTTCAAAATATTCGGCATCATATAGTGGCTAATAGATATAAGCAATTTCCAGGCTTGCTCTGTTGATATCACCCTATCCCTATGTCTTAGCAATTGGAATGGGGATTCAAGGACTGGAAAGCAGGGTATTGGGTCTGACATTCTAATGGCATTGGACAAACTCCTCTCCACTTGTGTTTTCAGTGGTGACAGCCAGAGATTAATGGCAAGAGGGTACTAGAATTGACTGTGTGAATAATGAAAGGTACTAGGGGTCACTGCCAAAATACTGATCTATATTCTTTTCTGTTATCAGGACACTGGCATCCACGGAAAAAAAAAATTAGTCTTTGTAGAAAAAAACTCTAGTATTATTCTACCAAGTTTCTCTTTGCAACTTGTGCAATGTGCCCAGAGTTTTAAATTGGTCTTTCTATTCTTCAAATAAGAAACTGTTCTTATTTAAAGAACAGTTCTTAGTGTTCTTATTTCAAGTATCAGTGCAGAGCCCAGATTTCTCTCCAACCTGTTTTCCCAACACAAAGAAACTAAACTTGAGGTCCTTGGAAATTCTGCTTGGTATGAGTCTTTGTCTTTCCATTTTATTTTTCTTTTTCCTCCTCTTGTTTTCACTAGATTGAACTCCATGCCTTTCTTCTTTGAAAAAACAGAGCTGCATCAGGCATGGAGATCAGGAAAAGGTTTTTTCACCTCCATGATTTTGGTAGCAATACAGACATCTGGCAGCAAGAAGTATAAAAAACTTCTTTACTTTTTTACTTTTTTTAAGGAAGCCATTATTTCAGGTAGAGGATATCAACTAACATATTCTTGCAGGCATTGAGCTCTTTCTTTCAAGACCTCCATTGCTGATCAAACTAAATATTTAAAAGGACATTCCTGTAAACAAAAACATGGTCTGCATTCACAAACCATTTTCAACAAGATCTCTTTCCAGTCAAGACTGACCATCTGCTTGCCATCTTATATTTTTTAATATTATTCTGTCAAATACATGCTCTGTCAATGCAGGTAAAGGAATACTTGAAAAATCTGAACATACACAAAACAGTGGGTCCAGATGACATGAATCCAAAAGTCTGGAGGGAATTAGCTAATGCAGACTTGCAAATAAGTGCCCCAAACAGAGCAGCTTCACTGTATTTTATCAAACTGCCCTTCTTTCAGGAAGTACACAGATAGTAAAATAAATACAATCAACATTCCCTTTGACTCTCCTGGCAGCGACTGTTACCTTGGACAAGTTACCATTTACAAGGCTGCACGTATGAACTTACTCTAAAAGCAAAGCAAAAAAAAAAAAAAAAAAATAGCACATCACCAAGAAAGAGCAAACAAACAAACAAACAAAAAGAATTAGTATTTTCTAAAGATTATAGAGATAGTCTGTAATTTGTTATCGACTAAGAGTACCTTTGAGATCTGAAAAAGGGTAACCAGGCCAGATGCAGTGGCTCACACCTGTACTCCCAGCACTTTGGGAGGCCATGGTGGGCAGACAACTTGAGGTCAGAAGTTTGAGACCAGCCTGGCCAACAGGGTGAAACCCCGTCTCTACCAAAAATACAACAATTAGCTGGGTGTGTTGGTGGACACCTGTAATACCAGCTACCTGGGAGGCTGAGGCAGGAGAATCGTTGAACCCGGGAGGCAGAGGTTGCGGTGAGCTGAGATCACACCACTGCGCTCAAGCCTGGGTGACAGAGCGAGACTTTGTCTAAAAATAAATAAATAAATGGATAACCAAATAGGAGATGTGGCTGAGAGGTTCAAGGTGGACAATTCAGGACTGTGAGCCAGAATGACCCTGAGTCTGGTCTTGTTTGTCATCTGCCTATGGAACCACAGCCATGGACCTTGCATGGGCAAAAGCTGGGCTAAGCAAGAGAGTATGACAGAAGTAATGCTATACCAACTCCAGGCCTATTCTTCAGAGGACCAGTGACTTCCACCCTGGCCACTTGAAAGCCATCCACCGTGTAACAAGTTGAACTACCCTAAGACTCCCATGCTGTGTGGAAGCCCAAGCTAGTCATCTGGAGAGAGTGAAGTGGGTGGTGGTGGGGGTGGGGAGGAGAGCTAGGGGGAGAGTAGGGAGAAAGCTCTTCTAGCCACCCTGGATCCTAGTATGGATTCCAGACAAGTAAATAAAGAAGCCATCTTGGACATTCCAGCCCCAGAAGATGCCATATGAAGGGGAACAAAAGAACCCAGACAATATCCAGAACAGAGAGCCCAGCTATATGGCCCCAGTTGATCTGGCCCCGTTATTTCCTACCGTCCAAATCACCTCAACTGAAGCCTCAGGTATTGTGAAGCAGAAACCAGCCATCTGTACTACGTCCTCCTTGAACTCCTGATTCATAGAACCATGAGCTTAACAAAATGGTTTTAAGGGGGTGAGGGGGGCAAGGGTTTACGCAGCAAAAGGTAGAACTAACAACTTTTACTTCAGGAAACTTTATTCCTTTTATTCCTTGTGTTTCTCTACTTTGTTGTTCCTATTTTCCTTTTTCTTCCTCTATTTATTGCTATTTTTCTCTACTCATCATGCTAAGATAATTAAGCATATTTTAAAATTTGTTTTGTTTGCAAATGAGATGAGTTTTGGTATGCTCCCCTGCCCACCCCACTACTTGTATACTATCTTATTTTATTATTTATTTAAAGACAGGTTCCCGCTCTGTTGCTTGGGCTGGAGTACAGTGAGTGGTGTGATCATAGCTCACTGAAGCCTCACCATTCATTATTTTAAAATGAAGTGAGTTGTACTTAAAATTTCCTCTCAGAAAACTAGATTAATCGATTCTTATTTTCATGTAGGCACCAATGACCTAAACCTTTAAAAATCTATGTAAATATGAAAAACTGGAAAGAAATAGAATGTCCAACGAAATAACTAAATACAATGCAATTGATTAAAAAATGCTGCACTGACTATATCTGGAGCAGCCATTGCTATCTCTTTGCCTCACCTCTGAACACTCTCACCTGCTAACCCTGATCCAGTTACAAAAGCCCTGGTACTGTTCCTCTAGCGTACCAGGCATGCTCCCTTTGCCTCTGCTGTTTCCCCTGCCTGGAAAATTTCAAGAAATGCACACAACGTGCCCTCTTTC
Organism: Homo sapiens; assembly: GCF_000001405.40. NCBI lineage: Eukaryota > Metazoa > Chordata > Mammalia > Primates > Hominidae > Homo > Homo sapiens. The sequence goes on from NC_000012.12 coordinate 65,769,419, forward strand.
TTCTTTGGGGTTCTGCTTATCAATGTAGCCTTCCTTGACCATTGCACATACGACATGAGACTCCTCCCATTCCTAACATGCTCTATCTCGCTTGCCCTGCTTAATTTTTCTCCTTAATGCCTCTCACCATCTGCTGTATCATGTATTCACTTATTTATTTATTCATTGTCTTCTCCCACTAGAATATCAGCTCCATGAGAGCTGAGACTGTGTGGTCTTGTTCGGGGTCTGTCCCTGGCATCTCTAGTACTGTATGGCATATGGTAAATATGAGTCAAGGAAGCATGCTGTGCAGCTGAGATGCAATGGATTTTAACTTCTGTCAAAGCCACTAACAATACGTCATTAAGAGAAAAGAACAGGTTACAGAATAGTATGGAGAGTTTATACATATGCTTTGAAAAAAGTATAATAGTCTTGACTGGATGCATAACTAGAAATGAGAAAGGTCCTCATTTTGTCAGCTGGGTGTAAAATTGGAGGAAGCGTTGGTGCTCCCACCTGTGTGGCAGAACAGCACAGGGTTACCGAGAGAATGGAACAGGTTGTGGGTGACGCAGGAATGGGAAGGGGAGGCAGAACACAGGCTGAGCCAGAAGCAGAGGCAGCACTAACTCTCCTACCCAGTGGTCATTTCCTCCTTGCCCTTACCAACAAAATTCTGATGTCATTGAGAGGAGCGAGGGGCCCAGCCAAAAATACTCGCTTTCCTGAACTCCTTGCAGCTAGGAGACCATGCGAAAAGTGCTGGCTAATGAGAATTAAAGCAAAAGTTTCAAAAAAAGCTTTAACTTTTCTGATAAAGGCACTACCCTTTCCTCAGAAAGTTCCTTTGAAACTTTTTGTTCCATTCTTTTAGTAACCCGTGTGCTGTTCCGTCACCCAGGTTAAAGCACCAAGGCTTCCTCCAATTTTACACCCAGCTGACAAAATGAGAACCTTCTCTTTTCTAGTTATGCACCCAGTTGAAACTATTACACTTTTTTCAAAGCATATGTATCAACTCTCCATGCCATTCTGTGATCTGTTCTTCTCTCTCAATTACTGAGGGGGGCACTGCTTCTCTCCTTCCTGCCACAGAAGGATATGAGGCCTGGAGCTGCAGTAGCCATCTTGTGAACAAAGAGGCACCAGCTGTGAGGCAGAGGCTTTCATGATAAGAATGGTGAAATGGAGCACCAGGCATGGTGGCTCACACCTGTAATCCCAGCACTTTGGGAGGCCAAGGTGGGCGAATCACGAGGTCAGGAGTTCGAGACAAGCCTGGCCAACATGGTGAAACCCTGTCCTTACTAAAAATACAGAAAATTAGCTGGGCGTGGCGGGCGCCTGTACTCCCAGCTACTGGGGAGGCTGAGGCAGGAAAATCGCTTGAACCTGGGAGGCAGAGGTTGCAGTGAATCGAGATCGCACCACTGCACTTCCCTGGGAGACAGAGTGAGGCTCTGTCTCAAAAGAAAAAAAAAAAAAAGAAAGAGCCTGCATCCTATGGCTGGGCACAGTGGCTCATGCCTGTAATCCCAGTACTTTGGGAGGCTGAGGCAGGCAGATCACCTAAGGTCAGGAGTTTGAGACTAGCCTGGCCAACAGGGTGAAACCCCATCTCTTCAAAAATACAAAAAAAAAAAAAAATTAACTGGGCATTATGGTGGGAGCCTGTAATCCCAGCTACTTGGGAGGCTGAGGCAGAAGAATTTCTTGAACCCAGGAGGTGGAGGTTGCAGTGAGCTGAAATCACACCATTGCACTCCAGCCTGGGCAACAGAGCAAGACGAAGGAAGGAAAGGAGGGAGGGAGGGAGGGATGGAGGGTCGGTCCTGAAGGCATCGTGGAGCTGCTGCACCATCTTCATGTTATTTCCTGTAGACTTATTGTAGCAGCCAAACATGATCCTAATAGATACTTTTGGATTTTTCTCCTTCTTCTGTCAACTTACCATTTTTCGACAATGGCATATGTTATTTATATAGCTAAAACAATCGTGTGTGTGTGTGTGTGGGCACACGTACACATGTATTTGAGGATGGTTGTGAAAAAAACATTTGGTTAGTCTGAAGCTAAGGCAGGAATTTTTTCTTCCCTTGCCTACTTACCCCAGAGGAGAGAACTAGATCCCGAATTGTTGGACCAGCCACCTTCTCTTATGACACTTTGTTTTGTCCAAATACTAGACCCTTTGTGATCTCAAATCCCTTTGTAATGAACTGCCCTGGTGAACTGGCCCCTGTGTGAGCCAAACAGATTTGAGTTTTGTAGCTAATAACCTAGGATATAAATGAATTGAATTGTCTCCTTCTACTTGGACTTCTGATGGCAAATAGCAGATTAAAATGAATTTGAAGAGAAAAGAACATATCTCCTTAGGCTTGGAGCAAAACTTCGTTAATCTGAAACTCTCTGCTCCCATTTTTGCCTAAGCTGAGCCTAATTTCTGCTTGCCTGTCTTAGGGGAGATCCTTCATGCAGAATCAACCTCTCCAAAAGAGAAGAGTGCAGATGATGCAGCTTGTATACCTCTCAGCTCCTCCTACTGCAATGCCTTTTCTCCGCATCACAGCCCAGTAGTGAATCCAAATTTTTCCTGCCTGTGGCACCTAATCCACTATATCTCCCAAACCCTGCTTCTTCCTCCTATTCACATTATTGAAATTTGAGGCAGCCCAGTTAATAACACACTGTTTTCTCCCACTTAAATTCTGGACCAAGTAAGAAATAAGACAAAAGAGTAAGGCAGAGAGGAATACAAAATATATTTGTACTGATGATGCTGATGTTGGCCAATGTTTCCCCTATCAGCAAGTTGGCTTGCAGAATGAGACAGACTGACCAACCCAGTCAGAGGCTGCATTTGGCAACCGTAAATTCTCCCCGGAGAAGAGGTCTGTCCCTGCAAAACTTGTAACATGAAAAAGTAAGGCAATATGCTGTCTTCTCATAAATCAGCAGCTCCCAAAAATAAAATGAAGAGGAAGGGCTGGTCAATGCATGCCCAGTTTCTTTCCAAACCCATCAGTCAGACCAAGTCATTCTTTTTCCTGGCTGAGGCCCCTGCTTAGTTCACTCCTTGCCTTCCCCACCCCATCCAGGCCAAAGCTTGCCTGCCCTCCCCTTGCTTCACCCCCAGACAACAACCCCCACATGTCCAGCTCCCGCTCCCTGCATGAAGCCACCCCAGTGCAGGGTGGCAGATGCTCCAACTCTCCTTTCTACTCTTCCATAGACAAAGGTTTAATCTCTTCTATCTGTCCCAATTACCTGTATGCCCTTTGTATCACTTGGGTCTCAGTCTGAAGCTCTTACTCTAGAGAAATACTCTCTTGACAGGGAACATGTGAAAAGACATATAGAGTCCCCCCACTCAGCTCTGACTTCTAGAATTATGGAGAAGAAAGTAGTCTTTTTCTATAGTGTTAGAAAGAGAAAGTCTACTTTCAGCTTCAGGAAAAGGGCACAGGCTTTGGCACGAAACATACTTTAGTTCCCAATCTGGTTCTGCTATCTTCTTGCTCTCACATCTAGTACACTTGGTTTAACTTAAGATTTGGTATCTTTGAGAATGGAGTGTATTCATATCATGGCTACCATGCAGAACATCTTTTATAAGTATTCCTGGGACAATGCCCAAAACACAGGAGATAATCAAGAAATATTGGTTTCTATCTCCCATATCCAACCTAATGGTAGAAAAGTTTCACTTCTTAAGTTTTATATTCTCATTTTCTAGTCTTCAGGTCAGCCTTGTCTTTGGATTAGTCTATCTTCTCCCATCTTAGGATGATACATCTAAGTTTTAAAAAGATATTTCTTATTTCTTTCCAGATTCTCTGCTGAAGCCAAGCATGATCCAAAGGCAAAAACTTTCTCATAGTCCACAGTCAATATGGCTACTACAGGATACAATGAAAACTCTTAGGGACAGTGATTGTTCTTCCAAGACCCATCTGCTGACGCTGATGTGAAGAGGCATTTCGTATACCTAACCTGACGAACATCGAACATCGTAATTTAGCCTAGCCTATTTTAAACATGCTCAGAATACTTACATTAGCCTACAATTCGGTAAAAATCCTCTAACATAGAGCCTATTTTATGATAAAGTGTTAAATATCTCATGTAATTTATGGAATATTGTACTGAAAGTGAAAAACAGAATGGTTGCATGGGTACCATCATAAAGTAGAAAAATCATACTTCAAACCATCTGCAACCATCTGTAGTCTCGAGCACTCATCATAGGACTGTTTGTACTCTATGACACTCATCCCAAGCTAGTATGATTACTTGTTTGTGAATGGACTTTTCAAAAGTATCTCCATAACTTATTCTTTGAATGCCCAGCACCCAACCTAGGCTCAGGGACACTGGGCTTTAAGTAATGTTTACCAATGAATGAATGAATGACCAAAGGCCAAATAATTGATTCAAAAGACTCTTTATATAAAAGCACCATGGAAAAGTGTTGTTACCATGATTGTTTTCTATAAGTCAATTTTATGTAAAATAATAATTTCCTCCAATATAACACAGGGAGGATTCCCTTTAGACAATAGCCATGCATGTCATAGATTTTTCTTTCTTGCCAGACTCCAAAGACATCTAGTCACTTCTATTGGCACTGATTGGTCTATTAAGGATGTCTCAAGTGGATGGGTGTCCTTAAAATAATGTTTTCCTCTCAGCTAGTTGGGAGGCTGAGGTGGGAGGATCACTTGAGCCCAGGGAGATTGAGGCTGCAGTGAACTGTGATCGTGCCACTGCACTCCAGCCTGGGTGACAGAATGAGATCTTCTCTCAAATAAATAAATAAATAGTGTTTTCTCATTGGTTTACATCATAATTTCGGAGATATTTTGATTTTATTCTAATAAAATGACTTTAGTTTCAATGTTTGCCTATCTCCTGAGAAGTTACCATTCAGAATCTTTTCGTAATGTAAATTCTCCTAATTTATAGGTTGTCAATTTTGGGTTGTAGTATACTGTATTTGGCTCTCTTAAAGCAGGGCACACCTGAATTAGCTTTTGAGATAAAAGGAAGGCAAAGAAAATTGATTGGGAGCAAAACATCTGATATAGTTTTAGTTGCAAAGTTCAAATTTTCTGAATGGGACCAAGATGGCATAGTTTGAAATGTGGCTGAAATGTCTACATACCTGAAAGCAATGCTGGTGAAGTTCTTATACCATATTTCCTGGTGTGTTTCTCTTTAGGTATTTCCACATATGTACACATATATTGGGGAAAGCAAATGAACTTCTCTTTTTCTTCCCTAGAATCATTTCCATCCCATACTTGTTATACGAAAATGGCCACTCGTTCTTGGATTCATTTATTTATGTAGATTTTGCTTTGACTTTACCAAACAAGAAAAAGAGCTGAATTTAAATAGCAATGAAATTCTGCTTGCTGCTATGAGAAGGACTGTCCTCAAAGATCTCTTCTCTTGCCACTCCGCCTTCCAGTTATGCTTTGTCCTTTATCCCACATAACAAATCTTTATCTAGCACTGGCTAAGGGTTGGGCACTATGGTAAGTGAGGGAGATGCTGTCCCTCCCCACACTGAGCTTACAATCCAAGGGATGTTTTATGAAAATAACCAGTCATATCTGGGAATAGAGCCAATTACAGTGTCCAGATCAGAAACTGGCCTCAATTAAAAGTGATACTGATAAGAGTATCAAAAAGGTATCAAAAGTGATATTCATCCTATATTTTGCCCACATTTATCTTCCTAGAATGTTTTTTCCATAGTGCTGGATTTACCCCTTGGAGCCACACAGAATAATGCTTATCTGTGCTCTGCAAGATGTTTCAGGTTTTAAAAAACAGCCACCTTCTCCCTCTGAGTGATCTGTCCTTTAAGGCCAAGTAGACCCTGCTCCTTCAACACTCTGACATAATTGAATTTTTTTGGAGACAGAGTCTCTCTCACTTTGTCACTCAGGCTGGAGTGCAGTGGTGAGATCATAGCTCATTGCAGCCTCCGCCTCCCAGGCTTGAGTGATCTTTCTTCCTTGGCCTCCTGAGTAGCCGGGGACACAGGCACACACCACCATGCCTGGCTAAATTTTTTATTTTGTATTTTATAGAACCAAGGTATCTCACTATGTTGCCCAAGATGATCTGAACTCCTGGGCTTAAGTGATCCTCCCACCTCAGCCTCCTAAAGTCCTGGGATTACAGATGTGAGCCATCATACCTGGCCTGACATAACTGTGAATTCCCTCAAACCTCTGTACTTAGATAACTAACCTCTGTAGCTAGATTTTGCAACAAATGACCAAAAACCTAACATCAAGTGGTTTAAACAATATAGGAGTATAATTCTCTGTGTAAAATTTCAGGTAAGTGATTTACCTCCAGTGTGGTGCTCCATAATACCACAGACCCAGGCTCTGGCCAGCTCGTTGCTCTCTGCTACTTGACTTGCATCTCAGGATCCAAGTGGTAGCACCCAAGTTCTAAGCAGCAGGGTAGAGGAAGGGGAAAAAAGAAGGGCAAAACCGTGGATGGATGCATGTGGTCCCTTAGGAAGTGTGTCCAGAAGCGGCCACTTTGCTTCTGTTTCATTGATCTTAGCTACATGCCTGCACCCACATGGAAGGGAAATTGGGAAATGAAATGTGTTCTAGGGAGCCATAGGCCTTCCTAAAACTTGGAGGTACTGTTGCTTTAGAAGAAAGGGACATGCATACTGAAGGCAATCAGCTTTACTTACCACACTCTCTCCTTGTGCTCTTTGGTCTCTCATGAAGTGCTGTGGCCAATATGTCACTGCCTTTTTTTTAAATGAAAGATATCACACTGCAAAAATAGCAATTTTATTTCATCATATACAGATGTAGAAAAGTCCTTGTACTTTTCTAAATCAAATTAAATCTAACCGTGTACCTTGTCTCACCATGCTAATGAAAAATTCAATGTCCTTTATCCAGTATTGCCTCTTTAGGGTCACATGAAAGTATGATTGAGGTTGAGAAGGCATTATGTGGGTCCTGGAAATTGAGGAATGTGGCTTTTATCTTCAGGCCATCATAATCCCCCATGAGAGTTTCATTGTCCAAGTCCTGTATGGTCCATGTGAAGACAGGAGACCCTGCTCTTTTCACTCGAGGCTTGGGCTTTAGGGTCTTTGCCAAAGCTAAAATGAAACCCTTGATGCTGGGTGCCCAGCCTTCCTCAGTGCACTGTACAGTCATTTCTTTCCACAATCCTGTGACTTCCCCAGGGTGCTATAAAGCAAAGATCCCTCCATTCCCTTCTCAGGTTTGCAGAATCTCCCACTTCCCAGGACCAGCCTTTTCTGTCTTTACCCTCCAAGCATATTCTTTGATTTCTCCAATTCTGGATCAGCCCAACATCATTTCCCCTCAGAAGATGTAAAGAAAATAATTTTTGCCTTTTTTTGGAGTACTGTGGTAGAAGGAGATCCTGGCATCCGTCAGTTTTTGTGGTTGCTGTTTCATGTTTTTGTCTTGTTTTGTTTACTCTAACCCTGGTATAATTCATTTATTAATGCAGTCTCAAATCAGGTGGATCATTTTCATAATCATGTTATATTGCTGATCAGTATCAGGAATTGAGCTCCTCTGCTAGTAACAGATATTCAACTAGAGGCATAACTAGTTAAGAGCTTATTTTTTCATATAAAGAAATTCCTGTGGTAGTCCAGTCCAGAGTTGGAACAGAAGCTTCAGAATGTCATCAGGGACTCACTGCTCCCTTGCCTTCCTCCTCTGCCACCCTTATTCATGTCCATCATCAATGACACAATGTGGCTGCTAGAGCTCCAGCCATTACATCTGTGTTCCAGGCAGGAAGAACGGGAGGGGCAAGAGCAAAAGAGACACACCTTCTAGATGAGTAAATACCCTTTAAATAGCTATCTTTAAACTTACGTGCAAAAAATTCCATTTAAATCTCATGGCCAAACCTTTCTTCATGGGATGCTGGCAAATACAGTTCTAACACATTGCTGCTCCAAATAAAATCCAGATTTTATCATCAAGGTAGAAGGGAAAGTAAAAATCTGTAAGCAACACAATTTCTGTCTACTGCATATTATTGCTAACTCGTGTCTCTATCTCTTGGTTCATACAGTTAGCTATTAATATTTGCACCCAAGCAAAGAACTCAATTTTGTCTTATTACTATTGAGTTCCAACTGCAGCCTATGAACATATTTTAAAATCCAACATGTTCATTATTCTTTGCAGCTAAATCACCTATACATGTGATTTAAGTGAGCCAGCTGCTAAAAAGTTGTTTCTGACTTTATACCAGTTGGTGAGGTGATGAAGAGATGGTAATAATCCCATTTCCAAATATTTTCCTCTGATGCCTTCAGCTTCAAAGATTTCCATCTCTTATTTCATAACTTTGAGATCTGTTTGAACAACTTTTGCTTTTTATTTTTGCAGGGACATCTATTGCTAGAGAGATGCAGGGGTTTTTGTTGTTGTTGTTGTTATTGTCATCCTTTTTTTTTAGAGATGAGGTCTGGCTCTGTCACCCAGGTTGGAATGCAGTGGTGCTATCATAGCTTACTGCAGCCTAGATCTCCAGGGCTCAAGTGGAGATGCAGTTTTTATTGCAAAAAGAAAAAAAAAAGAAGAAAGAAAAAAAAAAACAAAAAATTTCCAGTTCATCTTCCCTTTCTTTCATTTTATTAAGTATAGTTATGTTATTAAAGTGCTACCTACATTCCTTTTCTCCTTTTTTAGAAAATCTTTTACCTAAATTAAGAATCATTCCATGATGTATACCTATATCAAAACATCACCCTGTACTCCATAAATAAAATTAAATAGGTATATAAAAGATAAAACTTTTAAAGAATTTTGACCAAAAAAAGTTCTAAACATAATGTAAGAAGCATAATACCAATTCTTTACATCAGAAAATTGGCATAAGATACAAAATTGTGACTAGTTTTCTTTGACTAATACTTTAATAATGTTTCATCAAAATTTTGAAAAAAAAAAAAAAAAAAGAAAACCACTTTGTTTAACATTTTTTTCTTGCCAAACCTTTTGTATCAGCCTGATTGCCTCTCTGACTCATTACACATAATTGAGTGATTCTTACAAGACAAATAAAACCAAAACAAAAGAAACTTTAAAAATAACAGAAGAATTATTTCTGCAGCATCAACTTTGCCTTGTCAATTATCAAGTCCTCTCCCCTTTTTGAGAGCTGTGGAGTAATCTTTTTAAATAAATATACCTTTTTTTTTCCATTAGAGATTTTAGTTGGGCATATAATCATCTGGGTGGGAAGATTTGTTCAGCATTTTTTTTTAATTGAGAATTGAGTCGTTGTGCCATTGACCTTGTTTCTGATTTCAAGCTTTTTTTTTCTTTAACTTTTATTTTAAGTTCGGGGTACAAGTGCAGGTTTGTTACATAGGTAAACTTGTGTCATGAGGGTTTGTTGGTGCAGATTATTTCATCACCCAGGCATCAAGCCTAGTACCCATTAGTTATTTTTCCTGATCCTCTTCCTCCTCTCCCACTCCACCCTCTGATAGGTCCCACAGTGTGTTCTTCCCTTCTTCAAGCTTTTTTAAAAATGTGGAAATAATGACATTGCAACAACAACAAAGGATTATTTTTGAACTTAAAACTAGCATCAAATAGTGAGAGAAATAGATCATCATCACTAATTCCAGCTCCAGCTTTCTTGAATCCTTATTCACAAAATATTATTTCAGCTTCTTTTCTCTCTCAATGGAAATTGATGGTCCTTTGCAACATTTTAAAATCTGTGCACTCTCCTTGAAGGTAAAGGGGCCCAGCCTTCTCCCTGAGGGAAAAGGAAATTCTTTGCATTCCTTCCTGATGAATCAGACATGCACACACACACACACACACACACACACACACACAGACACACACACACAGACACACACACACAGACACACACACTCCTTGATTTATCAGTGGCTCTTTGGTGGGATGTTCTGTTACAAGCTAAGACTCCCAGTCATGAGCTAGACCACTTATTCACTGTGTGCATTTGAGTACATTGGAAACCTTTGTGAGTCTCAGTTTCCTCACCTGCTAAATGGGGATAATAATATCTTCCATGCAGGATTTTTAGGGTTAAGTGGATAACATGAGATGCATCTGATATAGGAAATCCTCATTCAGGATGGAATAAGTAAGATTAGTTCATCTTTTTTAATTTTCTGTATTTCATTGTTAATGCATGAAGTTGAATATCATAGTTTGTAACACGCTGTTCTGAAACCTATAAGAAACACTGAACTGACCAGGGGTACCTGCATGCTGTGAGGCATACATTGGGTGGCAAGAACGAGAGAAAGCATTTATTGAATGAATTTCACGTGCCAAAGACTGTCCAGATGTTAGTACTTTTATTTTTTTCAGAACATCTCTGAGGGAGCAGTATTGCCCTAATCTGGAGGAACATGAGGCACAGAGAGGTTTAAGTCACAAAGCTAATCCGTGGCCAGCTGAGAGTTGATTCTCTGTGTGCAGGAGGCTTGTGCCCTGTGGAAGTGGAATTCTAAGACAGATCCCAAGATTCTCACTCCTCAGTGTCTGCGTCCTGTGTGATCCAATTCCCTTAAGTGTGGGTGGGACTTTTGAATATGATGGGATAACCAGTCCTGTCATTACATTCTGGCAGAAGTTAGGAAGATTCTCCTGCTGGCTTTGAAGAAAACAGCTGCCTTGAGAGGACCAGGTGGCTAGGGCCTGAGGGCGATCTCTGGGAGCTGACAGTGACCCCTGCCAACAGCTAGCATGAACCTGGGGCCTCAGTCCTACAACCACAAGTTACTGAATTCTACCAACGTTGTGAATGAACTTTGGAAGAGGACCCTGAGCTCCAGCTGAGAGCCACAGCATGGCTAACATCTTGATTTCAGTCTTGTGAGACCCTGAGCAGAGAACCTGGGATTGCCATGCCAAGATTTCTGATCTACAGAAAGTGTGAAATAATAAATGGATGTTGCAAGCTGCTGAGTGTGTGGGAATTTGTTACACTGCAAAAGAAAACTAATATGTGCCCTTTCTACCAGGCTCTGCTGGACCCATACTCGGGTGACAGCTAATTCAGCTTCTGTATGCTCATCCATCAGATACTGGCCCAGAATGCTGGGGCAATACCTTTTTAAAGAGGAACTAATAATGCTTGCCTTTCCTACCTGAAAGAGTAGCTGGGAAGTTCATCTGAAATGGTGAACACAAATGTTCCTATGGAACACAAAGTGCTATACGACGGTGATTGTATTAGTCCATTCTCACACTGCTGTAAAGAACTACTTGAAACTGGGAACTTCATGAAGAAAAGACGGGTGATTGACTCACAGTTCTGCAGGCTGTACAGGAAGGATGGCTGGGGAGGCCTCAGGAAACTTACAATCATGGCCGAAGGTGAAGGGGAAGCAGGCACATCTTACCATGGTGGAGAAGGAGAGAGAGAAAGAACGAGGGGGGAAGTGCCACGCACTTTTAAACCATCAGATCTTGTGAGGACTCACTCACTATCAGGAGAACAGCATGGGGAAATCCATCCCCAGGATCCAAACACCTCGCACCAGGTTCCTCCCCCAACATTGGGAATTACAATTCAACATGTTATTTATGTGGGGACACAGAGACAAGCATATCAGTGATACTCAAAATGTTAAACAACCAGTTCAGCGCGAGGGGCAACTGATCAGAAAGGATATGGTCACATCGATTACCTGGAAATATTTCTTGTAGGGCAGATGTAAAAGATAGTTCCAGGTTCAAATATTGATGTATGAAAGCCTGGGGCGTGGTCAGGCCAGGGGGAGGTCAAGTTTATAAAGGAAGCTCCTCCATCAACATTCTCCTCTGTATGTCTCAAAGTTTTGCCTTCACACCTATTTTCTTTAAATTCTCTCATATTTTCAACAAACATCACATCAACATATCCTTCTAAAATTTGTGAAAAATACTCCACTTTTAGAGAATGTGTTCTAAATGTTTATGCTCTCCCAAATTCTGAGAAACAATGGTACCATTAGCTCTTCCCTGAGTCTGCTCAAGAAAAACAAAATAGAGAGATTATTTAATGCTGAAATGTATACTATTGAATGAGAAATGAGAGGTTGTTTCTTTTGAAGTGTCATTCACATGGATTCAATTTGACTGTGTAGATGCAAATTTTGACCTTCAACATCTACCTTTTTCCTGCAGATATTTTGCTTTTTTTCCCTGCAGGTATTTTTGTATTGTTTCCTAGGCTCAAGCTGCCCAAAGTGTCTCAGTTGCTTTAGTAGCCTAATTGTGCAGTGGCATATTTAAAAGTCATTATTTTCATCATCTATTAAATGTAGCCCAGAACAGTTTAAAAAATTGGGTGAGGCATTTTTGCAAAAGCATTTATGATGTGGGCTGCCAAGGAATGTGCAGCTGCAGGAGCTTCTTTCTCTAATCTCGGACTTTTACTTGAAAATGTATTAAGGGTGGATACCTGTGAAGAGGAACCAATTTGATCTCCCAAGTATTGCGCCCATTGGAGAGTGAGACACACCTTGTTTGAACATACTGACTCTATTGTTCCCAGGAAGTGTTAGTTGTTACAAAATAGCCCTTTTATATTGAAAGGAACTGCTTTACCTTGGATAGCATCTGTTATCTTGCTAATTCTTAACATCTTTGAAGAGTGGATCCTGAGCAGTGGTGAATTGGTAAATGTTTAACAACAGGCTTGGTGGTAGGGAGTACCCTGATTTGTTGCATTTGCCAATTTCCTTGGTGTAAATACTCCTACCATAACCAATTTCAAGCTATCAAAGTTAGGTCACTGAATGTAGAGTTGGGAATAAATGTGCAGTGATACACCATCATATAATTTTTTTTTTACCATACAGATACAATAGACATACATAATCCCAGGAGTAAAGGTAACAGTAAAATGGAGTGAAATAATTAGGAAGTGATGATCTTTGACAATTTGTTGCCTTCCTTTGTAATATAATTTATTTAATTGTAATTTTGTCTCATTTAAACTTCAATAATGGCCATGGTTAACAACCAGCTCCAGTACACCACTGAGCCTGAGTCGAGAGGATTAATGTTGCTGGATGATAATAACACTGAAGTCATTCTGCTTTATTTTTGATGGAGACACCAAAAATCCAAGAATAAGGCAAGACATTCCAAGTACCCCATATTAAAATGTGGAATGCTAGGCCACCTGAGTGGGACTTGCAAAGGCTATGACCAAGTTGGTCAGCATCATCTTCCAGTTGAAGTTGAGTTCGAAGAGGTAGGGAGAGAATTTCCATGGGAAAAAATTGTTGGATTGTACTTCAATACAAGTAACAGGAACTTCAAGAGGACCTCTAAGAAAATTATATGTACCACTTGGAGTGTAGGAACATATGGACTGGATCTGAGACCCAGTAAGAACAGTAAGGGTAAAGTCTATGGCTGTGACCACAGCACTGTGTCTGGTCACAAAATAAGGAAGCCTGCAGTGGGAGCAAACTTCACCTTCATTGATAACGAGCAAAGGAAGCTCAGGTCAAAGGGAGCCACCATGGGGCTGCCTTAAAAGGGATCCTACCCAAGAGGTTAAGTGCTCTAGCAGAACAATGGGACCCTAACAATGAAGTAAGCACCCAAAAGTCCTCCAAAGAGACAATGTTAATCGGACAGCTATGTCAAGGTGGTGGCAGTCAGAGACCACTGGCCAAGGATCACTAACGAGCCAGCAATAGCCTTGCCTGGGAGAAAGAACCAACTTTGGAGTATCTACCTTCCTAGGGGCCACCAACGCCATGTTGCAGCTCCTCCTTTCATCTCCTCTATAACTTGATGTACCCTCCAAGGGTCAGAAACACCAGCTAGAGCGAAGAGGAGGGGAGAAAGGAAGTGAAGAAGGGGAATAAAATAGCAATGCCCATGACCCACTAAAGTTTACATGGAAAGCTCTAAATTGAATAAAGTTTGGTTACAGTGTGCTGGACTTTGTGATGATTACACTGGATCATTTTAAATGCCCAAATGAAGGAACTATTTGTTTATTACCCAAGAACAATGGGAAAAACTAGAGAAATTGCCCAATATTTCATCTGGGGGAGGGGAGGGAAGCAATCCAGAAATCAAATTTGCAGAACAGTGTAAAAACAAAGGTAGAAGTTTGGATTCTCCTTATAACCTATTGATGCAAAATCAGTCAATAAACAAATACAACTATATTTTTGGAAGATTTTCTGAATGCATTAAGTACTTTAAAACCCTTACCTGGCCAGGTACGGTGGCTGATGCCTGTAATCTCAACACTTTGGGAAACCAGGGCTGGAAGACAGCTTGAGGCCAGGAGGTCAAGACCAGCCTGGGCAACATAGCAAGACCCTGCATCTTAAAAAAAAGAAAGAAAGAAAGAAGAAAAAGAAAAGAAACAAAAGAGAAAAAAACCCTAACCAATTGCTACTTAAATGAAAGATGAAGATAAGTCATAGGGCCTTTTCAAGTGAAAACTACAATAAGAACTTAGAAACATTTTTTGGAATTAAATATAAATATTTCACAAGGAATCTTGTGATTGGGTGCCAAACTTGTCCTCCTTAATTCCAATTCATAAATCTTCCCAAAAAGATAATAGAAAAGATAAGCTGCCTTATGAAAGTTAGAGTGAATATCACTTCCCATAGGCTGTCTAAATACTAACATAGTAAGGAACTAAAAATTATTTTGATAATTATTTACATAATAATTTTCAACTACAGAGCACCAAACAACTGCTTTCTTCTAAATTACCAAACTTACTTTTTGTTCGGAACTGTACAAAGTGCACAGCCACCAAATTCTTTTTAAAAGGTATTTCAACTTTTACCTACTCAAATTCATGAATGTAAAAGTAATTGTAGAGTGGTGGGTTATTTTGGGGGATGGGCTGGGAGTAAGTGGAAAAACTCTCAAGTTCCATGAAATAGCTTTACGTCTGTTCCAATTTACTACTAGAAATTATATGGACAACAATGATTAAGCCCAGAAAAGTCAATGAGGTTACTAGGCAAGGAGGCCACACACTCTCTTCCCAAGAGGGGTAGGTTACCAGGCTGCAGCCTCTACTCAGACCATATTGTCTAAAGAAAGAAGCAGTTTTCTTTTAACAGTCATACAGCAAAAGAAGCAAAAAAGAGGACATAGGAAAAATGATACAACACTGTTAGGTCCCTTTCAATTTGCAAATCCTCTGTTCTGTAATGGACATGCAGACTGGAATGCCCATGGGGACTGGGAAAATTGAAGAAAAGAAAAAGGAAAGCAGGCAGTTATGAGAAAAGACTACAACACAAACACTGTGGTAAATAGCTTTTGGCACTCCGTCAGTGTCAGGGAGCAACAGGGAGCAACAGAAAGTGAGGAGGAGTGCGGTGAACTGTAGACGATGCCGCAGTCAGTGCTTGCTGACTGTGCCAAGTGACAAAGTGAATCCAGCAGCTACGGTCATCCAAGTTTTGTAACACCCTGGTTTTTTCAATGTTGCCAACTAATTTTAAAAATTGAAAACACTGTGTTGACTAACTCAAACATGGGTGCTGTATGAGCTATGGTATGTGACCAAAGTATTTTTCATCCAATATTAATAATAATAATAATTCAATATTGTTCAGATTCTTTTATAATGCTTACTAGTGCCTGGAACTAAGTTCTTCACATGTATTAACTCTTTTAATTCAGACAAATACATAACATCATATTAACCAAGAGTCCAATGTAAATTTCATGGCCAACTATATCGATTTCAGTTGTATATTTGGGGGCCAGAGAAAGGACCACTGGAGGAGGGGTAGTCTGCTGTCCCAGTGGACCCAAACCAGGACCCCATTTCATACTTGGCCCCCATGTGACCACATGCTAACCAGGAGACAAGGCACTGCTTTGGGTCTCTGCACCTCAATGTCCCCTTTCTTAGTAAATGGACACCAGCATCTTCAGGGAAGTAAAGGGCAGTCATTATTGTGTTCATTTGCTAAGCTATTGGAAGGTCCTCCCTCCTGGGGACTTTGCTTCTTCAGTCACTGAGTACCAGGTTGAAAAACTGGCTTAGGTTCAGAAACATTTTGCTGGGGTGACTGCCCTCAGCCTCCTGATCATTCATCCTTCAGTTCTTTTGATTTTATGGATTGAGCAGTACCCTTGCTGGCTGCCCATCTATTTTGCCCTCAGGGACACTGTATTCTACTAACAATTCCATAACATTCTTGTCAGAGACCCCTCTCACTGCCTTTATGACATTGCCCCTGATTGGATCATCATGTCCACCTTGTGGTCTTATCACCCCCATTGCTATGAGGGATGGCATCTCCTACCATCCGCCCTAACCTACAGGGCACAGCCACCACTGAACTTCCTAGGGATGCTGATGCCCCTCTTAATAGCAAAACCCTCGTTGCTTGGCAAATAGTGCTTCCCTTCCTCCCAAGCCTCCTGCGGATCAAGGGCCTCTGGTGGTTTTCTGGCCTTACACAGTATACTCACTCCAACATGTCAATTTCCTTGAGCTTTGAAACCCCTTCTCATGCCATCTATCATGGCAATTCTGGCAGGTATACACATGTCTGCTTAGTGCTCTGTTACTTTTTCTAGGAGTCATCTTATAGTGTATTTGTACCATTCCCAGGGTCCTTGCCAAGGTGTTTAATTCTATATCCTGGGTAAATTCTCCCTTTCTAACTTTACATTTCACCACTGTTGATCAAGCATTCACAGAATCCAGACCTGTGGACCCTCATCTGGCTCCTGCCAGTTTGCCAGCTCTTTGGAGTCTAGTCCCTTTCCTCTCATGTCAGGTTCAACACATCCTCAGCTGGGTGAAAGGGAGGGAATCCTAGCTATGGGCCCAGCAAGTAGCAAGGGAATGTGCTAGTCCTTAACTGGGAAGAGTATGCCCCTTGTTCAGGCTCAGTAGGTTCAGGGAGGTCTGCGAATTCACTTCCTTCCTTCCTTCCTTCTTTTCATTTTTCTTTCATTCTTTCCTTTGTTCTTTCTTTCCTTTTGTTTTTGTTTTTTTGGACACAGAGTTTTGCCAGGTCACCTAGGCTAACGCGCAGAAATGCGATCACAGCTCACCGCAGCCTCAACCTCATGGACTTAAGTGATCTTCCCACTTCAGCCTCCCAGTAGCTGGGACCATAGTTGCGTGCCACCATGCCTGCCTAATTTTGTTTATTTTTTGTAGGGATGAGGTCTTATTATATTGTCCAGCCTCATCTCGAACACCTGGGTTCAAGTGATTCTCCCATCTTGGCCTCGCAAAGTTCTGGGATTTACAGGCATGAGCCACTGCACCCAGCAGTCTGTGAGTTCTTGATTCTCATGCACACTAATCCAGATGTCCCATCCATTGCCAGAATCACTCCCCTGCTCCCACCCAGTCAGGGCCCTGACCTTGGCATAAGGGATCTGCCGTGCTTGAGAGCTTAACCTTTTGAGCTCTGCTACTACAGGGACAAAGTCCTGCATCTGAACCTCAGCTTTCTCTGCCTTCACTCCACAAGGTGAGAGCCTCTCTGTGCTACCAAAGACACTCTTTCTGGCTTTCACATTTAGCTTTTAGTCAATTTTAGCTTTTTTGTCAACTAGTTACTTTTGTTTTTTTGTCATAATTTTTTTTTCAGAGCATTAATCATGCTTAGGAATGGCAAACCAATTCCATCAGCCTCTGTTTACTTTTTCCCACACCTTTCTCAAACTCCACACCAGGTAATACTTTCACTTCCATGGGTCACCAGTAAGTACATCATCCCAGTTCACCACTGGCAGAAGTGTTAACCATTGCATTGCTACTTTGTACTAGAGGTTGCCTGGCCACCACCTACCCCAGTGACAGGATTTGAATTGCCAGTCAAGACCTCCAAATTCCACCCCAGGATCTGCCTTCTTAACCATTCCTGATGCCAATTGTCACTGGTTGAGTTCCCCAGGAGGTAGCCTATGAAATGGAAATTAGAGGTCAAGTTTATTATGAAGCCTCTAAGGAACTCTACCTGCAGAAGAGAAGAGGCAAAAGCAGGATTGCGCAAAGGGAGAATCAAGCTGTGATGCAGTCTCAACCAACACTGCAGCTGACTCTACAGGGATCTCTGAAGCTGGGATGACCTCTGTAGCTGTGTTGTCCTGAGCTGGGGTGAGAGGTTGGCCTTTCTACACCAACACTGATCAGTCATTGGATGCAAGCATCTTGGAAAAGGGGCATGACCTTGGGTGAGGCAGCTGTCTTCAGCCAACACAATCCCCATAGAGAGCTGACAGCTGAGGGCTCTGTGCTGGCAGTGCTCCCAGCAGCTAGGAGAGTATGTCCTTCATCCCTGAAAGGGGTTCTGGGTGGTGCATCCCAGTGTTCACCACACCCGGTATTCAAGGCTCTCTTAGCCAGATATTCCTGGCTTGGTGAATCACTTTCTGCAAAGGTGAATATTAACATTAAACATTTGCAGATAATAGCTAAATAATACTGCGGTCCTGGATTTTACTCCCCAGGTAAACTTTAGACTTCATCTCCCAGGACCCTCTGTCATTCTTGGCGTTCCCTATTCACACCAGTGTTCTCTAAACCCACAACTCAGGGACAGGACTCTGTGTCTTTGGGAACACCAGGTCCTAAGGCTGAAATTGCCTTTCTTCCTTTTCCTTCTGGCTAACTCCTGGTTGCCTTTTAATGCCTGCCTTAAATGTTACCTCCACTGTGACACTTTCATCTAGTCCCCGATTACAGCTTTTTGCAACTTTCCTTTTGTTCCTACAAGCATCTGATAGTATAGGACTTAGCAGGGCATATTCTTAACACTATGAGCTAAACTTCACAGCTAGACTTCACCTTGATTGAAATCTTACTTCTGACGTTTTGGAGTTATGGAACCTCGAGTAAGTTAGTTACCTTATCCCAGCCTCAGTTTTCTTATCTGTAAAAGAGGGATCTATCTCATTAGTGTTATTGTGGGGATTAAATGAGTTAAAATGAGAAAACCACTTTAAACTGTGCAATGCACATAAGGTATGCTACACATCTTTGCCATTGCCTTACTGTAACTGTTATACCTTGGACCTCATTAGTTGGCTGGTCAGGAGCAAGGACAATTTCTTATTTGGCCTTAAACAGCCAATTATTAGCGCAGTGACTGGCACAGAGAAGATAACAATAAACATTCACTGAGTAAAGTCGGTATTTATTTAAGATCTACAAATCGAGCACCAGGATAACAAGCTAATAATGTGATATGTTGTAGCCTTGAAGAAATTTACGTATGTTTTTCTTTGTGATGGCAGTGTTAAACCAGTGTTTCCCAAAGTGTCTTCAATGGAACACTGGTTCTGCAAAATTATCCACAAAAATGAATTCAGTGGTCAAATATGCTTGGGAAATGGTACCCATACTACTGGATTCACATTAGCATATTAAGGTCTCTACAAAGTTCTCGAGATATGTGGTGGTTTTAATATATACTCACAAATTCTTTGACACTTCTCCCTCCAATAATTGGAGTTTATTTCCCTTCCCATTGCATATAGGCTAAACTTAGTGACTGAATTCTAGTGAATAGATTGTGATAGAAATGACAGTGTGTGACTCCCAAGACTAGGTTATAAAAGGCATGGCAGCCCCCTCCTTGCTCTCTCTTGGTCCCTCACTCTGGGAGAAGCCAGTTGCTATGTCTCAAAGAGAAGCCCACATGGCAAAGAATGAATGCCTCTGCCAACAGCCACAAGAGTGCACTATCCTGGAAGTGGATCGTCCATACCCACTGTAAAGTGAAGTAAATATGGCCTGAGGACTCCTTACGTCTATATTTGAGTCCTTGTGAATGAACCATAACCTAACTCAATAGGAAAACAGAAGATTGAGAACTTAAGTTAGGAGTATGTGCCTGTAACAATAGCTGAGTCTTGGTCAATCCCAGCAGCCGTACTTCAACCATTCATCACCACTGAGTGTTCAAACTGTGTTCAAATAAGGCAAATGCTGACCTGTAACCAGTTCAGCTGTTTCTGCACCTCACTTCCGATTTCTGTACGTTACTTGACTTTTTTTGTCTATAAATTTGTTCTGACCATGAGGCATCCCTGGAGTTTCTCTGAATCTGCTGTGATTCTGGGGGCTGCCTGATTCCCAAATCATTCATTACTCAATTAAACTCCTTTAAGTTTAATTCGGTTGAACACCACTCAAGCCTTCAGATGATTGTGGTCTTGTAAGGCATCTTGACTACAACCTCATGAGAGTCTTCCAGCCAGAACCATCCAGTTAAGATGCTAAATTTGGGAGGAATTTTTATGTAGCAATAGATAATGAATGTATAATGAAACATGTTTAACTTTATATAGTTCAATGTTTGACCCAGGACACTGATCCCACATTATACCTATTAATACTGTGGCCCATTCTTTTGTTAGAATGTTGAAAATCACTATATAATTAAATTTTATCAAGTTTCCCTGAAGCTCTGTTTTAAATCTTTTAGAAATAACCATTTAAAAAATCATTCTATACTTGATATCTTAAAATATGAAAACACTGTCATACTATAACCTCTATGCTTTCTAAATATCAGATTTGACATCTTTGTTCTACTTAAATACCACCTTCTCCTTTAAGAATAATTTCACCTTTGTTAACCAGAGATTCATGTGTGGTTTTAAAATATGTAGCAGGTTTTATTATTTAGGTGCATTTTAATGTGCCTCATTTAAATTAATTTCTATCACATTCAAATTAAGCATTAAATATTTTATCTAAAATGAAAGAATTTGAGAATTTCCTGAAAGTGATTCTTTTCCCTCAAAAGGAAAATCTTTCCAGCTTAATGTTATTGCTACATCAGCTCTTTAAAAACTCACTTAAAAATACGTTTATATCTCTAAATAAATAATAGAATCAGTGGTGCAGGCTTTGTTTTGGTATATTCAGATCTATGTCTATAAATATTCAAAGCACACTGCTGTTAATCAGTATTTTCCTTGGGTGGTTTATCAGAATTTGAGGTTATACCATAACAAGCTAGCTTTCAAGTTCAATGCAGTTAGTATTGCATTTGTTTAATTATAGCGTTTTAGACATTCCAATTTCCTCTATGAGTTTGCATGCAGAGAAGTCCTTTGAAGCTCAAATACTTAGCCACCTCCTTACTCTAAGGAAGTTTGGAGAGTGCACAGATTTTTCATCAGTTAAAGGAAAGCAGACTTTTTTGTTGTTGTTTGTTTGTTTGTTTGTTTTTTAACCATTGCGTGGGTTAAGGGAAGAGCTGGACAGAGAAGCAGGATGGGAGGAACTGGGCATCTTTCTCTGTGCCTGAGCCACAGCTTCTCAATCCATCTTCATCATTTTCTTTGAAGTGAATACCAGACCCCCAGACACACCAATTTTCAAATGGAAGACTCAAACACATTCCAAAGCCAAATGTAAAGAAATTTAAGTTTCACGGCTGTTTTACATTAACCTAATCTGTGATCTTCCCAAATAGTTTGAATAATCATGAAGACCTAAGTGACAGATGAAGCCTGTGATTTCCTTATAGTTGGTTAACTTTATTGAGTTACTATTCTTCAGTATCACAGCCAAAATAAGAAAAATTGGTATAATAAAATTTATGGCTCTGGGCTTCAGAATTGCACGAATTCTAAAATAAACACTAATAGAAATTAGTTAAACACAGTGTTAGACTCCTTACATACATTACCTCTCTTTATGTTCAAATCAGTCCTTAAAGATGGAAAGTATTTCTAGCTCCATTTTCCAGAAAGGAAACTGAGTCCCTGAGGAGTAATTTGTATCAGAGATTATAACTAATGATTATTATTGGAAATAGATTTGTCTTGATATCAAAATCACAAATAACTAGAGGAATCATTATTTTAACCCTATTACCATAATGTTTGCCCATTTAAACTAAAAAGTTCTGCTTATAGGCTATCCTTTAATTGGTAGAAGTACTATATATAATAACAGATTTCAGTATGAAGACAGAAGTTGCCATTTGCTTAAAAGATTTTATCTGCTTTCCTGTTGTACCTTGAAGTATATCAGGTATATCAATTCTACAATCAACTATGATAATTAGGGGGACAACAAATGCCCCACAGGGAGCATTTTCTAGTGATTATATCATAGATACATAATAATATCTTTATAAGCTAAGCAGGAAAACATTCTGAGAAGCATATTGTTCAGGTCAGTGATTTTAAAAGAATTCCATAGGATGAATAGCCCCTCTGTCAGAATAAAAGTTGTGGCACAAATTCCATTATAATTCTCTTTTCTCAGTCACTTGGAACTTTCTCAAAAAATTTCTTTCCAAGTGAAACTGTCCCTGGTGACTGCCTTCCAAATGTGATTTTTTTTTTTTTTTTTTTTTTTTTAGTAAAAGGAAAATTTGTTTTTTCATCTAAGAAGAAAATAGTTATTCAGTCACTTTTTTCAAAGGCTTTTAAGTATAAATACCTCAAAATGCAAATTGTTAAATAATTAAAATTTTATGTAAAATTAGGCAGCATTTAATTATTGTTCTTCTTGTTATAGCATATGAGAAATTAGGAAACTCATCTAGAATTTTCCAGAGTTCAATAAATTGCTTACCATATTGAAAAATTGGAGTAAAAGCAAGACTGGCTTTATAGAGCTATAGTTGGATTGAACTTGACTAAACACTTGATTAAGGTTTAATTCACAGTGATTTATCCACATAACCTGTCATGGAGTCAAGATAAAACCTCACAGGCCTTTCTGTTCAAACGACATTAAGGCCTGTAGCAAAGCTGACAAAGCTGTCTTGTTGTTCGTCTCTATGCCTTTAATGATTTGCCTTTGTTAAAGGAAATATTCTTTAAGTTGAACTTAGCAGCTCCCTAGGATCTACAGATGCCAAGGTCTTCTTCAGCCTTAAGGCTGAACAACTGAATATCTCCACCCCTGCACCCTTCCTAACCTGAGAATACAGAACGCTTGACTTTTTGCATCTGAATTTATCCTCATGTTGTTCACACAAGTACAGTGCCAGAAAACGTTATAAGGTAGGCACACAATAGACTTCACTATTTCAAGGAGTATTTCACCTGCAAAATCTGTTGAACTACACATTGTCAGATATTATTCAGAAAGAAGAAAAGTCATTTTGTACCATGTAAAATATAAGAAATATTAACCAGCAAATAAATTCATAAAACTTTAAGTCAGCAATGTTCTGATCATCTGAGCATATGTTTATGCCTGGCAACAGAACTCTAACACTAGCTTGTGCTGGACACTGTTGAGACACTTTATAAGCAATAAAGATCAAATGTGATAGTAAATTAGATATTGTTTTGGAGAAAGTGATTTGATTGCAAGTCACAAAAAAATAAAAAGCATATTAAATAAGCTGCAAATGTCTGTCTTAAGTTTAAGAAATCTGAAGGCAGTTGATCCTGGCTGGAATGGTTTTCCCAAATGGCAAAAGTTTGCCTCCTTCCAGGTGGTTGTCTTGTCGTGTGAAGCCTGCTTTTCAAGATCACTTCATGTTCAAAGATGGCTGCTGAGGCTCCAGACATCACATCTCTGTTTCAGTCTACGTGAGGAAGATGCTAAAAAGGGCATGCATTGTATCATGATTTCCATTTACATTCCATTTGCTAAAATTACTCAGATGGCTTCACCTGGCTGTAAGGAAAGTTAAGAAATGTCATCTTTATTCGTTTTTTTGTTTTTTTTTTTTTTCTGAGGGAGTCTTGCTTGCTCTGTCGCCCAGGCTGGGATGCAGTGGTGCAATCTTGGCTCACTGCAACCTCCACCTCCTGGGTTTAAGCGATTGCCCTGCTTCAGCCTCCCAAGTAGCTAGGCTTACAGGCGGCTGCCACCACGACCCGCTGATTTTTTTTTTTTTTTTTTTTTTTGTATTTTTAGTAGAGATAGGGTATTGCCATGTTGGCCAACCTGGTCTCAACCTTCTGACCTCAAGTAATCCACCTGCCTTGGCCTCCCAAAGTGCTGGTAGTACAGGCGTGAGCCACCACAACTGGCCAGAAATGTCTTTATTCTTGAAGGCCATATGTGCAGCTAAAACTCAGGGGTTTACCTTGTTGAGGAAGAATGGATATTTGAGGCAAAACTAAATTTCAGCCCCGCATATGATTAATGAATACAATAAAATTGTATAAAGTTACAGCAATTACAAAATAGGTGGAGCAGGAGAAAACCTGGTAAAGACTGAGATATTTGAATTAGATGGAACAAGAACATAAAAATCAATTATTGTGGAACATTTCCTTTTGTGCATCACTCTCACAAGATCTTCCCAAGGTCTTTAAGCTTAAACATCTTAAAAGTTAAGATCTGGCTTAAAAGTTGTATCTGCACATTCTAAACCAAAGTTGATACTTGGCAATTAATGAGTAAATTCAGATTGTATAGTTAGCAGTCTAAAGGTTGAAAAAAATTCCATGTTGAATCAAGAATTGCCCTGGTTGCCACTGTATGGTGTGTTTATGCTTAAATATTTATGATCTCCTAGAAAGATCTTATTCCTAAGAAAATACGAATAATGTCATCCTTGCTATTTAGTACTTGGCTCTAGTGTACATTGCTCAAATATTTTAACAACCTAAAGTTCTCATTTTTTCCCTACAGTTTTTTCTGTTTAAACAAGAGAGAAAATGATTTAGTTCATTTCAATATAAAAATACAATGTAGAGGCCAGGTGCCGTGGCTCACGCCTGTGATCCCAGCACTTTGGGAGGCCAAAGCAGGGGGACCACTTGAGGTCAGGAGTTCCAGGTGAGCCTCACCAACATGGCGAAACCCTGTCTCTAATAAACATACAAAATTAGCCAGGCGTGGTGGCCCATGCCTGTAATCCCCGCTACTTGGGAGGCTGAGGCAGGAGAATTGCTTGAACCCAGGAGGCAGATGTTACAGCGAGCCAAGATCATGCCATTGCACTCAAGCCTGGGCAAAAAGAGCTTAACTCCGTCTCAAAAAAAAAAGAAAAAAAGAAATAGAATATTTAAAAATGCAGGTGATACTAATGAAACACATAACGAGTGCAAGATACCTACTTCAAAGGATTGTCATGAGGATTAATGAATTTATGTAAGTATGCTTAGTTTTAAGCTAATATTACTTTAATTTTTAAAATATTCACAAAATGTTATATACAATTACACATAAAAACATATTTTAGGCCGGGCACGGTGGCTCACGCCTGTAATCCCAGCACTTTGGGAGGCCGAGGCGGGTGGATCACGAGGTCAGGAGATCGAGACCATCCTGGCTAACACAGTGAAACCCCGTCTCTACTGAAAATACAAAAAATTAGCCGGGCGAGGTGGCGGGCACCTGTAGTCCCAGCTACTTGGGAGGCTGAGGCAGGAGAATGGCGTGAACCCTGGGGGGCGGAGCCTGCAGTGAGCCGAGATGGGCGACAGCGAGACTCCGTCTTAAAAAACAACAACAACAACAACAGCAACAACAACAAAACATATTTTAATGTGCTTTCATGGCAAAGTAAATAGATGGAGTTTAGAGATTTGTGATTTTACCGAGTAAGATCTATAATTCACAGAACCACCAAAATATCAAAAGTCAAAATCAACTTTCCTTTTTCTTGTGAAGTTCATTTAATTTTGTTGTTATTGTTGTTTTCTTTTTTGAGACAGGGTCTTGCTCTGTCTCCCAGACTGGAGTGCAGTGGTGTGATCATGGCTCATTGCAGTCTTGACCTCCTGGGCCCAAGCGATCCTCCCATCTCAGTCTTCCAAGTACCTGGGATTACAGGCATGCACCACCATATCTGGCTAATTTTTTTCATTTTTGTAGGAACAGGGTCTCTCTATGTTGCCCAGGCTGGTCTCAAACTCCTGGGCTTGAGTGATCCTCCTGCCATGGCCTCCCAAAGTGCTGGGATCACAGATGTGAGCTGCCTTGCCTGGCCCATTTAATTTTTTAGAATTACAGGTTTAATATTTTCCCTTTGCTGCCAAGGATGTTCCCTTTAAAGATATTTTAATAGTGCCCTGAAATATATCCATATGTATGTCTATATCTACATCTATACTGTATATTTAAACAGTTTTGCCACATGCTTGGAAATTGTGCCTTGAAATAACTTATCAGTGGTCCAAGACCTACCAAAAGAGCCTTGTTTGAGACATAATGAACACATGTACAAAGATTGCTTTTTAGCTTCCAATTCCTAAGCCCAAGTCATACTGCATTTGCTATAATGGAGCAATATATTATCTTGAAAAGTACTGTGTAAGCATTTTTTTGGTAGTTGAGCTAACATAAAATTTTAAAGAATGAATATATCACAGTAAAAAACTGTAAAATATGGAACATTGCATCATTTGTTTGCATTTCATATAAATATCAATATTGCTATTTCCAAAGAAAATATGGTAGAATATTAATTCTGATTAGAAAAATAAGTATTGTTAATGAGCCAAGCACATTAGATATTTGTCTTACAGCTTTGTTATAGTTTTGTTAAATAAAAAACTCTACTAAAAGAAGAAAATTGTGTTACCTTTGGGCCCTATTTTGCAATTTTTAACATAGGCAGAAACCTCCTCTACTTTCCCGGGAGCATGCTCCAATTAAGCATGATGAGCATATTTCAATTAAGGTTTATATTTCATAGTATTTTCCCAGGTGTTAGTGCCTAGGTCCATAAATACAACCAAGAGAATCACATGGCTCTATAAGAGGGTCCCACTCTGTGCTTCTGATAGTGCATATATGTGACTCCAAATGTCTGTGCAGCCAGTAATTACAATGCTGTTTTTCTTATTGAAATAATATCAACATGCCAAACTATCATATCTTCTTGTGCAATTATTGTCAAAATCTGAGCATTGCCTTAAGTTACCTTAACATCAGAATTATCATTATAGTATCAATTTTAACCATTTTCTGGCTAATGGTTATAGGTTGTAATGTCCCGCAAGAGAAGTGCAAAGATAGAAAGTCCATTCCTGATGGTTCACAGTGTTGGAGGGACTCAGAGGTACAGGTCATCTGGAATGGCAGTGTGCAAAGAACGTTAGTGGCATGCATTGTTGCAGTCATTTTTTAATATGGGCACTAAGAATTGAATTCCAGGTTAAGGTCTTATTAATATTACTTGACCCAGGAACATGAGGTAGTTACCCAGTGTCTCCAGCTTTCAGACTAATAACTAGGTGTGCTCACTGAATTATCTTCCTTAAGTATCAGCTTTTCAAAGGACTTCCCTGCATACAAAATCAGCAGAGATGTCAAAAAATATGTAGGTAAATAAATGCAAGTTCTCACTTCAGAAAACACCAAATGCGTTCCATTGAGCGAATGTATAGAGATATCAACAAAATAGGGAAGTGTATAAAAAGGAGTTGTCAGCAATCATAAAATTGTGCAGGCTGGTCTGCTCACAGAAAACACTAATCTATTAGAGCGACTCACTCATTTTTTTCCCACCCTGAGGCAGGGGAATAGCATGATTATAATAGTAGAAGCATGAAAAAGTTATGGTCCATCAGAGACTTTCTGATGGTTAAATGAAACTTACCATTTGATTTTAGTTTAGAATTAAAACAATGAGGTTGACAGGTTTCTTTTTTTCAAACTGACCATTTGACTTGAGTGTATTAAAACTGCTAAACTGATTTAACCAAAACTACCCTTAACTTTCCTCTGGATTCTGTCTCCTGAGAGATCAAGCCTTAGCTAATAGATCATGCTTCTTAACCCCAAGATAATCTTCAGTGAAGCCATCTGCATGTTTTTTTCCCTTGCAGTCATTTTTAATTTTTCAGCAAAACATTGTGGAAGCAACTTAGCAGTCTTGTTTTTCCTCTGTTGGGTTTCTGAAATGACTGGAAATGTGACATCAGTGTTTAAGGAGAACTTCCTTTACAAAACTCAAAAGAAATCATTCTAGACAAAAAGATTATGAGCAAATGGAGCCTGTGTTCTATTTGTTTGATGACAAGTCCCAAATTAATCCTGGAGCTCAATAATCCTTTCCCATTGGCTTAAATGTTGATTTCGTTTTACAGATTGATTGATTGATTTTTTTTGTGACAAGGTCTTCTCTGTTGCCCAGGCTGGAGTGCAGTGGCACGATTTTGGCTCACTGCAGCCTCAACCCCCTGGGCTCAGGTGATCCTCCTGCCTCAGCCTCCTGAATGGTTGGGACTACAGGAGCATGCCACCCCTCCTGGCTAATGTTTTTTGTATTTTTTTTTTTTTTTTTTTGGTAGAGACGGGGTCTCACCAGGTTGCCAAGGCTGGTCTCAAACTCCTGGACTCAAGCAATCTGCCCACCTCGACCTCCCAGAGTGCTGGGATCACAGGTGTGAGCCACCAGGCCCGGCCAAAGCTTTACAGATTTTTGTCTCTGACTTTTCTGTTTTAAGGCAGCAGTGTGTGGTGGGTTGCATTGTATCCCACAAAAATGTATGTACAAGTTGTAACCCCTGATTCTGTGAATGTGACCTTTCTGGAAGTAGGGTCACTGCAGATGTAATTAAGTTGAGGATCTCAAGATGAGATCATCCTGGATGCAGGATGGGACCTAACGATAATGGCTGGTGTCTTTATAAGAGAAAGGAGAAGGAGATTTGAGACACAGACATGCAGAGAGGAAAGCGACATGGAGACGGAAGCAAAGCCTAGAGTGGTAAACCTACAAACCAAGGGTTGCCAGCTGTCACCAGAAGCTGGAAGAGAGGCATAGAAGATTCTCCCTTAGAGTCTCTGGAAGAAACCAACCCTGCTGGTGTCTTGATTGCAGGCTTCTGGCTTTTAGAAGTAGACTTCTGGCTTTTAGAACAGATTTCTGTTACACACAATTGGTAGTAATTTTTTATGTCAGCCCTAGGAAACTGATATATAATGTAAGTCTCCTGTGTGGCTCTAGGGACAATTCTTTTGTTCAAGAGGCTGTCAGAATGTTACAGGTACAGCCACAGAAGGCAGAACAACTGATGCTTCACCATCAGCTGCTTCTATCACAGAGATCGGTACTCACACAACCATTTGTTGGCCTTAGTTGGTGGAAGTGTGTGGCCAGGATAAAAGCCCATGGTGTGCTTGCAAATATCAGTGTTGTGGATAAACAGTCTGATTACTCCTACGCAAAGTGCAGATTTCCTTGACCAGAAATGCCCACACCAACTACCCATAGTTACAAACCTAACTTAAGACAAACCCATGCTTTCTGTGACAATGTAAGTCAGAAGACAACACCTCCCATTTCCTGAAGGCAGCACTTTTTTTCCTGAGCATAGTACAAATCCTCTTTTAATTTCTCTGAACTTGTATAACATGAAAGTTACTTACTGCTCCCCCAAAAGAAGAACAAAGGAAGAAAGGAAAGAAAGAAGGAGAGAAAGGGGGCAGGAAGGAAGAGACGAAAGGAAAGAAGAATGGGATGATGAGGAAAGACAGGAAAGCAGAGAGAGAGAGAGAAAAAGAGGAAGGAAAAGCCCTATTCACATCTGAAATGTAGAATGTACCACATTAGCATTAAAATCAAATTGCTTGCTGGGCAATGCTCATAGAATATTTGAATGTATTGTTCAATCAAACCTTGTCTATCTTCTTCATTGACCACAGAAAGGTAAATTCATTGGCACAATTGACCAGTGCAAGATGGAAGGGCCTGGAGGAGAGCTGGGATGAGGGAGGCCAGCAGCCACCTCTTAAGGGCAGCTGAAGTCCTCACACACTCAGACCTCATCTGCATAGCAAGGCAGGTGGGCCCCTTCTGTCGGCACTTAGCCTGAGTGCCATCACAGCCCATTTCAGCACGCTGTTGAAATTCATGCTGTCTCCATTTCTCATCAGATGGAGTAAGTAAACCAGCACCAGTGACAACACTGAAGCTTGTGGCTAATCAGAAATTTTCTGTGTGCTAACATATTTTTCTTTTATTTGGGGGTTAGGTCTTCAGTGAAACAGAACTTCCTCTGCCTTTTTCCTTTCCTCCTTCCATGCCCCTCTTACCTCTTAATTTCACGAAGTGGAGGGGAATTCACAGGACAGGATATCTGGCTTTATGACACTCTGTCCTGCAACTGAACAGTCACCAGATGAAAGGAATGATGGTATTTAAGAACAAACAAAAGGAAAATATAAATCCTTTGGGTAGCAGATATGTGTAATTTACTCTAGTTTTCTGTTTCAACTTTTAAAAGAATGCAAGATCTTAGACAATAGAGAGTCAGAAACAGGCCAGTTATAGCACTCAATCTCCCTCAATTAGGGTCATCACAAAAGCACTATTTATAAACATATGGTGCAACTTCATGGAATTAAAAGAATAGTGGATCCAATTTGCCATCTCCATCCACAATGTCCCAGGAGTCGTGAAAACCTGCTCCTTGTGGAGTCATTTTAAGCATTCTCAGCAAATCTTTCAGACTCTCTGGGTTCCACAGCATAACTCTATTTTCAGCTATGGACTTGGGCTCCAGGTCTCATCTCTTTATTCTCCATAGCCCCAATATTTATGGAAAAGTGTCATTGAATGGCACACCAATGTTGGCGAGAGCTGTATATGTCTAAGGAAAATGAAATATTTGGCACAACATCAACCACAACATCTCTAGTTTGTATCCATTTGCATTCTATTCTGTACAATTCTGACAGATCAACATTCCTAAAGGCCAGATTTAATCCTTGGAGTCCCTACAAGTAACCTTGGGCTTCTGCCGACCATGAAATGCTTAGACTGGCCTCATGGCCCTCCATGGTCTGGCCTGTGCTAGCTGTCTGCTCTTACCTTTTGCTGCTCCCTTTCATACACTCTTCCAGATGGAATAATTTAAGACACACATATGTATCAGGCTTTACTTCTTCCCCTTTGATTAACCATTCACTTGCCTGACCTTATTTTTTCTTCTCTCTCCCTGCCTCATATGTCATGCCTTTACATTATTTTGAGTGTTATTTGTGTGTTGGGTCTTGCTCCTACTCAACTGTAAGCTCTTAGGTGAAGGGACTTATTCACTTTTATTCCCTCTCCCTCTTTATTAGCACCTAGCACAGTGCTCTGTGTACAACAGACACGCCATAGTTATTCGCTGACTGCAAATATGAACAAATAAATGATAAGTAGATTAAAAGCTGAAAGATGAATGTCAAATAATTTAAATCATGGCTTGGAAAGATATAAATGGGGAAAATAAATCTAAATCACGTCATTCATAATTCATGAGAAAAATACTATACTTTGAATCATTTTATATTGTTACTCTGTGTTACAATTATTAAGCTGGAGTTCTCCCACTTAAAATGTCTGTGTATGGGTCAGGCTTGGTGGCTTACATCAGTAATCCCAGCAGTTTGAAAGGCTAAAATGGGAAGATTGCTTTGAGGCCAGGAGTTTGAGACCAGCATAGACAACATAGAGACTCTATCTCTACAAAAAAAAAAAAAAAATTAATTAGTCAGGTGTGCTACTCGGGAGCTACTGTGTGCTACTCCCAGCTACTTGGGAGGCTGAAGTGGGAGGATCACTTGAGCCCAGGAGTTTGAGGCTGCAGTGAGCTATGATCATGCCACTCACTGCAATTCAGCTTGGGTGACAGAGTTAGACCATGTCTCTAAAAAAAAAGTAATAAAATTCTGTGTATATTTATGTTGCAAGAGAAGTCAGGTTGGTAAATTATTATGTCATGTCAGTATTAATGTTAATTTTATGCTATTTCCTGTAAATGAATTTGGAGAAATGCACATTTTAAGACTGTATTACAAAAGAAATTCTATCTTGAGGTTCTGTTGCCAAGCCACTAAAAATTCAGTTGTTCATACTGTGAAGTCATCCAAACACCTCAAGGAATTTTTTCCTTGTACTGCATGATTGCTCATCTGAACACAAGAGGAAAATTTATATGTTATAAAGATTTGATGGGCATTTTTATCTGAAAAGGAAAATACTAAAAAAGCATAAAATAGTACAGAATCCTTGCTAAAAGATTTAATCAAAAGGAAGAGCAATCTGCTTTTCTACAAGATGCATATTCAGTGAATAACCAAGGAGCTGTATGCTTTCATAGAAAGTGTGGAAAGACGTGATTTCAACTTTTGATAATTATTTCCTTGTTAATAACAAAGGCTTTGGAGTATCATGGCTCTAAGCATCAAAAAGCAAGAGAGATATATCAGATCGAATACAAGACAAAAAAAGATCTAGCCCATTAAAAAAAAAAAAGACACAAAAGCATTATCATCTCCTTCCAGAGTTTCTCTCCCTGATCCTAAACTCTGCATCCTCACACAACTTCAAGCTTCAAGGGTAGAGAAGATGAGAAAAATGAAGTGATGGGGGAGAGGACAGGAAAATGGGAAGAAAGTGGGATAAGGAAGCTGGAGGGAGGATGCTCAGGAGTGGTTAGAATCACAAAGAAATGGGGAAGGGAATAAAACCTGCTATAAGCACCAGAGACAAACAAGGTGAATTGAAGATGTTTGTGTCATGTGTGATGTTCTACACCTGCTACTCCTGCTACTACAATCTAGTGGATGCCATGTGCCAGGCATGGTTCTAAGCATTTTACATATATTAAATCACTGAAGCTCATGGCACACCTACTGAGTGAAAGTCACAGAAAGCCTGACCCAAACAGTGTCAAACAAAACAAAAAAGGAAATAGGTTGGGTCTAGAACAGAGGCATCCTTCAGTCTGGGATTTATTCAAGGCTTACATAGTGTATCCCTTTTTCCATTTCTTTTCCTCAACTGGTGCTATATTGACTCCAGATCCTAGCAAGCTCCCCACTCCTAGTCCCAAAATGGTTGCCTACAGCTATGAGCTAGGTACATATTTCCTGTTCAATTAAAATGGAAATTTCTATTGTGCTTGGAAAAAATATGCAAAAATTTCAAGATCGTCCAACAGAAAAAAACTTGCTTATCTCTTCAACTTCCTCTCAGGCCCATTGTACCACTTGCACTCTACACTTCCATCACATGGGCCTCTTTAAGGTCTCAAATCCATCAGGCTCTTTGGTGGAAGTGGAGGTGGGTAGAAATAAAGGTTAAATAAAAGTCCTGGAATTTGTTGCCCTGATTGGGCAGATTTGCTCTTGTGATCAATCCTGTGAACCAATCCTACTTTGAGGAATGTGGGAATTGATGGTTGTTTTAAGCCAATTATATAGATCACCCCTGAAGCCAAGTGGGACCAATTCTATCCAAACTGGATTGATGAAAAATTCAAGGAACCCTTAGAAAGAGGGCAAGAAGAGAATCCTCATAATAATAGACTGGCGAAAATGAACATAAAAGTAGATGGCTAAACGTAAAAAAAGCAAAGAATAAAAATCTAAAATATTTTTGTAATACTGTTAATAGTATGTCTATATTTTCATATGTGTATATATATACATGCATGTATCTATACTGAGGTACAAGCAAGAGAAACCAATGTATGCTAATTTAGACAGAAAGGGAGATTTTTTAAAAGGGATTTTGACTGGTACAGAATCTCCTGAAAGTTGAGTGTCTTAGGTAGATTGCCAAGAAGCAGACCCTGGAGAATTTATGTCTTAGTGATTTATTAAATGATGCCAGGAGAAGCCAACTAGAGAGTGGGGAAGTAAGGCAGGGAATGGGAGAAAGCCCACACCCATCAAGGGTGCTATCCTATGCAAAGGTAGTTTCAGCCTGATCCCACAGGGGAACTGTATAGCAGAAGTTATGGCTGTCTTGCCCCAACTCAAGGCACAGAAGCTGGGCTTTCTTATTCCACATCTCTGAATCATTGGTTAAGAGTGCTCCTTGGAAGGCAAATTCCTAGGATTTCCAGCTTTCTATGCATTCTGGCAAAAGCTAGCTCCACAAGCCAGAGGACAGCCCTTGAGAGAAAGATTTAGGCACTGGCTTTTGAAATAGAAAGCACCTCAAATGCTGGGGAGAAGGAACACACAGAAAATAGCAAAAAAGGATCCAGTGAGACCTGGGCAATGCACAAATGCAATGCACCACTTTGAGACAATCAGCTTTCAATTTACACAAGCAGTAACAATGCTCCAAACCACACCCTGCAGCTGTCCCATGCACCATCAGGGAAATCTCTGATGCTGCTGGTGCCCTGCCAGCACCACTACCCACTGCTGCATCTAACTGCTGACTGCAGTCATTGCCCCATCCTCACTCCCATGGATTCTGCCTGTAACCTGCTCTTGGAATCTCTGACTTCTAAAGTCTAGCGTTTATGGAATACTACACAGCCACACAAAATAATGAAATCATATCTTTTGTACCAACATGGATGCAGGTGAAGGCCATTATCCTTAGTGAAATTAACAGAAAACCAAATACCGTATGTTCTCACTTATAAGTGACAGCTAAACACTGGTTACTCATGGACATAAAAATAGGAACAATAGACACTGGGGAATACTGGAGGGGGGAAGGAGGGAAAGGAACAACAGTTGAAAAACTAACTGTTGGTTACTATGCTCAGGACATGGGTGACAGTATCATTCATACCCCGAACTTCAATATCATGTAATGTACTCATGTAACAAACCTGCACATGTACCCCCTGAATCTAAAATAAGTTGAAATTACAAAAAACAAAAAATAAAATAAAACAAAGTTTAGGGTGCTAAGTGATGGCAGCCAGGGTGTGTTTATACATCAGCTGCAAGAAATGCCAGAAAAGGGAATATCTGGCATTTTTAGCTGTCGTATCAAGAGGCAAGATCCACCTCATTAAATATTAGGTGGGAATTCCCAAAACACGGGGAGAAGATGATGATGTTGTGTAGAAAAAAAAAAAAAAAGTAAGAGCCATTCACTCCACACACAAATGCATAAAACATTTAGAATTGGGCCGGGCGCAGTGGCTCACGCCTGTAATCCCAGCACTTGGGGAGGCCGAGACGGGCAGATCATGAGGTCAGGAGATCGAGGTCATCCTGGCTAACACAGTGAAATCCCGTCTCTACTAAAAATACAAAAAAATAGCCAGGTGTGGTGGCGGGCGCCTGTAGTCCCAGCTACTTAGGAGGCTGAGGCAGGAGAATGGCATGAACCCAGGAGGCGGAGCTTGCAGTGAGCAGAGATCATGCCACTGCACTCCAGCCTAGGCGACAGTGAGACTCCACCTCAAAAAAAAAATCCATTTAGAATTAATATGAAATTGCCATCAGAAATTACCTCTGGGGAGTGGAACCAGAGCTATAGTTTCAGGAGTGGGTGAGAGAAGATTCTTACTTCTCATTTTATATGTTTCGGTAGTATTTAAGAATTTTATAAGCGACATATGTTTCTTTTTTTGATTTCAAAGAACTGGTTTACTTTTTAAGACCTGTCTCTTTCTTTAGAACTGCTTTTAAAAAGAGGCTGGAACGTTTTAATTAAATTATGTACCCTCTGCTTTCAGGAAGGGAGGCCACTCAGATTTGGTGGCGGTGGTTACCATTCATTTTTTCATTCATTTATCAAAGATTTATTGATTGTATGCAAGGCCCAAGAAAGATGAAAGACAGAGGCTCTGTTCTCAAGGAGGGAATTAATGTTATGATGAGAAATGTCTTTGAATGTCTTGGGTTTTGTGTTATTTTCTTACATATTGGTGAACCTTTTACTTCAGATAGTAAGTACCCTCTACTATACAGCTTTAACTAGATTTACTTACGTTTTTTCCTATTAAATGGAATTAGGAAATATAAGTTGTACATCTTCACAATGATTTCCAAGCTAAATGATGTTGGTGGGGTCTTTGAAATGAGTTACTGTGGAAGTATTTTATGCTCTTGAACTTCTGTGGAAGTATTTTATGCTCTTGAATTTCATTCAAGAATTCAATTTAACTTCATTTAAAGATTTCATTAGAATTAGGTGACATCACCTTATGTTTTGTGTTGGTTTGCAAAAGACTTATTGCTAGCCAGATGTGCTCCTTTTGCTGATAGTAATATAAGCATTCTAAAAGTTCTAATTTCTAAGCCTTGGATTTAATACAAAACCATAGGTAATAAAGATGTATAAAAATCTAGCACGGAGTCCGGACGCGGTGGCTCATGCCTGTAATCCCAGCACTTTGGGAAGTCGAGGTGGGTGGATCACCTGAGGTCAGGAGTTCAAGACCAGCCTGGCCAACACGGTGAAACCCCATCTCTACTAAAAATACAAAAATTAGCCAGACATGGTGGTGGGCACCTGTAATCCCAGCTACCAAGGAGGCTGAGTCAGGAAAATCGCTAGAACCCGGCAGGCAGCAGCTGCAGTGAGCCAAGATCGTGCCACTGCACTCCAGCCTGGGCTGCAGAGCAAGACTCCATCTTAAAAAATAAATTTAAAAAAATTGGCTGGGCGCGGTGGCTCACGCCAGCACTTTGGGAGGCCGAGGTGGGCGGATCACGAGGTCAGGAGATCGAGACCATCCTGGTTAACATGGTGAAACCCCGTCTCTACTAAAAATACAAAAAATTTGCCAGGTGTGGTGGCGGGCGCCTGTAGTCCCAGCTACCCTGGAGGCTGAGGCAGGAGAATGGCGTGGACCCGGGAGGCGGAGCTTGCAATGAGCCAAGATCGGGCCACTGCATTCTAGCCTGGGCGGCAGGGTGAGACTCTGTCTCAAAAAGTAAATAAAATAAAATAAAATAAAATAAATTTAAAAAATAATAATAAATAAATAAATCTAGCACTGAAATATTCTGTCTTCCTGACATCTAGTATTGATTTATGGAACATTTATGATATGGTCAAGCCAAGTGGTAGCTTGAAGGAGGATGCTTTATCCCACCCTCAACAATCACTCTCAGTCCCCCCAAAGCCACCTTAGGCAAGGAGCTGGATGTGTGAATGCAGCAGCGGGATGAATCCAGCCCCTTCTAGCAATCAGCTTATCTCCCCTGATGCCTCCTCTCTAGATACTCTGGAGCTACTACTGCTTTAAAACTGGCTGAACTAAAAGAATGTGCTAGTCTTTTTTTTTTTTTTGACAGGGTCTTGCTCTGTCACCCAGATCGGAGTGCACTGGCATGATCACGACTCACTGCAGCCTTGAACTCCTGGGTTCAAGCAATCCTCCAACCTCAGCCTCCCAAGTAGCTGGAACCACAGGTTTGCACTATCACGCCCAGCTAATCATTTTTTTATTAATTTTTGGTACAGAGAGAATCTCTCTATGTTGCCTAGGCTGGTCTTGAACTGCTGGGCCCAAGTTATCCTTCTACCTTGGCCTCCCAAAGTGCTGGGCTTCATGAGCCACCATGCCTGGCCTGCTACTCTTAAGGTAGTTAAAACTCTTTCATTTGGAATTAATTTGTTATGTAAATCATGTTTTAAATCCATCTTTACATTCTGAAATAAAACATGTCAATTCAGTTGGTTAAAGCAATGTTTTCAATCTGTATTCCATGGAACCCTAGGGCTCTGCAGAGGCCTCTTAGGACAGTGAGAGGCAGAGTTTAAGAGAGAGGCTAAGGGGTTGAAGCTTTAGAGCTCTGCTTCCCTGCCCCAGCTCAGTGACTTTCCTCTCAACTTTCTATGCATTGCGCTTCCATGTAAAAGTTTGTTTGGAAAAGGTTTCTGCTGATAAACATAATAAATACTTTAAATTTGAGATGTGTGCTCTCTTCAACTCAGAAATGTAACTTTTAGAAACCATTCTGCAGAAATATTTGCACACATGCTCAGAGATGTATGTATCAAGAGCTCCTTTATCATTGTTTTGTAATGACAATAAATTGGAAACAATCTAATATTCTTTAATAGGGGCATAGTAACGCAAGCTATACTATGAAATACTATACAGCTGATAAAAATTCATGGAAAGATCTTTTGGACATGTTAAGTTTTTTAAGAGCATTTTTCAATACAATGTGAAGAGTATGGTCCCATTTATGTAAAAGAAAGCTGTATATCTGCCTATTATATACATGTAAGTGCTTGGAATAAAGAACTAGAAGGGTATACATGAACTGTTTCCAGTCATTACCTCTGGGGAGGATAATATGTAGACTTGGGAGGCTGGTAAAGAGGTACTTTTACATTTTACTCCAACTATTTCTCAATTTTTGAATGTTCTACGATGAGAATTCATTCAAGTAGAACTTGTGTATGTTATTAAATAAATATTTTTTTCCAAGAGTTTGGAAACCACTGAGTTAAAGCCTGGTGCTAATGAGGCCATGAATATATGCCTTTTCCCTATATAGGCAGGTTGGTACCTCATAGAGAAAATCTGTTTGTCTGACAAAGGCTGCACCCCATATAACCCCAGCAAGCTTTTGCAACCACACATGGCACCTGTCACAATCAAGATCAAGTGAGAGGGTTTGACTGGTTAATTGCCGGCCCCCCAGGTCACAGCATGTGTTTTGTTGGTAGGTTTGTGGCTTCATCCTTTGTTCTTCATTTTAAATGGCTTTATTGAGATATATCATACACTTAACCCATTTACAGTATACAATTCACTGGTTTTTAGTATACTCACAGTTGTGAAACCATTACCAAAATCAATTTAGAACATTTTCATCACTCCAAAAAGAAATCCTTCACTTATTAACAATCACTCCTCATCCCTCCTCCTATTATCCCCAAGCCACAAATTTACTTTCTGTATCAATAGATTTGCCTACTTTGGACATTTCATATAAATGGAATAATATAGCATGTGGCCTTTTGGGTCTAGCTTATATCAGTTGGCGTAATGTCATTCACGTTGTAGCATGTGTCAGTACTTCTTTCCTTTTTTATTGCTGGGTAATATTCCATTGTATGGAAACATCACATTGAGTTTATTCATTCATCAGTTGGTGGACACTTGTGCTATTTCCATTTTTTGGCTATTATGAATAGTACCACTATAAGCATTCATGCATAAGCTTTTACGTGGATGTATGTTTTAATTTCTCTTGGTGGTATGTCCAGGAGTGGAATTGCTGGGTCATATGGTGATTCCACTTTTAACATTTTAAGGAACTGCCAGACTGTTTTCCAAAGTGGCGACATCATTTTACATTCCCACCAGCAATTTATGAATGTTCCAATTTCTCCATATCTTCACCAGCACTTATTTCATCTCCCTTTTTAATCATAGTCATCCTAGTTGGTGGGGAGCTGCTGTATATATTATTGTGTTCTTTAGAATGACCACTTGTATGAATTAGGCTTCTGCTCCAATAGTATTGCCTATAAACAATCTCAAAATTCTCTGGCTTGAACCATAAGCATATATTTCTTCCTTATGGGTTTGCAAGTTGACTGTGGTTCTACTGGGCTTGGCTTGGCAGTAGTTCTGATCTGTTTCATGTGTCTTCAACCTAGGACCAGGCATGCTCTTCTCACAGGGGATCTCAGAACCTCAAGCAGCAAGCAGAAATACTCTGTGGCCTGGGACTGGCACTTGTTATTTCTGCTGTCAAACCTTTGTCCAAAAAGTTCATGTTGCCAAACCCAACTTCAATGAAGCCAGTAAGTAAACAGTGGCTCACAGTGGCAAAGGGCAAGAGTGTATAATTGTATTAAGTAAGGAAGAGTGGAAACAGTAATCCAGTCTACTTTACCACTCAATTCCCTGTCCCCAGTTCCATCCTCTTTCTCAGTTTCCAGCACTGCTTAGCCATTATGTTATTATTATAAATTGATGTCATTCAAAATTCCATGTCTCTCAAATCTCAGAAACTCTCTTAATTCCCCTAAGAACTCATTTCCCAACTTCTCCATTTGAGGCAACAACACCCAAATTTAGAATTATTAAAAGACCAAATGATTAAGAATTACAGTGTCTTTCTCCCATCAAGCCTACTCCTCTTTTGTATCAAATGCTGCTAGCTGCTATGCAATAATGTTTTTTTTCAAAACAAAAACAAAAACAAAACAAAAGAAAAACAGGTGATTTTTTTCTGGTAATGTTCTTTTTCCCAGCCTCCCTTACTTGCAGCTGGGGTTGACCCTGTGGTGAAACTCTGTTGTAGACTTCTGGAAAAATTTGGTTTCCTCGTCATTGTCCCTGACATTGAAGATAATTCAATGTCCTTGTCATTTTCTTCGTATTGCTTTGTCTAGGTCATGGATATGAAACTAGAGGTGGAGTGACCATACTTTAACCATAAGGTGATCACAGCAAGGAAAACCAGATGCAAAGAATTGGGACATAGAATGGAAGAAGGCACATGAACACTGATAACACATGGAACTCTGACTCAGCTGGCATACTCACTTCTGGAGTTTTTGTTTTGTCACTATCTTGTTGATAAAGCGTCAGTACCTTTGCACCAACTATCAAGTAATTTACAAACTCCTTAGTGTGGTAATTAAGATGTTCCAAAGCTGTCTCTAAACTTCTAATCTTTCATCTCATGATTATTCTTTGATTTACCACTAACTGGCCACCCAAGATCTATTCTTCATCCTTCTCTGCCCTGCTCTGTGCCCTACCTAGAGGGTGATGCTGGTAGCCCAAGTTACCCAGAACCCCTTGCTTGTTAGCTGCTTGTTAAGTTTGGCCAATGGGATGCACTGGCATAAGGAAGCAAGAGTGGGAAGAGAAAAATTTCAGGATATTTCTTCCCACTGCCCTGCTTTGGTGCTTCCCTTCTGGCAATGGCCACTTGCTTCCTGACCTGAGCTACTACCAGGTAGCTCCTCCTCCAGGGCTCCAAATCTCACTGGGTCTTCAACATGATTTCTTCCCCTTACCCCTTAAGCCCTAGAGTGATAATGGCTCTCCATTGCTGCCAATATCTAGGTGCCTTAACATCTCTATTTTATTCTTATAACCCTGTCCAATCTCTATACATGGTCCTTGAATTCTAGTGCCTTCACAAGAACCATCTGCAGTGAATTATTTCCAGCTGGCATCTGACTAATACAGTAAAACCTCTCCTGGCACATGCATTTGGGCTTGTATTTCAGCAACTTTTCTCATAATCCTCCCTTTGCTTGAAATCCCTGTCCTCCCATCTCTGTGTCTAGTTGTCCTTCAAGGCCTTCTCAAAACACCACTCCTCCCAAGTAGCCTTCCTTAATCCCCACAACATGGGAAATCTCTTTTTCCTTGAACTCACTCAGCACATACTTGATAGTAATTATATTTTTCTGGTTTAAATTATAGTGACTTATGTACATGCAACTCTGGCCAGTTGGTAAACACTTTGAAGTCTGAACTCACATCCAGGTCTGATTTGTTTTTGTTTTTGTTTTTCTTCTTTTTGCTTCTTCCCAAACTTTGCTTCTCTCTCCCAAAAGCTTGGCACCAAATGGGTACTGTCTCATTCATTTGTATTACTACTTATTACTACTTACCACTTATTACTGCTTCTTATTAGTACTACAAGAGATAACAGTTACAGTGAACACTTTATCAAAAAATAGAAAATGATGGAACAGACTAAAATTTTCCTTTTGGTGACAACACATTTGTTGCACTTAAAATATACAATAATCATTCATCTATGATACAAATATGATAAGTGATTTTATTTTTATTTTAATATTTTCAGGTGATAAATCTGGTTTTCTCCCAATACTTTTATTGGGTATCATAGAAAAAAAATGTATAAGCCAATATTCATCTGTAACTGAGGGTTATCTACCATTATAAGTTAGAATCAGAGGTATAAAGTTATTTCCTAACCCAGTGTTTTTCACCTCTGCTCTAGGAAGTTCTAGGGATTATTTCCAAGAGTGGGAATAGGGAGATAATGGGAACCAGTGCCAGGATGGGAAAACATGAACTATAATTGATGAACTGCTGGAGGCTCAGAGTATGCTAGCCTAAGAGTTAAAAAACTCCATGGGGTTCCAGCCATGGGGTTGTCCACACTTCTGTGAGTTTTATGTAAAGGATCTCTACCAGGTCTTCACAGTGATTATCTGAGAAAAATCTTCTCATGCTTCTGGCAAGGGAAGGGGAAAATAACCCATTTTGAAACTTGCAACAGCATTTTGTCCCTAACAAGGCCTGCTCTCAGGAGAAACTATTAACTGGAATCCAATCTATCGGGGTCTTACTAGAGCCTAACCTACTTGAAGGAAGGAAAATAACCCCAGCCTCCTATAGCCATCCTGCTCCACCTAACAGGCAGGGGAAAGAAGGGAGAAGCACTCAGTTCAGGGGCACAGGCTCACCAAAAAGT
Source organism: Homo sapiens (assembly GCF_000001405.40). NCBI lineage: Eukaryota > Metazoa > Chordata > Mammalia > Primates > Hominidae > Homo > Homo sapiens. The sequence goes on from NC_000012.12 coordinate 65,811,482, forward strand.
GCAACCTGATCATAGGACTATAGAAGACTCTCTCCCCTTCACACCTTAGGATTACATTACTGAAGGTCTAGTCACCTCAGTTCTTTGCACCCAGTACAGCATGTCCACCTTTCAACAAAAATGGCAATGCACACTAAAAGACAAAAAAACACAGTCTGAGTGACTGAACAAGCATCAGAGCCAGAGTCAGAAATGGGAGGAATGTTGGAATTATCAAATGAAAAATTCTTAAAAACTATGATAAGTAAGTAGAGGCCTCTAATGAAAAAAGTAGAGCGTATACAAGAACAGATTATAATGTAAGCAGAAAGATGGAAATTCTAAAAAAAGAATAAAAAAGGAAATGCTAGAGATCAAAATACTGTAACAGAAATAAAAAATGCTTTTGGTGAGCTCATTAGTAGACTAGACATGACTGAGGAAACAATCTCAGAACTTAAGGATGTAACATTAGAAACTTCCAAAACAGAAAAGCAAATAGAAAAAAGATTCAAAAAAACCAGAACAGAATATCCACGAATTGTGGGACAACTATAAAAGGTGTAACATAACACATAATAGGAATAGCAAAAAAAGAAAGAAACAGAAGTAATATTTGAAGCAATAGTGACTGGGAATTTCCCCAAGGTATTGTCAGACACCAAACCACAAATCCAGGAAGCTCAGTGAACACCAAGGACAAACACAAAAAAACCCACCCAAACTCAAAACAAACAAACAACAAAAACTACACCTGGCTATAATATATTCAAACATCAGAAAATTAGAGATAAAGAAAAAGTCTTGAAAGAAGACAGAGGAAACAAACATTTTACCCATAGAAGAGCAAAGATATAATTACATCAGACTTCTCAGAAACCATGCAAGCAAGAAGAAAGTGGAATTAAATATTTAGAGCACTGAAAGAAAAAAAAAATCTGTCAACCTAGAATTCTGCACCTTGTAAAATTATTCTTCAAAAGTGAAAGAGAAATAAAGACTCATAGACAGACTAAAGCTGAGGGAATTTGTTGCCAGTAGAACTGCCTTACAAGAAATGTTAAAGATCTCTTCAGGGAGAAAGAAAGTGATAGAGCTCAGAATCTCAGATCTACATAAAGAAAGGAAGCACATCAGAGAAGGAATAAGTGAAAGTAAAATTAAAACGTTTATTTTTCTTATTTTTAGTTGATCTAACAGATAACAGTTTCTTCAAAATAGCAAGCAACTGTGTATTTGCATATATATATTTACACACATACTTATATATTCTTATGTGTAAATAAAGCAAATAACAGTAGGAGACAATAAAAGGAAGGGAGGAAGGAATTAGGGATGTTTTGTTATTGTAAGGTACCTGCACTACCCATAAAGTGGTATAGTGTTACTTGAAAGTGGACTTGAATTTATTGTAAATGTATATTGCAAGTAAGAAAAAGTTTAAAAAGTACAATTTATGGGCCAGGCGCAGTGGCTCATACCTGTAATCCCAGCACTTTGAGAGGCCGAGGTGGGTGGATCACGAGGTCAGGAGATCAAGACCATCCTGGCTAACACTGTGAAACCCCGTCTCTACTAAAATACAAAAATATTAGCTGGGCGTGGTGGCAGGCGCCTGTAGTCCCAGCTGCTCGGGAGGCTGAGGCAGGAGAATGGCGTGAACCCGGGGGGGGGCAGAGCTTGCAGTGAGCCAAGATCACGCCACTGCACTCTAGCCCGGGTGACAGAGCGAGACTCCGTCTCCAAAAAAAAAAAAAAAAAAAGTACAATTTATGTGCTATGAAAAGAGACAAAATAGATTCATACAGAATACTCAATTAAACCATGAAAGGCGGGAGGCCGAGGCGGGTGGATCATGAGGTCAGGAGATCGAGACCATCCTGGCTAACAAGGTGAAACCCCGTCTCTACTAAAAATACAAAAAATTAGCCGGGCGCGGTGGCGGGCGCCTGTAGTCCCAGCTACTCGGGAGGCTGAGGCAGGAGAATGGCGTGAACCCGGGAAGCGGAGCTTGCAGTGAGCCGAGATTGCGCCACTGCAGTCCGCAGTCCGGCCTGGGCGACAGAGCGAGACTCCGTCTCAAAAAAAAAAAAAAAAAAAAAAAAAAAAAAAAACCATGAAAGGCAGAAAAAGAGTGGAAGACCAAATAGGAACAAAGAAGGGCAACAAATAAAAAGCAGTAACAAATATCATAGATACTAATCCAACTATATCATCAGTAATCACTTTGAACAGCAATAGTCTAAATGCACTGATTAAAAGTTCAAAGTGGATCAAAAAATAAGACAGACCCAAGTATATGTTATCTACAAGAAACCCACTTTACATATAAAAAAACATAGATTAAAAGTAAAGGGATGGAGAAAGATACACCACACTAACACTAATCACAAGAAAGAGGAAGTAACTATATTAATTTCAGACACAGCAGACTTCAGAGCAAGGAAAGTTATCTTTTAAAAGGGAGCATTATATAACAACAAATAGGTCAATTCTCCTAGAATGCATAACAATTCTTAATGTATTTGTGCCTAACAACAGAGCATCAAAATACATGAGGCAAAAACAGATAGAATTGCTTTGTTTTCTGAGGAACTTCTATACTGTTTTCCATAATGGCTGTACTAATTTACTTTCCCACCAACCATGTGCAAGAGTTACCCTTTCTCTTCATCCTCATAAGCATCTGTTATTTTTTGTCTTTTTGATAACAGGCATTTTAAGTGGTGTGAGATGATATCTCATTGTGGTTTTGACTTGCGTTTCCCTGACGATTAGTGGAGTATTTTTTCATACATCTGTTGGCCATTTGTATATCTTCTTTTGAGAAATGTATATTCAGATCATTTGCCCATTTTAAAATTGGATAATTTGTTTTATTGCTGTTGCATTGTTTGAATTCCTTATATATTCCGGTTATTAATCCCTTCAGATGGAGAGTTTGCAGATATTTTCGCCCATTCTGTAGGTTGTCTTTTCACTCTTGATTGTTTCCTTTGCTCTGCAGAAGCATTTTAGTTTGATATAATCCTATTTTATATAAATCTACAGTAATCAGAGCAGTGTGATATTGGTTAAAGAATAGACAGATAGGCCGGGCGCCGTGGCTCACGCCTGTAATCCCAGCACTTTGGGAGGCTGAGGCGGGCGGATCATGAGGTCAGGAGATCGAGACCATACTGGCTAACACGGTGAAACCCCGTCTCTACTAAAAAACACAAAAAAAGTTAGCCGGGCGTGGTGGCCGGCGCCTGTAGTCCCAGCTACTCCAGGGGCTGAGGCAGGAAAAGGGCGTGAACCCAGGAGGCGGAGCTTGCAGTGAGCCGAGTTCGCGCCACTGCACTCCAGCCTGGGTGACAGAGCGAGACTCCGTCTCAAAAAAAAAAAAAAGACAGACAATGGAACAGAATAGAGTGAAGAAATAGACCTACATAAATATAGCCAACTGATCTTTGACAAAGAAGCAAAGGCAGTACAATGAAGCAAAGATAATCTTTCCAACAAATGGTGCAGGAAAAACTGGATGTCCAAATCCCTCCCCCCGCCAAAAAAAAGAATCCAGTGGGACTGCTCTGAAAAGGGAGCACTTTTACTGCTGGTGGGAATGTAAATTAGTACAACCACTATGGAAAACAGTATGGTGATTCCTTAAAGAACTAAAAGTAGAACTACCATCTGATCCAGCAATCCCACTACTATGTATCTATCCAGAGGAAAAGAAGTCATTATATGCAAAAAAACATGTGCACACACGTTTATAGCAGCACAATTAGCAATTGCAAAAGTATGGAACCAGTCTAAATGCCCATCAACCAACGAGTGGATAAAGAAAATGTGACATATATATATATGCACAGACACACACCATAGAATACTACTCAGCCATGAAAAAGAATGAAATAGTGGCATAAGCCACAACCTGGATGCAGTTGGAGACCATTATTCTAAGCGAAGTAACTCAGGAATGGAAAACCATTATATGTTCTCGCTTACAAGTGGGAGCTAAGCTATGAGGATGCAAAGGCATAGCAATAATATCATGTACTTTGGGGATAGGCGGGGAGGAGGGAAGGGTTAAAGGATAAAAGACAATACATTGGGTGCAGTGTACGCTGCTCAGGTGACGGGTGCAACAAAATCTCAGAAATCACCACTAAAGAACTTTTCCATGCAACCAAACACCACCTGTTCCCCAAAAACTATTGAAATTAAACACACACACACACACACACACACACACACACACACACAATAAATCTAGATACAGACCCTATATTTTTCACAAAAATTAACTAAAATAAATCTCTGATTTATTAATAAATGTAAAATGCAAAATTATAAAACTCCTAGAAGATAGCATAGGAGAAAACCTAGATGACTTTGAGTATGGCAATGATTTTTTAGACACAATGCCACAGGCATGATCCATGAAAGAAATAATGAATAATCCGGGCTTTACAAAAATTAAAAACTTTTGTGCTGCAAAAGACAATGTCGAGAAAATGAGAAAACAAGTCACAAACTGGGAGAAAATATTTGCAAAAGTCACTTCTGATAAAGAACTCTTATTGAAAATATACAAAGAACTCTTCAAACTCAAAAATAAGAAAATAAAAAAAAAACCTATTCTAAAAAATAGGCAAAAGACCTGACCACAAAAGGAGATATACAGATGGCAAATAAGCATATGAAAAGATGTTCAACATCATGTGTCATTAGGGAATTGCAAATTGAAACCACAGTCAGATACCGCTACACACCTATTAGAATGGCCAAAATTCAAAACTCGTAACACCAAAAGCTGGCAAGGATGTGGATGGAGCAACAGGGACTCTCATTCTTTGCTTGTGGGAATGCAAAATGGTAATGGTATAGCTGCTTTGGAAGACAGTTTGGCAGTTTTTTACAGAGCTAAACATACTCTTACCAATCCAGCAATTGTGCTTCATGTTCTTTACCCAAAAGAATTGAAAACTTATGTTCACACACACACACACAAAAAACTGGCACATGGATGTTTATAGCAGATTTATTCATAATTGTCAAAATTTGCAAGCAACCAAGATATCCTTCACTTTGTGAGTGGATAAACTGTAGTACATCCAAACAATAAAATGTTATTTGGTGCTAAAAAGAAATTAGCTCTCAAGCCATGACAAGGCATGGAGAAAACTTAAATGCATATTACTAACTGAAAGAAGCATATCTGAAAAGGATACATATGGTGTGATTCCAACTTTATGAAATCTAGAAAGGCAAAAACTATTGAAACAGTAAAAATATCAGTGGCTGACAGAGATTAGGTGGGAGGGGAGATGACGAGCAATGCATAGGGATTTTTAGGGCAGTGAAACTATTATTCTGTATGTGACTACAATGGTGGATACGTGTCATTCTACATTTGTCAAAACTCACGGGATGTACATCCACAAGAGTGAACCCTACTGTAAACTATGGACCTTGGGCAATAATGATATTTCAGTGTAGGTTCATGGATTGTAACAAATGGTGTCAATGTATATATACATAGGTCGGGAGGTTGTATGTATGTGGAGACACAGAATATATGGGAACTCTCTGTACTTGCCACTCTATTTTGCTGTGAACCTAAAAGTGCTGTAAAAATAAAATTCATTGATTTTTCTAAAAAGCCAGTCACATTATAACTTTTGCCAATCATGCATGGATTGAATATTTTATCAATTAAGAATTACATTTGACTGTTCATGACAGAGAATGGCTTGAACCAGGAGGCGGAGGTTGCACTGAGCCGAGATCGCACCATTGCACTCCAGCCTGGGCAACAAGAGCGAAACCCCGTCTCAAAACAAAACAAAACAAAACAAACAACAACAACAAAAATAAGTCATAAATTCTAATGTGCAGTATGAACCTGTATTTGTTCACTTAAAGTCCGGAAGGATTAAAATAGTTTTAGAGTTTTCTCTCAGTGGTGTGATAATTGGGGAATTTTTGTCTTTACTTTTCTGTCGCATGCATTTTCAACAATGCATTTTCTATTACAGTTGTGATAAGAGAAAAAGAACAATAACAATAACTGATCAGAAAAAGAAAGAAATCCTTCTAAAAGCAGTGAAGAATGGATTTTTACAGTGTAAGACTGAAAGCTAGGAGACCATGGAGAAAGATAGTGAAGTAATCCAAAAGAGAAGGGGAGGGAGCCCTAACTAAGGCAGTGACAGTGGGGTGGGAAGTAGAGTCAAGAAATATTTAGAAGGCAGAATTAGAGGGACTTGGTGATCATTTGATGTGGAAAGAGAAGGATCTAGATTGATTCCTAGCTAAGTGCGATTCCTGGATAAGAATGATTGGTAAGAAAAGAAAATCGTTTTGGGGAAAAAATTATGGGCCAGTTTCTATGGCTATGTAACAATTCACCCAAAAACCTAGTGAATGAAGAACTAACACAACATGTGTTTTACTCCTAAATCTGCACTTGGGTCAGAGCTCAGCAGGGGTCTCTCCTCTTTGTTCTGCTTCACATCTGCTTGGGGTGGCTTAAAGGCAGTTGGGGGTGGGGGCCTGGAATTATCTGAATGTTCATGCACTCACTTATCAGGCAGCTGATGGGAAGATAAATGTTTGAGACCTGTCACAGCAAGGGCTCCTTGGCATTTCTATCTCTGTGTGGCCTCTGCCCAAGGTCTCTCCAGCATGGTGGCTTCAAGGCAGCTAAGCTTCTCACATTCAGGAATTCCAAGGTGGCAGGAGGAGGCACGGGGAGAGATTGAGATCAAGGCAGCAATTGTATTATCTGTGTTTGTAGCCTTGTGGTATCTAGTCTCCAAAATGATGCAGCATGATTTCTACTGCCTTTTATTTATTACAAGCATGTTAGTAAAATTGACCCACGTTTAAGAAGAGTGGAAATTAGATTTCACCCTTTGTGGGAAGAATGTTGAAGAATTTACAAACATGTTCTTAAACCACCACAGATGATCAATTCAGTTTCACAGACACTGAGTTTGAATTTCTGGGTGCCTTAGTCTGGTTCCTGAGCAAACAAGAGTCTTGGGTAAGGATTAATCCTTATGCTTTATTTGAGAAGTACACACTCAAGGCAGTGAAAGTAAGGAAAAACGAAAAAAAAGGCAGGGAAGGATGGAAAGCAATTCAAGATGATGCTGGTCACTACTACCCAATTACCGCAAAGAGACAGGGCAGGTGGCTTGGTAGGAGTGATGCGACCACGTGGGGCATTTCCAGATAAATTCTAGATAAAGTCATTGTGCTTTGGAGCTTGGTGACATTTCACGGATGGTGAAAGGAGAGGAAGTTTATTTAACTAGATTCCCTCCTGTATTAGTTTTCAATGGCTGCATAACAAATTACCACAAACTTAATGACTTAAAATATGGTTAAAATACCCATTTAATAGCTCACAGTTTTGTGAGTCAGAAGCCAGGTATGGGGTAGCTGGGGTTCCTACTCAGGGATCATAAGGCTGAAATCAAGGTGTCGGCCTGCCTGTGCTATTGTCTGAAGGCTCTGGGGAAGACTCCACTTTCAAGCTTGTTCTTGTTGTTGGTAGAATTCAGTTCCTTGTGATTGGAGAACAGAGGTCCTTATTTCTTTGTTAGATGTTGGTCTGGGCTGCCATCAGCTCCTAGAAACCACTCACATTCCTTGCCACCCATGTCCTCCATCTTCAAAAAGCTATGGTATGAGTCAAATCCTTCTTGAGCCAGAGGAAACTCTCTGCTTTAAACACACATTTGGTATGACTCCTCTGGATAATTTCCCTGTTTTAAGGCCAGTATGTCAGGTAATACAACCTAGTCACAGGAGTGAAGCCCAGCCAGTGATTATGTACTCATGTACACCTCGAGGCAGAAGATCTTGGATGCCATTCTGCCTACTACACCTCCTGTCCCTAAATCTGATTTCAAAGCCCATGTTCTTCCTGCTACCCAAAGCTGCTTGATAATATATGGAGACCGAGATTGCTTGGGGCTGATAATACAATGTCAATAGATGAAAGGCAGACATGAAACTCCTCCACTTCTGTTCTGGTTCCATGACTTTTGTTGAAAGGAATGTTCTGTGAATCCCAGCATGTATTAAGTGCTCAATAAATAGGGCTGAATGAATGATGGATTGGACAGAGGAGAGTACTGGAAGACTTAATGTGATAAGTAAATAGATTTTAAATGAAGACCTAATTGTGTTAATAGAGATTCTCTCTAGTTTTAGATGAATTACATTTCTGAGTCCTGAGAGAATAACAGGTGAGATTTCTGCAAAATCAACTCAACTCAACATATGTTTCTTGAATGAATGAGTGGACAAATTTATTTTGTTTGGTGATCCTCTGACTACAGGACTAGGAAGCCTATCTGAAAGAATTTAAAACCCCAAAACTAATTTAGCAGCATATATTTGTTCTTGATGATACTGTAGGGAAACTCTTAGAGATAATCTCTCCTACATTTCATTAACTATTAAGCATTAAAGACACAATTATTATTATTATTATTATTATTTTCTTTTTGAGATGGAGTCTTGCTCTGTCACCCAGGCTAGAGTGCAGTGGCGCGATCTCGGCTTACTGCAAACTCCACCTCCCGGGTTCACACCGTTCTCCTGCCTCAGCCTCCGAACTAGCTGGGACTACAGGTGCCCACCACGTTTTTGTATTTTTAGTAGAGACAGGGTTTCACCGTGTTAGACAGGATGGTCTCGATCTCCTGACCTCGGGATCCACCCGCCTCGGCCTCCCAAAGTGCTGGGATTACAGGCGTGAGCCACTGCGCCCGGCCCACAATTATGATTAAATAATAAATTATTAAAGACATAATTTCTAAATTGTGGGTTTGAGCAGTGCGAATGACCTTATATTAAAACACATGAAATGTTTTTCAGCCAAAGTAGAATGCAAAGCTCTGAAGGCCAGATTATGTGTTTATTTTGCTTTGTTTTGTTGTGTGTGTGTGTGTGTGTGTGTGTGTTTTGAGACAGGGTCTCACTCTGTCACCCAGGCTGAAGTACAGTGGTACCATCATTGCTCACTGTAGTTGCGACCTCTTGGGCTCAAGTGATCCTCTCACCTTAGCCTCTCGAGTAGCTGAGACTATAGGTGCACATCACCATGCCTGGCTAATTTTTTTATTTTTTGAAGAAACAGGGTCCCACTATGTTGCCCAGGCTGGTCTCGAACTCCTGGCTTCAAGTGATCCTCCCACCTCGGCCTCCCAGAGTGCTAGGATTACAGGCATGAGCCACTTCACCTAGCCTATGTGTTTACATTGTACTTTACTAAACTTCTATTTACATACACACACACGAGTGCTATGCATTCTGTTCGATCAATATTAGTTATAATTTTTTTCTGTGACCTTATATAGATTCAATTCCAAAATACCTGATTATAATAAATCTGCATTTAATTACACATGAAATATATTCATGATTAATCAGTTATAATCTGAGTAAATCCTTAAATAATTCTTTTTAATTTGTGAATGTATTAAGGTGTCAATATGTCATTGATAAAGTGCAATATGAGAACTTAAATCTCCTTGTCACAGATGCATCTTTCTTTCGTTAAAAGAATGCCAAAGGTATTTTAGTATATCTAACGCTTTTCTCATCCTGTATGGCATGTTCTTTAAAATAGTAAATTTATTATAGATACCTTCGTTGTTGTAATAAATTAATAACTACCAGAAGTCTATCATGAACAGAACACTACCTAGACAAGACTAGTGCAAAAAAAAAAAAAAAAAAAAAGAGGTGCTTGAAATGCTACCTGTCTTCTGGGAATATACATAAAATTTACATATAAGCATGTGTATTAATCTATTCTCACACTGCTATGAAGAAATACCCGAGATTGGGTAATTTAGAAAGGAAAGAGGTTTAATTGATTCACTGTTCTGCATGGCTGGGGAGGCCTCAGGAAACTTACAATCATGGCAGTAGGCAAAAAGGAAGCAAGACACCTTCTTCACAATGCAGTAGGAAGGAGAAGTATGAGAGCTGAGTAAAGAGGGGAGCCCATTATAAAACCATCAGATCTTGTGAACACTTACTCACTATCATGAGAATAGCATGGGAGAACCACCCCCATGACTCAATGACCTCCCACCGTGTCCCTCCCACCATACGTAGGGATTATGGGAACTACAATTCAAGATGAGTTTTGGGTGGAGACAGAGCCAAACCATAGCAGCATGTATACCACCAAAATAGAAAAGACACTACCTAGTATGTGATAACATAGTGCTAAGACACCTTGAATTCTAAGATACATCCCAAATTCCAAGATGTTAAAGATGAAAATACAATATATCTTAATAGTTTTCATACATATGTACTATATATCTAAGACAGAAATTTTACATGTGATATTCTCAATCCTAGTCTACTTATTTTTTAAATGATGTTATGGGTTTGCTAAATTAATTTTACCACCCACTAATGGGCTGACCTGATCTAAACACTAATCTACATCATGTGTCACAGATAATTAAAAACCTTGTTAACATATACAACCAAGGTGCTAATTGCTTAATTCTATGGTGGGTGCAGAAGAAGAAAAGACACAATTGAATATGGACAGAAACTACCTGGAAAGTTTTCAAATTGGAAAGAAGAATTGAGCCTTGAATACATGGGTAAAATATGGTGTGATAAAGAAGAGGCAGTGAATGGTTGAGAAACATAAACTGGGGGAAAAACCCTCAGATGTAAATGTAAAAAAAAAATTCCTTTCCTTAAAAATAAAATCTAACCATTTAACATTATTTTAAAAATATATGAGAATCCTTTTTGAATAGTAAAAGTCTCAATAATTTCAAAGATTACAACAAATTTTAATGTTTCACCTACAGAAAGTATACAGAATTCTGAAAAATTAAATACAGCTTCCAAAGAATGAAAATATATAAAATTGATTTAAGTAGAACTTGATACAATATTTGTTTTATACCCTTGTTATAAATTCAAAAGGGGTCAAATAGTCTAATAGCAAAATGATAGCAGCCTGAAAACAAGTGGCTGTATATTCCCCCACCCCCAATTTTTCTGTGCTTCTCTTATATTCAAAGATTAACGCAAAAACAAAATTTTGGAATCTGCTCTTTGCTGACCTCTGTACACGTTACCAAAAAAAAAAAAATCCTAGGATATAATGAGGTATACAGCACAAAACTGGCTGGCTGAACTCCTCAGTGACTCCCCTGCATTCACCTTCAGAATTTCTCTCTACTCCTGGCAAAAAGTGAGCAAACAACACAAACCCAAAAACCTATTTTGTACGTGTATGTGAAATGTGCACACCACAGTGCAAATATGTGATAGTTTTTAAATGTGCACGATTGGCAGTTAGGAAATGTCACTGTAATCGTTAGGTGAAACTTCAATCCCTTTGATGAAGATACCATCTTTGAGCCAAGCCCTGACAGAAAACCTTTGGTTCCTGTTAGACCCCTCCCTCCCCAGTCAGCTGCTGGGCTCCATCCGGAGGGATGGAGGCTCTCTCTCTCCATTACAGCTAAGCGTTCCCAGACCCAGCAGAAACCCTGGGTTCCTGCAGAGCACTCAACGTGCAGCAAAGTGTCCCAGCTCTGCAAAGGGCAGCTGGAAATGGATTTAAAATGGCAACGCGGACCAATCAGCGCTGCCGCGCCAAAGCAGACATTTACACGCGCCTCCTCCACATGCACAGCGGAACCTGGCGGTGCCTAACTCCTGCTTAGGGCTGCAAAGTAGGCGTTTTTATTCCACGGTGGTCTGTATCTTTGAAAAAAATAAATTCTTCCCCAGGTGAAAGTTTTTATTTTGGAATTAGTCCAAAATAATTTTGGGTGTGATGTGTGAAAATCTGAACCTAATTTTTTCAGAGTTTTGTGTTATTCAAGGATGAAAAGAGGTACATTTAAAAATGTACTCCACCTTTTAAAAACGGACTGTGGCCATTATGGTGTTCACATAACTCAGAACAGCCCAGGCCATAAAATTAGGACTTGGCAGAAAGAGAGTTCTCAGGCAGAAGGTTAAATCGAGGTAAACTGAAGGGAGAGTTGGGCAGTGAGTGCAATTGTGGTGTTAGGAATCTACAAGGTGCCCTTTACCCTGGGAACATCGGATTCCCGGGGAGGGGGATGGGGAGGGAACTTCGGTTGCCTCTAGTCTTTCCTGGAGAAAAAAGTTCAATGAAGAAGCTGGGGCGCTCTGTGTGTGCACATTGTTTGCATGTGTCTGCGAATGTGCATGTCTATCTGCGTGCCTGTGTGTATGTGTGTGTGTGTAAATGCGGGTGTTTACCAGCGCATGAATGCCCCCGTGTCCACGTGTATCTGCGTGCATGTGCTTACACGCGTGTTCGTGTGTATCTGCATGCATGTCTCCGTGTATGTGCGCGCTCGCCCGCCCGCAGGCTCTGTGGTGAGGGCATTCCGAGGCGGAGTACGGCTGTCAGGGGACCTCTCCCACTCCACTGCAGTCCCTTCCCACTCACAGTGAACCGGTGCGCTGCCTGAGGTGCAGCCTAGACGCTTCCTGCAAAGTGTTGGCTCGGCACGGTAGAGGCGCAGGTAAAGGCCAAGCCCCGAAACGTGGCTCCGGGACAGTCACGTTCCCGCGCCTTCCCAGGACAACTGCCCAGGGGTGACCTCGAGAGGCGGGTGGAGCTAGGCCCACGGCGAGCCAGCCCGGGATCCCCGGCCTGTCCCTTTAACCCCGCCGCCGGGCGGGAGCACGTGAGCGGGGCTCCGGGTGGCACCCGGGCGCCGCCGCCGCCGAGGCAGTTGTATTTCGAACGCTGCCTCTGGCTAGCAGCCAGGCGCCTTGGCTCGGCGGTCCGCCTGGCCTCCCTCCTCCTCATACTTTTCTTCCTGCGCAACCCCCTCCCCTTTATCCGCCCACGATTAGAGGTGGGCACTCCCCCCACCACCACCCCCTCCCCAAGCGCAAGCGCGTGCACGCACACACACCACACACACTCACACTCACACACACTCACACACACTCATCCCACTTGAATCTTGGGGCAGGAACTCAGAAAACTTCCAGCCCGGGCAGCGCGCGCTTGGTGCAAGACTCAGGAGCTAGCAGCCCGTCCCCCTCCGACTCTCCGGTGCCGCCGCTGCCTGCTCCCGCCACCCTAGGAGGCGCGGTGCCACCCACTACTCTGTCCTCTGCCTGTGCTCCGTGCCCGACCCTATCCCGGCGGAGTCTCCCCATCCTCCTTTGCTTTCCGACTGCCCAAGGCACTTTCAATCTCAATCTCTTCTCTCTCTCTCTCTCTCTCTCTCTCTCTCTCTCTCTCTCTCTCTCTCTCTCTCTCGCAGGGTGGGGGGAAGAGGAGGAGGAATTCTTTCCCCGCCTAACATTTCAAGGGACACAATTCACTCCAAGTCTCTTCCCTTTCCAAGCCGCTTCCGAAGTGCTCCCGGTGCCCGCAACTCCTGATCCCAACCCGCGAGAGGAGCCTCTGCGACCTCAAAGCCTCTCTTCCTTCTCCCTCGCTTCCCTCCTCCTCTTGCTACCTCCACCTCCACCGCCACCTCCACCTCCGGCACCCACCCACCGCCGCCGCCGCCACCGGCAGCGCCTCCTCCTCTCCTCCTCCTCCTCCCCTCTTCTCTTTTTGGCAGCCGCTGGACGTCCGGTGTTGATGGTGGCAGCGGCGGCAGCCTAAGCAACAGCAGCCCTCGCAGCCCGCCAGCTCGCGCTCGCCCCGCCGGCGTCCCCAGCCCTATCACCTCATCTCCCGAAAGGTGCTGGGCAGCTCCGGGGCGGTCGAGGCGAAGCGGCTGCAGCGGCGGTAGCGGCGGCGGGAGGCAGGATGAGCGCACGCGGTGAGGGCGCGGGGCAGCCGTCCACTTCAGCCCAGGGACAACCTGCCGCCCCAGCGCCTCAGAAGAGAGGACGCGGCCGCCCCAGGAAGCAGCAGCAAGTCAGTACGAGGGCGCGGTGGGGGCACCAGCCCACCCCGTCCCCACTGCCGGGGCCCAGACACGCGCGGGGCGGCCGGAGTGCGGGAGCCCAGTCGCCGCGGCCGTCGCACACTGCCCGCCGGCCGGCCGGGGGGAGCGGCGCAGACCCCACGAGTGCGCCGCGCGGCCCCGGGGCGCCAGCAACCCTCCGGGCGGGGAGGTGGGGAGCCGCGGCGGGCGGCCCGGGGAAGGCGGGAGGTGGGGTCGGGCGAAGCGCGTCCTCGGACTTTCGCTATTGTGCACGGCCCCGAGTGGCGCGGTGTCGCCCAGTGACTGGAAGCGACCGGGATCCGACAAACCCGGGCTCGCAGGCGCTTTCCGAGTTGCTTTTGCAACTGCCCGGGAGGAAGGAGGTGCCGGGGACCCGGGCGCTTCGGCCGATCTGGGCTGAAGGGGCTAGAGTCTTGGGGGCCGGAGGCTCTTTCTCCCGCCTCCCGGGGCTGCTCGCGGGTCGGGGGCTGGCGCGCCGCAGCCGCCCCCTTGGCGCCCTCCTCCAAGCTCTCGGTGGCCCAAGACTCGCGCCCTCCCGACAAAGAACGCATGGAGACCCGGCTGCCTGGTCCTTTTTGGGCTCTTTAAATATGCGGCGGCCGCCGGAGGGAGCCCGGGGCAGGGGCTACGGGGAGCCTGGTTCCCCGCAGGACGGGGTTAACTCGCCCAGCTAAGGGCGCGTTGAAAGGAGTGTCCAAGAGAGTGCAGGGTAGCCAGGGTCGCTTCCTTGTCAGGGGCCCGGTCCCCCTTTTGCCCCTGGATCTCGCGCCTCAGAGCTGCAGCCATTAAATGCTCTTCTCCAAGGCCAGTGGCCGGGGGTTGAGTAGGGGACGATCGAGGGGCGCCCGGGACCCTGCGGAGTGGAGGGTTTTGTCTGCGGATGCAACCAATTAAGCGTGCAGCCGGCGCTTGCAGAGCTGCGCTCAGCGCGCAGGGCTGGGGGTTTTGTTCGCTGTAATTTCCAAGCCGCGGCGGGCAGAGTTGGAGCGGGATATGTCTATTGAGAACATTTAAACTCCACTTTCTCGGGCTTTAAAACTTGCTCTCTGCTTAGTCTTAAATCGCTTCCTTCATGGCAAACACGCCGATTAGAAAATAATCCTAGAGTCCCAAAGTTGTCCGAGAGCAAGGTGGGGAAACTGAACAATGTTTGCTTGCCAGTGCATTTTAGAAAAATTGAGAGTTGTACCTTTTTGAAATCATCAAAGGAAACAAGCCGATCTAGAGGCCCCTGAGTTTTCCCGCTCTGCCCAAGCGACACTTTACACCGCATTTGAATCCTGTTTTACACCTCCCAGGAAGTCTCTGCCCTCCCCCACTTGTTTCCCACCCGCCACCCAGTTCTAACTCACTAATTGCCCCCCCTCCAAAAAAAAAAAAAAAATCCAAAAGAAATTACAATGGGGTCTGGAGGTGATTGGATACTTTACCTTTGAGTTAAGGCAGAGTTCACAAAGAAAGAAAAATTTGTCTCCGATGTGTTTGCTCTCGATGTGCCCACTGGTGCTAGTGGTCCCACAGAAGCTTGCAGGGAACCTTCCCGAATTCTCTAAATGGGATGCGAATTTTCATTGAGGACGTTCATGGGTTTTAAGTTAATTAGTCTCACTTAATCACCGAATCTGAATGAAATGTGAATAGATGATTCACTGGATAAATATTTGGGATCTGGAATATTAATCATCGCATTCTCTTAACCACTTGAGTATTTACTACTTGGCATAGGAGCCATTTAAAGTTTTGCTAAACCAAGTGATTGCTTCCATTTCTCATTCCCAGACACTCCATTCCTCCTCGCTTTTACCTCCTTTTAGTTTTCTCCACTCCACCCCCATAAGAGTTTTCTCAAAAGAAAGTTTTGAAGAAAATATGTTTATTTTTATCAAAAGATATTTAAATTTAGACTGGAGGCCATGCCTGCATCTCCAAAAGGAAGTGGAGAATTGAAGCAATTAACTAGATGATTCAAGCAAAACCTCCCACCATAGATTTACTATAATTATTTGGAAATTTTAGGGGGAATGGAGTTATTTTGAACTGAAGAACTTGAATAATTGCTCCAGTATTTCACTCAAAATGTGTCAGTTGAATCATAATCCACCTAGAAGGCAGGTATACAAAGATGATTAAAGGCCACCTTTTCAATATGGAAGATTGTTGAAATATCTGTGATGGTAGCTTCGTATTTCTGTTGTTTGAAATGCTAGTATAATGCAGAGTGGTGTTCGTTTAAAATGCCTATTATTCCTATGAGTTGCCAAATGCATAGCCCTGTAAACTTTACACCTTAAAAGTATATGACTTTCTTTCTAGAACATGCCTCTTCAGTCTTTGTTACCATTTTAGGTTTGAAGTAGAATCTAGTTTTCATATACAAAATAGAGTTTCCTCTTTGAACCCTTGCATTAAAAGTATAGTTATTTCCCCTTTCTGTAAACTCTGTACCATCATCATCCATTTATGCTTGAACTGAACGTGTTCCAACAGCTCTTTTGAGCAGCACATGCAGAAAATATAGCTAAAGAGTCAGGGTCAATTTCTTTCAGACATTCTTGCCACAACAGCATTTTTTTTTCCCTCACAATTAGGAACCAACCGGTGAGCCCTCTCCTAAGAGACCCAGGGGAAGACCCAAAGGCAGCAAAAACAAGAGTCCCTCTAAAGCAGCTCAAAAGGTGAGATTTCTCAAGTCAAGCTCTCCTAACTTCATCAATGACTGACTACAGGAGCCTGCCTGTAACTTTCCCATTCTAACTCCGCAGCCAGGAATTTGTCCCAACTGGGTAACACAAGACTCATTTCTTACATTTAACATTAGTTAGATGCGAGTTAACCTTTTTTGTAAGCAGATGCTCAGCATAAAAAGTTTATGAAGATACTTAACAGTGTTGTTTTTAAACAAACAGCCACCAAATAATTTGAACCTTAAAACGGGTAGAAGTGAGGAAGGAAGGGGTTGCGGGGGGGGCGGGATGAAAATGACACAATTAATATTTGCACCAGTTGTAAATAGTTAAAAACAAATCAAAACTATAGATTTTGCCTGGTGGTAAAGTTTTTGCAATTTCCTCTGAAAAATGATAAAGATTGATTTACTTTGTGCTTATTACATGGCTACTGCAAACCAAATCCCCCTATTAAAGTACTTTGCCAAATAGACGATAATTAGAAGTAAATCTAGTTGTGGGATAGTGGAAAAATTCCATGAATTTTGCAGCTTTAATTGTGATAATAAAGTATACTGTTTGTTTTACAATAAACCTGCAGTATAGTATATCATAATCTCAAAATGCCTTTTCATCAAGTGACATAGAAATGTCTGAATTGGACAATGAGACTTTTTAAAACAAGTATTTGGCTCATTTAATATCTCTTTTTGGGCAGAATGGAACCCAGTTAAGTGTAATATTCAGTGTTTATCTTAATAAGTTTAAACTTGCAGTTTAAGATAACTTCAGGTTGGCTGTGTTTAAGCTAGCAAAGAGGAACTATGTCAGGGTTAATGCATGTATAGAGAAGTACCAGTCACTTTTTTGACTTTATAAATAAATTGGAAAAAAAAGTTTCTGCGTTGTATTTGTAGGTTTGTGTAGTAATTGAGAACAAAGTTTCAAAAATCAGAACTAAATTTGGATATACCTTTTCACCGGTTTTGGGTACTCCATGTACAGTATTTGTTAGAAAGGACTATATGCTCATCGTTTGGGGATTAATGTTTTGTGTGATTTTCTTTGTGACTGTGGGTACTAACTGTAATGTATGTAAACTGCCATAGCAACTAATGGTACATATAAAGTTATTTAGGAAGTTACTCTGAGTTCTTGTCTGTTTTAACAGTTTTGAACAGAGTTGAGGAGCATATTTTTAATATATTTAAATTTAATTGCTTCTTAGAGTTTAGATTTAATTGTTTCTTATTTAATCAATAAACTTTAAAATAGCTCTAAGTAACCTTGTTATTTAAAAATGGCAATATATAATCTGGTATTTTTAATATGAATACTTTACATTTGTTTCATTTTATCTCATTTATAAATTAACTAAAATGGACTGATTTTACCAAGGAGTTTTTCTATGTTGTGTAAGTGTGGAGTTTACCTAATTTACTTTTATTCTAAGGAGATGCACAAATGAATATCTTGTTAGATAGCTGACACGCATTTAAGCTGTGGTATAATTCCTCTGAAAAACACATCATGATAATATCTCCTAGGAAGAAATCTTTAAATTTCACCATAAATAAGTAATTTGAAATTTAATACTAAAAAGGAAAATGAATTGTCTCCCATATTTTACTATATTTCATGTTTTTTGGATGAATAGATAGAAACGCTCCCATCGCCTCCGCTTCATTTTAAAAAGCTTACCACTGACTAACAAAATTTGTATTGAGAAAAGGGAAGCTGAAGCTAGTGCCTAGTTTACCACCTAAAGCAAAATTTTTAAAGTTGATCTATTCCTAAGTAAGGGTTGATTTATTTTTAGTGACTCTAGTGACAGGCATTTGTAAATGACCCCCCTACGCCGCTCATCTTTCTGAAAATTCTTCATGTGTATGCATACATTATTCCAATTTCCAAAACAGAAGTAGGCTTTCTTTTTTCTAAAGATTCCTTCTCCAGAATCTTTCATTCTTTCAGACACAATTATTTCCTACAATGGTGTTATAAAAATCCCTCTTGTAATAAAAATGAATAAATACATTTGCCCATAACATGACTTATTTTTCTTCAGTTTTATAAATTACGCTTCATCTGGAGAAGAGAATACCTTGCAAAATAATGAATGACATTGATGAATCGTTCATGGCATGTGTAAACTTAAGGTATTTTCACTTTCAAATCAGAATTTGTTGAGTATGTTACTATTCTATATAAATATGATTTTCAAACATTTGTTTATTAAGCATATATTGTGTTCTAACAAAACATATATGTTCGTCAGGATTTTGCAATGCAAATCTTTTTAGAAAAAGTTATATTGTTCATAACATGTAAGATAAACATACCCTGTGAGACTGACCAGAATAGATATGAGAAGTCTTCTATGAGTAACAAAGTGAGTGTTTTCCTGTAAACTGAGACCCATCACAATGCAAAATACATTGCAAAGACTGGTAAGTATATGAGAAGAAAGAAGCCTAAAATTAGAGGAGCTGCAATGCACACTGAAATCCTGATGGTTATATACTTAAAATTTCTTGCTGCTTGGAGTTTCTTGACTTACAAAGTTTATATTTGGATTCAGTAATTGGCCTTGGGACATTTGAAAACAAAGCTGTTGATTTGAAAATTAACAGTGTGAAACTGGACAATGCATGCAGAATGTTGCAAGACCAAGTGAATGACTACTAAATTAGCCATCACTTCAATTTCAAACCATATTCAGTAGAAAATTGATTTATATAATATGTAAAACAAAGACATTTATAAGAACACAATTTCCTATGCTTGGAACTTTTGGAAGAGAAGATAATTATTCTTCAATCTACTTAATATTCCATTAAAACTAATTACTATGCATGACCATTGTGTAATGATTCTAGTCATTCCTCAGAACTCCAATCTGAGTGCTCAAAATTTGTCCCTGAATCAGTTTCATATAGTTACCTGAATAAAAGAAATCAGAAGTTAAAGTTTTCCTGAATAATTCATTTGTCCATGTGTGTATACGTCTGTGTGAGCATATCTTTACCCTTTTATTTATTTTTTAGTCTGAGGTACACCTATGACCAGTTATGTCTTAACTTCCTTTTTTGTTTTGTTTTGCTTTGCTTTGCTTTCCTGGTTGTGGTGGATGGAAATCTTTGCATTTTTACAGTTCCCAGATGGTTAGAGAGAAAGAAGTTATAATCTCCTTTAGTTTAGGGTTTTGTTGTACTTTTTTAATCATGACAGAATACTGGAGGGGTTGTCACTAATTCTTCAGTGTTGAAGGTCTCAGGTCAAATTCACCTTTAAGTTTTAAGCCAATTCTCATTCACATATTTTAGGAAGTTTTTTTCTGAGGTTGAATTAAATTTTATTGGAAGGAAAATGAAAATAAAAAAAAAAGATCTCAGGTGTGAGATAACCCTACTTCATCATGTCATATATTTGTTCACCACCCTTTTGACTTTAGGTGTAATGGACAGATCTAGGAAGCAAAGTGCAGAATGAAAATATCTAGATAAAGTAGTTATAGTTAAAATAATGTGTTCAGAGTAAATGTTTAATCTCTATGTTTGATTTGCTATAAAAAGAAGGCCTGAATTAATTAGATACTGTAAAGACTACTTCATGCTCCTTCTAATCATTTGCATTTCTCGAAATGTGGTTTGCTTTTCATAATCATTACCCACACCAATCACAGATATTTTAAAAAGAGAGAAGATAGTTTTAGTCACCATTTCAGAAAAATCATTCAGCATAAATGCTGAGTGAGGACAGAATTTTCTTCAGAATATAGTAGGCCTAATTAAAAGGAGAAACCAAAGACATTATTATTGGTGAGTTAAGGAAAGGTAACTTTGGAAGTTATCATATAATTCTGGCCTATGGTTTCTAAATTAAACTACTATGATTTAGTTTAATTCCTCTGTGTTTCAATGGGCAGGTAAGTTTTATTGTGGGATTCAGGGCCCTATCTGAGGATACAAATGAATTCAGGCGGATTCAGGGCCCTATCTGAGGATACAAATGAATTCAGCAGGTGAAATTAAGTAAAGTCCAACTGTTGTTCCATTATCTTGATATTTAGGCTGACTTACCTAAACAATTGACTAATTTTTTTCTTTCACTTTGCCAGGGAAGACAAAGCCTTACTTAATGCACCAGCACATTCTATCTGGTAATGCTTTTAATCATCACAGATTATGATCCAAATATGGGAGATTGAAATACATTTGAATTATCTTATGAAGTAATTTTATTTCAAGGGACCTATAGTTCTACTTCTCTGGAAGCTCTCATCCTTCTGAACTCTTCTGAACTTGAAGTCTCCTCATTTCTCTGGCTGACCTACATTCCTGGCTCATTTTTATCTCAAGTTCTCAACAGATCATTTTGCTAAGGAGATAGAATATACCAGATTGGTATTCTATTGCATTTCAGTTCTTTCTTGAGAATAGATGGGTGCTGAAGAGGATTTTATGTCAGTTAAATCATTCAAACATGTCTTGTCTTGTTAGTTGACTTTCTGCAGTTTACAGAGCAGAAGGCACAAAGTGGAAACTGAATTAATTTCACTGATTCTGAAGGTTTTAGTTATGAATCTTTGTTCTGCCAACCAAGAGAAAAGGGGAAATAGAGAACTGTTATTTGTTAGGGCATTGCATTATTTCATATTGTTTTAATACACTGAGCAATTTTGAATGGCATATTCTATTTAAATTAGGGAAGAGTAGTGCAGGCATTCTCTTTTGTCTAGGATCATGTTTGCTCAGAAGGTAACTCCTGTGATCAATAGCAATGATCTCTTGTATCATTGCTATTGATTTTTATGATTACAAAGAAGTAGAGAGAAGATTTGGAGGAGAAGAATCTTAAACTTTGAAAATGATAACTTTGCCTGTCATTTGGCTTTGGTTTTAATTTAGTGTTTGTATACATGAAGATAAGCATGTGCAAAATAAGGACACCAGAGTTGACAGTAAAGGCTAACTTGGGTAATAGGCAGGAACTACAATGGGTGATGGAAATTACTTATATTTTCTATTGGAAAATATATTGTGATAGCAAATTGTAATGTCTCTTCAAGGCTAAAAGTGTTGCATGTAAAATTAGGAAACTTACAGAACTGGATTATCAAAAAGGTAAAATGAGAATTTCCTCAGTACTTAGTGGGATTGATTCGTAGAGTTGATTTTGATATCAGTGTACATTGATTTATACTGTTTATATTTTTAAAAATAGCAACTGAAGGAAATAAAATGTGCTTTCTAGGCTTTGGATAGTGGGCTTCATGCAAATCAAGATACATGCAAACAAGACAGGGCACCATCACACCCAAATATTTTTCTAGTTTTTTTTTTTTTTGGTACAGATGCACTGATGGATTTGCAGTGGGGGATTTCTGGCTATATCACAGTACATAAAAAAAATGATGAGAGAACTTGTAATAGCAAAAAATTAATAGCCACCTAAACCTGACCCTGAAGTCAGAATTGAATTATTCTTAGTTTCCAACCTCTGCTCTTGTCCATGTGTTTATAGGAAACTTGGAAATACATTACTTTTAACTAATTTGATTTTCACCCTAGAAGGTTATCTTTTATTTTTTAAATTTTTGAATGGCAGTTTTATTTTATATGGGAATAGCTCTCCAAAGAACAGACACTTCACTGCATTGAAATCAGATTGGGTCTCAGTTCTACTACCTGTGAACATGGGCAGGTTGCTTAATCTCCCATTTGTAAAACGGGAAGTAACACCTGCCCTGCCCTACTGAAGTAAGATAATGCTTGGAAAGTCACTTTGGAAACTAAGAAAATTGGTAAGTATTATATTTGTGGGTAGCATTTTAAAATAAGGGGAGGGAAAAGAAATTACATTTGACTAAGTGCTAAATGCCATAGCTTTTGTCAGGCACTTTATATATATGTTAGCTCCTTTAATCCTCTGATTTAGGCATTGTGGTCTTCATTCCACAAATGAGAAAACTGTGATTCAAAGATGTAAACAGGACATATCTGATATTCAACTCTGGTAAATGGTAGCACCTGGGTTTGAATTCACTTTAATTCTAAAGCTTATACTCTTTCCACTACCATGTGCTGAATGTTCTGTAAAATATTTGTTACAAGGTAGATTTCTGTTATCTCCAGTAACCTGAAATGCAGGTTGGAAATTACGCTTTGGGAAACCTTTGAAGGGCCACTCCAAAGGTTATAAAGGGATTGGAAATGTATGCCTTCTGCGACTGATACCCACAAGACTTCTGGTTCCCAAATAATATCATGGGGCTATGTCTTTGGGAATTGTAACACATCCAGAAGTTTTCTTCTTTGCTAAATGAGAGGGCTAGGTGAAATTATCTCTAGTTTTACTGAACTCTAGAATTCTGATGATAAGAGGGAAATAAGACACACATATAAACACTTTTCCTTCCTTTCCTCTTGCCCTCCCTCCCTCCCTTCTTCCTCCTTCCTTTTTTTCCTTCCTTCCTTCTTTCCTTCCCTCCCTCACTCCCTCCCTTCCTCCCTTCCTCCCTCCCTCCCTCCGTTCCTCCCTGCCTCTCTCTTTGCCTCCCTCCTTCCCTTCCTTCAACAAGTATATAGTGAACACCTCCTGTACACGAGGCACTAGTGCTAAGCACTGTTTTCAAGCTCAAGAGATGTATTTGCTAGTGAATTTCTTTCCTAATTAGTTTTTAAAATATGCAGTACATTGAAGAGCCTGGAGTACAGAACTTCTTAGAGAAAGAAATAATTATATTTCCCATTTAACATTTCTCCTAATCTTCATGGACTTGCTTCTAAATATATCATAAAATTAAGTGTACAGTTTTGAATCTGAAGTTTAAAACATAAAAATATTAATGAGGGCAAACAAGGGAGAAATGACACTTTTAATGAGATATGATTGTTGTAAATATTCGCATAATAGTGCTGGTAACAGTCTGAAATTTCAGTTCTTACCAATGAGAATTCCGACCATATCTCCCTTTTCTCTCTTGATGTGAGCAATAAATAGTGAGAATTAGTTATGCCTCTGTTATACATGGGTTTGTAGTATAAAGCCAAATTCTATTCTGGCAAAGGAAAACCAAATATACACTTCTACAGTATTGCATATGTTAAAACAAAACAAGCCTCCTGAATGTTTTGTTTGTCTTTTTTGAAAAATAATATCCTGAAGAGCATTAAACACAGGAAAACAATATTAAAGCTGATGTTTTCCAATATGTAAAAATCCTGGATCTAAGCTGGTTTACAAACTAAAACCCTAACTTGTTTTGCAGCCTTTGTGGAGTTTGATTAGAATGATTAAATAATGTGGGTTTTAAAGAACAATGAAAACCTCCCAGATTGACGCCACACAGCACAGCTAATGTGTTTCTTCTAGATGTAGTCTCAGAAGAGGGTTTCAGTTTACATGTAACACTGGCCTGAACGACCAAGGAGCAAGTTTGCTTTTAACAAGTCCGAGTGATAATCGTGATATTTTGCCCTTTAGTTAATGGTGCAAATTTTATTTCTCAATAGGCTTTTTGTAAATGAGATGCTCATTTAAAAGTCATCTTATTTGCAGGGCTTTTTCTGTTTTTGAGAGATTTGCTTTCTCTGATTTTGAAATACAGTGAAACTCTTTCAGAAAAAAAACCTCTCTCTTCAATAGATTTTAGATACACCCAGATCACATCATGGCCCCTGAAACATAACAACCGTGCAGAAAAAGCCTGGTGTAGCACTGTTAACTTCTAAGGTCAATAGGCTCCTTCTCCCACCCTGACTTCACACCCCCTTTTCAATAAAAAGGATTTCTATTTTCCATGTTTGTGTAATTTACTACTGGGTTAACTGTGCAATCTTACAGTTGCTTCCAAAGATTAAGTCAGATGCTGCTTCTGTGCTAGAGAACTCCACACTCATGTATAACTCACTATGCAATAGCCAAAGGGATCCTTAAAAGCCTCATTCTAAAGGTGACAGATGGGTGTGAAGGAATACTTGCATTGACCAAGGCTTCTGTGAGAGGAAACTAACTTGAAGAAAAACTCCCTTTCTGGGAGGCAGAGGCGGGCGGATTACGAGGTCAGGAGATCGAGACCATCCTGGCTAACATGGTGAAACCCCGTCTCTACTAAAAATACAAAAAATTAGCCGGGTGTGGTGGCAGGCGCCTGTAGTCCCAGCTACTTGAGAGGCTGAGGCAGGAGAATGGAGTGAACCCGGGAGGCGCAGCTTGCAGTGAGCAGAGACCGCGTCACTGCACTCCAGCCTGGGCGACAGAGCGAGACTCCGTCTCAAAAAGAAAAAAAAAAAAAAAGAAAAACTCCCTTTAAGGGTTCCATCTAGTTAGGAGTGAAAGAACACTTATGGAGCACCTCATGGGAGGCAGGAACTTCTAAGTACTTCTAGGAATGATGTCTCACAGGAGGAGTCATCTCCATTGCACGGATGAAACCAAATTGAGGTCTTCAAGGACCTGCCCAAAGTCATAAAGCTAAAATGGAAGAGCAGGAATTGGAATCTAAGCGTTCCAAGGTAGAGTCTGTGATCTTCTCAGGGCACCTCCCTCTCCATGAGGCAATGCTCTGAAGAGGGTATTATTTACTTGACACTCTGGGCTTTCGCTAAATTCATGCCCTTGGGACTGAAGGTAAGACAATGCCACTAACCTCTGACAACAAATGATTCCTTTGTGGAGCCATTCAAAAGTGATAATAAACAATGATTCAGAGTGTCCAAATCAGATGGTTAGATAGAACCCCTAAAGGCTACCAGGTTTTCTTTTGTCCTGGGAAATTAACTGAATCAGTGACAATTTTAGTTTCCTAAAGTATTTTTTTATGGTAGCAAATGCTTGTATACTACCGGGTAGTAGCATTGTTAAGAGGCTAGGAGCACAGTCTTTACAGTTAGACAAAACTGGGTTCAAATCCCAGGTCTGCCACTTACCTGCTTTGTTTGTGACCTTGAGCCAGTTGTATACCTAACCTATCTAAGACTTAGTTGTTCATCTACAAAATAAGAGGAATAATAATACCCACTTTATAAGGCTGCTGTAAGGATTAACGTAACACATGTGACTGACAATCGAGTGCCTGGGATATTTTAAATGCTCAATATTTGTGAGTTAACATTACAGTCATATAGAGTTTGCGTTAATTCATGGGACCTGTTGGATAGTAATGCCAGATCAGGGAGATACTATTTGGTGAGAAATGTTGTGGCTTATTTTATCTCTCATCTACCTGTCTGTCTATCTGCCTATCCATCTATCTGTTTGTCAACTATCATGTAAAGCTATTTGTTTTTACCAGGCAGATTGAAGAGAAAAAGAGGAAAGTTTCATTTGGCAGTGTAGACAGTCAATATCACTGTACCAAGTACCCCCACCGGCTGCTAACTCAGATAACAAAAGTAAAATGTGGAACAAGGTATCCTGGTTCAAGTTACCTGTATTTGTGTGTTAATATAGCCATGGATGATTCTTATACATGAAACAATATGTACTAAGTTTTCTTTATCCTAAAAAGCAGGAACACGTTTTTATAGATGTATGTGATATGTGTGTGTATTGGTGTGTTGTTGTGTATGAAGATTGGACTAGGGCTGACAAAAACGGAAAAACTAATTGCTTTATAAATAATGTTAACAACTGTGATATCAGAAAAATCTTCTGTGAAGTAAAGCAATGAAATAAACTCTCAAGATAGAAATGTATTCATGTTAAGTGTGGGATTATGGTTAATAAAGTACATTTTTAATTAATCATTATTTCTAGGCACATATAGTTTTAATCACTGGGACAAACTGATGATTTCTGCCTGCTTTTTTTTCCTCTGCTTTAGGTGAACTGATTGACAGGTGATTGTTTCAGGCAAGGAACATTAAATTAAACATGTAGAAGTGTGCAAATATTTGTTATTTTGAATTAGAATGCTTGTGTATTCTTTTTCACATTTATACTTGCTTTTGACTACCAATATAGGTAGAAGAGCTTTGTAAATTGTAAAGTAATATGTCAATATTAATTTTTGCAACTTTAGTTGTGACATGGAAAGAATCTTGATCATCTTAAGAAATATTAATTTTCTAAAATACTAACTTATGTAGTTACAGAATGTGGGGATAATGTTTTTAATATGGACAGAAATAAAAGCAAAATAGCTTTTGAAAAAGCATTTTCATGTATTTCAGAAGAGATCACTACAGGGGGTGTCTTTTAGGGCGAGGGGTTGCATAGATACCTCTTTACATCATGCAATGAAGAAGAATCTACTCAGAAATGTGGAAAAAGATTAACCTTAGAGGAGACGAAGTTTGTTAAAAAAAACAAAAAAAAAAAAACCGATACGTCATCTGCAAAGCAGAACATTCTTACTTCAAATGTGTCCCTTGGTGCAGTACTTATAAACAATGTCAGGTAGAAAACTATAATGACTTCCTTTTTCATTTGCAGAAAGCAGAAGCCACTGGAGAAAAACGGCCAAGAGGCAGACCTAGGAAATGGGTGAGTAATAAGATATAATTTTTCTTCTTTTTTTTAAAGAAAAATTTCTGTTGTATTAAATGAGAAAAGTTTTATTTCGTCGATTACATGAATTTCCAACTTCTGGTTTGATGAATCTTTGAAAGGGTTAAGTCAAGAGACAAATTATCATCACTTCCTACCACTAGGCTCCAGGTGTTTACGTAGAACACTTTTCTTTCCTGAAGGTGGACTCATTTTTCTATCTCTTATCAACATCAAAAGAGGCTCCACTCTTCCTTCAAATAGGGTAACAATGAGATGATTTGTTCAGTAGATTGAGTAACTAAAGTTAAAGGGTATTATGAAGCCTTGGAAGTTGATTACAAATGGTGTTAAAATTCATACACAATGTGTATGTGATAACTTTTTAACGTTTTTCTTTTTTCTTTTTCTTTCTTTTTCTTTTTCTTTTTTTTTTTTGGTTTTCTCCATGGCTTTTGTTTGGACACATCTCATTTTCTAGATGGTTTGTGTTTTCTTTTTCACATGGCTTTGTTAGGAAGCAAGGGTTTATTTTGAGTTTTTCTTGCTTCCCTTAGTAGTCATTCTCCACATGCAAACATTAGAGATAGCTGTATCCATACAAGTGCACCTGATCCTATAGGCACACAGATCCTGTATCTTTTGAGGCCAGAAATTCAGTGGTCACTGAAGAGCTTTGCTAATTTTACTGCTTGAACTTTGTTCCCTTGTTTGCTGTGTTACCCATGTTCTTCTGGTCTGTCTTTCCCACTGACGGAGAAAAGAAGTCCTAAAAATGAATGAAATCGTTTCTCAAGAAGGATGAGGGCATCCTTTATACCCAGTGTTGCATATGATGGGTTCTTTGGCTTTGCTTTTTCCTCTTCCTCAATTCTTTCTTCATGCTTCAAATTTTAAAAAGATTTTTTTTTTCTGTTATGCTGGATTATATGTTCCTGTTTGCCATTCCTTTCTCCTCTAGAGTTCTGCATCACTTTCTATTTATACTTTGGTATTGCCTTTCTTTTAATTTATTCATCTTATATTTTTCCTCTGCTCAACATGTGTTGGGATTAGATTTCTTAGCATAAGGAAATGGGATGATCTTTAGATGAAAAACATCTCAGTGTTAAAATGTGACCTTAAAGTAAGGATATTTCATTCAACCTTCTGTTCATTAAATTAGTTCTCTCCAAACCTACTTATCAAGTGGTGATCATCTAGCGTGCTTGATTACCTTTAAAGTTAGGGAACTTGCTACCTCTCAAGGCTGCCTCTTTCTTCTAGGAAAGCTCTGCACATTAGAAAATTGTTCCATCTGACTACCTGTAACTTCCGTCCACTGTCTCTAGGTCATCCTTCTGGGAATATATAGAGTAATTGTTTTCACTTTCACTCATGATAGCCCTGCAAACGGTTGAGGGCAATTAACACATACTGTTTGTATGTATCTGTGTTTGTATGTAACACATACTCCAGTTTTCTCATTTTTTCCCCATAAAGGAACATTCTTGTTATTCTTTTCTGAACATGTTTGTTCGTTAATCTTTTGAAAGATGTCACCTAGAACTAAATATCATATTTCAAGTGTGGGTTCCATAAACAGTGGGTTTATCACCTTCCTTGTTGTACATATGGTTCCAGTTATCGATTGCTGCATAGTTAACCACTCTAAAACTTAATAGTGTAAAAAAACTATTTTATTATGCATATGGATTCTTTGGGTCAAGGATAGGCAGGGTAGAGCAGAAAGTCTTGTCTCTGCTCCATGATGTCTGGGGCCTCCACTGGGAAGACTCAAGCATCAGGGGATGACTTTAATACTTGGGATCCAGAATCTGGAGCTGTTTCACTTACAAATCTGGTGCTTTATCAAGATTGGCTGGAAATCTGGGCGGATCTGGGAGTGCGTGCACTGGATCACCCATACATGGCCTCCCCAGGATAATCAGGCTTCTTACATGCACTCAGGACTACCTCTGGGAATTTTCTGGTAACTGAGGAGGAAGCTGCAAGGCCTTTTTTGCCTTAGACTCGGAAGTCAAAAACTGCTGCTTCCATTATACTCTAATGAGCACATTGTTGACTAAGTTGATACTGGCATACATATCAAATAGAGATCTGCTGTTTTCTAAGCATCAGAACTCTGAAAGGACATCCCATACCATTGAACTAATTAATAAGAAAGACGTGTATAATCTTTCTAATAGGCAACATAATAGAAAATAGATGAGTTCTTTGAAGCCATGGGATTAATGTGGCTAAAATGAAATTAAATTGCAAGCGAATACAGTGGCAGTTAACCAGCAAACTAACCTCCATCATATGGGGCCTCTTAACTCTCTCAGCCTTTCATCTCCTCTGCCCTTGGGCTGTCCTATAATGGTCACCAATTCACCTCCATAGGTTAGAGTCCTGTCTTCTCCGAACCTTCCTATGGCTCCACATCTGGCCAGCTAGTTAATTACAGCCTGCCCTAGTACTTCGAAGTCATTCAGTTTACATCTACCTTTCTTTACAGTTTTCTTTCTCACCACACATCCTTAAACAGTTGATGATTCAGCCAAGCAGGAGTAAACTATAGAGCAATTAAAGGATATATATGTTTTTTTTCTTAACGGATTCTTGCTAATTTAGGGGGGATCTGGATTTCAGGCATCAGATCTTCCTGCTGGGTAAGAAGCACATGTGAGGCCCCCACCACAGAAATCCTTGCCTTTCTGAGAATAGCTGGGCCATTTTCTTTGACTCTCCTGGTTTCTAATTTTTACTGGCTGTGAGAATGGAAAATATTATGTGGTGAATTGTTACAAGTCCCTGATTTGGTCCCCAAAGAAGAGTTGTTCTACTGAGAAGAGGAAATAAAAGGAAATTGTATATTTTTTCTAGACAGTGTGTTTCCTCTTTGCTTGTATATCTTCTGTTGGGTAGAGTATGCAGCCAGTCACAGCAAGGCATTCCGTTCAATGGCATTCTTTGCTGGAAAGCTTGTGCTGAAGAAATAAATCATTGCGTTTTCCATAGGAAATGGGCTTATACTTTATAGCAAGTTCAATTCTTTCCAACAGTGTCATTCACCGATTTCCTTGAGTTAGAGATATATTTTTGAACCGACTGGATTCATTAGGTATATGGGTTAGAAGCCAAATTGTTCCCCTTTTATTCTTGTGGGATATTTTGCTTTGTTTTAAAGTTCTTGTGCTTCTAAAACTTGTTCCAGTAGATATTATAGATTCATGTAAGAGGCCTGGGAAAAGATACCTACCGAGGAATCCTCTGATCTGATGTAATTGGGATCCATATGGGTAGGTGTGGGAGAGAAACTTGCATCAGTCTTGCTTTCAGAGGGGATGAAGCATTGGCCAATTCAGTGATCTAACGAGTGTGTTAACTAGATTTGCTTAAGAACACTTCTATTGTTTACTTTAATTCCCTTCATCTTTTTTTTTTTTTATCCCCCTAGTTTGAACTGGATTTCAGATCTATTGTTTTTATGAGGTGGTCTGATTTTCATGTGTGTGCGTGTGTGTGTAGAAGAGGCTAGAGGTAAATTGGGTCTCTTTTTTTCCTGGCTTTTTATAGTTAAGAGCTCAGGCTCTGGATTCAGATGGCTTGGGTTCAAATTCTGGTCCGTCACTTAGCTAACTGGAGTCTTAAGAAAATCACATGACCTTTAAAGGTCCAGTTTCCTCATCTGCAAAAGGTATATTTCTCATAGAGTTGTAAGGATTAAATGAGATAATGCATGCAAAGGGCTTAATAAAGAGCATGGCACATAGGTAGTGCTCAGTAAATGTTGGAAATTATGATTAATTTCACTGTACACTTTCATTTTGACATTAGCTGTAGGCTAAACCTTAATTACTTACAGCCACCAGTAGTTACACATAGAATGAAGTAACAGAGTTATATGTCAGACTAACCAAGTACCCTTGACAGTATCATTATGTCCTCAATATATTTATGCTGAATATTAATCAAGTTTAAGAACTGCTTATAAATAATACTAAAGAACATTTTAATTCTCTTTGCTATTAAGGAGGAGTTTTACATTGCAGCTTAGAAGCCTTTCTTCCAATAGCAGAGATTTGGTGTCATGTGGTGTTCATCAGTTTGAAAAGAAGTATTTCTGCTGTTTGCCTCAAGATGTACATACAGAGATGTGCTGATTCTCAGAACTTCTATAGAATTCCATTAGCCAGTCCTGCCAATTGAAATTTGGCATTTAATTATTTGCATTTTTCTATTCTTGCCTAGGAAAGGAGCTCGTCACATACCTAGTTTAGTGATGGAAAGTATTTGGAGAAAGTTTTAGAGAGTGGGGCTCAGGCTCAAGAATACAATGAAGTAATAAAGTTGTTAACCTCATGTATAAAATCCTCCATCCAGATGTTGCTTAGTGATGCAGCTAGTGCTTCTGGAGGAAAAGAAGCAAGAACCAAATAATGAAGACTACATCAATGGGAACAAGTGATACTTTTAGGTGTTTTGTTCTCAGAATATTTTAAAAGAAAGGAAATTAACAACAGAAGAAAAATATTTCCCTATATGAATTAATGGTTTTTATAAGAAAAATATCTTTCTGGAGATACTAAGATTGACCTAGAAATTGATCCAAGGACCAGATGCTTAAAGTTCACTTCAATTGGTCACTAGAAAGATCCCAGCAATCCCCAGCTGGTTTCTCAGGCTGCTGATTCCCTTTATTTGGTAATGGGGTGTGTGCAGTACGTTGATTAAAAAATATGCATTTCCATTCCATTGCTTTTGAAGGGGGGCAGTTGTCTTTCTCTTATTAAAGAGCTTGTGATACACAGGAAAGTGATGTAATTTTATATATTAGTCAAACGTGAGGATTTTAGATAAGACAGCAAGGGTTTTTTTCCCCTAGTTTGTAGAAATCTAGAAATTTAAGTGATGATTTGAGGATCGAGAAGGGAGAACTGAATCAAAATAAAATCTACTACACACATTCTTTGGTTTTGGAATTCTTTGGCTTTATTCTAAAGATCCCAAGCATTAATGCATTGAAGAACCCGGAAATCTGATTTTGAAGCTAAAACATTAAGTTTTACATGTCCATTACTGTTTCCCTCCAGAGAGGTTTGCTACTTACACACACACACACACACACACACACACACACAAGCACACACACACACACAAAACAAAAACTTTTAGCTGTTTGTAATTTAAGACTTTCCTTGTTGAAAGTGGCTGGGCATGGTGGCTCATGCCTGTAATCCCAGCACTTTGGGAGGCCAAGGCGGGCAGATCACTTGAGGCCAGGAGTTCGAGACCAGCCTGGCCAACATGGTGAAACCCCATGTCCATCAATAATACAAAAACTACCTGAGTGTGGTGGCCCATGCCTGTAGTCCCAGCTATTCAGGAGGCTGAGGTAGGAGAATTGCTTGAACCTGGGAGGCAGAGGTTGCAGTGAGCTTGGTGATCATGCCACTGCACTACAGCCTGGGCAACAGAGCAAGACTCCATCTCAAAAAAAAAAAAAAAAAAAGAAATATATAACTGCAATGTTTAGAAAGGGATATCCAATAATGCAGATTGAAGATAATTGCAACTTTGTACTGGAGTCAGAGGGGAAGAAATAACTTTGATATGACATCAAAAACTGTCTGCTAATGGAATGTGTGAAGGTGAAATCATTTTCCCTTAGACCCTTGCCATTATCACGTGCTTTAAAAAACAGGAGATGCTCTTTTTAAAGCAACTGCATTTTTAAAATACATGCTTAGTAATTAAATATAAATTTGCTGATGCATATAATGCATTCAAAGTTGGTAAGTAATATTTTCTGAAACTATCTTTTCCTTTGCAATATTTTATGATAAAAATAGAGTACTTTTCAAATTTTTTCCCTATGGGGAAAAGTAGCTTAATCTTATTTTAATAGTTTACCACAAAATTCACTAAAGAGATTATTTAAAATTAAAAGATTAAATATGAAAACACTAATAAGTCATATCTAAAAGTGAAGAATTGAATTTGATCATTCATGTTTTGATTCAATACTAACATCTTTTTCATTTGTTTTAATATGTAAGTGCTATTCTTAATTATTCTGTTAAATGAAGACTTTCAAAAAAAGAGATTGATAATCTGCCCTACTTGGTCAGCCAGTTCATCCAGTTTAGCATGGCCAACCTCTACCAGACCCTAACCATTTAGGATTATAAAAACATTGACTGCAGAGTCTGAAGCTCCAGTGGCTTTGCTGCTGTGCCAAAATAGCATCGACTATCACCAAGGAAGAAGAGATTTTTCTCACTTGTGTGGAGTGGCAAATTCTAGACAGGAGGTAGTTCATAAAAATATCTTATTTCTCCATATGCTATCATCAGATCAATAGAGTCCTGGCCAAGACAGTAATCTCAATTTTTAATTCTAATAAAATGACAAATGTAGAATCAGTGACCATTTTGTATGACAACAAATGTATGTAAGACTTTCCTTACACAGTGTACTATCCCTACTCCCATACACATATTTACCTACATTCACCTTACTGTAAGTATTTATGGATGGTAGTAAATATTTCTAAAAGGTTGGAAATCCCCATGCTGTATATTAATAAAATTAATATGCCACGTTTTTTTAACTAGGTAAACAAGTAAAATGATTATATTCCAGGAGAACATTTTTGTTGTGTTTTTAAAGGTGGAGGCTGCTTTTATAAGCGTTTTTGTTTTTGTTTTGTTTCGTTTTGTTTTGTTTTCGAGACAGTTTCGCTCTGTCACCCAGGTTGGAGTGCAGTGGCAAAATCTCAGCTCATTGCAGTTTCTGCCTCCCGGGTTCAAGTGATTCTCCTATCTCAGCCTCCTGAGTAGCTGGGACTATAGTCCCACGCCACCATGCCTGGCTAATTTTTGTTTTTTTAGTAGAGACGCAGTTTCGCCATGTTGGCCAGGCTGGTCTTGAACTCCTGACTTCAGGTGATCCTCCCACCTCAGCCTCCAAAAGTGTTGGGATTACAGGCGTGAGTCACCACTCACGGCCTTTAAGATTTTTTTTAAAAATCAAGGAATTCCTGATTCTAAACTCTTCAATACTTGACACAAACATTTAAACATTTTTGACAAAAGATGGGATGAAATCAAGCCTACTCCTTGTATTCCAGATTGAAAAAAGGACCTCTGCGTTTTGATGGGCTGAATACCTTTGGGCAGGTTGCTTAATTTATCCGTGCCTTTTCTCATGTCTAAGTGCCTGACAGGAACATTCTGTCCATAACTAATGGCTGTCAAGCATTTATGGTTGTAAAACACAAAAACCTTTATTGCTCCAGCCAGCTCTATCATCCAGGGACTGATTATTGAGTTTGTGATGATCCAGCCTCTTGTCCCCTTCTTTGCTTTGTTTTCTCTCCTCCCCCCTGCTGCCTGCCCTTTGGCCATTTCACTGCTCATTAGCGCCTCCACCAGATGGGGGGCAGGGTCAGGAACAGGGGGTCAGCTCTGGTAAAAGGCTTGGTAAGAAGGAGGCTGAGAGTAACAGCCAACATAAGGTTTTCAGATTATCTACATCCAGGCTCGCCCCCAACCCTGTCCTCAGGAATCACTGAATGCAGCCATGACACTGAAATTTGTTTTTCATTCATTATTTTTTCATTCTTACAATAAACGTGGTTTTATAAGTTAGTTAAAAAGTCTTTTTCAGGATGCCGTAGTAAACAAGAGTCCCTTTTGAGCATTTCCTTAGTAAACGATGAATGGCTGCTGGTCAAGCTTGTTCTGGCAAGTCTTTAGCCTCTGTTCAGATTCAGAAGAATGGCATCAAATCTATGCTTACATTAGACTCAGGTTGTGGAATGTAGTTCTTTCAATTCAGGTTTAGTGAATTTGTCTTATGATGCTGAAAGAGTCCTGTTTGGGTGTTAAGAGGCCACAGAGCTAACCCTAACTATATGACCAGGGAAAGCCCGTGTTATCACATTGTACTGTAATTTCAGTGCATTAACTCAGAAAATGCACCTCGAGTGCCTGTTTAAACGTGATGTTGTGCAGAAGGAACAGCATGTACAGGACAGAGATAGAGACGGAGGCTACTGAAACACTTTTTTTGTTGTTGTTGTTCACCTATTTGGTTGCTTGTCTCTTTCTTGGCTGGATCATTTAAACCCTAGAGTTCCAGTTCTGAGACCCTTTGATTTTGTGATTTTCCCATTTGTCTAAACATTTTGCCAAAGCCTTCTGACACGATTATAAATCAAGTCTGTGCTGGGTCCTAGGGATGTCAAGGCTGACAAGATAGGTGGGGCTGCCTTTGGGGAATTTATAGTCTGGGGAGCTCTAAAGAGATAACCTGATACCTGCCAGGTAGATTATTATTCTATGCTTCAGATGTTAGGAGGCTAAATTAAATTACAGTTTTCAAGTATTTTGAGCTCTTTAGAATTTAAGTCCTTCCATAGAAGTAATTATATTGCTTTCCAAATCCTAATGACACACTATTTGAATTTACCTATATTAACACCATAATTTGAATGTTCATGTATATGTATACATACATACTATATATATACACACACACACTTATATATGATATATGAATTGGTTGTGCTATGTGCTGTGTGCCTGGGGTTACATTCTCTCATTATCTTCACAGCAAATATATAAGCTAATACAAAATGTATACAGATTTGATTTATCAAAGTAGTCAAATTTCATCTAGTTAGTATTGGGTTAAAAAGATGGGTGTTAAATCGTCAGGTACAGGCTCCAAAAAGAGGGAGAAAAAGGGAATCAGAAAAAAACAGGAAAATTCTGTTGAGCCATTTAACATATGGTGACCTTATTTTTCCTCTTTGTGCATACTCAATATAATTTATGCTTATCAAATAATTTTTAAATCACCAGGTCTTATAGCAACTTAATTATATACTTTAATATTTCTGAATAGTGCAGCCCTTTGTGTTTTAAAATGAGCTCTTTGAGGGTTGGGTGCATATCTCCTATTTATCTTTTTAACCTCAGCACCTAGGACATAGGAGGGAATTCAGCAAAGTGATTAAGAGCTCAGACTGCCTGGGTTCAGGTATCAGCTTAATCAAGGCAAGTTGTTGATCATCCCAGCCCCAGTTTCCCTGTGTGTAAAACAAAGGGTAATCATAGTTTTTGTCTGGTAGGATTGTTTCATAAGAATTAAATGAGAAGCCATCAAAAAAACTTTATTCAGCATGTGTCAAGCTCTCAATAGGTCATAATTGTTGATGTTAGTACAGTCTCAGGCCCATAATGGTGCTTACTAAATGTTCGGTGAGTAGGATGACAGTTTTTCTTTAGTGTGTATAAAGGATGGCCTTTGAATTTTTGTTTTCCAGTAATGAATGTGGATTTGAATTACATTCTTTGACTTAAAAAAATCCAAACTAATGATTTGTATTTCCAAAGAGGCTACAGCAGGTTTTTTTTAAAAAGCACAACCTATAGGCATCAAAGCAGTATTTGTAATAATTTTGAATTCCATCTTATGCCTCTCCACTAAAGAAGTAAGCTGCTAGCCACTATCACCCAGGCCCAATAGAAACTTCGAATGTCTTGCCCTATGTTAATGTTTCCATTCCCTCACTCCTGGAAATAGCATTCTGCTTTCCAAAATAGACTCTTATGCTGTACCTTAGAAGGATTTTTGTCACAATTTTGGATCATCAGAAAAACAGAAGACAGCTTTATTGGCCAAACCTCATGAACTAATTTTCTAAGGTAGTTTCTCTTTCTCTCTCTCTTTTTACAAAAACTTATTTTAATGGCCTATTTGTGTCCCATTTTCTTTCTGTTAATTTTTAGTACTAACATGAGAATAAAGAAAAGTAAAAAGTCAATTACTCTATTTGTTTCTTTCAAGGGCATTTGAAAGCACTTAAAGTGATACATTAAGGCAGTAGGGTGTACAACTAAAGATTTACTGGGGACAACAACCTGAAATCCTAGGCTTATGTCAACATGGGAGTAAGTACTTCAGTTAGAATAATAGCTAGCAATGTTACATAACTTAAAAGTTTAAGGCCGGGTGCGGTGGCTCACGCCTGTAATCCCAGCACTTTGGGAGGCCGAGGCGGGTGGATCATGAGGTCAGGAGATCGAGACCATCCTGGCTAACAAGGTGAAACCCCGTCTCTACTAAAAATACAAAAAATTAGCCGGGCGCGGTGGCGGGCGCCTGTAGTCCCAGCTACTCGGGAGGCTGAGGCAGGAGAATGGCGTGAACCCGGGAGGCGGAGCTTGCAGTGAGCCGAGATTGCGCCACTGCAGTCCGCAGTCCGACCTGGGCGACAGAGCGAGACTCCGTCTCAAAAAAAAAAAAAGTTTAAGCATTACCAATAACGGAAGTGCAGGTTTACCAAGTTCCCAGAAAACCCAAATATCTTCAATATTAAGGCAGTTCCCCAGTGCAGGAAGCACTAAATCCCAAGAAGGTGAGATAATAACTGTATGTGCATGGAGGAACATGGACTCATACGATTATGGTTGGTAATGTTCTAGAAAGCACTGTTTGTTTTGCGGTCC
This sequence comes from Homo sapiens, assembly GCF_000001405.40. NCBI lineage: Eukaryota > Metazoa > Chordata > Mammalia > Primates > Hominidae > Homo > Homo sapiens. The sequence goes on from NC_000012.12 coordinate 65,849,078, forward strand.
CTTATTATTTCCTGTTCAGAATGATTCTGATGTCAGAAAAGATACATCCTACGCAGTTTGTGTCAGAAGCTGATCCTCGAGTGTAATTTCCTTATTACAGGGTCTCTGTCCCTACATTTTCTTTCCTGCCATTATTCTCTCAGGTAGTCCAACTTCAGTATTCCTTAAATTCTCTAGTGGAAACTTGATGAGGCATTTGCATGCCTGGGCCCACTCTCCTAGGGGTGGAGTTAGAATGTATGAACATGGCCATCTCTGTGTCCCCTCATTCTCTTGAGAGATGGACATTCTTGGCACTGGATGCACACCTTATAAGTTTTAAGGAAAGGATGAAAAGGCAATGAGTGATAATGCTGTCCATCTTATAACATGTTCATTCTGTGCTATTAATCTAAAATTTCTCTTTTAAGAGAAAGTATAGTTTGATTTACAAATCAATAAATAAATCCCTTATTCCCCTTTCATATCTTTGGACTACATATTTTCCATATATATTTGGTGAAAAATATCTCATTCCCAGTCCTAATTCTCCTTATTATAATTTCTTACATAGCAATGTGGTAGAGCTTAATGACATTGTTTGGATTTGCTATTGAGATTTTCCTAAATGAGAGTGGTCATCTCCAGACTACCAAACCAAGACAATGGTAGGCTCTGTATTTTTTTTTTTTTTTTTTTTTTTTGAGGCTGGAGTGCAATGGCGCGATCCTGGCTTACTGCAACCTCCGCCTCCCGGGTTCAGGCGATTCTTAAGCCACAGCCTCTCGAGTAGCTGGGATTACAGGTGCCTGCCACCACGCCTGGCTAATTTTTGTATTTTTAGTAGAGACAGGGTTTCACCATGTTGGCCAGGCTGGTCTCAAACTCCTGACCTCAAATGGTCCGCCTGCTTCAGCCTCCCATAGTGCTGGGATTACAGGCGTGAGCCACTGTGCCTAGCCTCTATTTTTTATTTAGTATTGCCCTTCCTCTATTGGTGGTTGAATTTTTTGTGGATATTAAAATTTGTCATCAAATCAGCCAGGCTTAAAGTTTTGTGCCTTCCATCCTGTTTAGACAATTGATGAGCTACATAAAACCATTTAAAATCCATAATTTTATAAGCAATAAATAGGTAATTTTTTCTAACATGTAGTCCCCCTCGCTATTAAATCACTCATCTTAGTGGAGATCAGTTGGGATCCTTTTCAACTGTTAAGACCTATGGGAACAAAGCTGTTACAGCTATGACCCTATTTGCACTGTTGGAAGTTCTTAGGGAGCCACAGTATTTACAGGAAACTAATTCACACTAAACTCACTTGTACTGCATTGTTTCCTGCTATGATAAAGCAAATGGGTTATGTATATTATTGCTTTAATAGAATGATCAATGCACTTAGATTGTGTAGTGTGAGAGAGCTTGGCCTTACATAGTCACAGTATGAAGAGACCGAATTTTTTTTTTTTTTTACTAAAAAAAAAGACTTTTCTGCTGGGATTGTAATAATGTGGTAAGTATTCAGACTTACTATTTGCTATCTTTGAAACAAATATATTACAATAAACATTTAGAGAAGCTGACATTTTATATCCATAAGGCAAACACAAAATTTCCCAATTTGTATGAAAATTTGGGTGTTTTATCCTGTGCTTTTATTTATTTTTTTATTTTTGAGTCTGAGATATTTTTGTGTCCAAGAAAATGTTTAGATTAATTCACTTGCAGTCTTGAAGTTATCTTTGGTAGAAAAACATCCTTATGTGTATGAAAAAAGCAATTTAGAAAGGAGATTTCATGAGCATCCTTGACAGTGGTGTACAAGTTTAATCGTCTTTCCTGTGACAGGAGGGTCTTCATGTATTCAACCTAGAATTTCTCCTTTTACGGTTCTTAGTCCATTTCCTCTTGTCTTGTTCTTAATGGTGACAGAGAACATCTGCTATGTTCCTCTTCAAAATATATCTTCCTACTTGGGGTACTGTAAAGTGTACGTACTTTGGGTCTTAACATATCTGCATTTGAGTCTGAACCTTATCACTTACTAACCTTAGGCCTTTGTTACCTCTCTGAGACTAAATTTCTTCTTTTGTGAAATGAGGCTGGTAATATCTCCATTGTAGTTTCAGCTAAAGTATCCAGTACCTAGTAAATGCTCAAAATACCATTATTTTGGCCTGGCACAGTGGCTCAGGCCTGTAATTCCAGCACTTTCGGAGGCCGAGGCAGGTCAATCACTTGAGGTCAGGAGTTCGAGACCAGCCTGGCCAACAAGGTGAAACCCCATCTCTACTAAAAATACAAAAAATTAGCCGGGTGTGGTGGCGCATGCCTGTAATCCTAGCTACTTGGGAGGCTGAAGCCGGAGAATCACTTGAACCTGGGAGGCAGAGGTTGCAGTGAGCTGAGATTGCACCATGGCACTCCAGCCTGGGTGACAAGAGCGAAACTCCATCTCAAAAACAAAAACAAAAACCAAGAAATTAGACAGCTGTGGTGGCGGGCACCTGTAATTCCAGCGAGCAGCTTGAACTCAGGAGGCGGAGTTTGGAGTGAGCCAAGATCATGCCACTGCCTGGGCAACAAAGCGAGACTCTGTCTCAAAACAACAACAACAACAAAAAATCATTAGTTTTAAACCCTGTGAAAATATGTTGTCAGCTTTCCATTTTCCACAATAACATTCCCAAGTCTTTCTCACTATGTCCTGTTTTTCTAACCCACTAATCACGGTTCTGAATGAGACTTCAAATGATATGGTAGATGGAACACTACGTTCGTGATGAAAGGCCTTTCTGACTTGCATTCTGACTTAATGAATTTCTAGCTTTGTGACCTTGGACAGGTGACTTATCCTTGAACCTGCTTGCTCTTATGTAAAAGAGGGATAATAATTGTCATATCTTCTTTGTCTTCCTGTCTGGGTTGTGGTCAGAATAATATAAGAAAGTAATTTGTACTTTGTACAAATTTGTACAAGGTACAGTTTGTACAAATAATAATTTGTACAAATAATTTGAAAGTAATTTGTACTTTGTACAAATTTGTACAAAGTACAATTTGTGCAAATAATTTGTACAAATAATTTGTACAAATAAAGCACCTTGCAATCATAAGGTAACAGCAGTAAGTATCAGCAATTAAAATTTCATACACTAGCTGGATGCGGGGGCTCACGCCTACAATCCCAGCACCTGGGGAGGCCAAGGCAGGTGGATCACCTGAGGTCAGGAGTTCGAGACCTGCCTGGCCAACATGGTGAAACCCCATCTCTACTAAAGAAAAAAATACAAAAATTAGCTGAGCATGGTGGCGCGCTGCTGTAATCCCAGCTACTCGGGAGACTGAGGCCAAAGAATCTCTTGAACTCGGGAGGTGGAGGTTGCAGTGAGCTGAGATTGCACCACTGTACTCTGGCCTGGGTGACAGAGCGAGACTCTGTTTCAAAAAATAATAATAATAATAATTAAAATTTCATATACTACAATAGGGTGAATGAAATTGTTCCTGTTATTTATATAACTTCTAACACTTAGCTTGCTATCTTCAGCTTTTCCCTTGTCTTATCTAATGGTTTATGAGGCATTTACTCTTTTTCCATTTCCATCTGCTCTTATGGTTGAAAGGCTAAAACTGACAACTTTCAGATGTATCACAGAGACATATCAAAAGAATTCCAACATGAAAGGTATTGGGTTCATGTGCAGAAGTAGTGAATAAATAAGCAGGGTTGGGTGAGGTTAAGAGAGTGCCACATGATCTATGTGGTAATAAATAGGTGAAGTGCCCAGGAGAGAGAGATGAGCAGAAGAGACCTCTCCAGTAGTAGACATTGAAGAGGAGGATTTTAGAATTCGTCTCTTAAGACATTCACTGCCAAGTTCCAACAGAACATCATGGACAAAACATATCTAAATGAGAAGGAAACTTTGGGACATTGAGGATGGCTTGGAGTGGAAATGACCTGGAAGGTTGCAGTGATCCCAGGCAGGAGAGGACAATGGCCGTGTCTGCAGTGGTACAGTCTGAGGGGGAAGGTTGCCGACTGACGTGTGGGGAACTGGGAGTGTGGCACTGGAGAAGACCAGTTGGAAAATTGATTGTCCTGGCTGTGACAGCTGAACCATGAGGACTGTCTAAGAGCACTGAAACTGGGGAGAAAAGAAAGTAGCCTGGACATGGTAATGCTTAAATGAATACTTACATGTGATACCGTAATTATCAACAGATTTAAAATCTGTTGAATATACTGTTCAAGTTTAAATCTGTTGAATATACTGTTCAAGTTTATAGAAGCAAGAAACTTCCCCCCATATTTGTACTGTATTAATCTTTTGGTTTCCTTGCCTCAATTCAGTTTTGTTTCATATTTAATTATGGGGCTGAAAGTACATAAGTTTGAGTAGTCTAGAGTGGAATGTGGTTAAATATCCCTGCAGATTACTTTATGTGTTTCAGTATTCTAATAAAATCAGCCGCAGTGATCCATATGGGATTTGTAGATGCTGTTTTCCCGAGGCCCTTTTCTCTATGGCTGTCTGTGACCTTAGCCATTGACTCGCTTAATCGTTTTTGGCCTCCTAAGTCAGTGATTCTGAGCGGGCAGAGTGGTAATGTGATGTCATGTCTGGGGCATGAGCCTGCATCCTCGCCGCACAGGGGTCCCACCCTTCCTGGTCTAGGCAGCTCAATGCACAGTGCTTGGCGCATCGTGAGTGCTCAATAAATTCAGTTGCTTTTCCCGTCTCTCTCTGGATCTCAAATAGAAATATCCAAATTTGAGAATGCCACCAAAGCATTAAGTTCCCTAATTAAAGTCCATAGTAAAAGCTGAGGCAGATGTGTGGGAATGCAGTTCCAGACACTGTAGTTAATCTAGGAGAGATGATCGCACTGTATTTACAACAAGGCTTCCCATGCTCATGAATCATAAGAACTCTTACAGGATTAATGAGTTTTAACTTAATGCAGAATTTTTAAACTATGTGTAATGCTGGGACATTTCAAAGTGTTTGTCATGAAAAATGGCTGATGAAGGTACACATTTCGAGATATCCTGTGTTCCACCTACGTTGTTTGTTATCTTGTTGACATCTTCTGTTCCTTTTACAAAAAGGTCAGAAGGAAGTCCCTCCACATTTTCTGTAGATTGCTAGATAAGAGAAACATCAATATAGAAAGGAACATTTTGATAGCCTTACACATTTATGTTTTTCAAAATAAAAAAATTCTTTAAATAAAACTTTCTTTCGTGCCCTTTCTCTGGTAGAGAGAAAAATTAGCCCCCTTTTCTTTCAGAGACGTGCCTTGTGGGCTTTGACCAGTTTTCCCCTAATGCTGGCATTTTGTAAAACTGTAGAACAAGATCTCAATTAGGATGTTGACATTCACACAATCCATTCATCGCGATTAGATTTCCCCAGTTTCGCATGTACTTATTTGTGTGTGTGTATGTGTGAGCATCAAGTTATATACAACTTTATCACATGTAGGTTCATGTATTCACTACCAAAGGTATTATTATTTTTTAAGTTCCAGGGTGCATGTGCAGGATGTGCAGGTTTGTTACATAGGTAAATGTGTGCCATGGTGGTTTGCTGCATCTATCAACCCATCAGCTAGGTATTAAGCCCAACATGCATTAGCTATTCTTCCTGATGCTCTCCCTCCCCACTCCGGTATTCTTTTAAGACTGTCAGTTGCTCAGGAGTTTGTGGCACATCCCATGATGACATACACTAAATTTGTCTTCTCTAAGTACACAAGAACTTTGCATGACTGTAGGAATGTGGGGAGAGGAATTCTGGCCCATGGTTCCTGTCTTTGGCTGTGCAGTTACTCTTTCACATTCCCTCATTATAAAGGTCTGGCTGGCCCTGGCAAAATCATAGGTGGGCTTTGCACACAGCTAACTGCTTGCCTGAAGTAACTTACACTTTTGTACTGCATTCAGAGTTCTGCCAACTTCAGAGGCCAGGAAAGAAAGAAAGGATTGGCCTGGGAGTGTAACACACCTGCTTTTCCTGAAGGCACATACAACAGGCGTATTTGAGTACCTGCTTGCCCTTTGGGATATATTGAAACACATGCCTGTTTCGTCCTGAAGTTGTGGATGAATACCTTCATCCCCTGGAAATTCCTTGTTTCACATAGATTTTAAATGTCCTTGCGGGCAGATATTCACTGAGAAAACTGTCCTGTTAATTGTACTTTGGCTATCTGGCCCAGTCTCTAGAACAATTATAGTAGAACCATGTCATCTTGACACATTTAGGAAGATCCACATTTGAGAATGCCACTGTAATGTTTAGGTTCCCCAAATAAAAATTTCATATTACAACTATGTCTCTCTCTTTCCTTTCTCTCTCCCTCTCTTTCTCTTTCTCTCTCTCTCTCTCTCTCACACACACACACACACACACACACACACACAGAGCAAAGCTGTGCTAAGATGCAAACACTAGGCAGATGGCCAAGTTGCCCCTCCAGGCTAAATGTCTCAGGCCTGCACTCTAGTCTGAGAAAAAATGGATTTGCAAACAGTTCAAACTGTGAATATTAACATTTAAGAATGGCCAAGGTCTATTGCATTCCACTAGTCACTCTTAGAATCTGAGTGTTTGTTTAGGTAACCAGAACACAGATGATGATGATGATGATGATGATGATGATGATGATGATAATGATTGATCATAATAACTGAAGAGTAAAACACTATCAATGTGATCATTATGGGATTCTTTTGGAGAATACATTTAGTATATTTGGACCAAAAGCCCTGTTGGATCCTAAATCCCAGCTATGCTGTGGCATACAAAGAGCTGTTTTTTCTTTTTTTTTTTTTGGACTAATGCTTTTTGACTATTGGCACTTCAAATATCTACGAATTACAAGTGATATTCTTTATTTTTGGTGGTAACTATTATCTTATTTAAACAAAAATCATGCTTTTGAATCAGCTGTAGACATTTTTGACAATCTTGGAAGTGCAGAAAAAGTTATATTTGAAAGAAAATAATTATAGAATATCAGCATATGCTGCTGTTGCTTCCATAGCAAACTCCTTTGGGCCTTACTCAACCAAAATAAATGTGGCCACATTGCTGCAGTAAGCATGGCTTGAGGCAAATGGAAGACTGCAGTTCTGTTTCCTGTGTCCTGCTTTCTGTCCCTGAGGTCCAAGCAATGCCAGAACAGTGAATTTGAAAGTATTAAAATGTTGGTCTGTGTGGTCCTTGGTCTTCCCATCTATAAAGCTAGACTTGGTGTAGAGATTATATAGTTAAATCCTCTTATATTCTACAGGTGACAAAATGAAAACCCAGAGCAATTGTGTCCAGTTCAAGGCCACACAACCTTGTTAGCTCTGACAAGAGCCAGGTTTCCTGACTTCTAGTCCATTGCTTTTCCCTGTAGCGAGCCGCTTCCTCTTGCCTCACCCGATCTTCCTTGGATTTCCATTGGGAATGTTGACCACAGTTCTGATAAATCTCTTCCTTCAGGTCCTGTGTTAGTTTCTTCAGGGCTGCCATAACAAAGTGCCACAAACTTGGGTGCTTTACCACAACAGAAATTTGCTCTTTCACAGTCTGGAAACTGGAAGTCTGACATCATGGTGTTGGCAGGGCCGTGCTCTCCCTGAAGGCTCTAGGGAAGAATCTGTTCCATCTCTTTCCCTTCACTTCTGGTGCTGTTGGTGATCCTTGATGCTCCTTGGCTTTTAGATGCATTGCTCCATTCTCTGCCTTGGTTGCCACATGGTGGTAACAGCAGTTCCTGTGTGTCTGTGTCTCTTTTCCTCTTATAAGGACACCAGCCATATTTGATTAGGGCCCACCCCACTGACTTCATCCTACCTTGATTATATCTGCCAAGACCTTATTTCCAAATAAAGTCACATTCATAGAGACAAGGTGGGTTAGGGCTTCACTATATCTTTTTAGGGGACACAATTCAACCCATAACAGTTCTTTATAACTTTAAACCTGTTAGAACCAGGCTGGTATTTGTAATGCATAATGAGAAACTGCAGTGAATTTCATTAAGTGTAAAGCATCATATCCAACATTTGTAGTTTGTTACAATAACACATTCAAAAGATTTATAGACTGCTTTTGGTGTGATTTTTGGATTAATTCCCTCTTTTGAAGACATTTGTTGGGCTTAGTTTATTTTAAGGAAGGAATGAATAGACCTGAAAACACCTAATTTTTATTTTCAATTTAGCCTGGAAGCTAGCAAAAGCTTTTGCAGAGAACTGAAACTGTGTCACAGAGCACCAGCACTGTATTTGTTATCATTTTGGCCTTCAGTTTTATTAATGCTTGTTTGATGTGTTAAGCCCCTAGCTAAGACAAAAAGACAGAACTTTAGGGTTTTTGTTTGTTTTAGCAGTAATAAAGTCTAGAATAAAATGTTTGCTCTATAATATTTAATGGTGTGTATTCAATTTTTAAACCAAAATTTAAAAGAAAGAAATCCCATTCTCATTCAGCACTGTCAAATGTATTCATTCCCCCAGACTTCACTGGTTGAATATAATAATTTGTGTGTATAAACAGTCTTCCTGACTGCATTCTCTTTAATATTCATTTATCAATTTGGGAGGAAATTTCCAAATAACCTTTATTTGCACCTTAAAAAAATAGTTTTAAACGAAGTCATGGGAATGGATTGCTCTGTCTTTTACTGACTTTTATATATGTGATTCCAAACCTCCCTTTAAATTAATGTCTTTTAGCTTCAAATATACCTCTTCCCATAAGGCTAGTCCCCATTTCCTATAATCTTACAGACCTAGGAGAACAATATTTTCCCTTCTGTCGTTTTGATAATTACATCCTCTGTGCTCAGTGGTGGCCTATTAACTCACATGAATACCATGGGCTTGCAAAATGGCCTCAAATTTCCATATATTGGAACTGTGAGAACTTTCTATAATGGTGCTTTAGCAATAATGATGGAGGTGCAGGCATTTCCTGAGGATTAATGACCAGCTGGGAGGAACCAGTGGCCCTTGGCTCTGCCTCCCAGCCAGCCATTAATTCTAAGGAAATGTCTTTTGCTGAGGTCGTTACTGCTATTATAAGCTTAAAATGGAAAAACATAATAGGCATATGAGTTATTTTTATGGGTTGATGCAGTTTCCAATGGTGTGTACTAATTTGAGAAAATGAATGTGTATACATACAAGAGTAAGTCAGATTGTTAGACTCATCCCTCAGTATTCCATATGTTTTGTGACTGATTTTACAGTTCTCTCTACCTTTCTCATTTACAAAAAAAAAAAAGAAAAGAAAATTTGATTCAGCAATTCCTAAAAGTATTGTATTCAGTGACATCTTTGGAAACACCAGTTTCTGTTATCAACTTCAAATAATAGTCAAGTTTTATGTATGATCTAAAGGGAAAACAAGTTTGTTTTTCAATCCTGTGATAATTTTTCTTTTAGAATGAAGTGTTGCAAGAAATGAAAAATTAAAAAAACCACTCTGTAACAATTTTGCTGTGCTTCTTTGATTTTTCTCTGTTTTTGTTTAATGGGTACCTTATATTTGTACCTTTACATATTGAATTCATGAGAGAGTTATGCACAGCCTAGTTATTTGACATTCCAGGGGTTTAAAAAAATGTATATTAAATATTGCAGTAATGGTGAATGCTTTAACATAAAACCACAAAAAACCTCCTAAAAATAAAGCCAAAGAGTCTAAATCTCGCTCACTGTGCTTCTTTCTGATTATTTTTAAAAGGCAGCCCTTCTTGTACAGTATTTCTACTTTTTATTCTAATCAACTGGACTGTTGCATTATTTTTATGTAGATTGCTAACAAGGTTTTTGAAGAAACACTCTTAAAAGTCATAAAAGGGAAAATCTTGACAGTTCTGGGATATTGCCACCCTTGACCTTTTGGAGAAATGTAGACAGCATCTCCCAGGCATGACGCCTAGGGATCGTGTTTATCTGTCATCAGTTGGTGACTCCATGTTTATTGAGCACTGGCTATAAGCCAGACTTGGTGAGGGACTGAAACAATTACAAGACACAGTTCTGCACTGGAAGAAATAGGAATCAACCTAAGATTTCCTGTCCTGCTAGGTCATCAGGTTCCTGTCCCACTACTTTCCTTCCTCTACCAAATTCACTTATAGCCTCCAAGTAGTGTAACTATCAATAGCACCCCTTTCACTCCCCAAAGTGTCCTAATTTGGAGAGTAAGTTGTATGATCACCCTACCTACAGTCTGCCTGTTTTCCAATGCACACTTTGTCTCTCCCCTGCTCTTGTTACATGTGTGTCCTGAGGCCACTTCCAGATTGTTCTTCCTCTGTCATTACTCCAGCATGTCATTGCTTTGCTCAGAAACTGCTAACTGGGTCTTCATTTGTGGTTAAATAATACCATTTTTCTTATATACATGTAGCCGAAAGCTCTATTTCCAATATGGAAATAACTAAGAGTAAACATCCTATTCCATGAACAGGACGAACACTTTCTCACCTTCACTTTTACCTGCAATTTCCTTCTTCCATTTTCAGCTGCTTAAAATCTTCTTTAATCTTCAAAGTCCAGTTTAGACAGCACCTTTTATGAATTAGCTCCTTACTGCCCTAGTCAGAAGTGGGCTGTCTCATCCTTGTAGGAGGGTAAACACGCATTGCAGATGCTTCTCAACTTGCCATGGGGTTATGTCCTGATACACTCATTGGAAGTTGAAAATATCATCAGTCAAAAATGCATTTAGGCCGTGTGCAGTGGCTTACTCTTGTAGTCCCAGCATTTTGGGAGCCTGAGATGGGAGGATTGCTTGAGCCCAGGAGTTTGAGACCAGCCTGGGCAATATAGTAATGCCCCATCTCTAAAAAAAAAAAAAAAATTAAAAATTAGCCAGGTGTGTGGTGGCACACACCTATAGTCCCAGCTACTCGGGAGGCTGAGGTGGGAAAATGCTTGAGCCTGGCATGTCTAGCCTTCAGTGAGCCATGACTGTGCTACTGCACTCCAGCCTGGGCAACAGAGCAAGACTCTGTCTGAAAAGAAAAGAAAAGAAAAGAGAAAAGGAAAAAGGGCATTTAAGACATCTCACCTACTGAACATCCTAGCTTCGCCTAGCCTACCTTAAATATGCTCAGAACAGTTACACTGCCTACAGTCTGAGAATATTTACATTAAATATGCTCGGAACACTTACATTGGCCTACAGTCATCTTACACAAAGCCTGTTTTATAAGAAAGTGTTGAATATCTCATGTAACTTACTGAATACTGTACTGAAAGTGAAAAACAGAATGGTTGTATGGATATTTGAAGTATAATTTCTACTGAACGTGTATCACTTTCACACCATCGTAAAGCCAAAAAATTCCAGTCAGGCCATCATAGGTCAGGGACTGTCTGTATGAATGCCTTGCTTTCATTATAGCATTCTCCATTTTCTCTTGTACTGGTAATTTTTGAACAGTTATCTTTACCAGTTTTGTAAACTCCTTGAGAACAGTTTTGCATTTTCTTCAAAACCTAGGACTGTGGTATACAGTAACCGCTTAATACAATATTTGTTAAATGAAGAACAAAAAATACGTGGCTAGGCTACTCAGGTCATTCCCACAAAATGATTTCTTTAAACTGCGTAATTGGAAGTTTTTGTTTTTTCAAAAAAGTATGTCCACAGTATTATGTCATTAATTACTATACCCTGAGGAATTACTGCTGCTGCTAATCTCTTGGATTCAGTACTTAGAGACATAAATATAAGTGACATTAGCACTGCTACTGTTCAATGAGATTACAAAATAGAAAGTAGACATAGAAGCAGATGTTGGAAAATATTCTCAAAGATAACAAAATGTAGAATATCTTACTAGGCCTGGTTCAGGGACATAGGCTAAGCTGAAGCTGCCACACATGGTGTTTGACTTCATGGCACACTTTTCTGCAGAACTGGAAAAAGATGTGTCTACTTTGGGGCATTTTCTTCAAAATTAAGAAAAAAACGTGTCTATGATTGATTTTAAAAAAGATAATTTAGGCCAGGTGTGGTGGCTCATGCCTATAATCCCAGCACTTTGAGAGGCCAAGGCAGGTGGATCACGAGGTCTGGAGTTCGAGACCATCCTGGCCAACATGGTGAAACTCTGTCTCTACTGAAAATACAAAAAATGAGCGGGCATGGTGACACATGCCTGTGGTCCCAGCTACTTGGGAGGCTGAGGCAGGAGAATCGCTTGAACCTGGGAGGTGGAGGTTGCAGTGAGCCCAGATCGTGCCACCGCACCTCCAGCCTGGCGACAGAGCAAGACTCCGTCTCAAAACAAAACAAAACAAAACAAAACAAAAAAAGGTAATTTAAGAAAACAATACATGCTATTGTATTGGATGGATAAAACAGAGCGTTCCATGTGACAAAACCTGTATGTAAACGTATTTCTTATTTTTTAATCATCATTTTATATATGTGGGTCACTATGGAACACTGCGTTCAGAAAATAAATTACTTTTCTTTTTCAAAATATTGCATTGGTAGTTTCATCTCGTTTTAGGTAATATTGATTTATCCTAAATTGGTAAAAAAAAAAAAAAAAAACCTAGATACTATATATATTTAATTTAAGCACCTTGTAGTTCCATGGAAAACAAACTGATAAAATTTTAAGAGTAAATTGAGTAAATAAATATAGATTATACTTAAATTTTTTTTCTCTCTGTGAACTGGCTTTAAAGATATGCTTTAACATTTAATATAACAACATATTTTTGAAAAAAAAATCCGTTTTTGTGCAACATGTTTCTTTTTTTTTTTTTTTGGAATGAAGTTTCGCTCTTGTTGCCCAGGCTGGAGCGCAATGGCGCGATCTCGGCTCACTGCAACCTCTGCCTCCCCAGTTCAAGCGATTCTCCTGCTTCAGCCTCCTGAGTATCTGGGATTACAGGCGCCCACCACCACGCCCGGCTAATTTTCGTTTATTTAGTAGAGACGGGGTTTCACCATGTTGATCAGGCTGGTCTTAGTCTTCTGACCTCAGGTGATCCACCCGCCTCGGCCTCCCAAAGTGCTGGGATTACAGGTGTGAGCCACCACGCCTGGCTGTGCAACATGTTTCTAAGTGAACAGTATGACTTCAGAGAGTCATACTGTTTTAAGAGAGTTAACAAAAGAATAAGCATTGGATATACTTACCTTTTTTCAGATGTTATAACAAATTTACCAAAATGCACCATACACACACACACACACACACACACACACACATTCCATAACTTCAAACAACAGAAAATGGGATTCTGTCTGTCTCTGTGTCCCACAATCAGTACCACCACCACTACTACAGTTTGCTTTTATTATAGTATTATCAATTTTCTGCAAATAAGCCTAAATGTCTTAGGTAGTTCTACATTTTTATATTACACAGTAATTGAGGAAAAACTAAATATTTTTGAAAGTGCATTTAAAATACTACTTTAGAACAATTAATCTACTTGGGTGTACAAAATGAAAGCCAGTTGTTAGAAATCTCTTATACTACAAAAATTAAAAAAGTGTTAAGCATCAAGGATTAGACCTGGACTAGAAGTATGTGTCACTTGGTGGATGACCATGCAACTCAAGAAGAGGAAGAGTGGATTTAGAATTCAAGATAGAGATGAAACACTCATGTACTTAGTGTGTGTGAAGTTTAGGAGAGGGAGCTGAGCTGATGGAGCCATGGGTCACAGTAGCTGAAGCCATGGCTGTGGATAAAGATCCCAAGAGAATGTGGAAAATGAAATGTGATATAGAAAGTGGAGAAGAAAGGGAATATGGGGACCACTGCACACAAAGGAGATAATATAGGTTGTCAACTGCCAACGGCAGTATGTGGACCAGTGGTCTTTACCACATCCTTCTCCAGCTGTCCCACCGTCCACACGAACTTACGCATGCTTCCCTTGCTCTACCCACCCATGCTCAGCTCATGGTAATTGGCATGGCTGTTTCATATCTATTAGGTCACTAGACTGAGCTTACCACTGGGATAATCAACAACAGCAGTGAACCCTAAATCCTGACGACACTATCAGCACTTAAGTAGAGCTGGGGAATGAAACTAGAATTCTTTTGGGGCCAGATCATTAACTCATATCTAGTGACACCCCATTTTGCCTCTGGAAAAGTTAAGGTTTTGTTGTGCAATTAGCTTTACAGAATGGAGCATTTCTGTTGGTTTACTAAAACTGTTAAGCCAAAATAGGGCACAAGTGCAAGTCCTGGCTCCAGAAGTTGGCTGTACCTTCCTTTCTGCAGTACAAGGTGAACATCTGTAAAGAAGAATGCAATGTCCCGGGTGTGTTTAAACTGACTGCCTTGGCCTCAAACTAAAACTGTTAAGCCAAAACAGGGCACAAGTGCAAGTCCTGGTTCCCGAAATTGACTGCACCTTCCTTTCTGCAGTATGAGGTGAACATCTGTAAAGAGGAGTACAGTGTCCCTGGTGTGTTTACACTGACTGCCTTGTTTTCAAGGATCATTAGATTTCAAAGAAAAAAAAATCACAACAATATCCTTTGCATGGACCAGATGATGAGAAACTAAATTGTAATTTGGGATTCATTCACAAGAAAAGTCCTGAATGGTTTTCCCATGGACAGGATCTTGGAGGTTAGGAATACCAAATCCTGTGCCCAGCTCAGTCTCACTGACTAGGGAATGTTGTCTTTAGACTACAGAAGTCGCAACCCTCACCCCAAAACATGAAGTATTCAAACCTTTTGAAGGGTGTGATGTTTCCAGGTAATTTGGCTTGGCACAGGAATTGCATTTATGCCCAACTTTGGCTAAGCGATTTTAGTAGTCCAGCAAAAATGCTCTGTTCTGTAAAGGTAATTGCAAAACAATATCTTCATTTCTCCAGATGGAAAATGGGATATGAAAATCCACCAAAGGAAAGAAATATCATTTCCCGCACTGTGGCTCTGCAATCTTAGAAGGGTTCCATGAATATTATGTATGTGCAGTAAACATTTATGACCTTATTTAGGTCCAAGCAGCATGAGGGATTTTGTGCTAGTAGTTGTTGATGAGCACTACAAATAGGGATCCTTTATATCTGAGGTATCCATAGTAACTAAGTAGGGCCCATTTCCATCGTGCTTATTTGCTTCCAACCTGCCAACCATGCTTAGACTCTGAGGGCTCCAGGATTCCTAATTCATAAAAAAAACACCCCAGAGAGGTGGGTAAGTGCTTTTCAGAAAAAGCAAACTTAAGCAAGTGATTTTAAGAGATTTGAAGAGTGCTACATGGCAGCCAAGATGATAATTTTTTGGCCCAAATATAAATTTAATTGAGTAGTGTTATAAAGACAAAATTACATAGCCAGAAACAGAATTATGAGCATTAGGAAAATAATAGTGTTGTCTTCCATCTCCTTGAAATCCCCTGTTATGTTACTCACTCCACTGTTGACTATTTTGTAGATAGCACACATTCACCTTGCATTTGGCAGAGAACACCAGCTTTGCTATGAATGCTCACAATTTTTGTAATACAGGGAAATATTTAACATACTAGGAAAAAAAGGTTTAAATTCATTAACATTACTATTGTAATGTTCATATACTCCTCTTTTCTTAGGACACACTACAAATGATTTTATAGTGTTTCCATTTAACACACATAGTAGCTTTTCTTCTGGATTGTATGTGCAGTGCCATTGAACAGAAGCATAAAATTGTCAGTGGCCTACATTTTTTAGATTATTTAACTATGATTAGAAATATTTTGATCCATTTTTTCACTTCAGCTCTTTTTCATATTAGTGCACACTTGACCCTTGAACAATACAGGTTTGAGCTGGACGGGTCCACTTATATGCAGATTTCTTTCAGTGAAAGTTACACTGAGTGCTTCTGCCTCTCCTGCCTCCTCTTCCACCTCTTCTCCCTCTTCTGCCTCTGTTACCCCTGAAACAGCAAGACCAACCCCTCCTCATCCTCAGCCTCCTCAACATGAAGACAGTAAAGATGAAAACCTTTATGATGATCCATTTCTACTTAATGAGTAGTGAACAAATTTTCTCTCTTGCTTGTCTTATTTTTTTGTAGTTTACATGTAGTTTGTAAGGATGCAGTATATAATAATATCACATACAAAATATGTGTTAATCGACTGTGTTATCAGTAAGGCTTGCAGTCAACAGTAGGCTATTAGCAGTTAAGTTTTGTGGAGTCAAAAGTTTTGCGTGGATTTTTGTTGGATTTCTGACTTCACAGGGAGTCAGTGCCCCAACCCCTGCATTGTTGAAGGGTCAATTGTATTTTTGTCTGATTTCATGAGGGTGAACTTTTTATACTATACTTTTACAGATAGAAATGAAAGTACTTAGTAATAATTGAACATATGTACAGTAAAAATATTATAGCTGTTGTTTTAAAATAATTGTATTAAATTGAAACTTAAGTTAGTCTTCAGGCTTTTTAAGGTTTTCAAATTTGAACTGGAATGCAATTCAGAATGTGCTAGAATAACATTTCTCCATTTCTCCAGTGTCAAGATGGGAAGGCATACATTCTAAGCGTCTGTATCTCCATCTATTTTTCTTTTTTTTTTTTTTTTTTTGAGACAGAGTCTCGCTCTGTCACCCAGGCTGGAGTGCAGTGGCTCAATCTCGGCTCACTGCAAACTCCGTCTCCCAGGTTCACACCATTCTCCTGCCTCAGCCTCCCGAGTAGCTGGGACTACAGGCACCTGCCACCACGCCCGGCTAATTTTTTTTTTTTTGGTATTTTTAGTAGAAACGGGGTTTCATCATGTTAGCCAGGATGGTGTCGATCTCCTGACCTCGTGATCTGCCCATCTTGGCCTCCCAATGTGCTGGGATTACAGGCATGAGCCACCACGCCTAGCCATCCCCATCTATTTTTCACTAATATTCAAGCTAGAGTTGCTGGCTAAAATGATGGAGCATCAGAATTTGTGAACTCTGGGAATCATAGCAAGTGTATAACTATAATTCCTTTGTGTCTAAGGAGGGTGGACCTCTATATTAGAGAGAAGATTTACAAACGTTGGGGAAAAAATGGAAATTGAGACTGACTCCTAAGGAAACATCTGTTCACTCACTCAGCAAACATTTAGCCCACTCTGCTAATGCTAGGCACTGTGCTAGATATTTGGAGAGACACTGGAGAAAACTTAAGGTCCCTAGTCTTGTGGCTCTTACATTCTAGAGAGGGATTATAAATGACGGCGTAGTTATTAAAAAAATACAGATGATGATTTCAAGCCTTATAAGAGCAAAGAAGAAAAGTGAACCAAGTTAATGTAATGGAGAGTATTGGAGTAGGCGAGGCTGCTTTAGATCAGAGAGTCTGGGTGGACTTGATGGAGGAGGTCATGGATAGCCTTGCAGCTGGTAGACCTGTGGGCAACATTAACAGCAGATAGGACAAGAGGGTTAGGGGCTAACTGAGCATTCACCTTTGTCTTCTTTTTCCCCTCGGTTATGAGTGTGACAAGGCGGAACATCCAAGGGATATGTTGCAGGTGTCTTAAGAGTCAGGTAAAAGGCAAGATGATTCATTATATCTGTTCTTTTTGTGATACCCATGTAACTACCTATAAGCTTCAAAGTGAAATAAACATTACCTCTTGTACCTTAGCCCGCTTCTCATTCTTCATTACAAATTTAAGAAGGCAGTTATTAATGTGAATAGTCATTCTTCTTTTCAGCAGTGCCAACTTTAAAAAAAAAAATCACTAACACTTACCTGAGATGCAGCTGACATGTACCAAGATTGCTTGCCATTGCCCTCTCAACCCATCTGAGTCAAATTTTTCTTTCTGCTGCTGTTTTCCTTCTGCTGCCATTTTTCTTTCTGCTGCTGTCAAGATAGGAACATGTGCCTTCCCATCTTGACACTGGTAGAGAGAGAGATTGAGAGATTGAAGGGGGAGAAATCAGTTCTGATTTTCTAGTTTCTAAACACTGCAGAAGAACAAAGTAGAGAAGAAAGAGGAGAGTGTGTGAGGAAAGAAATGGCAAGAGGTACATGAGATAACTTAGCAGGGAGTTAAATAACTAGCTCACATAATGACAAAAAAACATTGACACTAAATTGAGGGCCTGCCATTTTTGTTAACTGGTATCCCTGAATGTGGCTAATGGCACAAGCTACGTAGAAACAGGCCCTTGTCCTGTTTTTGCAATGAGCAGAAATCTAGCCCACTGAGACATCGAGTTCTTTTCTAACTTTTTGCTCTGTTGAGAACATCTTTGCTTTTGGATACAAAGGCAGCATGAAAATCTGGAGGCCTTCTCAGGAAGGGGAACTTCTAGGAACTTAATCTGTTAGTGGGAAAGCCAGGAACCAGCACACTTGGAGTGTCATCTGAGCAGGAGGAGTTAGAATTGGCTGGCCAGTTTTCCCTTAATGAGTGTTTATTATGTTTAAGCTACAGAACTAATTACTGTGAAAAGACATAAAGGAATGAGAAGACCAAAACCGTATCCTCATGATACTGACAAATCAGTTGGACTGAGCACACATGAATCAACTGAAGAACACTTCTGCCAAGTTCAAGTTGTGTAAAAGTGGAGGATATGAGTCTTGTGGGGACACAGAGTTGAGGCATGAGCTATTAGTCAGAGCCGTAAGGCTGCCTGCAGGAGAAGAACTTTGGATGGAGTTTTGAAGGAAGTGAGGAAAAGATCTGAATTAACGTATTAACACATAAAGCTTGTCATCTGAACAGGACTATAAGCATCTCGAGGGTAAGAACGTGCCTTTTCTTTCTTACACATTCCCAGAAGACCCACATTCCTCATTGGGCTCTCTGTAACAGTATTTACTAAGCACTTGAATAACTGGACATGGGCACCATGTTGCTAAGTTGATTAAAGGTTGGTCTTCCACTCTGCCACTGGCCACAGCACAAAGTGAAAACAGATGTCACAAGCACCTTGTAGATCTGTCCCTTTTTTCTTCTGATGTTCACCCTCCTTTTGAGCTCTTTCTTTCTCCAACATTGCTTACAAAATAATCTTTATGCATCTGAGAGGGAGCAAATATTCAGTAACTTTCTGCAGCTGTCCTCACTAAAGAGGAGAATCTGTTGAATGCCACTGGAAATGTAAGGATCTCTTGTGACAGTAACATCTCAAGGGGAAACTAGTGGTTAAATTGTTAATTCTTTGAGTCTGAAACTTTTTTCATTTGCAGTGCAGATAAGTGCCTGATCTTGCAGTATCACGTTTCTGACTTCTTTGTTCTGGCTTCATTTTTTTTTTCCCAAAATGCCATTTTCATTTGTTCTTAGAGTTCAGAACATGTCAAAGAGCTTCTTTAAGCAGTAGGTGGTTTTACAGAGCCCACAGAGAAGGAAAACTAAATATCATCCCGGATGCAGTCCACTACGATCGTGGAGGAGTCAGATTACTCTCCGGGCTTTGCTGTGTCTGCTTGTGAAACAGGAAAGGGAGAACTGAGGCAATGAGTCACCTCACTTGGGCCCAAAGCACCACCTACGTTGAATATGGAGAAAATGTGAAGCAAGAGTTTCTTTTTATACATAATCACCATTTGTACATAATCACCATTTTCTCCATGGTTCTTATCCAATTCAGTGCATCTTAAAGGATGGTTTGTGGAATCATGACATAGCAGAAAAATCCAGGTACTATCAGTCTTGCCTGTTTCTACCTAACTCTTTCATTTAAACTCTCACTAGAATCTATAGGAACTGTTAGCATCAATTTTAATAAGTTGTCAACTAAGTGATTAGTGGTATTTATTGGTTATTTTTGACAAAATAATGGAATCATCAAATTTTGAAGTTGAGAAGTAAAGTAAAAATTTGTGCCAAACCCCAAATGTAGACAAGGTCATATTATAAACATTAATGCTGTCCCAAACTGCCAATGCATTGCGTAGAACTGAGGTTAGCAGGTTACCATTGATTTCCTCTACTTATGCTTTAAGAGGTTGGCATTGGTAAGCCGCTACACTTTCTTGGTCAATGAGGCAGAAACCCCTTTGCAAAACTCTCAACTGATGAAAAGATTAGCTAGAATGACTCTAGGAACTGTTTTCTAAGGATCTGACTCATTGATTCCTTTTTTTGGTAGGGTTCTCTGGGCCAAGTTAGTTCGAGTATTTATCATTTAAATTAGGAAATTACCATCACCATCATCATGTACATTCATAAATCAAAGCAAGATTAGAGA
This sequence comes from Homo sapiens, assembly GCF_000001405.40. Lineage (NCBI taxonomy): Eukaryota > Metazoa > Chordata > Mammalia > Primates > Hominidae > Homo > Homo sapiens. The sequence goes on from NC_000012.12 coordinate 65,869,260, forward strand.
AGGAATATGGTGGATCACAGAGCAACTCAGAAAGACGACAGCAACAACTAGGAAATGAAACACCATGGTTGTATTTCAGGAACCCTACCCAGCAGATAGGAATTACCATAGCTCCTAAAATTCCATCTGGGTGGTTGATGGAGCCTCAATTAATCTGACACCATAGCCCATGCTCCCCTCTTGCTACCTGCTGAAGTTAGCAGGGAAAAGTCAAAGAGGGTGCTGTCAGTGGGGTCAATTCTTAGGGATCATAGTGAACCACCCTCCATTGCACTGACTCTTTCCCACAAAATGGGCTAGAGATAGCAGCTCTCCTTATGTATTTAAGAAAGAATGGTCAAAAAATACAATTCACATTTTATTCTGGTATATACCATTTTGACAGTGTTTCACAATGTAGGTAATATGAATGGGAGTATTTAAACACAATCCTGTTTAATATTCTTAGCCAGTACTTATTAAATGCCTACCAAGCCTGGCATTGTTCTAGAGACCTCAAAATACACCTTTAAAAACATATTTTATTGACAGTTGTATAAATGAAGAAAACAAGTCTCAGAAAATTAAAGTGACTTGCACAGATACACAAGCTAGAAAGTAATAAAACTGAATTTTGAACCCAGGTTTGTCAGACTCTAAAGTCCATGATTTTCTGCTCCATGTGGCCAACCCAGTTAGAAAGGTTATAAAAAATCTTAACAGTTTTTCAGCCCTTCTCACACTTAGCTTTAGGATTAAAAGTATTGGTCATGATTTGCAAAAAAAAAAAAAGTAGTGCACAATATTCCAGCTATATTCAATAAACATTTGTTGAATACAACGTATGTATATACAGGTCATTGTTACAGGTCTGTGTATAAGTAAACACAATATGGTCCTTAGCTTTAAGACCTTTCAGTCTAGGGGTAGATATGCATGTGCATACAACTTCTGTTTATTTTTGAATTTCAACTATGTGTCAGGTGTTAGGCTGAGCACATTATGAACATTGTCTTGATTTATTATTTAACCTTGTACGAGCCTTGTAAGGTAGTGGTTTTCGAAATATTTTTGCCAAAATGTAAATAGTAAAAAACAATATGTGAAGCCTTTATTCCAACTAGGTAAAATAAGGAAGGCTTTACAAAGGAGATGAATGACACTTCAGCTGAGCCCTAAAGAATGAATAGGATTCTAATAGAACAGCTGGGGGCAGGCGTGGTGGCTCACACCTGTAATCCCAGCACTTTGGGAGGCCGAGGCAGGCAGATCACCTTAGGTCAGGAGTTCGAGACCAGCCTGGCCACCATGCAAAAGCCCGTCTCTACTAAAAATACAAAAATTAGCCAGGCGTGGTGGCACATGCCTGTAATCCCAGCTACTTGGAGGCTGAGGCAGGAGAATCACTTGAACCCACGAGGTTGAGGTTTCAGTGAGCCGAGATCGTGCCACTGCACTCTAGCCTGGGCAGGGGGAGACTCCATCTAAAAACAAAACAAAACAAAACAGCTGGAAGATGACATCCCTGGGACAGGGACTTCCATGTCATGTGAAAAGTAGGAGTAAATCAATGGAGGCAGGGAAATGTAGGGTGTATTTAGGTAAGAGCAGCTAGTTTGGATTGGATAGTGTACATTAGAGACATACCATGGGTGAGGGGGTGGATGTGGACAGTGAACCTAAACGCTTTGTGGTAGCAGGTCACAGGGGCCGTGCATACATGCTTAAGGAGATTGGATGTTACAGGAAATGGGAAGCTATTAAAGATTTCTAAGCAAGAGAATGACAGGTCAAATCCGACATGATTTAGAAAAAACGTAGGCTCAGTCAGAAGCCATAGTCTAATGACCAATGCATCATAATTACTTGCTACACTAATTTTCTTCTTTAGAAGTCAGCTTTTAAGATATGTGTTTATAATACAGATTTATACAGTTTTACATGGTTGAAACAAAGAATAATAATATTTATTATGTAAGATTCAAATTTCAGTATCAACAAATAAAGTATTCCTGGGCCCAGCCGCACCTATTGGTTCACGTATTGTCTATACCTGCTTTCCTACTACAGTGGCAGAGCTGAGTACCTGCCACAGAGACCGTCTGCCCAACAAAGCCTGAATTATTTACTCTCCAACCCTTAAGAGAAGAAGGTTGCTGACTCCTGCTCTATTGTGTCTTTCTGGCCCTCTTAATCCATTTATATAGGTTTCTTCCTTTTGTGTGTGAATGGAAAATGAATTTAAGTTCATTAGTAGAAGCAAGACACCTTTAGCTTGGCCTCCAGGTATTATTTGTTTTCCTTCTCATGAGAATTTTGAATGTTCTATATCTAGATTCTCGAGGCTAAAGAATAATGAAGCAGAAAATGTTTTCTCCATTACTATATCCCCTTCCTATGGGGATTCTGAAGGTGCGGTTTTCCCTCTAGGTGAGAGAACTACATTCCTTTCCTAGGCAGATTCCATTTTAGTTCACACTCAGGCTGTCAGATGCACAGAACAATGTCACATGGGCTTCTTAAGACCTCTTAAAAATCACTTCCAGTTTGACTTCTGCCCATACTTTACTCTGTTAGTTTTCCTCAGAAAGGCTTGGCAATAGCAGAATAATCTTTGATTACCAACAATATATTTAATTTTCCTATTTGATAGGCTGATGCCGCAGAAAATAACCAATTGCCTTCTGTGCTTTGTAGCTTTGTGCTCCACTGCATCATCACTTTCTTGGGTTTAGGGGTCTGTGGGCATAGCAAAAGGTGTGACAGCCTGTCCTTGTTAGACTGAAGCCAGTCTGAAGTGGCAGGGAGGCAACAGGATGCCAGCCAAATGAAACATATGCTCCAGATCTTTCATCCAGTCCGGAGCCTAGTGTGACTTGGCTTCTGCCCCCTTCATCCTTCCTAGGGTCCCCCTACACAAAATCCTCTAAATAAGGTTGCCAGTAACCTCTTAACTGCCAAATCCAGGGGACACTTCTCAGTCCCCGTCCTGATGTCTCTTCTGAAATATCTGACACATCAGCCGTGCCTCCTTATTTCACACTTGCCTTCCTTGGATGCCTGAAGGTAAACCTGTCCTGTGTTTCTTCTCTTGTCAAGAAGTTCCTTGCACCCGGGAGGCTCTTCTTTCTCTACCTGCCCTCTGCACGTCGCTCGTCTCCAGGGTTATATCTGAGGTCCTCTATTTTTCATTCCATGTGTTCATTCTGAGTTAGCTCTGTGGTATCTGTGTTTCAGTCACTGCCTGCATTGACTGACTGTATTCGTAGCTTATCTGAGTGCCATCATACACCCGGTCATCCTTGACTTGTCAGTCTCCATTTTCAACATTTGCAAAGTTCTGCCATTTATTACTCCTAAAGGTGCCTGGAGCTATATGTTTTGAGTTTTCTTTTCCTACATTCCCACTGCCACATTCTTTGTACAAGTCTTTATCATCTCTCACTTAAACTATTTGCACCAGCCTCCTACTAGTTTTCCTGCCGCCTCTACTTTTCTTTGTCCAGCTTACCTCCATTATCACTGCAAGTGTTTTCTTCAGAACAGACACTTTATCACTCTCCTGCCAAACATTTTCAATGACTACCATTCACCCAAGGAAGTCTGAACTTCTTATGTTGATTATAGCATTGGGCCTAGTTTCTAATCTTGCCTCCTACTACCCACCAGTTGAAATCTTCACTTCCTTAGGACAGAAAGACCCGTTTTTCTGAAACTTCCATTAGGTCTTTCACATCTGTGCTCTGGTTGGTATAGTCTTTACCTTTACTTCCATTTGGACCAATCTCAACACATCTCCCAAGACCCAGTTCAAATACGGTGCCCCCGCCAACCTCTCTTGAAATTATTTCCTTCCTGTTTGCCTCATGGGAATTTGCACACACCTGAGGTAAAGGACTTTTACCCGTCTACTATAATTATTTGTTTACATGTTTTTCATGCATGAAACTATGTCTCATCTATCTTTGTATTTTCAATACAGAGCATAGTGTGTGTCTTATAAAAAGTATCCAAAGAATGAATGTGTCCAAGCCATGTGTCTGCACCTGTACCATGAGCTCTCTAGGTTCTGTTGTCTGGTGTGTTACAAATAAATAATGCTTTCAGCACCAAATACGGCAGCCATCAGCAGAAATGGCTTATTTCCTTTTCTCAATATTTTTTTCGTACTGAATCTAGGCTAAGTGTAGATGGCTATAGATAGTCATTCATGAAGTCAAATGCACCAGTGGGATTGGAGGATAGTATTTATTTTAGAAAAAAAGAAAGAAGGAAAAGAGGAGAGATGTCCAGTGTCACTATTAGTGAACCACATATATTATACTTTAATTTCCCTTATAAATATGAAAAGAGCTTGGTAGAAAGTAAGATATATAAAGCATGTCTACATGTGTTTTATGATGTGTATACATATATGTATGTAGATACATACATATATTTAAATGTGACCATTATCACATTACTCTGTTATATTTTATTATATTCATCCTCACAAAATTCATTGTTAAAGACAGGGAACTGAGGATTTGTTTTCAAGTCTTGCTTGTGGTATTTGCCCGTGCTTGCACAAGAGTAACAATAATGGCAGAATCATTTATTAGATGACTGAAAAGAGCAGGCACACATGGAGGTTTAACATATGGTCGCTGTCCTTATGGAATTCAAAAATCAGACACCAAAAAAGGTAGGTAACAATATAGGGCAGTTTGAGGTATGCCAATTAATGGCCCACAGTTAGTGAGATTTTGTTTTTTATCTCTCTATAGCCTACTATTGCACTTTGCACACACTGGATAAACATCTGCTGAATGAGTGGACAATAAAACAGAAGCAAATTTGTACTAATTTTTCAATTATGTTTTCTTCCTTGTATGCATTATTGTTGACACCAGCTTGTTGGGAATAAGAGTAAGAATTTATCCTTTACAGTTTCATAGATCTCATTTATCACCTACAAGAAAAGAAAACTTATTTTTGTTTTATAAACTTAAAATGTAAATTAATAAATATATAATATAAATAATAAAGCTATATAAATAATAGATATATGTAATACACAGAATTTAAAGCTATATAAAGTCTACTACTTAGTTGAAGACTTTGTCAGTCTTGCTGAGACACATTGAGTGAAAATATATATAAAAACCTTTAATGATGTGAGGTGAATACTCAAGAAATTTTAATCATCTTCTTTTCAGTGGTAACGAATTACGCTCATACAACAAAGCCTAGGTTTCCAGCAGGAGGGAAACCATTTGAAGATGTGGTGCCCTTTAGAAATTGTTTAGAATCTTTTCAGAAGGAGGTGTAGTGTGACTCCAGGTGCCTCTCTAGGGTTGTTGAAGTGAGTGCAGGTGACCTCTATGTACTTGTTCTTCAAGCTGCTTTATAATAAGCAGCTTGCTACCCTGATTTACCCGCAGAACCACCTTAAGACTTGGCAAGATATCTTTTTTAAAAAAATAAAGTAATGGATAATCATAGTTCAAACTCATTTGTTTTTCTGTATGTATACATACAGGTAAACATTTTCACAAGTACGCTTAAAAATAGTAGAAGAGTTTAAAGATTTGCCCCAATGGGCTCATCTCTCCCTTTTCCAGTTTGGTGCTCCATCTCAGAAAAAGAGAGTCACATTTTGAGACAGATGTAGCTCTTTCTACAGATTTTTCCAGAGCAAGAAAATTGGGATCTCACACATCTGCAGTACTTATTTTATCTTCTCATCTCCCTTTATTCAACCAGAAAGGTTCCCCGCCCCCCCAGTAATACCCTTTTAGAATTATCATGTAGCTTGATGCTATGGCCATAATGGGTTTTGTCTTGTTTTGTTTAATCACAGATGTAAAAATAAAAAGAAATGCTTATATTTATTAGAGTTAATACAAGTAATTGTCCCAAAGTAGTCCCAAATTAATTTTTACTCCCCTATTCTCATATGAGAAAATATACTGACAGTGGCTCAGTACCTGCTTGCTTTGCTTGTCTTACTGGCAATAATACCAGATGTATTTTATTTAATTGAATAGCTGTGTTCCTGAGTGAGTAAATGATACTATTCTAAGGTGATCTATTTACATACACTAGAGCTTGCAGTTTATGACAACTGTTAGTTTATTATTTCAAAGACTATACTGTGTTGCAAAGAAATATTTTATTCAGATTTTCATATATTCAGTTTTGTCTGTTTGTTTGTTTGTTTTGAGACAAAGTCTTTCTCTGTTGCCCAGGCTGGAGTGCAGTGGTGTGATCTCAGCTCACTGCAACCTCCACCTCACGGGTTCAAGCCATTCTCCTGCCTCAGCCTCCCAAGTAGTTGGGATTGCGGGCATATGCCACCGTGCCCGGCTATTTTTTTTTTTTTTTTTTTTTTTTTTTTTTTTTTTTTTTTTAGTAAAGACAAGGTTTCACCAAGTTGGCCAGGCTGGCCTTGAACTCCTTACTTCAGGTGATCCGCCTGACTCGGCCTTCCAAGGGGCTGGGATTATAGGCGTAAGCCACTGTGCCCGGCCTTGTCTGGTTTTTTAATAGTAGGCCTACGTATGCCATTAGTCAACTTTCTGTGAGTTTGAACTACCAACTTGGTGGATGTTTTTCTTTTTTTATTTGCTTTTTTTCTTTGAATTATTTTTACTATCATTAGAGAATGTGCAAGGTTACTTAGTAGAGAATGAGCTCATCTCTGCTTCTTCAGCTATTTTTAGAATCTGATTTTTTTTAAAAGTGGTTGGAGGAAAGAAATGAAACTGCATTCAACTAGACTGAACTTGGTCACCATTATCATGGGGATTGGTGAGGTTTTCTCTTTGTTGATGTCTTCAGTTTTCAACAAAATTGCTTCTTTGGAAGTTTTTGCTTTTTCTCCTAAACTGGTTATATAGGAATGTAGTAGGTACAGGTCATTCCATTATATAAATCTGTGTTTATAAATGATTTACTTAGCTGTTCCAGCCTGTTAGTTAAATATGTATTTAAGGCCTGTTTTTTCAAAAAAAAAATGTATATATAGAAAAAAAAATAGAAGCTCACAGAATGGATACTGAGTTGCTGAAAATTAGTCATTTGAATTTAAATCTTTTCAGGAGTTTTTGCATTAGGAATTTACACCATATACTCACTCTGAAACCATGGCATAAAAAGTATAATTAGTCACATCTATTAAAACAGTGAAAGAAAATATTTGGTAATTTTCTATTAGCCAATAAGTTACTTTGCATAAGGCAATTGTGAATACTCTTTCTCTTCCTAATCTTAATATGTACACAACTATACATTCAATATTTCTTTCAAGAAAACCAAATCCTACAACCCCAGAAAGAGATTCTAATTTGGTTGTTCTCCATTTCTCTTTATATCATTTATAAAGCACGCAAAACAATTTCTGGCCTCTGATTTTTGAAAACCATAAAATCATTTCACCACTTAAGCCCAAACTTTCTAAATCAAATTTTTACTCTAAGAACAAATACTTTCACCATTTATAAACCTTTCAAATTAAGGTTTTGAGTAGAGCTTTCCAGACAGCCTCCGGAAACCATACCCCATAGCAACACATGTCCCTAAAGCACATTATATTATGTGGTGCTCTACCATAGATGCCCAGTATTTGCCACAGAAGGAACAGAACTTGTCTTACCCCATGAGTAGGCCAATTGGTCAGTGGAGGAGTGACAGGTGAGCAGTCAGTGAGGTGCTGGAGGAGGGTGGATGTGGGGGGTGTGAAGGTTTAGGAGTAGAAAAAACTCACACTCGGGGCTCTGGGTTGCTGGGTGCTTTCTTTGCAGCCCTGGTTTGTGAAGTGATTTATGGGCCATACATCACCTTCCTGGTTGGCTTTGTTGACACCTTGTCACATTCTTGCTTGGGCTTGAGGAATTCATTGTTCTTGTTTGAACTGATAAGAACAAAAACAAAAATGAAGAAAGAAAAAAGAAAGGTTTTCTCACTGAGACCTTGGGAAAAGCTAAGGGGGTGGAATGTTGACGTGGAGCGGCAGGCTGCACTTTCCCAAGCAATGCAGCCCTGCGTCTGCTGGCTGCTGCAGCAGCAGGGAAGCTTTGCCTTTAGGAGTTCTGGCAGAAGCTTTATTTGCCCTGTGGAAGTAGTTTCCTGGCTTGGAGCTGTTCCTTTTTGCTAGAATGGTACTGTGCAGAGAGGCCTTAGGAGGGGTCAAGGAGAGAGGTTTTCCTTTGAGAACTGGGAGACATAATGGCTGAGAGGAGATTCCAATGGGAGGTAAAATGACCCCGGTCACTGGGAGAATGTAAAACACACGGTGACTTGATGTGAGCTGGTCTCTCCAAAGTTCATCCCGCTGTACAGCATGCATTTTGGGCATGGTGCCATGCTGACCTTTCCCCTTTAATGTGTAGTGCCCCATGCTTCACTTAGTATTTTGGCAGCCTGCACACAGAGGCTAGCATTTGAGCCCAGTGCTTTGAAGAGAGCAAAAAAGTTTCAGAATGAGAACTCTTCAAGTCACTGGTTATACATAGGGTATTATCTCCCACGTCAATGGAGCAATGGATGACCTGCCTGGTTTTTTTTTTAGGCCTCTTCCCTTTTGTCTTTGCTTCAAAAAAAAAATTAATAGATTAAATTATTTGTCATCCAAGAGAAGTAAACAGGTCAGATCCTATGTTCCATATCATGGGATTGTAAACGCTCATATTTCCTTTTGTGAAAATTTTTTCTTTAAGAGCAGCCAAGCATGAACATACTGCATTCACTAATATTCTCTGTCATCATGCTACTGTTGATTGAAAGGAGAAGAACCTACTTGCACCCCAGCCAAGGGTGAGGTGTCCTGGGGAGTGTTCACACTTTTGTGTTATACTGTTAACAAGTTCATGTGTAATGTAATAATAAATCATTTTACCTGGAAGCGCCATTCACACATCCCCACTATGAACCCCATTTTGAACTGGAGCCATAGAAAACTGTTTTTAAGCTTCTTAAAATGGTTCTCTGCAACAACGTTTCTTGTAGAATGAGGATGCATAAACTTGTTATAACATACTTGACTTTCCAAGTGGTCCCTGTAAACAAGGGATGCTTGAAGAACTGCCAAGCTAGGTAGCCAGAGATTGGGATTGAAGAGCTGACATTGTTCTAACACTGAATGCAAATGGAAATGACCTAATACATGTGTAATAGTAAAGCTAATAAACGTGTAACTGTATAGCAATTGCAGGATTAAAATAAGAAGCAAATTTTGGAAAGCGCACACTTTTTCTTTTGGGTCATCTACCTTGCTATGAAGTGATATTTTGAATAACATTTAAATATCTAAATATGTGTATTGCCATTAATATTGACATCAAAGTTTCAACACATATCTGTTTTAAAAAATCTACAAGCCCAGTTTCCCCAGTTTCTTTATAACTCTGATGAGCCTGCTAGTTCTGCCTTTGCTTTTTTCCCAACTTGGAATCTACTCTGGTTTCCAGAATTAGGTTTATTGACAGTGTTTCACTGCTCTCTGCTGGAGAAGCCCAAAGCCAAGCCAGGCATCTAAGGCTCTAATGACTTGCAAGGAATGCAGGTGAGATGGCTCAGCTGATAAACTCCCGGCCTCTGAAATTAAACTCAACACAAGACTTATTCATACTAGTCGAAGATCACAGTTTACAAGCTATGCTGTACAGGCTAGAAATGGGTTTCTCAGAGAGTAGTATAGGTAAGATAGAAAGTGTAATACTGCCTAAGCTCCAATTTCTTGCTTCGAATGTTGTCCTTTGTAAAGATATCCTATATAATGTTGCACAGAAACTGTGCAGTTTCTCAAGTCAATTTTCATCCTTCCATTTTTGACACATAGGTATAAACTTAATTCTGGTATGTACATCTGAGACAGTAATCAACCATTCCCCTGAAAGAAAAAAAATAAAGACTTTTTTTTATTTTTGAGACAGTGTCTAGCTCTGTCGCCCAGGCGGGAGTGCAGTGGCATGATCACGGCTCACTGCTGCCTTGATTTCCCAGGCTCTGGTGGTCCTCCCTTCTCAGCCTCCCAAGTAGCTGGGACTACAGGCATGTGCCACCATACCAGCTATTTTTTTTTTTTTTTTGGTAGTGATGGGGCTTCGCCATGTTGCCCAGGCTGGTCTCGAATTCCTGGGCTCAAGCAATCCACCCACCTTGGCCCCCGCAAAGTGCTGGGATTACAGGTGTGAGCCACCATGCCTGGCAATAAAGCACTTTTAACTAAAATATATCAAATTTGAAACAAACTATATATAAAGTTTTTTTCTTCTAAACTTCATATTTAGTAAGTGCATGGCCAGAAAAAAGAGAACAAGAGTATGTACCAAGTAAGCAAAAGTGTGTTATGACATTTTTTTCCTGAAACTTTTCTAGGTAGGAATAAACATTAATTTACATCTTCATTTGCATGAACACAAAACTCTACTATAATCTAGATGCTATACTTCTCAAATTTAAAACAAAAGTACAAAAACAAAAACAGTAAACACTTTAGGTGAATGTTGTGTTAAATGTCTATATTGAGCGTATATGTACACATATATTTATGCATATGTGGATGTGTGTTTATACATATATTCTATGTATATATCCTTGGGTGGGAACAGGGTGCAAAGATCTAAGCATAACATATCTCCACAGGGATTTATGTTCTTTTCAGTCTGGTATCTTTTAACTTAAAAACAACTCGATGAATAGAAATCATAAAAGCCATCCTTACAACAGCATTAAAGTGCTATTCTATTCTGCAGCATTCCAAGTGAATTATTGCTGTGCTGTCAAAGAAAACAAAAACATTTGAGAAGGACTGTTTATTTTACAGTGGTTGACCAAAAGTATGCAAGTGGTTATAAAAAAATGTAGACAGCTAACGATGGGAGGTGCCACTTGCACATTCTGAAATCCATTCACAAACCTTTGACACTAACTCTTGATCACTGGAGATAATATTAGAAGCAAAGCATTTTTCACGGGGAAAATCCTAGCACTTTGAAAGCATTTCAGGTCAAAGCAAATAAATAAAACCTCTATCCCTCATCCTGTATCACTGGCATCTCCTCACTCACAGAACCTAATGGCATGATTGTTTTTTCCCAAGAAGAGCAAGAAAACTTTGCAAAAATATTTCTCTCAGAGGTTATGGCAATGAAGGATTTTTGTGCCATGAAACACGTGTTGCCCTTTGTATTTAAAGATTAAAATAAAAACTGCTGTTGACAATGTTAATAGATTCTTTCATTAAACAAATATTTCATTTTAGAGCTATATGGGAAATTAGAGACCTCAAACACAGTCCCTGTATATTAAAGATAACAAAATGTATACTTAGGGAAGATAAATGACTTGCTTAAGGTCACACAGCAGGTAGCATGGAAGGATGAGTTAGAAGTACTAGTTCAGTGTTTGTATTTGTATGTTTTGCCTCAGAATCAGACAATGTACAGTTAAGACCTCATCGATATCTCCCGGTAAATGCTTATTTAATGTTTAAGAATTTTCACTGGTAAAGAGATTCTTATTCCAGGAGTCTAGGTCTTGGGGTTTAGGTTTCTTTTACTTAAAAAAAAAATTCCTCTGATAAGTGAGGATTCATTTAACTTTCTGGTGGATCATTAGGTACCTTTCAAGAAATGAGAATAATCATAACTGGCTCTATTTATCTTAGCATGGGTTGAAAGATATGAAAAGTTCCTTGATATGACTGGCACGATTCTATCCCATAAAACCACTCGTAAATATCAGTTGAAATAATGCCTGTAGGGAAAATTTTCAAATGTCCTTTCTGTCAATGCAGAAATGCCAGTGCAGCTTGTTTTCTGGGTGGCATGTAAGTTGTAGACAGGCACCACATTTTAGACATATTATGGTGGTGCGGTGAATTGACAGGCAGTTTACCACCATTTCCATGTATTAGATTATGTGTACCTCTGGCTATCCTGACACTTTGCCCCCAAAGTGGAGATAGTGAAAGAGAAGGAGAGAGGGAGAAGAACTCCTCGCATCTGTGCCCCTACCTCAGCAGCTCCTCCTCCTTGTCTCTGAGGGTCTCCAGAGTTTGAGAGTTTGGTGTCATGTTGGCCCAAGAGACTGTTGTCCTTTTGACAGCTCGGCTGTTTGTATCTCCAGAATGAAACATAATCAGATTTTTTTCAGATGTAGCATCTGCCTTCCCTCCAACATCCTTGGGTTAATCACGTGCTTGCTGGCCAGGATATGTAAATAAGACTTGGCTAAAAAAAACCCTTAAAGGATTATGAAGCAATCTTGCTTAATAGTAGCAGAACAAAACAAAACAAAAAACCACTCCAACAAATCCTCCTGTGTGCTACCAAGTAATGGAAAGATCCAGTTATGACTGGAACTGTCCTGGCCTGAGTATTGTCCTGGACCCAGAGGGAGCGAAGGAGGGAGGGAGGGAGGGAGGGAGAAAGAGAGAGAGAGAGGGGAGAAATATGAGAGGAGGAGAGAAATTGCTGAAGGAGAGCTTCACTCACTGACTCCGCACACATTCCCTCCCAGTGGTTGCTAATGAAGAGCCCGTGCTGGTGAAGGAAGCCTGCTGATCCCGGAACTGGCCTTGCGCGCAAGTGGTGGGATGACAGACACATTCCCTTCCTTGAACTGCACTCTTTTCCCTTGCACTCAGAGGTGGCCCGAGAGAGCCCCGGTAGGTCCCGGAGTATGTTTCCATGCTGCAGAAGGCATGGAGAGATTCCAATTGCGGGGGTTCCTCCGTAGCCTTTGCAGCTGAACGTCTCCATCTCCTGTCCCTGGGCGGTCAGTCGCTGGCATGGCTCTGTGGAGTTTTACCTCCCAGTTGTCTATCACCAAAGCTGTCCACCTTGTCCGGAGGGGAATGAGCGTGGAAACCCCTGGCGGCTGTACTGACAAAAGCAACCTTAGTCAATGACAGAGCTGGGCAGGCGGCGAGGTCTTGCGGGCTGGCCTTTCTGCTGCTGGTAGGAGGATCATGTGCTGCTATTTCGGAGGCTCCTGCCAGTTGGCCCCTGCCCACCTTTTCTGTTCATACTGAAGCAGCCAGGAACTGAGAGAAAGAGGAAGCCTCGGCTGTGCTCCGGGCTGCGCTGCCAGGGTTGCGTCTGTAGCAGGTCCAGCAGCAAAAACAAAACAGGGCAGAGCCCAGGGAGGCCCCAGCCACAGCAGCTGAGTGTGGAAACAAAGCAGCCCGCCCGCCCTGGGAAGCTGCCGCAGGCTGTGGAAGGGAACTTCTAGAGAGGCTGCATCCTCTCCAAGCCGGGAAACTGAGGCCTAGAAGACATGTGACGTATCTGAGCAGTGACCAAGCCAGGAGTAGAAATGTCTCCTGAGGGCCTGTCCCCACTGCTGTTTGGTTTTAATCGCTCAGCTCTTAATAGTGTAACCCTGGACAAGTGACTTACTCTCCCCAGCCTCCATCTCATCTGTAAAATGGGGATGAGAAAATACCTCTAAGGGTTGTTGTGACAATTAAATGAGAAAGCATAAACAAAGCACTTGGCACAATGCCTGGCCACTTAATGGGCCCTCAGTAAATGTTGGCTAGTTATGTGAACCAGAACTTGAGATGGAAGTGAAGCAGAAACGATAGGGAGTTGTTCAAAAATACCTGATCTGCTAGGGAAATATTTTTTAAAACAAGGCTGCTTTTCACAAGGAGGGGTAGGCACACTTGAATTAAGATCAGATTGATTATATGTTTTTGTTCAGCTTTGATGTTGAATTGTTTAATCAAATGGCAGACTCTGCCCCGCTTCCAGGAAGAGCTCAACTCCAACTAGGAGGAAGCAGGTAATGTGAGCCATGGCATCTTCCCCGTTTAGATTTCCTGACTCTTTGTTTATCTTCTTTGTCAATGTGCGTCTGAACCTTCCCAACAGAGTTTAAAATGTTCAACTTCAAAGCTAAATTCTGATGGAAAACACTTCCTAAGAGGCTGAAGGCTTACTCTAGGGGTGAAAGAAGAGGAAAGGCGATGGATCACACCACATTTGTGGAAAATGTTAATGCTATGTGATCTTGCCTCCTTAGACCCAGATAGATGCAAAGGATAAGGAACTCGGTTTATAGCAACAGATACTCCAAAAGTGCTTTGCATCCTGTTCTGACACTAACTGGTTGTGAATCACTTGTTAAAGATAAGGATAACAACAATACCATTTCTTGAGCCCTTACTGGGTGTCTGGTATTGTGCAAAGTACTGTCTATATATTACCTCAGTTTCCACAACAACCTTATGAAATATTTCTTCCTTTTGTGATGAGGAAAGTGAGACTTAGAGAGAAGTTAAATAACTTGTTCAAGATCACTCAGCTAATAAATGCTCCTATGCACTTAGTCACTGTGCTATGTCCTGCTTACCCCTTAATGTTGACCTTAATCCTAACTTGAATTTAGGTTAATGTCTATGCACTGCTTTTTTTTCACCTGCAAATCAAGGGCTGTACTAACAGTTTTGCTAAGGCCACTTCTTTGAAAATTGTAAATATTTCCAGAAAGAGGCACAGTTTACAATAAACATTCTTGCTTTCCAAATAAATTCTCCCCTATTAAAATCAATGTACCAGTTGTTATTTTCATACCTATGCATTGTTTAAGATAGAGAGTTCAGGACACAATTGAAAACTGGGAAAAATAATCTCGTGGTTCGGTTTGTTAGTTTGAGACGCAGTCTCACTCTGTCGCCCAGGCTAGAGTACGGTGGCCCAATCTCAGCTCACTGCAACCTCCAACCTCCCAGGTTCAAGCAATTCTCTTGCCTCAGCCTCCCGGGTAACTGGGATTACAGGCGCGCACCACCACGCCCAGCTAATTTTTGTGTTTTTAGTAGAGATGAGATTTTGCCATGTTGGCCAGGTTGGTCTTGAACTCCTGACCTCAAGTGATCCACCCACCTCGGCCTCCCAAAGTGCTGGGATTACAGGTGTGAGCCACCGTATCTGGCTCTCATATTTTTTATATACAGATTGAATATCCCTAATTTGAAAACCTGAAATCTGAAATCTTCCAAAATCCAAAACTTTTTGAGCAGTTACATGATATTTGAATGAACTGCTCATAAGAA
Organism: Homo sapiens; assembly: GCF_000001405.40. Classification (NCBI taxonomy): domain Eukaryota; kingdom Metazoa; phylum Chordata; class Mammalia; order Primates; family Hominidae; genus Homo; species Homo sapiens. The sequence continues at coordinate 65,884,285 of NC_000012.12, forward strand.
CATTTTGGATTTCAGATTTCCAGATTAGAGATGCTGAAGAGGTAAGTATAAGACAAATATTCCAAAATCTGAAGAAAATCAGAAATGCAAAACAGTTCTGGTCTCAAGCATTTCAGACACTCAGCCTGTATTTGCATGCTCATGGCTGTTGGGAAAAATTAACATATTCACCAAATTGTGCCTGGTCAATTGATAATGACTGATCAATATTAATGCACAAGTATATCTACTTTTGCTGTCAAGGGCAAAATTTAAACTTTACTTGCACTAGTCTTTATCTCTAAGGAAACTTGTACATTTATGCATGTAATTTGGTATCCTCAAGGTAAAAAGTCCAAATAGCATTATTTACTAAGTGAAATTTCTCTATTAAGATTTTTCATATCCTAATGGAATTATGCTTCTAAATTCTCAATATTTATTAGTATTGTTGAAATTTTGTGAATTAGATTCATCTGGATTAATATGTACTAGAATCATTACCTGTATGAACTTGGACGCGTTTCTTAATCTATCTGGGCCTTAGTTGCCTCAGCTGCAAATTGGGAATGAAAATGGTATCATCATATTATAATGGTTGTTGAGAATATTAAATGAGCTAATTATGTAAAGTGCTTCAAATTGCGCCTGGCACATAGTGCTATATGTGTTAATTAATTGTATTAATCACTTGTGACTTCCAATTGATTCTATTTTAATTGATATTCTATAATATAATTTGCTTCCTTCATCTCTCATGTATACAAATTAAATTTGTATAGAAAGTCTTCTCTTCTAAGAAATTTTCATTCTTGTACTTCACCCTCTCTTTAGCTCTGTAGTAAGTAGTTTCTGTTTATTTATTCCTTAGAACTTTATCTAGAGAAGCTTTTGATATTAAGCTGTGACATATAACAGATGAAATTACAGTCATTGAATTTATTTTCTCTGAATTACAGATTATTTTAGGTAGAATTTATCTTCCTTTTTTTTCTGGTGCCCAAGTCTTAGAGAAACATGTTTTCAGCCCTGATCATGATAAATAGTGGGTTTTTTAAATGACATCACGAGATACATATTTCTCAGATACAAAGGATTGTTGTTATGTTCTTTTGGCCAGAAGACACTCGTCTTCCTGGGAAATGTAGCCACAAAATGCTGGGTTTTAGTTTTATTAATATCCTTGTAGATTAAAAACAAAATGTTTTCCCTCTAAGTTTTTGTTCTTTTCCATTTGGCAAACCCGGTGATTTGCCACATGAGCCAATGTGTGTCTCATTTGCTTATTTTCTTGTGCACTAGCAGCCCTGGTGATAGCATCTGGAATGTGTGCAGTCCCTGGGAACAAATAACATGTTGGAAAATGGTTTACTTGGTGGCAGCAGGATCGCTCATGCACCTGACAGCACATGCCACGTATCTCAAGCCATTTGCCTTTGGTAAAAGTAGTTTTAAGATAGGCTGCCTCTCCCCAAATTTTTGTCCAAATAATAACAACAATGATAAGAAAAGATTTTTATAACCAATGACTTTGAGAGTCAGATTTTCAAAATTATTTTAATATTTGAGCTGATGATATCAACTATGCCATGAAATTTTGTTTTGTTTTGAGGGAAATTACTCAGTTAAATGGGGAGGAACCCTTAGTTCCGGGAACTGCCCACCCCTTTCCTGGAAAACACATGAATAAGCCACCCCCTTGTTTAGCATATAATCAAGAAATAACTTTAGGTATCCTTAGTCCAGCAGCCCAAGCTGCTGCTCTGCCTATGGAGTAGCCATTCTTGTATTCCTTTACTTTCCTAATAAACTTACTTTCACTTACAAAAAAATTACTAGGTTAAACTGAATCAAGAAAAAGATCAGACTTTGAAAACTTGGTTTACATATATATTATATATGTTGGTTTATTTTCACCATTCTTAAAAACTGTTCATTGACTAAATGATACACAGATTTAAGAGGTTAAGAGACTGAGTGGAATTTAGACCAGACTGTTCTTAAGCTGCTTTCAAGCTCACATTTCACTTAAGGGTAGGGACTCCCTGTCACCCTTAGTCCCTGTTTCCTCCTCGCGGGGAGCTTCTTTCTTTTTCTCTCTTTTTTTTTTTTTTGAGACCGAGTCTCCCTCTATCGCCCAGGCTGGAGTGCAGTGGCGCAATCTCTGCTCACTGCAACCTCTACCTCCCAGGTTCAAGCGATTCTCCTGCCTCAGCCTCCTGAGTAGCTGGGACTACAGGCGTCCTCCCCATGCCCGGCTAATATTTGTAGTTTTGGTAGAGATGGAGTTTCACCATATTGGCCAGGCTGGTCTCGAACTCCTGACCATGTGATCTGCCCGTCTCGGCCTCCCAAAGTGCTGGGATTACAGGCATGAGACACAACGCCCGGCGGGGAGCTTCTTTTGATTCATCATTCTTGCAGGGAATTACTGAGAAGGACGTGAGCTAAAAGACAACACAGAGGTGTTCGAGGAAGGAGGTGTGAATCCAACCAGGCCAGACCATTGACTTCCAGAGAAATTTCCAGACAAAGCTTCTCAACCCACCAGCCAAGACCCAACCCACAGCGGTCACTTTCACTCTATCTTATCTTGAACATACTCTTGCTTTTTCAAGGCACAGTCTATAGAATTCCACATTTTCTGTTTTATTCATTGCCTTCCTCAGTTTCCCTTAATAAGTAAGCAAGACTTGAACTACAGGTTATGAAATTCTTGGGATTAATGACTGAGCTAATTTAGAAAGAAATGCATGTTCCCCATGGCTCAAAAATATAGAAAGCCAATTACCTAACTCCTATCTATTTGACAATTTAAATGATGCGTTTTCTATAAAGAGTTCATTACACAAACGCTGACTCCCCCCCTCATAAAATGGATGATATTTTAGTGAGGCGTTTCAAAGACAAAAGAGTTTGATGACTTGGTTTAAGGCCAGTTCAATGAAGGCAATGAAAACCTTATCTTGGCTATTCTTTTTCAAGCTGGCATTCCAATGAGTCACCATATGGAAGAGGATTAAGGAAAATATTTTATACTTAGGCTAGGCACAGTGCTTCATCCCTGTAATCCCAGCACTTTGGGAGGCTGAGATGGGTCGATCACCTGAGGTCAGGAGTTCAAAACCAGCCTGGCAACATGGCAAAACCCCGTCTCTACTAAAAATATGAAAATTAGCCTGGTGTGGTGGCGTGTACCATAATCCCAGTACTTTGGGAGGCTGAGGCCGGTGGATCACTTGAGGTCAGGAGTTCGAGACCAGCCTGGCCAACACAGTGAAACTCCATCTCTACTAAAAATATACAAAAATTGGCTGGGCATGGTGGTGCGAGCCTGTAGTCCCAGCAACTCAGGAGGCTGAGGCAGGAGAATCACTTGAACCCAGGAGGCAGAGATTGCAGTGAGCCGAGATCACGCCTTTGCACTCCATCTCAAAAAGAAAAAAAATTTACAGTTAGGATTTGTAAAATTTTAAAAATCTTAAAGAACAATAGTTAAATCTTACCTTCTATAATTAAAATAATTAAATATTAAGGATTCTTTGGAGTTGCGTCATTAGGAGCTTTACAGTAAGATATCTTACTAGCCAATATTAGCCTGCCACAGGCAAATTAAAAAAAAAAAAAAGCAATGACAACAACATTTGAGTTTGTTAATCTAATTGCCCCTTCCTTGCCATCACTCCAAGGCATTAATGTGTCTTTTAGATGATTGCATTAAGTTTTCTATTAGAATTTCCTCTCCATCTCTCTCATACACACACACTCACACACACAGACACACACAAACCCCCTAGCCATTGGTGTTCCTGAGGTTATGAATCCCCTTTCCATAGCGGTTTGGGAACATAGGATATAGTTTATGAGTTAGGGAGGCACAAATATGTTCTTAAAAGGAAACCTTCAAACCGACTGAGTGCAGTGGCACACACCTGTAATCCCAGCACTTTAGGAGGCCGAGGCGGGTGGATCACTTGAGGTCAGGAGTTTGAGACCAGCCTGGCCAACACGGTGAAACCCTGTCTCTACTAAAAATATAAAAGTTAGCCGGGCGCAGTGGTGTGCGCCTATGATCCCAGCTACTCGGAGGCTGAGGCACGAGAATTGCTTGAACCCGGTAGGTGGAGGTTGCAGCTAGCCAAGATGGCGCCACTGCACTCCAGCCTGGGCGGCAGAGTGAGACTCAGTCCCCCCCAAAAAAAGAAAGAAAAGAAAAGAAACCTTAGAATAAAACTACCTTTGACTCATAGACTCATTCATCCAATAGGAATAGAGTGCCCGTGGTGTGCTCTTTTTTTTTTTTTTTTTTTTTTTTTTTGAGACAGAGTCTCACTCTGTCGCCCAGGCTGGAGTGCAGTGGCGCGATCTCTGCTCACTGCAAGCTCCGCCTCCCGGGTTCATGCCATTCTCCTGCCTCAGCCTCCTGAGTAGCTGGGACTACAGGCGCCCGCCACCACGCCCGGCTAACTTTTTGTATTTTTAGTAGAGACGGGGTTTCACCGTGTTAGCCAGGATGGTCTCGACCTCCTGACCTCGTGATCCGCCCGCCTCGGCCTTCCAAAGTGCTGGGATTACAGGTGTGAGCCACGGCGCCCGGCCCCGTGGTGTGCTAACTCTTATGACAATGATGACATAGGGACCCAGGGACCACCCTCCCGTTAGAGATGCACCATGCTCAGCCCGTCTAACTTCGAGCCTGCTCTTTCCACCAATAATCAGCTGCCTTCTGTGTCCACACTAGGAGGAAGGATATATGCTTGATATCTTGTTTTATTATACTGTTGAATTTCATCATCACCCTACTCTTACCCACAAAAAATACCCAAAGTCTTAAATGTTTCTTAAAAGAAATATTAGTTGTGCCCATTTTAATCTCCTGAACTTTATGACCCTTGTCCAATGTTCAACTAGACATTTAAGATTTCTTTCATTTGGCTTTTGGTAAGACTCATTTTTGGAATTAATACAGGATCACTGTTTGTTCTCCTCAAGTCCCAGAAAAGAAAAAGGGACTTTTTCCTACAAATCAAACTTCAGCATACCACGAGCTGCCAGTGTTATTTGCTATTTGTTCCTTGTCTTTTCCAACAAAGTGACCTTAGCACTGAATCAGGAATGCTTAGATGTAGATGTGCACAGAGGACCCTTTGTAGTAAATATATTGTAAATACATATCTAATAGGTAAATATACGTGTATATGTATATATACCCACAGATTTTTAAAAAGTGAATATTCTAGAGAGTTTCCATTCCAAGAATGCTCATTGAAAACACAGTACACAAAAGGCCAACAAGGAATAGGATAGAATATTCCAGCTTTGCAGAATGGTGAGTGAATTGGGCTTTGACTTTAAAGAGGTATGTAGGTGAGGAGTTGCTGACAAACCTGTTTGAAAGTGGTTTATGTCATGGGAAAGTACGTATCAGGGCTGTTGCGAGGATTATCTTCTTTCTTTCTCACAGCAACTCAGTGCGGTAGACTCTGTTATCATCCTCATTTCACTGATGAACAAACCAAGGCACAATGAGGTAAAGGCATCTGCTGTAGGACTCAATAGCTGATGAATGAAAGAGCCAGGCAGGGCAGACTGGCTTCAGAATTGTACTGTTTTGCTTCCTATTTCTCCCTACATCCTAGCCCCACTCACATGGAAATCACTCTGAAAAATTCTTCTGTCTTATTCCCTAAAGACAGTCCAGCCATCTTCCTCCTAATTCTTACCCACTTGTATTTCTTCTATAATTGCTACAAAATGGTCCTATACAACAACAACATCGTCAACTCACAGAGTAGAAAAAAAGCAAAGAACCTTACAAATTCCTCTGGGCTAATTTTATCAGCAAAACACTCAGCAAAATGAGAGTTGCCCAAGTCCTGAAAATCATTATGCCACAAAGTTAGTGGTTACCAAGTTCAGCCCACTATTTAAGTATAGTCATTTAAATAGGCCACTATTTAAAACATTGTGTTATCCTCATATACTCAACTCAATAGTACAGAGACCATGTTTTATGTCTCTTTGCACGTCCAGCCCTTAGCACAGCACCTGAGGCATATTCCTCAACAATTTATGCTTGTTGGATGAATGATGGACTGAATAAATTAATAGGTGTTAGCTTTTAGTTTTTTCAAAATCATGCTTACTTATTCATTAATATATTCTTGTGATTTGATCAATGCAAAGAAGAGCAAGATCATCATCTAGCATTATCCTGAATACTATTTAATATATTTCTATAACGTTGCCTAAGGTATATATCTTTTGTTTTGTTGTTTTGGAAGCTATACTACACAATTGACTCAAGCAAGCTACATATACCATGAAAATCAGCATTGTTCTCCCTCACAACCCCCATGCACACGTACTCAGCTTTCAGATAGACCTGAACTCCATGAAAGGGAAGTCCTTCTTGGATTAAGCTGAGATTGAGAGGACTATTTTACCGCTTCTTCAGTATATTCTTTTTTTTTTTTTTTGAGATGGAGTCTCACTCTGTCACCCAGGCTGAAGTGCAGGGGCGCGATCTTGGCTCACTGCAACCTCTGCCTCCCAGTACAAGCGATTCTCCTGCCTCAGCCTCCTGAGTAGCTGGGATCCCTGGTGTGCATCACCGTGCCCGGCTTTTTTTGCATTTTTTGTAGAGACGGGGTTTCACTGTGTCACCATGTTGGCCAGGCTGATCTCGAACTCCTGACCTCAAGTGATCTGCCTGCCTCGGCCTCCCAAAGTGCTGGGATTATAGGCATGAGCCATAGCGCCCAGCCGACTTCTTCAATATATTCGTATATGTGAATTGAGCCTTCCATTTCTTCCTTTACCTCCTCTTTCATCCATTGGAACCAGTTGACTTTTTAATGTAAAGTATAGAAACTCAGCCGCTCTGACCCTGTTTTGATTCCAAACCCTTGTACCTACCAGACCATTTAGGAAGACTGGGATAAATAAGCATTATAACTCCAGGGAGCTTTCTGATTTCATGATCCATTTCTGTTTCTTAGGGGCCAGACAGTGCTAGGCTTACAGGAGACTCAAAATCTGTAGTTAACCACAGCAATAAATGAACACAAAGGAAATGCAGATGTAAGTAGGGGATAAACTTTGAGTGGTTCCATCAGTAGTGATTCATGATGTTGAACTACAATAATATTTTCCTCCACACACTCTCCCAGTTCCCATTGTGACACTGGAGCAGCATTTAGGGAAGACAGTTAGGCTTGGGGGTGCGTTCTGTGGTCATGGCTGTGGAAGATTGGTCCTACGGCTGTTAATCTGGCTGACAAATGTTTCATCAACATGCATTGTTGAAAGTGACATGATGCACAGTGCTGGTTAAGAGTCGCGTAAATAATAAAATGCCCAAGATGGGAGAAGAGCAGTTTTCCTGGCTTCTCCAAGTTTGAGCTGCAGAATCAGAAGCAGTAGAATAGAGAGAGAAGAGACAGGACACTAGCTTGGGTTCCAGCCCCAACTCTGCTGCCCTGTGCTGCGTGGCTGCAGCAAGTGACTTATCTAATAACTGTGGGTCTCAGTTTCCTCACTCATAGTATTAATGATCATTTCTCAGGAGTATTAAATAAGAGCATGAGTTTAAAGAGCCCAGTCCCGTGCCCAGCACAACGGAGGCTACCCTCCAAAGGTCAGTCCCTTTTTCTGTGTGTTTCATCCTCTCTTGGCAGCCTGTTTGCTGCATCTCTCAGCTGACTTTTGTCCCTTCCTGCTCACTTAGTCAATTCAGAGATTACAGTTTGTACAATAATGCGCTGCCTTGTCTTCTCGCTGGTGAATCTGGACCGGAGTGCTCTGCCTCTGCGCCGACACTCACTCTGATGGTCTTGGCTGGAGGACAGAGGCTGCTGGCAAAAACCTAAGAGGGAACATACCGTGGTAGCAGCATGAAAGAATTTGGCAAGGAGGTGCTCGTCACATGATTGTGATTCATACTGTACTCTCAAAATGTGGCAGGAGGGCTAGGAGAGACTTTTAATGCCAGCACACAGAGCAGAGACACTCATTTTCAAACATCACATTCTTTTTATAGTACAGGCATGCCTCACAGGGAAAATATTGAACTTGGCCTGCCAGCACCACGAGAGTCGTCCCAACTGTGATTTTATTGCTTGAGTCACTCCCTGAATCAGATACTGGCTGCACGGAGGAAGTCTTCTATTAGGGATGCTTTGAAATTGTGTTTTTAATTAATTAACACCAACTCTGGACAGGTTTTTCATTTACTCCTAGCTGACTCTTTTTTGTCTTTTCTTTTTTTGCCTGAAACTTGTTAGACATTTTTGTAAGGTCTCAGTTGGATCGCTTTTAAGTATCCTGGTGAAAGAGTCATCTGTGTTGGGTGACCAAAGCGAGGGGACCCTTCAAAGTAGAGTTTGTCATCTCCGAGAGAATCTGATCCATGGGAATGGGGTCGTCAGGAAAACGGTCCCTAAAAGTCTGGCATAGCACTTTTTGATGCCTTCAGCCGTCCTCAATCCATTCATCCTGTTGTTAAAACTTAAAACTAGAGCTGGCCAGCTGTTGAGAAAAGTCCTCAGTTTTATTTCAACCAAATGATGCTGCCTCCTGGGGCTGGAAGGGGGCTGACTTCAAGCACAATTATAAATGTGTAGCTCTTTCAAGCGGCGGAAACCTACAAAATGGCCTTGATTCACAGGGCCCCTCTGGCTCAAAGACTCTCTGCTTCCCGTGTGTCATAAATCTGTATCTGCATCAAAAAGTGTAAAGACGGCAGTGTATGGAAGTCCCTCTTCCTCTGCGAGTGTGTCTATGACAGATTTATACTGATGGCTACACTGCACCCCGGTCACAGGCTCCTATTATAGTCATGCCCCACTGACTCAGCCCCCATTTCCTGTGGAAGGGGAGACAAGGTCCTGCATGAAGGAGGGTGAAATTACAGCTCAACTCTCGAATTGCTGTTAGTACAGGAGGACCTTTAAGGGCTGCAGCAAGACCCATTTTGTTCATAGCAACATCTACTGTCTCCTCACCCCAGTGTGGTCACAGCTAAAACCTAAGGCATTTAGTTTCATGACAAGATATGCCATGACAGGGTACTCCAGAATTCAACAAGGCCAAATGGATACATGCGAAAAGAACAAACCACCTCATTTGTTATAATTTTTGTTTCTTCAAAGTGGTTTTCTTTTTCTTCCTGAGGGTACAAGTTTCAAATGTGGAAATTTTTTAAGGTAGCATTTGAATCCACCTCTCTATTAGTATTTGCAAATGGATGCAGAACAGGACTGGTTTTTGAAACCACCTCCTTGTTAGAGATTTTTCATCCTTTGCAAACATTGTAGGGTTTCAGAGGTAGCGGCTGGTGAGAACCCTCTTGTGTTTGACTGCAGCCTTCGAGGTTTAGAGCTGTCCTGCATTTCAGGGGGTGAATGGCTACTGGTAAAGAGGTCAAAATGAGCTTTATTCCAAGAGTTAAGCAATGAAGTTGCAAAGTTTAATTGGTGTAATTTTGGGAGATAAGGATGGAAAGGGAAGGATGTTAGGATAGTTTGAATCCTCTAAGAGGAGAAAAGGCAAAACTGATATTTGACTTTCCCACTGTATTTAGAGTATAGCCTTCATGGGGTAGCTGTTTCTTCTTGTGTTTGGTATGGCTCAGAGCACTTGAAAATGTCACTGGCTGAAGAAGAGTGCTTGTGATGATATTTTTTAATTCACTTTTTTTGTAGACTTTAGTACTATAAAGAAATGATACATAGAGGGGAGTAAAAACTTGTCTAGCTAACAATTGGTATTATAATGGTTTTGAATGCACAGTTCTGATTAAATTTTATACATTTCTTCCGTTGGCCAACTTATCGTGAGCCTGGTTGTATGCCTCTGGTGTTTGTATGATATTCACTGCATTTTTTTCTAACGTGTTAAGGATTCTATTTTAAATAGAAAATCAGATTGCAGTTTGAAAAACTTAGTTTTAAAACTCTACCATCTGCTAGATTTGTGGAAGAGGATCTGGTAAATGAAAATTGTGTGTGTATGTGTGTGGTTTATTTTATAGGCACTGCATATTTCTTTGATGATCTATTTTCCAAGCTCATTCTTATCTTTTAGAAGATGTTTCAAGGATTTATGCATCTGGCAAGATTTCAGAGAACTCTATAGTGGTGGAGATGTACACTCCATTTATAGGGAATCCTGAATCAGGGTCATTGAGAGCATTTATTTTGTTTTGCGCTTAAATTTATTTCTGCTCTGGACATTTCTTTCAAATGGATCATTTTTACATGGTCAAATCTAAGCATTTTATTCATAAGAACTCTAATAATAAAGCTTTTTCAGTCCAGACATAGGTGGAAATTTGCAAAATGCATCAGGAAAGTATGGCAATTGCTTTTCAAGCCATCTTGTATTTGAGAAAGTATTGCATTCATTAGTGTTTGCAAAACTACCTTTAATGGTGCAAAAGTAAAGCTGACCTCTCCCTTTTGGTGCACAGATGTATAAACTTTATGGAAGTACACCCCAAGGTAGAGACTTATTGGAGTAACTCTTAGAAAGGGCAAAGTTGGCCATAAACAGTGATGCAATAACCCCACAATTATGTATGCTCAATTATTTGGAAGGGAAGTCTGGGAGAAGTGTTTTATATGATTACATGGGCAAATAAGAAGTGAGTGTGGAGAAGCACGGTCCAAAGGTTTGCATTTGTTGTGTATATCCCAAATAGCACCCTAATACAGCTTTATAATGTAAATCCACCGGTACCAGTAAAACAGCATTTAAAACAAATTGTAAAATGAACAACATTTGCAAAGCAATAAAGAAACCACCTTTGCAATCACTTTACTACAGTTTTGAAAAATGTTAGTGAATAGCTCTCCAAAGATGCAAGTAAATAATATTTTATTAGATTTCAGCCTAGGAGAAAGGGGAGGAAAACCTTCAACTAGAATTACATGATTATTGCTTTGCTCCTCCCTCAACCCAGCAAACATTAAAATGGAACATAAAGCAAGTCTATAACAAGATTTATGAGGAAAGGTATTACACTTAGGGGCACATTGTGCAGAAAAGTCATTAAAATTGTTTGGGCCTTAAGAAGGGGAAAAAAAAAACCTTTTGAGAAAAATGAGAAACTCAGATGTATCAAAATGCCTTCCTTATGATTACCTGAGGCTTTAGGTTTTTAAAAGCCTTTGTACCTAAAGGTTCTGATTCATTCTCTATTGTGGCAACTTTTTCCTACCAGACAAAACTGAAAGATTTTGTTTCTCTAGGAAACATACTTAAAGAAGTATAGTAGACCTGGCATTCCTTTTGCATGCTCTGGTAGACCCCGGCTCTTGTATAATAAAAACAATATAGGCATGTTATATTTGCCATATGTTAGTTAGGGGGTTTCAGCAAACAAATACCTCCTTGTGCACAGAAGTAGATGAAAGCAAAGCTTACTGATGTCTACTATGCCTTAACTTACCTTCTTTGTCCTACATAGTCTGCCTAGCAGACTTCTTTCTGGTTGGTTGTATGCATATTTGGATAATGGTGATAGCTCAGCATATTCTTTATGCTTTGTTCCGCTCTGAGGACAGCTAGTACACTCGATTCAGTATTATATGCTTTCCTATTTCCTTGCCTGATGCTTCTGTGTTATGCTAAATCTCAGTTTATTCTGTCAGTAAAGTTGAGGAGAGTGAGTGAGGAGTGCGTTTGCATGTGTGTGTTTTCTTATCTGTAAAGTTTTAACTTTGGCTTACTGTTTAACCAGGAAACTCAGCAGGACAAAGGAGATCTAAATAAAACTATATTCCTGTTGAGAATCTCCAAGGTTATGCAATACTATAAAATGGTGGTTTGAGTAGAAGTTCTGTAGTTCATCCTTATCAGACTAATGGTTTTGGGGTTTTTGAAAAGGAATGTTTCAAGGAGGTCTTTGAAAACCATTTTCTTCAAATGTTCATTGCATCTGAGATCCCATTTTTGTCCCTTTATTTGCTCCAGAATACCGCCCAACTGCCAACAAAGAAGGGCTTGTGCTCCCAGGAATTTTCTGCATTCCTCTCTGGAGTAGGCATTTTTCTCAGCTACAAAGGCCCTTTGGCGAATTCCCTCTAATCATTGGATTTGCCCTGGGCTCTGATAGGTGCCATTCATGGACTTGGTCTGCTGTTTGATGGGGCTGAGGCATTAATGGGATCTTTTCATGATAAACAAAACTGGGTAACATTACCAGAGGGATCACAAAGCTGCTGTTGTAGGGGGAGTGTGGTGCTTTCTCTCTCTTTCTCTTTCTCTCTCTCTGCTTTTTCCTTCTTCCTCCTCTTCTCCCTGTTCTTTTTATGAACGCACATTTGTGTGCGTGTGCAGCATGGCCATTTCTAGAAGCAGATCTTCTGACCTTTGCTGCTACTCGTAAGTCAATGGCCAATGGCAAGGCCTTTGTTGAACATAAGATGATTCTATATACTGATCTGATCTACAGTAGCTTCACAGCCTGCGGGGAGGTCTGTGTTTTCTTAATTGATTAAACGTTGGAAGAATACTGCATGAAGAATCTGATTTTGAGATCTTTCTTACATGCTGGCATTTAATTACTGAAAGTATCTGGTAGTTGAGATGAATGAGTCTGGGGGAATAAATACTTAACACAAGAATTCAACTTCATGTGGCTGCTGTGGTGGTATATCCCTGGCTGTGTTATCAATGCCAGACTGAATGGGGTAACTCGTCACTGTTGTTGTATCCTATTTGCTTCTCAAAAGAATGCAAAAATGGTTAGTTGAAACCTGATTCCTGCAATAGTGAAGAAGTGAAATTAGAATTATTTTAGGTGATGAACACTATTTTTTTAAAGTTTTTATTTTTGTGGGTATGTAGGTGTGCATATTTGTGGTGTATGTGAGAGATTTTGATGCGGGCATACAATGCTTAATAATCACATCAGGGTAAATGAGGTATTCATCACCTCAAGCATTTATCCTTTGTGTTGCAAACAATTCAGTTACACTCTTAGTTATTTTTTAATGTACACTTAAATTATTATTGACCATAGTCACCCTGTGGCATAACACTGTTTTTTTGATGAAAAGAAACTGACAGTACAAACTAGAGAACTTGTGATCATATTAACGGCATTATTTTTAAGTTTCTGAGAAAATTAAGGAAAAAGTTTCTTATTTTAAATGGAAATCTCTGATGTAATTTGGAAATAAATAGTACATTAGGCATCCTGATAGAGGTAATTCTACTTACTTGCCATGCATTTTCTTATGTTCCATCTGAATACTGGGGCTTAGGCAAAAGGACAAAAAGGAGTGGTCAGGGAGAGCACAGAGTGAGCAAGCATGCAGAGCAGCGATTTAAAAGTCAAAAGGAATGTTAGGTTAAGGGAGGATGGGTGAAAAGCAATGCTTATTATTTGTCCTAAAGCAAGAAGAAAGGCCGGGCGTGGTGGCTCACGCCTGTAATCCCAGCACTGTGGGAGGCCAAGGCAGGCAGATCACCTGAGGTCAGGTGTTTGAGACCACCCTGGCCAACGTGGTAAAACCCTGTCTCTACTAAAATTACAAAAATTGACTGGGCATGGTGGCACGCCCCTGTTGTAATCCCAGCTACTTGAGAGGCTGAGGCAGGAGAAATCACTTGAACCCGGGATGTGGAGGTTGCGGTGAGCTGAGATCGCGCCATTGCACTCCAGCCTGGATGACAAGAGCAAAACTCCATCTCAAAAAAAAAAAAAAAAGTTAAATGATTCATCCATCGGAAGGGATAGCACAGTGCCCTCGTGTTTCCACCAGCCACTGATGCTAATTCTTCATTTTAATTTTGCCTTGACTTCCTGGCTAAGTGTATGTATTTTAATATGAGTTTCAGCCTCCAACTAAATAACAAACAGGACACCAGGCTTCTGTCTAGCCAAGGTGTCGTGATGCTGTTTAACAGCCCCCAAATCCCTACCTCAATACATTTTAAAATATCCAGGTGCTGTAAGTCGGATGGGAAAAAGTTTGAGGAGAGAAAGTCATTACCTTCGGTAGAGCAGCACTTTATTCATTTTTTTTTTCAGGTTTTGCTTTTTGATTAATGCTTTTTGTTATCATCTGTTCAGTATAACATATTGTAAATCATAAACTCAGGGTTCAGATCTTTCAGAGACTTTTGCAACTTGAAAGGTGGAGCTTCCCAGCCTCAAGGAAATCTGCAGTGGCTAGTGTTTCCCACAGGGCCCCATTACCCAGTCCTGGAAAGGTGCTAACGAGGCATCTTTTTTTTTCCCAGTGAAGAAAACATCATGCATTTTAAAATATCGGTGTTATCTGATATTCACATGTTTCAAACATATGGTTATAGTACATATTCAACAGCCCTTAAGGGCTTAAATATCCTTTGTATGTACTATAATCCTGGTGGTAGCCACTATACAATGAGCACCTACTATGTCCAGCGCATGATTCACATTATCCTTAATCCTCCTAGCCTCCCTGCCAAATCATGTTACGATTATTCCCATTTTAAAGATGAGGAGGCCGGGCGCAGTGGCTCACGCCTTTAATCCCAGCACTTTGGGAGGCCGAGGCAGGCAGGTCACAAGGTCAGGAGATCGAGACCATCCTGGATAACACAGTGAAACTCCGTCTCTACTAAAAATACAAAAAATTAGCCGGGCGTGGTGGCGGGCGCCTGTAATCCCAGCTACTCGAGAGGCTGAGGCAGGAGAATGGCATGAACCCGGGAGGCTGAGCTTGCAGTAAGCGGAGATCGTGCCACGGCACTCCAGCCTGGGCAACAGAGCGAGACTCCGTCTCAAAAAAAAAAAAAAAAAAAAAAAAAAAAAGATGAGGAAACTGGGGCTTAGGGAGGTTCTGGTGTTAAAAGACAATGGAGTCAATTTCCAACGATGCCTAGCAAGTGGCACTGACTGTGTTCATCCTATTTTGCCTTCTGGTCAGTTTATAACTCGTGCTTCCGAACAGATGAAAACTTAAAAGTTTAGTTGAATATCCAAATGTTTCCAAATATCCTTATATTTCATAGCTTGTAGTTTATGACACATTTGGGAGCAAGTCCTTTCCAATGTTTATTTATTCTCTATAGTACCTACATTTAACTTTTTTCTCCCATAATGACTTCCGATCCTACTTCTCCCTGATTCAGTATTCACTCCATTACTTCACTGGCTCTCTTCCTTATTATCTGTCACAGGACACACGCACTTTGGAAAAATCTGCCTTGTGATATGATAATTGCAGGATGTTTTCTGAATTGCAGAAGGCTGGAGTAGAGGGGGATGAGGGTTTGAATCAAGTTTATCTCTGGATGAGAGGAATTTTGGCCTGGGAAAGGAACTGGAAACGTTCTGACCAGCTTTCCGAATGCTGGTTAAGGAAAAGCCTAACTCACTCTAGACTGTGCTCTGCATTCTAGACATTTTATCATGGTCTGCACCCTTCAGGATCTTATATTCTGAGGAAGAAAGTGATTATTTCCCAGGTTGTGTTATTTTTATGAAGATAATTGAAGCTCTTTTATCTCTGGATAGTTTTCATTTTAATTTATAGATATCCCACTGCATCTTAGGAAAGCTGATATTTTTAGTTCCAAACTACTGGATCACATTTTACCTGCTGGCACTTTTGCTACCTGAGTAGTTTCCTGACACTTGGGGTTTTTCTACTATTCAAGTTAGACACTAAGGCAACTATGCAGGGAATTTAAGCAAATAATAAAATCAAAAGAGGAGGGAAACCTTTCGTCTCAATCATCTGAATATTTTGTACTTTTAAAATCTTTACGGATAGGGTAATATTTTAATACTTATAACGACTTCATTATTTTAGATTATCTTGTATATGTAATTTACATTACTCTTCTAACTGCTGTAAGCAAATTAGGTCATGTTTACTCTGTAGTCAGTGAAAACGATTTGTTCGAATTGAGGTCTCCTTGGATTATTTCAGTCATAGCTACATCTCTATTAGAGAGAAAGGCCACTAATTATCAGCCTCTCTGCATTCTCTAGGAGGGCCTTAATGCACTCTAAATTTGTACATGAAGATTTTGTTAAGAAAATACTAGATCTTACATGACTAAATGGCACGCTACTATTCCAAGGAGCTTGTTTTTAGTTTTACTTCTCCCCTGGACTCCTTTTCAGGGTGTTTTCAAGCAAGGTAGAATCTGTTCCTAGGTCACAGCATAGCTGAATGCCAGAGAGCAGAACTTAACCAGACCTAAATCTTGAACCTGGTTCAGGTAGAAACCAGACAAGTGTCATTAAGTTTTCCTCTTAGTAGCCACAGCAAGCTCACAGCAGCCTCTAGCCAAGGACCAAGTATATCAAAGGAGACTGACCAGCACTGTGGACTGCAGTGAATGCATAGAGCGGGGTATGGAGACCACAGGGACAATTTTATTTTTTCTTGTTCTCTAAAAGACCACTAGGAACAAAATGAGCCCAATTTTTGTAGTACAAGCGCTGGTAATTACTGAACACTCACTCAATTCGGTTAATAAAGCTAAATATACCCAAACAGGCCATTGTTTTGAAGGGAGATTTTGTGGTGTGCTGGAGGCACGTTGGAGCCAACTGTTACATTTTTAGAAAGTTTGAGAGCTGGTTGTTAAACATAGCCCTTACTAAAAATTAACATATATAAATGTATAATTAAATAAATTATGTTTAAAAACAGGCAATGTGTAAAGCTCATCATTTCCAAGTTATTCTTCTGGACTTTACTATTATTTATGCTCTTGATGTTATTTATGTTTGTTGTATCTATGTGGAGAAATACTCCACATATTATGTGTGGTATGCCACCTCCCATTTCTTTCCAGCTCTGTGTTTAGTGATGACACGTTGGCAGCTGAAATTGACCATGGTAGGAGCATTTACACCACAGAAATTGGCAAATGCTACAAGCAGGACTTGACAGGTTGTTTTGATTATTAACTAGACTTTAAAAAATTATTGAGAACATTTTAATAATGCAGGTTAAACAATAATTTCGGCAGCCTTTACATTATAAATAGCATAAAACATTTAAGGAAATATTCTTTGGATATTCAAAAACTATCATCCGGTTTAACAAAGAAGTCACTCACATTATTGATGAATGAGTAAACCTTTGACTTCACTGTTTCACTTTGGTTTTACTTATTGATATAAAGAAAAATATCAACCAATGTTCATGTTGAAACTGCACTTATTTGTTAATGACATGAGCTGTTTCTTTGCTGAAATGAATAGTCACCAAGCGTTTATTTGTTGTCTGATTTTGTGACACTGTTGTTGGTGATAGAATTACAAAAACTGATACTGAATTTTGCAAGAAATAGCAAGTGAAACAAATTACAGGTGTATGGAATTTGAAAACAGAGTATTACATATTTTATTATCACTTGTCAATTATTTACTAAACATTCCTTAAATCACTAATTTTATAATACACTTATGAATATGTATATATGCACACATTGTTTTTTCTCCCAGAGATCCTGACGTTAAACATTTACTAGATAATGGAAGACAATGGATGCCTTATGACATGAATCTATAAATCCCCCACAATTTTCTGTTGAGTCCTATTTTTAGATCCTTGTTATTCGAAGGACACAAGCAGAACTTTTCAAACAAAATAAAACACACACACACAAACCTAAGAAACACGATCTCCACCAACTTAATATTCTGAAGTATGTGAAAACGAAGTGTTTTATGTGAGAACCATAGGAATGTTTTTCAAATATAATAAAAATGGATGGTGTTGATTAACTTACTTTGTAAAGACTTTCCTTAGTTTATTCTCTGAGAAACGACTATGTAGCAAACTTTGTCCTGGGCTCTGCACCAATATAAGGAGGACTTGGTTCCTGTTTCCCAGGTTGAGCTTAAATGTTTGCTGTAATATGGATCATCCTACTTTTAAGAGTTTTTTTTTTCTTTCCAAATAAATAGCTAAAGAGCCATTTTCAGTTTCTTAAGAGAACTGACGTGAATTTGTGAAGACCGTTGATCATCTTAATTTGTCTTCCATAGATAGTAATAAACAAACAATATCGAACACCTGTTATGTGCTACATTCTATACCAGGCACATTCCTCAAAACTAATCTTTTGAAAATCTCTGTGAGCTCAATTATAATATCTTCATTTTACACAAAAATGAGACATTATACTGGTAATAAATGATGAAGATGAGATTTGAGTTCAGGTTTTTCTGACTCAAAAATTCTCTGTCTTTTCTGAAAAAATGTTTTACCCCAAGAGCCCTTGAAAAAGAAAACAACCAAAAATTATATTCCTTTAAATTACTGGACACACACTGAGCCTGGGGAAATGCTTTCATCAAGTGTGAGAATAAAACTAAGTGACAGCTGGATGGCCAGATCCATTTTCTGCAATAGATAGCAGAGTCTGAGAAAACAGCTGCCCAGAAATGAGGAAATGGAACAGACAGTATGTTTTGGTATCTTTTTACATTCAGAAGAAAGTAGAGAACTATATTCTGATGTCATTAGTCATCTCTGATACAACCAAATTTTTGACCTGCTGATACTACAGGATTTAATTGTGAAACTCACGGTGTGGCCTAAGATAATTCCAACTTCCTCACTCTCCTCTTGTCCCATACAAAATATCAATGTACTAATTAGTACTTACCAGTACTAATTCAAAATTTTATATCTAAATTTTGTAGAGTGAGATAGTTATATAAACCAAGTAGTAGTATTAGAAAGAAAATAAAGCAAGCTGAAGTAGGATCTAAAAGAAGAAAGAGAATACATTATTCGTATATATTGGTCTAAATGTTGCCCTAGTTTGTTTGTTTGTTTGTTTTGGTTTGTTTGTTTTTTTAAAGAAACAAGCACCAGGATATGAGATGTCACTGGGAATACCATTTCCCTTCAGCTGCTTTATATTTCATTGTCTCTTGGTTTAGAATGTGTTTATATACACATAAATATATTCTCCACCAAATATACAATTTGGAACTAATGGCTTTGCTGATTGAAAAGACTGAAACTTGTGTCACTTCACTAAAGCATTTCCTAAAAACAAATGCCATAAAGTTAAATGTATATATGGCCAATGTATGCTAGAAAATAAAGGGACATGTAGGATTTTAAATCAATTGATTTTTCAGCCATCAGTTTGAGTAACATAAATTGCAGACTATTAGGAAACTTTGGAGAAATGCATAGGCTCACAGTAAAAGGATCTGAGTGGGGAAAAAATTACCTTCTAGGGAAAGCCAAAAAGACTGTAGTCACAAGAGCAGAATGAACATACTGAGACATCGCCGGGGAGGTGGGGGCAGAGCAAGGGTCTCTGGTAAACAGGAGCCACTGTGAGAAGGATCCAAGGTAAAAGGTTCGAGAAATCACAGTGAGTATTTTTTTTTAGGTTAAATGTTAGCAAAATGCTTCTGACAGGCGTGTCAAACACTGTATCCGTGGACCTACAGAGGCTGTTTGTGTTCCAAGAGTAGTGCTTCTTCATTCTGAGGAAGAATAGGGATTTGATCACAGAATTTCTGAACTCAGAGTTATGCCACGTCTTTTGGCTTTTTGATTGGTGAGAAGTAAGGCTTCTGTGAATAACTAGCAGATAACAGATAACATCCATTTTTGTTGCTGGAATGAAATAAGACCCAACACTGGCAAATTTACATTCATGATAACGGCCTAGAGCCACTTGATTTCCTAGTGGAGATAAAGAGGTAATGTTTTATTTGGGGGAAGTGGGGTTATATTTGTCAGTATATAGTAGTAAATAACAAAACCAAACACATCGCGTAGCGATCCATGAGCAGTAATGATAATATCTTGAATTTGTACAGTAATTTGTAAAGCACTAGTTAATCAGAGAGAACTTTAAATCATTAGCTTCATTTTCCAGAGGCCCTGGGCCAGGGACGTCTGACAGATCTGTTCAACGTCATAGAATTAACTCATGGGTTGAGAGGCTGGGCCTAGAATCTGGGCATACTGCTTCCACCCAGTGTGTTCCTTGGCTCGTTGAGTGACCAAAGCACCGCAGTCACCCAGTCTACCTCTAGATTATAGACTCATCAAACAATTGAAGCTGCAGAGCAATTCATTTTTAAATGACTTCTAATATGAAGCACTACACAATTATCAGTATGCCCTTACCACATAGAACTGGGACCTATCTTGTTTTTCCACAGTAGAAAGCATTCAGAATCAAGACAGTGCAAGCCACCTTCTCCAGTTCCTTAGCAATTGTTCTTTAACTGATTTTTTTGCTGCAACTTTACAACTAAAGAATTACTGTTTTATAAATGAATAAAACAAGGTGCAAGAGAATGGTTCTGATATGCACAACTGGTTGATTTGATGATTCTGAATGATGTGTTTATTAATTGATTCAAATAATTGTTTTTGACATTTTGAGGATTAAAT
The DNA here is from genome assembly GCF_000001405.40 of Homo sapiens. NCBI lineage: Eukaryota > Metazoa > Chordata > Mammalia > Primates > Hominidae > Homo > Homo sapiens. Next base: position 65,904,660 of record NC_000012.12, read on the forward strand.
TTCTGGCTAGTTTGATGATACTAATTACTTATTTTAAAACTCTTAAACATCCTACATATATATAACTCTACAGCCAAGTCAGCTTTTGGTTAGGTAAATTATAGAGTGAAACTGTATAGAGTGAAAATTTTTTTCACTTTGGGAGGCCGAGGTGGGCAGATCACCTGAGGTCAGGAGTTCAAAAGCAGCCTGGCCAACATGGTGAAACCCCATCTCTACTAAAAATACAAAATTTAGCTGGGCATGGTGGTGGGTGCCTGTAATCCCAGCTACTTGGGAGGCTGAGGCACGAGAATTGCTTGAACCTGAGAGGCAGAGGTTGCAGTGAGTCAAGATCGCGCCACTGCACTCCAGCCTGGACAACAGAGCAAGACTCCATCTCAAAAAAAAAAAAGTTTATTTTAATTGCAGATAAATAGAAAGTCATTTATATCAGTCTTTGAAATGCATGTCCTAATTTTTATTTCTTAGAGGTGTGGCTTTCTGATTATTTTGGGAGTAGGTTATAATGAATTGACTTTATCACACACACACACACACACACACATAATAGAAAATAAGGATAAATACTAAAATGGGCATTTTTCTGTATAATTAACAATATTGATATAGTCAGTTAAACCAAATGAAATTGCCGTTTTTGTAGGTAAAAAAATTGAATATTGTCTATTTCTCATGCTTTATTCTGCTTAATTTTGTTTACGTGTTTATCAAGCTTCTTGTATGGGATTCCATTGTATTTTGAAACCAAGCTCTCTTCCAGAAGAAAAAGAAAATGGAAAAAAAAATTACCAATATTCAAATATTTTGATTGTTCATTATTACAGTTTTATAGGTTGAGGAATAGAAAGAAAAAGCAGAAGACAAATAAAATACCTCATGTCCAAACCTGTGTGTGGACACTAACTCCACAGCACAGACATGTCATCACTCAACTCCACTTCTTCTGAGAATAGCGACACAGTGTGCATGACAATGCCTGCCCTGTATATGCACAGTACTCTTTGCACGCTTCTACTTACATAAGGAATATTTTTCTTTAAAAAATACTTTCCTTAAAAACACATATATTCTTAAACTAATACATTCTCTTTAGAAATTTTAGATGACTCATAAAAGCTGAAGGAATAAAATAAAATTGTTGAATCTTACTACTCAGAAGAAATCAGAGTTAATATTTTAGTGTAAATTTTTTATCTATGAAGTAAACAATTTTAAAAGCTAAATATAGAGTCTCATTTAGAAAATATGTATTATACCTTGTGTAATTTTGTATTCTTTACACTTCACATGATATTGTTTCCCAAGTCATTAAATATTCTTCTAAGTAACCAGATTAGATCAGCAATAGTTCACTTAAAACAGCGAACAAGCTGCATTAAAAACCAGCCAGAGCCTTACCAAAGAGCTGATGCTATGAATACCAATCATAGCTTAGTTGCTGTTCCATATGTTAATTTAATTTGACAGAGTAAGAGTCTTTGAAGTCCTAATTCTCTTTTGCATCCAATAAACCAGTTTTTATAGTGCGTGAACTTTTAGACATCAGCCTGCAGCTAAACTCATGTCGGGAAGTTGCCATGAGGTCACACATAACAATGGCTTGGAGGGGCGATCCTTTGGAAGTCTTGTGGGAGAGGTGAGGGGACTGTCAGGGGTCACTTGGGGGGTCAGTGCCTCCGATGATAGCATCTTATGGGCATACAGATTTGTTGCCATTTTATGTGAGCTCTTGAAGGTTGATTTCTACAGAAATGGGTCCACAGTAGCCCAGCAACATTCATTAATAAGTGTGTAGGTACATCTTTGTGTTTATTCATGGGCTCTGTAGCTTTAGAAGGAAAAAGCTAAGCACAAGTGTCTTGCTAGTATGTTGTTTCACTTCCCATACTTCAGCAAGAAGGTGACTCTCTAGTCTTCCCTATCATCAGCATTTAGAATCCGGGTGGTGAGTTAGTTCAACTCATAGAATACTCTTGGGGATATTTTTGTTTGATGCTGATTAGGGCTGGTGGTACCCACTAGAAGGGTAGAGGGGGAAAGAAACAGGGCATTAGAGAAGAAGATCATAAAGAAAAAGGTTAAAAATAACAAATTATGCTAAACATTAAGTTCTGTAGAGTAAGGATTTTAAGTTTTTTTATTATTCTTTGTTTAGATTGTACGTTCTTTGAGGGCAGAAACCATGCTTATAAGATATTACAAGTCTAGAAGCTGATGTTATTGTCTAATAGTTATTCTGGAGGTTCAACGTCAAATATAGTGTCCTAATTGCTACAAACATTAAAGATCAAGACCCTGTGGAAATGGGTTTCTTTTCCAATTACTGATCACCTCCAGTGTGCCAGGACCTGTGCAAGGCTAGCATTTGACTCCAAAGGTGTATGGGCATTCCCTGTACCTGAAAACGAGTGGGAGCCAAGCATGTGAACTGTTAACTTCAATTAAAAGGGGTTGCTGGGTGCGGTGGCTCACACCTGTAATCCCAGCACTTTGGGAGGCCGAGGCAGGCGGATCACGAGGTCAGGAGTTCGAGACCAGCCTGGCCAACATGGTGAAAACCCATCTCTACTAAAAACAAACAAACAAAAAATACAAAAATGAGCCAGGTGTGGTGATGCATGCCTGTAATCCCAGCTACTCAGGAAGCTGAGGCAGGAGAATAGCTTGAACCAGGGAGGCAGAGGTTGCAGCGAACCAAGATCATGCCACTACACTCCAGCCTGGACAACAGAGTGAGAGATTCCGTCTCAAAAAAAAAAAAAAAAAAAAGGTGGGGGGTAAAGTGCTCTGATAGTCATATGCTGAGAGTTCTGGGCCTCTCAGCGTTTGTGCAAAGTTAGGGGATCACTCAACAATCAATTAACTAGCATAAAAGAGCAATTCAGAGAGGAGTCTATGCCCCTCTTTGGAGGGACCTAGGAGGCCTATTCTTTGGGGAGTTCTTCATCAATGACAGCGATTTGAGAATAGGGAACCGAAAGATAGGGTGGCCACTTACAAGGCACACAAGCCAACGTTTAGGGAAATTGGTGATTAACAGGAAATTATTGGACAAGTGCTTAATTTTTCAAGTAAGGATGTTTCTAGGTAACAATCCTGTTGTGGCCGCATGGTTCTGGGAAGTGGTAGACATGGGATTAAGCAGCTGCACTGGATAGTAATGATGTAATTGGGTTTCCAACATAATTTCCAGTCCTTCTACTGCTTCTGGGTGGTTTCAACGACTGTGTGACCTAAGTTTCATTTTGGCAGTCCATTTCAGCTGTACCATTGCTTTTCAACCATTACAAAGGTAGCTTGACTCTCTTTTTACACTTAATTACTCAAATCTTTGTCCTTTAAATAAAATTGAGATATCCGTAGAGTCTGCCAATTAAGCATTTAGAGGAAACCACACACTCTTTGTGGAGAAAAGAAGGCCAAATTAGACAATCAAGTGTACCAAGAATTTGCCTAAATTTGGTATAATTTTGTTGAAGATTAATTTATTTTCATGGTGAGTTATGGTATTGCATGAAAAGCACACTTTACTTTACTTGTACCTGACTGTCAAACAGCCATTACATGCGAAGGGCAGCCTGTATACAGGCTGGGTTTCCCCTTCCTGCTTGGGAACAGGTACGGGGAACTGTTGGCATGAGTTGTTCTCCTTAGCTCGGCATATCTCACACACATATTGTAGTTCTATTCTCCAGTCTGTCTGTTCTACTCAGTGTGATTTCTTACTCATACATTCCAACATCTCTAGATTTTTCCTAATCTCTTCAAAGTCTCATTCAGTTGTCTTCCAGATATTTCCCTTCACATCCTTTCTTTTTTTTCCTTTGCCTTTCTCTTTGTTATTACCCTTTCTACATTTTCAAAATGAGTTTCATATGTCTCCAGTTGTTGCTGGGAAGTAGAATTAGATGGTCCTCTCTTCGTTCATCCACAGCCATTTTAGTGCACAGTGTTAAAATTATTTGTTTATGCATCTATTTCTTCCTTGAAGGAACTTTCATCCTTAATGTCTTCCTTGGCATCTAATGGGGACTTAATAGATGCCTATGTTTTTAACCATTGTAATTTTAGTAAGAACGTTTATTCTGCTTTCCTGATAGTCAATTCACAAACAGACTTTTGCAACCCAACTCCCATATAGACTGAGGAGTTTCTGCAATGTGGTCAACTACAGCAAAAGGCTTTTTTTGTTACAAAACTCTAATCTTCATCTACTTTGGCCCGACCTGAATTCCACTATAATTACCTTTACAACATATATCCTACCATCATCTTAAAAAGGCTTACTTCTGAACACATCCGCTGGCAGAAGATTTGTTTTGCTTTCTTTTCTAGGAAATTGTAGCTTAGCAAACTATGAGACTGTCTGACTTTAATTTTTCTTACTTTCTAACTGTTGATCTAATTTTTTTAAAGTAAATAGATTACCTTTAATTTGCTTATTATGCTCAATAATCACACATTAGCAATGTAATAATTTTAATAACAGAAAGTACATCTAAATCTCTACTGTTTGTATGTAAGTCCCATACCTGGGAGCCACAATACTTTCAAAAGTGCACATCAAAGTAATTGTTTTGTCTGGCGCCAGCACAAATTTCTGCTGGGAACTGCCCCATTTAATATAAATTATATTACCTGTGGAATTTAAAAGGATATAAGGTGTAGTGTGCCCTGCAGGCAGGAAATTTAAACTATGGATTGCCTTCTTTTTTTTTTAATCTCTGATTTATTCCTGTAATGTGGAATATTTAGCATCCCTAATTTCCATTTAATCTTTTTACAGGCATATTTTGAATTTTTCAGTCATAGGGAAGACAAAGTTAGAAATGCTATTATTCTCTCAGGCTAACTTGAGAATGAAAAATATCTAAAGCTAAGGGTGAAGTGGGAAAGAGATGTCATTATCTGAAGGAGTCTATTTAGAAACCAACCAACCAACAAAGAAAAAAAAGGGATGATGAAGAAAAACAGGGAACTTTGACCTAATTTAACCAAAAACCATCAAGCCTCAAACCTGATGTCTTTGCCTCTTTTTTGCCTATATAGATGTGAATGTAGGAGTAGCACATCCACGGGCATGAATATGGAGATATAACCTCATCTCTGTAAATCCATTGAACATAGTTTTATACCCTGCTTAGAGGACCAAGATGTTACATTTTAAGCCTGTAGGAGTAAACACATGCAAACCCAGCTGTTCAGGTGGAGACCTCTGGCTTCCACATTCACACCCTCGGTGACCTATTTGGCTCACGTAGTCCTCTCTTAGGAGATGGCTGCATGCACATCGTCTTGGATGTTGAATGTACAGAATACTTTCACTAGGACCAGTAAAAAGGGCAAATAAAGCTAACAGCACAAAAGAGGATATATTGAAAAGAGGTAGAGAGGAAGGAAGGAGAGAGAGCATACACTAGAGAAGAAAACTAGAGGAGCTAAAGACCAAAGCAATGAAGACGAGGCTCCTGTCCACCTCCCCTCTTTGTGTTCCAGGTGGTTCTTACACTCATTTTTACTCAGCCACAGCTGAAAACATGCTCCTTTCTCTGCCCTTAGTCAGGGGAAGAGGCCTCTGCTCAGTCTCTTAATTCAGTCATTGCCTAACCATTCTCATGAAACAGGTCCCCATCACCAAGAGCAGATACCTTCTCCAGGTCTTTTTCTTTTTTGTTCAATAATCCAAGTATTCTCTCAAAGACTAATATTGCAGTCATGAACAATAGTCACTGCTGACCGAGGTACTGCATTAAATCTTTTATATCTCACTTAAAAATCTTTACACCGTACTCACTCCTCACACCTACCACATAGATTCTGTTGTCCCAATGTTATAGATTATTGAGTAAGATGTTCTGTATCTTTAGCCATGAATATGAACGCATGTAGTTGATAATTCTACATAAGATTTTGCTGTTTTTCCTTTGCTCCTGCATGCATTTCTCTCTGTTCGGTGTCTGTGGTCCCTGAGTTTTCATGACATCTTCTGGTAGGAACTTGGGGTACTAGGTCCTCAGACACTTTTTACAGTTTTCTCCTTTTTTTCTTTTTAAAACATCTTATTAGTTCTTGGAGTACTGTCCAACTGAAACTGAAATGCACATATCCATAGTTTTCTTTTGGTTTCTTATATGTGTCCTTTTGACTTATAAAAAAAAGGGGGCTAAATACCCTTTGTTCCAAGCGTTGACTGAATTCAAAGGCGCAAATTCAACTCAAGTTTTTGAACTGTATAGACCAGTTAGTAGTAGCAATTAGTAGTCACTGAATGCCAGTGGTTAAGAGAGGTGGTGTTTAGCTTCCTTCCACCCCATTCTCTATTCACCTTTATCCTTTCAGCACTAGAGCCCCCACAGATTCTGCAGCAATGGGCAAGATCTTTGAGAGGAACAATATTAAGAAATAAGCCTTCAGATATGCAGAGGACATTTTCTAAGCTTAAAAGCTGATATCGAACAATAGAACTATTTATTTCAAAACGACACTCCATGTATCCAACTCAATTGGTATACTTTGATGACTTACATTAGCATTTAAAGTACAAGCAAATTTTAGAAGATGCCTCTAGACTCAAGTGTTGGAGGTAGGGAGCAGCTGGTCTTTGTTGTTAGAAAAACAGATATTCAAAGTTTGGGATAACAGATGAACCATCTCTACCACTTGACTTTAAAGTTAGTTTTTAGATAAGAAGATAGCTTAATAATGGGCTGGTTGTTGAGAGGATCAGCCTTCTAAAAACCTTAATATGCTTTCAGTCTTCCCTGGAAACAGGTGATAGGGTAATTAGCATCCACATCCTCTACTCAACAGAGCAGCTTCTCTGCTGGCACATTGCTTGGCAGGACTCCAGGGAAAGCTGTGTGATGACAGCAAGATTAAGATCCAGGAAGCAAAGCCGGGTCATATGCTCTAAGTTGTCCATTCCTTCTATTCTCTTAGCATGTTCGATTCCACAAACACGGCTTATTCCAAAAGCCAATCCTCCTAATGAGCATTCGGTCATTAGAATTTTCATCAATACCAAACGGAATTACATTTGGGGCCCCTTTTGGTCTTTCTTGTCATACCTGAGATGATGAGATCCTTTATTCTCTAAGTGCCCCTTATGCACACACAGAACCAGAGCATCCGTGTAGAAATAAGAACTTACCATGGTAAATGATCAGTATTGTTGAATCTCCAAGATGTGGGGTTCACCACATTTAACTGTATGTTTATTAACAATTCCATTCTAAAAATTATGTTACAAGCATGGCCAAACAGAAATGAAACTATGATAGTGGCATCTCTATACTAAAAGTCTACTCTCTATGGATCTGGCCATATCTACACTTATAGATAATACGTTGTATGGAAGTTCTAGTGTCAGAGCTTCAGGCTGGTGATCCCTGATTTAGATACTGTATTAACTATATCTTTCCACTAGTCTTTCTGTTTATGTTCTCTTTACAATCCCCAAACACCCAATAGTTTGCAACCCTTACCATACTTCACAGAATGATTCTTCAGGTAAATGATAAATATTAAATTTTTAAATTTATGCATATTATTTTGGTAAGCTAATCAAATTTTTTATGTTAAAGTGAACTTGATATATTTTTATATTCTGTCATTTATTTCTCCATTAAGTGCACAGCTTTAAAAATTTTCAGTGCTGCAAAAATAGGCCAAAAAGTGTGACCTCATCTATTTTAAATTTAAATAAATGAATGAATATGCAAATGAAAGAAAGAATGTCCCCTGGGAGCACTCTTCATGGTGGGCCTCAGCAAAATAAAGAACAAAAGCTTCTAGACCTTGCTTCCTGCTCCTGCTCTGTCTAGAACCCTTCTGAAAATCATTTCCTCCAATCTGTAGAGTGTCAGGGGAGTCTTAGATACTTGGGTCCTTTGCATTGTCCTGTTCATGCTGAATTATCAGTTTTATTTAGCAGTTATAAGTGATTCACATTGAAGTTAAAGGAACAACCTGAGGAGGTATTGTTCACAGACAGCCAACACTCAGAATGTGATTGAAAGCATAGGTTTTGATTCTGGAAAGAATCCTGGATTTGGAATCTATTCCTGGATTTAACGTCATGCCATAGCTCCATCAGCTATTTACTGGATGAGTCCCTCTTCCTCTCTGGCCCACAGTTTTCACAAGTCTAAAATGTGGATTCTCATAGGATGATCATGCCAAATGGGGCATTTTAGTTTCTAAAATGAGAACGTTATTCATCTATATAAATATAAAGTTAAAATAGAAACTGTTTTAGGGTTGACAAAAACTCTCAAAGCAGTCCTTTAGCACTTCTGTGCCCCTGCTCTGAGGCAGGACCACTCTTAAATTCTTCCATTCAGATAAAAAATCTCTATTGTTTGAAAACACCTTCAGAGGAGATGTGGTAGGAATTTGCTTCACAAGCACAGTTACACTAGACGTTATTAAAACAAAAAGGTTTTAATTAATTACTTATAATCATGAGTCTCTTGTTTTCTGTGTAGTTCTCCACACAACAGTTCTTCTGTTCCTCCATTCCTTCCACCATTTTGTGCTATTTTTTCCTTCTGCCATTTTGTACCATTCTGCGGCAGTTTGCCTCTCCTTCCTTTTCTCTGGTCAACTCCTTCAGTGGTCTTCCCCATTTTAAACAAACTTCACTTCTCCGCTTTTCTCCGGGGTCAGTCATCTTGACTTCTGCACAGGAAGAAGATCCCCCAGTCTTCCTCAGCCACTGAGTCCAATAAGTGCAATCCTTCTGGTAAGGAAACTTGCCTTCTTGTTGCAGTTGAAGCCCATTTTCTAATCTTATTTCTTCAGAGCCCATTTCAAAACAGCTGGTTACCATCCTTTAGGTTAGTCCTTCCTAGACAGTACTTCAAAAACATTATATCACTTTTCAGTCATTTTTATCAAGCATGAGTTATAGAACTTCCTTTATCCTTTTCTCATAAGGTGTATTATTCAGCCTTTTAATAAGCAGCAGGGTGTAATTGAAAGAATATGGACTGTGTAGTTAGACCTAGGTTTGAATCTGGGCCGTGTTACTCACTAGCTGTTTGACCCCACTCAGAGCTCATGACTTCTCTGAACGTAAGTTCCCTCATCTGTCAGGTGGGGTTCATGGGACCTGTCTCTCAGGGTCCCCATCACAGCTGATGTGTGTAGTGTTCCTGATGTGTCACCAGTGCTCTAAGAAGTGTTGGTTACCCTTGCTCTTCCCTTTCGTTATACTCTCCTCTACATCAGTTCACTATTTCCTGGCACTTATGGAGCCTAGGGTTGAACACAATGTTGAGAATTTGAAATAATTGTCTTTATTCATCCCCCTGCAACATGCTTTTTAAAAAATGTTTTGGAGAGGATGTGGAGAAACAGGAACACTTTTACACTGTTGGTGGGACTATAAACTAGTTCAACCATTGTGGAAGTCAGTGTGGCGATTCCTCAGGGATCTAGAACTAGAAATACCATTTGACCCAGCCATCCCATTACTGGCTATATACCCAAATGACTATGAATCATGCTGCTATAAAGACACATGCACACGTATGTTTATTGCGGCATTATTCACAATAGCAAAGACTTGGAACCAACCCAAATGTCCAACAATGTTAGACTGGATTAAGAAAATGTGGCACATATACACCATGGAATACTATGCAGCCATAAAAAATGATGAGTTCACGTCCTTTGTAGGGACAAGGATGAAATTGGAAATCATCATTCTCAGTAAACTATCGCAAGAACAAAAAACCAAACACCGCATATTCTCACTCATAGGTGGGAATTGAACAATGAGATCACATGGACACAGGAAGGGGAATATCACACTCTGGGGACTGTTGTGGGGTGGGGGGAGGGGGGAGGGATAGCATTGGGAGAGATACCTAATGCTAGATGACGAGTTAGTGGGTGCAGCGCACCAGCACGGCACATGTATACATATGTAACTAACCTGCACAATGTGCACATGTACCCTAAAACTTAAAGTATAATTAAAAAAAAATGTTTTGGTTGTTTGTTGTTGTTATTGTTGTTGTTTTTGAGACGGAGTCTTGTTTTTGTTGCTCAGGCTGGAGTGCAGTGGTACAATCTCGGCTCATTGCAACCTCCACCTCCCAGGTTCAAGCAATTCTCCTGCCTCAGGCTCCTGAGTAGTTGGGATTACAGGCACCCACCACCACACCCAGCTAATTTTTGTATTTTTAGTAGAGACAGGGTTTCACCATGTTGGCCAGGCTGGTCTCGAACTCCTGACCTCAGGTGAGCCACCCACCTTGGCCTCTCAAAGTGCTGGGAATACAGGCGTGAGCCATCGTGCCTGGTCTAAAAAATGTCTATTAGTGTTCCATCACTAGATCTCTTCTGAGGTATTCATGCCATATGCCCCATCCTGATGTCATATCCACAGGACAATCTACTACCAAGAACCAGCTCCAAGAAGAAAACATCTCTGGGAAACAGTACCAAAAGGAGTCACTGAATTGTCATTGGAGGAGTCCAGGATAGCTCTTCATGTTATTTTCACCTTGAGGAATTGTCCATTACATCTATGAGCCTTATGTGTGGCTTTCTCCGATATAGAAACCTATCAGGTGTCTTTTAGATCATTTCAAAACACTGGCTTATTCTTTCTTATGTTTCCAACTGAAGTCTGCATCCCAAGATGTAGTTTCACTGCTACCCCATATGGCACCCTTGTACGAATTTGAAAAAAGTACTCACTCTAGGCACATGCAGAGCCATGCCTGCGGGGACAGCTTAGAGAGTAGAGGGTGGGCTGAACTCCAGTTACTCTCGTACAGGGATCCACCTTTTTGCAGAAATCACAGTGTGGCTATGGTGTGGTTTGATTTCATAAAACAGATGCTTAAAAAGTATTCACTGTCTCTGTCTCTTCAGTGCCATGTAATATCACATGACTTTCCTTTCTCATTCCATTGGTATTTTCCTGTGTCTTTTATCCTCTGTGCAGTTTGTCAGTAACATTTCATTCCCAGCTTCAGATGGGCTGCCATGACTTCTGCCAGTTCCAGCTATTTCTTTGGATGCACCTTTGAATACCTACCTTGACTTACATTTTTTTGTTTTGTGGAGTTACTCTTTGGGTTTAAATTTTGGACATTTGGGTATTAACCCAAATAGATTTTGCTTAAAATGTCCACATTCTATTAACAGATTCTTAGTAATAGCAAATTGGCAAAATCAAGATAGTTAATTCATATTAACGTTGCTTCCCCCTCTTCTCTACCACGCCTCTAGAGATGACTTAACTGAGCATCCAAATGACCTAACCCAGGGTACTGGAGGGAAAGGGGGAATGGGTGACCATCAGTCTTAAATAATCTACACACTAATAACCTTCCTAGGAGGTGAGAGTCCAGTCGTTCTAAGAGGAGTACCGTGCTGTCATCCTTGCCAGAAAAGAAGATCCTTTTATACTAGGCCCACAACTTTGAACAAGTCCCCCACAGAACAGTAAGGGAGTGCAGTGGACCATTACATTTTCCAGGGCTCAACCAAATTGGTTCTGGTGATCAATGAAGCTGCAAGTCTGAGGCAGCTGGTTCCATGTTCAGTAACTGATAGGTATTCTTACATTCATCTCAAGGAGGTAGAAGAATACTTTAATATAAAAAAGTGTGTAAAAAGGGATGAAGATTAAGAAGTGGAAAACTTGAAGATAAGCCAGAGGCAAAATTTCCTGACAGCATGATGTACTGGACTGCAGATAGGTCTTTTGATGGATATGCTTGAAATTCCATTGTTACATTTATCTTGTCTGCATTTTTCTGCATTTATTTCTAATGTGTCTGCTAGGCCAGTACCTCTCTGGGAACATAATATAAAAACAACTATTAAGTAAATAGAAAAGCTTAAACAATACGCATATAACTCCAGCTTGAAGCATTTTTTAATGCTTTATAAATCACTAGAAAACACGTGACAGGAACTATTCCTGATCAGTCTTAGGATGTGCAGGATGCCCCAAGAAGCTTTTCCTGTTTACTACTTTTTTGAGTGTATGAATATATGTTTTTTGACTTTGAGATAGTTAATATCCAGAAGAGTTCTTTGGCTATGGAAATAGCCTTGAAGGCTTGGGTCTGGGAAAATAATAGAGAGAAAGAGTTACTAGGGCTTAGTAGAAGAATTGAGGGAAGGATGCAGGGAAAAGCGGACAATAAATAGAAAGAGGAAGCTGGTGAAGGTAGACTTTGGCAGCTGGGGCAGCGGCACTTGGGCCGCTTATGTGAGGTAGCCCGCAGAGGCACCTTTGGGTGGAGAGAGAATAAAATCTGGTTTTGACACGTTTGTTTTAGATGGCAATGAAATGTCTAGCCTATATATTTTGTAGACACTGAGAAATAAGGGACTGAAAAGAGGAAGAGGTGTCAGGGCTGAAGATGGAAATCTGGGGCTCATCTGAGTATAGGTGGTAATTGAATCCTTATGGCTGCACTAAGGGAATAAGTAGAGAAGGAAAAGATGGGCTAGGAGCCCCTGGCTGAACCCCAGGGGCACTAAGTGGTAATGCATGGAGGGAGGGGGAGAAGTTAAAAGAAGGAAGAAAAAGCAGACAGAAATATCTGAGGAGTCCCAGGGCCTAAGGTCCCTGCCACTGAGGCCGTGAGAATGTTGAGAAGGCAGCACAGATCCCTGGAACGGGATTGCCGCTAAGAAGTTAAGTAAGAAGCCATGGTGTTTGACAGCTTCCATAAAAGCAAATGACAAAAGCTAGGACTGCAGAGAGGTGAAACCAGGGCCTAATCTGGATCTGGTCTGGATTGTTTCCTCCATGCTCTCTAGCACAGAGCTTTATAAGACAGTGTTGGTTTAACGAATGAGGGAGGGAATGAGGGAATGACTGAATCAAGCAAGTAAGCAGATATAGAAACATGGGCGTTTTCATAAAGCAGAGTACTCAACAGTGCCTGTGAGCATCACTGACAGGCCAAACACATAAAACAGGCAGAAGGGAGAAAAGGAATTGAGAAAAAGAAGGACAAGGAAGAGACAGAAGGGGGAAGGAAAGAGCAGTAAGAACTGAAAAAGGCTGGAGTTTCCTGGAGTGTGCAGTTGTGGAGCCCTAGATCTGTGGGTTTGGCCCTTACTTTGCTCGTATCTCTAGTTGTTTCTTTGACATTCATCTTGTGTCTGTGATGAAACTTTAAGTTTCTTAGTAAAGACAAGAACTACTATTGTGTATCTCTTTAGTACCTAATACAATTCTACAAGCATTTACTTTATTCTTGATAACAGGTGGAGAGAAAGAAAGCAGGTTTTCAGTAATTTATAAAAGTGAAGAATTATCTAGAAATGTAGTCAGTGAAAACATCCAGTTTTGATAAGTCAAACTAAAACATCCATTCTTCACTCAGAGTAGGCTTTTAAACTTGGATTTTCTAAGTAATTTACTCAAAGCCCTCTCTCTCAAAGACCCTCTTGTGAAATGCCCTTGTGAAGTGCTTGTGAAATGGCCTTTTGAGTTAGCTCCACAAAATGTCCTTCCTAATCTTAGCAAAATGAAGAAATGGGTCAAAATGATTTGAAATATGCTTCTCTGTCTCTTCCTTCACCTCTTTTTGGTTTCATTTTCGTAAGAGTACCTGTCAGCATTTGCAGAAGAATTAAAGGCAGTGTCGTTCTGGAGGGAAATCACATGTTCCTTTAATTTTGTGATGGAAGGACTTATAAAGAGAAGTGGAGCTTGGTTAGAAAGGGGAGATGTGCACATAGGAAATGTAAGCAGGGCTGGTGAGAAAACTTGGTGGTGGCGTTTAATTAATTTTGAAACTGGGAAATAGTTCTACAGTTAATCTGTAAGTTTTTTTATGTTGAATGCTTGGAAAATTTCAACTTTTTTATTTTCAGACACTTTGTATGCAGTGATGACATAAATAAGAAAAATGGCCTTGAAAACATCAAAAATGTAATTTTCACCTTCTTATGCTTTAAAAACACCTGAATGCACTTTTCTCAAACTTTTAAGAAAAGAAACAAAACTCAGATTTTGGTAAAGATCAAGATGAATGGTGTTGACAAATTTCAGGAGGCTGGAGAGTCTGAAAATAGTCTTATGGATGACATCTGTATGTAACTTTTTAATGCTCTACCACAGATGCTCCCATAAGGGCAACAGAGAAATAGCTGGAAAAGGTAACAATGTTACTTATTTTATTAAATACGTAAGAATTGTTTGCATCCATTTCCTGGCAGTATTTCCTATTTTTAGGAGTGAGGTGAATGATGTTGTAGAGCTGGAGATACCAGTGGGCTGACTACAATTTTCAAAGCACCTTGAGATGTAAAAAAATGTTTCTGTAGGAGGGAAGGGGTACGGTTCTGATAAATCTCTCAGCAGGATGAAAAAGAAAAGGGAGGTCTAGACAGTCTTGTTTCATCTAATAGAATTTTCCCACAGAAGATGGGCAAACATCAGATAAGAACATTTATCAGACCTCACACATTTTACAGCCATATCCCTTTGGGAACATTGCGCAGCATAGACTTGCTAAGTCCTGAAAATGGAAGACAGAAAGCACTATAAAAAATATGGACTGGCGCCCTGAAAAACCAGTCTTTATTACTCACCCTAACATATACATTTGGCATTTTGGTGTACTTGTTAAATGATACATAAAACCGTATCACTAATGAAAATACAGCAGTAGTCCATGAGCTCTTGGCTCAAAAGAAAGCAAAAGTAAATTAAGCAAAATATCTACTTTAAAAAAAAAATGGTAGTAGTCCCATTGGACCCACTTTCCTATTCTGCTCTTGCCTGATTTTCATAACAGTGGGTGAATGCAGAGATGCTTTAGTAGTAAGTGCAGGTGATGCCAGGGCAGATTTTTGCCAATGAAATAAGAATTTAAGAAAAATGTTAAATTCATGTAATGTTATTTCAAAGGCTAATCCAATAATTCTTAAACATTTATGTAAATCTGCCATTTTCTCACTCTGGAAGACAGATAAAGAGAACCACGTGAGAAGATATAGCATGTTCTATTACTTGCCATTAAATTGATAAGAATTACAATGTCTGTGAATCCATCAATACCACTGAAGGACATGCAGTGGAATCAAATAGGTGGCAGAATAGCTATATGAATCACATAATATAACAAATCTTTTCACCAGATGGTGTTCAGATTTGCTGTTTATTTGTGGCTTATTTAATATTATCCTGCTTTTCCTCAATCCACAAAGGATTCAAAGCTTCTTACAAAGAACACCTTGGGCCTCAGGCAACCAGTTTTTAATGACGAAAGATGGACTCTGAAGTCCATGACATTTAGTAATTTGTCACTTTTCTTGTGCACAAAGTTGAATTCTGGCTCCGGGAAGCTGATGTTTGGGAGAAAATCATTTAGTTGTGGATGAAGTGAGCCAATACATAGCTGGTAGTCCCAATATGACTTGTTTGTTTCCTAATTTGAGTTTACATAGTAACTCTTTTAAAGAAACAAAACCATTTTTTAGTGGTGGGGGAGTTCTTTGTGAAAATAGCCGTGAAGTGAGAGATGAGTCCGGGGTAGAAGCTGGAAAAGGAGTTAACTTGCAGTCTGAGGATGTGCACAGGAAACGCTTGCCTCTAGATAGTAATACAGTTTCAGGAGAGATCTCCAAACCTGAGTGAACTATTTCCTGGATTCTTAAGTTTAGAGACTGTGAATCTGGGGGCTTGCCAAGTCCTCAAAAACATCAAGGGCCTACTAAAATATAATAGAAAATCTAGAATAAAAAAAGAGAAAAAGACAAGGAACATGTAGATTTGTTTAGAATGCGTATTTTAGGTGCAATTCTCCTATTACCAACTGATATGGTTTGCCTGTGTCCCCACCCAAATGTCAACTCGAATTGTATCTCCCAGAATTCCCATGTGTTAGGGGAGGGACTCAGCAGGAGGTAACTGAATCATGGGGGCCAGTCTTTCCCATGCTATTCTCGTGATAGTGAATAAGTCTCACAAGATCTGATGGGTTTATCAGGGGTTTCCACTTTTGCTTCTTCCTCATTTTCTCTTGCCACTGCCATGTAAGAAGTGCCGTTCGCCTCCCGCTATGATTCTGGGGCCTCCCAAGCCATGTGGAACTGTAAGTCCAATTAAACCTCTTTTTCTTCCCAGTCTCAGGTATGTCTTTATCAGCAGCGTGAAAACAGACTAACTAATACAGTAAATTGGTACCAGGAGAGTGGGGCATTGCTGAAAAGCTACCTGAAAATGTGGAAGCGACTTTGGAACTGGGCAACAAGCAGAGATTGGAACAGTTTGAAGGGCTCACAAGAAGACAGGAAAATGTGGGAATGTTTGGAACTTCCTAGAGACTTGTTGAATAGCTTTGCCCAAAGTGCTGATAGTGATATGGACAATAAAATCCAGGTTGAGGTGTTCTCAGATGGAGATGAGGACCTTGTTGGGAACTGGCACAAAGGTGACTTTTGTTATATTTTTAGCAAAGAGACTGGTGGCATTTTGCCACTGCCCTAGAGATTTGTGGAACTTTGAACTTGAGAGAGATGATTTAGAGTATCTTGCAGAAGAAATTTCTAAGCAGCAAAGCATTCAAGAGGTGACTTGGGTACTGTTAAAGGCATTCAGTTTTTGTTTTTGTTTTTGTTTTTTGAGACGGAGTCTTGCTCTGTCACCCAGGCTGGAGTGCAGTGGCAGGATCTCGGCTCACTGCAAGCTCCGCCTCCCGGGTTCACGCCATTCTCCTGCCTCAGCCTGGGACTACAGGTGCCCGTCACCATGCCTGGCTAATTTTTTTATTTTTAGTAGAGACGGGGTTTCACCATGTTAGCCACGATGGTCTCGATCTCCTGACCTCATGACCCGCCCGCCTTGGCCTCCCAAAGTGCTGGGATTACAGGCGTGAGCCACTGCGCCCGGCAGGCATTAAGTTTTATAAGGGAAGCAGAGCATAAAAGTTTGGAAGATTTGCAGCCTGACTATGTGATAGAAAAGAAAAAAATCTCATTTTCTGAGGAGAAATTCAAGCCAGCTGCAGAAATTTGCATAAGTAGCAAGGAGCCTAATGTTAATCCCCAAGACCATGGGGGAAATGTCTCCAGACCATGTCAGAGACCTTCACGGCAGCCCCTCCCATCACAGGCCTGGAGATCCAGGAGAAAAAGTGGTTTTGTGGGCCAGGCCCAGGGTCCCCATGCTGTGTGCAGCCTACGGACTTGGTGCCCTGTGTCCCAGCAGCTCCAGCTGTGGCTGCAAGGAACCAACGTACAGCTTGGGCTGTGGCTTTGGCGAGTGGAAAACCCAAGCCTTGGCAGCTTCCAAGTGGTGTTGAATCTGTGGGTGCACGGAAGTCAAGAATTGAGGTTTGCCAACCTCCACCTAGATTTCAGAAGATGTATGAAAACACCTGGATGCCCAGGCAGAAGTTTGCTGCAGGGGAATGGCTCTCGTGAAGAACCTCTGGTAGGGCCATGGGGAAGGGAAATGTGGGGTTGGAGCCCCCACACAGAGTCCCAACTGGGACACTGCCTAGTGGAGCTGTGAGAAGAGGGTCACCATCCCCCAGGCCCCAGAATGGTAGATCTACTGACAGCTTTCACTATGTGTCTGGAAAAGCCACAGACACTCAACACCAGCCCATGAAAGCAGCTGGGAGGGAGGCTGTACCCAGCAAAGCCACAGGGGCGGAGCTGCCTAAGACCGTAGGAACCAACCTCTTACATCAGTATGACCTGGATGTGAGACCTGGAGTCAAAGGAGATCGCTTTGGAGCTTTAAAATGTGACTGCCCCACAGGATTTCGGACTTCCATGGGCCCTGTAACCCCTTTATTTTGGCCAATTTCTCCCATTTGGAATGGCTGTATTTACCCAATACCTGTACCCCCATTGTATCTAGGAAGTAACTAGCTTGCTTTTAATTTTACAGGCTCATACACAGAAGGGACTTGCCTTGTCTCAGATTAGACTTTGGACTGTGAATTTTTGGGTTAATGCTGAAATGAGCTAAGACTTTGGGGGACTGTTGGGAAGGCATGATTGGTTTTGAAATGTGTAGATATGAGATTTGGAGGGGCCAGGGGCAGTATGATATGGTTTGGCTGTGTCCCCACCCAATGTCAACTCAAATTGTAGCTCCTAGAATTTCCATGTGTTGTGAGAAGGACCCAGGGGAGATAATTGAATCATGGGGGCCGGTCTTTCCTGTGCTATTCTCATGATAGTGAATAAGTCTTATGAGATCTGATAGGTTTTTCAGGAGTTTCCGCTTTTGCCTCTTCCTCATTTTCTCTTGCCACCACCATGTAAGAAGTGTCTTTCGCCTACCACCATGATTCTGAGGCCTCCCCAGCCATGTGGAACTGTAAGTCCAACTAAACATTTTTCTTCCCAGTCTTGGGTATGTCTTTATCAGCAGCATGAAAATGGACTAATACACCAACCTTGGGAAACTTCATTGCCTGACCATTTCCCTAGTTTCTTCAATTGGAAACGAGGGGAAGCTGCTCATCCCCACCAATTGTTGTGCCCCAAAGAAGGGCAGCGTGGTCCTCCTGCTAATTTAGTTGGTAAACTTGGGCCCAATCAAGTAAAAAAAAGAAGAAAAAAAAATCCCTATGGCTATTCTTAAAGAAGACCCCTCAAGAAATAAAAGAACATGGTTCTGGGTCCTTTCCCACTCCCAAAGGAGAGCAGCTCCATTTTTATGATTTATATAAAATGATGTTCTGAAGACTGGGGGTTAGGGGAGAGAATGAGGAAGTGGAATGTTTCTTTGATGAAGGAACACTCACCACCCACTAGGGGCTTCCCTGTGTTACATTCAGACTATTGTCAGTTCCTGGGCTTTCAGGGACTAAGCTGGTACAGTAGTGAGCTCCCCTTGCCAGCTACAGCACTGGACCAGTCCAACAAAATATATTTTGAGGCTGAAGATCAAACAACTTAGTGAATAATGGAAGCTCCTGTAGGCTCCTGTACCCTGTGGGAACCTAGAAGAGTATGGTAGGACAGCAACATAAGAGCCATTTTCTGGCTTCAAATGGGAGCTCTAGGGCTCTGATTGGAGATGCCAGACTTTATCACCCGTAAGAAAGTCATTCTCGCCGGGTGCGGCAGCTCATGCCTGTAATCCCAGCACTTTGGGAGGCAGAGGCGAGTGGATCACCTGGGGTCGGGAGCTCGAGACCAGCCTGACCGACATGGAGAAACCCCGTCTCTACTAAAAAATACAAAATTAGCTGGGTGTGGTGGCACATGCCTGTAATCCCAGCTACTCGGGGGCTGAGGTAAGAGAATCGCTTGCACCTGGCGGGGCGGAGGTTGCAGTGAGCCAAGAGCACGCCATTGCACTCCAGCCTGGGCAACAAGAGCAAAACCCCATCTCAAAAAAACAAAACAAAACAAAAGAACAAACAAAAAAACCAGGAAAGTCATTCTCTGACCCACCCCCAGCCCACCTTGGGAAGGATACTATTTAATAGTGACTTAAATTCCTCTTAGGGTAGGGAAGGTCCATCTTGTCTTGGCTTATTCAGGGCAGTGGAAGCTTTACCCACTTCCTACTCTTCTTCATGTTATTGAAGCCCAGTTAAAATGAACCAACTTAGAATATAAAATTATTTTAATATTTCTTCATCTGACTTCTAATCCCATTGTTCTTTTTGCTGTATCTGAAGATAGTCCCAACTTCTCAAATATGTTATTAATTTCTGGGCTGTAAAATGAATATGGAAGAGGGACTCAAATTTTGTAAATGCTGTGGGGTTACAAATCACCAATTGTCCTCTGCCTCTGTGTTGCCTCAGCCTACCGCAAGACCTCCCTACACACACACACACACAGACACACACATCCCTGAAGTCACTCTAAATATCAGTAATTATGAAGTTGGCCAGGCACAGTGGCTCACGCCTGTAATCCCAGCACTTTGGGAGACTGAGGCAGGTGGATGGCTTGAGGTCAAGAGATCGAGACCATCCTGGCCAACATGGTGAAAACCCATCTCTACTAAAAACGCAAAAATTAGCTGGGCGTTGTGGGGCGTGCCTGTAGTCCCACCTACTCAGGAGGCTGAGACAGGAGAATCACTTGAACCCAGGAGGCACCGGTTGCAGTGAGCCGAGATCCTGCCACTGCACTCCAGCCTGGCAGTAGAGCAAGACTCCGTCTCCAAAAAAACAAAAAAAGTAATTGTGAAGTCTTTGGCAACTTCCTGAGGCCTTCCAACTCTCTCCCAGCCTTTCAGAACAGGTCTTCCTATTTTCTTCCATCCCTCTTCTGCCGTTCTGTCATATTTCTAGAGTGGGGCTGGCAATAAAACTATCAGAGAAGAGAGAAACCATATGTTCTGAGGTAAAATTTAACAGAATAAAGAAATTTCCAGCCCTTGAAAATGCCCAGAAGCTTCCAAGCAGACCCTCCTTAAAAGTTTCCATCTACTGTCTTTTATTAAACCCTGGTATTCCTCAAATGTGAAATTCCTTTCTGAATTGTTAAAATATTTTTATAAATAAAAAAACTCAATTAATTTTGAGTAGCTCAAAAGTATCTTTTCTACAATTTCTAAAGTAAAGATGCTACATTTTAGGTTATAAGTTTTTGCCACCAGGTGTGACTCTAACTATTCTTCATATCTTTTGTTCGCTCAAACGTGTCCCAAATTTGAAAAAAATTGACTTTTGGACAATTTCTAATAAGCATTTGGGTGGTCCTGAGCAGGAGGAACTTCTAGTTTGTGAAGTAGCTAAGGAAAACATCTTAGGCAATTTTTAGTTCCAAGAACTTAGCCTGACCAAGTAACCTGACTTGCAGCTTAGGCGTTTAATTAGGAGCAATTTGGACACCAGAGTTCCGATTCTGCTCTTGGTGCCATCTTTTTCTTTGGGGAAGTGTTCTGCTTACAGCCTATATTTTGTGAACATCGTTTCCTGTATATCTTTGTGTCTAATACGGCACTTCAAACATAGTAGGCATTTGGAAATTGCTCCCTGAACTGAATTAAATGCAAGGTTAATTCATGGTTGTACATGATCAGAGTTGGAGTAAAAAATGAAATAAAATGAAAAGCACTATCAATTAATCAGGTTAAGTCATGTCAAGCGATCATTAAGTTTTCGATGATCTTGCAGATCTTTGAGAGAATGCGGATCTCGGGCATTTTCAGTTGTGTGCACTGACACGTGAATGTGTGTGTGCCCTCACATAAGTTCTTACATAGCAGAAGGAAGGAAGTTGTGAAAGGGGAGAAAATAGAGCTATTGACTGCAGAGCCATAAAGCTGTTTTTAGAATGACTGCTTCTGTTGTATTGGGGAACGCTTCCTTTGAGAGGGGGTATATTATGCATCCTCTTTCCATTAAGTCTATTTTTGGAAGAAATTACAGAAGATAATATATTACCAGCTCCCAGGGATCTCTTATCAACATAGCCTCTGTTCTCATAACACACCTGCTTAGAGCAAAATAAATTATTCTGTCCTCAGGAATGCCAACCCCAGACAATCAAAATCTTCACTAAATCCCTGTATTTATTAGGGAAGCTCGGATTTTTGAAAAGTGTTAACTCCGCCCCTAAAAGCAGTAAGCGAGAGATAACAACAGTGGAGTCTTGTGGTTGAGCATTCAATCAGCTTCAACAGGGGCAAAGTCTAGGAATTGTTTTCAAAACAGTGTGGGGCTTCCTACTCAGGGGGAGGATTTATCTGCATTTGGCAATTACTCCAGTTACCTTGGAACAAGAAATTTACTTCTCAGTAGTTTTGCAAATTAAGTGTTTAACTTCGTCTCTATAGAATTAATGCCTCGGAGGTGGGGAGAGGGAGGCAGAGGAGAGGCTTTCAAGGCCAGTTCACAAGTTTGACACTTAAAGTGATAGTAGCAAGTTTTTCTCTAACTGCAAGAGTGTGAAGTTCTGTTTCCACCTAATTGCAGTTTGCATCCTGCAAGTGTATTGATTTAGACATTAAAACAACTTAAATGTTTAGCAGTAAAAAGTTGTTTAATCATTAAACCACTACCATTTTCTTTCGCCCTTTAAACCTGCTTTCAATCAGCAAATGCTGATTTGGATGCTGGTTTACAGTCTCATTAACCATGAAGATCACAAAGGAAAGGTTGTGGCAGCAGTGGGAAGCTCTGAAGCACCCTCATTGTCACAGGAAACATTCAGTGAGACATTCAGCTGTCTCACAACACACACAGCTCTGAGAGAGGTTTGGGTGACAGAAATGCAGCCTCCAGTTCCAGAAGCAGCACGCTGTTCATTCCAGGAAAGGAAAAAAAAAGTGCTTTTCTGCGTGACCATGTTGATCACTGTTACCATGCAGTAATCAGGGGTCTTTTTGCCACTTAAGTGTAATGGGAGGAGGGTATATCATTGGAGACTCCTAGGTGAATGGCGTGGATGTTACTCTTTTGCAAAGCAAGGAGGAGTTGCAGTGTTTCATGGCCTTCTTTCAACACACGGGAGTTTTATCACTCATTTTAAACGCACAACTTAACACCATTTTCAAACTGAGTTCCAGCCCTGGATTGTTTTTTTACAAAATGGCCCCTTTCCCCTCATAGTGGGATGGCCATGGGTGCCCATTAATTGCTACACTTATAGGAACTGAATTTATTCCCTTCATGGTAGAAAAACCAAGCCTATTTTCTGAAACTTAATCCTGTGAGCTACCATCCACGGCCATACCAGGCTCCAGGAAGGGATCACAACTTTCTGAAGAGATGAATTGCTGCTTTAACAAAGGCTACGTGTGCCTTTTGATTCCATATTCTGCCTCCACTAGATGTTTGGTTTTGCTGCCAAATATAAAAACCACACTGGAAAAGACAGTTCTTCACTTTTAAGTGGCTGTGTGATAGAAAATTGGTAATTAGTTCAGTTTTGAGGAAGACAGGGACAAACTCTTCTTTACGTTTTATAAAATCACAAATTATCACAGTGATCTCCATTTGAGATGGAGAAATGGAAACCTAGCAAGTTCCAGAGACTTGCCCAAGATCTTGTAGCTAATTATTAGAAGCAGGAAATGGGTTAGAAACCAGAACCCTGATTTACAGCTAATTGTATTTTCGGCTATCCAAATATCTTTACTGGATTAATACAAACTTCTCTTGTCCTCAGGTAATACAAATACCTGTCCTCATAGAAAATAAAGGCTTATTGGTCTGTCTCTTTCTCTCTGTCTCTCTCTCTCTTTGTATCTGTGTGTGTGTGTGTGTGTGTATATATATTTTTTATATATGTATGTATATATAAAATATGTATGTATATATGTATGTATATACATACATATTTCTGTCACCCAAAATATGTATGTGAGTATATATATATATATATGTATGTATGTATATATGTGTATATATTATATATTTTATAAAGATATATATTCAATCATACATTGCTTAACAATAGGGGTACATTCTGAGAAATGCATCTTTAGGCAATTTCATTGTTGTGTTAGCATCAAAGAGTGTATTTACACAAACCTAGATAGTACAGCCTACTGCACATCTAGGCTAAATGGTGCATCCCATTGCTCCTAAGCTACAAACCTGTACAGCATGTTACTGTACTGAAACTGTAGGCAATTGTAACACAATAGTAAGTATTTGTGTATCAAAACATATCTAAACATAGAAAAGGTACAGTAAAAATACAGCATAAAAGATTTTAAAATGGTACACCTGTATAGGGCACTTACCATGGATGGAAATTGCCAGACTGGAAGTTGTGGTTGCTCTGGGTGAGTCAGTGAGTGAGTGGTGAGTGAATGTGACAGCCTAGAACATTACTGTACACTATGCAGACTTTGTAAACACAGTACACTTGGGCTACACTAAATTTATAAAAAATATTTTTCTTTCTTCAATAATAAATTAACCTTAGCTTACTGTAACTTTTTTACTTTATAACCTTTAAATTTTTTTAACTTTTTTACTCTTTGTAATAAAACTTCACTTAAAACACAAACACATTATGTAGCTGTACAGAAATATTTTTCTTTATATCTTTATAAGCTTTTCTCTATTTTGAAAATTTTAATTTTTTTTAATTTTCAAACTTTTTGGCTAACAACTAAGACATAGCACACACATTTGCCTAGGCACACATAGGGTGTGGATGATCAAAATGTCAGTAGGCAATAGGAATTTTTCAACTCCATTATAATCTTCTGGGACCACCACCATATATGCAGTTCATTGTTGAGTGAAACGTCATTATGTGGTGCATGGCTGTATTTATATCCGTATAAAGATTACACATATATAAAGGATGCAAAGACAAAGAGTACATATATATTTATATATGTAGTGTACTGTATATATGCATGTATGTATGTATGTATGTATGTATCTTACTTTGGGATTTCCTTTTTTCTAACCTTCTTACCATTTTAAGAATTGGTCTATGCACAGCAAACTTTTAGAATCGCAATTAAAATATTCAGAGAAGTGGCCAAGTTTTTGTATAGGTGTTTGGATACTGTGCAGACAAGTTCTACATTTCTCTGTTCTCAAAACTCCTTCCTACATAAATACTGAGGACTGTTCTCTGGCCAAAGTTTGTCAAACCATTTCTCTGAGTAACAAGACTTCCTCATGTTTTCCATACTCTATAGTTCAGTGTTGCAGCCTTCCCATACTTGATTTTTAAAGCGGAGTTTTGTTTTGTTTGTTCTTAGTGCATTATGACTATAAAATGTAAAAACCTTTCCTCTTTGAAGATAAAAGGAAGTAATCCTAATTTTAAACACTTACTTGTTTTAAAAAATTGAAAAAAAAGTATCGACTTGATATGTCTAAAGAGACCTATGTATATATGTATTAGATATTTATATACATACATATGTATGTATATATGTAATATATATCATATATATATTTTAGAAATCTGCAAATTTAAAAAGGGAGTGTTTAGATTGCAGAAGACCTATCCCTAAACCCCGAATCCCAGAATTCTTAAGCTAGAAGGGCACTTGAGAGGTGATCTCATCTATAAAGAGATGTATATTTAAGGAGCTAATTTACACAGGTAGATGACAAAACCTTACACCAACTCTTCAAGCACAGGAAGCACCTTACACGAAACACTTTGGTGAATGCTCATTTCTACTCAATTTTAAACTAAATTCAACTGAAAATACCTCATTTTAAAGAGGATATTCAGTTGACTCACTGGGGAAAAACAATTGGATAAACTGGTTGTTTGCCCTTACCGAGATAAAATCACTGATAAGTTGAATGCATTTTTGTAATGTGTCAAGACAGATGGCTTTAATAGTCACACATATTAAGTATGGGATATGTGGCGAGGAATAGAGGTTTTTATATACAGAAGTAAGAACTGTAGAGGGGGGAAACCATGAAAGATAGAAAAAGATGAGAAGAAAGAGGACAGAGATGATACACTCAAGAAAAGCTGCCTATTTCAGAGTAGAATATATTGTAAGCCCCAGTATAGTTGAATGCTTACAAGAGGAGAAGCTTTTAGCAACTCCTTTGTTTCTTAATGTATATATTATATCTGAACAGAATGCTTCTTTCCTGTGAGCTAGACAGTAGGAAGTAATCTATCTTCAACCTTGTTTGGTGTGTAAATAAAACTTTAGAAAGGGTCTATTGAACTTTGGACAGGCAAGCTCCATGAGCTCTCCCTCACTCTTTGAGGCAGGTTAAAGGGTACGGCCATGACCACCACCTTAATCCTTCAGGGACTATTTACAAAAGATTGAAAAATGTGCCCAGGGCCCGTACCTGCCCCTCTGTGGAACTAGCCCAACTCAAGTGGGCTGGCAGGCAAGCCTGGCTTTCATGGGGACAGAAGAGAGAGTTTGCGGGGAGCTTGGCATTTTTCAACACATGCTTTTTGGCTTCTCCTACTGAATTTGTAATTTCCATGATATTTGGTGGGAAAATGGACACCGGCCTCTTTTGCTTTTTGTCTGCTGCTTTGCAGCTATTGGGATTCTGCGCCTTGGGATAATGAAGCAGGCTGTCATTTCCTCCCCCTAAATAATGCATTACAAAGTGGAAATGCAAATTTCCTGTGCAAGCTCTAAGTAGCAGGTGGTATTTCCTTAATATATTGTTTTTGACCTTTGGGGAAATTGGTATTACGAGCTGACTTTGGAAAATTAAAATAGCATCAAGGTCCTACATTTTAAATAAAACAATCGATATCTTAATTTTTAAAATCAGACTAGATTACGATACCAGGAAAAGACATACATATTTTGCTTTTATGTGTTAAAGTTTTGTAATTCAGGGAGGACAAGAAAAGGGATATGGTGCAGCTGAACTTTCTAATTCACTAAGACAGGAAAAAAGGAAGGAAAAAATGTATATTTTTAAGTTTCAATTTAAACCTTTGCTGTTAACTAAATGCTTTGATATGATCAGTCATACAAAGAGTTAAATTAAGCATGGAGCTGTTCAGATGGCAAATCTGCGTTGAGCTGAAGGTAAAAGACATCTGTATTTTTCATTCATTTGCTCAGCAGCACTAAATTTCAAGCTTGTTTTTTGTTCAGCATCAAAGAAAAGGTTGTTTTATGGTTATTGGATTTTTTTTAACCCACATATTTCATGAAAGGGACTCAAGTCACTGGGTCTTTATATTCTTTTAAGTTATTTTTCTGCCCACAGCCATTCTGCAAGCCATCTTGTTGAAGAGGGAAAACATAATTTCATTCTTTTTCTCTTCCTTTGAAGAAAAAAATTTAAGAGATTTAAATACCATTCACATTTTGGAACTTCCTTCTTTACCCCCTCCCGAAACCATCATCTCACAACTATGTAAAGCAATCAAATGTTGAAAGACTTAAGAGATTTTCACACACATAAATATCCTTTATATACTTATAACTGCTCTACTTATCAAGGGCAACAAGAATGGAACCCAGGAGCTAAGTTTATAGATGTTTGTGTGTGTGTGTGTGTGTGTGTGTGTGTGTGTGTGTGTTTGTGTGCGTATCAATATATCCAGATGTGTCCAAATGTACACGGTATTTTTAGCATACAAATTGCTGATTAGGCATCTATGTCCCTTTCTCCTCTAAAACCTCTAAGTGCATGGATCTATTAGTGGATGGGCGCCAGAACGACACAGTCAATGCAGGACTGAAATATTTACCAAACCCAAGAAATGAAGGTTTGTTTGAATAGTTTAAACTTGACAGGAGGCTGAGACAAGAGGATCACTTAAGCCTAGGAGTTCGAGGCTACAGGCAGCTCTATGATCATGCCCCTGCACTCCAGCCTGGGCGATAGAGCAAGACCCTGTCTCTCAAAAAAATAAAATAAATTTGAGTAGTGTAAGCTATGTAAACTTGGATAATCCGGTTACCTTCATTCTTTAATTTTTCCATAGCATATATTTGGCTTCAATGTCCAGGTTTTCGAGCACGAGAAATCTGCATTTTCATTCTAAGAAGTATAAAACAAGATAGTTATACTTCATGTAAGGTTCACATTAATTGTCATTGCACCTCTTCTTCCCAGAAGGAAGAGGGAAGTGAGAGCTGGAGTCAAAACTGGGTACTGTAAATGCTCATCTAATCTTGGAATCTCAGGGGATATTAATTTTCCAGATAGTTGAGTTATTGCCTTCAAATTTTAACTTCAAATTTTGTTAATGTGGTTGTATATGCAAATTCAGCCAATGTGCATGATATGTGTGTCTCAAACTACATTTATGAATTCACTGTAATTTTATGTTTCTCTTGATAATGTTTGATTGTTAACATAAGCATCACTAGACTTGTCAAGTGGCAAAGATCATATTCTTTCATTCTTTCTTCCTTTCTCATTTCTTGAATGCTGGCTATATGCCAGGAACTATGTACCCACCCTGGTGCTTGGTGTATAGAAGGCACTCAATGAATGTATGTTGAATAAATGAAAAAAATAAATGAATAAACAAGTTCAATGGATAGTTAAAAGGATAGTTTCAATTCTATAAACCTTAATTTGGGTGTAGGACCAGTCACAGTACCATGACAGATAGAGCTATTTGGTGATAAATAGTGTGGAATGTATTTACCACCAGGCAGTAATGCCCTGTCCCTCCTTGAATAGTACTACAGATATGAGAGTGCTTTTTTAAATTTTTAATCATTGGCCACTTTCTCTAGAAATTGGAGGGAAACTGTGCAGCAACAGGACTCTCTGGGCATTGTGACAGGTCTACTGTCTACAAAATTTGTGTTCAAGGCAAAATCTAAAGCAGCCATCTTTCAAAAGGATGTCCTCACTTTATAAAAAACAATTATTGCAATGACTATAGCCAATGAGGTTGTTCTTGCCACTGCCATTCAAAACATCAGTGATTTTGGCATCTTGGGCACATACCACAGACACCAACTTGTTTTTTCTTTCCCACACCTCTGTCCTATATATGCTAAGTTTATTCTTGGGCTGTGACAGAGGAGCATTCCTTATCACTTTGAGAAGTTCAGCTAGGATATTTAGGGGATGAACTGCATTCTTACGAATTCTTTATCATGATTACACTCCTATCTAGTATAATTTGAAGATAAAGTAGGGCCTTTGGAGGTAGACTAGCATAGGTTTGAAATGTTTCCTTCATTCATTATCAGCTGCCAAGAGTAACCTGGGGACGATTCCGTGCTTCGTAAACATGGTCTCTTCATATACATGCTGATATACAGGAAAGACCTTTGCAGAACTCCATGAAAGTTTGTTTTTTATTATTGTACTAAAAATTACATATACCTGACCAGACACAAAACTAAGCTGTAAGTTTTCTTTAAACCTCCTTAATATTTTGTCCTTTAAGCATAAGCGATGTTGCAAAGCACCCCTTTAATTTATCCTGTGTAAACAATCACTATAGTCTGCAAAATAGATTGCATTTCTTATGAAATCCACTTTGTAATAACATTTTGTATACAGAATGATGCATTCAGTGAATGAGGTAATTAATGCTAAAGGATAAAAAGATTATTTAAAAAATTTACCAAACTATACCTTGCTTCCTCAGTAGCTATGCATAGGTAAGTCTGTTATTCTGAAATTATGGTTGACTGAAAGAATAAATATAAAAGATAGTGGGAGGTATCCATCAAAAATGTCTTTATCTTTTTAAACACTGGTATGCACTCTATAAGGAGTAAGCAACAGTGACAATTTTTCCCTAATCACTAAATGATTATTAACCATTTGTAAGAAGAGTTAACCTGTCCTTAATTTGTTTGAACCCATAGGGCCATGAACAAACACCATAATAGAGTGAAGAAAGCAATGCCAACGTAGACCAATTTTATCACTAATATAGAACTGCCCTGGGACAGAGTATGCCCAGATATGAGTTCTCAGAAAAAGCCACAGAACTCTTCTGTAAACTCCTATATCAACTATATCCTACCTTCTCTTCTGCCTCAGCTTGCAGTAGCAGAAAAAGTTTACATGTGTTTGTATATTCACTGAACAGTAGCCCTCAAAGAATAGGGAATTCTCACATCTTTTCAAAAAGAGCCACTTAAAGAAAATACATTCTAAGTGCTTTAATTCAGATTTAAATGGCTACATTGCGAGATATTATTCCATATAATTGGAGTAATTGTGAATTTATACAGATTTTCAACAGTGGCACTGTGCAACCATTGATAAAATACAGGGGCTGGGGGGATAAAACCAGTATTGCCTGGATCCAGTGACATTTTCCCATGCTCACTTTTTCCAGTTGTGTAGCAATGACCATATTCTCTAATAACATCAGCATACTTTTATGCTTTGGTCTTTTTCCTTTTCATTAGGAGAATACTGGAATTCATGCTGTAGAATGGTTCCTTTTATACCCCAGCCCACTTGTTCAACGACATTCCTGTGATTTTACTATCTAATATGTTGTGGCTATAACCAGAGAATGCAAAATCTGTCTTCCTGAGAGCCTTGGCCTCTATGTTTTCTACCAAATCATACCTCCATTTTCTCTATAAAGGCTGTTGGTACACCCACAAATGTCATCTGTTTGTGATGAGCAGAACTGAGGCACTTTTGTTCTGATGCTTACATTTGTTCACATGAATAGAAGTTCCTCACTTGAAAGTGATTTGCACATAGGTTGAGGAACTGTGAATGAAATCACTCAACCTAGAGGCTGGCATTCTTCATGCTGCTGGCTGTTGATTTCTTCATCTTCTCCCTGAAGACCCTGCATGAGTGGTGAGTATCCATAAAGGCACCAGGAGACCCAGACACCTCTGTGGCAGCCAAGCAGGTGTTACCCTGCAGGACTTAAGAGGGATCTTAAGAGCAAGAGAAGGAAGGAGTGACTTCTCTCACCAGTGGTCAGAGCAGAAGGTGCAGAGCAGCAAGTTGCAGGTGCTGGCAGTGATGGCTTCTGAACTGAAGAGCAACCAAACCCTCCCATGTAACCCTGTCACCACAGCTCAAAGGGAGGTTTTCTTGCCCCCCAGTAGAAGGGAACTGACAGCGCCTGTATGGCTTTGCATCCTGAAGATACTGTAGTTGTTGCGTCTGTTGGGGAAGCATCAAGAAAATTAGATTGTTCCAACATTCAAGCTCTTCCATATTAGCTTTGTGTTCCATTTGATGTCAAACAATAGGTTGAAAAATTAGCTTAATTCTAAGCTTATATGTATATAGGGAATTTTATCAATTATTAGCACCATTATAACTTGTTAAACAGTGAACTTATAGTTGAATGTGATCTATTAGATGGCTGCTTAACATTTGCTCGAGAATAATCTATTAGTCATCTAAGCACAAAGCAGCTATTTGAAAATTTGTTGAGTAAATGACATCTCTTTGACAGAAATATCTGCATAATTGCAGTGTGTTATACATGCTCGTTATAGCCTAACTACACGTCTGTTTGAATTTGGGTTTTTCTTTTTTTTTTTCTGTCTGCATAACACACATGCAGACATCATAGTGTGAATACTTACTGTTATGATCTTGGAGAAAAGTGTATCTGTCAACTCTTTAACAGCCTAAGCATACTAAAGGTAGTTTGTAAGCAACACATAACTTTGAACATGGAAAAATTAAGTTTGCTTTTAATGAAATTCTAATTTTGTAACTTGCTGAGAGTTATTTTTAGAGAGTGGTAACTGTTGAAGAAAAAGAAGCTTTTTTTTTCTTTCAAATCCTGAAATGTAATTGGTAGTCATTAATTAAATTTTATAAAATAGATGTTCCTTTCAAAAGCAATCTCAAACAATAGTACATTTTAAAGTCTGGATCTCTTTCCCAGCAGCCCAGGGTGTTTTGAAGATAGGAGAACAAGGGAAGTACTTTAAGCTGTAAAGTCTTGCAGGGTAGCAGTTAAGTGCTTAAGGCACTGCATTCTTGATGCAGCGTCCTGTTACAGTAATATTATGAAAAAAAGCTACAGGGAATTCTCATACATGTCTAATACATATAGCTTTAATGTTCACATGGCTGGACCCATTCACAAATGGAATCTGTGGGTCAGATGTAGTTTGCAAGCCACTATTATTAAGCTGTTTTCCTTTTACTATTAAGTAATGTTGTTCCTTGTTAATATTATGAATGCGTGTGTTCTTTGCTCTCTCTGTAAATCTTTTGTTCCATTCATTTTTTTTTTTTTTGGCCTTACAAGAATGTGGGGGGAGGATATCCCTATCCACAAATCAAGTACTTTAAATAGCCAGGCTAGAGCTGAATGAAGGAAATCAGTCTAGATAACATCTTTGTGAAATGTATGCCTATGAACTCTGCGTCACACAATACAAAGGAAATTGCCATTGTCCTGCACAAGTTAGGTGAACAAAGCACATAAAAAATCCTGTTCTGGTTGCCATACATATTCCTGTGCAGCTGAAACTAGAATTCCAAACGCCACAGAAACGGCCAGGCTTAAGTGACTAACTTGCAAATCAGAGAGTGCAGGTTTTACATTGATAATACAGAGAGACCTGTAATCATTCATCACAGTGGTACTACATTTATTGATACTGAGCACTGCAAATCATAAACAATAAGGATTACATGACCACTGCTGCTACGGTGACTACTACTGCCATCACCGCCACCCTCCCTAGTGCTATTGAATAATGCTTATTAAGTTCTTTCAGCCAGCAACTGTGCTATGTACTTTAGTGTCATTCATCATATTTAATCACCCCAGCAACCCAATGAGGAATCCACTTTATAGAATTAAGGAAATTGAAGTTTAAATTGCTACCAGGTCACACAGCTTACGCATACCTGGTCTCATACTTGATCTCAGAGGTCTTTCTGGCCCCAAAGCCCTGTTCTTCCCCCACTATCTTGAACTTCCTTTCCCTGTATGTGAAGGGAATGGAACTCACCAGGTACCAAGATGTCACCTCCTAACCCTTACAAAGCCCAGTGAGTTATTTGGAGGAGAATTTTTCCCAAGGCCAAAAAGCTGCCCGTGTAATACTCCAAAGTAACTTCCATATCCTGGAAAGAGCAACTACAATCAAAGATAGCACCTTACAAACATCCTTCTTTTATTTAAAAAAATTAATTTTTTTTTAAAAGCTACCACCACCAACAGTTCTTCCCAAGATCAGAGATACCTGCACATCTGGCAATAAGCCCAGACATACCAAACTGTGTATTATCTAGAGCCAGGGACTTGAATACCACTGCATCTGCAGAGAGACAAGCATCTCATTTCAATAGACAACTTGTTCCTAGAGTGGGATACTCCCCTGCTGAACTGACAGGGAGCCGGAAGAGCGGCATTGAACAAAGAGAATAGTTATGACTGGGCAGCAGACGGCCCCAAGCACAACCCCAGGTTCTGCTCTTCTTCAACTTAACCAAGCAGAACTGCAGTTGACTCCCATTAAAAGTCAGTAGACATTTAGTCGGCTTCCAGAATGTGGGCAGAAGCTCATGTTAGTTATTTACTACCCATCTCTGGAATTCCTTTTGGACATGACCAATGAGTTACAGCTGGTCTTTAGGCAGTATGGCACACTCATTAACTAGCTGTCAGGAACAGCTACACCCTTTGGTCCACAAATCTGGATTTGCCAGAGGAAAATTCCAAACAGACCAGGAAAGCAAAAACCACTGACACCATCTCCATAATAACTGTAAAACTGAAACATACACGTTCTACAAAGAGGGCTGTTCTTCTACCTCCTCAGGAACAATTTGACAAAGGCAAACACTTTATGCACTAGCCCTGGACAAACAATGCAAAGAAAAATCTTGTGCAGCTGATTTCAGGGTCAAGAGGGCGCTTCTTACCAACCCTCAAAGACAAACCAGCACAGAGAATAGTAAAATGTGCAAAGCCAAACCAGTTGCTACTCTCTATCCATTCCCCAATTTCCTTTGTTCACAGAAAGTGACCCTCTCCATGGCCCTGGGGTAAATCTGATTTGTTCATGGTGGTGATGCTGGTCCCATTCCCCTTGCAAAGCAGGTCTGGCCTGTTAAAAAGGGCCATGAAATCTGCAGGGACTGTCGGAAGAGACTCTCCTGCTGGACCTTGACATTTCTGGAAGTGCCACTATGAATGGACACTGCAAATGGCTGTACCCATTTTTTGACTCTGAAGGAAATAGACTGAGAATAAATGTCAACTGGAAGAGCAGAAAGAAAGAATCTGAAGCTCCGACATTTCTTGACCTACTGAATTTACCAACTTTAAATGTGCATCATCTCCAGGCTTTTTGTTATGTTAAGTAAATAATATCCTTATTATTAAATCAGTTTGAGTTGGGGTTCACTGTTATACCCAAAAGCATACAGTAGGAATTATCTTTGGTGGGCTATTTGAGACTCATCAGAATTCTTTATCTACAGTCTTACAAATTGGTTGGATTTCCATTACCTCCTTACATACACTGATCAGCAGGAAATACAGGGAGATCAAATTATATTTAATATGTCTTTTAAAATACACTCATTTTCTTCTATCCACTTTTGGAACTCCAAAAAAGTAACTCTCTCATGCTAACAACTCCCTTATTAGAGAAAAGAATTGTAGGTGTGTAAGCATTGTTTTCCCATGACAACGTTTTTTTTTAATTATTTATTTATTTAGAGACAGGGTCTCACTTTGTCACCCAGGCTGGAGTGCAGTGGCACGATTACAGCTCATGGCAGCCTCGACCTCCCCAGGCTCAGGTGATCCTACTACCTCAGCCTCCTGAGTAGTTGAGACTACTACTATCAAATGGGTAGCATGTACCATCACACCCGGCTGATTTTTGTACTTTTTTTTAGAGATAGAGTTTGCCATGTTGCCCATGCCGGCCTCGAACTCCTAGGTTCAAGCCATCCTCTCACCTCATCCTCCCAAGCAAGTCACTGGGCCCCCCAAATCTAAGAGTCATGTCCAGGAATCAGCATTTCTAACAAGCACTCTTTTATGAGATATATGGAAGGTATGACTCAGCGCTTGAGGAAGAAGAGCTACAAGAGGAAGAGGACTTCTTCCAGGCAATGAGAGGCTTAGAAATTAGTTGGAAACCTTTTTTGAATATTTACTTCTTCCAGAAGACTAGAAACATAGTAGGGACTGAGTGAGTCAGGTAGATGGCCAATTTCCCTGCTTTGGGAAGATTCTCCCTGAAATTTTCCATTGGTGTTATGCTCTGCTCAATGTTTGTAAACACAGCTTCTCTGATACTGGAGCATGAAGCAGTGTGTCGGTAGCTTTGACTAGTAATGTGTCTTAATGTAAATATGTATAAATATTATATGTACACACACACATGCACACATACAAGCTTTTTTTTTTTCTTTTTGAGACCGAGTCTCGCTCTGTCACCCAGGCTAGAGCACAGTGGCGTGATCTCGGCTCACTGCAACCTCCACTTCCCAGAGTCAAGCTATTCTTTTGCCTCAGCCTCCTGAGCAGCTGTGAATACAGGCACCCACCACCACACCTGGCTAATTTTTGTACTTTTAGTAGAGATGGGGTTTCACCATGTTGGCCAGGCTGGTCTTGAACTCCTGACCTCAGGTGATCCCCCTGCCTTGGCCTCCCAAAGTGCTGGGATTATAGGTGTGAGACACCACGCCCGGCCACATACAAGCTTTAAATGAAGTCTTTTAAATGACTTCCTCTGTATTTATGTATCATAAGTAAAAAATAATGTCATGGATGGTAACATTCTACAGAAATGAACACATGCACGGGAGCACCAGCCAGGGAACACAGAGACCATACTGGACAAGGGATTAAAGGCAAGAGACGTGGAGATTTCTTCAGTAGAAAGCCATGTGGATGGGAAGGGGAGAGATGTGATTATGTAGATGGGCCTACATCATTATGGGAAAGACTCGTATGGCATCTGTATGGGGAACAAGCATTTTTATTCTTCTCCATATTTTGGTCACAGACAATAACACATAATACATGAGATTGTAAAGTCCAGAGGTACAGGAACTGTGCCTGTATATTTTCTATATCATAGATACCACAGAATTTATAGCTAACATTTGTAACATAATCAAATATTATAGCAGGTGATAAACAAGAGAGAAAAAAAAACAAAAATAAGTCATTAACATTTATCACGGATATTTTAGCCTTCATAGCCTTAACTGAATTTCTTTTCTATAGAGTTTTCAAGAGGAATAATAGAAATAAAAGATTAAAGAAAGTATAGATAGATAGATATAGCTATAAATAAGAATAGCAGGATAGGATTTCTACTTTTATAGAAATCTAGTGAGAAACAAGATGCTCTTTATATTTCTAAAACATCTTGAACTTTTTGATGAGAAAACTTTTTTCAGAGCAAAGCTGTTACTATAAAAATAGTATTCTAGTGCTGATTTGTCCTTTAAATATATTAGAAACATTCTTTTGAACTAAGATCTTTTAAATTGTTATATTAAAATGCAGTTTTTCTCCTTATTTGGTCATTTTTCTTCTTAGTGAAATCATAGTCCAAGGAAGCTAGATTTTTATTATGTTTTTAAAAACAGATGCTATTTTTATAGATAAAAGAGGATGGTTGCCTATAACACTGATTTTCTTCGTAAAAAAAATAAGAAGCACAGAATATGCTGAATAATTGCCCAAAATACTTTTCTGGGGCAGTGTAGAATAGTGAGAAGGGAAAAAGATGTGGAGCTATACAACCTGGGTGGGTGTTATAGTTTCATTATATGCTGGCCTTGCAATGTTTTGCAAGTCAATTACTGTCTTTTGGATTTAGCTTCTGCATGCATGAATCTGAATGGCTATACTTCTGTACATGGTTGTTGTAAGGGTTAAAATCAGTCAGTGCACTTTTAAATCACGTTACAAACTATGTGTCACTGTTATGTGACACATACAAATTATGCATTATCATCATATGATCGATATCAACAAAATGAAAACTCGTGTCATCTCATCTTGAAATGAAAGAATGTTTGATTCCATGAATGTGATCGTGAAGCCGAGTTCAGAGAGACATTTCTGGAATATTCTATACAATGCTAAACAAAGATAAGCAGTTTTTAAGTTAACGGAATGCTGAACCCAGAATCATCCATTTTAGGGAAGTTGAGCTGAGTAAGGTAGTTCAAGACAGTTGCCTGAAGCTCCACTTAGGTTTGAGATGGAGTAGATTCGGAAGACAAGACGAATGAAGTATTTGATTTTCTAAAAAAGGGAATGGAGACATTTTAATTTACAGCTTCTGAGGAAAGGTCATCAATCCAGAGAAGACCGTGAAGGAAGGTCCAGGAAGAAGGTATCCTCTGGAAAGGCCAGGGTGTCAGGGCCACTGTGGAAGTGTGGGCATGTAGCAGAAAGAACTCACTTCACAACTGTTTAAAAACGTTAAGGATATAAGCTAATGTTCGGGAATAGTTAATGTTTCTCGGAGTGAATATTAAGCTTCCTCCAAGAAAAACAACTCAACTCCTAAAGTCAGCCCTAAACTAGTGCCAAGAAAATAGTGCTAAATTAGGCTTCTAGGAGAGATATGACTCAGTTAAGTATCATAGAGCACTCAACCCATAAACTATCCATTTGTAGTCCTTGAGAACATAAGAGATTACAAATAAATGTACTGACTCTTTCCTTAAGGAAAAGAAATGCCTAAAATCATGATTCAGCTTTTTAAATTCAGTTTCCATGTGTAACTGTTATAGCTGCTGGGAAATACTTGATAGTCAAATCATTTTGTAAAACCATTTCCAAATGTTTAGTCTAAGATTGGGCAAATGTTCTTGGAACCAAATAAATTTTCTGAGTATTGATTCTAAATCTCTTTAGTCAGAATGAAAGTACTAAGAACTGTTTTAAAAATCATATTTTTCTGTAAGCTTATGGGCAAGCATACAAGAAAAGATATACATGTTACATGTCAAATTGTGTGTATCTAGTTCAAGTCCTGATCCGATTTCATATAATCTCTATCTGAATAATTGGCCAAATGTCAAGAAGATGCATATCTTAAAGGGACTTTCAAGTATATTGCCAACGTGATTGGAGTATTAACAACAAATTTGGATATTAATTCTTGGTAATCTCCAATAGCATCTAATTTCATTTCCATTATTTCATAGATGCCTCCTTTTCATCTAATATTGAGCATTAATTAGTCTTTATTTGGCTGGAGTTAACATTAGCTAAAGTTTGAACTTAGGCTATAGCATCTGTGCATACATGTTTGATTTGTGAAAACCCAGCAGCATGGCAGTTCAAATATTTATTCATTTTCCTGTGCTGGCTCTTAAGCACATGTGCATATGCAAAGTGACCTAGCTTTGTGAATGGTCATACACAGAGAAAAAGAAATACATATAGAATAAATAATTTGGGCCTTAAAAAATATGTATATATGTGTGTGTGTGTATACATATATATGTATAGCGTTCCTTTTTTGAAAACTTGTAGCATAAGGAAATAGGACTGAAACATTCATTATTTTCTATGAAGTAACATTAATCTCACAATTTTCACTCCACTTTTTGACTAAGGGTGGATTTTTCCCCTAAAATCTTAGAGAATCATAAAAAATGAGATGAAAAGTCAACTTCTGAGACTGTGTATTCCTTTACCCCACCTGTGTGCGACTGTTTACTTCAGACTGCTTTATGTTCCTCAGAGCACAACCATCTCCTGTAAAACAAAAATGCCTATTAAACTGCTATAACTCGGGAGCACACCGGAGCATCCCCTTAACACTAACCATGGTTTGACAACACTATCCCCAAACCACATCTTTTGCTTTCTAATTTGTTAAGCTTAACTGTAATCTTTAACTTTCCAAAGTGAAGGCAAAGAAATTTTCTTAATGTATTTCTTTGTGATAGGGAAAAAGTGATACTTTTCTTCTACTTCGTCTTCAAATTTCTTCTGGAATTTTTTTTCAGTGACCTTATCTCTACTTTTTCATTTTCCCTATTATAAAGAAAATAGTCATCTCTTCTTTCATACATTTATCTTTTCCATATTTGATGAGCACGCCTCCCCGCACTTAAGAAAACATTGTAGGAAAAAAATATTAATCTAAAATTGTACATTGTACTCTAATATCTGTTTTTCATTTGTCTCCCCCATTAGACTCTAGGCTTCTTGAAAGATTTCTTCTTTGTTTTCTACACCCAGTTCCTGCCTGTCATATAGTTCAAATATCAATTAGTATTCGATGAGCCAATGAACCACTTCATCAGGTCAGAATCCAGAAGGATACATTTTGAAACTAATCATGACACTGTGATTTTTAAAGGGCTTCCCATTGATCTTTTCACTCCATTCCAAAGGTGTCTGAAAGGCACCAGAGGGAAGGCAAAAACTCCAAAGTATCAGCCCCCCAGTCTGTTCTCATGAGAGCTGCTATGGCTCATTGCCACACATACGCAGTCTGATGTTAATCAACACTAACTAGAGCAGCTTGTGGCTATTCTCATCCTTGAGCAGATGAAACAAGGCCAGCAGCAGTGAGGGCACTTTGCTATAATAATCCAATAAATACTTTTGAAATGATGCTTACTTTTGTCTTTTGCATTAAAGTCTAAGCGCAAAGCCAAGTAGAATAGAAAATAAAGAACACTTCCCCTCTTCCACAATACCAAGCAGAAATTCCAGAGATTTTGCCAAAACTCCCCCATAGATTTATCGCTTCTTAGGAGACTTTGTACAGAGAACTACAAAATCTCCTTTGCACCATAAGGGCCAGATGTTACTGTTGAATTGTAACCACCCATAGCTACATGTGTACACACATTTCACAGTCATCTCTAAATGCACACAGGAGGCACAATGAATGGAAGTTAAGACCTAACCTAGGCTTTTTCTAGGTTCAGAGAAAACCCTGACTAGCTACTCCTGGTAGATGGTTTCTCCTCTTTACCAAAGCCTCCCATCACTAGGGGGCAGGTTCATTCCCAACTTAGGAAGCACTAAAACAGAAAAGCTTTCAACCCCAGAAAAGTGGTACCTAGAGGTGTGATTTGTATAGCTAGCTGTAGCTGAGTCTCATCCTCACAATGTTGCATCAACATTTGATCTGAAATAAATCCTTCAAACTTCAGATATATCATATTCCTATCTAATTATCAAAATACATTCCTTAGGTACATTAAAACTTTTTGATCACTTACTATTGTAGAATACCTCAAACTGAACTCCCCTATATCTGATCAATACCTGAGTTGACCATTAATTTTAAATTTAATTCAAAGTGACAGTTTTCATTCTAGACCTTCCTTGGATAGCCACAGAGATGTGTTATGTACAAATTATTTCAGTCATCCAGTTTCAATGAAGAGGTAGAGTTCAGGTGGATTTGGAGTGGGTATGAGAATCTAGCCAGATGGCCACAAAGACAGTCCTGGTGCTCTGGAAGAACAACCACAGCATAAGCAAGAAACTGGAACACCACACCTGGTATAGGCCAATCCCTCTTTTCACCACAATCTGGCAGTCTTTGGTAAAATAAGTGTAAGGGGAAGGATCCAGGCTGGAGAGGAGTGAGCAGAAAAATTGAGTACAGGATCTCAGAAGGTACAAAAAGCTACGCAGAAGGTACAAAAATCTGTTGCCTAATACAGCCTAATGACAAGTCACAAAAATTACCTTACTGAATTAGAAAGACCTTATCTTGATTGTATGGGATTAAACCATATGAAATTGCTGATAATTGATTGGTTCTGACCTACAAAAATGCCAGTTCAGCTAGCTCAACCTGATAGTATGAGTCACACGGGGTGAATGCTATGAAGACGCTCTGCCTCCACCTATCCTGGTGATACAGGTCTGCAGGAGGGTTTGCATCTAGAAATCAGAGATTTTTGTTTTTTAAGAGTCAGAGTCTTGCTATGTTGCCCATATTGGAATGCAGTGACTACTCACAGGTGCGATCATAGCACACTGCAGCCTCGAACTTCTGGACTCGAGTCCTCTTGCCTCAGTCTCCCAAGTAGCTGGGACTAAAAGCATGTGCCAACATGCTTAGCCCTAAGATTTTTTTTTTTTTACTTAACCTCCCCTGGAGCTCCAGTTTTTCGTTGAGGGGCCTCAGGGGCATCCTGGGAGGGCAGAGATGGATTGGAGTGGAGGCCACGTGAATGAGTCTCAGAAATACCATTTTGTCTGCTTTCTGTTGTAGGGTTCCACATAAGATCTAACATAAAAGGTGTGGGGGAGGTTCTTATGCTTTAAAAAAAAAAAAAATGATTCAAAGCCTCCAAAGCCTGAAGTTCATTTTTTGAAAAGTGACCCAAACACAAATCTTGACATTCTGGAATATTGAAGTTTTAAAACTAAATCCGGAGGGCCATGAACAAGTATGTCGATCACATAATTTCGTGAAAGGCAAATTCTTGATAATGGTCATCCTCCTTCAGCCAGGTAAATGTCAAATTCAAAGAAAATATATTCAGGACAGCACTGTGAAATTTCTGAGGATAAGAGCATATTTCACAGCACATAAATGAAAGTGGATCTCGGTGAATGTTCTATACAGAGAGAAAGGTTGTGTTTTGAACCTTTAAATAACTTTGGACAAAGGGTGAAGAAGGATATTGTTCACACCACAAGTCAAAAGCCACTCCCATCAATGTGCCCAACCACACAAGTCGAGGCTGCTGCTGGCCTTGATGGTTCATGGCCATTTGGAGTGTTTGCAGAGAGATTGGATGATTACTTGTCTAGAATTTGAGCTGTGTCTACTTATTCAATATTTTGGAACATTTTTTCTATAAATAACCGGTCAATTTTGTCTAGAAATCAGTGAAGTGATTAAGTAATAGGTCTATGTATTTATTGAAATGTTGTCTATATGGTAGGGATATATTCATCTGTCAGTTCAGGCAGATAAAACTGGCTACACTTGTGTGGATACAAACATGATCATAAACCTCACTAGTTCAATGAGCTGGCTTACATCTAAAGGACTCTTTTGGAAGTTGAAAAACAAATATCTTTTGCGTAAACATTTTTAATATGACACCATATTTAACTTAAAATTTTAAATAACAGATGATCCTGTGAGATGCTATTTTGTGAGGTGTGAAAGGCCCCCAAAATGTAACTCTCATTGAGGAATTTTTATAGAAATTAGGGTTTTTACATTCTTTATTAGTAAATAGCTAGAAGATCTGTCTTATACTATATTGCTATGAGAATGGAAAACAATCTACATGAAAAAAGATTATG
This sequence comes from Homo sapiens, assembly GCF_000001405.40. Taxonomy (NCBI): domain Eukaryota; kingdom Metazoa; phylum Chordata; class Mammalia; order Primates; family Hominidae; genus Homo; species Homo sapiens. Next base: position 65,946,234 of record NC_000012.12, read on the forward strand.
CTATGGCACAGAAGTACCTATTGGTTGAACAATGGTCATATGATTTTAAAACAAAATCATATGATTTTAAAACAAAGTGGGCAAAATCACCTACTACTGCCTGGCAAGAAGCAAAGGATCTAATTATATTAAAATTCTGCTGCTTACATTAAACCCAGAGACTCATCTGCACAGACAGCCATGTGAAGGGCTTCTTTCTTTCTAAGGTCAACTTGAGACCCTTTACATAATAATCATGTTTGCTTTACCATACATTGTGCCTAATTTTTTTTTAAAAATTAAGTTTGTAAGCTCAATTCAAGCCTCTTTTTATTTAATGTTTAGATTAGTACTAAAATGAACTACTAATGTCTGGGTCCTTTGTTAGCAAGGATTTTCTTTCAATACCTACCAGAAGGAGTGGCTTAGCTGTCTGAGTATCAGCTTTAAAATACCTAGACTTCCTGGAACCATAGATTGTATTCTTAGGAGGGCTGAGGAACTTCTTAATTATTCTGAAATAGGTGGAATGGCAGACCATTTCCTACACAAGTGTCTCTCTACAAAATCTTAAAAATCCAAATACTCTGTGGATTTTAAAAATTCAGTAACTTTTTTTCTTCCATTTGGAGAAATGTTCATTTGCTGTATGACCTCAGAAATCCAAAAATATGTCCTTTCCTTTTGCTTATCTTCTACAGTTTCTTAGCATGTTGTACCCTAAGCTATTTGTATATACTTTAACAATGATATTTATTTGCTTAAGCATTATACTTTCAATTGTGGCTGAGCTAGTCCATTCTAAGGGCTAGACTGCAGAGAACTACTCACTGAAATCCATGTGGTTAGAAAGAGCCCTTTTAAGCTTCACGTGGTATGTTCAACTCATGGGGTCTTTGAATTCTCACCACTTTTTTTTTTTTTTGAGGCAGAGTCTTGCTCCGTCACCCAGGCGGGAGTGCAATGGTGTGATCATAGCTTACTGCAGCCATAACCTCCTAGGCTCAAGCAATCCTCCCACCTCAGTCTCCCGAGTAGCTGGGAGTACAGGCATGCGCCACTATACCTGGCTAATTATTTTTAATAGAGATGAAGTCTTGCTAGGTTGCCCAAGCTGGTCTCGAACTCGTGAGCTCAAACAATCCTCTCAAAGTGCTGAGATTACCGGCATGAGCCACCACACCCGGCCACAGTTTCGTTTTAACATCTGTTAATCCAAAAAATTTCTTCAAAGTCCTTTGGTGATTTTGTCAATGCTGCTATTGATGTTTTGTTCTGGGAGGAAGCTCTCTTTCACCCCATTGTATTTTAGAAGTTTCAATGCAACCATGGAATGAGGATTTTCATTACAAGCTTTTTGAAAGGTGCAATAGTCTCAACATAATGAACTCAAAATCTCAGTGCATTGAAGGGTTTGCATGCCAAGTTGACCAAGTGCCTAAACTGTATAAACTCCCTATGTGCACACTTAGAATTGGATCATCAGATTTGTCTAAACAACTTGAAAGGCTTTGCTATCTGTTCACTGAACAGTCATTATGATGTACACACCTTTAAGAGGGACTCAGCCCCTCCACAACTGATAATGAAGGAAGAATCTCCAAGTGAGGTGAGGCAGCTGGACTTTGCAGGTCTGACTCTTGTCCCCTGCGATTCACTTTTCATCAGCAACCTGGAGGAATCAGAACTAGGCCCTGCTGAACAATCTGGAGATGAAAATCAAAGCCGGGAAGTACAGCTTCTCCTGGATTGGATCTCGATTTGACTTTTTTCTTTTTTCTTTTTTTCAAGGAACAGACTGGGTTTCTTCAGAGCATTATATCAGGGATTAAGAGAATCAGTAGACTCGGGTTGTTTTGGTTTTAGAAAAAGATCTCAGACGATTATTTAAATTCCCTATGCCTTGGTTTCCCTGTGAGAAAATGAAAACAGTAAGGCCTGGACCCTCCCAGTAACAAAGGGGCAGATGTTAAAAATATAAAGGATTCTAGCTTTCATATAGGAAATGCATGTGCAAAATATTACTCATTTATTAAGGTGCATGAAAATTTACTGTTAACAACACAGAAGACTAATATGTATCATTGATGTTATTCAGGTCTTATAAAACTCTAGTGGCCAGTCGTGTTTTTAATGCCAAGAACCCCGAGGAGCAACTGGTTTCTAAGAATCAACACTTAGTTCTGAGCCGAGAGATGCCCCAAGGAAGATAAGAGACTTACAGTTTGTTTGGCGTCCAAAAAGCTTTCCAGACAGCAGTTTGTTTCCTTTCCCTTTTTATGAATGGTGGTAGTATTATGCTTCAGTCTGCGTTTTCTACCAAAGCCATTCATAAAAATAAAAACAAAACAAAATAACAACAACAAAAACTTTCTCGGCACAGTCTGGAGCCATTGGGTGCCAGAGGCTGGGAAAACATCCTGGCAGCCATAACCCCAACCAACATTGAAAGTATTCAAGGGTCTGTTTGTTTGGTGGTCTGAAAAGTATGAAGTGCTGTGTCTGAGGGTAGCTGGTAGAAGTTCCGTGACACGGACTAGGCCGGGAGCCAGGGCTGGCAGAGATTCAGACATTGTCTTTCCCCTCATTGAAGTGTCAGGACCTAATTCATGGAAAATTGGGTGAGCTGGCAGCTCTTTCAGAGGATTTCATTGAGCTGCAGTGTGCAGGAGTCACATGAATGCGGGAGCCTCTGCCAAAAAAGGAGGGGGATTTCTGAGCAGTAGGAACCAGTCAGCCTGCAAGAATGTATGTGGATTTGAAACGGTTTGGGAGTAAACATGTGTACAGGTGTAATCAACAGGGAAAAATGGGAGGAAGATGAGTGCTCTCTTCTTCCAAATGACCCTTTGGAAATGAATCCTCTATTAGCCCACGCTTTTGTGTCCTAAGAGGCAAGAAGTCCTCATCGTTCTTGGTTCGATTTTCCCTGGAGAAAACATCATCTCAAAACTTGGGCTTTTGTGATGACGTCATCTTTACTGTGATTTAAAGTCAAATGGAAGAACGTCTTTTCCTTTGAGCAAAAGTACCTTGCCATTTATTTTATTTTTATTCTGTCCATCTAAAAAAAAAAAGCTCTAATGATTTTTATATGGAATTTTTAATGTACCAGCAATAAACCACTGTACCACTGAGAGGAACTCTGAGAGGAAGGGGCTCTCAGAATGAATGAACAGGGGCTAGTGAATAGTGAACGTATCCTAAGTGCTGTTATTTGGGAGAACTGGTGCAAGAAAGCATGTCGCTATCCACATCAGAGTACCTCAGGTGTACTCACAAATCTCAGCGATGTGTAGATAGAATAATACATGCCTATATTCAGACATGAGAGTGAGGACTGGAAGCAAATAATCCATCGAAAAGCTCAGGCTTCAAATCCATCTTTTATAATGCCAAAGAAATAAGAAGTATTCTCTAATACTCGATTGGAAAGTTAGGCAGGCAGAAAAACATTCCCTCGGATGTTTCACTCAAAAGAGGAGAGTTTTGCTCTACACATACAATAGATACAGATATAACACAATATAACACAATATTCTTCCCATGATACCACGAAGAAACTGAACAAACTCACAGAATTATTTGCAAATCATAAGGGACTTGAATGCAAAACATTAAAAGAACTCTTACAACTTTGTTATGAAGAGATAGCAAATTTTTTTTAAATGGGCAAAGGATTTAAATAAACATTTCTTCCCAGGAGACATATAAATGGCCAATAAGCACATGAAAAGATGCTCAACATCATTAGTTGTGAGAGAAGTTCAAATTGAAACAGCAATGATGTTTAACTTCACATCCACTTGGATGTCTACAAGCAAAAAGACAGGCAATAACAAGCATTGGCATGTATACGGAGCAATTGGAACTCCAGATTCATTGCTGGTGGGACGGACTGCAAAATGGTACAGCTGCTTTAGAAAGCTGTCTGGCAGCTCCTCAAAAAGTGAAACAAAGAATTACAATATGAACCAGCGATTCCACTCCCAGGTACATACCCAAGAATGAAAACATGTTCGCACGAAAACGTGTATATAAATGTTCATAGTAGCATTATTCATAATAGCCAAAGGGTGGAAACACCCCAGATGTCCACCAACTAATGAATGGATAGGTAAAATGTGGTATACCCATACAAGGGAAAATTATTTAGCATGAAAAGGAATGAACTGCTGATGCTACCACATGGATGACCCTAGAAAACCCTAGGCCAGTGAAAGAAGCCACACACAAAAGACTCTACATATATAGTATGATTCCACTTACATGAAATGTCAGGATAGGTAAATTCATAGAGACAGAAAGTAGATTCATGGTCACTTAGGCATGGGAGGTGGCTAGGGACGTGGAGGGTAGTGGGGAGTAACCACTAATGGGTACAAGATTTCTTTTAGAGGAGATGAAAGTGTTCTAAATTAGACTGTGGTGATGGTTGCACAACCCTCTGAATATACTAAAATATACTTTAAATGAGTGAATTATGTGGTATGTAAATTATGTCTCAGTGAAGGTGTTTTAAAAAAATAAAATATTAACAAATTAGGTACCTTCACTCCTCAGTTTTGTGATATATAGGCTAAAAACAAAGTGAATCAAACAGTTAAGTTTCTTTCAAGCTAGTTGGCTTGTATGCCAGAATTTAATTGGGAATTGGAATTGTTTTCACTGAGATAACCTATGTTGTATTTCCTTAATATAGAGAGATCATGAATAGACATTTTTGTTTTTTTTGAGATAGGGTGTTGCTCTGTCACCCAGGCTGGAGTGCAGTGGCATGATCACGGCTCACTGCAGCCTTGACCTTTCTTGGCCCAGGTGATCCTTCCATTTAGGCCTCTGAGTAGCTGGGACTACAGTTGCAACGCCACCACACCCTGTTAATTTTTGTATGTTTGTAGAGAGAGGGTTTCACCATGTTGCCCAGCCTGGTCTACAACTCCTGGGCTCAAGCCATCCGTCCGCCTCTGCCTCCCAAAGCGCTGGGATTATAAGCGTGAGCCACCATGCCTGGCCAAGTATAAACACTTTTAACATTGGATATACCAGTTGAACTTTATACTTTCCTCTTTCCTTTGCAGACAAGTATCTGTATTTAAAATATGTACACCTAATTTTTTCTATAATGTATATTTTCTTTTAAAATATATCTTTTTCTTTTCCTCCTTAGCCACAACAAGTTGTTCAGAAGAAGCCTGCTCAGGTAAGACATAGTCATTAATTTTTTTCTCCCAATTAATATAAAAAGTGAAATATGTACTGAAAAATGTCCCCAAACTAAACCTTATTTCGCATTTTCTTACTTTTGGTTATCGTCCTGCAGTATTCCTGAAAATGTGTTGTAGCCTTCAAAGTTAGGAATATATAGTCTGCAATCGTACCATGAAAACCTCCCAAAATGTAAGGTCTTAAGTGTACAAAGCAAATATAAATTCTTTTAAAAATAAAACTATTTTATTACATTGCCTCATATGTAAAACAAATATTTAATCTTATCCTATATTTTACCAATTCTTAAACATCAAATTTTGTCCTTCCAACTGACTGTCTATATTCTGTTGACACCAGACTTATATTTAATGATTCATGACTGGAAACATATTTCTTCATTGAACAATTTCATAATATTTGATGATCCCAAAACACTCCAAAGAATGCTAGAATACTTGGAAATTAAGTTATACTAACGTGCAGACTGATGCATTCTTAGATCTTATTTAAATAACTGAATCACAGTCTCTGAAGTTTTTGGCAACATCAAATTGGAAAATAGCTCTACGTCTCTTGCCCCATATTCCTGGAGCACCTTGTCCTCACTATAATCTGTACATAGAAACATTAAAAAAACATATTTATTGAGGAAGCATATCTTGAAGAAAACAAAACTGAAGTATAAATTAACCAGGATTGCTAATAATGTGAGCCAGTATTAAAGTATAAGAACGTCCTGCTGTTCTCTTCCCTTCTGTATGTAAATAGTCATTGGAGATCCAGGTGGTATCATGCTGAACCTGCTAAAATAAGTAGTAAGCAGTGTCATGAGCTATCAAATTAAGTAGAACTCTTTCATGTAATTTTAAGTATCCATGAAATTTTTTTCCCTAGAAGTCTTTACAAATCTACCTTGCATCCTGTTTTCTTAGGTCAATGTTGCCTTGCCTGGGAAGGACCACCCGGGCAATCTTATATATCTACTGTTCTCTAAAAATGCCACTTAGAAGAGAATTGAAACTTCCAAACACATGAAAGGATCCAAGGAAAGTGTCTTCAAACAATTACATATGAGCTTTAAGTGGAATAAAAACAGAGTTACCATGAAAAAAATCATTTTCATTGCTGCTCCCATACCTAAAAGCTAAGAGTGGGAGAGGGGTGCTAAAAAAAACCCAGTGTTTGTGCGTCTTTAAGCAATATTTAAAAATATATACATATAAACAAAAACTTGACATTTTCATTAGGAGAACCCAAATATATTTAGCCTCTCATCCTTTAACTGTACAAAAATCAAGAGAAAGTAAATTGATAATTCTGTGCATTTGAGTCAAAGGATGAGGCAGAGTTCACATTTGCATCACAGGCTGTGAACTATAGATTAATCACTTTATGTGGTTTGTTAATATTGATTCAGCCCTTGTGCTTAGTGTCATAGGGAAGATGAGTCAAACAAAGAAAAACAGTCACTGCATCTGAGAAATGTATTTATATGTATATGCCTGTGTCCTATCCAGTGGTATGCTGGAACCAGCCCTTGTGAGCAAATAGTGAACATCTCTTCTGAATTCTGTGTTCAGTGATGTCAAGTAGGTAGCTTGAAATCCACTATGGTGGGAGTATTTACACCATGGAAAGTGACAAATACTACAAATCAGGACTTTTTTTTTTCCTGAGGAGCAAGTAGTTAAACATTTACCTCCCCAGCATGGCCCCACCCTTCAGCGATTCTGTTTATTTGGTCTGGAGATCCATCATATTTTTTATGAACTCCCTAAGTGAGTTTAATATGCAACTAGAGATGAAGACACTCCATGAAAACACATGAGAAGATGTCTGAACATTTGTTGAGCAAATGACCACAGAATGTCAATGTGTATGGGACACACGGGGGATACAGATGAATGAGTGGAATGCCTCAGGTTATCAAGGGGATGATAAGACTGGAATTTTCTTGTTTTGTTTGATTTTGTTGTTGTTGAGTTGCAGAAGGGAAAACTGAAACATAAATTAAGGGAAAGAAATTACAGATGAGATGAATGGCATATAGAAAGGTAGAGAGGCAAGAACAAATACATCATAGGTGGAGATTATTAATATGGCTAGAACTGATTGCAAGTTGGACATTAATACATCAAGAAATAATATAAGTGAAATCACAGTTGTTTTTCCCAAGAGAATTCAGAATCTCAAAGAAGCCACAAGTGGATTGAGTTGATCTTCAAGGATCAATCTGGCTATCTTACAGACCCTGTTCCAGATTTGCCCTTTATAGGAGAGTTCAGACTCAGAATTATAAAAAAGAACATGAGCTCATTGGGCTACCTAATTTATATTGTGTAATGACACAGTGATGAATTATATAAACATGAAAACTACGTGAAAGTTCGTGGAGGATAATGTAAATTTTACACTACATTCAAAAGAATCTCTTCCTTTTCCATCTGTTTCTTTCAAAATACCCTCCCAGATGGCTTTCCCATGAGGCAATCTGGATTAACTCAGCCTCATATCCTTCCTTCAACAGCACTTTGAGGGGTTACATTCAGAATCGCTTTTGAGGTGGTAAAAATTTTAGCACAACTAAATATTTTACATCTAAAGAAAAGGGCTCAGCAGTGTGTAAACAGACCTACGTTTTTCTTTCTGGCCCCATCACTGGGCTAATTAATTTCTCTTTGCTCTATTTATCCATCTAGGAAATGGGATAATAATAATGCCTTTTCCCTTACTCCCAAGAACATTACAAGAGATGCATAATTATATAAATTCCAGGTAGCATTATTACATTCTGACTTATTTTTGACTGTTAAGTTTTTCATTTCCAGAGATTTATAGTCTCAAAAATTCTAGAATCCTGATTTATTCCAAAGTACTTCCTCTTTGACGTCAAGTGTTTTCATTGAATGTTTTTTAAGGCAGGAATTTTTTAGCTGGAGGAAATTTTCTAGTAATTGCTCCATCCTACTGTTAGGGCTAAAGCATTCAGAATCATCTTCCTAGCATTTATGTCACACGTATACAGAATTACAAAGGCTCTGTGGTGAAGTATCCTCATACTGCCCAATGCTGAAGTCTCCTCAGAACTTCAAGAATGGCCCTTGTTGAACCTGGGGTACAAAGCAGCAGAGTTTATTCTGAGGAGACAAATTCAGAATTATGATAAATCTCAGCACCTGCATACGCACTTGTGTTTGTGTATACAAGTACATGCATCTAGAGAGAAATGAAAAGTGAAGGACCACCCTGTTGCAGGGGTTTGTGTTTGCGAAATCCACCAGGTGTCATCAGCTGCAAACATCAAGTGTGTCCCATAATCCTAATGGGAGAGTTAATAGTCTCTTAAAAATCTAAAGGGGAAAATCTGTAATATGTACGTTAACTTTTTTCTAAAATTCCAAAACCAATGAAAACAGCTTACAAAATAACTCTACTATATTTCCACTTCAAGTGATAAACAATAAATTGAAATCAGCTAATTACAAATAAATAGAAATGAGGCTGGGTGCAGTGGCTCACACCTGTAATCCCAACACTTTGGGAGGTCAGGAGTTCGAGACCAGCCTGGCCAACATGGTGAAGCCCCATCTCTACTAAATACACAAAAATTAGCCGGGCGTGGCGGCGGCCATCTATAATCCCAGCTACTCGGGAGGCTGAGGCAGGAGAATCACTTGAACCTGGTTGGCGGGGGAGGGTTGCCGTGAGCAGAGATTGTGCCACTGCACCCCAGCCTGGGTGACAGCGAGACTCCATCTCAAAAGAAAGAAAGAAAGAAATAGAAAGCAGCTCGTTTTTTAGCAATTTGAGCAGTTGAATTCTCAGTCATATGAATTACATTCTTCAGTAGGAAATGGTGGTAGGTTTTTCTTTTTCTTTTTTTAAAAAAAGAAACACCATAAAAGTACCAGATTATTATTATTATTAGAGGGTGCTTTGTTACTCAAGTTTTTACTTTGATAAAAATAAGTGTCTCTCCAACTGAGATGTCTAAAAAAGTTTCGCTAGTTTATCAGGTATTTGATCGTTTATTGCTATTTCCCTTTTAAGGCTTTAATCTGAGACTTGAAGGGACTCCCTAAATGTAATTCAGACATTTTTCTCTCACCTTTCTTCTACCCAAAGGGAAAACAGGTTTTTAAAATCCTAACAGCTCTCCACCCTTTCAATCCACTTTCCCCATTGTTGTACAGCCCTGGCAAACGATGCCTCTGGCAATTAGGACAGGTATAAACCTGCTCCTTTTCAATTTCCCAATGAGAGAATTGCAAAGTTTTCAGTTTCTAAAAGACTGGAAACAAAGCTTTCTGTTTCAAAAAAAGAGTTTTTACTTGCAAGTAACATCTTCTGTGGGTGGTGTGCACCCGGGCAAAGAAATCTCAGTAAGCCTTGATTATCACGGGATTTCTTCCCCCTCAAAATAAAATGTTGAATGTTTTTACAGAGACTTCAAGGGCAGTTTTAAGGATGTTTATATTTCAGACAACCTAAACATTGTTTGGAGCAAAATGAGAGATTTCATTTTGGGACAAGCAAGTTGATGAATTGCAGTCAGCATCTCGTTCTCAAAGAAGGCATTTTTACTGGGGGCTTTTAGTCTAGACATACAAAGAGGGAAGGAGGAAAGGGGAAAGCATTCTCACTCTAACACTCGTCTTTTACATGGTACCTTGGCCAGTGCAGTAAATAGTTCATAATAAATCAGACTTACAAATACTCACTCGTCTACTCACTCAAGGAGCATAATGATTTATACTGCCTAAGTCACAAAGATTACCGATGTATTTATTTTCTTGCTTATGCACTTTCAAGCTAGTAAAACATCTTGTGGGCCAGTAAATGTTTAGTACCAACTGGCAAAACATGAAGAATCATATCAAAGGTTGCCCTAAGTTGCACGGTTTTGTTGTATAGGAAATACTTTTTGACTTAACCTCTGACCTCTGACATCACCAAGGTCAAGGGAAAAGGAGAGAGCAAAGTAGAAACCAAGGTTTAACCCTTAATAAAGTAGCTCAAGGACATAGAAGCACAGGGAAATTGGAGGGCAGAGGAAGCGTATCAAAATGATTATTAACTGTAAACAGATGAAGTAATTAGCTTAGCTAACAGTTGTAATACAGGAATATTGGCAGGATGAAGTCAGCGGTTCTTGGCAGGAAATGTTTTATAGAGATGACAACTTCTAACAGAAGTGAAAGAACATCAATCAATTTAGGGCAACTTATAAAACTCCAAAAAGCAAAATTTAGTGTTTCTGGACTTGACAAATTTGCTGTGAGAGTTTTTTTTTTAAGTATGACTGTTTCTGTGTGGGGAAGTCTGTGGATTAGGCTCAAAACAAAATGGCAGTGGCTGCCTGCATTTCCTCTTCATATTGCAGAATTTTCCTCTACATTTTGATGTGTACTGGATAAAAACCAATTGTTTACTCAATATATAATCTTTCTTCTTACTCTCCAAACTTGCTGACCCAAATTAATGTGGAACAAATAGCAACTGGCTTTAAAACCTGGTCTTTCTAAGAAAATCCTTAATGGTTGCATAGAAATATGTTGCATTGCCTCAGACACTTACATTCAGGAAATGTTTGCTGGACACTCAGATGTCTACAGAGAAATTGTTAACTTACTGTTATTGATATTTTTATAATCTTACTCAAAAGTCATAACTCAGGATAATGAAAAATGTTTGGTGCAATAATGATTAAAATCCACAAATATTCTGTTCCCTGGCCGCAAATACAACACCTATGCAAAATTTTACACATCTACAAAACAAAGGGAAAAGGTTTTTCCTAGTCTATGCCATTAATAAGCACATCTGGAATATAACCCTTAAGCAGTCTTTAATCATAATTTAAAGCTACTTTGCATAAAAATAAGAACATTCCACAACAGCTGTGGAAACATTGAAATAAATTTTCTTCTTCTGGGCCGGGCACGGTGGCTCATGCCTGTTATCCCAGCACTTTGGGAGGCCCAGGCAGAAGTATTCCTTGAGCCCAGGAGTTTGAGACCAGCCTGAGCAACATAGTGAGACCCCATCTCTATTTAAAAAAAAAAAAAATTACCTTCTTTTGAATACTTTGTTTATGCAAAAATCCTTTTGCTTTCTTTAGCTATTTTTTTAAATGCAGTGTTCCTGCAGTAAGAATTGAACCTGGCATGGAAAACTGATCAAACCGGTAGTCCTCAGAAATCATCACTCCTGAAACTTGCAATTAGTTTATACCTAAAATGATTTCCCTATTTGAAAAATGTGCCTACCATTTCCAGATTTTAAAAAAATGGCCCTTTATCCCAGAAAGGAGAAATTCATTGTATCCCAGAGACCAGCATTACTTCTGTTGCAGTATTTTCAGTGATGGAACTCTGTTGAGGCTACAGACAAGAAAAGCAGGAGAGCATTTTAGGAATCTAAGATTTTTTATTTTACTTTCCTCTGGGGACCTTCTTTAATAGTTTTTTTCTTTCTTAAGAACCTATCCTTGAATCATAGGTAAAGAAATAATCACAGAATGAGTAACTGACATTAATAATCACAGCTTCACACTATAGTCTTACTGGATTTTTACGTTTTTCAGGGTTTCCCCAAGTGGTGGTCACATTTCTTACACAACTCTGCAGTGTAGATAGACATGTATAGTCATTACTGGGCTGACACGGTGGGACTGAGACCTGCTAGTGCCGTGGTTGGCATCTATGATTAGTGAGGTCCAAGATCAACCTTCTTTACATTAAACATGCCCTAGCAAGACCTTCAACCCAACTTTATTAAGCTGATGCTAACGCACACAAAGAAGTCCTAACAATTCTATGTTTTTATATACATAATGCAAAAATAAAGACAAGATCAGGTACAATTGCTGTCAATATCTCAACTTATTGTCTCCTTTTGAAAAACATAATTCCCGCCTAGCATTTCCACCAGAATCCCTTGCTCTTGCCAGGTTATATTGTTTATATATGTTCCATTTAACATGTTTTTTAAAAATCTGCTGTAGAGTTTTCCTAGTTGGAGGAAATAATCACTTTCCATTAAGTTAAACAGTCCCGATAAATTTTAAATGAAAATATCTGACAGAGAAATAGAAAAACTCAGCCTTGTGGTCTTGCCGGTCACTTAGCTACAGATGGAACTTGAAAAACTGGTTCCTGGTCATTGCTGCTGAAGAGAGCCCTTTATTTCTGTTGTGACAGGACTGACTCAAGATACTCATGAACGTGGAAAACTCCTAAATGTGTCATTCTGAGTTCCTGAGAAGTTGAACATACACAGATGACAAAAAAGAATGCCATTTAGCCATAACTACCCTTTCTAGATTACCAAGTATTTGTAGGTTTATTGGCAAGATAGCTTAAATTACGTATGTATTTCTGGCCTGCAACATCATGTAATAGAAGAGTTGCAGAATTCTTTGCAGTTAAGAAAAAAAAAAAAAGATAAGGACTTATTAAAGCTGACATGGACTGTGATTTTTGCACTCCGTACCACACACAAAGGAGGGCATCGTGGTGACACCACCCCTGTGTTTGTATTTCTTGGTTCCATTTAGAATTCACTGGCCTCTTCTACTGCAGACCTGCTGTTTAGTCTGCATCTGGAAATTAAACCCAGAGCTTCAGCTCTTAGCATTAAATATTGAACTTTCTTCCAGCACACACCCTCATCCATGCCTGTATAGTAAGTCTGATTAAACTCAAGACATTTTAAAATTCCATCAGCCTTAGGAGTTAAGTTTGGATATTGGGCTGTCTTCCTCCTCCTTTTTAATCTATTAGAAGAAGTGTACCCAAAGGTATATATACCACATGCATCATGTTGAACCAAATTAAAAGAACAGTGATATGTGCAAACTATATTTCTGGGTTTTAGTGGAGTTTTTTTCCAAACTTAGCTAAAACAATGAGTTACATTTATCAAATTCCTTTTTTCATGAACAAAAGAAAAACTAAGGCAAAGTAAGTGCACTTTTCCAGTAGTTATAATAAAAATATAGTTTTCCAACTCTGCCCACCCCTGTTCCCCACTCATCAGTTTTCTGCCAAGAAACCTCACATGTTTCGGCCCGGTACCTCACTTGTCTTTGTAAAGTAGCTGCATGATGGCTGGGAGCTTTTCGGTGTTTAGAGGCCTTAGTGGCTGGTGCTCATAAAAATGTCACCGTGCACTTGCACTTTGAAAAGTCCTTTCATCTGAACATTCCTGAAGCCCCATTCCAACAGGTAAGCCTTCTTGACCAAAGAGTGGCTGTTTAGCCTTCCCACCCTGCCACTAGACCCTAATGAGATGTGTGCAACTCTTGGCTACAGTTTTCATCTCCTTATTACTTCAAGGCTCCTCTTGGGAGCTACACAAGCTCAAAGGTCCTTTGACCATTAGGTGACAAATGAGAAGCAATTTTTTAAAAACATGTCAAGGTAAAAGCTATTGTCTATAACACACGGCCATGTCTTTTTTTCTTTTTTTTTCTTTTTATTTGAGACGGAGTCTTGCTCTGTCGCCCAGGCTGGAGTGCAGTGGCACCATCTCGGCTCACTGCAAGCTCTGCTTCCTGGGTTCACAGCATTCTCCTGCCGCAGCCTCCCAAGTAGCTGGGACTTCAGGTGCCCGCCACCACGCCTGGCTAATTTTTTGTATTTTTAGTAGAGATGGGGTTTCACCGTGTTAGCCAGGATGGTCTCGATCTCCTGACCTCGTGATCCGCCTGCCTAGGCCTCCCAAAGTGCTGGGATTACAGGCGTAAGCCACCATACCTGGCCCCATCCATGTCTTTTAAGTTATTAAAGATGATCGAAGCTCAGGGGTCCCTACCAACTCCTCAGTTACAGAAACAGGACTCTTTGGGGATGTCGGAGCCAGCTGCTTATTCTCCATGTCACCTGTTTCTGTTCCCTCTTTGCACCACAGAAGCACCCTGTGTTAAGTCTGGCCGAACCATGACACTTAGGAGAGCTGAGAATGGGTTTTCCAACCTCATTCCTGACAGGGAGGATTTTTCTTCTCTTCATTGAATGCACACTTGTCGTACAGAATCCGCACATGTAACCAAAGACCAAGTCACTGGGAAGGTGAGAGCTGAGGTTTGCAGAGGTGGGAAAAGCCACCTGCCCCACCACATCAACCCTTTGGGAACCATTCCTTCCTTTGAAGGGTGGCCAGCCAGGGCTATGCCAAGAAGAGAGAGCTCTCCACTAACTAGACATTTGAGAAAACCATCATTCTGAGCATGTGAGAGCCACATTGCCTCCAAACCTTTAATGAAGTGAGACTTCCACCCTCTGACATCCTAGTCATGTTCCCAGTACTAACTGATAGTTACTAGTAGAATTCTAAGGTCAGCAGAAAGATACATTAATAAAACAACTATCCACATTGTCTTATCCACATTGTCTTAAGGACAGTTAAGGAAACAATATGACCTACCACCATTTTCATCTGAATTGTGTCTAAAGGGTTGGAATTCAGGAGTTTCAGCAGCTCACATCAAGCAAAGTTTCTGGGAATGTTTTGAAAAGCTGATCACATTCCATCTAGTACAAGGTCTTTGTTAAGTTCATGGCCTGAAAATTCTGTTTCCTTCCGGATTTGAAAGTACCTTGGTTTCCGGATAGTATAGAAAAATCAAACAGTTAGAAATTGAATAATTACAGCACAATCCAGGAGGTTTGCCAGCTTGACTGAGTTCTATCAATTTTTTAACCGTAAGAAGGAATAAAATATACTTGCTGGCTTTTATGCCGTGGTCTGTTTCAGAGTAGTCACCTAAGTCCACACCTCATGTCAGAATGAGAAGTGAATCATCTGGGGACAAACGAGGTGTGTATCTGCCTAACAGCTTAGTGACTTTCTGGAATTTAAATATTAAGTGAAAGGACAGGGTCACAGGGCAGCTGATCTTTGGCTCGTCTCTCTTTCGTCTGCCCATGGCTTTGATCATGCTACATCCTCCTTTGTGGCCAGGGCTCCACAGAGAATCTCAGGGTCATGGCCTGTTGCCTAGTCAAGAGGTATAAACCTGCTGCTTAAATATGTGAAGCCCACAGTTTGGGGGTTGGGAGTTAAAGGGGAGGTAGCCTCATACGTTCCACTTTTCCCACAAAACCCAAAGCAGACTAAACAAAACCGGTGTGAAATCTCATGACTTGATGCTGCCGTGGTTATATTTTTCAAGCTGTAATCCATTCATTTGTATGTGTGTTTATTCCCAGGATTTACAGCTCGCTCAGTCTTCGGGGGGAAAGAGAATATTTGAAACCTTTTGCAAAGGGTTTGAAGTATGCAGTGGCCTGTGATTAAAGCCCAGGATAGAGTGTGTGTGTGTGTGTGTGTATGTGTGTGTGTGTGCATTCATGTGAATGTGTGAGTGCCCATTCTTGTGGGGTTTTTTTCTCCCATTTGCTGCTTTTACGCAAAAGCATCACACATGGTAGCATTTAGGAGCCCCTTCACAGCTGAAGTGTTTCAAACACTAATGAATGGAAGTTTGGTCATATAATGCAGACAAGCTTTAAGGCATGCTTTACTGAATGGTGTACTGTAGTGACCTGGGAAAGGAAGAGAGGTATAAATTGTGTCGGTTAGCCACCCAGACAAAATGAAGCCATGTGGAAAATCAAATCTATTAAAGTATGAAGACTGTTATAAGCTGTTTTAAGCTGGCCATTCTTAAAGGGGCTCGGTCTGCTGCAGGAGTAAATGTTTACCTCTTCCCCCAGATCTTTTTCACATGCCGTCTTATGAGACAATGTGCAGCATTTGATAAAAATCATCCTCTCACTAACGACGCTTTTATCGGAAATGTTTATTGTCTCCGCTTTACCACCCATGTCCTGAAAGGTACTGCACATTTGTTAAATAAGCAAAAGGAAAGAGAACTTTGCGGCTCAAGCCGGCTCGCAGAAACCCCAACAAATTCCAGAGCCATAAGGAATCAGAAAAAGGAAAAGGGAAGGAGGAGTTAGATTTATATGAAGAGGGGGCCTTGCAAAAACATATATATTAGATTTTCTCTGCTTGGCTAGCCCACCATCAAATGTTTGGTCGATGCGGATTAGTATTGAGATTGAGCAGTTAACGCCGAACTTGGGTCACTGTCTCAAAATGTGCTTTAATAAATACAAGGGGGAGGAAATGGATTTGGGAAGGCTCGTTGTCAGCTCTGCCCCTGCTCTCACACTGCCTCTGCACAGTGGTGTAGGGGTCACACACAGGTGTTGGCACCAGTACCAACCCGACCCAAATCCTGGTCCCACACACCCTGTAATTTTGGGCACATTACTTGTCTGTGCCTTGGTTTTCTCAGATGTAAAACAGGAATATTAACAGAAGGTGCCTAAGCATCTGGTAAGCACTCTAAAAATACCAGCTATTATTACCAGTATCTGGAGGGTGGGTTCATTTATACCTTAAGAAAGGATCCCCCTAACTCTATTTTTCTTGTGTGCCGGTTTTTAAAACTGATGAATGGCATGCTGTCGGGAAAAATTTATCCATTCCTACTTTTTTTCTAATTGGTGAGTAAGCGTGCATTGCCCTGACATTCTCTGGACAGCAAACAATTGAATTTGCTGACCAGCCGCCATGATGTCAAGCCTTAAGTCAACAGTGGCTAATGACCGCTCTGGGAAAAAACAACACCTTGATTCCTCAATTACGGTTTAAGAAGCCCTGGGAATGAGGGCTCGCCAGTCATCGTCATCCTCTTTTGAGGCAAGCATAATGTGCTGTGGAAACAGGTTACCTCTGCACTGTTGGCAAGAGCAGCCCACACAGTATAACGATTGAGCGTCATGGCTGTGCCCTTTGTGTGTTCCAGGAGGAAACTGAAGAGACATCCTCACAAGAGTCTGCCGAAGAGGACTAGGGGGCGCCAACGTTCGATTTCTACCTCAGCAGCAGTTGGATCTTTTGAAGGGAGAAGACACTGCAGTGACCACTTATTCTGTATTGCCATGGTCTTTCCACTTTCATCTGGGGTGGGGTGGGGTGGGGTGGGGGAGGGGGGGGTGGGGTGGGGAGAAATCACATAACCTTAAAAAGGACTATATTAATCACCTTCTTTGTAATCCCTTCACAGTCCCAGGTTTAGTGAAAAACTGCTGTAAACACAGGGGACACAGCTTAACAATGCAACTTTTAATTACTGTTTTCTTTTTTCTTAACCTACTAATAGTTTGTTGATCTGATAAGCAAGAGTGGGCGGGTGAGAAAAACCGAATTGGGTTTAGTCAATCACTGCACTGCATGCAAACAAGAAACGTGTCACACTTGTGACGTCGGGCATTCATATAGGAAGAACGCGGTGTGTAACACTGTGTACACCTCAAATACCACCCCAACCCACTCCCTGTAGTGAATCCTCTGTTTAGAACACCAAAGATAAGGACTAGATACTACTTTCTCTTTTTCGTATAATCTTGTAGACACTTACTTGATGATTTTTAACTTTTTATTTCTAAATGAGACGAAATGCTGATGTATCCTTTCATTCAGCTAACAAACTAGAAAAGGTTATGTTCATTTTTCAAAAAGGGAAGTAAGCAAACAAATATTGCCAACTCTTCTATTTATGGATATCACACATATCAGCAGGAGTAATAAATTTACTCACAGCACTTGTTTTCAGGACAACACTTCATTTTCAGGAAATCTACTTCCTACAGAGCCAAAATGCCATTTAGCAATAAATAACACTTGTCAGCCTCAGAGCATTTAAGGAAACTAGACAAGTAAAATTATCCTCTTTGTAATTTAATGAAAAGGTACAACAGAATAATGCATGATGAACTCACCTAATTATGAGGTGGGAGGAGCGAAATCTAAATTTCTTTTGCTATAGTTATACATCAATTTAAAAAGCAAAAAAAAAAAAGGGGGGGGCAATCTCTCTCTGTGTCTTTCTCTCTCTCTCTTCCTCTCCCTCTCTCTTTTCATTGTGTATCAGTTTCCATGAAAGACCTGAATACCACTTACCTCAAATTAAGCATATGTGTTACTTCAAGTAATACGTTTTGACATAAGATGGTTGACCAAGGTGCTTTTCTTCGGCTTGAGTTCACCATCTCTTCATTCAAACTGCACTTTTAGCCAGAGATGCAATATATCCCCACTACTCAATACTACCTCTGAATGTTACAACGAATTTACAGTCTAGTACTTATTACATGCTGCTATACACAAGCAATGCAAGAAAAAAACTTACTGGGTAGGTGATTCTAATCATCTGCAGTTCTTTTTGTACACTTAATTACAGTTAAAGAAGCAATCTCCTTACTGTGTTTCAGCATGACTATGTATTTTTCTATGTTTTTTTAATTAAAAATTTTTAAAATACTTGTTTCAGCTTCTCTGCTAGATTTCTACATTAACTTGAAAATTTTTTAACCAAGTCGCTCCTAGGTTCTTAAGGATAATTTTCCTCAATCACACTACACATCACACAAGATTTGACTGTAATATTTAAATATTACCCTCCAAGTCTGTACCTCAAATGAATTCTTTAAGGAGATGGACTAATTGACTTGCAAAGACCTACCTCCAGACTTCAAAAGGAATGAACTTGTTACTTGCAGCATTCATTTGTTTTTTCAATGTTTGAAATAGTTCAAACTGCAGCTAACCCTAGTCAAAACTATTTTTGTAAAAGACATTTGATAGAAAGGAACACGTTTTTACATACTTTTGCAAAATAAGTAAATAATAAATAAAATAAAAGCCAACCTTCAAAGAAACTTGAAGCTTTGTAGGTGAGATGCAACAAGCCCTGCTTTTGCATAATGCAATCAAAAATATGTGTTTTTAAGATTAGTTGAATATAAGAAAATGCTTGACAAATATTTTCATGTATTTTACACAAATGTGATTTTTGTAATATGTCTCAACCAGATTTATTTTAAACGCTTCTTATGTAGAGTTTTTATGCCTTTCTCTCCTAGTGAGTGTGCTGACTTTTTAACATGGTATTATCAACTGGGCCAGGAGGTAGTTTCTCATGACGGCTTTTGTCAGTATGGCTTTTAGTACTGAAGCCAAATGAAACTCAAAACCATCTCTCTTCCAGCTGCTTCAGGGAGGTAGTTTCAAAGGCCACATACCTCTCTGAGACTGGCAGATCGCTCACTGTTGTGAATCACCAAAGGAGCTATGGAGAGAATTAAAACTCAACATTACTGTTAACTGTGCGTTAAATAAGCAAATAAACAGTGGCTCATAAAAATAAAAGTCGCATTCCATATCTTTGGATGGGCCTTTTAGAAACCTCATTGGCCAGCTCATAAAATGGAAGCAATTGCTCATGTTGGCCAAACATGGTGCACCGAGTGATTTCCATCTCTGGTAAAGTTACACTTTTATTTCCTGTATGTTGTACAATCAAAACACACTACTACCTCTTAAGTCCCAGTATACCTCATTTTTCATACTGAAAAAAAAAGCTTGTGGCCAATGGAACAGTAAGAACATCATAAAATTTTTATATATATAGTTTATTTTTGTGGGAGATAAATTTTATAGGACTGTTCTTTGCTGTTGTTGGTCGCAGCTACATAAGACTGGACATTTAACTTTTCTACCATTTCTGCAAGTTAGGTATGTTTGCAGGAGAAAAGTATCAAGACGTTTAACTGCAGTTGACTTTCTCCCTGTTCCTTTGAGTGTCTTCTAACTTTATTCTTTGTTCTTTATGTAGAATTGCTGTCTATGATTGTACTTTGAATCGCTTGCTTGTTGAAAATATTTCTCTAGTGTATTATCACTGTCTGTTCTGCACAATAAACATAACAGCCTCTGTGATCCCCATGTGTTTTGATTCCTGCTCTTTGTTACAGTTCCATTAAATGAGTAATAAAGTTTGGTCAAAACAGATCAAGGAGGGAGACACTCACAAGTCATTTTGTTGCACCCCTTGCACACATCTTGGCACACATGTACATAAAGTGTGTTTTACATATCATACTCCTTCAATCAACTGCCCTGAGCTCGCCTTTCAGATTTTGACATTTAATTCTACAGAGACAATCTTAGAAGAAACATGAAGAACAAGCTGTAGCTCCAAACTACAGAATTTTTACTTCAGGCTAGCACCTACAAAGTTTGTAAGGGAAGTAACTAATGCACTAGTCGTCTTTGAAGTAACATTGGAAAGAGATCCGGAAGATTGATGAATAAGAAATGAAAGCCACGAAGAGTCTCCTAGATAGGAGCCTTTTAACTCTAAAAACTACTAGCAGAGTCAGAATGATTCTACCAAGTTCAAGGTCAACTTGACACTTAAGTTGCTAATTATGAATAAATCTAGGATTTTTAAAAAGCTAAAACTTTCGGTTTTTACTATCACCGTTGTTACTCAAATTTTCTTCATTTAGCTTCTTAGAAGGAGAAATTTGTTTCTAGGAAAAGCTTGCCAATTTTAAGACATCTACTGTCAGGAAATTTGTTAAACGTATTATTTCATTCCTAAATTCATTCACTTATTCTCACAGCCAATATTCTGTGAGTACCTTACTGAGTTGTCCTGAAAAGTGGTTGCATCCTGAAGCCCCTGCCAATACCAAGGACAAATCACAGGCCCTCTCACAAAAAGCCTTTATGGTCACCATCAGAGAGGGAGAATGAGTTTCAACCAATGTAGCATTTCACATGGGAGCGTGGGGAGGGTATGTATCTTTTAATGGGCTGAGGATGCTCAACTCTCTGGTGAATTCAGGAATAGTAAATGGTTTAGGAGTCTAGGCAGAAATAAAAATAGAATTTAGGAATGAATACCATCCAGCTAGGAGGCATATGAGGCAAACTCCAACTGTAACAAAACTTCAGAGAAGTGAAACATAAGAAGCCCAAGACCAGCACAGTGGCGCACTCCTATAGTTTCAGCTACTCAGGAGGCTAAAGCAGGAGGGTCACTTGAGTCCAGGAGTTGGAGGCTGCAGTACACTGTGATCACACCTCTGAATAGCCACTGCACTTCAGTCTGAGCAACACAGCAAAACTCTGTTTCTCAAATTAAAAATAAAAAGCCCAAGGGCAGAGAGAAGACGGCAGATTTGATGCTCTTCTTTTCAAGTTAGTTTTATTTCTGTGAAATGACTTTTTATTGAGCAAGACTAATTTCTAGAGTTAGGTAAGGTCATTCTTGAGCAAGTACTCTTCAGATCTAGGAATTCTGGCCTAAAAGTGGACGAAAAGTTGAAAAGAATCAAAATTTTTTTGAAATACATAATTCAGATAGACAACAACCGGAGGGGGGAGTCAAAAGGCAACAACAGGGGTCTACACCCCTGGTCTGAGTTCAGCCGTCTGTAAAACTTGGCAATTTTTCTTCTGAAGTAGGAGGGAAATGGCTGCAGATATGACCCTCTCTCCTCCATCCTCAGCCTCTGTATTTGGGACTCCACCCAAGCTAAGCCAGTCATGCCTTGGTTCCACTCTCATACCAAGACCCAGTTGCGGCCCATGGGAAAATGCCTCATGTCAGTGAGCAATACTCCACTTTGTACCTAGTTTGCGATAGTTAGGTTCTTGTTTTTGCCTTTGAGCCTAACTCAACACCTTGATGATCTGCCTCCACCCCATGAGTAAGCCCATCTCAGCCTTCCCAGGGCCCTAAATTCTTCCCCTGTACTGCCACCCACCCTAAGGTTGACCCCTTGTGACCTGTTAGTCCCATCTCCCTTTCTTCTATTCAATTACCTATTTTCTCACTCTTGGAAATTGCTTGTCCTGTGGCTTCCTTAGTCCTAGTTTAAGCATACATTCTTGAGGATGTGAAATAGCAACATTTGAGAATGCTGCACTGCCAGAACCCAGACTGTGGGGTATCCACCTTGAAAGAAACTTGCTATGTGAGGAAAATGGTAGACACAGATCTAGCTCTAGTAGTGTGCTGCTGCTGAGAATATAGAGAGGTTGGAGAAAAGAGGAGCCCTTTAACACACTGCCATGTTCTCCCCAAATCCTGGAGATCTCAAAAGCGTCAATGTCCTCCTAAGTCAGATCTCTAACTGATGTCTGCTGTTCCGCTGGGCACATTGGCCAGGTTTTAGAGGAACCTAAGGAACAGGAGCTGCCATTTAAGTGGCAATGCTCCAAGGGATGCAATGAAACAAAGAAAAAGTTGATATTAAAATACAGATAGTTTAGTCTAGTGCAGGCTAGCAGCTCCTGCCCTAGAAATGAATGGCTGTGTTAGCCAGGATCCCTTCAGTTGCACAAGACATAAACCCAATGCAGAATGGCTTAAGCCAAACAAAACAAAACAAAACAAAATATGTAGTAGCTGATAAACTAGGAAGTCCAGGATGTGGATCTTTAGGTATGGCTTGATCCAGGGACCCAAGGATGTGGCCAGAACTATAGTCTGTGTATAACCTATAGTTCAGCTTTTCTCTATCTTGCCTTCATTCTTGGATAGGTTATCTTCTAGTGATGACAGGGTAGCTGCTGGAAGCCCCAGACCCACATCGTCTTGGTCTAGCAAACTCTGAAGAAAGATCCTTATTTTTTTCCAATATTTCTAACAAAATCTTGGAGTTGAATACTGTTGGGCCAATTTGGATCTCAGGCCAATCACTATAAAATCATTCTGGCCAGAAGTGGGTGGGAGTGGGGAGAAAACAGTGATTGGTTAGATCAGATGTGGGTCACATGTCTGTCCCCAGAGCCAGTCCATAAAGGCGGACCTCAGTAAGTGAGAGGGAGGGAAGAGAGGAGGCCCAGCCCCAAGTGAAATATGAAATGAGAGACTCCCCAAAGACAAGCCCAAGCCTACATCCAGGAGAAGGGAAAACAGATACAGGAGACAGGAAGGATAGCAGCTGCCTGTTACAATGGCACAGCCAACAACTCTCACTTAACAGCCGGAAACTGAGGTGAGACAAATGTGAGCAAGGCTGAAGAATGTCACAGACTTTACCATGAACGTGAATGGAAATAAAATACCCTGCGAATTGTTGGTCTGGCAGTGGACTTTGCAGGGGGATAAAGACACCTCATTTAGAGCCACTGAGAGTTTGCTGTTTCTTACCATGAAACAATTTAGCCTATCTTGACTGGGACAAGTAATGACAACTCTTTTTGCATCATCAGTTTTTTGCTTACAAACCACTTTCACAAATTTTCTTTCTTTTCATCTTCAGCACCATGGTGAGTAATATAGCAGGTATTATTATTATTTATTTTACAGATGGGTTAACTGAGGCTCAGAGAGCATAAGTGACTGACTTGGGAAGACAGCTAGTAAATGGCAAAGCCATAATGTAATCTCAGATCCCACACTCTCCTCTATACTGGTGTACACCCACAGAGTATTGCATGCAATTGCTGCTCAGGATGAACCTTCTCTTGGGTACACATCCCTAACATAGTTAATCCTAGCTTCCCAAGCTTCAGTCAGATTTTCCAAAGTTATATTTTCAAAGGGAACACTGAAATAGCAGCACGCGCAGTCTCCAAGTCTTCAGTACTCTTCAGTTGGAATGATTCTGTTGCACTGTGGAACACCTAAACCTAGCTATTCATCCCATTTAGCAATCTAAGAATACATATCAAGAGACTATGAGCTCTATCGTGTTTAGGGGATTCTCGAAATTGCAGCAAATAAGCTGGCCGTAAGACTCAGAACATTCTGCAAAACCAGTAACGTTTAAGGTCCCATTCCTCTATCTTTAGTCCAGTCCTCAGATCTGTAGGCTTGTCGAAGTTCCCTGTGGCCTCGTCTCTGAAATCAGGCATTAGGTGGGCTGATACATGGTAATTATTTATTACAACGGGATACATTTAGCCATAAAACAATTACGTTTAGCCTAATCCCAGCCAACTTAATCACGTCATGAAAAATAAAACCTATATTTCAACCAGCTAATGAAAATGTGAAACTTATCTAAATCCATAAGATATATTGTACTGCCCGTCCAACTATTACAGAAGTCATCTTTACAAGAAAAGGTCCTCAAATATCTCGTGAATGTGTCTGCTTTCTCTTCGTCACCATTGCCACTACTACAGTTCAAGCACCACTGCATTTTTATGCTCCGTGTGCTCTTACCCACTTCAATTTTTTCTCTATCCATAGCCAGTGTCATCTTTTGAACAACAGAAATCCAATCACAAAATTAATGGTCTCAGTAAAATTCAAAATCTTTCCTATGGCCCAAATGGCCTGACACAGTCTGGCTCCTTCTTCCTTTTTGAGCCCGAGCTCTCTCAGTCTTCCTTACTTTGTGCTCACTTGCCTTACAGTGGCTTGGAATGTACCTTTCTCTTTCCAATAAACTTGAGCACTTTTTCCCAGGCTCTAGTATCCCCTGTTTGGAATTCTTTTCCTCCTCGGCCTCTCTTCCACTCTGGCCAACCTCCTCCTCAGTCTTCAGATCTCAGTTGAAATGTTGCTCCCTCTAGGGTAGCCTCTCTGCCTTCTTACTCCCCACTCTGACATACAGTGGGGTCCTCTAGTACAAGGGTCGCCAGACCCCATTACCAAACCTTTACCAGTTTGTAGTTTGTGGCCTGTTAAGAACTGGTCTGCACAGCAGGAGGCGAGCGGCAGGCAAGGGAGCACTTCCACCCATGCTTCACCTCCTGTCAGATCAGCGGTGGCATTAGATTCTCACAGGAGCACAAACCCTATCATGAACTATGCATGCAAGGGATCTAGGTTGTGCGTTCCTTATGAGAATCTAAGATGGAAGAGTTTCATCCAGAAACCATCCCTCACTCCCAACATCCCGGTCCGTGGAAAAGTTGTCTTCCATGAAACCAGTTCCTAGTGCCAAAAAGTTTGGAGACCCTGCCCTAGTGTATATTCTCTCTTTTTTCATTTGTATAATTTAAGAGGTACAAGTGCAATTTTGTTACATAGTGGTGAAGTCTGAGCTTTTAGTGTAGCCATCACCCGAATAATGTACATTTTACCCATTAGGTAGTTTCTCATCATCCACCCCCCACCCTTTATAGTCTCCTATGCCTATCATTCCACACTCTATGTTCACGTGTACACATTATTTAGCTCCCACTTATAAGTGAGAATATGTGGTATTTGACTTCCTATTTCTGAGTTGTTTCACTTAAAATAATGGCCTCAAGCTCCATTCATGTTAGTGCAAAAGACATGATTTCATTCTTTTTTATGGTTGTATATATACACTGCATTTTCTTTAATCATCTGTTGATAGATGCTTCAGTTGATCCCATTTTTGCTATTGTTGAATACTGAATATATTCAAAAATATATTGAATATATTCTCTTGTAACACCCTAGAATTCTCCCTGGTAGCAATTACTGCAGTTGTCATTAACCAATTGTGTGATGTGCCCCTGTGGAGCATGAGAGCTGGTCTGTCTTGCCACCTTTGTCTTTCTAGCACCTGGCACAGTGGTGGAACACAGTTGCTCTTCCAAAACTGCTTGAATGAAATGAACCATACCCAGTTTCCTCTGCACTTAGCAGACAGATTCTTTCTAGCATCCTCTCACCTGGCCTTTTCCTAGAGCCCTCCTGTCCTTCAACACCCTATTTACCTTCACTCAGAACTTACTTTCCCTCCCCTGTGCAAAGCTCTGCACTCCAAGCCTCTCTCTGTTGCCACCCCATCACTTCTTCAACACAGCCAATGTAATCCCTCCTCTGCCCCATTTGTATGAGTTCAACTTTCTACCAGCATGTTCACCCTGAAAAAGTATCTGCTTAACAAATGAATTGACAACAGATGCTCCATAGACAAACACCTAACACAGTGTCTCAGGTATAGTGTGCCCTGGGAACAGAGAGTTGTTTCTCTGAACTACTCGGCATCTATTTTACCTCTGCTAACAGAAATTTTTTTTTCTTCAGGAGATTTCTCTCTTCACTCTCAGCCTGTAAGATTCAGCTGGAGCTGACATCCAATCCCTGGTGGCAGGGGAGGGTATGTGACTTAGTTCAGACCAGTGGATATATTTTGACCCTCTGATTGGTTCAAACAGAGGCACACAACCCAAGGCAAGCCCATGATGTTTAATGTCACACTTTTCTGGGACTGGTAGGAAAGTCAGCCTTTCTCACTCTGGTAGACTTGAAGCTGGTAGACTGCATGCCTGTAGCTTCTGAAGGAAGGGTGGTGAGGAGGAAGGCCTGTGGCCACAGCATTGGATGAGCTTGTCAGACAATGAATCCAGCACAGAGGAAAGCAGAGACAAAATTTGGAGACAGACCAAGTGTTGAAGACATTATTTAAGCCACCGGATTTCTTTGTGCCTGGAGGTTTTCAGTTACACGAGCTAATAAAGTTCCTTCTTTTCTTGAAGTTTGTCAGATTTGGGTTTCTCTCACTTTCACCCAGAAGAATCCTGATGACGCCGTAAACTAAAGCATCAATAAATACAGGAACGCAGTGAAAGTCGATAAAAATGACCTTCAGAAGACCCTATTCTAGCCATGGTTCTACAACTCTCAGAGGCTGAGACCTTGGACAAACTCTGAGTTCCCATCTCCTTACCTATAGACTGAGCTTGGTGGTTGACCTTTATCTCCTTATCTATAGACTGACCTTTAATATTGTTTCTAGATTTAAAATTCTATAATTCTGTAATACTAAGATGTCCACAAAGCTTAAACACAACAGAACTAGTTCACAGAGGTGAGAATTTAGATTAAGAGCCTGTAGAGGAAAGAGTACTGAATCGAGGGACCTTTCAGGGTCTGCCATATCTCACGTGTGCACAGCTTCCTAGTATATTTCCAAGTTAGAGAAATGAGGAAACTCCTGGGCTGATAACAGAACCTACTGAAGTTTGAAACCCACAAATAACAAAATAGCAACCCCATAGGCAGCAGTGGAGTTTCATGAGACAGCTTGTTTATTTCAGTATGTGTGTGTGTGTGTGTGTGTGTATATATATATATATACACACACATATACATACACACACATATATACATGTAGATGTGTATATATGCATATATCCATATATATGCATATATATGTATAATATTACTTTAAGTTACATATATGCAGGATATGTCTTTTCTTAAATTTAAGATAATACAAAGTCATTCATAATTAACCATATATAGTAATAATAATAATAACAGTGATAACAATTAAAAATCCTAGCCAGAGACTAGTAAAGAAAGTAGAGCTAGTGAAGAAAGTAAATGAAACATCAGGTATCATGACACATGGATCAGTGTAAGAAAATGTGCTATTATTCTGGTCATAATGGAAAACAAGATATAGATTTGTAACTGACATGGTTTCAGCTTTTAACTAAATATTTCTCTGGAGCTCCATTTGAATCAAAAGGACATTCTGCATAGAAGTATTCTTCCTACAGAAGGAAGAACTGCCATATGGAAATGGACATTGAGCCAGAGTCTAATCTTACATCATTCAATGAAAATCCTCCTACAATCATGATTAATAGCATCCTGATTTATGCATTTTCCATTAGAGTTATGTTAACTGAAAATCTAGCTTCACACATAAAACCATCAAACTAGAATCATTCTCTATTTCTTCTTACTATTCATTTGTATATCCTTGAGTCCATTCCAAGGAATTCTTTTCTATTTGATTTGTTGTTTCTGAGCCTGTCACATAACTTGAAATAAAAAAATGAAATCTTGCCCAATTTCTCAATGATCACAGACAGTCACACCTCCTTAAACAATTATCTTTCAACTAGCCTCAGATTAAAATTTTAGAACCACCTTTAAAATTTCTTTTCATGCCAATGTCCTGAATGGTATTGCCTAGGTTTTCTTCTAGGGTTTTTATTGTTTTAGGTCTTACGCTTAAGTCTTTAATTCATCTTGTGTTAATTTTTGTATAAGGTGTAAGGAAAGGGTCCAGTTTCAGTTTTCTGCATAAGGCTAGCCAGTTTTCCCAAAACCATTTGTTAAATAGGGAATCCTTTCCCCATTGCTTGTTTTTCCTATGTTTGCCAAAGATCAGATGATTGTAGATGTATGGCATTATATCTGAGTCCTCTGTTCTGTTCCATTGTTCTATATATCTGTTTTGGTACCAGTACCATGCTGTTTTGGTTACTGTAGTCTTGTAGTATAGTTTGAAGTCAGGTAGCATGATGCCTCCAGCTTTGTTCTTTTTGGTTAGGATTGTCTTGTCTATATGGGCTCTTTTTTGGTTCCATATGAAATTTAAAGTAGTTTTTTCTAATTCTGTGAAGAAAGTCAATGGTAGCTTGATAGGGATAGCATTGAATCTACAAATTACTTTGGGCAGTATGGCCATTTTCACGATCTTGATTCTTCCTATCTATGAGCATGGAATGTTTTTCCATTTGTTTGTGTCTTATTTCCTTCAGCAGTAGTTTGCAGTTCTCCTTGAAGAGGTCCTTCACATCCCTTATAAGTTGTATTCCTAGGTATTTTATTCTCTTTGTAGCAATTGTGAATGGGTGTTCACTCATGATTTGGCTCTCTGTTTGTCTGTTATTGGTGTATAAGAATGCTTGTGATCTTTGCACATTGATTTTGTATCCTGAGACTTTACTGAATTTGCTTATCAGCTTAAGGAGATTTTGGGCTGAGATGATGGGGTTTTCTAAATATACAATCATGTCATAAAACACCAGAAGCAATGGCAACAAAAGCCAAAACTGACAAATGGGATCTAATTAAACTAAAGAGCTTATGTACAGCGAAAGAAACTACCATCAGAGTGAACAGGCAACCTACAGAATGGGAGAAAATTTTTGCAATCTATCCATCTGACAAAGGGCTAATATCCAGAATCTACAAGGAACTAAAACAAATTTACAAGAAACAAACAACCCCATCAACAAGTGAGCAAAGGATAGGAACAGACACTTCTCAAAAGAAGATACTTACGCAGCCAACAAACATATGAAAAAAAGCTCATCATCACTGGTCATTAGAGAAATGCAAATGAAAACCACAATGAGATACCATCTCATGACAGTTAGGATGGCTATCATTAAAAAGTCAGGAAACAACAGATGCTGGAGAGGATGTGGAGAAATAGGAACGCTTTTACACTGTTGGTGGAAGTGTAAATTAGTTCAACCATTATGGAAGACAGTGTGGCGATTCCTCAAGGATCTAGAACCAGAAATACCATTTGACTCAGCAATACCATTACTGGGTACATACCCAAAGGATTATAAATCATTCTACTATAAAGACACATGCACACGTATGTTTGTTGTAGCACTGTTCACAACAGCAAAGACTTGGAACCAACCAAAATGCCAATCAATGATAGACTGGATAAAGGAAATGTGGCACATATACACCATGGAATACTATGCAGCCATAAAAAAGGATGAGTTCATGTCCTTTGCAGGGACATGGATGAAGCTGGAAACCATCATTCTCAGCAAACTAACACAGGAACAGAAAACCAAGCACTGCATGTTCTCACTCATAAGTGGGAGTTGAACAATGAGAACACATGGACGCAGGGAGGGGAACATCACACACTGGGGCCTGTCAATGGGTGGGGGCCAGGGGAGGGATAGCATTAGAATTACATGTATACTTATGTAACGGACCTGCATGTTCTGCAAATGTATCCCAGAACTTAAAGTATAATAATAATAATAATAATAAAATTTCCTTTAAAGTTTTTAATATCATTTGTGAGGGCATTCAGTGCATATTAGCTCTGGTCCAATGAAGAGAGATAGGAACTAAGCATGGAGGAGGCTGGGCACGGTGGCTCATGCCTGTAATCCTAGCAATTTGGGAGGTCGAGGCAGGCAGATCACCTGAGACCAGGCTGGCCAACACGGCAAAACCCTATCTCTACTAAAAATATAAAAATTAGCCAGGCCTGGTGGTGCATGCCTGTAATCCCAGCTACTCGGGAGGCTGAGGCAGGAGAATCGCTTGAACCTGGGAGGCGGAGTTTGCAGTGAGCCGAGGTCACGCCATTGCACTCCAGCCTGGGTGACAGAACGAGACTCTCTCTCAAAAAAACAAACAAAAAAAAGGCGTGGAGAAGCTATGGTGCTTCCTATGGCCTCTTCTGCCCCAGTGGAGAGGGTAGTGGACGGCAGGGAGAAGGAACTGTATTGAAAACATTTTTGCTTCACATAATCCAGAACCTGATCTCATGAGTGACAAGGCAAGTTAACTTTTCAATGTGGTCTTTGTTAACTATTATTCAAAGGCTCTGAAGAAATAGGAAAATATAACAACTTTCCCTCACCTATTTGTCAAGCCATAAATAAGAGGCTAGGTTATAGCATGTGGCACCAACCATTCTGAAATCATCTTACTTTCTTCTTTCATGGGGCTGTAAAATTATATGGTGCATTCTCAATTTACTTAGGAAATGGCTGGAGGAAAAAAGCTTAGGAAATATTCATTTCCTATGGAACACAGGAAATCTGCATAACCTTCTCTCTATCTCTTTCCCTTAACTTTTGGGTTTAGGCCAATATTTTTTAACTCATTAGCCTTTAACTGAGCAGTTGTTTAACACATCTGAGGGTTGTTTAGGTTGTCATTTTTCACATAATCAGTGTGTGCAAACTAAAGTGGAACTGTACACAGTGACAGTGGCTTTCTTTCATTCATTCAACATGTTTACTGAGCACCTACTATGTTCCAGGCACTATGCCATGTATTGGAACTACCAAGAGAAATAGTCCGATCTCTGCACCCATGAAGAATAAAGTCCAGCAGGAGAAGCTGAAAACAAATGTCATGGTTGAGGGAATAGATACTCCATCTCCATAAAGTGATTCTTTCACATTGCATGCCTGTAACAAAGTATCTCATGTACGCTGTAAATGTATACACCTACTATGTACCCACAAAAATTCAAAATAAAAAAATTTAAAGAAAACAAACAGCAGTGATAATAGAGTATATGAAGGAAAATGCCAGAGGGATGCACCCGGAACTGTGGGAGTTAGAGCATCCCCCATTTAGGTGGCGTCATTGTTGAGAATGGCATCTCTAAGGAAGGCACAGCTAAACTGAACCTGAAAGATGAGAAGGAGTTAGCCAAGCAAAAAGGAAAAGGGAAGTGGAGGATGTTCCCAATAGATCCATAATATAGTCTACACACCAGCACCATGCAAACAAAAGAATTGTGCTAAAAAGATTTTTTAAAACAACTATCCATGTTTAAATTACATCACTGAAATAACTGAAGAATGAGTTGGCATGGTATCTGGTTCCGTGTGCTCTTGAACAACTAACTGGCGGATGACAATGTTCCAGCACAACTCCGGGCACAGATAGAGTGGCACGGATCAGAGCTGAGGCTCAGAAATGACTGTCAGAAGCCATTTCATGTTGTGAAAATCTCATGAATTTCCTGAAACAGGTCATTTATACTCCAGATGAACAGACAGGAAGATAAATGTAGGAAGAAGGGTGGTGGGAAAGCAAGCAGAGGACACCAACAGATGTTTCCAAAAGAGTGTATACACAACTTTTCCTTCACTTTCTATAGCTCCTGTTGCAACAAATCCTGTTGACAAGCACTGTTGCAGTTCTACAAGAATGCCCTAGTAAATACAAATGATATTCTTAAAAGTATTGTATGATGCTTTTTCCTTGCATTTTAAGGACATGAATAGGCATATCAAATTCATACCTGTTATGAAGATTGATAAGCAGAATTTATCCAATTGAGTTTATGTTACTAAATATTTATATTTTTGGATTGAGTTTTTCTCTACTTTTAGGCTAAATCCAGAGGTTTTCAATCCATGCAAGATGACAACAGAGATATAATACATCCTTCAATAATCCACATAAAGCTTAGCACAATGCCTGGCATGTAAGAAGTGTTCAATGCTCAATAAATGTTAGCTATTATTATTGTTGATATGACCTCTTTACAGAAAATAAACAGAAAATGTTTTCTGAGACATGTACACTCTTTTAAAATCAACAATACAAGCACATGATGAAAAAAACAAGTAGTTCACAAAATCTTATAATGAAAAACAATGGTGACTTGCTTCCTCCTGCCCACAGCCTCTCTTCTTATTCCTCAGACACAAATAATTGCCTTTCACTTTTTCAGCTGTTCCATCAGGTGTTTGCTTTCCTATTTTTAAATTATAGACTATACCTTTTTATTGATTAACTCATTCCAGGCATTATCAATTGACATCTTTCCATGGCAGATGAGGATTTAGGTCTCTTGCATCATTTCCTTTAGTCATT
The DNA here is from genome assembly GCF_000001405.40 of Homo sapiens. Classification (NCBI taxonomy): domain Eukaryota; kingdom Metazoa; phylum Chordata; class Mammalia; order Primates; family Hominidae; genus Homo; species Homo sapiens. The sequence continues at coordinate 65,978,575 of NC_000012.12, forward strand.
CACTCAAGAAATAATAATAGCTAATATTATTATTTTGAGACAGGGTCTCTCTCTGTGGCTGTGGTGCAATGGCATGATCAATCTTGGCTCACTGCAACCTCCACCTCCTGGGCTCAAGCCAATCTCCCACCTCAGCCTCCCAAGTAGCTGGGACTATACAGGAACACACAATCACACCAGGCTAATTTTTTGTATTTTTTGTAGAGACGGGGTCTCACTATGTTGCCCAGGCTAGTCTCAAACACCTGAGCTCAAAAGATCTGCCCACCTTGGCCTCCCAAAGTGCTAGAATTACAGGCATGATCCACTATGCCTGGCCAACTCAACAAATAATTATTGAACACCTAGAGTGCCAAGCACTTATCTAGGCACTGAGGATACAGCAGTGAACAAAACTGACAAAAATTCATTGCCTGCAAGAAGTTTACATTCTAGTGGGGAAGAGAGACATTAAACATGTCAGAGGGTTACATGTTCAATGGAGAAAAATTTAGTTGGTGAGGAGGATATGGAGCACTGGCTAGAGAGGACTACAGCTTAAATACTTTGGTCATGAAATGCCTCTCTGAGAAGTTGATATTTGACAAGACTCTAACTTTGGGAATTTTCTGATGTTGTTTCTTTGATAAGCTCCATCAGGTCATTTAAGGACTTCTCTACACTGGTTATTCTAGTTAGCCATTCGTCTAATCCTTTTTCAAGGTTTTTAGCTTCATTGCCTTCATTTTCTCTCTTCTACTTTTTTGGATACCCTATTAATCAAATGTTGAACTTGCTGGTTTAATCCTCTACAATGCTTGGATTTTCTTTTCTATCTTTCTCTGTCTTTGAGTTTTTGTTCTATTCTCTGGGAGATTTTCTTGACCCATCAGTGTGCTGTATTCAGGAGACTATCTCATGTGCAGACACACATAGGCTCAAAATAAAGGGATGGAGGAAGATCTACCAAGCAAATGGAAAACAGAAAAAGGCAGGGGTCGCAATCCTAGTCTCTGATAAAAAAAAAAAAAAAACGTTAAATCAACAAAGATCAAAAGAGACAAAGAAGGTCATTACATAATGGTAAAGGGATCATTTCAACAAAAAGAGCTAACTATCCTAAATATATATGCACCCAATACAGGAGCACCCAGATTCATAAAGCAATTCCTTAGAGACCTACAAAGAGACTTAGACTCCCACACAATAATAATGGGAGACTTTAACACCCCACTGTCAACATTAGACAGATCAACGAGACAGAAAGTCAACAAGGATATCCAGGAATTGAATTCAGCTCTGCACCAAGTGGACCTAATAGACATCTACAGAACTCTCCACTCCAAATCAACAGAATATACCTTCTTCTCAGCACCACATTGCACCTATTCCAAAACTGACCACATAGTTGGAAGTAAAGCACTCCTCAGCAAATGTAAAAGAACAGAAATTATAACGAACTGTCTCTCAGACCACAGTAGAATCAAACTAGAACTCAGGATTAAGAAACTCACTCAAAACCACTCAACTACATGGAAACTGAACAACCTGCTCCTGAATGACTACTGCGTACATAACGAAATGAAGGCAGAAATAAAGGTGTCTTTGAAACCAATGAGAACAAAGACAAAACATACCAGAATCTCTGGGACACATTTAAAGCAGTGTGTAGAGGGAAATTTATAGCACTAAATGCCCACAAGAGAAAGCAGGAAAGATCTAAAATTGACACCCTAACATCACAATTAAAAGAACTAGAGAAGGAAGAACAAACACATTCAAAAGCTAGCAGAAGGCAAAAAATAACTAAGATCAGAGCAGAACTGAAGGAGATAGACACACAAAAAGCTGTTCAAAAAAATCAATGAATTCAGGAGCTGGTTTTTTGAAAAGATCAAAAAAATTGATAGACCACTAGCAAGACTAATAAAGAAGAAAAGAGAGAAGAATCAAATAGATGCAATAAAAATGATAAAGGGGATATCACCACCGATCCCACAGAAATACAAACTACCATCAGAGAATACTATAAACACCTCTATGCAAATAAATTACAAAATCTAGAAGAAATGGATAAATTCCTCAACACATATACCCTCCCAAGACTAAACCAGGAAGAAGTTGAATCTCTTAATAGACCAATAACAGGCTCTGAAATTGAGGCAATAATTAATAGCTTAGCAACCAAAAAAAGTCCAGGACCAGATGGATTCACAGCCGAATTCTGCCAGAGGTACAAGGAAGAGCTGGTTCTATTCCTTCTGAAACTATTCCAATCAACAGAATAAAAGGGAATCTTCCCTAACTCATTTTATGAGGCCAGCATCATCCTGATACCAAAGCCTGGCAGAGACACAACAACAAAAAAATTTTAGACCAATATCCCTGATGAACATCAATGCAAAAATCCTCAATAAAATACTGGCAAACTGAATCCAGTAGCACATCAAAAACCTTATCCACCATGATCAAGTGGGCTTTATCCCTGGGATGCAAGGCTGGTTCAACATATGCAAATCAATAAACGTAATCCAGCATATAAACAGAACCAAAGACAAAAACCACATGGTTATCTCAATAGACGCAGAAAAGGCCTTTGACAAAATTCAACAGCCCTTCATGCTAAAAACTCTCAATAAATTAGGTATTGATGGGACGTATCTCAAAATAATAAGAGCTATTTATGACAAACCCACAGCCAATATCATACTGAATGGGCAAAAACTGGAAGCATTCTCTTTAAAAACTGGCACAAGACAGGGATGCCCTCTCTCACCACTCCTATTCAACATAGTGTTGGAAGTTCTGGCCAGGGCAATCAGGCAGGAGAAAGAAATAAAGGGTATTCAATTAGGAAAAGAGGAAGTCAAATTGTCCCTGTCTGCAGATGACAGGATTGTATATCTAGAAAACCCCTTCGTCTCAGCCCAAAATCTCCTAAGCTGATAAGCAACTTTAGCAAAGTCTCAGGATACAAAATCAATGTGCAAAAATCACAAGCATTCTTATACACCAATAACAGACAAACAGAGAGCCAAATCATGAGTGAACTCCCATTCACAATTGCTTCAAAGAGAATAAAATACCTAGGAATCCAACTTACAAGGGATGTGAAGGACCTCTTCAAGGAGAACTACAAACCACTGCTCAATGACATAAAAGAGGACACAAACAAATGGAAGAACATTCCATGCTCATGGATAGGAAGAATCAATATCATGAAAATGGCCATACTGCCCAAGGTAATTTATAGATTCAATGCCATCCCCATCAAGCTACCAATGACTTTCTTCACAGAATTGGAAAAAACTACTTTAAAGTTCATATGGAACCAAAAAAGAGCCTGCATTGCCAAGAGAATCCTAAGCCAAAAGAACAAAGCTGGAGGCATCACGCTACCTGACTTCAAACTACACTACAAGGTAACCAAAACAGCATGGTGCTGGTACCAAAACAGAGATATGGACCAATGGAACAGAACAGGGCCCTCAGAAATAATACCACATATCTACAACCATCTGATCTTTGACAAACTTGACAAAAACAAGCAATGGGGAAAGGATTCCCTTTTTAACAAATGGTGCTGGGAAAACTAGCTAGCCATATATAGAAAGCTAAAACTGGATCCCTTCCTCACACCTTATACAAAAATTAATTCAGGATGGATTAAAGACTTAAATGTTAGGCCTAAAACAATAAAAACCCTAGAAGAAAACCTAGGCAATACCATTCAGGACATAGGCATGGGCAAGGACTTTGTGTCTAAAACACCAAAAGCAAAGACAACCAAAGCCAAAATTGACCAATTGGATCTAATTAAACTAAAGAGCTTCTGCACAGCAAAAGAAACTACCATCAGAGTGAACAGGCAACCTACAGAATGGGAGAAAATTTTTGCAATGTACTCATCTGACAAAGGGCTAATATCCAGAATCTACAAAGAACTCAAACAAATTTACAAGAAAGAAACAAACAACCCCATCAAAAAGTGGGCAAAGGATATGAACAGACACTTCTCAAAAGAAGACATTTATGCAGCCAACAGACACATGAAAAAATGCTCATCATCACTGGCCATCAGAGACATGCAAATCAAAACCACAATGAGATATCACCTCACACCAGTTAGAATGGCAATCATTAAAAAGTCAGGAAACAACAGGTGCTGGAAAGGATGTGGAGAAACAGGAACAATTTTACACTGTTGGTGGGACTGTAAACTAGTTCAACCATTGTGGAAGACAGTGTGGCAATTCCTCAAGGATCTAGAACTAGAAATACCATTTGACCCAGCCATCCCATTACTGGGTATATACCCAAAGGATTATAAATCATGCTGCTATAAAGACACAGCACACATATGTTTCTTGCAGCACTATTCACAATAGCAAAGACTTGGAACCAACCCAACTGTCCATCAATGATAGACTGGATTAAGAAAATGTGGCACATATACACCATGGAATACTATGCAGCCATAAAAAAGGATGAGTTCATGTCCTTTGCAGGGACATGGATGAAGCTGGAAACCATCATTCTGAGCAAACTATTGCAAGGACAAAAAACCAAACACTGTATGTTCTCACTCATAGGTGGGAATTGAACAATGAGAACACATGGACACAGGAAGGGGAACATCACCTACCGGGGCCTGTTGTGGGGTGGGGGGAGTGGGGAGGGATAGCATTAGGAGATATACCTAATGTTAAATGACAATTTAATGGGTGCAGCACACCAACATGGCACATGTATACATACGTAACAAACTTGCACGTTGTGCACATGTACCCTAAAACTTAAAGTATAATTTAAAAATATATATATATATATATATATATATATATATATATATATATATATATATATATATATTTAAAGAAAATGTGGCAAAAAAAAAAAAAAAAAGAAAAGAAAAAAGAAGTCTAACACATAAGGAAAAAAAAAATTTTCTGTAACCCTTACTAGTATGTAAGCTCCTGGGGCAGACACCACATGAAGTATATCTGTCTCTGTATTGTGAGTCCCAGGCACATTGCCCGACACATAGTAGGTGCTCAATAATGTTTGAGGAAGGAAGATGAATTTCAGTAAAGGAAATAGAATTTATTAAGATTTATTAAGATCTCCTATCCCATCCCCTCCTGGAGATTATTTCTTTCTCTTTCTTCCACGTGGCTATCTTTGACACTTATGCTTACCTTCCCTAGGCAGTGTCATATGTTCTGAAACCTTCCTGCAGCATCAAACACCTGTCCTATGTCACATTACCACTGGGACTCTGCCCTCTTCTGGTCAATATGGGAACTGATCTTTTTTTTTCCTGATGCTATTTTAATGGATGATTAAGGGCTAACCTATTTTCCTTCTTTGTCTGTATTTCTATCTTAATTGGCAATTTCTGGAAAAACAAGAACTAGCCCCAAAGTAAAGACTTCAATCCATTTCTGTTTAGTAATATGTATATAAACCAAGCCAATTACCAAATTCATGAGGGATGAATCCATGTATACAACCATGGCAGTCTTCTTTCATGAATTTAAGACCTATTTATTGACTACCTATGTTAAAACAAAAACTTCCGCTGAATTAAATTTAAAGGAGTCTAATTGAGCAATGAGCAATTCATGAATCGGGCAGCCCCCAAGATCACAGCAGATTCACAGATACTCCAGGAATGCCTATGGTCAGAACAAATATATAGAGAAAAAAAAAGGAAGTGATGTACAGAAATCAGAGGTGAGGTACAGAAACTGCTGGATTGGTTACAGATTGCTGTTTGCCTTATTTGAACACAGTTTGAACACTCAGCAGTGTACAAGTGGTTGAAGTATGGCTGCTGGGATTGGCCAAGTCTCAGCTATAGTTTCAGGGCATATTCCTAAGTTAGGTTTTCAATCTTGTCGGCCTATTAAGTTAGGTTGCAGTTCACCCACAAGGACTTAAATAAAGAAGTACAGAGTCCTTCTCAGGCAATATTTAGTTTGCTTTAACAAATCCCCACTTTTGGTCATTTTTCTCAATTTTGAGGCATTAACCAAAACATTAGTCATTGATGTCACTATCACCATTGTAAATGTACTTATTTGGTCTTGAAACCCACTAGGAAACAGTAGAACAGTGAGTTTTGCAAAGGTAGGAACAAGGGCTTGAGTACAAGTTACCTCCTTTTGCTGGAATATTCTGTTTACAGGAGAAAAATGAAACCTGGTCTATTCTAAGATGTATGTGTTTGCTTAAAATCTTAGTTTGATTATATCACATGTAGCATGAGCGACTCCATTTTTGTTTGCTTTGGTCTGCTGGGGCCTAGTGCATGAACTCAGTCCAAAACAATGGCCTCCTGTAATTTTGCTTTAAAAAATCTCCCTTTTTGCGTCAGGTTCTCACTTAGGTGAGAGTGTGACCAAAACTTAGGGTCTTAGTGCCACACTCAGTTACCATCATTTTGGGTTTCCAGTCTCAGCATGTCATTCATAGGTTACAGTGTCCTTACGGTTGAACACTTCTTTCAGCTCTTGTCATTGCAGTGAAGACAGACCATTTGACATTCTAGAGATGGCTGCATGCAAACATTTAAAACCTTCGAGAGAATACAGTATGCCAGGGAGACTGTTATTATGACTTTGGGGAGGATAATACCAAGAATTTGGAGTATGCTCCTTACTAGGGTCCCCACAAACCAAACCACCTAAAATCAAATAGATTAGAGAATGAGCTAGACAAAGAGTCTACTCACTTAACTAAGCAGTCTCTTCGTTAATCCCCTACAAGTGAATCTCTATAATCTACATTTGATGTATTTCTCCATAGGCCACGAGGGCCAGCAGCTGCACAGATACTTTTCTGTTCAGCCACTAAATAATCTAGAGCAATTCTATTATTTAGCATAACTTTCAGAAGAGAATTTAAGTCTGTTGTGTAACCATAGCCTTTATAGTAGAATCTGCTACAGAGCCTGTCATGAGGGATACATTTCTAATCATTGTCTGTTTTATTCCAAGCCATGAAAAAAGAACCTAACAAATGATGCCTCTCTTGAAGAGTGAAGGCCTCCTGGCAATGTTCTCTTTAACCCATGATGTGGGTTAAGAAGAGTGAACCAATGTTCTGTTTTTGAGTGATTATGAGGCAACATATGTACAACTAAAGTTTCTTATCTACATTAGGACTTTTTTTTTCTTTTTTTTTTGAGATACAGTCTTACTCTGTTGCCCAGGCTGGAGTGCACTGGTGCAATCTTGGCTCACTGCAGCCTCTGCCTCCCGGGTTCAAGTGATTCTCCTGCCTCAGCCTCCCAAGTAGCTGGGACTACAGGTGCACCACCACGCCCAGCTAATTTTTGTATTTTTAGTAGAGATGGAGTTTCACCATGTTGGCCAGGATGGTCTTGATCCCCTGACCTTGTGATTTACCCACCTTGGCCCCCAAACTGCTGGGATTACAGGCGTGAGCCATTGCCCCAGCCAGGCCTTCATTTTTTTATCTATCAAAGTATAAGGTTATCCATGTATACGGCTGGTTGCAAAACCCTTCACAAATAAAAGCATAACCCATAAGTGCACACAACAGACCCCCTTTTCATTTCTATTGTTCATAGACACATAAACAAGGAGAAAAAATTCAAAGATAAGAGTCTCATGAGAGTAGAGAAGTCTTGATCCATGATCTCGGGAAAAGCTGCTCACATCAAGGATGCCATCTTCTGGAGAGAAACTTTCCTGGTTAGCTTTACCTTAAGGATTCCAGCGGGTGTACAGTTCCAAGAGTGTGGAGGGACCCTTCTCAGTTGTGACATTATGAACCCAAAGTTCAAGTGTCCAAAGTCTTGTTGTAGTGTAAATGGCAAGGGCAGTCTTTCCCTGATATTTTCAGAAGATCCCGTTTTCAGGTTCTAGTTTGTGAAGGAGTTGACTGTCCTCAGTAAAACATAAAAAGCTTTCTTTAGCTGGTGAAATTACAATGTAGCATAATAACGTACTGTTACAACATCAGTCCTCTTGCATGAGAGAACTTTTCTATAACCAGAAAACATGCATTGAAAATGACAATTGAATGAAATCCCTTTATAAAATGTTTAAATGGACCATCAGGTAACCAAATGTACCTGAAGTTTTGATTGTTTTCCCAGGAATATGGGTTTGACAAACCAAACACTGGTTATACACTATTTATCAATTTATAAGTTACCACACCAATATATTTAATTTTGATTATTTTATCTTTTCCATGATGAGTTATGGAATGCAGGACTTTTAATAACAAAAGCTTTAAGGGCTCAGGAAGGACAAGGCAGCTGTCCTGGTCCTCCAAGTATCCATCCTTAACATTGGACTTATGTTCTCTTGAACACCAGTTGTTTTTCCAATTTAGGTGCATAGCACTGATAACTGATAGGTTACCACAGGTAATTTGACTTAGACCACGGAGCTCATTCAAATTGCATATATAAACAATTTCAGTATTGGCTGATTTAGGATGAAAATCTGGCAAAGTATTTTCTTGGTATTTAATTAATTTTTGTTCTACATGGGTTAGTAGTTTTATAACCCAGTCAGTCTTTTCTGTAACATTCCAGGAATTTTTACCCAGTCCAAATGATATGATTCTAAAGTTATCAGAAACCTGTATTCAGGAGTGCTTTTCAAGGTTCTTTCTATCCTTTCATGAACCTCCTAAAAAACATCAGCATATTCTAGGATTTTGTATGCTTATGAAGTTTTCAGAAACTGCACCAGCATTAACCAATTAACTGGAAATAACTTTAAATAGTCATAGTAAAAAATACAATTGACAAGGAAATTTGGTTCTTTCTGTGGTCTACAATAACAACATAATAACCATAATTATAATTGATAGCATATAGACATATTAGAATTTTAGAAATCCCATGCAATTTTGGGACATATTGATGATATACACTAGAATGTAACCTAAAGATGTATAACCTAAAACCTATAAACATTATTTCTTATTTTGACAATACTTCCTATGTAACTTAACATACCAAATAATCTTGTTTACCTCTTTTTCAGTTGCTTCAGGGGCCCTATGTAGCATCCCAAAGTTAGAGGTCAGAAAAGACAATTTTGCAGCTGAAATTTGATTTTGGGAAGTCTTTCAATATGTTAAAGCTTTAAAACACTTGATATTATGAGATAGAATTGCAGGTCACCACAAGCCATTCATTTAGCCAAAATAATGAGTTTAAAAAAATTTTTAAGGCAAAAACCTTTACATATTGATAGAGGGAAGATTTAGCTTTCCAAATAATCTGTCCCTTGTCTTTCCCTTCTTTTTTCAGTAGTTTATTCAGTAGTTATTCAGTAGTTTATTTGTTTGCCTTATTCAAAAGGCAAACAAAAGTCTTTCATTATCCTTTGATATTACCTGAAAATTTTGTTTGAGAGGGAACCAAACTTCACACTTCCATTAATCTACTATTAATGTCAACCCCAATTTTTAATAACACTTATAGACAAATTTATCAATTTAATCAGTTTGGCCAAAAGGTGAGATTCTCATAAACCTTTATAACCCTTTACAATTTTTGTTAAAGACCAGATCAGTACTCTAAGAAAAACCTGTTATGCTTTTATTTTAATGTTCAATTTACAGAAAAACTGGATAATACCCCCTTTAACTTTAGCCAATATGGTTACAAACAGAACGTTTTACAATTAATTTTACACACCTTCCACAACTTGCTCAAAGCTTTAGCATTTTTTTTTTTTTTTTGAGGCAGAGTTTCACTCTGTTACCCAGGCTGAAGTGCAACGGCACAATTTTGGCTCACTGCAACCTCTGCCTCCCAGGTTCCAGCAATTCTCCCACCTCCCAGCAATTCTCCCACCTCAGCCTCCACAATAGCACGTGTATGCCACCATACCCAGCTAATTTTTTGTATTTTTAGTAGAGATGGGGTTTCACCATGTTGGCCAGACTGGTCTTTGAATTCCTGACCTCAAGTGATCTGCATGCCTTGGCTTCTTAAAGTGTTAGGATTATAGGCATGAGCCACCGCACCTGGCCCAAACCTTTAGCTTTGTCTTATTTAATTTAAAACAATCCTTTAACCCTCTAAACTGGGTAAAAATTTACATTCCTATGCCTTCTTATAATTTTTTTTTACCAAAAGCATATTTCACTTTCCTTACACACCTTGAATATAAAACTGTTTTTTCAGTATCTCAATTACATGTGATAATGGTAACTCTTAGCAACTTTTATTTTTGGTGCATAAATTTCCTTTCACAAGTCTTTTCATGACTTGCACAGATCATCTACAACATCCTTGGACTTTCTCACTTGTCCTAAACATCCCTTTTTTAAACTAGTTATTTTACTTTAGGACAAGAATTTACCATACAAGATCCTTTCTTTCATAAAATTTCTTTTCTTTATAATCTTCTTTGCATAGCTAAGGGGCATGGCTAATTCCACATGTTCCCAGGCCTTATCTAGAATCTAATGTCTCCAAGGTAGGTAAATTGAACAATTTTCAAAAGTCAAAGCAGTTTATGACCTTAAAGCATTTAGCAAACCTAATATCTGACCTGCCTAATTTAGAACAAAAGTCTTTATTTTACCAATAATCTTTTAAACTTTTTATTTCCCAAAGATTACTAAGGTTACATGAACTAAAAAGCCTTAAAATTTTTATTTTTCTTTCAAAAAATTTTCTTTAAATGCTTATTTTTCTTTAAGCCAATTCGTTAGAGCTCTTTTATATAAACATCACACATACAACATATATATAACTATACAGATAGACAGAAGAAGATCCAGTAGTTGTAAGATTTTTCCTTTGCCAGTTTTTAAGTTTTTTAACTGGATTACTGGCTTTAGGGTGGAGTCCTTGGAGAGACAGGACCAGGAAAGCATGCAGTTTCTACAGCCCAATATAATAAACAGACACAGCTGGAAGGCAAATCAGATCTCCAGAAAGTAAGGGTCCCATTCCCATTTTTATAACAGATCCTGGATCCCCAAAAGAGGGGATCAGCTCATCTCCCATGGGATTCTTATCTCTCAGTTGGGGGTGGGGACATTTCCATAATTTCTAGGTGGCCAAGAGCATGCTTCTCTTATCCAAACATGCAGAGCTAAGTATCTCCCCATAATCGCCATTAGCTAACCCCAAAAGTATATTTCCAACCTAGTTACTACATACCAAACCTCTCTTATAATGCAAAGTAATTTCTGATACCCCCCAAAGTCAAAAATGTCAGATAATGCCACGCAAAAGAGAACAGAGCCTTAGATTTTTGAGAGGGAACTGTCAGGTGGCTAGAATACAGTAAGCCAGGAGTAAACTGTCAGAGATGAAGAAAGAGAGGTAGCCAGGAGACTAGTCAGAGACAGCCTTGTGACCACTGCAAAGACCATGGATTTTATTCTAAATGTGACATAAAGGTATTGAAAAGATTTGAGCACAGGATCAACATGATACTACTTATATTTTAAGAGGATGACTGTCACTGTTATGACTTTAGGAGGAAGCAGGGAGTTGAGGGAAGAGAAGAAACAGATGAATCAGGAGGCACAGTGCAGCAACAAGAGATGAAAGGTAACAGTGGCTTGGACTACAATGGTAGTGGGAGAAGGTGAATACATGGTCAGATTCAATAATTAGTTTTGAAGTTAATGCCAATAGGATTAGGAGATGGGTTTGATACAGGCTGTGGTAGAAAGAAAGGAGTCCAGGATAATGTCAAGGTTTTATGTCACGGGAAGAAGGAGAAGGTTCCATTTAGGTAACAATATGTAATAGCAGCATGTTGCAACCCACACATATTTTATTAAAGAGTTCATGAATTCTGTTAACTTAGGATCCTTCTGCTCTAAAGGCTAACATCATCCTTCCAGCTCCCAGGGAAACACTTCTCTATATCACTTGCCCCATATCCTTGTAAGTTTCTGACTGTCATGTCCAACCTGCAGCCCATGGGCCACAAGTAGCCCAGGATGGTTTTGAATGCAGCCCAACACAAATTCATAAACTTTCCTGAAATATTATGAAATTTTTTGTGTTTTTTTTTTACCTTATCAGCTATTGTTAGTGTTTCACGTATTTTATATGTGACCCAAGATAATTCTTCTTCTAATGTGGCCCAGGGAAGCCAAAAGATTGGACACCCCAGTACAGGTTGCACCATTGCCAACACTGGAGATTAACACTGCTTTGAGTAAGAAGATGATTTGAGCAGTAGAAACACTTGGGTGAGACAGAAAACCAAATGAGCATGTCACACCTTTTTTCTACATAAATGACATCATTTCCCAGTAGTACTGAGCATCAAGTTTCTTGCTTCTCATGATATTCCAATTTGTGACCTTGGAGATGCTTACCAATGAGCTATTCAAGATAATGATATAACTATTCGACTTAATAATTCAATGAGATAACAATTCAAAAAGCATATGGCTTCTGAAGAAAACAATTTGTAACTTAAAAAAATCACATTACTTTTAAATTTATATATGTAGGTCTCAGTCTAACTAATGTGTGAAATGTAATATTGATTCTTAACACTGATAATAAGATGAACACTGAACATTAGATTTGCAAAAAGCTTTACTTCTATAAAATATTTGATAAATGTGATTAACTTTTCAAAAAACTAAATTTAAATACATGAAAATTAGGAGATGAAGGCAGAGTCATGCAGAATGAAGTTTTGAACACGAGCTCTGTTAAGGGATCAGTTGCATTTTCTTACTGGTAGGGAATCAGCCTACCTCAGACACCTGGGCATCAATCCACTGGTGTGAATGTTTTTGGAGAGGGACAAGTTTTATTTAAATAATTTTAAAATTTTGTTATATATTTTGTTATGATAATCACATGTATTTATATTTTGCCTTTCAATTTTGTAGGTTATTTTAAATAGAAGAAATAACTTTTTTGAAAACACACCAAAATAATTTTAATTTTATAATTTTGACATTTACTCTAATATATTTTTATAAGATACATTCAATTTTATATCCACTAAATATATTTTATTAATTCTTTAGATCATTAATGGCAATGTAACACACATTCGATGAAAAACTCATTATAACATAACAAATGATTTTGCAAAGTCAAGAAAAATCTATTTTATAGAATGACTATATAAAAATGTACATACTAACATATAACAATGTATGAATTATATATATATATTATTTTCAACCTGTAAGTTAAATAATGTTTAATAATACTTGTTCAATTCCATTTAATAATCTTTGTTATTTTGCCAATGAAATCAGCAATGCATTTACTCATATTTTTATTCTGTCTGATATTATAATAGTATTTTTGACAAGGAAGTAGGAGAGAACATCTTTTATTTGACCAGGGTTAGCTTGATTTATAACTTCTTAAACATTTGGTATTTGGGTATTGGTGCTCTTGCCTAGACCCTATAAATATTCCAGACAGCTTCGTTGTTCACAGAGAAGACTGTGATTAACTCTGTCTGGAGGGTCAGAGAAAGCTTCACTCAGGAGGTGCTGTCAGTCTGGAGGTTCAGAGAAAGCTTCACCGAGGATAGGGTCATGAAGGGCAGTTAGGAGCTCATCAGTAGGTGAGCTCTCCATCAGACTATGGAAGAAGGGCATTCAGAGCACAAGAACAGCACATGCAAAGCTGGGTGGCCATGTTCTGTGAAATGCAGTACGTTTGACCTAGTTGGATATAAAGTTATGTGGGGCTAGGGGAATGGTTGGGCATGGAGCTAGAAATACGACTCAGAGAAAGACATCTTTTGCTCTCCAGGAGTTTGAAAGGAGTCTGGTGGCAGTCATGGTGCATATCTTAGGAAATACTTTGAGTGACAGATCCTGATACAGATCTTTGCTATTCTACCCAGCCTAGGATCTTTCGTTTTGTGTATTTTTTGAGACAGGGTCTTGCTCTGTTGCCCAGGCTGGAGTGCAGTGGCATGATTTCTGCTCACTGCAACCTCCGTTTTCCATAGCCCAGGATCTTAAACCAAGTAAATTCTTGGAATATTTGCTGAATTGAAGTGAAAAAAATTACATATTTGAATTTATTCTTTTTTTTTTTTTTTTGAGATGGAGTTTCATTCTTGTTGCCCAGGTTGGAGTGCAATGGCATGACCTTGGCTCACTGCAACCTCTGCCTCCTGGGTTCAAGCAATTCTTCTGCTTCAGCCTCCCAGGTAGCTGGGATTACAGGCATGCGCCACCACGCCCGGCTAATTTTGTATTTTTAGTAGAGACGGAGTTTCTCCATGTTGGTCAGGCTGGTCTTGAACTCCCAACCTCAGGTGATCCGCCCACCTTGGCCTCCCAAAGTGCTGGGATTATAGGCGTGAGCCACCACGCCCAGCCGAATTTATTCTTAAGGCTACTTGTTAGAAATGCTATGAGATAGTTGAAGCCTTGCAAACAATAAAATATTAATTAAAATTAACATAATAAATTATGATTATCACCAATAATATTAATAACAGCCTTGTCAATAAACTAGCACATGATGATCAGTATATTACATGCTCTAGATGAATTATCTTTCTTTTTTTTCCCAGCTAATAAAATGATCACAAATACATGAAATATCTCTTAATTCTCACATGAATGCTGATATAGATGGGCTATCAAGGGACAGTGAGATGAATTCACCTGCCCTGATACAGCTAATAAGTGACAGACCAGAAGTCTAAACTCAGGTTGGCTTGGATCTAGAAAGATTTGGAAGGTGTCCCCCCTCCTCCCACTCCCTCCCCACAAGGAACAGGCAGTGCTTTTAAAATAGTTCAAAGGATTGTAATCGCCCTCAAAATGCACCACTTTGTGGGGTTTTTTTTTCTCCTGGCAACTTTACAAGGTTTGCACAATGGCCACATCTATATGATAAACAGATGGAGCATGCACTGTTTCCATCGGTGAAACACACAATGGATTGGTACTGGGGTTTCTGTGGGAGGTGAAGGGACTCGCCAGCCAATAAGAGAACACAGATATTCAACTGACAGAGCTAGGGGACAAGGGTTTCCTTTTGCAGGATTCCTAAGTGCTGTCAGTAAGAATCTATTTGCCCCATCAAGGGATCAGTTGAGAGACACCTTTTCCCCCAAACTGGAAGTACTGGAATCTATTAGAAATGTTTAGAAGAATGTAACTATTAAGAGAAGGGAAAGAATTACTTCATGGTATACAAAAATTTGATGAAGAGATTTCCTTACAGGTGAATCTCAGTTACTTGGAGCCAGATGATAGGAGAGTTTGCTGAAGAAAGATGAGGGAGCTGGGCCACCAGCTATGGTTTTGCAGGTTGTACACTGCACAAGGGTACCTGGCTGGAATAGCAAGTGAGACCAAAACCCAGCAAGCACTCTGCTTGCCAACTCATCCACACTGGTGCAGGGTTTCATCTGCCCAGGAGAAGGGAAACTTTGCTTGAATATGTATATATTCACCAAATGTACTAGTGGCAGCCCAGCCCTAGAGTGCCTCCTCTTTAAGGGTGCCAGTGGTGACATTATGCATTCCTCCTCAGTCTTCCAAATCTCCACCACGACTTGGAGCATTTGAGAGACTATATAGAGTAGTAGCCTCTAGCAGTGCACTACCAAGTTCAGTAGCCACTAGTCACGTGTGGCTTTTGAACAGTTGGAATGTGGCTGTTGCAAATTGAGATATAAAATACACACCACGTATGTAAAATGTAAAATACACACCAGATTTTAAAGACTTTATATGAAAAAAGAATAAAAAGTATTCATTAATAATTTGATTACATGTTAAAATGAAATATTTTTATATATTAGATTAAACATTATTAAAATTAATTTCACATCTTTTTACTTTTTAAATGCAGCTATTAGAAATTTTGAAATTCTCTATTTGGCTTACATTATACAGTTGACCTTTAAACAACACAAGTTTGAGTTACTCAGGCTCACTCATGCATAGATTTTCTTCCACCTCTGCCGCCCCTCAGACAGCAAGACCAATCCCTCCTCTTCCTCCCCCTCCTCCTCCTCCTCAGGTTACTCAGTGTGAAGACAATGAAGATGAAGACCTTTATGGTGATCCACTTTCACTTAATGAATAGTAAATATATTTTCTTTTCCTTATGATTTTTTTAATGACATTTTCTTTTCTCTAGCTTACTTTACCCTAAGAATACAGTACATAATACATATAACATATAAAATATGTGTCCATCAACTGTTTTTATTATTATAAGGCTTCTGGTCAACAGTAGGCTATTAGTAATTAGGTTTTGGGGGGTCAGAAGTTACATATGGTTTTCAACTCTGCAGGGTGGGGGTACCTTGGTGCCCCTAACCCCCACGTTGTTTGAGGGTCAACTGCATTTCACTTGGACAACATCGCACTAGAGTCAGGCAGAGGTGGTTTAAACCCCCACCCATCCACTTATCAGCACTGCTTCTTCAGGCAAGTTTCTTTGTTTGTTTGTTTGTTGGTTTCTCAAGACAGAGTCTCACTCTGTCTGGAGTGCAGACTGGAGTGCAGTGGCGTGATCTCAGTTCACTGCAACCTCTGCCTCCCGGGTTGAAGCGATTCTCCTGCCTCAGCCTCTCAAGTAGCTGGGACTACATGTGCACACCAACACACCTGGCTAATTTTTGTATTTTCAGTAGAGATGGGGTTTCGCCATGTGGGCCAGGCTGGTTTCAAACTCCTGACCTCTAGTGATCCA
Organism: Homo sapiens; assembly: GCF_000001405.40. Taxonomy (NCBI): domain Eukaryota; kingdom Metazoa; phylum Chordata; class Mammalia; order Primates; family Hominidae; genus Homo; species Homo sapiens. The sequence continues at coordinate 65,995,232 of NC_000012.12, forward strand.
CCCTCCTTGTCCTCCCAAAGTGCTGGGATTACAGGCATGAACCACCGTGCTCGGCCTTCAGGCAAGTTTCTTAAGTGTTTATTTTCTGTAAACATGACTTCATAAACTTACAGAGTTGTTCTAAAGATTAAATGAGGTAATGCATGCATCCTGACACTGCACTAGCACGTAAACATTATTATTAAAGTGTTCCGGTCACAGTTCCCCCAAAGAGAGGGACAGGAGACACAAGTGGATACTCCCAGCATTCCAATGCACAGGTACAAATTGAGGACCAGAATCAAGCCATAGCCTTTATACAAGGAAGGAGATCTTGCAAAGGGCCTTACCTTTGAGCACTGTTTTTTGTTGTTGTTTTGTTTTGTTTGAGATGGAGTCTCGCTCTGTTACACAGGCTGGAGTGCAGTGGCACCATCTCAGCTCACTGCAACCTCTGCCTCCTGGGTTCAAGTGATTCTCCTGCCTCAGCCTCCCAAGTAGCTGAGACACTAGGCACGTGCCACCACGTCCAGCTAATTTTTTGTATTTTTAGTAGAGAAGGGGTTTCACCATGTTGGCCAGGCTGGTCTTGAACTCCTGACCTGAAGTGATCCACCTGCCTCGGCCTCCCAAAGTGCTGGGATTATAGGCCTGTTTTTCTCTTTTCAGAAATCCTGCCTTTGTTCCCTAGAAGCCTGCTCTCTAAGGACTCTAAGGAAGCATTCTTGCTGGAGTCATCTGGAGCCACCTATCTATGCCACTCTGCCCCATGGGGCCCTACATGGTAAGGTGCTCAGGGCAGTGATGTAGCTCTGTTTTCTTCACTAGGCTCTACACTGGGGCTCAGTTCTAGGTGATGTGTTTTCAGGAGCACTGTTTTTTGTTTGTAAACATACTGCCCTTTTCCCCTCGTAGGAGACTGAAAAGAAAACAAACAAACAAAACCCAACAAGCTGCTCTGCAACCACAATACTCACTGCTACGTGTGTATCCAGCTTGTTCTTGGACAGGTAAAGGTAGGAGGGAATGTTCATAGTTTTCATTTTTGCAAAAGCCTCAAAGATCTGTATAAATCCTTGGTCCAGACATGTTTCTTTGTGGGCACATTGACAACGTTTCGATTCATAAATGAGGAAGCGAGGACAGATGTGTTAATCTGAATGCTCAGCTTCTGAACAAGACTGAATATTCGTTCATCTACTCATTCTACATTTCAGAGGGGTTCACACCAGATTTCCAGGGGCGCACAAGTTGCAACCTGAGTCAATTCCTTTGATCACAACTGTCATTTTTCTCTCAACCCCAACCTTAGGTGGCTCAGTCATTTGTTCGTTCACTTTCCCGCTAAGGCTTGTCCCTGGAATGCCACAGCTGCAGAGTTCCCCACATAAACAAGGCTTCTAACTAACTGATACACTCAAAACTTACTGATAAAGAAAGCAGCAATAGCCTATGCTTGAAGATGACAAAAAGAAAAAATAAAAATAAGGAAAAGAAATAGTAATGAAAACAAGAGGAGGGTGTCACTGTCTGCTGATTGGATCTGCACCCAGAGAGCCATGCACTTTTCTGAGTTTTAAAATTTTCCAACCCAAATCAGCACAAACTGTTAAGCTTTGTGCTGAAGATTGTGGGGACAGGAAGTTAGAATAAAAGGCAAGTGATGAATATCATTTATTTAAGAAATCTGGACTCAACTGACCATCATGATCGTTGTCAGTTTTGCACCATAAAAATATTTAGTCAAAAGGTTTCTGCCCTGTTCCTGTTTCTTTTTGCCCCTTCACGATTCCATTCTGTTTCCAGTATTTCACTAGCTGGGAAATTTTATTTTTGAGTTCTGAAAACAGAGAGGCATGGTCTCCAAGCCATAGGTTGATTTTCATTGGGAAAATGTTGAATGAATGTTTGGTAGGCTCACGACACGAAATGAAAGGAGATGCAAAGATAAATGAATGTTGCATGTGCCTTCACGGCATTTCAGTCTAGAGGAAGAGCTTAGATGTATATTTAATCACCCACAAACATTTATTAAATGCTTACTTGGCTTACTACATGCCAAGCATGTTCTCAGTATCGGGAACAAAGCAAAGACATTGCTATCATGTGGCTCATACTCTGGAAGAAGGAGACAAACAGTAAAGAAATAACTATAATGTGCCTGATATTATAGTACCAACTTAGTGCTGTTCACCAAATAATTCTGGCTCTCCCCCTTGCTGGGCACATGGTGACATCACTCTTCCCTTCCCTTTTTGAAGTTAGGTGTGACTTGTTATGACCAATGACACAGGAGCAGAAATCACATATATCACTTGCAGGCAGAGGCTTTAAGAGTCAGTGCACAACCCACCACATATCCCATCACCACTGCTGCGGTAATTGCAGAAACACGTGTTAAATGATGCCTCGTCACTCTTCAACCCTGGGCCATTACCATGATCAGAGGCTCCTGCTGACCTTCAGTAGACATGTAGTGTGAGCAAGACAAATGTTTGCTTTTTTAGCCACTCACATTTGAGGATTATCAGTTACCCACAACATAGATCTTTTCTGAGAAGATGGGTTGGCTAAGTACTCTGCAGAAAAACCAAGCAGGGTTAAGGATATAAAGGAATGGGGTGAGAGGAAGTGGTTCCTATATCAAATAGGGTGGTTAGGGAGGTCCTCTCTGATAAATTAATATTTGGGCAGAGATATGAAAGAAATCAGAGTGCCAGCCATGAGGATTTCTGGCTGAAGAACATCTCAGGCAGATAAATAGGCAAGCACAAATGTCCTGAGACAGGAGCATGCTTGCAATGTGTGATGAGACCAGTGTGGCCAAAGCACAATGTGAATGGAGGAGAGTGGTAGGAAATGAATTTGGAAAGGTTGGTGGGCATAACAGAGGAGGGCTTTATGGTCTGCATGTGGTATATGTTAAGATCAAGTGTGACGTGAAGTCAGAGGCGTGTGAGATGACAGTAGATGAACAGCATTTGAGCTGGTCATCTTTGATGCTTATCACTACCTCATCGTTTATGTCTAACTCATCATCAAATCCTAATGATCTCTTGGATCTCTTCCCTCTGCCCTGCCCTTGTCAGCCCCACAGCCACCACTTTGGTTCCAGGCTTATTAGCCTTTACCTGAACCATTGCAGTAGCTCTCTAACTGACCAAGTCCTTTCATTCTTAGAGCCCTCAAATGAATCTAATCTATTACAGCCACTGCCTCCAGGAATGAATCCTTTAATAACTCAAAACTGATCAAGTTACACAGCCCCAGTTATAACACATCCATGGCTCCACACTCCCTAATGAAAAACAAAACAAACCCAACTATTTAGCACAGAATGCGAGACTCTTCCTATGAAAACCTACAAGTCCCCCTCTCCAGTCTTGACCTCACCATCACTCTTTCTTCCTCATCTCCAGAATTCTCTCACTCCTTCAGCTTCCTACACATCACTTTGTTTCATACCTTCGTGTCTTTGCACTCATTCCCTTGGCCTCTCCAGATCCTTATCTGCCAGCATCACTCAAAACCCTGTTTCATCATGGCCTCCTTTGCAAAACTTCCTGTGGCACTGATCCAATGAGGTTCCCCTCTCCTTTACCTTAGCATTTTAAAGACTACATCCATGGCTGCACATATGACCTAGTATACATTACCTGTTTACGTGGCTGCTCCTCTTCCAGTGTGTATGTTCTTTGAGAATGGAAACGTGTGATTCACTTCTGTTATCAGGGGCAGGGCCTGTACAGTTCTTCCTCCACCATGGGGTGATTGTGATGTCTCCTTCAAAAGCACCCTCTGAGTTTCCAGACCTTGCCTCCAAACCTGTTGTCTCCCAAACCTGTTGCCCATGCTTTGCTTCTAACTTTTGGTTTTATTCTCTGTTAAATGCTTTGGACTTAATATTTTCAACCCTTCCACATTTCCACCCTCAGGCTTTGCACTGGACACCCAAAACATACCACCTGGGGCCTGCTTGGATCAATCCTGGTACCTGGACCACTTCCAGAGCCGAGGTCCTATTTGCAGTCCAGTAGTTGGGCATTGCACACTGCTGTATACAACAGCTGCTTCACACAGGACTGCAGAACTGAACTGCCCTCATGTTGCTTCACCTTCTGTCTTCTTCACTGTGCACTGGCTTAAGAAAATAGCAGAGCTTTCTCCAATTCTCCACCAAGCTGACTCAACATAAAGCAAAGTTTCAAAAGGTTTGAAAGGTGAGTGGCAGCAGCTTCCTATAGCAGTTTGGGTGGTCCCACCAGGGCCCATCAAACTTACCTTACCTACCTTTCTTTATCTCCACCCACCCTGGTGCCTTTCTACCTTGAGTTGCTGGAAATGCCTTCAGAGCCCCCACATAGGAATAGAGTTTGTAGAATTTGTCCAAGCCTGTCTGAAATAGGGGTATGGAAACCACAAGAATGAAGTTGTGGTTTTTTTTAAAAATACTTGGCAATTCTTCCCAAATATGCATTCTGATATGGGTGAGGAGACAGAATGAGATCCTTGTCAGACTCTGTTATGTCAGCATGAATCTCCTCCTAGGGCCATTTTGCCTCAAAGAGTATGTTTTGAGTCTTTTTGTCCTGGAAAAACCCACAGGAGCTGTGAGTAAGGATGGTGGCATGCAGGGGCCCAGGTGTGGGCTGGAACACTTCTTGCTGCCAGCTCCAGAGTTCCTGGGAAAGCAGTATGATAGTGGTAGGAAGAATTTCTAGGCAATACTGCTTTCAGGGAATAAAGGTGAAAGTGAAGGGAAAATTAAGCTCACAAATGAAAATGAAAGATAAAGTAGCCTTTCTTTTCTCTGGCCTGATTAAGCTTAGTACTCTTTCGTTGATGAAAAGAGGATCCAACATGAGGATTTTAAGCTTGTGCTGTCCATGGTGGCTTCATATCTAGAAGGTATTTTTAATAAAAGGAGTGCTCAGATCACTGGCTAGAAGAAAGAGCACCCAAGCACATCAGAGATGTCATGGTTAGTCCCAGATCTCACAAAGGGAACCAAAGGATTGACCAACCCCACACAGGTCAGGTCTCTTATGTTTGAAGCCTTCACAGTGGCCTAAAAACATCTGCATGAAGCCTCCAAATGGTAGACAACTGGATGCTTGATATCTCCTCTATTTTCTTATTTTGGCATAGATTAATGGCTTATGATATTGCATCACATTGGTTTATTAAAACCAGAACTAACTTCCCTTTAATTTTAATTATGAGTGAGGTTTATTCAGAGACCATTGCGAATGGGTAGGAATCAACTACAAAAGTGTAAAACCTGTTTTCAGATAGAGGCCCCTTGCTCCCAATGTTGGAAATAAGGTCCTAATCCCAAAGTTAGGTAATTTTCAGGTCACCCCAGTGACCACTGGAGAGACAAGAGAAGCCAGGGAGAGAGTTTCTCTGAGAATCAGTCAGAAGTCTAGGCCTGTGTCTCTCAACCTTGATTGTATAGTAAGATCTCCAGGGAGGTTTTTTTTGTTTTTTTGTTTTTTTGTTTTTGTTTTTTTTTTTGGTTTTGTGTGTGTGTGTGTGTGTGTGTGTGTGTGTGTGTGTGTGTGTGTGTGTGTGTGTTTAATTCCCAGAGACGGCAGACAAGCTCAAGAGGTCTTCAGGTGGAAAACTAGAGCCATTACCTGAGTAGCTGTAATGCAGCTGCTGCCTCAACTCCGTGGTAAAAGGGAGATATTAAAGATATTGGATCAAATATTTCACCCCCTGCAGAGAAGTCTTCATGCTGCCTACGAAGTCTTCTCTTGCTTAAAGGTGCTTCCCCACTCCCCAGAATACAAAGTCCAATGCATAGCATCTCTGAGAATCAGGCCTCTTTCTCCTGTTCCCAGCTTCCCAAGAATTCCACCATTCCAGTTTTTTTCTAGGTATCTAACCTTATCTACATAGCCATGTATCTGAGTGATGGCTGACTCCATCCCTATATCAAAGTAAGTGTCTAAGCCAGATGTTGGCAAACTATGGCCCTTGGGCCAAATCCAATCTGCCACTTGTTTTTGAAAATAAAGTTTTATTGGAACACAGTCATGCTCTTTCATGTACACATTACCTATGGCAGTTTTTGCACTACATCAGCAGAGTTGAGTAGTTGCAACATATGATATGGTCCAGAAAACATAAAATATTTATTGTTTAGCTTTTTATAGAAAGTGCTTGTGAATCCTGGTCTAAGTCTTTTTGCTCAGAGACAGATTTAGAAGTGACAACATGAGCTATTTCAGGCCAACCAAGTATGATGAGATGTCTGCTACAGTTTCCTAAAAAGACAGAACAGGAAAAGAGAGCCCTGTCCATCTTCTGACCATTGCTATGTCTGGATATGAGAGTCAACCCCTTGAAGACTCCTTGAAGAGGAGGTGTTGAAAGAACTTACGTCCTTGATGACACTGTTGAGTCTCTCAATCATCCAACTTTGCAGAATTCCCCACTCTAGACTTCTTAATATCTGACATACTAACTACCTGTATTGCTCAAATCAGTTTCTGATGGGGTGCAATATTATTTGCATGTTAAATATCCTGAGTCAAATATAAATTACTAAACTTGACTCCAAGAGAAATATTAAGCTAAAAAATACTAATACACATTTTAAAATTTCGTAGATAGATCATTGTCAATAATCTAACTACAAAACAAGGAACAGATTCATAGAGTATACCAAGCCCTCAAAGAACAAATAACTTATTTTACACAACAGTTATAGAAACTATAAAAGGGAGATGCTCTCCATATCCTTTTTATGAAGCTAGAAAAACTTTGATATTAAAAGTGCATAAGGGCAGTATAGTATGAGAAAAAATGTATAATAGACATAGCTATGAACATAGGTACACAAACTTTTCATAACACCTAATATCTGTTACTTTTTAACCAAAGAAAGTAAGGAAGCAAAAGAGAGGGAGAAGAGAGAAAAAGAGAGAGAGAGAAAGATAAAAAGAGAAAGAAGGAAAAAAGCAAGCAAGAAAAAAAATTTAATAAATTTGCAATAAAAAGACATTTTCTTAATCTGATATAAGTACCTGTCAACAACCTAAAGCAGATGTCATACTAAACGTGAAAATCAAAAGCGTTACCTTTAAAGTTAGGAACATAGTAAAGAAACTATTACTGCTTCTATTCAGGACAAAAATACAGAAACAGAAAAAAATAAGAGAGTGATAAGAACTGAAAAAGTGAAACAATATGTTCAATATTAGCTGGTGATATTGTTGTCTACATAAAAAATTGAAGATATTCCACAATTGGATTAATCAAAGTAATGATGGCTCCTCAAAGTTTCTGGATAGAAAAGCAATATACAAAAACAATAGCTTTGCTATACCTAATAAACATACATTTAGAAAATGAAACTAAAGAAAAGCTCCCATTCACAATGACGGCAAAAAAAGGAACATATAAATTTTTAAAAAGATGTACAACATTGTAATAAAAATATAAATATGTATTAAAATACTTAAACAACAAATAAATGAAAAATTATAGAATGCTAATAGTTAGAAAGACTCAATGCCGTAAACATGATAATTTTTCCCAAATTAACCTATAAATCTAATTAAAGTTCAACAGGATTTTTGCTGAACTTGACAAGCTAATCCTAAAATTCACATAGAAGAATAAAAGATCAAGAGTCATCAAGAAAACTTTGAAAAATAAAAAAAGAAGGGAGACACCTTGCCCTCTCAAATATCAGGATTTGTTATAGAGTTTTAGTGTTTAAAACAATGTGATACTATCTTGAGGATAAACAGATGGACTCATGCAACAGAAACAAACATTCACATTTAGAGAATGCGGTACATGTAGTTCTGGTGTCGGGGGCCCTTGAAAGAGGCAAAATAAATAGTGGGAAAAGAATGAGCTATCTAATAAATGAGGCTGAGAACACTGGCTATACTTATGGTTTAAAAAAAAATCCTACGAAACCTTTATATGAAAAAGAATTCCTGGTTAATTAAGGCCCTAAGTATGAAATGCAAATGTTCCATATTATGAGATAACAATATTGAGGATATAAACATAGGAAAATCTTTATGATCTTGAAGTAGGGAAGAATTTCCTAAATAAAACATAAAATTTACCTTATTAAAGCAATTAAAAATTTTTAGATGGCAAAGACTGTCTGAACAAAATTTTTTTTTTTTTTTTTTTTTTTGTTATAGAAATCTGTTTAATGGTTTAGGAATGTGTACACTCTGGCTCTGCCAAGTTTCCATAAAGGCAACTTTTCCATGTTTTAAAAAATAGATTTGGTATAAAGATTTATATATTCATAAATAGGTGGCATGAAAAATTACCAAATGCAAATGGAATACTTGCGCTGACTGAAGCCCTGTTCACCCCAAGTCCAGGCCCTGCAGGGGTCCGAGGGTCTCTGCTGGAGGAGGCCCCAACTCCGGCAGCCTCTTAGGGAAGAGAAACTGAATTAAATGTGTATTAGGAACCCCTCCAGCTCCTTAAGCCAGCGTCGCACTGGCCCCACCGAGGCCTCAGCCCACCTCCCTCTGCTTCCCCCCGCCACCTCCACCATTGCCCCCTCCCCTGCACTCTGGCCCCTGACCCCACCTGCTCCCACTCTTTGGCAATTTATCAACAAAGGAAGAGATGACACTGTGTCTGAACAAAATTTAAAGGCACACTATTGGAAGGAGATGTAGAAGAAATCCCCAAGAAAATATTACTATACAAGGTATACATTTTAAAAATCTATAAATAAATATAAAAAAATCAGATAGAAAAATTGGTAAATGACATGAACAGGCAATTTACAACAAAAGGAAGGTGAATGGCCAATAACCACATGGAAAAGTTTTCAACTTCCCTAGTGATTAGGAAAATACAAATTAGACAAAAATGAGATAACACTTTATACCAAGCAAATTGGCAAATCTAAGAAGTCTCACGACATTTGTGTTAATGAGGAAGTGAAACAACAGAAAGCAGTGTTCACTGATAGTGGCAGTGTACATTTGTACAACCATTTGGGAAATAATTTCTGCTAAAAGTGAAAATGCTTGTACTCAGCACTTCTCTTGCTGAATGCTAGAGGTGTTTGCATACATGCATAAGAATATTCACTGTAGCATTTTGTAATAGTAGTAGAACAATTGGGAGAAAAAAATTTTATGTCGATTAGTAAAAATATAAAGTAAGCCAGATGCAGTGGCTCACGCCTATAATCCCAACACTTTGGGAAGCCGAGGAGGGTGGATCACCTGAGGTCATGAGTTTGAAGCCAGCCTGGCCAACATGGCAAAACCCGGTGTCTACTAAAAATATAAAAATTGGCCAGGCGTAGTGGCATGCGCCTGTAATCCCAGCTACCCAAGAGGCTGAGGCAGGAGAATCACTGGAACGTGGGAGGCAGAGGCTGCAGCGAGCCAAGATCCCGCCACTGAACTCCAGCCTGGGCAACAGAGCAAGAATCTATCTCAAAAAATATATATACATATGTATATATAATGTAATTTATAAAATGAACCAGATCACCATATAAAATATAGATAAATCCCATAAACACAATATTGAGTTTTTAAAGAAACTGAAAAAGATATGTATAATAGATTTAACAGTGAAAATTTTTATTATATAAAATAACATGTTATTTGTGGGTATATACATGTGTAGTAAAAATATAGAAACATGGTTAGAGCACTTTTGGATGAGGGAGGAAAGAAAATTGGAAGAGAGTACCTCCAAATCTATAACATTTTATTCCTAAAGCAATAAATCTGAGGCAAATATGGTGACACTGACCTGGCTACCTAGACTCTGAACAGTGGAGGCATGACTGAAAACAAAATCTTGACACACCCCATGCATAGCAGCTGGCACCTGAGCCCTAGGTAGGTATCCTACAGGCTCAGCTTGCCACCTCCAGCCAAGCCAGATTCTCCTGTCTCCAGCCTGTCAGCCACACTCAGAGACATGACTTTCCTAATATGGGACAGAAACAGTCCCCAGCTATGATGGTTAATTTTATGTGTCAAACTGACTGGGTTGCAAGATGCTCAGATATTTGATCAAACATTATTTTGGGTGTCTCTGTGAGGTGTTTTTGGATGAGATTCACATTTAAAGCAGTGGACTTTGAGAAAAGCAGGTTGCCCTTTATAAAGTGTGTGGGACTCATCTTATCAATCAAATGCTTGGATAGAACAAAAAGGCTGACCCTCCTCCAAGTAAAAGTCTTTTTAACAGCCTTTGAACAGGGCCATCACCTTTTTCCTGCCTTTGCACTTGAACTGAAACACCAATTCTTTCTGAGTTTCACCCTGATGCCCTTTGAACTGAAATGACATCATTGGCTCTGCTGGGTCTCCAGCTTGCTAACTGGTTCTGCAGATTTGGGGACTTGCCAGCCTTCATAATCACATGAGCCAATTTCTTATACTAAATCTCTTTTGATATATATACCCTGTTGGCGCTGCTTCTCTGGAGAACTCTCATTAATACATCAATTTTTTTGGTATTAAAAGATCTACCCCATTTCTCTTCCTCCGAAACTCATCCCCCAAAGCTTAGACTCATTGCTGGATTGGGCTTCCTGTTGGGTAGCAAAACTTTTCCTCCACACTCTTTATTCTCTTCGTCTGTATTTTTTCTTTAATAATGGCAAGTTGTTATATTTAACATATATTTAATATATATTTAATAACTACTTAACAGTCAATATTTATTATTTGGAGATTCCACATTTGCAAATTTGCCTACTTGCTAAGATTTGTGTGTAGCCTCCAAATCAGAACAAGCAGCACTTTCACGGTTCTTTGTGGACAAGCATTGAGTGGTGAAGAATTTGAATCACCTGATGCACACTTTCCCAGCTGAAGTGAAACGAGGCCACACTCTACCTTCTTTTTATCTATCATACTCTAAACAAGTGTTCTTTTTGTGGTCTATCCAGTGACATTTTTTTTTTTTTTGCATTTTTGTGCTTTTTCTTGGTGATTTTACTGTTTAAAATAGCCCCCAAATGTTTTGCTCAAGTACTAGTGTCTAGTGTTCCTAAGTGAAGAAAGCTGTGCTTTCCCTTTTGGAGAAAATAACTGTACATTTAAGCTTCATTCAGTCAAGTTATAGTGCTGTTGCTGTGAGTTCAATGTTAATGAATTAACCATATATATGAAATACAGTGTTTTAAACAGAAACACATACAAAGCAAGGTTAGGTGTCGATTGGTTGATAAAAATGTGACTGATCTGAGGCTCACAGGAATCTAACCCTGTGTTTCTCCTAAGAGCAGTGGTTCAGTATTCAGTAACTCAGTGTTCACAGTGACTTTGCAGGACATTGCTACTGCAAATAATGAAAATCAACCGCCAGGTGCAATGGCTTACACCTATAATCCCAGCATGTTGGGGGGCCAAGACGGGAGGACTGCTTGATCCCAGGAGTTTGAGACCGGCCTGGAAAGCATATAGAGACCTCGTCCCTCAAAAATAATAAAAGATATTAGCTAGGTATGATGGTACATGCCTGTGGTCCCAGCTACTTGGGAGGCTGAAGTGGGAGGATAGTCTGAGCCCAGGAGGTCAAGACTAAAATGAGCCATCATGCCACTACACTCCAGCCTGGGTGACAGAGTGAGACTATGTCTGAAAAAAGAAGAAAGAGAGAAAGAAAGAAAGAAAGAAAGAAAGAAAGAAAGAAAGAAAGAAAGAAAGAAAGAAAGAAAGAAAGAAAGAGAAAGAAAGAGAAAGAAAGAAAGAAGAAAGAAAGAGAGAGAGAGAAAGGAAAGGAAAGGAAAAGACAAAAGAAAAGAGAAAAGAAAAGAAAAAAGAAAGAAGGAAAGAAAGAAAGTCAACTGTATGTTTAAAAATCTAAGTTGTGGGTGGGTATCTGAATGTATTTTTTAAAACGGTTCATAAAAAAACACAAGACTTCTTTTGTATGTGTAAAATATATCATAATTTTAAACCATTTTAAAAAATAAAAGGGCATTCATTGATGCCAAAGCTTAGTGTATGACAGAGAGACTGAGGGGGCAGACTGAGGGGGCAGGCAGAGAAGCAGGTGTCTGATCGTGAAGAGGCAGTAGGCAAAAGGAATACATTTGAATTTTATTCAGAACCAAAATAATTAACTCATGCTGGCAAAAGATTTTGTTAGATTACTCATTCCCTTCTCTCTCCCCTCTTCATCCTGCTTTCTATAACTTTCTCACCCAACTATCAAGGGACCCAAATATCTGGTGCATCCCTATTCAAGGATGTACATTTCTAGATATCTCATTTTCACAATAAGTCTGACTCCATTTCTGATGTTTGACTTCTGTCAGCTTTTAGGCCTCACCCCTCCCTCCTTCCCCTGTCCCACAAGTCAGTAAGCTGATAAGAAATTCTGGATGTTCTCTCCTTTGGCACTGGTGAGAGATTCAAACCACCTAAGTCCTTTGCCTGCACAGGAACCCTCAGCCCAGACCCACCACCTAAACACTGTAAAAGCACCAAACCCATCTCCTTTCCTTGTCTTTTAAGCCATTTTCAGATTCCACGGGTATTCCTTTTCTGCTCCTTCCAGAAATGCCTCAGTCATGTAAGTATCACAACTTTTCATGTCCTCTCGGTATATATGTGGCATCATCAGTCTCTGCATCCAAGCCAAATTATGGGTGGGGGTTCCATTGTATTTTTGCAGAAGGACTATTACACTTTCAATATAGAAAAACTATTCCAGGATTAAGAACTAAGTGACATGATCTAAGGTCTTGGGGGAAATAAACATTGAGAGATTAATAAAACTAAGCATACACTTTTGAAAAATCAAAGCAAAATAACATATTTGGTGACTGATCTGCAAAAAAGACTCATTTGTCCAGGTGTGGTGGCTCACGCCTGTAATCCCAGCACTTTGGGAGGCTGAGGCTGGCAGATCACTTGAGGTCAGGAGTTCAAAACCAGCCTGACCAACATGGTGAAACCCCATTTCCATTAAACATACAAAAATTAGCCGGGTGTGGGGGTGCATGTCTGTAATCCCAGCTACTGGGGAGGCTGAGGCATGAAAATCGCTTGAACCTGGGAGGCAGAGGTTGTAGTGAGCCAAAATCACACTACTGCACTCCAGCCTGGGCAACAGAGTAAGGCTCTGTCTAAATAAATAAATAAATAAATAAGACTCATTTGGTTTTGAGTCTTGTTGTAAATGCAATGTACTTTAACCTGACCACCATCTTATTCTTATGATACAATGAGAGATAAATAGGAGTCTTTGTAGATTTATCTAAACTGTTTATTACACGGCTGGTGCTATTATTTTTCCTATTCATTGTATAGTCCCATCACTGTGGCTGAAAAGATAAACATGAGTTCCTGAAGAGCTCTCTTACTTTTGTTGTACCTCTTTAGACCACCATGCTCCATAGCTATGTCCACCTGGAACACAGAGGAATGTAGAATCCTCTCCATTAATGGCAGAGCCATAAATTGTTATATCTGCCATATGTCCCTGTCTCTTGCTATTGCATAAAACGTGGTCAGCTAAAGGCCTGCCACTCTGCACTTGAGCTAGGAAATTCTTCCCCATCTTTACTCAAAATGGAAAGTGCAGCTATAACAAAGTACCTGTAATTAGAATAAGCCATCAGCTAAATGTATTATTACAATTTATTGGCAGGATAACAATAGCTGCTATGTTCTGTGCACCTACCATAACCAAAATCATTTCTTCTGTTTTCCTGAGGCAGCTTTCCCCTTCCTGGGCTATAATAACAAGGTATTTCCCCTTCCTGGGCTATAATAGCAAAATAAATGCCAAGAAACATAATTAAATGAGGAAAAAAGACAAATACCAAATATTTAGTATTTACAAAGTATTGTCCCTTTTGTACTTCCCAAAGTTCAAAGGGCCAGAATTTGAACCAAGATACATCTGACTCCAAAGCTTGTCATCTTTATGCCTATGGACTTTACCAGGCAACACTAATCACTGAACAGTCATTACCCACATTCTTTTTTGCTAAAAATAGAATCCTGATTTTGTTCAGCTGTCAGGTGGCCGGGTGCTTCACAGAAATTTGTTCTCTTCCCAGCCCAGAAGTGACCTTTGATGAGGTCAAATCAAATTTGATAGTTCCATCCCTTTTCTAGCTATTGATTGAGCAGTGGACATGTGACCCAACCCTTTCAAATAAGACACGTAGAAAGTTTGCTGAGAGACTTCTTGGGACATTTCTTTCCTTAAAATATAATGACACGAGTCCATTGATTTTTCTTATGTTTTTATTTTATTGATTTATTTGTATTTATTTTTGCTTTTTTGTTGCTCTGGATATGTTTGCAGGGATGTGATGCACAGAACATTGGTAGTCATCTTGCGACATTGGGGGAAATTACACTAAGGGAACACAACAATATCCTGAGAATACCAGAATGGAAAAATATAAAGAACCTAGATCCCTAACAAAATTGCTGAAAAGTTTAACTAAACCTTGTACCTCCACTGTTCTCTTCAAATGAGATAATTTAAAACTTTTGGTTTGGGTATTTTGATTGGGTTGTCTGTTCCTTGAGGTCCAAAATGACCTTGCTGACACTTGGTCTATAAAATGAGATTTATTACCTGTAGATGTTTTAAAAACCTAGAAATAAATTTTCTTGTAAATCAAGAAACAGTATTTCTGGATCCTTTATTGGATGTAGAAAGCAGGAAAGAATATCATCCCACACTTATAACCAATAAGAAAAAAAAGTTAATTTACAAAATTATAACTTCTCTTGAATCTGTCACAGGGCTATGGTCACAAGGCAGACACAACTAACTTAAGAAATTCAAAGAAAGACAGGTGCCTTCAAGGAGAGTACCTGCTTGCCTGCAGCAAACACCAGATACCATCCAAGCTGGTAAGAAAAAAATCGGCCAAAATTTTTAACAGACTGTTAAAGGTCAAATGGGATAGTATAGGGTATAGAGTTTAGAGTGACAGTATAGAACTACTGAGAGCCACAAACATAAGGGGAATTCACATCCACTTGCAGGCTCTTCTCCACAGATGCTGAGTGCTCATGAGAAAAATTAAAGACAGGATGAGATTCCAGAGAAAACATCACTGTGGTACAGACTTGCAGAGGAGAAGAGCAGCCACCGAGGCAAAGGCTTGAAGATATACCCATTTCTTTCTCTCCTCAGGAAAAAAACAAACAAACAAACAAACAAACAAAACAAACAAAAAAGCCTTATCCCACTGAGGGAAAAACAACAACAACAACAACAAACTATGTCACCATCAGGGCACTGGTAGAGACCCATTGTAGCTGGGGAAATGAACAGAAAAACCTTCTGGGGAAGGGCAGGAATATATCCTAAGTCTAGACCATTAGAGATCATTAGAGATTTCCTACTCCTGGGCAAATAAAAATATCACAGAGAAAGCCTCACCTCTAAGACCCAAGGACAGAGCACCTATCTGAGACTGAGACTGAACCAGAACAGCAAACAACGCCTCCATTCCACTCCCAACACCAGGCTAGCAAGCTCAATAAACAAGTAATAGCAGTCTTCAAGAGCATTGAAAGAGAACTTAACAAAGCATAGGCACAAAGGGAAGACCTAAATCTGAGGATGAAGCAGACATTGAGAAAAACCCTCTGACAAACTACTCTCCACCTAAGCACAAGGTAATGCTAGAAGTTGAAGCCTGTGACACATTGAGAGTAACCATAACAGGAAGATAGCATACACCCAGTCTAACTCCTGACTTGATTGAATCAATCCCATACACTAGAAGCCTAGCAAAAAGCCATAAATATTTTCTTCAGTCTTTGCTGTCTACAAAAAAGTGTCCAGTTTTCAACCAAAAATTGCAAGATACACAAAGCAGCACATAAAGAGAATATATCATTAAGAGACAAAGTAATTAACACAACTACATTCAATTATGAGAGATAATTTGGAACTATCAAACAGTAACTTTAAAACAACTATAATTAATATGTTAAAGGATCTAGTGAAAAACGTCATTAATTTGCATGATCACAAGGAAAGGATCAGCAAAAAGATGGAAACTATAAGAAAAATGCTAGAATGAAAAGCATGATAAAAGAGATGAAGAATACTGGAGAATGATGAAAGCATGATGATGAATAGGCATTGTCTGGCTTCATTCCCTCTCACCCTCAAGAAATCTAACTAGCAATTATCCACAGGCAAAAATACCATCCTGAATACTGGGAGTAAATGTGACACCCCCTTGGACTGAAGAACCTAGAAAAGCTGCAATCAAATGACAAGAGGAGAAATTCTTTTGAACCACACTGCACCTTCCTCAAGCCAGCATAGTGCCACACAGAGATAATTTCCCCAGACCCACAATTTCTGTAGTAGAAAAAAAATGAGTTGGAGATGGATAGTCAACTTCCCCACCATTCTCTCTTTTTCTTTCCTCAGGAAAAAAAAAAAAAAAAGAAAGCCTTATCCCGCTGAGGGAAAAACAACAACAACAACAAAAACTATGTCACCATCAGGGCTCTGATAGAGACCCATTATAGCTGGGGAAAGGAATAGAAAAACCTTCTGGGGAAGGGCAGGAATATATCCTAAGTTTAGACCATTAGAGATCATTAGAGATTTCCTACTGCTGGGCAAATAAAAATCCTTCTTTGCAGGAGGATTGTTTCTCTTATCACATAGAGAACATTGGGAGTACTGACAGGGCTAGAACATGTGGGGTCAGTTAGAAACAAAAAACAGGAGTGAACCTCACAGTGACCAGTGCACAAATCTTGGTGGTTGTTCTGCATTCCAGCCAATTTCTAAATGACTCACAGATCAAAAAGGAAGTTATAAGGAGATTTGGAAAATATTCTGAATTGAATAAAAAATAAAAACACAAAACAACAAAATTTGCAAGATGTGGTCAAAGCAGTGCTTTTGGGAAAATTTATAGAACTGAAATGCTCATATTAGAAGAGAAGAAATATTTCAAATCAGTGATGTAAGCTTTTGCCTTAAGAAACTTGATAAAGAGAACAAAGTAAACCCAAAGGAAGAAAATCATAAAGATCAGAGCAGAAGTCAATGAAACTGATAGCAGAAAAATTATGGGAAATATTACTAATTAATATAATTAATTAATAAACTGACAAAAAAGAGAGAGAAGACACAAATTACAAATATCAGAAATGGATGAATAAATATCACTATGTAACCTACAGCTATTTACAGAATAATAGAAAATCAATTATGTATCCATAGATTTGACAACTTAGATGAAATGGACACATCTCTTGAGACACAAGCTTCCAAATTTCCTTCAAGAAGAAATAGATTAGTCTTATATCTTTTTTAAAAATTCATTTTTAATGAAAAACCTTCCAACAAAGAAAATTCCAGGCCCAGATGACTTCACAGCTCTATCATTTTCTACATTTGCTTCGGTTTTGATTCTCCACTCTGAGCTTCATAATTATTAGATTTTTATTTTTTCAAAGCAAGGTCTCACTCCATCACCCAGGCTGGAGTGCAGTGGTATGACTATGGCTAACTGCAGTCTCAACCTCCTGGGCTCAAGCAATTCTCCCACTTCAGCCACCTGAGTAGCTGGGACTACAGCCACACAGAACCATGCCCAGCTAATTTTTAATTTTTCTGCAGAGATAAGGTTTCACTCTGTTGTCCAGGCTGGTCTTGAACTCCTAAGCTCAAACAATCCTCCTGACTCAGCTTCCCAAAGCACTGAGATTACAGGTGTAAGCCACTGCAACTGGTTGATTACTTGGCCTTTGTGTGTGAATACTGTTTGTGTTATACCTACAGAATTATTTTTTAGATATTAAGTTCATAGAAATTTAGTTCAAAATGTTATTAGTACACTATCTTAGATTCATGATCATTTTTCAATTAATGACTTTATAAGCACCATTAAAGCTATCCCCACAACTCCATGAAAAGAGGAGGCAAATAGAATCATGGGGAACAGAAGTTAAACAACTCTTCCAGCCTCATGCTAAATTGATCAGTTCAAATGAGTTCAACTATAAGTCAAGGGCCTTGAGTCTTGTCTGCTGCACCCCTGTGACTGGACTAACTCGGTCTGGCTACTGTGCAAGGTCAAAAATACACAACCAAAAACTGTCAAGCTAAGGGAGAAATCAAGAGTTGGAGTAAGATTACCACGCCAGAGCTAGACACACAAAAATGAAGATCTGAGACAAAGCAGACACAGTCAGCAGGAAGCAAGGACGACTGAGAGCTTTGCAAGTCTGAATTAGGCTTTCAAGCCATAGTAGGACAAACCAGAGGTCAAAGGGGAGGCCTAGAGGAAATTCAACCCTTCAGGCTTTCTGCTGAAATAGGATGGGGTCAGGGAGGCCAATTGGCAGCTTAGAGAAGAGAGCCTGAGGCTGAATATCTCGTTCTACCTGGGGTGTGTGTCTTATACCCTTTCTGATCTGGTTCACAGATTAACTTTTGCATGCTCAATTCACTCACCCTGCTCCCCCACAAGGTCCAGAACTGATCAGTAAACTCAGCTGAACAGTGGATTTTGTGAAATAAAAAAAGCCAAGACAGTTGATTGAATGAATGTCAGCAATTCGTTAGATGTTTTGGTGTCCTTTGGACAGAGCTTATTCATAATCACTCTTGCTTAATGTTTTAAAGTATGATCTTACATTTAAAAGAAAATGTGGAGTAGCAACAGAAAGAACAAGTTTTGAAGTCAAAATGACTTGAATAAAAATCACTGCTGTTTTTGGGCACAAGACTTTAGACAATTAGAAATCTCTAAATTTCAATGTCCCCATATATAACATGGGATCAACAATGTCTACCTCTTGTGAGAGATAAATGAAATGATATTTGCAAAGTACCTAATACATAGAAGGCACTTGATAAAAAGTAATAATAATGATTATTTTATATGTCTTGTTTAAACTGAATCTTGGACATTCCATAAATAATCCATCTAGTTTATTCAACAAATATTTATTGAGCACCTACTATGTGCAACAAATACTCTTATAGGTACATGGGATTCAACAAGAAACCCCAGTCTCTGTCCACCTGGAACTGGCCTTCTATTGAGGGTTTGTATACTATATGCCAACACAGCAAAAGATGCTTCTTCCACTGAACCCAGAATGTAATTCTTCACCTCACTTCACTCCACTGGTAACAACTAAGGTTACCGAATTACACCTATTGGAAAGACATTCTGTAGATTTCCCTGATACCTTCTGCCTCATCTAATAATATCCTGCTAAAGAAAAGGTCCAGTTCTGCAGAATGGAATAACATCTATTCAGAATAGCAACGTAAACTTTGCAGACTCCCTCATACATCTGTACCGGTATTGGTATTTCAAAGTAATCATATGCTACAGGGGCCAAAGACTCAAATGCCATCTGGGGGGCCATGGGTAAATGAGTCAAGAAGCCCAGTGTCATGGTTAGTGAGGAAAATTATAAAAATTAAACTGTCTCTATAAAATGCGCAGCCACTACTACTGTCAGTTGATATTGCCAGAGAAAATGCTAGTGTGGTCAGATCTGACTTTTTAAGAGAAGCTGAAATCTGAATTTTTACATAAAATTAAGTGATTTTCCAAATAAAACCTCTCAATAGTACTTATTCAGCCCAGGAGACATAAATTTACAAGCCCAACAGAGGTTTAGAGGACTACGTTTTTAAAAATCAGTAGTGTAAACAGTGTTTAATCCTTTTTCACTTGCTACATGGAAAGACACTCTCAGAATTGCAAAATGCCAAATGGCAATGGTTTATCATTTTGTTCATTTGTTTGTTTTTATCTGAAACCACAGTTGTTATTCAACATCTAAGAATGTAGAGCTCAATGGGTCAATCCCATAATTTGTGGAGAAGCTGCAATAAGGCTGGAATAATGATGGATTAGAAGGAATAGGTTGCCCTCACCCTAATGTCTCGTGGCCTACCACTACCCTGGGATTAAGACATGCAGAGACTTGTTTGTAGTCGCAGATTTTGTATCCTCTCTTGACATGGCTGCAACAAGAATGCACATCTGTGAAGTGTTTGCCAGCATGTCAAGAGTAACAGGACTCTTGAAGCCATTTCAAATGTCATGTCAATGCTTGTGCATAACATCTTTAAGAAGATTGTTGCTTTAGAGATCTTAATATTAAAAAAAGGAACCTGAAACACAATACTTTTAGCCACTTAAAAGTGGAGTTCTTTTTCACTAAGCAGAGCTGAACTTTTTAAACTTTTTACCAAACAAGCCTCTTTTTGGTGGTGAGCAAATAAATTAGCATGTGGGTCCTAAGTGCTCTTAAAATCGTTTTGCTATAGATCTGTCCACTGTTTATAATTCTTGAATAAAGCTAAAAGTAAAGAAAGCCTTTCTCTGAAGGTTTATGAGCATTTTTCCATGAAGCAGAAGTCAAACAGAAGATCAAAGTGATCTAACAAAATGCTCCAAACTTGGGTTGGGGTGGGCTGAAGGGCGGTGAAAAGAAATCAGCCCCTCCAGATAGTTTGAGAGATATGTCTTTTTACTTAAAATGAAACAAAACGGAAAGCATGAGAGTTTGAGTGTATCAGACTAATGAGAGTTTGAGTGACTCAAGCTAAGGTTTCTGAACAATGTTGTTAAAGTATCCGCCTTTGATATTTTACCCATAGTATCAAAAACATCTTAAAGGAAGTTAGTCAACTGTTGTACCAAGTAGCAAATATGAACAAAATCAGGTGAATTTCTTATCCCTCTGTTCCTAACAGCCATTCATTTCTAGGATTCTCTGAGTTTCTGCCAAGGGTGGACTTTTCCAAGCTCACAAAGGATTAATGTACAGTCTTGAACTGTCTTGAAGTGTCTAATGTATTCCATATATTTTGAATACTACATAATTGGCATTTAGCTTTTCATACAATACCAGTTTAAATGCCTACTAACCATTTACTTTACATAGAAAAATAAAACAAAGGAAACAAAATAAATGTATTGCTGAAAAGGCATGAATCTATTCATCCATGATTAAAGCCTCAATAAATCTGCTTGCAATCACCCATTGGTATTTAAAGATCTAGTAACTACTCTATTAAATTTAATTCTCTCTGTTTAATGACAGTTATTCTCAATATAATGACAGTTATTTGAAATATATACCCACAGATTATTAACGACATTTTAACAAGAGTTTTAAACCATGGAATGTGAGTATGAATCTACCAAATGTCAATAAATCAATTCCTATTTAATGCAGAATGCCTGAATTGTTAAGTCAAAATATATCCCAACTTAGAATATTTTAAAAACATTTTAATGAAAAAAAGATTTGCCAGGGGGACAATATCTATTTGTGAACTCCTAGTATTATTTCAGAATAAAATTAAAGATATATAACTTTATAATATATTTATTTTATATAAAAATATGCATTTGAAGGAGAACATTAATTTTTCTTGATTGGGCTGGGCACGGTGGCTCATGTCTATAATCTCAGCACTTTGGGAGGCTGATGCAGGCAGATCACGAGGTCAAGAGATCGAGACCATCCTGGCCAACGTGGTGAAACCCCTTCTCTACTAAAAATACAAAAATTAGCTGGGCACGGTGGCACGTGCCTGTAATCCCAGCTACTTGGGAGGCTGAGACAGGAGAATTGCTTGAACTAGGGAGTCGGAGGTTGCAGTGAGCTGAGATTGTGCCACTGCACTCCAGCCTGGCGACAGAGCAAGACTCCGTCCCCCCCAAAAAAAAAAATTCTTGATTGGGAGTTGATTTTATTCAGAAAACCATTTTAACCTTATAAGTCAAGTGGTTTTACTTTTTCTGTTGCCAATTAAATATGTGCTAAAATATTACATACTATTTTATTCCTGAGATTCACAGCCAGGTTTTTTACAAAACACTCCTTTATATTGAACATAAGAAAAATTGTTTTCAAGTTATGGTGCTCACCAATTTACCATCTCTTAAACAAAACAAAGTCCTTAATCCAAATAATTCTGTTTCAGGCTACTGGCACAGTTTGCTGCCTATCAGATACACTCTGGCTGCCATATCTTTCTGGTCAGCATAAATGGTCCATGCCATTCTTGCTTGAACTTTCCCTTCCACGTATCCACTTCTACATCACTGGAGCATTCACTGGACCAGGAATGTAGACTGGCAAGTCAGTGTGATGTAAGAATCCTAACCTATAAAGTACATCAGTAGACACTTTGTAGCATGTGCCGTTTATTAGGGTTTCCATTAAAAGCATTACATTTCCATACTTTACAACCATAAAAGAGTAAATAATTTCAAAGGATTCCTTGATAGGAGACTTCTGTTTTAAATGGAACTTGGAAATATCTGGGAAATCACTGGAATAAATGTGCTTAATAGACCCAATGCTGTGAAGTTCTTTTTAACTGTTTTCTTAAGCACATAAAAAGATATAACATTTCCTCCAACATTTTTTGAAATACATTTTGGTTTGGGGTTTTCTCTGTAACATTTGCTGTATAAATATTTCTTACAATGCTTTCATTGTTCTTTCTTTCTTTCCTTCATTCTTTCCTTCTTTCTCTTAGTGCTGAGGCTGACTTCTTAACACCAATAGATTCTGACCCCTTTCATTGCTTTAATCTGCGAGATAAATTAGAGCTTAAAATCAGAAAGTACCATTACATGCCACTGAAGAAAACCTGCCGCACTACATGATAAGTTGGAAAACATACACTAAATGTCCCTGTTGAGATATTTCCTTATTTAGAGGAAATTCCATCCATGGGACTAAGCAAATATTTCATCAATCTGGGCTGTGTAAGAAGCCAATACAACATTCTTTTCATGGAAAAGATTAGATCAGGCCAGTTTCAGAATGAAATAATTTTTAAAGATATTCCTAATACCAAACATTTGAGGAAAATTTAAGTAGTCCATCATATATTCTCACATTATAATCCAATTGGAATTGTCCAGATCAGCTGCCTTTATGGTCCTCATTCTCCAGGAAATTACATCAATTTATCTTTGATTTTGCCTGTGTAGGCACTGCATTAGATAGCACACTTTCTTTTTCCAGGACTGCATTTCTAAGCATCAGCCAAAGTACCTCAACAACACTAGCTGTCAAAGGCAAGATGATGAGTAGATTATATACCTAAGGTGAAACTGTTTGATTATCTAATGGTACCAATTTAGAGGTCTCAGGATGGTGGAGATTAATTTTTTAAACCAAAATGTTAAGCCCTCAATAACAACCCCTGGAACCAAGAAGAGTAAGCATGGAATGTTATCAGGTGGATTTTCCTGACTTGATGAAGAAGGCACGAGTAATTGATAATAGCAACTACCAGACTTGCATGCCAGGCTCTGTGCCGAATTGTTGGCCCATATCATATCATTTAATTCTTACAACCCCTCCTGATCTTTGTTTTACAGATGAGGAAATTGAGACTCAGAGAGGTTGAGTAACTTTCCCAAGGTCACAGAGTTAGTAGTGTACCTAGGATTTTAACCCAAGTCTGGCTGAGTCCAAAGCGTAAGTTCTTAACTGTCATGCCCAATATCCCTCTAGCTTCAGAGTCAGGCAGGGCTAGAGGACAGAGCCCAGAGCCAAACCTAAAAGGAAGGTTGACTTTTAAGGGGTGAAAATGCAGTCACGTCAAGAAGAAAGTTATCCAACATCTGTTCACAGGGCCAAGGCCTCCTCCTGGCAGAGTAGATCTGGTTGGCAGGGAAGGAAAATTGGAGTTGCATGAGGAGCATCTTGGATCTGGGAAAAAGACCTAAAGTCTGAGTACTATCAAGTGGGAGAGGAGGAAAAGCTATATGCCTCCCTCTGGTACTGACACAGGCTTAAGCAACTGCGTGGTGGAAAGCTGGTGGATTCATCTAGCTCAGATGGCAAGTAAAAAGGAATGAAGGCAAAGAATGACAATCCAAAGCATGTCTCAAGGTGATCACTGCATGCGGACACTATCTGGGAGAGGCTGGGAAAGGGAGCAAAAGAGGAATCCAGGGGAATTAATCACTTGCCTGCCAAGGAGATGCAGTTCAGAAACCAAAGGGAAAAGCAGGGCTCGCTCCCACAAAGCACTCAATCTCCCAAAAGAAAAAGCATAAATAGAGTCATATTTGCCAATGAAGGTTTCTAAATGTTTAAACTAGCTGGTAACACCGCACAGATGGAGAAACTAATGCTTGCGGAAGTTAATGATTTGTACCGTAGTCACTCGGTGAGTCGGAGATAGAGCAGATGTAAACCCCCAATCTCTGGACTCCCAGATCTGCGCATAAACTATCAAAAATACAAACCTTCTAGCCCTGAAATCTGCCCAGCCCTTTTTCTACTGTGTGGTCCCTGTCAACCTTCAACATTGTACTACACAGAAGGGATTTCTTTCCCCTTACACGGTTTCTAAGTCTTGGTTAGCTACATGACTGGGTTTCTGCATTTTTTCTTTTATTCTTTCATTCATTCTACAAATATTTATTGAATTTTTACTATGCACAAGGCACTGTTCTAGACGCTGGGAACACAGTGGTGAACAAGACAGAGATCTTGCTTTCCTCTAATGCTGATTCTGGGAGGGGCAGGCAGACAATGAACAACAAACAAGAAAATATCAGAATAAAAGTGTTAGACAGAAAACAGAGCAGAGTGATGGGATGGAAAGTAACAGCAGGAAATAACTTAGATTGAGTGGTCAAGAATGGCCTCTTAGGGGAGGAGATTTTGAGCTGAGACCTGAATGCCCCCAAAAAGCCAGCCACATGAAGATGGGAGAAAAGCAGATTTTTCAGTCAAAATACACACGTATAGATTTCCCAGTTACGCACTCTGTAACCTGTTTTTTCAGCTACTCAAGATAACTTATTAGATTGCCAGTGAATGAAAGTGTCATCCTATGAGGAATAAAGCAACACATTTTATTCTAAATTTTAAAGTTTCATTAGCAAGCTTTGATATTTTGACTATTAATTTTTATTAATCTGAAATTCCCTACTCATTTTACAACAGATTAAGACACAGCAGTCTTATCAGAGGTTAGTACACAAAGGAATTAAGAGGCTCACTGAAGAGCTCAAGGGCATGACAAATGTTTCATCCAGATTATGCTCAAATTCATCTGCACAATAGATACTACACATTATGTGGTCCACCACCGTCACTACCTTGCCCCATTTTATTCTAACCGGCCTCCCAGATCTCCAGCAAACAAGGTGATCCTTTCAAAAAGAAACTGCAATCATGTCTCTCCACCGCTAACCTCACTCTAAATTACAACATTCTGCAATTGTGGATTGTTATGGGCTGAATTACATCCCCCCAAAATTCAAACATTGAGGCCTGTATTAGTCTATTCTCACGCTGCTAATAAAGACATATCTGAGACTGGGTAATTTATAAAGTTAAGAGGTTTAATTGACTCACACTTCCACATGGCTGGGGAGGCCTCACAATCATGGAGGAAGGCGAGTGAGGAGCAAAGTTACATCTTAGGTGGCGGCCGGTAAGAGAGCTTGTATACGGGAACTCCCGTTTATAAAATCATCAGATCTCGTGAGACTTATTCACTATCACAAGAACAGGACGGGGGAAACCGCCCACATGATTCAATTATCTCCACCTGGCCCCGCCCTTGACACGTGGGGATTATTACAACTCAAGGTGAGATTTTTGGTGGGGACACAGCCAAACCATATCAAGGCCCTAAACCCTAACGTGACTATATTGGGAGATTAGGGCCTTTAAGGAGATAATTAAGGCTAAATGAGGTCAAAAGGGAGGGTTCCTATCCAATAGGACAAGTGTCTTTATGAAAAGAAGAGACACCAGAGATCTTTCTCTACATGCTCATAGAGAAAAGGTCGTGGGAAAACACAGCGAGAGGGTGGCCGTCTGAAAGTCAGAAAGAGCTGCCTCACTGGACATCAACTCCGATAGCACCTTATCTAGCACTTCTAGCCCCTAGAATTGCGGGAAAATAAATGTCTGTTGTTTAAGCCGCCCAGTCTGTTGCATTGTTATGGTCCCCTGGCAAACACATGCGTGGTTGTTGACCATCTACTCACCTCACTTTCCTCTGCCTCTCTCCTGCTTTGCTCCCCTCGCCCACTCATTCCAGACACGCTGGTGGCCCTGTTCCCTGTGCCTGAAGGATTCCTCCCAGAATACCCACGGGGATCTCCCTTTCTCCCTCTTCAGGGCTTTGCTCAAACGTCCCTTCCCAGCGAGACTTTCTCTCACCACCTGTATTTAAAATCATGAAACCTCCCCTCCTCCACAGCTCATTCCATTTCCCTCCTCTATTACTCTTCACGGTACTTATCCCCTGTCAATAAATAATAGCCACGTAATTTATTTATTTGGGTGCATTGTTTGCCTCCTCCCACTATGATATAAGCTCCATGAGGGCAGGGAGTGTTGCCGTCCTGTATCCTGTCAGATGAGGACAGAGTAGAGGAGTGTGCAAGTGTATATGGGAAAGAGAGAGAGACTGAGAGAGAGAGAGAGGGAAAGAGAGAGGGAAAAGATGACCAGTCAGATCAAGATTTTGCCCACTGGAGGCAGTTCTTTTGAGCTCTTTGACCCAAATTTACTAGATATGGACTTATAAATGCTAATAACATAACAAAAAATACTATAAATAGTTCACAGTGCAATGAGGAGGTACTATGCCCAATACCTGGCAGAGGGCCTGTTACAAAGGAGAGGTTCAGTGATTATTTTTTGAACCGAATGGTTATTGTCACCATGACCAGAATCTCCATAATCTAGTGACCTGCCCCCATTATTATCATCTGATTATGAGAAAGGGTTTCATCATTTGGAAATGTCACAGGTCATTGGGAGCAGTGTCTTATGTGCTGACAGTGACCAGCATAGTGCCTGACTTGTGGTAGACTCCCGGTAAATATTTGTGGAATTAATCGAATTTTTTTTTTTACATTTATCGGTTTAACATAAAAGAAATTGCAAAGAATCAGATGAAAAGATGCATAGGGCAAGGCATGTGGAAAGGGACACAGAGCTCCCATGCCTTGTCTGGGTGTGCCCCGTGCCAAGAACCTCCGCATGTTCAGTTATCCAGAAGTGCATCCGATCTCCGTCCTTTGCGGTTTTTACAGTGGCTTCATTACATAGGCATGATTGATTAAATAATTGGCTGTTGGTGATCAACTTGACTTTCAGTCCCTCTCTCCTTCCCAGAGGTTGAAGGGTGGGGCTGAAGTCCCAACCCTCTAATCCTGCCTTGGTCTTTCCTGTGACCAGCCCTCATCCTGAAGCCATCTAAAGGTTGCCAGTCACCAGTAATCTCATTAGCATTCAAAAACACACTTATTACTTTGGAGATTCCAAGGACTTTAGAAGCTGAATGCCAGGAAACAAGGACCCAATATATATCCCATAAAATAACAGTTCACTCCCTATCCTCCAACACAGATCCCTTACATTAAAAAAATGTACAACTCAAATGGTACTGGCAAATTATTGGAATCCCATTTAATCTTTAATAATTAGTCCAGTCCACTCTTATGTCATGTGAATATGTCTCTCAGAGCAAGGCCACTCAGGTTTGCAGCCTTCTCATTCAATCTTGTCAGGGTCCAAGAGCAAGAGTAGTCTCAGCAAACATAGAGCTTTACCCTTTCTGGCATCTGGCATAGTTGAGCTGAAAGACAATGTCATCTCTTGCTCTGAGCCTCTTTGGAAGTGTTGATATAATATTGGATTTCTCTTATTACATACCATTTATTCATTACTTTTTTATATGACCTTATTTGAAGATATTATTCATTTCTTTAACCTCATATACTATTTCTCCTTCTCTTCATTTATACCTAAACTTTTCCGCCTTTGCTAACATAGCAGAAAATCTGACAGGACAAAAATACGTAGACACTACTCCTTTAGATGTTAATTTTAAGTAACTTTTCAATACTGCCCATTATCCTAATATTCCTTTCAGTAAATAAGCTTTGCTTATTCTGCTTGGCTCTGAGCATAATGTTCAGATTGGTTCAAATAAAAAAAGCCACCATATTTTTATCCTTGGGAATAAGAAAACAGAATTTCTTACATGGTAGAAAGGAAAAACGTCACTACAAAATGTAATTATAGCATTTTACAATATGCATCGCACAAACTGTATAAAACACACAAAGTACATCTACTAAAACTTTGTTCTAAAACAATTTTTTAAGTGAGCTAGTTTTCAATGCAGTCGAGATTACTGAGTTAAAAAAAAGATTGAGAAGGATTGAGAAGGAGCTTTGCATAAACAAAAACTCTATCTGCAAATAATTATTCCTTAATCCTAAGAGCTGGGGTAGCTTTCCTTTGTTTATTAGCTTTTTTTTTTGTTTTTTAATGGAAGTGATTTTCTTAGAGTAGAAAGTTTAGTATCAGAATTGGCTGTGTTGTATATATGGTAGTCACTTTTCAGATATTTTCCTGTCTGTTGGTTTAGGGGCTCTTTCTCCACACCCACCCTCAAGGCTACCTCTATCTCCACCTAGCCTCTGAATATCTCCACCAAAGAGCAAATCAGTTGACTGAAGGTGAGTAAAAATTCCATGGGGTTGGTAGTTAAAACTATTGACCAGGCTGGGCATGGTGGCTCATGCCTGTAATCCCAGCACTTTGGGAGGCTGAGGCGGGCAGATCACCTGAGGTCAGGAGTTTGAGACCAGCCTGGCCAATATGGTAAAACCCTGTATCTACTAAAAATACAAAAAATAACTAGCTGGGCATGGTGGCGGGTGCCTGTAGTCCCAGCTACTCAGGAGACTGAAGCAGGAGAATCACTTGAACCTGGGAGGCGGAGGTTGCAGTGAGCCGAGATCACGCCACCGCACTCCAGCCTGGGCAACAGAGCGAGACTCCATCTAACAATAATAACAATAAAGCTATTGACCAAAATTTTTATGCTCTGAGATTTCTCTGTGAATTTGCATGAACCCGGGAGCCTAGCCCATTAAACTGACTACCTGAATTATATGACTATCTACATCTTTTCAGAGGGTAGAGTGATTTCTTCCTCAATCTAATAAAATTTATATTACTATATCCTTAACCCATAAGTGGGTATGTTGAGTACAACTTTAAAATATTTTTTTACTTTGAGAGATTACATGTTTAGGTTTTAATGTGTTTCTTGTTTTGTTTATTGTTTAGGCAAAGTCAAAAAACTAACCTTATCGGTCTGGCATTTGTTTAAATTTTTATTTGCACAGCAAACATTATTCAGCGCTGTGTTAGTATTAAAATATGAGAAACACCAGGACAAAAATACGTAGACACTCCTCCGTTAGATGTTAATTTTAAGCAGCAGAAAAAGCCAAATTCTGCGTTCAGTATGCAGAGAAATAAGGAAAAGAAGTAACAGAAAGAGGTTAATGTGGGCTGAGACCACTTGAGGGCATTTGAGCACCTTTGCATTCCATGCTAATAAAGTGACAGAAGTTAGAAAGTTGGCCTATCTTTGAAGATCAACGTATATATATAGATATATGAATAGAGGAGATACATTTTATATCTGCTCCAGAACTCATTTTGGATTTTTTTCAACATCCTTCCGACAACATCCTTCCGAAAGAGATCAAAGTTGAAACTATTAGTAAATAATAAAATTAAGTCAATAGGTTATTAAATACCACATCCAAGTTATCAAAAATTGAAGTACAGAGTAAAAAAGGAAAAAGTATACTACATACAATGAGATTATATGAGTCTCCAGACCCCCATTTCTGCAAAAAGCTCATCAAATATTCATAAATCTAAGTAACTTCCCAGTAGGACATCTCCCAAACAAAGTGTAGGTGAACACAGAAAGCTGAAATACATAAAAACAGAATTTGGGTGTCTACTTTGACTGTCTGGAATTTGTTAGGAAGCAGAAATGCCACCAAAATGGAAATTGCACACAGGGAAAAAAATCCCACTGTGCTTTTATCCAGCTAGGTTGGAAATGATGTAATAAATGCACCATAATTTATGTACATAAATGTGTGGGTAACTCATCCAGGGAGTGGCAAGTGCAGAATTTTAGTGGAAAAAAATAGTGTACATCAAAGAAATTTGACCAGCGGCCAACAACCATTAATCTCTTCATGAACTCTTAAATATATAGATGCCAAATAAAACTTGTCATTTTATTCCATCTCTCAAAGCAATACATTCTTATTTATGAAGTTATGAGAGAACATAACATTATACCTTATTTGACATACAACACACACAGAGCATACAGCAACCTTGAGAAGATTTCCTTCATAAAAATGAGAACATTGATAAATCAACAGCCATACACCTCAAGGATAATGGTTTAAGTCTGACCATAGTCCTCAAACTTAATGTGATTGTGATCTTCATTCATCTTTCCATAGTCAGCAGCCCACATCACAGAAACCACTGTATGTGATACATCACCACCAGCCAGCTTGCTAACCAGGACAGACTTCAAATAAAGATAGCGTTGAATTCTTTCAGATGTGGAGGCATGAGAGAAAATATCAGAATTAAAGTCAAATACTTTAAGTATCACACTAAAAGAAAACATTTGTGTAGCTGTCCAGAAAACCTATGAGTTGTTGGCTGTAGTTCCTACAGAACTATGGCATTCCGTGTGTGGACATTGTTAAGTGATAAACCTTTCCATTGATGTGGCTTTGCCAGAAGCCACTTAGCATGCTTTAAATTCATAGCTTGATAGGTTTCCATGGAGAGCTTCCTTTAAAGGTATTTCCTTCTTTGGATTTCTACAGTTCTGTATCTTATACACCTCAGCAATATAACATAATGTGTTACTTATTACTATTTTTGAAATGAATAACCAATATTTCCCACCTTGAAATATACTTCAGCAAAGTCTAGATCAAAACATTTCTGTTTATCGGGACATGGATTCAAGAAGTCTTGCAGATAATAATTTAAAATATACGCAAGTAATGGTAGAGTTATATGATTGTCTTTCCCACTGCAACCTCAATAAATATTTATAATGGAGTGTGTGTGGGGTGGGGTGTAGAGGGAGAGAGGGAGAAAAAAAAAGAGAGAGAGTCAGTCAGATCAATATTTTGCTACTTGAAAACATACAAATAGCCAGTAGGCTTATGAAAAATGCTCAACATCAGTAATTATCAGGGAAATGAAAATTAAAATGACAATGAGCTCCCATCTCATCCCTGTTAGAACAGCTATTATCAAAAAGACAAAAGATAAAAAATGTTGGCAAAGATGTAGAGAAAAGGGAACGCTTCTACACTGTTGGTAGAAATGTAAGTTAGTATAGCCATTGTGGAAAATAGTGTGGAGGCACCTCAAAAAAACAAAAATAGAATTTGCATATCATCCAGCAATCTCACTTCTGGGTATATACCCAAAGGAAGTGAAATCAGCACCTCAGAGTGATATCTGTGCCCTCATGTTCATTGCAGCAGTATTCACAATAGCCAAGATACGGAATAAACATAAATGTCCATCAACAGATGAATGAATTAAAAAATGTAGTGGAATACTATTCAACTTTTAAAAAGAAGAAAATTCTGTCATTTTCAATAACATGGATGAATTTGGAGAACATTGTGCTAAGTGAAATCAGCCAGGTGCAAAAAAAACAAATACCACAAGATCTCACTTATATGTGGAATCTGAAAAAATCAAACTCATGGACATAGAGGGTAGAATGGTGATTACCAGAGGCTGAGGGGCAGGGTGGGGAGAATAGAATGGGGAGATGTTGGTGAAAGGAGACAAAGTTTCAGTTATACAGGAGCAATAAGTTTCGAGATCTGTTACACAGCATGGTAACCAGTTAATAATGTATCACATGTTTCAAAATTGCTTTAAAAAGTAGATTGTAAATGTTCTCACTACATAAAAATGGTAACTATGTAAGGTGATAAAAATGTTAATTAGCTTGATATAATCATGCTACAATGTTTTTATATATCAAAACATCACATTGTACCCCATAAATATATACAATTATTATTTCTCAATTCAAAATAAAAATTTGAGTTAAGAAAAGATTTTACTCTGGCTGAACTTACAAATGTGAATGAAATAAAATAACAAAGAAAGAGTTCAAAGTACAATGAAGAGGTACTACTGCCCAGCACCTGGAAGAAGACCTCTCACAAAGTAGAAGTTCAACAAATACTTTTTAACAAAATAGTTGTTGTTAACATAAGCCATCATCTACATGATCTAATGACACCCTGCCAGTTACCATCATCCGATTACGAAAAAGATTTTCATCATATATAGAAACTTCCCAGGTCAGCAAGGGCAGGTCTTATGTGCTGACCCAGGCCTGCTCATAGCAACCAACCCTGCTGGTCTTGAGAAATGAATTTGCTCATCTTCTCCAAAATGGTCCAAAAGTTAATACCTTGTAAGAAATGTTATGAGATAAATAATTCTCGCCTGATGTTTCCATTTGCCCAGAGTCAGAGTACATAACCTAATCCCAAGACTCCTAAAACACATGAAAATTAGACCTGTAGTGAGACCACGAGGCATCAGAATCCACGATCGTCCTTCCAAGTTCAGACGATGCTGTAGCATCAACCCACACACAATGTTTGCTTTGTAGGTCTGTATTTTCCAGGAAGCAAAAGGAACAGGAAACCAACGAAATCAGCATCGTTGACCAATTATTCAGGGCTAGTCCTTGCTCTCTTTCTCTTGGTTAGTGGCTATTTCTGGCAGTTCCTAAAACCGAGGCAGCCAATGTCATCACTGTGGAAATATGGATTGTGAGTGGCACTTAGATAGCAACCAGCTGGGGGCTATATATTAACAAGTGCAAGAATGGGAGCAGAAACAGTGTACAGAGACCCAGAATGTGCCAAAAGATGGCAACTCACCCCCTGGGGTCCAAAACAGATCCAACTGAGAGACAGAGAGAATGATTGTCTTCTCCACAAAACTGCCTCTCACAGAGCACAGAACCCTTTAGATTTATGCATGTGTTTTGACAAAACTGGATGGTTTCTATCATCTAGGAACACTGGAAGGGTCCCATTGGGAGGCAAACAATTTAAATAGGTCAACTTTTTAAAAAATTTTATTATTATTATACTTTAAGTTTTAGGGTACGTGTGCACAACGTGCAGGTTTGTTACATATGTATACATGTGCCATGTTGGTGTGCTGCACCCAACTTTTAAGAAGTTTCAGCATCCCAAGGTGTCCAAAGTCACACACCAACACCAAACCTTTGTGCACCTGGATGCTACATGCCACCCAAAAAGGTCCCCTACTAATCTCTCACATTCTGTCCCAGCCTCTAATTCAGCCATCAGAGAGCCAGCTCCTCTCGCTGGCCACAATAAAGCCAATTCATGTCAGTTTATTGCTCTTCAATGGATGTTAGTTCCATTTTTTAATTACATGTTTATGTATGTGAATGCTTTCCATATTCACTACCCAGAATTTACTTACTCAGCAGTTTCTTAAGATTCCAAGCGTGCAGACCATTGAATTCACATGGTTTGATTACTGAGTAATTCTTAAAGTCTCTTTACTGGAGTGTGACATTTATCTAAAGTCAAATCTAGAAAGAAAAAAATATATGTGATGGTGATAAACTACTATTGAAACAGAATCCTAACATGAGATGTTAAACAATAGAGCATTGTAAATAATACCCTCCCCAAAAGGTTCTCTGTGATAGCCGCAGCTAAGGAAAACATATGATAACAATAATATGATTTCCATAACCCAACAGTCCTTTCACCACCTGTTCCATGTGGGGATGATATGCAATAGCTCTGCTCTGCATTTTTTTTTTGTTAAAAAATAAATTCTTTCTCACAAATAATAAATTTATAGCCAGGGAATTTCTTTATGACTTAAGCTTTCATTTCTTTAACTTACTGCTTTTAGGGACATAAATTCTATTAGCCTCTGTGTGGAAAGTTCGTTAGGGCAACTTGAGATCAGTGGGAATTGGTAAAAGTCTTATGGTTTAAGATGAAAACATGCAATTCACTTAGAGTCTTTTCAGTGCTCTACAATATTCCTGGCCATTTCAACCCAATATGTGAATTCAAACTACTTCAGTCAACATTAAATTAGGCAATAGTCTACATTAATTCATTACATTTAAGTAAAGAAAGATGAGCTGAAAAAAAAATAACATGGCATGCAAGAATGTGTATGTCATGTCAACCAGCTGAATATGCATTTCAGAATACCATACCCTTATTTACATTTTAGAAACGGTTTCATTCTTAAAACTATTTGTGTTAAAATCAATTCATTCTTCCAGTGCTTGAATACAAATAGGGCCCATATGATAACAGAGATAATCCATGTATATAGTTTATTTTACTTAAGCAAACACTTCAGTGATTTTTTAAAAATCAACACTGTCCAGGCAATTAAATGTTTTCTTTAAAAGAAATTATTTGAAAAATACTGGAATTTATCTTGTTGTCTGTACATCAATAGTAAGTTAATAACTTTGAACTTAAAAAATATAAACTGTTATCCCTTTCCTTTTGTTTAGAGACCTTTTCTTTATAGTCTACACTGGTACTATGCAAACGGTGTTCCCTGGACAGTGCTGGCCCTGGGTGGATTGGCACCACACTGCAATGAGTTGAGCAAAACTGTGAGTGAGCACTTAGAAACTTTTCTAGTCATCTGACATGAAATTTTTTTGTCTTTTTTTTTTTTTTTTTTTTTTTTGAGATGCAGTCTTGCTCTGTCACCCAGGCCAGAGTACAGTGGCATGATCTCTGCCCACTGCAACCTCGGCCTCCCAGGTTCAAGTGATTCTCCTGTCCCAGCCTTCTGAGTAGCTGGGACTACAGGCAGACACCCTCACGCCTGGCTAATTTTTGTATTTTTACTGGAGATGGGGTTTCACCATATTGGTCAGGCTGGTCTTGAACTCCTGACCTCAGGTGATCCACCTGCCTCGGCCTCCCAAAGTGCTGGGATTACAGGCGTGAGCCACTGTGCCTGGCCTGTCTTTTGAATCTGATATTAAATATGAGAGGCTTGCATTTTGTACGATTTGGGGTGTTTTTAAATTTAATTTTTCTAGAAATACATTTTTGTTACATTTGATTAAAACACCAGTTTGTGGCTGATTGGACACTTAAAAACTGGTCCTTTGCCACAGATAGTTTGAGAAGCTTGAGTCTAAACTATAAAGTGATCTGGATGGTCAGGTAACTGTTTTGTGAATTAAATGTACATCACACACACACACACACACACACACACACACATACACACACACACATTATCTATATAACAGAACAGCCAACTCAGCAGAAACAAAGCTCAAAGCTCTGTAAACTCATTTCCTCAGTATCTCCAGATGTGCCACAGCTGAGGGAGTGTTCAGAAATAGGAATGGTTTGATTACATGATTGAAGCGAATGGATTTGTTATGTCTTGATCCTTTTTCTTCCTTCCTTCCCCTCTCCTTTCCTTCTCCCTTCCTTCCTCTCCATCTCTTCCCTCCCTCCTCCCTTTCTTTCTTCCCTTCTTTCCTCCCTTCCTCTTTTCCTTCCTTCCCTCCCTTCTTTTCTTCTTTTTCCTTTCCTATATTATCTTATTCTCCGTCTCTAAAGAGAGAGTTAAACCAAGAGCCCACAATCACACACATCAACAAACTACATGAGTCAAATTCACTGAGGAAGAGGAAGGAGAAAAAGAGGTTAGGGATATATGGAGAAGGAAAACTATGGCTCAGAAATGCAGGTACATTAGGATCTAGAGACAAGTACCTATATCAAACAAAAGAAATATTGCTTTATGAATTCCCAGAGAATATATTTTTTTCTGAATTAAACTTACCTGTTATTAATATATTTTAATTCTCTAGAAAAGGAATTTTTAAATCTGAGTTTCTGAAGAACTCTTCTTGGTTGCTCCCCCATGAAAATCCAAAGGAATTTCTTCTAAAAGTCATAATGAACATTCCTTTAGATGTTTTGGGGAAGAGAACTGGTGAAGCCATTTCCCCTCTGCTCCCCCTTCACCCTAGCTGAAGTGTTGCAGACCACAGGACTTTGCTTGTGCCCAAATCATTTCGCCCAGACTCTGAAATATGGGTGGTTAAAAACAGGATGCCAAAACAACCATATTTCCTCCCCTCATGCTGCCTTTTTACATGTACTCAAGACAATGCAGATTTATTCTGCCTCACCTGTGTCTAATGTTAGACGCATGCCCCAGAATGTCGGAAAACTTTTGTGTTTCATTTTACAATAAAAGAAATGTACTACCCAAGCTCTCAAGAAAGCACAAAGAAATGAATCTGTATCCCTTAAGCTTTGCAATTCATTTTTCTTCTTTGTTGGTTCTCGAAACTGAATTCCCTGGGTTGGGGTTTTATACTACAATTTTATCTTCTACACTTTTCTTTACTTCCCCCTTCACTCTACCCCCGCTATCCCCCCACTCCCTAGGGGCTTTGGCTTCAAATCAAAACAGCTTTCAAGTGGCCAGGACCAAGTTCCAAATCTTCTATGTTTCCTACAGATTTTCCTTCTTTCCCAGATTTTTCTAAGCCCCACTCTTTGTAGGAAGGCATGCACCTCCAGATAGGGTCCTGACTGTAAGCATTGTGCTTGGGCCCCCATCCCAACTGCAGAAGTTTATTTGAAGTATGTTACTCTTTGCCTGCTTCTTAACTTGAGGCCCAATAGTCTTACAATGTCATTTTTTTCCCCTACTGTAAATCAAGGGACAGCTGTCTTTGGACTAAATTCCAAATAGTTGGTCTGGAAATGAACTTCTCAGTGGGTCCCTCCTCTATTCTGGCTGACATTTCCCCATTAATTTCTTTTTCTCTTTCATCCATTCATTGGCTGATGAGTCTATAAATACACCTCATCTGCTTTTACTTTGCTTTTTAAGAATAAACTGATACCAAACACACTGTCTTAATTACATCCACAGGCAAAGCATAACGAGTTTAAATGTTGTCACAATATAGTTTAAAAACTTGACATGGTTCATTATGCCAGCTGTGATAAAACTGGGAAATGAAAACCTTAATTTGGATGTGTAAATGAGTAATTCATCTGAAAAGGTATTTTTAACATTAATAAATGAGAATACCTAGAAACCTACTAAGCAAAGGAAGGGAGTTGAACAGGAAACCGATAAGTAGATTGGTAAAGAAGCAAGGAAACCCGGCCTCCATTCCTCTTGGGCACAACACCTCTAAAATTAGGCAAGTCAGCCCTCCCAAATTCAGACCAGACCTGGGAGAACATTGTTCCTCATTCTGTTCTTGAGCATTCACATTATGAGGTGGCTGCTGATTCATGAGGATCTGAATTCTAGGTGCACATCAGGAAGGAAGGCTCAGGAAAATTCTGATTTATGCCCAGAAGACAGTAGGTTTTGGAAAACTCTACTTTTAAGATGAAAACAAGATTAAAGGGAAGGATAAGGTAACACTCATACGTTCTTGATATAAAATTACTTCTTTTAAAACCTTTGGTTCTGATGATATGGCTGATAACTTTCCAATAGCAGTAGCCCACTGGGATAAATTAACATTCTGAATTTTGTGAAGCAATCTTTGTTTTCCTGAGGTATTTTCACACAAACACATTCTTAACTGATGGAGAGCAATGGAGAAATAAATATTCATTTTTGAATGGGAAATAAAAGTCAATGGCAAGTTTCTCAGGTAGGAAACTACTATAATCTCCCAGTTTTCACACATAAAAAGCCTCAAGAAAATAGCAGTTAATGTACGTTGAGTCATATGTGAAAACTGATAGACATATCAAAAAAGTTTTAAATGAGTCAAAAGAAGAAAAGGCTTACAGATGGCCAGATGGCTTTGACATTGATGGAGTAGTATAAGAAGAGTGATGATCAGATGTTTTACCGTTTCTATGAGAATCATTCAAAATAAATGTGATTAAACTGTAGAAAAATCAATTTTGGCAATGTATAAGAAGTTGCAGACTCTAGCTGGAACCCATTCATCACCAGATGAGTTTATTAAAGGATACTGTGGAAGAATCCTTTTCTGGGTTTTCTTTTTTTTTTTTAGACACAAAGTCTTGCTCTGTCACCTATGCTAGAGTACAATGGTGCAATCTTAGCTCACGGCAGCTTTGAACTCCAGGGCTCAAGTGATCCTCCTGCCTCAGCCTCCCAAAGCTCTGGGATTACAAGCATAAGCCACCATGCCCAGCCAAGAATCTAGTTTTTTTAAAAAAAGCTCAGGGAACAGCATGTTAATACTAACTCTGTGCTAGGCATTTTCACATAAATATCTTACTGACTCTTTGCAGCAACTCAGCAATAGGCATTAACTCTGTGCAACAAGACGTACAGATAATCTCCAATTGTCATGCATTCAACTTCCATATATCATGTGTGGACAGCTATACACTGCTTACTACATACTAAAACCACGCTTTTATACATCAGTTTTGATGAATAAACTTTTTGAGGGCCCTGGTGGCTGCTGGCTGGCTAATAATTCAGTTTGACAGCCTTGCTTCTAGACAGACAATGCTGTGGATTCACCAAACCATTTAGTTTCTCCCCTGGGCACATGGAAAAACTACATCTCCCAGTCATTTTGCATCTAGATGGCATATTGTGACAATTGATGGCCAATGAAGTGTAAGAAAGTGTCAAGTGTGTACTTCTAGCCCTGGCCCTTAAAAAGACCCATGAGAGGCCGGCATGGTGGCTCACACCTGTAATCCCAGCACTTTGGGAGGCTGAGGTGAGCGGATCCTTTGAGCCCAGGAGTTCAAGACCAGCCTGGGCAATGTGACAAAACCCCATCTTTACAAAAAATACAAAAATTAGCCAGGCATGGTGGCATGCACTTGCAGTCCCAGCTACTGGGGAGGCTGAGGTGGGAGGATTTCTTGAGTACAGGAGATGGAGGCTGCAGTGAGCCCTGATTGTGCCATTGCACTCTAGCTTGGGTGACAGAGTCAGACCCTGTCTCAAAAGGAAGAAGAAGAAGAAGAAGGAGGAGGAGGAGGAGGATACGGGGAGGGGGAGGGAGAGGGAAGAGGAGGAAGGGGATGGGGAGGGGATGTGAGAATCCCTCTCTTTGCTCATTGGCTGCTGAATAAAGCAGACCCAGCACAGGCCTCCCAGGGAGGCTCTGATGGATAACAGAGTCTCTGAGGGAAGATGCCAGGACACCTGAGTCTGGCAACTTAAAGAAGAGCTGCCCAAGCAAGATCAGCCCCAGTGGACTCTCTCTCTCTCATTATCTATCTCTCTCTCTCTCTATCTCTCTATCTATCTATCTATCTATCTATCTATCTATCTATCTATCTATCATCTCTCTATCTCTCTATCTATCTATCTAATCTATAGATTAGAGACAGGGTCTTCCTCTGCTGCCCAGGCTGGAGTACAGTGGCATGGTCATGGTTCACTGCAGCCTCTACCTCCTGGCCTCAAGTGATCCTCCCACCTCAGCCTCAAGTAGCAGGGACTACAGGTGTGTGCCACCATGGCTGGGAAATGTTTTAATTTTTTGTAGAGACAGGGTCTTGCTATGTTGTCCAGGCTGGCCTTGAACTCCTGGACTCAAGTGATCCTCCTGCCTCAGCCTCCCAAAGTCCACTGGACTGGACTTTTTATGAGAAAAAAAATTAAACTAAATCAGTGAAATTTGGAATTTGTTTGTAACAACAGTAATTAACAATAACTACCCTTATGAAATAACTTCTATGAATTCAGTGATCCAAACAAAGATTAATATTGGTGCAATTATTTGAATATTTTACTGTAATTTGTCATAATTTTTCTATTAAAAATTATGAAAATAGAATAATAAAGGTTTAAATACTAGTAACAGGAGTATCATGAACTTAATATAATACAGAAAAGAATAATAATTATTAGACATATTAAAAGTGATGTCTCTAACCTCAGCCAGGCGCTCACTTAAGCATGTTGACTACACATTCGGTTACAAAGAAAAATAAAATTAGAGAATGTGTGGGAGATGCTAGAATTCTAATCATTCAACTATTGTGTCTAAAAAGCAAGACTTATATCAAAACAGGATCCCTTGCCCCTTTTATATTAAATCCATTGTTTCACTATCTTACAATCAACTTGCAGGCATGTTTTCAGGATCAAAAGACAAAAGTGTCCTTTTTCTTATTTTTAAATATAAGAATATTAAAAATCAGAAAAGTTGAACAATTCCCCCAAAGTCTTGTTAATAAATAATAGAATTAAGATGCATTTCAAGATTGGCATCAGCCTAAAGCCTTATTCTTTTCATTATACCTCACTGCCTCTCATCTCTGTAAAAAATTAGGATGTCTGCCTGTCTTTGAAGAACAAAATATGTAAAATGAATGATCTTACAGCGCCCCCTTTGAGCACTTTGATTCTATGATAAAGACATTTCCATCATTTCCTGATGTTGTGAATGCAGGAGGCTCATGAAAAATGTCCCTTTACTACAAAGGTTGGCAAGTGCTCAAAGATATGGCTTTAGTCAGCTATGCCATGCTGTCTTTACTAAACAGCATTATTTCTAGGAAGAATTTCTATTACTTTAAAGTGGAAAATAAAGTTACAACAACATTAAAGAGTATGTTACAGTTCCACGCTCTATTCTGTTGGCAGAAAGCTTGGTCTCTGCACCAGCATTCTGCCCCAACTGGCCATGTCTCAGGAGAAAAGAATTCCTCTCATCTCTCTACAGCAGCCTTTTCTGCTTAACTTAGACCCCCACCAAAGCCGGGTGATGAATACAAAAGGTTTCTAAAGAGAGAAATGGCAAGGAGAGAGCTTGGAGACACCGTACCTCTTGAAAAGAAGAAAAAATAAGTAAATAGTTTATTATCATCATGGGCCTTGGAATGACATCATAAGACCATCCTTTGTCACCTCTGCCATTTCAAAGCCAATGCGTATGAGCTATTTTAACTGAAAAAATTATTTTTCATTGACTATCCAACAACTTTGACTTTATACAGTATTTTGAGAACCCATTTTTATAATAACTCAGTTCCACAGACTTTTGGACTCATTCGAAAGTGCATGTAGTGGTCAGACTTTTGCTTGTGAGTGATATCAGTGTGAAAATAAGCTTTAATAAAGTTGCCAGCATCCATGGACCTCTGTACCCATAACAACTTCCATGGCTTCAGTTCTGCCAAAGGTTTTGCTTGACGGGTATTTCCTATGAAGCTTCTCCTGCTTTCCCACCCATAGCACTGTTCTATGGCCCACACGGGGCCAGAAGCAGCCACTAGGAGAAATTATTGGTCAGGCAACCCTCCAGTGCCGCAAGCCCGGCCCTCCCTCTTCATGTCCCTGAGCTGTGTCCAAAAATAGAAAATGAGACATGATGATGGATTGAGAGTAGGAAGAAGGGAGGGATCTCGGGGTGAGTGTTTAAGTCAACACAATGGAATTCCACCAGCAAAGGCTTGCTGCATAAATCACTCTTGAGAGAAAGTTGGGCACACTGGGAAGTGTGTTGGGGCTTCCAGGCAAGTGGTGGATGGGCACTATCAGGAGGCACACCCAGAAAGAGGTGGTGCAGTGTGGAACAGGACTTCTCAAACTTGAATGTGCCCATGAATAACCTGGAGATCTTGCTGAAATGCAGGTTCTGACTCAGTTGTCTGGGGTGAGGCCTGAGATACTACCTTTCTAGTAAACTTTCAGTTGACAATACTTTGAGGAGCAAGGATGTAGAAAGTAAGAACACAAAGTCCGATTTCAGAACCTATGAGCTGTGAAACCTTGAGCTTCAGTGTTTTTATCTGTGAAATGGAGATTGTTTTAAGTACTCTTGTATCAGATTATTGTGAGCATTAAGTGACATGATGTCATTTACCTGGGACATAATAAAGAATTCAATATGTTGATCGCCATCAATATTTTATTTTTACTCATTTGAGCATTGGGGCAGCTTCCAAAACATTGATCTGTCGATTTGATTTTTTAATGGTGAGACGAGGTGCGCAGAATGAAGTGAAGTCCAGGGTGGAGGGATAGGAGTAGGTGGAGGAAGTGGGAAGAAAAGTAAGCCTGGGAAGGAATAAAAAGAAAGATCCCCCTTTCGGCCGGAACCACCATCTTCCAGTAATTCACCAAAATGACGAATACAAAGGGAAAGAAGACAGGCACCCAATATATGTTCTCTAGGCCTTTTAGAAAACATGGAGTTGTTCCTTTGGCCACATATATGCGAATCTATAAGAAAGGTGATATTGTAGATGTAAGAGAATGGGTACTTTTCAAAAAGGAATGCCCCACAAGTGTCACCATGGCAAAACTGGAAGAGTCTACAGTTACCCAGCATGCTGTTGGCATTGTTGTAAACAAACAAGTTAAGGGCAAGATTCTTGTCAAGAGAATTAACGTGCATATTGAGCACATTAAGCACTCTAAAAGCCGAGATGGCTTCCTGAAACGCGAGAAGGAAAATGATCAGAAAAAGAAAGAAGACAAAGAGAAAGGTACCTGGGTTCGACTGAAGCCCCAGTCTGCTCCACCCAGAGAAGCACACTTTGTGAGAACCAATGGGAAGGAGCCTGAGCTGCTGGAAACTATTCCCTATGAATTCATGGCATAATAG
This sequence comes from Homo sapiens, assembly GCF_000001405.40. Lineage (NCBI taxonomy): Eukaryota > Metazoa > Chordata > Mammalia > Primates > Hominidae > Homo > Homo sapiens. The sequence goes on from NC_000012.12 coordinate 66,037,718, forward strand.
GTGTTTAAAAAAAAAAAAAAAAGACCTGTAAGGACTGTAAGAAAAAAAAAAGAAAGATCCCTACCTATACCTTCATCATTCATGTTCAGACAGAAAATTTCCCAGTGACAGATGCATCGCTGTGAAATTACATTAAGAGAGGTATTCCTAGGGAAGCTGCGGGACATGCTTTGTGGTTTCTTCATCTATTACGAAAATAAAGGCACTGAAGTAAGGCTGTAGCTACCAAAGTACCACATTGCTTTAACACACATGTGACTCTTACAGAACTTTTTTACATTAGGGATAATAGCATAAACTTATCAACTGAATTAAACAAAGTAAACCAAATTATTTTTGATGCAAATACAGAGTACTCCACCAAAATTTTGGTCAAAGTGCTTAACTCTTAAACCTTTCTCCAGTGCTCTGAGATTACGAGGGGCACAAGTGAAGAATACCTAAAATTGTAATTGCACCCTAGTGGCCCAACAGCTGACTATAGTCCATGGAGTTTTGGGTTTTGGTTGATTTAAATTAATTGCTACATTTAAATAAAGGAAGAGTTTGGCTCAATTCCCTCCCAGCAACTAGAAGCTGAAGTTGAGTAATGGATACTCCTTTTAAATGAGACATGCACTCTACAGTTTGCGACTGTTTCCACTATTCCTTATAAGCATACACAGACTTTACTCATTTACCTTATCAATCTAAGCCTGTGTAGAGAGTTGAGTTTGTCACTCCTGACCTAAGAAGAGGTGGTAAAGAAGCATGGGATTTCTTCCTAGAAGGATGAATAAATGCAAAAGAGATGAAAAATGAGGGGAAACCCCATTTTTAAAATATTTACTCACATATTTACCATTTAAGTGCTCTTCATCTCTTTCTGTAGGTCCAAATTCCCATCTAGTATCATTTTCTTTCTGCTAAAAGAACATTTAACATTTCTTAACGATCACACGCCTTTTATTGACCTGAAAAAAATTTTATTTTGCCTTTATCTTTTAAAAAAATCTTCAGTAGGTATAGAATTCCAGGCTGGCAGATTTTTGTTTTTCTCCAGCACTTAAAAGATGACCTTCCATTGTCTTTAGGCCTGCATGGTTTATGACGAGAAGCCTGCTATAATTCTCAAGTTTATATCTCTGTACATAACGTATCTTTTTCTCCCTGGCTGTGATTTAGATTTTCTTTTTGGCATTAATTTCAGAAATTTAACTATGATGTGCCTTAGTGTGATTTTTTTATATTACTGCTGTTCGGAGTTTGTTGAGCCTTTTGAATCTATGAGTTTACATTTTTAATAAAATTTGTATAATTTTCAGCCACTTCTTCAAATAGTGTTTCTGTTTCACCCACATCACATTTGTAAGACTCCAGTTACACATATGTTGCATGGCTTTATAAGATCCCAGAGTTCACTGGGGCTCTCTGTATGTGTGAGTTTGCTTTTAGTCTTTTTTGTTCTTTTTTTTTTTTTTTTTTTTTGAGATGGAGTCTCACTTGGTCACCCAGGCTGGAGTGCAGTGGCACAATCTCGGCTCACTGCAAACTCCACCTCCCATATTTAAACAATTCTCCTCCTCAGTTTCCCAAATAGCTGAAATTACAGGCACCAACCACCATGCCTGGCTAATTTTTGTATTTTTAGTAGAGATGGGGTTTCTCTATGTTGGCCAGGCTAGTCTCAAACTCCTGACCTCAAGTGATCCACCCTCCTCAGCTCCCAAAGTGCTGGGATTACAGGCATGAGCCACCGTGCCTGGCCTTTTTTTTTTTTTCCAACCTGTGATTCATTTTGGATAGTTACTATTGCTATGTCTTCAGGTACAGTGACTTTTTCTTCTGCATCATATAAGATGCTGGTAATCCTATCCAGCTTATTTTTTATTTCATATTTCCATCTCTATAAGTTTCATTTGGGTCTTTTTAATATGTTTTACTCCCTATTCATAGTGTTTATGTTCTCTTTTACATCCTTAAACATAGGATAAACTTTGTTAAGGTCCTTGCCTACTAATTCCATTATCTCTGTCATTTCTTGATCTATTTCTACTGATTAATTTCTCTCTTGTTATAAATCACATTTTTACACTTTCTGGTATATCTACAAATTACTATTTGAATTACAGATATCGTTAATTTTATTTTATTGGGTGCTGGATTGTGTTCTCTTCTTTAAAGAACATTGGATTTCGTGGCAGATCAGTTTGATTCATGAAAGGCTCATTTTTACATTTTGTATGGTGGTTCCAGAGCAGCTTTTATTATAGGACTAATTTACTCCACTACTAAGGCATGGCACATCTGAGGACTTCACCCAATGCACTATGTATTTTGAGGTTTCTCCACTCAGGCTGGTAGAAACACGAAGTATTCCCGGTCCTCTGTAAGCTCTAGGTATTGTTCAGCCTGTGCTTTCAGGGAGTTCTTCACCGCAGTCTTCATAGTGTCTTCACGAGCACATGCAGATCAATAAAACTCATCCAAAGACATGGGGTAAGTGCTCTGCAGATCTCCAGAGCTTCCTTTCTATCTAGTTTCCTCTTTCTGGTAAACTCCCCTGCAAATTCTAGCCTCCTCAGTCTCCCCAGACTTTAAACTCTGTCTCTTCAACTTAGCAAGACCACTAGGCTGTTTTGGTTATTCCACCATGGGTAGTATCCTGGAAACTGCCTCCAGGTATAAGGTGTGGCAATCACAGGGCTCATCCCATTTATTTTCCTACTCACAGGGATTAAAATCTTGTTGTCCGATGTCTGACGTTTTGTCTCATTTCTAACTGTTTAAAATGGGAAGACAATTGCTGTAGCAGTTAATCATTGATGGTCAGCAGCAGAAGTTAGTGTAGTTGCTAGAAAACCAAGGCAAGGAGAGCATTTCAGGCAGGGCAGGGATGATCACATAAGCCAAGGCAAATAGGTGAGAAACAGTAATTATGAGTATCAGAAAACAGCAATTTGGTGTTGCTGCACCACAAAGCTAAGGCTGGAAGGGACTGGAAAAATATGAGGCTGATGCCGGCATCCAGGGCCAGAATTTGAGGCTTCTGGGGTTATGTGATTAAGAACTATGGAATAGGAAGAAAAACAATAGTCAAAGAATTAGGAGACCTGGGTTCAGATTCTAGTTTATTATTAGCCATGTAACTTTGAACAACTCTTTTGTGCTTTAGTTTTCTCATTCGTAAAATAAGAAACCTTCCTTAGTTTTTGCCCAAGACTATATTTCAAGGTAAAATTTTCATAACTGAGTTCAGTGGAGGTGGGGGGACCCTTTGGGCTGGGGTCTTCAGAGAAAATAGGTTTCTAATACCAAGTATTTACTGGATACCTGCTACATGCCAAGATGTGTGCCCAGAGCTTTAAATACATGGTTTAGTCCCTACAATGACGCCCCCCGCCCGCCACTCATCCCACAGATCAGCCAACAGAGAGGTTAATAGTTTGTCAAAGGTCACATGACTAAAAAGTGATGGTAACAAGATCTGAACTCAAGTCTGAGTAATTATATTTTGCTGCTCCTATCTTGGGCCAGATATCACTATGTCTTTAAAGCTCCTTGGGTAATTCTAATGTGCATCCAGGGTTAACAGTCACTGACTAGAAAGGTTAAAAGCAGGTTTGAGACAACAACCTTAATAATTGAACAAGTAACACCTTGAATAATGCCTCCCCTCCCTAATTAAGTCAATTTGCACACACAGTGATTGTACCTATACTCCAGCCCAACCCCTATAAAGAGCTGGAGAATGGGTGGGTGACTCTTTGATTTTCTGGAACAGGATGTCTTCAAGAGGTGACCTCCTCATAGAGCGAGTGGTCAGTTGTACTATCTAATCTTCTTTGTGCTTTTTGCAACAGTACAGATTGACTAAGAATATATTAATATTTATTAATTTGGGGGCAAATTGATGCCACATTTTATGCAATTTAATTTTCGGAGCATAATGATGTTATTATAATAACATTTTACTGTAACAATAGCAATTGAAACCCTACTAGGGTCCATGTACTGTGCTGAGCACCTGTATTATTTCAGTTAATTCTCACAACAACCTCATGAAGTAGTTGCAGCTATTGTTCCTGTTTTACAGAAAACTGAGACTCTAAGTTACACAGTGAGGAGTGCAGAAGTGAGCCCAGCCAGTATGGCCCCCCAGCCAAAGTTCCTAGCCCTTCACTGTGTCGCTGCACTTCTTATAGTGGCTACCGGAGGGAGGAAGAAGGCATTTTGTTTTTCTTTTTCAGTTACAAATAGTGAAACAAGAACAATCAAAGGGGCTAAATAATGTCCTATCATCCTTTTAAAACATAGACTAGAACAAAAAATGAAACTCTTGATTCCCTGAGACTAAAACCTTTACATTCTTCTGGTCTCTTGTATGTGAAACCTCATTTTTGGCACACGGGTCATTGCTCAAAAGCAATGCGTGCCTTTATCTTTTTGATCTGTGTGTGGTCTCACTAATGTACGTGTGTTAGGGCCGTGCCACAAATCTGGCACCCCCTTCACTAGTAACGATTTTACTACGCAGACCACGTTAACGTGAAAAACCTGGAACAAAGAGAAACTCTGACTAGCAGCATTGTTTTCATGGGGAAATGGGCTACATGATATTTCACCCATTGATAGGAAAAACAGTTTTAAAACATTTTCTTTTTAGGGTGAGAATTGCCAATGTCTAAATCAAAGATGAATACTTAAAAGATCTAGGGACATGAGAAGCCAATAATAGCTTGGATGATAATACAGAAGCCTCCATTCAAATATCCTGGAAACTTGCACCCAGTTTTAAGCAAATGAGCACAAGTGTGTCTCTGATTGAGACCAAATGTTTTGGAACGCAATTTTACCTTAGACAAGTCTTGGTTATTCAACAGATAATAGGTTTTGGCGAACTTCTCTACGGGACAAATAGACATTTTTCCAACAGCATGTAAAGTGACTTTTTCACACTTCTAGGAGAAAAAGGTACGGGAAGAAGTGCCTTGCTGATTAGGAAACCTTAGTAGCCTCCGATCATAAATTTTGCCCACCAGCAACATTGGCAGTGACAACAGCGTGCATAAGAAAAATGCGTAGATGACTCCATTGTTTCATTTAGATTGTTAGTTTTAACTTCTCTCAAGCAAAAAACAACTCTTTGATTGAGCTTACTATGAAGTATGAAAATTAACATAAATATAATTCCACACACACTCCCAGCTCTAAAGAGGCGTTTATAAAGACAGCAGAAAAGCAAGCCAGATCAAACATAATAGCAAATTGGATAGTAGCCTGGAATTAACAGTGGATTGATGAATCAACCTCACATTTTTATCATTTTTCACTTAAGAAGCTTTGATCCAGTGTAAAGATTATTTATTCTCTCAAACCCTGTGCATAGTGAGTGCTGCCCTGGGGTATATTCAGTATCAGAATTATTGTGGAAGAGATTTCCCCACTGGGCAGGAGTTTGGACTAAATGATTCTAGATGTTGGGTAGAACATGCTGAATTTGTAGATAACAGGTCTGTTCAAGGCCTGAGGAAATCGTGCAGCCAACCTCGAGCCATTGAAACACTTCCAACAAAGCTTCTGAAGTAAAAACATTGAGTAGCTCCCAGGTTTGTTCCAGTAAACATTGGCCATGTTGGGGACAGGTGGGTAATGGAGTCTAAACATCCCTGGACACTGTGCCGCAGATTCTTTCAGTGTTCTCTGTGGTCTGCCAGTGAAGGCTAAGTTCTTGGACTCCATGCATAAAATGTGGGGTCACTTTGCTCCAACATTAATGAAGCGGTGTCATTTGTCTGGGGTAAATACCCAAGATTCATTGTCTGATGGCCACGGAAAACTAGGACGGATACGTACACACACAGAGTGAGGTTCAGAGTGGAAGTTTAATATGCAAAAGAAAGAGAAGAGCTCTCTCTGCTGCAGAAAGAGAGGTCCTGGAAAAACAGGTTGCCCCTTCCGTAGTGAAATGCAGAAGGTTTTATTGATGAGCTTGAGGAGGCCGTGTCTGACTTACATAGGGCACAAAAGATTGGTCGGACCAGGTGTGCCATTTACATAGTGCACAAAGAAGTGGACCGCCGCACCCTAATCTTTTATTATGCAGATGGGTTATCTACCTGGCCGGTGCCATGTTGCCTGGTTCTTTACTGCACAGGTGGTGACAAAGAAAAGGGAAGATGAAGACTCCATGCTGAACATACCTGGCTTCCAGGTAGCCCTACTTTGTTGGCACAGATGCTGGCATTTACCTGTGCAAGCTTCCAGCTTGCTTATCTATGTCCGCAGCTCAATTTTTCAGGCTGCTCTTTGTTAGAAAAGAAATGATTTGGGGGTTGCTTTGTGTTAAAAGGGAAGCCTTGCCAAGGACTCTCTTACCCTCACTATCTGCCTAAATAATTTATTTCTATTTCCTGTATCATTAACACATATTAATTTATATCCAGTCAATATATACTTTTGCAAAAAACACAAAGACTAGATAGTACAACTGACCACTGGCTGAACTAAGAAGGTCCTTGAGGAGGTCACTTTTTGAATGTATCCTCTTCCAGAAAATTGAAGCATTACCCACCCGTTCTGGAGGCTTGGCTGTAATATAGAAATAATCACAGTGTGTCCAAATTGGTGTCCCTTTGGCAACTCAAATCTGTAAGTCCAGGTTTCCTACCCAACAGGTAGGAGGTCTTTGCTGGGTCTTTAACCTGTGGGGGCTGAGGCAAAGTGGTAACCATCTGCAGCAGAACAACAAGATGCTTCTGGCCCCAGGAAAGACATTCCAACAACTGCTGGGCAGGCCCTTGCCTGTATCATTTTAACAGCCATACTCCCATAAGGGTGTTTCTCAGCCCATACTGGAGAATCAAAGAGGATGTGATCTCAGCTGAAGCCTGACAGCAGGACTGAATCCATTGAATTTCTTGCATTAAAACTTGAAAACCTTCTAAATACATTCATGTGAACATTTTCTTATGGTCCTGAGTTTTAAAAAATTAAATCATTATTAAAATAAAAATCTTAATAGCTGCCTTAGTCCTCTAAACTGGTAGCATGAGTTTTACAACTCCCTCTGTAACAGATGTGGGACCTCCAACTTACTTGGAGTCTTACAGAGAGCCTTGGACTTTGCTGCCACCAGAGTACCGCTGGTAGCTGCAAGCATAAGAGGACGTGATTCATCCTCCACTCCCTGTGCAGATGATCCGGCAGGGCTGTGAGAGAAGAGCTGTCTGTCCAAGCCGCTGATGAGAGCTTTCCTGTGGGTTTCATCAAAACTGAAGCCAAGTCCAAAGGGTTATGTCAAGAAAATTGCATTAGACAGTGCCCTTTCAACATTTAAATGCCCATGCCTTTAAAACCCTGAATAGAATTGATGATATTTCCCTCTGAAGCTATTTGCTCATGAGAAACATCAGGAAAACCATCTTTCTTTTCTCTTTTTGACAAGAGAAGCATTGGATGCAAAGGACAGGCAAGAATTGGTAGGGAGGATATACCACTAACGGACAGCATTACCAAGACAGCACAAAAGTAAGGATGTACTGTTGTGCTACTCTTATTTTTGGCTTTCCGTGATAGCAATTGGAAATAATCAAAATAAAATAAATACAATCAGTGAGGGTGAGAATGGGCCAGGGGTGGAATGTGGAAGAAATTCCCTTTCTGGTGCTCTCCTATTGCTGAGCAGCTAGAAATCGCTTCAGAACATTGCTTCTGCCTTTCCCGGCCACATCCTCTCTCTTTTCCTTCTATAGGCAGTAGAGTGAAAGGGTGAGGGAAAAGTCGCCGGCTTCAGAGAGACCTGAGTTCTAGGCCCAGGTCTGCCACTACACTGTTTTTAATTGTGTTTATAATCTTGATGGGTATTCACCAAGTAATTTATCAAGTGCTTACTGTGTGCTGGGCACTCTTCTCAAGGCTTTGAGTCTATTAATTTAGTTAATTATCACAATGATGATAAGTACTTATTTTCACACCACTTTATACATGAGACAGCAATTAAGTCACTTGCGCAATGTCATACAGCTCAGAACTGGAGGACCTGGGATTCAAACACACAAAGTCTGGCCACAGAGCACAAGCTCCTAGTGACTACGCTATCTTTCAAGTTATCTAAGCCCATTTTCTCATCTTAAAAAATATAGCTTATAAGCCTCATAGAATTATTATGTTGGTTAAATGAGATAATGCATATAGGCCGGGTGTGGTGGCTCACACCTATAATCCCAGCTACTCGGGAGGCTGAGGCAGGAGAATCACTTGAATCCAGGAGGTGGAGGTTGCAGTAACCCAAGATCATGCCACTGCGCTCCAGTCTGGGTGGCAGAGTGAAACACTGTCTCAAAACAAAACAAAACAACAAAAAAGAGATAATGCATATAAATTTAGCACAGGGCCTGGGGTATAGTAAGCAATAAAAAGATGTCAGATATTATTTTTTGACTTTCTCTGTCCTTTCAGCCCAGACCCCCAGAGGTGGAACCAGCAGGGGAAACTTGAAGAAATCGTGCCAGTTTCTTTTCTTCCCCACCCAGGGAGTCCTGTGTTCATATACTGTTGTGCTACATAACTAATACTTGAAGGAATAATAATGAGGCCATTGAGTGCCAATAATATGTTAGGCATTATACAAAATTCGTCATTCTACAAAACCTGTTTGCTTCCCAAGCCTACTCAGTCTCTGCTGAGTGGGTTTAAGATTACTGGCAATATATCCATTGCAAACCCTTTTAGCCAGGAGTGTCTGCTGCTTTGTCTTTAAGATTTTGTCTCTGCAAGAATATTGGACTCTTTGATTTCAGCGGCAAGGGTGTTTGGGTAGCAGCCAGAGTCTAACATTTTTTGTCCTTTAAAGCCTTCATGCATCTGTTGTTTGGCCATCACAACTGACTGCCTTGACTTGGTTGGAATTACAACTCAATTTACACCCTATATTTTCCCTTTATTTCTTCAGCATCATACAGGACTCAAGATTTAACAGCATTTCTTTGACTTTCTGGCCTCCTCTCGAGACTTTGATTTATTTCTACAAGCCATATAACAGTGTTCTTGGCAGCCAATAAGAACTCTTCAATTGGACACTCTAATCAGGCTCTTTTCCTTGGCAACAAGTTCTAGCCACCTCCTCTTCTTTGCTGAGAGAAAACTCAGAAAAAAAAAAAAAAAAAAAAAAGGTGCGCCAGTTTAGAAGGAAGCAAAAGCTATCTCAACAGGTGAAAGAAAGCCAACTCTCGTGAAAGTGGGAAGGGAAAACTCTGCCTCTATAGGTATTGTTTCTTTAGGAAGCCATAAGGCCAAAATAACTGGTTATAATCCAGAGTATTGAATGTTTTTCCTGATACTCACTTGTCACATGATTTAAGTCAAGCCTGTTTGCTTCTCGGGGACTCAGTTTTCCCATCTGTAGAATATTACTCTCTGGCATCTTCACCACAGAGTTTAAAGCATTGGCCATATGTTAACCTCTTTACTTTTCACAATCCTGTAAGAGTCAGGCACAGATACTTTGCTTCAGACCTGAAAGGAAAAAGAGAAGCAAAGAAATTGTGGGGTCTGCCTACAGTTGCAGTATAGCTGGGATAACAATTTACATTGTTTATCTTAATGCCAAATGCTATTGTTTTCCAGAAACTTCTCTGTCAGAAAAATGGAATTATTAACAGAGAAATATGGCACCTTGCTTGCAAGTCATTTGACTTGGCTGTTTAAATGAAGTTAGGGGATTTCAAAACCCAATCTAATAGAAAAACATTGGTCAGAGTTTGACATTATACAAATATTTCATACTTGGGGCCTACTGCCTTGAAACACTGACTAATCCTCACTGTTACCTTGTGAAATACATTATTAGTCATTATTAGTTCCATTTTACAGCTGGAGGAACCAAAGAAGAAAGTTCAAATGGCTTCTCTGGGGCCACAGAGGAAGTCAGTACTACACAAGAGAAATTCTTGTATTTTCTCTCTCTTTTGCTCACCCAGATAGAGAAAGCAGGTTTTCTGGAGAAGTTCTCACATCTGAAATCATTCATGAAACTAGAGGCAAATTCACATGGCATTAGTTTTTGAGAACAGTCACAGCTACAGCATTTCTAAAAATGTAAACATAACAGCAAATGTAAGATCCATATTGGAAAAACACCCTTGAGGTTGTGTTTCTCTAATTGTAGTCATTGGGCTTCCAGGAATTTGAGAGCACAGACCCCAAACCATTCACAGACCATGACACTTCTCTTACTCATGAATTAACTATATATTGGTATTCAATGAAAAGCTGATGTCTTTTTATGCGTACCCTAGCCAAAAATAATGCTAGGCTTCCTGATGATTCTCAAGATGTGTGGTGAAGTGTGTGTGTGTGTGTGTGTGTGTGTGTGTGTGTGTGTGATGTCAAGTAGACATTTACTGAACATTAACTGTGTATCAAGCACTGTGCCTACTTGTTGGAAAATAGAAGTAAAAATCTCCTTCCCCTAGAAGAATTTAGGATTTAGGTAAGAAAATAAAATACACATATCTACCAGGCTCTGGTAAAATCTAGAGTTCAAATATGTTATTTTTAATTTTGCTTAACCCCATATTTCTTTAACTTTTGGAATTCAGAATTTTTCTTCAAGAAGCACCTAATAATAATGCCACTATAATTAGTACTTTTCACTTTAAAATTAATTTTTTAATCTCTCCATCAGTATTCAGGTTTAGAATTTCCTAAAAGACCATGTACTTAAGCTTTCTTATAAAACAATTACATCATCAAGATGCAAATAAAGACTTCTTAATTTCCATCTATATTCAATTATTTTATGTTAAATTTGGGCTTCCCGTCTGCCAAGTTATATGCTGTATGGTGAACATATAAACAGGAAGCCAGCATTAGCCCTGCCCAGTAGTGTAGTGGAAGAATGACATGGAAACCTCTGATTGCAATACAATGAGACGAATGCTGGTTGACACACCTACAATATATGACCAGCGCCTGGAAACCAGCCATGCTAGCACATGGGGGTGCACGGAGGTGTACCGGGCGAAGGAAGGCTTTATGGAGGAAGTGATGTTTGAGCGGCTCTGAAAAAAACAGAAGGTCCCCAAGGTGAGAAGAGGATGAGGACTTTTCCAGGCAAAAGGAGAGGCAAAATGGCGTGATTTGGGAGTCTCCTGGGGATCTACCCGTCAAGAGAAAACCTCCTGAGAAGGTCTATAAGTGGAGCAGCGTCTACAGGGCGCTTCGCACAGCAAGCTGAGTCAAACACCAAACTGCTTCAGCTAACGAAATCTGCTGCCAGCATCTTCTGCTGTAACCTGCAAACACTGAGATACCTCTAACTTCTCGCCTTTCTTCCCTTCTTCCTCTTCCAAAAAAAAATGGTAGTGTCTGCTTCCAACTTCTCAAGCATGTGGAAAAAGACCTTGAGCTCCATCAGTGAGTAAGACCAGATAAACAGCAGTGCAGTGTTAGTGTCATCTTTGTCAGACTCATGAAAGAGCCTCCTTAAACAATAAATTATCATCAACATTCCAGGGTATAGTTGCTTAATATGTGTACTAGCCACGTCTCTGATACCTCTTCTTTCCGGGGTTTACCCTTTGGCTATTTCACTATTTGTTAGCATTTATGTACACAATTGGTTGTGCAATTCTACTCTTTCAGCTGCTGTTAGTTCTTGTGGTGATGAAAGGTAAAACAGAGGGTGCAATAAGATTCAGGAATAATCTGTGGACTTTTATTTTTTAGTGTGATCTATCTCACAGAAAATTGACATGTTTGTTTTTATTTTATGGAAAACTAACTTTACTCTCAAAATGTTCCTTTACCGTGTTTTTTGGTGAAAAACATTTTTAAATAGTCTCCACAATTGTTGAATGGCTACTTTTCTGATGAATTTCTTAAGCAGTAAGAGAAGTCCCTACAGCAAGCAGTCTGCTGTTTTGAAATTGTTTGCAAGGGAAAGTATTGTATAAAGATAATTATGTTGTGGCTAAAGAACTATCTTAGGCTAAAGTCCTTGAACAAAGAACAGATAAGCATGTCTTTGTTTGAAGTTTTGTGGTGAAATAATCATTGGCAGCTTATGTAGATATGCCTTGATTGATAACTATCCTATGTTTTTTTTTTTTTTGTTTTTTTTTTTTTTGAGACAGGGTCTCTCTCTCTCTGTCACCCAGGCTGGAGTGCAGTGGTGCAATCACAGCTCAATGCAGCCTCTACCTCCTGGGCTCAAGCAGTCCTCCCATCTCAGCCTCCTGAGTAGCTGGAACTACAGGCATGCACCACCATGCCCAGTTAATTTTTCAAAAATTTTTTTGTAGGGACAGGGCCTCCCTATGTTACCCAGACTGTTCTCAAACTCCTGGCCTCAAGCAATCCTCCTGTCTCAGCCTCCCAAAGTGCTGGAAGGCTGAAACAGCCCAGCCTCTATGAAAATATTTTTTTAAATGTGGAGCATTTGCTGGGTAACAAAGTACCTTTTTAAAAAAATCCACATTGAAGAAAGTCATGTATTCACTCAGCAAATATTTACTGAGTTGCTTCATCTGCATAAACACAGATATAAATTCTTGATACATCATTTTTAAAACAAATAATGATTATAATTACTCAAGGGGAACTTAAGACTGATTACTGTTGGCAAATACAAAATCATAATACCATATATTGAGCAATTACTAAATATCAGGCACATACTAAGTGCCAAATGTATATATTATCTCACTTAATCCTCTTGGTAACTCTTTGAGGTATTTTCATTAACCCCTTTTTACAGGTGAGGAATCTGAAAGTCAGAGAGATAAAGAAACTTGTCAAAGTTTGTTAGAGCTAATACACAGAACCAGGTTTTGAACTCTGGAATGTCTAGTTCCAAAGGCTTATCACTTAACCACTATCTCCCCATTGCCTTAGGTAATATATTAGCCAAAAGAAGAGCTACTTATTGAGATACTTATCCCTGGTTGGTAACATGGTAACACATCATTTACAGTGTACAAGATGTGTAGCCACTAACAACAACCCTTGAGGCAGGTGTTTATTAACTCTTCTATTCTAGAGCTGAGTAAATTGAGACTTAAGGAAATTAAGGGACTTACCTAAAGTCATACTGCTAGCATGAGGCAGGATGAAGACCAGAAGTCAGGAACAACTCCTCTGCTGTTGCAACTGTACCACTCTGTACTACAAAGAGGTAGAAGGAGAAGTGATGGGAGGTTTGTCTTTCAAAACACGTGCACATGCACTCCACAAGTAAGGAGGTACTAGTACTTCTCTTTGTGTTAATAAAAATAATAATTTGAATTAAAATGCCTCTCAATTTTAATTTTACAAAAATTCAGCAGCAATTAAAACAATTCATTAGCCTAACAATAAATACCAACAGAATCACATATTTAGAGTCCTCATAAAATATTAAGGTATTACTGATTATAAAAAACATATTTTTCTTGGTTTCTGTATTTAATAGCCTTTCAAGGGCTGGAGATTGTTTAGAATTACAGATAATGATTTTAAATCTTTTTCACTGTAGGAAAACATAGCAAGATAAAACGAGGAACTCATTATCTACCTGTTTTAATATGAAAGCGGGTAAATTTTCCAAAATGAATTGTTAATGAAAACTCTGAACAGATAATAAACCACGAAGAGACCTTTCAATCCCGTTAATTCTTGAAGTTGAAATTTTTAAATTTAAAATGGAGAGGAAAGAGTAAAAAACTCTATCCCTCTGAAGGATGTTTAGAGGATATAATTCAAAAATTCGGTGCCAACAACAATTTATACACAGCATGAAGAACAATGAATTCCACTTCTGTGGTTGTATCTGGAGAATAAAACAAGTCAAAAGGAAAAATTCCAAAGAAGGTTTAAATTTATTCTCCAACCTCAGAGCCTAGTTCGAGTTCGCCTGTGTGGTTTTATTGCTTAGTTCACACATAGGAATTAGCACTGGGGATCCTAAAAGCCTGTTTAAAAAAAAAAATCTTTTGCTCCTGGTGTTGATACAAGAAAACACTCTTTCTTAAATTCAGTATGTGATTATTTGCTTCCTCATAAGTTCAAAATGCGTGAAAAGAGAGAGGGGAGTGTCTTTAAAAAAGAACATCCTTCCACCACATTTTAAAACATTGCTCTTTTGTCAATGACAGGCAATTGGGGGCTTCTAAAAACAAAGGAACATAGTGGTATCTTTCAAATTAGTCAAGAGGGAATTTAGTGTCAAGTTATGTTCATAACCAGATTACCCATGGAGTTGCTTTCTGTAGTTACTTCTTTATAGGGAATATATATAACTTAAATTTTAAATCACCAAGATTTAACATTGATCTTTACTACAGTAAAATCCCACTGTGGGGGAAGGAGGGGGAAACTCTTACCATGGCATTCCTTCAGGAATAACTTTTTATAGTTGCAACCAGATAAAATATGATTTGCCTATAAGATGAAAGCTACTACTATATTTTACCATCTGCATTATATATTACTGTGAAATTATATTAAAGTTATATTGAAATAAGTGCTAGAAGAAGACCAATTGTCTAACCAAAGAAAACATTCAGAAATCTAATAGTTTCAGAAAGGAGAAATGTAAGGTACAAAATGTATATTTTGCCGAAGTCGTATAACAGAATGATCAAGGAAAGACCATCTAAATTGCCTAGGAGTCTAGGCGTTCACAGTCATGTGTTAAACTCCAAGATAGGTGGAATCTCACCATCCTGACATAACCACATGAACCACTTGTAAATATACCATTTACATTAGCATTTGAACTTTATCTGATACCTTTCCACACTTCAGAGGCCACTGCCAATCAAACTAGTTTTTTAAAATGCATTAGCTCTTTTTGTCTTGGTCAAGCTAATCAAAGTTTTTGTAATTTTGCACTTGGTAGCATCCACAATGTGGCACAAGTTTGAGATAAGAAAAATCTTAGAATTCTTTCGTTTGCTTCTTGAAACAGACACCAGATCCCTAATCTGTGTTTTCATTCAAGTTTGCTCATTTCCACTTATTTTATCTTAATATCTTTTTATATTTTGTAGATGCAAATTTTCTTCTTGATTCAACATTGTCAAGAAAATGTACCTTATATATGAGGATTTCAAAGCTATCTTCTAAACTGTAAAGTAATATTTACATTCCCCAAAATTTGCCATCCCAAAAGATTTTTAATTACAAAGTTTAAAAAAACAAGATGCACCAATTTTCCCACTTTAAATATTTTCAATGACCTAATTTTTAAATGATTTTTTAAAAACCAAACAGGTCCCTTTTGGGTAACCCTCATATCACCACCTACTTTGGGGTAGATGTAATGAAGCTGAGATATTGGGGTACAACATCTGGCAAGGACTTGTGAATTACAATTTTCTTTTACAACTGAAAACCATATCCTGGTCAGGTCTCAGTGGGGTTTAATGCTGTCAGAGCACACAAGGTTTGTTTTGATCTGTTATGGAGGAACACACATAGCTTTCAGTTCGCACTAATAACATCCCTGTGTCTGGTATACACCAATCCAGAGGCTACTAATTAAAGATTGGAATTAACCAAACACAGTTTCACTACAAAACATGTGAAACTTATTAAAACTTAAAAGTAACTGCTGATTCTCAATACAGGCAAAACTAAAGAATGTAGGAGTCTTGTGGGTTACTTAAGCAAAAAATTTTAAAGCACACTCAAGATGCCTCAGGTCTGCACACTCAGTACCCAATGTGTCAACATAATAGAAAAAAGTGCAAAACTTTTAAGATTACTGAAACCAAGAGATGAAAAGAATTTAACAGGTAAGCAGCCCATTTCCTTCACCAGGGTTAACTTCCACTCTGAGTCTTTGGTCTAACAAATACTTATATTTGCAGTTGTTGGAACAATTACCTTACCATTTTCTCACCAGAAAATTGTTTGTTGATCTGGTAACAAAAGGGGAGTTGGGACCAGTGGAAGACGGCCAGAGGTGGTGAGTTTCAGCAGCCAATTACATAATTCAAAATAAGACTACAAATTTTGTTTATTTTTAAAATTTTTATCTATGTGTAATACACAAACAGAATAGTGCATATTTCATGAGTAGACACCTTATTGAATTTTCACAAACTGAATCTATCCATGTAAGCAGCACCTAGACCATGATACAGACTATTACCAGCATTCTTACAATTTTTTTTTGACTTAGCACTGTCTCGCTACTCACAGTCAGCATTTACATCTTGTCCTACATCATGATTAGAAAGAATAGTAAAGCCCCAAATCTGGAAAGCAATGGGAGATGGCAACAGCCAGTGTTGAGTTCTCTCTGCTTGTGGTTTTGACAGGGCTACCAGGTCCCAAAATGTTGTGTGTGACACCAACTGCTCAAGGTAGATTATTCAAGAAAGGCGGAGAAGAGGGGAACAAAACATTTCAATTAAAGCTCTTTCCCGAGGAGGTGCACCCAAAGCTATGGTTTATAAAAGTCGTGAATGCACTGTGCTTTGGGGGCTAAGATCCCAGGTTCTAGAATCAAAGAGATTCTATCTCTACAATTTACTAGCAGGGAGACCTGGTCCAAATTATTTAATCTCTCTGAACCTCAGTGGCCTCATCATCTTTATTTAGATGGATCAGCCTCACTGAGTTATTGAGAAGATCAGGTGAGATCCCCTACAGTTGTATATGGAAAGGGCTGAACATAAAGTAGGAATCAAAAAATGGCATTGATCATTATTATTGCAATGATCAAAAAGCAGAATCACTCATTGGAGAAGTAAACCTCCTGGTTTTCTCCTCTGTTGAGTATCAGTTCACCCTCTGCTTGTAGGTTTTTTTTAATCTCTCTCTCAGTGTGTTCAAACTAATTTTAAGACTAAAGGGTAAGTGACTCCCTTTGGTGAAAGAACCAGTGTACTCCATTTCTTCTCTCTTCTGGATTTACATAACTTAGGAACTTTAAACAAATATCTCCTAGCATTTATTATACACCAGCTTTCCAATTTTGGTGTGCATAAACATCACCCAGATTTCTGGTGCCTCATACCTAAATATTCTCCTCTAGTTGACTTGTGGTGAGGCCCAGGAATCTCCATGCTATCAAGCAGAATGTGCATGAAGTCAGTACCCAGGTGATTCTGACATAGGTAGTCCCTAGGTCACCCATTCAGAAATGTAGACCCTCTGAGTCTTGGGACCTCAGAGATGATAAAGAGCACCTGCTGAACCAGAAGAATTTTCACGGATTTGATTTTCTGTGCTAAGTAGACAGTATCCACAGCTAATACTTTCCAAACATTAAAGGAATTTCCCAATGAATGAAAAAAAATTCTCCAAACATATGAGTGGCTGGCCTTCATTTCAGATAAGTCATTTGCATGTCATTAATAGTCCTAAGCAGAAATTAGATGTTAATGAAATGAGTTGAGTCAAATCAGTGCAACTTTAAAATTCATGAAAGCAAAAATAAGATTTCTGCTGATGTATAAATGTAACATTTTTCTCATTATGGTTTTCTATTCCTTGAGCATATTTCTTGGCATCTGACGTTCTCTATATTTTGGCATTTTCAGTTCTTACTTTTTCTCTAAAAATAAGCTTATCAGCACCACAGCCAAGACATTTTTGTAAAATATTTTATTTACAGGTATACAGGTGCAGATGTGTATATACTGAAATAAGCATAACGCTTTGCTGAATGAATAATTCTTTCTGGCCTTCACATTTTCCTCCATTTTCTCCTTTTCCATTGTCGTCATCAGCACCTCACTCAGTGCATATCAAATTATGTCCACATTTGTTTAAAAGATCTATCCGTTCACTAAGTCCAATTATAGGTCTTTCTTTTTTTCTTTTTCTTTTTTTTTTTTTTTTTTTTTTTGAGACAGAGTGTCACTCTTTCGCCAGGCTGGAGTGCAGTGGTGCGATCTCGGCTCACTGCAATCTCCGCCTCCGGGTTCAAGCAATTCTCCTGCCTCAACCTCCTGAAAAGCTGGGGTTACAGTCGCATGCCACCACACCGGGCTACTTTTTCATATTTTTATTAGAGATGGGGTTTCACCATATTGGCCAGGCTGGTCTTGAACTCCTGATCTTGTGATCCACCCGCCTCAGCCTCCCAAAATGCTGGGATTACAGGCATGAGCCATGGCACCTGGCCCCAGTTATAGGTCTTTCTACAAAACAATTTGATATTCTTAAATAAGACTGCCATCCAGATTCTAAGTTTAGTTTTCTTCAGTTGAGCTCAATACGCATTTATATAGGACCTACTATGTGCCTGATTCAATTAGGCTGGGTTGGTTATTTTCACAAGCTGATTGGGAAATGAAAACTACATTGTGGTGAAGCACAAGCTGGAATGAGGACAAGATGACACTTATCTCAATCAAAGAAGTACCAGTGGCAAATATGAGCTGTGGATAGACAGATCACTCAGCTCCCAACATATTTGAATTTGCTTTCATCACAGATCATTTTCAGTTCCCTTCCTAGACACTCCACCCACAGTCCTACCCAGAGAGCACAGTTGTTCGAAACTGTTTGCTAACACAGTGCTAGTCTGCCAAATACTGGTCCAGGATCTGACATTGCCAAATCTGCCTGCCTTTCTAAGAGGACCTGAGCAACCTATTTCTGAGAAAGCACCTGCTGAAGAAAGAAAGAAAAGCTTTAGCGCTAGATAAAAATAGATCAATATTACTGCTTGTCCTGAGAAGAAGTAAGGATGACTGTGTGACTTTTTTTCCCATGCTCTTCGAATTTTCCATAGTTAAAATGTAACTTTCACAATTGGAAAAAGTAACTTTTAAAAAGTAAATAAGGAAAGGTGTATCTTAAATTGGAGTGTCCTAGCATTAGAAATTATAGTATAGAGTCATTGTAATTGCTGCTGTTATCAGATATTCTTGTTTGTATTTTAAATTCAAACGCGTGTTAAATTCAATAATGTAGTCACTTTGAAAAAGGACCCTCAACAGAATACACACAGTTGCTTTTTTCTTGGATGACAAGATTTCAAGCATGAGAGAGATCGAAAATGGTTTTGTTTTCTTCCTTTTCCCTCCAAGTTTTCTAAAATAAGCATGAATAACTTTTATAAATTAGAAACATACCAATAAATGTTATTATTTGGAAAGAAGATTTTAGACTCGCTGAAGCCCACAGATATTTGGACTTTGCCCTAATTTATTTCTACTCTCCAAGATTTTGCAGGATTTCAGAGTGGTGGACAATTTCTTAAAATAACATTCAATAAATTCATTTGCTTTTATGATTTTATAATTAGATACCTTGTAAATATTGTTGATTTAAGTCTTTTTGGTGTTGGCATGAATTGAATTCAGGAAACTGTACAGTTAACACAATTCAATCTCATTTGGATATGGCCTTTTAAATGAGCAAGCATCAGATTGACAATGTAGGGTTTGTGAAAGTGTCTCATTACCTAGGATTATCATAATCCTGGAAATGACACATTTTTAAATTTGTAGATTCATTTTAAGACCACAGAGAAAGCTGAAAGAAGGATCCTATATTTATTGTGACCAAGTGTTCCTGGCCCACTATCTTTAATAGCCAAGACCACATTGCTCTATCCCCAGAGCTCTGTTCAGGAAGGTATAAAAGGTATGAACATTTAAGAGGGCCTGGTAAAATCTTCACCTTAACTGCTCAAAGTGTACCTCATTCTAGGGGTAAAACTTAGCAGCTTCCAACTAAAGGTGAGTGGCACATTTCTTAAAACAGATGTTGAAGTCAGTAAACTCAGTCTTTGTCTAACGTATCATCCTACTGGACCAAATAAGAGTTTAGGAAATTGAATTCGTTAAAACAAACAAACAAACAAACATGAAAAGGCAAACAAACATGAAAAGGCAAATGATAGAACTGGCCAGTTCCATTTCTAATGGCCTGAGTGGACTCATTCTAGAATTTTTTTTTTTTTTTTTTTTTTTTTTTTTTTTTTTTTTTTTTTTTTTTTTTTTTTTTTTTTTTTTTTTTTTTTTTTTTTTTTTTTTTTTTGAGACGGAGTCTCACTCTGTTGCCCAGACTGGAGTACAATGCTACAATCTTGGCTCACTGCAACCTCTGCCTCCCAGGTGCAAACAATTCTCCTGCCTCAGCCTCCCGAGTAGCTGGGATTACAGGTGCCCACCACGACGCACAGTTAATCTTTGTATTTTTAGTAGAGACAGGGTTTCACCATGTTGACCAGGCTGGTCTCAAACTCCTGACCTCATGATCCACCTGCCTCGGCCTCCCGAAGTGTTGGGATTACATGCATGAGCCACCGTGCCTGTCACATAGAATTTCTATGTTTCCACTTAATGACAATCTTTAACATTGAAAAACACAATTTAAGACATATAGTACTTTAAAATAATACTACTCAGAAAAAAGAGAAAGATGCACACATCAATCTGTTTTAACTTACAGGATCTGCATTTATAAGCCTAAAAGAAATTATACATTTTAAATACAACTCTGGATAATTGCCTTCTTCAATGGGTGCATCACTGAGAAGAAAGTTCTCTTAATACTTTATTCCATTAACAGCTTTTTCCACAAAGACTGGGTTGATCTTTAAAGATGTATTACTTTATTTTTTTATTTTTATTTTTTTTTTTTGAGACAGAGTCCCGCCGTGTCACCCAGGCTGGAGTGCAGTGGCGTGATCTTGGCTCACTGCAACTTCCGCCTCCCAGGTTCATGCCATTCTCCTGCCTCAGCCTCCCAAGTAGCTGGGACTACAGGCACCCGCCACCACACCTGGCTAATTTTTTTTGTATCTTTAGTAGAGACGGGTTTTCACCACACCATGTTAGCCAGGATGGTCTCGATCTCCTGACCTTGTGATCCGCCCGCCTCGGCCTCCCAAAGTGCTGGGATTACAGGCGTGAGCCACTGCGCCCAGCCAAGATGTATTACTTTAAGCAGCAAAGTTCAGCTCAGTGAATGGCCTACTGAAGGGCACACGAGCAAAGTGTTCAGCACTGAGACCCAGAGGCCACTGGTTTCTCTGCAAGGTTCTGTAATTACTGGTGAAGTCCTTGGGCCTGAGCTAGGCTGTCTGTGGTTTGCTTTGCATATACTGGGATGTGAATGGTAATGAAGCATATGGTTAAGGGCTGGCACTATTCTGCAGCCAGACTGCTTGTGTTCAAATACCCAGGTCCCCTACTTACTAGCTTGTGATCTTAAGTGGCCTATTTTAGTTATTTCTGCCTCTGTTGCCTTGCCTATGGATGAGGATAATATTAAAAATATCACTATATCATAAGGTTGTTGTAAGGTGTCAGTGAAGTTAATTCATGTAAAATTCTTCAGGCAATGCCTGATGCATAAAAAAGTGTAATGTAAGTATTAACTGTATTTATAAACGCAGTCAGTGTGAAGATACAAGTGAGAGAAAAATCAAGAAGGAAGTAAGAGCACTGCCGAAAATTGTCTTAGAAAAAATTACAAATGATATGAAAGTCATCTTAGAAAAAATTACAAATGATATGCATGGTTCTAAGTTATGAAGTCTCAGAGGGTTTGTTGGTTTTTTTTTTTTCTTCCTCTTCCATCTGGGTGAAAGTCTCCAAAAAATTTGAATAGAGACTTCTATATCATCATCCAAACTTTCCCATAAACAAAAAATAATCTCCCACAAGGCTGAGATAGAATTTTAAAGAAATAGCAGACACTTGTGAAACATGTTCCCCCATAAAAGTAATGACCAAAACTTGTTCTCAATTTCACGCAGAACCTATTGTGTTAAGAAGTGAATCACTGGGGGACTGAACATCAATTGCTTGCCCGTGTTCAAAATATTTTTTAATCACAGACCGCCAGTGGGAAATGGCACAGAAGAATAAGGAGGCTATCTAATGAATGGGAGGCACAATGGCAAGAGTCTAATTCAGCAGATTTTTCAAAGGCCTTTCCAACAGCTATTATAGCAGTCAAATGAAGGGGAAGGTAACAGCGGATTATTACCTTTCACTCAACACTTTTTCCTCTGCCAAGAATTTTTTAAATGTCACAGGAATATAATTCACATGCTTCACAGATTGTGAACAATTTTCTCTAAACCTTCAACCATGTATCCAGCAGCACCTAAACTCAATATAATCCGAGCACGACAGCAAATGGCCAACACACCATCTGTCCTGCCACTCCAACTCCCCAAGGTATAAATGAGAGGACTCCATGTGGCACTTGACCACAGAGGCAGAAAAACAAATGCTGCTGGGAGTGGTGTGATGTGAACATGCTGTAGCTCTGCCAAAACACGTGAAAAGCTGGGAGCCATAGCACAGAACGAGTGCAGTGGGAAACTCTTCTTGATGGTCATTTTATCAACTTGGCTGACTATAGAAAGGGAAAGATCCTCCTGAACATTGCAGCGCCAGTCATTCACGAGCTGTGAAAGCTTGCTGTATGCCAGGCACTGTGCTAAAAGCTTTACTGCAAGTATTATCTCATTTATCCTATAAACCCTATTTTACACTTAAGAAACTGAGGCACATGCAGGTTAAGTGTTTTACCCAATGTCTCCCATTAGCAATTGTGATACTGCATAATCAACACTCAATATGCACTTGAATGAGTAAGTGAATAAATGAGTGAATGCATTTCAGAGTATCTAGTTTCTCAACATACAAATTCACTAGGTATTCACATATTGCTAGATCTGAAGGGAAAGGACACCATAAAAGGGTGAGGATCTTTGAAAATGACTCAGATTCCTTAACAGAATGGCAAAGAATCATTAATTGCATACTGCAGAGAAACATAGAGACCATCACACACCCTCCTCCTCTTCCTTATCTTTTCTTCTGCTGTTGAATTTCCGATGAATATGTTTAAACTGGCTTTTCACGGTTCTGGGTAACCATTATGACTGTGGTTTTGTTTGGAGCTAGCAGTTTATTGGTCTCCCATAAATGGTGGCAATTCTCTCACAGTAGCAGTCATCTGGTAGGAAGCCAGGCACTCATTTGTTTGTTCATTTATTCTACAAGTACTCATGGACTATCTATCAAATGTCAGGCCCTGAAGATATGGTGGTGAACAAGATTCAGTCCTGCTTTCAGAGTCTTACAATCTAGCAGGAAAGCCCAGTGGTAAACAAATAACTAATTGCCCAAGAGTTAATAAATTACAGTTGACATACATGTTATCACAAAGAGGTACATCACACAGAAAGATGTAACAGTGTTGTCAGCCCAGCCTGGAGGAGTCAAGGAAGGCTTCATTGACATGACATTCAAGCTGAGACCCATGGAAAATGAATGCATGTTTGTTGAGAGGCATGGGGATCAGGTAGCGTTAGGTAAAAATATTCTAAACAGAGCATTTGCAAAGACTTTGAAACAGGAAGGAGCTGGATGCAATATGAGTGTTCATTTTAATTATTAAATAATGAACAAGTGGCTCATGCCTGTAATCCCAGCAGGGGAGGCTGAGGCGGGAGGATCACTTGAACCCAGTAGTTCAAAACCAGTCTAGGTAACATAGGAAGACCTCTTCTCTACAAAAAAATTTTAAAATTAACCAGGCATGGTGGCACTCCCCTGTGGTTCTAGCTACTCAGGAGGCGGAGGTGGGAGGTTTGCTTTAGCCCCAGAGGTCACATTCCAGCCTGGGCGATGGAGCAAGACCCTGTCTCAAAAAAAAAAAAAAAAAAAAAAAAAAATTAACTCTTTATTGATTGGCAATAGAGTAGTATCTTCTGGAAACTGCCATATAAGCTGAGCACTAAAAAATAAGATGCTACAAAACAGACCCCAAAAATGTATTCAAACCCTAAACAATCACCATTGGCAGTGGTATAGAAAATCTTTTGGAATTATTTGCTCTAGAAGCAACCTCTGAAGTATTCATGAATCCACCATGAAGATCCTATGTCCTCTCTCAGCATCTGCCTGCCCCAATCCAGCATAAGATGGCAGAGGGAAAGGGGGAGAAATAGAAAGAATTCTACAGTCTCTGTCTGTTTAAAAAACATTATTTCCAAAACATTCATTTGATGATGATTCTGCTCTTCCAGCAAAGCAAAGCAGGGTGGCAGCTGGCCCACTGCACTTCCCTGGCCCCGCCACCCCACACACTTCCTTCCCTGAATTTCTCCACCCACCTTTAAAGTTAGACGTATGCATTTGCCAAAGTAAACAGAGATGCCTTAAAAAAATATATATATATATATAGGAGGGAAATGCGGAGAAAGGGGATCATAAATCCCTCCAGGACTTCTTGCACTTCGTGATTCACACAGCAAAATCATCTGAATGCCAACCTGACTCCTGTAGCTTTTCAAAACACGTGAAAAACCCGGTTCCCCAGCTTAAGTGGCCTAAAAAGCAGGCCCCCCAACTGATCGCATTCAAGGTGTGTGGTCCAGAAAATCAATCCATTTGGAGGACAAAGCCTACACCTCTTCTTTGCAAGTTCATTTGGTTTCCTCACTCATTGTTTTCTTCAGGTAATGCCTGCAACCTAAGTAGGATTAGTAAATTAAGTAGCCCTTGATAAAGGGAACACAGGAAACATAGGAAGGAGGGAGGGAAGGAGCGGGTAGAGGGAGGTGCCGAAGAGGGAGTTGGGAGGCCTCCTTCATACTGGGACCTTAGGAAGCGATTGATCAAAGCCTTCTGATGCTTCAGGTTCTGGGTAATGCAGCAAAGAGCTAAAATTACTAAATTTTTACTTAGAAATGATTATGAAGCTGAATCACGGGTCACTCAGCATTTTCCTAATTTGGAACCCCTGGAGGCTACTCTGACTAAAACAGTCCCAATTTGGCATGGAAATGAACTAAGAGCCTCCCAGCGCACATGGGCTTTTCAATAATCTCAAACCTTTTTCAAGACGCCAGGCAGGGATTTAACTTTGCCCATCTCTCACACAAAATCACTCACAGTTTATGACTGGCTTTTAAAACTGAATTCTGAAGAAATTATGTACTGATTCAGCTTATTCTGAGTTCTGTTTTGAGTTTTAAAGCAATCCCATTGTTTTAACCAAACAAAAAAGTTTTGACTTCAGCATAATAAATAAGAAAAAAAACCATATAAGCTATAGATTGAATTCTCTTTTCTTCAGAAGATTTCCTCTCTGCCAATAGTTCTTAAAGGAAAATCAGGGCCTCAAGGCTAATGTTCTCATTTTCATTTTGTCCTCACTCAGTTTCCACAAGCACAACCACTACCTTGCCCAATTGCAGGAAACATGGTTTTTTTTGTTTTTTTTTTTTGTTTTTTTGTAAACCGTAGTGTGAATGGTACAATGTGGAATAACTGTTCCAAAAGTATATCAAGGATGGAGGTTGTAGAATATTCTAGAACACTGGCCTTACGTACGTCAGCTTCTACATTTCCACTGTGCTTCTCCCAACCACTCTCTCTCCAAAATAATTCTTTTTGTCACAAAATCCCAGTGCAAGGGAGAAAAAGAGGACTAGGGGAAGCAGGGCTGGGTGAGAAACAGGTTTATTGGAAACACACATTCAAACATCCTTCTGAGCCACTGTTGCCCTGAAGAAGCCTAAAGTCGATTTCCTTTTTGCATCTTCTTAAATTGAAGTATTTTCCACAGAGTGCCATTTCAGCCCCCCTCATTGTGAATACCACACAAAGATTCACATAACTTTTGGAACATATAACTATAGTTCATTTCACGCTTGTAATCTTGAGCTTCTTGCATCAACTTAGTTTCCTGTTGTTTCCCCCAAGCTTTTGCTCTTCACAGAGGGACATCTCTGGGCAGTGGCACAATTTTTGCTGATAAAGTTAAATTGACCCTAGTGATATAGGGCAATTTGAACTGACAAAGAATTCAGACTAGGTAGGATAAGGAAAGGTGCTTGGAAACTAATGACTTAGTTTTTGAATGCTCTGTTCCCAGGCTGTACTTCCGGGAGTATCAAACTTCTAGGACACTTAATATGTTGCTGAGGGTGTGCTACTTCAGCAATGAACTGTTTACTATATAGAGAACAAGAGAAAAAACAAATTTCCCCCAAAAGTGTTGGAGAATGCAAAGATATATTTAATAACATTTGATGGGGGTGGAGAAAGAGCTTTTTTTTCAAGAACTTTTTTTGGCACCACAAAATTAAAGGATTTTCTAACCCTGTCTTCTTTTCGTCTTTCCCAGAGAAGGAAATTGTAAAGGCCAGCCCTTGAAAAATAATATAGCAAAATCTAACTTTATTCCCTTAATCTCTTAATAATGCTGCAGCTGGCCATGATCTATTTAGCATAACACAAAAATAATGCATTTGTACCAAGCAGATTTGAAATGCTTTAAAATAATGAAAGCTATTTACTTGATTGATTAAGTTAAAGTGTTTACATAAAAGTGTCATATTTTGACATCAGTCATACAACACCACATCTGGTACTTCTAATTAAATTGTGTGAAAAAGACTACATTTTTTATTCGGTTGCAACAATATGGCTAATGGGAAGTACAAACGTATTTGTCATGCCCAGAGCCTGGGATCTGCAGTTATGGCATGTGGCTGCTAAAATCCCCAGATTTGGATTTTGCAAAGCTTTCATAGCCTCTAACACATGTTTTGCCTGAACAAAGACTGAAAAACTGAGCTACACCTCTGTGAGTCAACGGTTACTATTTTTCCTATTTTGATTTAAACCTCTCCAAGTGCCATCAGAGAACTAAAATGTAATGAGAACTAGAATAAAGTTGTCTTAAGGAATTGGTGCTCAGAGCCCAGGTAAGGCACTTTGTTTTGTTAAGCTTTAGTCCTGCAGATTAGGAAATAAACTCAAGAAACTTTAATGGGGGAACAGGGGAGTGAAATCCTATTATTCATTCAGAGCAGGAGCTCATTTATATCTTTGGTGAAGTGTAGAACTCATACATACCTCAAAAATGACCTGCTCCTTACTGAAGCACTTGATTTAAACCACGGAGATTTTTTTTCTTCCAAAGTTAGGATGAAATATTTTACATATAGCAAATAAAGGACAAAATGGCTTGGCTAGTTAAGGCATGCTTACTTCACTTTTAATATAGACAAATAATAATTCAAAATCCTCTTTTTATTTTTTTAAGTAAAATTATGTCCATCCCATGTGCAGATTCAATTTACAGACTAAGTACACAACCAAATCTAGCCTCCCTGGGAACCATCCATTCGCTTAAGAAGGTGGAGGAGACACTGCTGTATTTTCTTAAAGAGATTTCTGGCATTTTTTTTCCTCCTTCGTGTCGCCTTAAAGACTACCTTGAGAAATGTTGCCCAGCAGTAAAAGGAAAATGAGTTCAAGCTTCAAAATCAGGAAATTTGGGTAATAAAATGTACGTTATAAAGTCAATGTTGATCGAAAAATAAATCGAGCCCTTTTAAGTAGGTTGTCAGCCATGAGAAGTGAAGACCATCTGACTTCCTATAGAATTATTCAGCCTTCCTCAGGCAAAGGCTGCCTCCAGAAGGCTCGGAAGCTGCAAAAGTCTACGTTGACCCAAGATGGTAAAGCATTTGAACACACATATGGGATATGCACTTATTTACCATGTACTATGTTCAATTTAAAGAAAATAAATGCAAAGGCAGGAACCACGAACAAATAGAGGGTACGATTTTCCATAATTGCAAGGAGACTTAGGTAATGCTCTATGCGGTGTTTGATTTAAAATGTTAAAATATTAACAGAAGTTTTCTACAGCAGAGTGTTCCTATCACAGTGAAATGACTCATAAGAATGCTAAATTCAAACCAGATGGGCACAAACATTAACTGAAAAAAAAATCAGATATTTAGGGGTCAGCATGGGTCTTCATAAAAATGAAGACCTTGTCTGAGTTATTGAAAAATGAACTTTCAGTGATAAAAAAGAAAACAAGAGAAAATAGTAGTGACTTTATTTTAATTATACAAGCCACTGTCAATTAGAAGAGCTAACATTTACAAAACTTTGTATTGCCATTTTAATTTGAAAAAGATGACTATGGTGGTCTTGAGACTTCAGATAAACAGGGATGTCAGTATCTCCTTTATAGCCAGAGTCAGGGACTCATTAGTTCAACTATGTGCCATGCTAATAGTCTACCAGAATCTCCTCGCTTCTCACCGAGAAAGAACCATCATTGAAGATTTGTGTAGTAGAGAAACCTCCAACCATCAATCTGTGGCATAATGCCAGCCTTTGCTCTTCCTTCAACAGACCACAGAGGAAAATTCTCATTCCTGGGTCAGACATCCCACCAAATCTCCTCTGCTCTCTTGTTAAAAATATGTTTTCTTGCATTTCTCCTTTTTTATTTGTTCCTCCAGAGCTTTTTACCATTTGCAGATTGTCTGCAACATGTGCTGGGTTTAAATGTGTACATACCCTACAGAAAGAAAAATATGCGGGCTCAGAATTAATATTGTTTTTGACTTATAGGGAAATTCCAGTTGTGTTTAACTTGGACTGTGGGATCCAGGAACTTTACAGAGAGGAGAAACCAATGTGTTTTGAGCAAAAATGTGTATGGGGAGTTCCCTACTGTTTTGTTGCTGGAATCTTGGACAACACAGAGAAAAATGACAAGCACATAATTTAGTCTGGCAGCCATACCACTCTGTGCTGTGAGCCTGTCAGTTCTTTCTAGCTAAGTAAGTGCTGGCCTGCTTTGGTGCAAGGATGAGAGACCTCCCAGGAACAAGTAGGTACTTCAGGAGATGGTGTTTCGCATTCAGTAGGTGGCCTCTCCTCTCCGGGTCCATGTGAATCGATGCCCCGCGTGGTGTTAGGGGGCACTGTCTGCACTGAGCTGTTTACCTTTTGTATGAAACTTAAAACCACAGACCTAACCATTTGTGGTCACCAGAGATCTTATGGCAGACTTTCTAAGAGCAGTTGTGTTAACTCCAGAATCCTGGCCGGAGTCCAACTAAAGTAATTACATTCTGCCTCCCTAAAATACCCCCTGCAGTTTCAATTGAATACAATAGTCTTAGCCCTCTGTCTCAAAGCTGGGCATGATATTAGGATTCCATGCAGGAACAGCCTGTGATTCCATGCTAAAAGAAGTGATTCCCCAATCCTCACCAAGGTGTAGTGATGCTTAATTAATTAGTGCTCATAAAAGCCTGCGGAGAACCACAGTTTCAAAGTGCTCACAGTATGCAAAGTGGCAGGAATGTTCACATGTTCATCTGTCTGTAAAAGCCAGCAGTCAGTGTGGTCTCAGACTGCCTTCACAGAAGCAGAAATTCAGGACAAGGGAGGTAGGGTTGTGTCCCATTGCCCTCTGGCCTGGAAATATATCTGGAGCAGTGTGCTCAACTCTGGAGATGCACTTAAAAAGGGTACCTCATCTAGGTAGAGCAAGTCCTCAGAGGCCATCAGAATGAGGAAGGATCTAGAAATGATGTCATATGAGGGATGGTTAAAGGAACTTGGGGCGTTTAGCTAAAAAGGAAGGAAGGAAGGAAGGAAGGAAGGAAGGAAGGAAGGAAGGAAGGAAGGAAGGAATCCATTCACCAAGACCAAATTCAAGTCTATCAGATGAAATGCAGTCCTCCAAGGACTCATTTAGTCCTCACTGTCTGTAGCACTAATTTGGACCTTTTCACAGGCTCTTATTGGCTATCTAATTAATTCTGAATGTCTTCTCTCGTTCAACATGTGTCTAAGACTTCCCAGAGCAGGCACCATGCTTGATAGGTCGTATCTGTAGTAGTGGTAAGCAAAGTAAATTCAACTCAGTCCTTTGCAGGAGCTGTTTATTAAGAACCTGTGACATGTGTGCTGGGTGTACAAAGATGACTAAGATAAACCTGCCATCAAGTGTGACTTCTAACTGTATGGCATAAATTATAAAAGAACAGATAAATAAAAGAAAGAAAAAAATCCCACCAAGTTAGAAGGTTCAGGAAAGATTTTTATGAAGGAAGAACATATTTTTTAATAAGTTAACGTGTCAGGGGAAGACATTTTACAGGGAAAGAGCCTTAACCCTTTCTCCACTTAGAAAAAAAAAAGTGCAGCTTTCTGCCAGCACTCATTTAATTTTACATAAACACACTCCTTGAGGCTGAAGAAAATCTGACTGATTTTCAATGTGAAAATAAAATATAAAAACTGTTCTTGGAGTTATTTCTAAACAGAACTAACATCAGAATTGTCTGATTCATTGAAATAGTCTATTTCAGAAAAAAGTCAGATTCATCAAATTAATCTTCAGCTAACAACTGTTTGAGAACAATGTTACCACGTGTAGGAATGTCACATTTTCTAGGATTTGACATTTTCAGCAATCAAGAATTACTTTCTCTTTCTCTCTCTCTATATATATACACACACATAAATATACATATATACACATATATTATATATGCGTATTTATATATTACATATAAACATATATACACAAATATGTATATATTATATATACAATATATACACAAATATGTATATATTATATATACAATATATACACAAATATGTATATATTATATACACAATATATACACAAATATGTATATATTATATATACAATATATACACAAATATGTATATATTATATATACAATATATACACAAATATGTATATATTATATATACAATATATACACAAATATGTATATATTATATATACAATATACACACAAATATGTATATATTATATATACAATATACACACAAATATGTATATATTATATATACAATATACACACAAATATGTATATATTATATATACAATATACACACAAATATGTATATATTATATATACAATATATACACAAATATGTATATATTATATATACAATATACACACAAATATGTATATATTATATATACAATATATACACATAAATATGTATATATTATATATACAATATACACACAAATATGTATATATTATATATACAATATATACACATAAATATGTATATATTATATATACAATATATACACATAAATATGTATATATTATATATACAATATATACACATAAATATGTATATCATATATATACACATAAATATGTATATAATATATATACACATAAATATGTATATAATATATATACACATAAATATGTATATATTATATATACACATAAATATGTATATATTATATATACACATATACACATAAATATGTATATATTATATATACACATATATACACATAAATATGTATACATTATATATACACATATATACACATATGTGTATACATTATATATACACATGTGTGTATACATTATATATACACATGTGTGTATACATTATATATACACATGTGTGTATACATTATATATACACATGTGTGTATACATTATATATACACATGTGTGTATACATTATATATACACATGTGTGTATACATTATATACACATGTGTGTATATATTATATATACATGTGTGTATATATAATATATATAATATATTATATAATATATATAATGCATATATAATATATACACATGTGTATATATTCTATATACACATATATACACACATGTGTATATTATATATACACAGATGTGTATATTATATATACACAGATGTATATGTAATATATACACAGATGTATATGTAATATATACACATATATGTGTATATGTTATACATACATATGTGTATATGTAATATATACACATATGTGAATATGTAATATATACATATATGTCTATATTACATATACACATATGTGTCTATATTATATATACACATATGTGTCTATATTATATATACACATATGTGTCTATATTATATATACACATATGTGTCTATATTATATATACACATATGTATATATTATATATACACATATATGTATATTATATATACACATATATGTATATGTTATATAAACACATATATGTATATGTTATATATACACATATATGTATATGTTATATAAACACATATATGTATTAGATAACTTTGCCACAAAATATCTCACTTTCATTGTTATTATTTTTGCATTGCTCTTATATAGTGACCTTGGAAACAAAAGACATCATTCTATTTATAGCATTCTGGTTTTAGTAATCATACTTTCATTTAAAAAATATAGTAATTTTTGGCCCGGCGTGGTGGCTCATGCCCGTAATCCCAGTACTTTGGGAGGCCGAGGCGGGCTCCCAAAAGTCAGTATATTCCGAATTGACCGTTCCTTCTGTTTTCTTTTCCTTCCCTAACTATATCTTCTATTTCAAGAAACATCTTTACATAATTCACAGAAATTACTCCGTGTTTTCCCACTTTCAGGCCCTTGCACTTACACCCTCTGCCTGTTTGCCTCCTGAATACATATAGATATATACACATATATATACACATATATACATATATATGTATGTGTGTATATATAAAATAAATATATATACATATAAAATAAATATATATACATATATATATATTTTTGGATAGGGAGTTTTGCTCCTGTTGCCCAGGCTGGAGTGCAATGGTGCAATCTGAGCTTACCACAACCTCCGCCTCCCGGATTCAAGTGATTCTCCTGCCTCAGCCTCCCGAGTAGCTGGGATTACAGGCATGAGCCACCACGCCAGGCTTATTTTGTATTTTTAGTAGAGACGGGGTTTCTCCATGTTGGTCAGGCTGGTCTTGAACTCCCGACCTCAGGTGATCCGCCCGCCTCGGCCTCCCAAAGTACTGGGATTACAGGCATGAGCCACTGTGCCTGGCCAAAAATTACTATATTTTTAAAATGAAAATATGATTACTAAAACCAGAATGCTATAAATAGAATGATGTCTTTTGTTTCCAAGGTCACTATACAAGAGCGATGCAAAAATAATAACAATGAAAGTGAGATATTTTGTGGCAAAGTTATCTAAGGCCAAACACTGTGGCCACAAGCTCTGCCAGCAAGTATTCAGGGGGCAAACAGGCAGAGGGTGTAAGTGCAAGGGCCTGAAAGTGGGAAAACACGGAGTAATTTCTGGGAATTATATAAAGATGTTTCTTGAAATAGAGGATATAGTTTGGGAAGGAAAAGAAAACAGAAGGAGAGGTCAATTAGGAATATATTTTGGAGGGCTCTGAGAAATTAGTATTGGCTATGGTTTTAATGTGTCCCCCAAATTTTATATGTCGGAAACGGAATCCCAGAATTCATATGTTGATGGTATTTGGAGGTGGGGCCTTTGGGAGGTAGTTGGGATTAGATAAAGTCCTCAGGGTGGGGCCCCCATGATGGGACTGGAGGCTTTCTAAGAAGAGGAAGAGAGACCCAGGCTGACACTCGGGCTCCTACCCTCTTGCCCTGTGGCGCCTCTGCCGTGCTATGACCCCGCATGAGGCCCTTGCCAGAAGCTGACCACATGCAGCCTCTCAACCTTGGACTGCTCAGCTTCTAGAATTGTAAGGAACAAATTTCTTTTATTTGTAAATTACCCAGCCTCAGGTATTCTGTAATACGAACAGAAAACAAACTGAGATAGTGCATTACTGTTCAGCAAAAAGCAGTTAGCTATTGAAGGGGGAGCTACTGAGATGAGCCCTCCACCTCAGGATGCTGCTGTAGCAGGGCTGTGCCAGGCAGATGAGAGAGCCGAAGGCTGGAGTCCAGGTCATTTCTAGGCTAACCAGGGAGGGGGACTCTGGTGCAAAAGATGTGGGAGTGGGGGCCCCTTTCTCGATATCATAGGTAACCCCATACTGGTTACCAACTTGACTTTCTGTGAGTGGCATAGCTCACCCTCACTACTTTCCCTGCGGCCCACCACCCCCACACTGGCAGGCTAACTGCATGGTACGCCCTGGGGGGAATAGGCTGAGAATTCTGAGCCTCAACTCCACCCAGTCTTGGAAATTCTAGCCCTTTATCTCTTTGCCCCTATAACCTGTATCAGAAGCTTAGATTAATCGCTGAGGGACTGCACCCAGGGAGGGATGGGGTGTTACTGGGGAAACTGGATTTACCCTCTAGTTGCTAGGTCTGGCTCCAAGTTCTAGGTTTCCTCATTCCAAGTTCTAGGACCCTTGATATGAGCCATTCCTCTGGACCCTTTCCTCAGGGAGTTTGGTGAGGAAAGAACATGTTAGCATATCCTTAGAGACTGCTGTGGCCTAAGAATAGAAAAAGAGGAAATCACTGCATTGTGGGGGATTCCAGTCCCTCCACTTCTTGCTTCTCTTGGGCCCAGAGAGAAGCTGTTTTCCTTTACAAACAGTGCAGTGCATACATCCAGGGCATAAGAGTTTTGTTCTTTCCTGCGCTTTGAGGAGACTACAGTGTATTTTGCCTTAAATATATGCCCCAACATTTACCAGCTTCACAGTCTGCATATTTCACTTCTAACACTGAGGTTAAAACAAAAATGAATACAATATTTTTTAGACGTGAATGAAATCAACAAGTTTTGTTTTGTTTTTTAAACTTTTGCCATAAACTGTGACTAGTTTTAATGATTTCACAAATTGCTATCTCTAAATTCTAGGAATGTGTGTTTGAGGCTCCCCTATTTTGAGATTATAGACAGGCCAAAGATACAATCTGAACAAATTTTTTATCAAGATAAGGGATGGGGGCTGGTGACATAGAATAAGGGTGTTTCCAAGAGGGTTCAGGACTGGGAGGGAAAATAATCCAAAGTTGTGACCTGTGTTGGACCAACAGTGAAACAAAAACAGCATAAGCTTCCTCTTAGAGAGTTGTGGGAACCTAGAAGTTCCTCTTATGCGAACACCTTCACTTAACAAGTGAGAAACATTAAAACTGAAAGAGAAATTTTCCTAAGCCCTGTTATAAGAAATAAATGTGTAGGAACAGATTACAAGGCAGTATCTATAGTTTTAAGGGTTGGTTCATCAAGCCTATGTTTTGTTGATCTACTAACTACAAATTTGAATGCGAGAGGGACCAATATATAAAAATCCATTCCTTGTCTGAGTTCTTCAACCTGCAAACACACTCAATGATAACAGAAGAATATCAGGATGTGTCTATTGCAAGCTGTTTGTCTTATTTCAGCCTATTAGCATCCCTGGGAGGACGGCATTATCACCTAGTTGTAAAGATGAGGAAACTTGTTTGGCTAAAGTGACTCAACTTGTAAGATATCAAAGTGTGATGTGTCTGGCTTCCAAGCCTAATGTTTTCAGTTGCAACGTAACTTTTTCTATGTTGATTTCCCATTAGCGCTAGGTCTACATGTGAAAATTTCAGTTCTAATTTCCGTTTTAGGAATGGTTCACACTCTGAATCATGTGAGGTTCCTTACGTGGCTTGCGACCAACTGGCCATTACAGTTAATCCCTCGAATCTCTTCCAGGGTATCACCAAATCATTCTCCAAATAAAATTATTCAAAAATCAAATCCAAGGATAAGAAAAAAGTGAGCAGAGGGGAGTCCATTAAGTTTCATCTTCTTCCAATTAGTTCAACACTCTTCACTTATTTGGCTGTTCCAAAGATATTTTGTCCTGCTTAAAAATAGAGGTGCGGCCAGGCATGGTGGCTCACGCCTGTAATCCCAGCACTTTGGGAGGCTGAGGTGGGCGGATCACGAGGTCAGGAGATCGAGACCTTCCCGGTGAACACTGTGAAACCCGTCTCTACTAAAAACAGAAAAAAATTAGCCGGGTGTGGTGGCGGGTGCCTGTAGTCCCAGCTACTCGGGAGGCTGAGGCAGGAGAATGGCATGAACCTGGGGGGCGGAGCTTGCAGTGAGCGGAGATTGCGCCACTGCACTCCAGCCTGGGCAACAGAGCGAGACTCCATTTCAAAAAAAAAAAAAAAAAAATGAGGTGCAAGGTGCAACAACATTCCATTCAAAAAACAGCTAGCATATCTTCTGGCATTTTTAAAAAAGAAGTTTAACCCAGAAATCCTATAAGATTCTTTTTTTTTTTTTAAATTTTAGACAGAGTCTCCCTCTGTCACCCAGGCTGGAGTGTAGGAGTGTAGTGGCGCTATTTCGGCTTACTGCAACCTCCACCTCCCTGGTTCAAGTGATTCTCCTGCCTCTGCCTTCTGAGTAGCTGGGAGTACAGGTGCATGCCACCACATCTGACAATTTTTTTTTTTGTATTATCAGAAAAGTCAGGGTTTTGCCATGTTGACTAGGCTAGTCTCGAACTCTTAGCCTCAAGTGATCCTCCCACCTCAGCCTCCCAAAGTGCTGGGATTACGGGTGTGAGCCACTCACCCGGCCAATTCTGTAAGATTCTATAAGTTCTCCTGCACTTGCCAGGTGTGGCAACTCATGCCTATAATCCCAGCACTTGGGGAAGCTGAGGCAGAGGCCAGGAGTTCTAGGTTACAGAGAGCTATGATCGTGCCACTGCACTCCAGCCTAGGCAACAGAATGAGACCCTATCTCTATTTTTTAAGAAGGGAGGGTACTGGTTGAGGTGGCTTACACCTGTAATCTCAACGCTTTGGGAGGCCAAGGTGGCAGGATTGCTTGAGGCCAGGAGTTTGACACCAGCCTGGACAACATAGCAAGACCTCGTCTCTGCTAATATATATATATATATTTTTTTTAATTAAATGAGCATGGTGATGTGTGCCAGCTGAGCTTAAGTCCAGGAGTTCAAAACTGCAGTGAACTATGATCATGCCACTGCACACTCCAGCCTGGGCAACAGAACAAGACCCTGTCTCAAAACAAAACAAAACAAAAACAAACAAAAAACCACAAAGTTTTCTGCAGTTGATCATGAGAGGCAAGCTGTCTCTTAAACTGAGAGCAGAAAAGCAATGGCAAGGAATATAGGAAACTTTTCTGATATCTTCAAGGTGGTAGAAATTTTATAGTGGAAAAATACACTGCAATGCATTCTGTAGTTAATGAAACCATTTGTTCTTTAACAAATACTTATTGAGTACTTATGATGGATTAGACACTATCAAACTTGCAATATAGCCTCATAATTGAGATCTGAAATAAATAAAGATTTAGGAACTCTTACCTCACTAACCTGGAAATATGATCTTAGCAGTAAGCTGTATATTTCCATCCAGTGATGATAAAGAAAAAAGGGGAAAAATTTTGTTGTGGAAGCCATACATGTTGATAGTAGTTGCAAGGAATAACAGCACACACTTCTTATGAACTTGAAATAATGCTTCAAGCATTTCTTGCTTTCCACACAAATATATATCCGGCCACAAATGTAAACACTGTCCTCCCACATAGTCCTGGCATTGCAGAAAGAAAGAAGCATGAAACAAGGAGATCTCACCTCATGACCTCTGTATCCCAGCTCACACACGGTAACAGGACTTTCCTGATACATTTTAGTGAAAGTTCAATCAGATATCCTTGAATGATATACATACTTTTAAATACAAAGAAAAGGAAAATACTTTTATGATATTTTAAATTTGATCCTCTA
Source organism: Homo sapiens (assembly GCF_000001405.40). NCBI lineage: Eukaryota > Metazoa > Chordata > Mammalia > Primates > Hominidae > Homo > Homo sapiens. The sequence goes on from NC_000012.12 coordinate 66,074,984, forward strand.
GAAAGAAAATAGATTTCAGTGATTATACTATCACTATTACTATTGCTGTTACTACCTTAGACATAAATAACAGAAAACATTTTTCTTAGAAAAAGTCAGAGGGTTTCTGACACAGAAAGTGAAACACAGATTATTATTATTTTTTATTTTTTTGAGACAGAATCTTGCTCTGTCACCCAGGCTAGACTGCAGTGGTACGATCTTGGCTCACTGCAGCCTTGACCTCCTGGGTTCAAGCGATTCTCGTGCCTCAGTCTCCCGAGTAGCTGCGATTACAGGCATCCGCCACCACACCCAGCTAATTTTTGTCTTTTTAGTAGAGATGGGGTTTCACCATGTTGGCCAAGCTGGTCTCGAACTCCTGTCCTCAGATGATACACCTGCCTTGGCCTCCCAAAGTGCTGGGATCGCAGGCGTAAGCCACCATGCCCGGCCCAGATTAATTAATTTACCTAATCACACAGGTGGTTTCTAAAGGACAAAAGTAAAAACTACATACTATTTTTGGAATTGATACTACTATTTGGGGACACAGCATTCACTTCCAGAAATTTATTCTACAGATATGCTCACATGAGTGTGCAAAGTATACAAGGATGTTCATTGGTGTTAAAACAGAGAAAAATCAGAAATGAGAAACCGAGTGTCCTTCAACAGAGGATTGGTTAAATGAATTATGTTACATCCACAAATGGAAAATGAAAATTTCCTTTAAAAAATGATTTAGGCCAATATGGGATGATATGGAATAACCATAATATATAAGGTCTTTTGACTCTAAGTTTAGTGTTCAATACACTATGTTGTCCATTTTGGTTAAAGTTGGGTCAGGAAAACAGAAGTCACTCTATGGAGGAAGGGCTTTAATGGAGGGAAGTAGAGGCTTACACAAACATTGGTAGGGTTGGGGAACAAAGGTCAGGGAAGCCATCACCCATTATCCCAGTCTGCAAGACTATGTGAGCGGTTCTCAAGAGCTCTTCCGGAGGCTCTCAGCCTGCACTAAAGCAAATGACTCTCAAAAAGCCATTACCAACTACAGCAGCCACTTGCAGGACCAAAGCAGGTAATTAGCAGGAGCTCACCCAGTAGCAACCATAGACCATTCATGTGTGATCAGCCCACACGCTGGCCTGAAAATGCCTCTGGAGAGTAATAGTCTCTCCTCTTCTCCCTTCTAGGTCTCACCATGGATCTCGCACTGGCCCACTCAGGCCCAGAAACAAGTGAAGAGGGAGATTCTTGGAAATGTGTTGCAGAAGAGACTGGGGAAGCTGGGGTGGCAAAGGTGAGGATTTGACCCCAGATAGCCCATCAATTGCCATTTACAATTGAGGTTACCATTGTAACCTCATTTGTAACCATTGTAACCATTGTTACATTTTATTTATTTATTGTAACCATTGTAACCATTACAATGGCAATCTATTGCCATTTACAATAGAAGTTAGCATTAGGATCCTTTGACTGGTGGGCCAAGGCATATTTGAAATATAATTTTACAAGAAAAATTTTAACTTATACCCAATTTCTCTAAAACAGCATCTTTAGGACATGTGCTCAATTCTCTCTTGAAGGTAGAAGTCATCTCTTATTTTCAGAACTGAGAAATCAAAAAGAACTTCTGAGCTTCGAAAAATGTGCTGCCTTTTCTTTGAGTCCTTGCAGTAGAGGGAAGAATCTACAGAAAAGTTTGGCCTTTTGATTACATAATAATAGCATCAGTTAACCCTTCAACTAGTGTAGTGCTTATTTGTGCAAGTGCTGTTGCACCCAAAATGTTTTGTGTAATCCTCCAGCAATCCCTGAAGTAAGTAGTAGCAGCCTCATTTTACAGTTGAGAAAAATCAAGACTGAGAAATTTCCGCAAGATCACGCTGTACTGTTTTGTGGAACCTAGACCTGAAGTCCAGCTCACTCTAAAACCCATGTTCTAATCAACTCAAGGATCCATATCTTCATGAATTGAAAACTCTAAGAATGATGTCCTTTATGAAATATGATTTGTGAGGCTGAGGCAGAGGGAGGAAAATGCCTTATCATGAGTTGAGGCAAGTATTTAATAAACCTTGAGTTTAAATAAAAATGTTGAATCCTTTACAATCCCCTCTAAAATATTTGCACTATTGTTATTTAAGTATTGCCAGTCGTACCAAGTCGCCATTCTTCAACAGTACCATTTGCTTCAAAAGAGGCAAAATTCACAGTGCAGAAGGATGAAACTAATTTTTTTTTCTTAGAGAAAAAGAAACGGAATTTCTCTGAATGTCTTGAGTACATGGTATAAGAGAATGCACTCTGGATGGGAAAAGAATTTTCATTTTCAAGAGGAATTTGATTTTACCCATGGGCGAATAGGTGATTTTATCTGTGCCCTGAGACGTTCTCTTCCACCTCTGCTTTTGCAATATCTCTGCTTTGTTTTTGATGAGGTTAGTTTCCAATGGGTTACAGTTCTTGTACTGTCTACACAAAGCCTATTAAGCTACAGGATTTTTATGAAGATGGTCTTCAGAGCATCAGATGAGTGGCTACTTGATTAAGACAATTTGATTCAAGCATAAGGCAAGTTCAAAGAGGATCAAAACTATTAGTAACCTGGTAAATTAGTAACCTGGTAAAGTCTGGTTCTAAGAGAGCTCCAAGTTCCAAGAAGCTTTCTTAAGTTAACAGCTGTGCTAAGAATAGACCTGGGTCATTGGTTTCCCCTGGTTAGTATACCTACAATGGACCTGATTGAAAGGCTAAGCCTCAGCGAGGTCACTTTGTCCCTTTGATTCTTGATAGCCTATGCCACAGTTTGACCTTCAAAACACTCTAGAATCCCCCCCTTCTTTCTGTCTTCAGATGACAGCCTAAGCTCAACCTCTGTTCTGCCCCTCCTCTTCTTGCACTTTGTCCTATGCTTCATTTCTTCCTAAAAGGAAATGTGATGAATAATATAGTATATAAATCTCTTAGATACAAACGACAGAAACTTACTCAATTTAGCACAGGAAAAAGAAAAGATATTTAACTGGCTCATAAAAGTGATGCCTAATCTATCATCAGACATAGTTGCATCCAGGGACTCTGATAATACCAATTACATTTGTTTTCTCTACGTTTTGACTCTGGTTTTCTCAGTGTTATCTCCATTCTCCCAATTTCTGCCCTCATGTTGGCAAGAGAGCTGCCAGAACTCCATGCTTACAGCCCATCTTCTCAGCAACTTTAGTAGAAAGGGAGTTTTTTTTTTCTTAAAGCTGGTTTGTCAAAAATTATGAAATTGGGTTTACAGATCTGATTGGTTCCATGTCCACACCTAAAGCCAGGCGTGGCCCATCCCCAAAGCCAGGAGCAGAGTCAGCTCCCCACAAACTGCATGGGGTAAGAGTGGAGACAAGAAATTAGGCAGCTGTCATCAGAAAAAGGGGGAATGAACATTGAATGGATAAAACAAAAATGATATGCACTACAAAGATAGGGTCCTCCTTACCCCAGAAGTCAAGTCTTGTGAGGGAGATATATACACAAATAGATAATTACCAATCTTGTGCCATCCTGCAGGTCTTCATATTTCCCAAAGAAGTATATCTGTACAATAAGTATTGCCAAGAGTTTATTTTACTTCACTGCTATTTTTATGAATTGCTGCTGTTTTGAGGGAGAAATACTAAAACTGATTTCTTTGTATCCAATTCCATAAGAAATTCTTTTAATTTTGAAAAAAAAAATCTCATGCCTGACAACTATTTTATTTTTGTGACTTTAGGTCTTTGTTTTTATGCATACATATATTTTTTATAGTTGAAATCTTGGTGGTAAACAACATTTTGCGTTCGATTTTTTAAAAGTTATATAATTATAAAAATCTTTCCTTATTGTTATAAAAACAATCTAATTATCTGATCCAGTGGTGGCATAATATTCTCTTGAGCAAATCTCCTATGGTTTCCTTAACCATCTCCAAATATATGTGGTTTCCAAATATTTACTATTATACAATCCACTGCAGTAAACATCTGTGTATATGCAGGGTTTTTTTCTAAAAAATTACTTCCTTAGATTACATTTCCTAGAGTAGGATTATTGGGACAAAGAGGTAAAATACACAAAAAGAGTTACAAACACGGGATTTGAAATCAGATATCCCTGAGTTCGAATCCCAGCTCAGTAACCTATGTGACCTGAGACATGTCACCGATCCTGCTTTTCTGAATTTCCATATCCTATCTGTAAAATGGGCATGAAGATATCTATTTCTTAAGATTGTTGACAGACGCATGAAGATATCTATTTCTTAAGATTGTTGACAGACTCATATGGAATCATTCATATAAAGTATTTAGCATAGTATATGACACACAGTAAGCACCTCCAATTATAATTATAGTTAATATTGGGGCTGTTGTCCTATGACTCTTGATGACATATTGTGATATTGCTTTCTTAGAAAATTTTACTAATCTACACAGAAATCTACCCAGTATTATCACATTTGTAATGAATGTTTCATTATATTTGTCAATCTTACAATTTACCAATTTCAAATGGTACTACAAGGCATTTTAACTGGAAGTTTTCTGATTACTAAATAAATTAAACTTTCCCCATGTATTTCAAAACCAGTTGTTCTGAACTAAAAGGACACTATCCTTTCAAACCTCAAGAAGAGGGTCACTTAGGATTGGTTGTTCCCAAGATTTTCCTAATCAAAAAATACCCAAAGGATAGGATGTATCTCATCCACAACAGTGACACTTTATGGCAGAGTTTTTTTCACCTGAGGACCATATCCCTTGGATGTCATACTAGAATTGGAAAATACATGGTTTGAATAAGTCTCTCATTTGACTTACCTCATTCAGTTAAGAATCAGTCATCTAAATAAACATACACATTCAACTGTATCAATGGTTTAACATAGAAATATCCACACCTTTTCATCATCCTGGTTTTTCTATCTATGAATGTGAGATTGGACTGTCCATAAGATTGGAGGATTTGAGAAACAGGCAATACAGAGTGGGTGTGTGTGGAGGTCCCCCTCAAATGCGACCTCAGTCATACACTTGCTCTACTTCTTATCAATATAGAGACTCAATTCTACCCTTACCCCTGTAGCTGCAGCAAAAGCCAGCAAGTACTGGGGTGATAGGAGAGTGATGTGGTGCAGTGAGAGACAGAAGGCTCATTAACACTTGCTGACCCAATGATTGGTTTCCCCACCCCTCCCCTGACCCAGTGATAGAAAGGAAATACAACCATGAAGGACCATGGATGGCCCCAACATCAAAAGGCCTCTCTTCACACAGGGTCAGTGTTTTGGGCCCAGGCAGGACAGAGGGCATCATTCAGTAAATAAAAACAAGAAAAACAAAAACAAAAAAACAGTGAAACAAGGGAGAAGTGGGAAGAGAGGCTCCATGGGAAAGGAGAGGCAGAGAGCTAATTTATAAAGAAAAAAACGTAGTGTTGCTATCTTCTTTGCCATTTTCAGCTCAGAAAGAGAAATCAATACTGGATTTCTAAGCCCATAAATTGGCCTTATAATATGGACTTCCCAATACCACTCCCAATACTCACTGAGGGTGGGTAATATGTAGCAGTTTCTGTAGTTCATGCACACCGAAGATCAAACTGAGCAGCCCTTGATATGAAAGTGATGGAGTTATTGCTTTAAACCATGATTCCTGTCTGATAACATAGCAGGAAAGAAGCCTCCTAAACGACTGAGAAGAAATTTACATCCAGTCAAACAGGTTACAGACTGAAGCAGAATAAACTTCACCTGGGAAAGTCAGATAGGCTTCTGGCTGAAGATGGCATTAGCTTCTGCACTCTCCCAAGACTTAACTAAAGCAACAATAAAGAAAAAATTTCAAAGCGGATACCCACAAGTATAAAGAGAAAGAGAAAACAATAATAACAAAATTTTGGAAGCGAGAAAGCTGTTGGACAAATGGAAAGGCATTTGGCAGACTTGAGAGCTAAAACTTAAGCCAACAACTAGGAATGCTGACGAGCATCTTGAATTACGCTGGGGACCCACAAAAGGCTTAAATATTGGTGGCACAACATCTTTGGTAGCAGGGATGAGGATGAGACTGAAAACAGAGCTGTTGGAAATCTGTTTAAGAAGTAATTAATCCCTCAACAGATCTTTCTATTCCACTCCATGCAGTTAATTAATTGCTCTTTTTCCACCCCAGCAGAAGACAGGAGGCTCAATCTCCAGAGAATAAAACAGAGGGTCTCCAGACTGGAGGACACCAGGCTCAGTCAAGTGCAATGATGTTATGTTGAAGACATAGGGAGTAAGAGAGAAGTGACATTCTTTATGTTGAGATTACCCAGATTTCTTCTCCCATTGAGCTTCCAGAACCCTGAAATGTAAGCAAGAGACTGGAAAAGTCTTCTCCAGTTCATGTGATTAGCTTTTGAGAAAAATCCTCAACAAAATGGCCCAGCCGGCTACTAGTCCACACACTCCAAACCACTCCCACATGCACAGAGCTTCCAATCAGCAGGATAAAGTTCAAATTTAATATAAGCAGACAATAAGGATCACTAGACCTTTGAAGAAATCCTCTAATGCAAAAAACAGAGGCCCAAGCAAACAAGGAGAATAAAACAATGCAGGGGAAACAAACTATACAGTAGAAAAAAAAGTCAAAAAGTGCCCTGGAAAGCCTAAGAAAGATAAAACAGTTGTAACACAAGAATAGAAATCTATTAAAAAAAAAAAAAGAATGTTCGGAGAACAAAACAGGGATCTTGTATATTAAAACATAGAATAGCAGACATAAAAACTGAATTGAAGGAATTCAATTACATTTTTTATTAATTTATTTTTTTGAGATGGAGTCTCACTCTGTCGCCTAGGCTGGAGTGCAGTGGCGTGATCTCGGCTCACTGCAAGCTCTGCCTCCCAGGTTCACGCCATTCTCCTGCCTCAGCCTCCCAAGTAGCTGGGATTACAGGTGCCTACCACCATGCCTGGCTAATTTTTTTTTTTTTTTTTGTATTTTTAGTAGAAACGGGGTTTCACTGTGTTAGCCAGGCTGGTCTCGATCTCCTGACCTCATGATCCGCCCGCCTTGGCCTCCCAAAGTGCTGGGATTACAGGCGAAAGCCACCGTGCCCAGCCTCAATTACACTTTTTAAAGGTCAACATTAAGAACATATTTACTATTTGTCATGTCTATTAGGGTAGGGAATACCTTAAATGATTATCTAGTCATTTTGAGACATGCATTAGCAAGTAGGAGTTCATGTGGAAATGCTCTAGATGTGTACGATTACCATTAATATGTGGAGCTTTAAGAAAACTTATAGAGGCCAGGTGCAGTGACTCACACCTGTAATCCCAGCACTTTGGGAGGCCGAGGAGGGTGCATCACCTGAGAGCAGGAGTTCGAGACCAGCCTGGCCAACATGGTGAAACCTTGTCTCTACTGAAAAAAAAAAAAAATACAAAAATACAAAAATTAGCCCCAGGCATGGTGGTACACGCCTGTTATCCCAGCTACTCAGGAGGCTGAGGCAGGAAAATTGCTTTAACCCAGAAGGCAGAGGTTTCAGTGAGCCGAGATCATACCATTGCACTCCAGCCTGGGCAACAGAGTGAGACCCTGTCTCAGGAAAAAAAAAAAAAAGAAAGAAAGAAAGAAAAAGAAAACTTATAGAAACAGTTCATCGAATTTTAGCATTTGAAAGCATGGTTTCATATCACCAAATCTGTACCAAATACTTGGTACTTTACAATCACCACCACTTCATGTCAATTTATTGGAAGACCTACTTGGTAGATTCGATTACTTTTTGGATTTCCTCTCCATTCCACTGATGTTAGGCACAAACAAGTGATTTGTTTTGGTCAATGGAATGTGGGCTGAAGTAACAGGGCACCAGTTCCTAGCTTAGGCTTTAAAAACCATCACTTGTTCCACTCACTTCTCTGGGAGCTTTTGGCTTCTGCCATGGGAAAAACATGCCTCAATTCACTGTTGTTCCTCCTGCTTGGACACTAGAACCAGGCATGATAAGCAGAACTGAATTCCATTTGCATCCTAGCCAACCCATTGACATATGAGAAAAAACTACATGCTTACTGTATGTATTGCAGTTGGTTATCACACAGCAAAAGTAACTAATAAACTTACAGATTTTTCAAGCGTGCTTCCAAATTCTATTTGAAGAAAGGCCTCCCAAATTTCACACTACTTAGAAGCTATATACAGAAAAATATTTAGGCTTTATTTTCCCTTCTATGTGACATTCATATTACTCCTCATTTTTATTTAGTTTTGTTTTTATTTTATAGGTACCATTTTCTGAATTGAGCACATGTTCATACCCATTTTTAGAATCCCATTACTTACCCCTAGAGCATCAGCAATCTTCCAAACGTGGCAGAACTAAGTCACTTAAACCAATCTTTCCACTGATGCAAATTAAAAGAGTGGAAGTATCATCTTAAAAAGCATCAAGAAGCTAACAAAATAGGGTAGTATTATTGGGCCAAAATCAAGTTGAAGACAAGACCCTAGAGAGGTAAGGCTAGCATTCAAAGCTGCTTTGCCCTGAGGGCATTTGTTGATCCATTAGAAACAAGTTTTGAAACTAAACTATGCTTTGAGTGGGCTTCAAAGTTTGACAGGATGAAAGTAAAATCCTGGAGCCTACCAAAGGCAAAGACTCTGATAAACTCTCTCTTACTTTTAGATCAGAGTAAGGATGATGTGGGAGTAACCCAGCCTTCACATGGATATACAGCTAGCATCATCTGGGTAGTTCATGAAACTTCAAGCCTTGAAGGTGTATTATGGTGGTCCCATATTGTTCTTGTTCCCAGGCTCATGGTTGAAACAAAATAACGTACTGTAGAGGAAAATTGATTTGTAGGCATCAAAGAGAGAATTCAAACTAAAGTCTGTATATCTAATATATTTTTCTAAATATGATGCCCAGCACACAGCCAAAAATAACCAGGCACACAAGAAAACAGGGCACTGCAAATGACCACTAAAAGAAATAACAGATAACAGACCCACAAATACCAAAGACATAGAAAGTATCAAATGAGGACCATAAAATAATTATGCTTATTTTTTACAAGGAAATAAAAACCAAGTCAAAATATATCATTGGAGAACTAGAAACTATGAAAAGTGGCAGAGCATATTTGAAAAAAAAATTCTACACATTCAGAAATATAAAAAATCAAGATATTAGACAAATAAAAGGAACTATCTATATCAGATGCAGCAGGGCAGACTATGATATTACCCTTCTTCCAGGTTGACAAATTTCTGCAGCAATAATTCTGGCTGTTAGAAGAGAATTCATATAATTATTTTAATTTTTCTAGCTATTTCTAATAGTTGGTGTACAAGTAAGGCCGCATGAGGGAAAAGCTGTCTATGTGCCAACATGGAATGCACTCTGTTAAGTAGCAATATCTTATCTGACTTTAGTTTGAATCTCTCTCTTTGTCTCTCAAAGAATGAATTATTTCTGTTGACTGGAGTAGAAAGCCAAGTCAAAAAAATACAACAGACATTGATCTGTTCTGTGATTTAAGGCAGTGGCTGGCAAATGTTGAGCAGCCAAATACAATCATTTTAAGGAGCAGTTCCATTATAGGATGCTGGACCACAGTCCCCAATAGCTATTTGTGCCTATAAGGCAATTTGTTTCAGAATGTAGGAGGAATGGATCCAGAAGAAAATTTAGAAGATAACAAAAAGCATATAAGGAAAGTCCAACAATATGTCTCTCTCTTTCTTACTCTTTAAAATAATAATAATAATAATCCAGGCTGGGTGCAGTGGCTAACACCTGTAATCCCCACACTTTGGGAAGCTTGGGTGAGAGGATGGCCTGAGGCCAGGAGTTTGAGACCAGCATGAGCAATATAGCAAGACCCCATCTCTACAATAAAAAAATTAGCCTGCCACATGGTGGTGCACACCTGTAATCCTAGCTACTCAGGAAGCTGAGGTGGGAAGATCACTTGAGTCCAGGAGTTCCAGGTTGTAGTGAGCTATGATCACACCACTGCACTCCAGCCAGGGCAATGCATCAAGACCCTGTCTCAAACAAACAAACAAACAAACAAACCCTTTACTTTTAAATGTTTTTACCAAAGGAAGAATAACCTGTCATTAGTGGACCCTACAAATTAACTCTGGCATATTGGTTTTCTCAGCCTTTGAGGAAAATAACTTCCCTATGATACAAAGCCCTGAATCAGCATCTAGGATGTAAATACTTATGGACTTTTTAAAAAGTGAGCTGTGTTTAGAATATAGTAGGCATTCAATAAATATTTAGTAATATTAATAATATTTCTATGTTCATTACTAACATGCCTTAATCTTTAAGATAGATACAGTTGTCAAACTAAGGCTCAGAGAGGTTAAGCAACTTGCTGAAAATCACACAGGACGTATGGGAGCAACAACTCAAAACCAGCTTGAATACAAGATAGCACTAGACAATAATATTCCTTGTTGAATGAACTGAGGAAACTCCCAGGCTTTCCAATACTTTTAACTCCCCTGTGAGGTGGGGAGAATCAGACTTAGCTTGTTTTTGTCATTTAGCAGCCATTAGGCATATTTTTCTCCCTGTGCTTTCTCCTTTTAAAAGTCTTAAACATTCCTGGGGACACTACAGCAATATATTGGTCTCATGATTAACTGTTTGCTGGAACAATGGCGTGGGCCCTTTTTGTGTATTTCAGGCAATTCCTCAATAGTGTTCATATTTAGTTTTTATGGTTTGCCATTTGAAAGATCTATTTGGAAGTCTGAAAATAAAACTGCTTTTCCCACAGACTAGTTTCTGTTTCCATTTGGCAAACTTTAACACTTCTTTCTCCTCATTTTTGGAATTCAACTGAGGTCAATATGGCTTTGTTTTTGGCCTCCTTTTTACTATTTTCATCCTTGTGCGCCAGGAAGGCCAATGAGCTCATGAAAACATGGCTGCCCCAGGAAAGGATGATACAGACTCCTAAAGCTGAGGACATTTGAATCTGTGTCCCAATGCCATATACAAGGGCACTTTCCCCCATAGGTCAGCACTCCTACTGACACTAGAGACTCCATCGCTGCTAACAACAGGACTTGGGTGAAATCTGTTGACCAGGATTTCACCAGCCTGTCCTTACCTGCCACTCAACTTCTTGAAGGAGTTTCCCAAACCAACTTGCAACTCAAATAATTGAAATTCCCACAGACACCCAACACCTGCTCACCCTCTCTGGACATTCCGAGGACTTCTACTTCCCTTTGATATCCAGTTACCTCAAAGAATGAGTATTTATTTCACCATCTGCAAGATATAACTCTGTGTCAAGTGTCAAAGCTAGCAATGAAATAAACTCTGAATAAATAATGGGAGTCAATATTTGTGATTACAAAGAGATCAGTAAGTCTGTCAGTCGCTGCATACAAAAAGAAAGAGTGCCCTTGAGAAGGGCAAAGAGGCATCCTTGAGGGAGCCCTTGCACCTTCAAAGGGAGCAAAATTACAAGCAAAACACATTCATCCCAGGAAGCTCATCTTGTTCTGCCCACAAGTTGTGTGTGCCTTTAGTTTTGAGTCTTGAGTGTTCCCAGTTTCTCCTCTTATGTGTACCTCTGGAACTTTGCTATCTCTCATTAATATTCTTCTGATTATTGGTCCCCAATTTTGCTTCATGTCTCTCCTTAATGTTCTTCTGATTATTGGTCCTCAGTTTTGCTTCAGTCTCAAATAGTTTTGTCATGCAACTTGAGTCTCTGATCTTCCAATCTGTCCTTTAGTTTTTGTTTGTACTCCACCACATCTTCTTTGACCACTTACCCAGTGAGAAAATATCCACACAGAGACAGTGGAAGGTTTTGTTCAGACTTTCCACTCAAGGCAATGGTTTTTTTTGGTTAAAGGATTGCTTATCTTCCAAATACTATATCTATCACTAAATTCTAAGAGTTATTCCCTACTCTAAAACCTTTAGGTTTGAGTGTGGGCTGGAATCTGAGATAGAGTGGCATTCCTATACTAAACTATATCCATATATCTTCTCATCTTGATCTTGCTGTACGTGTTTGTGTACATAATTCCACATAGATGCATATAGCAAAATAGAAACATTTATTTCAGTTGTTCTTTAAAAACACACAAAGTATCGCACTGCATTTCTCTTTCTTCCTATGAGTGCGTTTCTTTCACAGGGGTATTTAGATAACCAAAAATATTCTCCTGAGTTTTCCTGAGCATTGGTATGACACATAACCACTAAACCTCATATTAAGAAAAAGCTGGCTTAAATAAGAAATTGAAAAATCTGCCTGCAAATAATACTGTAAAAGTTTACAGTCCATCCTAACCATCAAGGATATTTTCCATAACTTTAGGGTTTGATAGTAAAATATATACACACACATATGTATGTTTCTAATAACACAGCACTAAAGTAAAATAAACCTGCTTGTCCAAATACGGTTGCGTTTCAGTCAAAGTTTTGCTTAATGTTTTGAGAAGCGCTTTGGTGAAGATAAATATTCTCAGCCTTAGATTTTATGTCAGATGCTCAGGGTGCCATCTACTGGCCGACTCTGGATTGGGACAGTTTTGTTTTCGGTAGGAACCAAACTCCATGTTGCCACTGATCCACAGCTTCAATGGTGGCCCAATTTTAAGATAATGCCATCTGTGTTGATTTCCTTTTTCAGAGAAGGACATCCAGATTGTTGAGTTTTATTAGAATGAGAAGGCATTTTGTTTTTGAACAGCGATCTTTCTTTCTTCTTTTTTTTTTTTTTTTTTTTGACAGAATCTTGCTCTGTCCCCCAGGCTGGAGTGCAATGGCGTGATCTCTGCTCATGACAACCTCCGCCTCCTGGGTTCAAGCGATTATCCTGCCTCAGCCTCCTGAGTAGTTGGGATTACAGGCGTGTGCCACCATGCCTGGCTAATTTTTGTATTTTTAGTAGAGACCGGGTTTCACCATGTTGGCCAGGCTGGTCTTGAATTCCTGACCTCAGGTGATCCACCCGCCTCAGCCTCCCAAAGTGCTGGGATTACAGGCGTGAGCCACCGAGCCTCGTTGAACAGCGATGTTTCTAATGACACGAGGCCTGAGCTGCGTACTGCCCTGTCACATCAGATTGCTGTGTAACTGCAACCCGATGCCTTGCTCTGTCTGGGACTGTCTGAGTATCAGGTTGAGGATAGGGAGCACGACTGGCCAACTATGTCTTCATGGAAATACCATCCTGGGAGCATACAGCATTCCCAGTAAAGTGATGCCCATGAGAAACGAGGGAAGGGGTTGTGTGTTGGTGCCAACACAGCCATCTCTCTGAAAAAAGAGGCCTCCTTTCTGCCCTGCAGAAGCCAGGAGGTTACTGCAGGCTGCAGAAGATGTGCACCTTCCCAAGAGATTTTTTGGCAAGTTCTCTCTTGAGGTCCCTTCCTGGAGAGCAGGTCCAATGCCTTCCTCCTTCATGATCTGCCCAATGACTGCATGCTCATTTTATGGTATTTTATCTTTCAGAAGCCAAGCTTGTGCCGCCCGGCCCCTTTAATGTTTTCTGTGTCTCAGGTGCAAAAGGGTTCTTGTGGACATTCCACACAACAATAACGAATCCATTTATCATCCTGCCCAGCCCCCTGTGGAGCTGCTCTGAGTTCAGAGCTCCCACCGGCCTTGACGCTTTTGAAGGTGAGTCCACCTCGGCCACAGCCAGAGGGTTTCAGAGCTGCCCCAGTTGTTGTTGAAGCTGGGGACTGAGCAATCATGGCCGTTTTACCCAAGGGGGTTGTCCACAAATCAGGAAGTGTCCTGTATGTCTCTGTGTGGAGACCACCTGATCATACTTCTAAAATCTCTTTTTTATTAAAAAAAATTTATGAAGAAACCATTTTCCAAGAATTAAATTAAATTCCAAACCTGATGTGTATGTTGAGGCTAGAATCCAAGATTCAGAGGAGGATAGAGTCCCTCTTCAACCAAGTATCAAGCTAGCCCCTTTGAAATGCTGTGATTGCCTGAGGTGGCTAAAAAAAGCTTATGTAAAAAAAAAAAAATTGGTAGAAATTGGGAATCAAAGATAATGTCTTCACCCTTTACATCAAACACAGGTTTATTTGTATGTCCTTAAAAATATTCACATGAGCCCAGCACAGTGGCATGCGCCTGTCTTCCCAGATACTTGGGAGGCCGAGGCTGGAGGATCACTTGAGCCCAGGATTTCGAGGGCAGATTGGGCAACATAGCAGGGCCCCTATTCACATGACTTATGCAACAATATCAGAAGCATACTGATCATTTTAACAATTAGTCTCTCTCCCTGAGAAATAAGAATAGAAACTTGGAAAAGACCGTGGTGTTTCCAAGAGCATACAGCATAAAGTCCTGGACCCCAAAGAGAATTTTAAACAACACATTCTACAAGCATAAGTGATTTAAAAAATAAAGGTTGTTCACAAACATTGTTTTATCTTAAAGAGCCAGTCTCACTTCAGTTGGCACAGAAAAGAGACATAGAAAAAAATGGATGTGTCCCGAAAGATTTGATGATGATGAAAACACTGCTACAAACCAACTAATACTTCACATGTCAGTATGGTAGACGGAGGTTTCATTATCCAAAACAAGATGGCGGTTTTTCTGCCTAAGAAATCTGGACTAAGAAGACTTTCAGAAAATGATATGTCTTCAATAATTTAACCAAAAATGAAGGGATACAAAACAGATTTGTGAAGCTCAGAGAAAGAATACAAGATAAAATATTGACATCTTCTGTTGTGTCCATTCAGGATCCAAATCCAGCTCATATAATTTGCAACTATTTGACTGGATAAAGGAACATAATAGAGGTGCGAGTTTTAGCCTGGGGCTTTTAAAGATTATCTTTAAAGTTTTCCAAATAAAGCTAACAATTTGAAAGTACTGTTTTTACTACAAGAAGGAGCCCAGTGATTCTAGAAGAACACCAGAAACATGGCACATCCAGGAAACAAAAAATGCCTCTATTGAGTTAGAACAATGAGCTTATCTGCACAGCACAGAGAAACTAAGGTAATCTATTCAGTGCCTAAACTTCCTGCTATTCCAAGCATTCATTGGTCTTTTTCTAAAGAAAGGTACCACACGTTCTGAATTTCCTGTAACTGATTTCCTGTTATATTCCAAGGATCTGCTGGGATCTAAAGAGTACAGCAAAGGAAAATTAAGGCATGTTGAGTTCAATGAAAGAAAGAAAGGCGTGATGAAGGGAAAGAGAGAAGAAAATATCCAGAGAAGAGAGAGAGGGGAAAAGAGAGAAATCATCAGAGAGACGAGAGGAGGTGAGGGGATGAAGTCAAGAGAGAAAAAGTGGCAGAGAAAGGAAGTTGAAGGAAAGAGGAAGGAAAAAAGGAAGTGAGGAAAAGCCATAAGGGAAAAAAATCAACAGAGAAAAGATAGAGAAAGAGGGAAAGGGACGCAATTTCAAGAGGGAAAAAAATGAAAATGCCAAAGGGCAGGTTGGGAGAGGAAGATTCCTGGAGAGGAATCGAAATAATAAAATCATTATCCAGTCATTGAGAAACTCAGCAGGTCAGAGCTGGAAGGAATATTATAAGACATCTTGTGCAACCCTTCTGAATACAGATTCATAAAAAGAGGCCCAGGGAGGTTAAAAAACAAAATGGAAGCCACATAGATGAATACTGTTTTTGAAAAAAAAAATTCTTAGTAACAAAAGAAATAGGTGCCTTAAAGGCAGCTTTTTTGAAAATTGAATGTCTGACCAGTACCTCCACACCTTGTACTGATGTTGCATGTTAGTCTGAGAGCTGGGAATGGACGCAGGGTATCAGTAAGTGGTCCATATCCTGAAAGAATTCAGAAGCAATTGTTATTCAGCATTGTCTGTATCATTACTTGGCTCGAAATCAACTCCCAGTGCAACTGACAGCTCCATAATCCAAGAGAAGTACAAAAATAAAAGAGCAGTAATAACAAAAATCGAACCTGTCTGGTATTTAGAAGAGAGTAAGAGCTTGAACTCCAGGATTAGGCTGCCTCGCCGTGAAACCTCCCTGAATCACCATCTGGGTGACCTTGCAAAAGCATTTTCTTTACCTCAGTTTCCTAGTCCATAAATTGAGACTTTCTGGCCTCTCTACTATATAATAATAAGTTGGTGCAAAAGCAGTTGAGGTTTTAATATTAGGTTGGTGCAAAAGCAATTGCAATTTTGCATTACTTTTAATGGCAAAAACCACAATTCCTTTTGCACCAACCTAGTAGTATTTGGCACCCAATATTGTTGTGAGAATTAAATAATCTGTGTAGTGTGTGTTTTTTATACTTTTATTTTACATTTGGGGATACACGTGAAGGTCTGTTACATAAATACGTGTCACAGGGGTTTGTCGTGCAGATTATTTCATCACCAAGGTATTAAGCCCAGGATCCAATAGCTATCTTTTCTGCTCCTCTCCCTCCTCCCACCCTCCCACCTCACCTCAAGTAGACTCTAGGTATGTTGTTGCCTTCTTTGTGTTCATAGATTCTTTTTTTCTTTTTCTTTTTCTTTTTTTTTTTTTTTGAGATGGAATCTTGCTCTGTCGCCCAGGCTGGAGTGCAGTGGTGTGATCTCAGCTCACTGTAACCTCTGCCTCCCAGGCTCAAGTGATTCTCCTGCCTCAGCCTCCCAAGTGGCTGGGATTACAGGCGTGTGCCACCACACCTGGCTAATTTTTGTATTTTTAGTACAGATGGGGTTTTGCCATGTTGGCCAGGCTGGTCTTGAGCTCCTGACCTCAGGTGATCCAACTGCCTTGGCCTCCCGAAGTGCTGGCATTACAGGCATGAGCTACTGCACCATGCCAAATTCTTATCATTTAGCTCCCATGTAGTATGTTAAGCACAGTGCCTGGCTCCCCCAAAAAAAATAGTTCCCGAATCTTGTGGCTGGGCATGGTGGCTTACTCCTGTAATCCCAGCACTTTGGGAGGCCAAGACAAGAGGACCAGTTGAGGCCAGGAGTTCGCGACCAGCCTGGGCAACATAGTGAGACCTCGTCTCTACCAAAAAAATAAAAATAAAAATAAGAAAATTAGGCAGAACGATTGCTTGAGCCCAGGAGGTAGAGTGCCACTGCACTCCAGCCTTGGTGACAGAGTGAGACCCTGCCAAAATAAATAAATAAATAAAGTTAAAAAAAAAAAAGGCTAGGGCGTTGGCTCATGCCTGTCATCCAGCACTTTGGGAGGCCAAGGCGGGCAGATCATTTGAGGTCAGGACTTCGAGACCAGCCTGGCCAACATGGTCTCTACTAAAAATATAAAAATTAGCCAGGCATGGTGGCACATGCCTGTAGTCCCAGCTACTCAGGAGGCTGAGGCATGAGAATCGCTTGAACCCGGGAGATGGAGGTTGCAGTGAGCCAAGATCATGCCAGTACAGTCCAGCCTGGATGACAGAGTGAGACTTTGTCTCAAAAATAAATAAATAAATCAATAAATAAAAATTTAGAAAGACGAGAAAAAATTTAAAAAAAAACACAGAAGGGGAAAAAATAGTCAACATATGCCATGTCATCAGGGAAAAAAAAAAAAAGTTTCTGATTCATTGTTATTTGAGCCTCAGCACCTCCCAGGCTGTGTTTAAAGCATTGAATTTACTATGCCATTTTTATAAAATGTTTGGTTATGAAATGTCTTTGACATTTGCTATGAATGAGTAAGATGGGGTAGTTACCAGGCTGGCATCAAGCCACTTGAACCTCTCTCTGAGACAACCTGTCAGTGGGGTTTTCCCAGCACTATTTCCCTATTTTTGAGACCAGTTACCAGCCCTAGTTATGAAGGAGAAAGTTATTTTGGTGTTGGACCTGCTTGGCTCCAGACCCACTGAATGCTATTTGCTTGAAATGAAAACAGAAAGTTTAAACAAATGCAGAACTTATTAACTTACAAACATTCATGTTGATCTGTTGCTTTTACTATTAAAATAGCCTTCTATCCATTTCAGCTGAGGTGCTGATCCCTTGGTGACTGCTTCCCTGGCTTTCATGTCAATTCTGAGTGCTCTTTTATTACAGGAAGTGAAGTAAATCAGTGGGGAGGCTGATTAGAATCCCCGTTAGAGGCAAGTGGATAAAAATGAGGTTAGGGAATGTGAGTGCATCTCTAAATCACTGCACTTGACCAAACAAATTACTTTTAAGTATGCCTTCTCTTCAACCCAGAGCAGCACATAGTGATCCAGGAAAAAAAGAGATTCAAACTCAGAGAGATAAGCAAGAGGCATTGGCTTTTCATATGGATGCTCGCATCCACACACACATGCACATAAGTACAAGAGTGATTTTCTTTAGTTGAAGCGCTATTTTGCCTCTGTAAAACTTCTCCAGATGTCTTAAGTCCGCTTTTCAATAACATTAATTCCTATTTATGGTGTACTTTCTAAAGGCCAGTCACTGGGCTGGGAGTGTTACACATGTAATTTCATTTAATCTTCACAACAAGTCAGTGACATGCAAATTGTTGCCCTTTTATAGATAATGAAACCGAAGCTCAGAGAATAATAATATTAATCATAATAGTTACATTTTTTGAGTACTTATATGTGCTAAGTGGTTTTACATATGCTGCTTCATTGAATCTTTTAAACAATTCTGGGAGATAGATTTGTGTCCCTATTTTAGAGGTGAGGAAAGTGTGGCTTATAATTATTAATAGTTTGCAATAGCTACCACTTACTGCATACTAATTGTGTGCCAGGCACTGTGTCATATCTTTTAAACACAGCACATAATCTTTTGTAATTCTTACAACCTACTAGGATAAATCTTATCCCCTTCACTTTAAAATAAGTAAATGAGGGCAGAGCAAGCCAGACAACTTGCCCAGTATCATTCAACTAAGACAAGAGAGAGCCAGGATTTGAATTAAGAACCGGTGATTTCAAAGCCTGAGGAATCTATGCCAGGCAGTACACCTACTTCATTGCTTTTCTAATTTTGCTTTACTTTTTCTTTATTTATAGGAATCTAAATGGTATAAGGAAAGAATATCCAGCTCTGAAAGACATGGATTCAAACTCTATTTAGAAGGGATCCTGCTGTCCAAATATTGGACAATTTGAACATCAAAATAAGTAATGATAGTAGTAGATTACAACTTATTTTGAATCCACACTGATATGAATGAATGGATGGATGAGCGAATGAGTGAATAAAGCAGAAGAGAAACCTCTTCCTTAAAGTAGAAACCATGCCAAAAAATACAGAAAGAATGATCAAATTAGAAAGCTACCATTTGACAACCACTAAGTTATAATTAATTCTGGCAGAAAACATCAATGAATGCAAAACTAGTTGGTGAATGAAAAGTGAGGAATTAGATTTTGTATAACCTAAAAGTATCTCCCTAGAAAATATTTATTTATTTATTTGTTTGTTGTTGTTGTTTTGGTTTCTTTTATTATTATTATACTTTAAGTTCTAGGGTACATGTGCACAACGTGCAGGTTTGTTACATATGTATACATGTGCCATGTTGGTGTGCTGCACCCATTAACTCATCATTTACATTAGGTATATCTCCTAATGCTATCCCTCCCCACTCCTCCCACCCCACAACAGGTCCCAGTGTGTGATGTTCCCCTTCCTGTCCAATTGTCCTCATTGTTCAATTCCCACCTATGAGTGAGAACATGTGGTGTTTGGTTTTTTGTCCTTGCAATAGTTTGCTGAGAATGATAGTTTCCAGCATCATCCATGTCCCTACAAAGGATATGAACTCATCCTTTCTTATGGCTGCATAGTATTCCATGGTGTATATGTGCCACATTTTCTTAATCCAGTCTACCATTGATGGACATTTGGGCTGGTTCCAAGTCTTTGCTATGGTGAATAGTGCTGCAATAAACATACGTGTGCATGTGTCTTTATAGCAGCATGATTTATAGTCCTTTGGGTATATACCCAGTAATGGGATGGCTGGGGCAAATGGTATTTCTAGTTCTAGATCCTTGAAGAATCGCCACATTGTCTTCCACAATGGTTGAACTAGTTTACAGTCCCACCAACAGTGTAAAAGTGTTCCTATTTCTCCACATCCTCCCCAGCACCTGCTGTTTCCTGACTTTTTAATGATCGCCATTCTAACTGGTGTGAGATGGTATCTCATTGTGGTTTTGATTTGCATGTCTCTAATGGCCAGTGATGATGAACATTTTTTCATGTGTCTGTTGGCTGCATAAATGTCTTCTTTTAAGAAGTGTCTGTTCATATCCTTTGCCCACTTTTTGATGGGGTTGTTTGTTTTTTTCTTGTAAATTTGTTTGAGTTCATTGTAGATTCTGGATATTAGCCTGCCTTGTCAGATGAGTAGATTGCAAAAATTTTCTCCCATTCTGTAGGTTGGCTGTTCACTCTGATGGTAGTTTCTTTTGCTGTGCAGAAGCTCTTTAGTTTAATTAGATCCCGTTTGTCAATTTTGGCTTTTGTTGCCTTTGCTTTTGGTGTTTTAGACACAAAGTCCTTGCCCATGCCTATGTCCTGGATGGTATTGCCTAGGTTTTCTTCTAGGGTTTTTATTGTTTTAGGTCTAACATTTAAGTCTTTAATCCATCTTGAATTAATTTTTGTATAAGGTGTCAGGAAAGGATCCAGTTTCAGCTTTCTACATATGGCTAACCAGTTTTCCCAGCACCATTTGTTAAAAAGGGAATCCTTTCCCCATTGCTTGTTTTTGTCAGGTTTGTCAAAGATCAGATGGTTGTAGATGTGTGGTATTATTTCTGAGGACCCTGTTCCATTGTTCTATATCTCTGTTTTGGTACCAGTACCATGCTGTTTTGGTTACGGTAGCCTTGTAGTATAGTTTGAAGTCAGGTAGCGTGATGCCTCCAGCTTTGTTCTTTTGGCTTAGGATTCTCTTGGCAATGTGGGCTCATTTTTGGCTTCATATGAACTTTAAAGTAGTTTTTTCCAATTCTGTGAAGAAAGTCATTGGTAGCTTGATGGGGATGTCATTGAATCTATAAATTACCTTGGGCAGTATGGCCATTTTCACAATATTGATTCTTCCTATCCATGAGCATGGAATGTTCTTCCATTTGTTTGTGTCCTCTTTTATTTCATTGAGCAGTGGTTTGTAGTTCTCCTTGAAGAGGTCCTTCATATCCCTTGTAAGTTGGATTCCTAGGCATTTTATTCTCTTTGAAGCAATTGTGAATGGGAGTTCACTCATGATTTGGCTCTCTGTTTGTCTGTTATTGGTGTATAAGAATGCTTGTGATTTTTGTACATTGATTTTGTATCCTGAGACTTTGCTGAAGTTGCTTATCAGCTTAAGGAGATTTTGGGCTGAGACGATGGGGTTTTCTAGATATACAATCACATCATCTGCAAACAGGGACAATTTGACTTCCTCTTTTCCTAATTGAATACTCTTTATTTCTTTCTCCTGCCTGATTGCCCTGGCCAGAACTTCCAACACTATGTTGAATAGGAGTGGTGAGAGAGGGCATCCCTGTCTTGTGCCAGTTTTTAAAGGGAATGCTTCCAGTTTTTGCCCATTCAGTATGATATTGGCTGTGGGTTTGTCATAAACAGCTCTTATTATTTTGAGATACGCCCCATCAATACCTAATTTATTGAGAGTTTTTGGCATGAAGGGCCATTGAATTTTGTCAAAGGCCTTTTCTGCATCTATTGAGATAATCATGTGGTTTTTGTCATTGGTTCTGTTTATATGCTGGATTACATTTATTGATTTGCGTATGTTGAACCAGCCTTGCATCCCAGGGATGAAGCCCACTTGATCATGGTGGATAAGCTTCTCGATGTGCTGCTGGATTCGGTTTGCCAGTATTTTATTGCAGATTTTGGCATCGATGTTCATCAGGGATATTGGTCTAAAATTCTCTTTTTTTGTTGTGTCTCTGTCAGGCTTTGGTATCAGGATGATGCTGGCCTCATAAAATGAGTTAGGGAGGATTCCCTCTTTTTCTATTGATTGGAATAGTTTCAGAAAGAATGGTACCAGCTCCTCCTTGTACCTCTGGTAGAATTCGACTGTGAATCCCTCTGGTCCTGGACTTTTTTTGGTTGGTAAGCTATTAATTATTGCCTCAATTTCAGAGCCTGTTATTGGTCTATTCAGAGATTCAACTTCTTCCTGGTTTAGTCTTGGGAGGGTGTATGTGTCGAGGAATTTATCCATTTCTTCTAGATTTTCTAGTTTATTTGTGTAGAGGTGTTTCTAGTATTCTCTGATGGTAGTTTGTATTTCTGTGGGATCGGTGGTGATATCCCCTTTATCATTTTTTATTGCATCTATTTGATTCTTCTCTCTTTTCTTCTTTATTAGTCTTGCTAGTGGTCTATCAATTGTGTTGATCTTTTCTTTTTTTTTGAGACAGAGTCTTGCTCTGTCTCCCAGGCTGGAGTGCAGTGGCACGATCTTGGATCACTGCAAGCTCTGCCTCCCAGGTTCACGCCATTCTCCTGCCTCAGCCTCCTGAGTAGCTGGGACCACAGGCACCCACCACCATGCCCGGCTAATTTTTTGTAGTTTTAGTGGAGACAGGGTTTCACCGTGTTAGCCAGGGTGGTCTTGATCTCCTGACCTTGTGATCTGCCCGCCTCGGCCTCCCAAAGTGCTGGGATTACAGGCATGAGCCACTGTGTCCAGCCTGTGTTGATCTTTTCAAAAAACCAGCTCCTGGATTCAATGATTTTTTGAAGGGTTTTTGTGTCTCTATCTCCTTCAGTTCTGCTCTGATCTCAGTTATTTCTTGCCTTCTGCTAGCTTTTGAATGTGTTTGCTCTTGCTTCTCTAGTTCTTTTAATTGTGATGTTAGGGTGTCAATTTTAGACCTTTCCTGCTTTCTCTTGTGGGCATTTAGTGCTATAAATTTCCCTCTACACACTGCTTTAAATGTGTCCCAGAGATTCTGGTATGTTGTATCTTTGTTCTCATTGGTTTCAAAGAACATCTTTATTTCTGCCTTCATTTCGTTATGTACCCAGTAGTCATTCAGGAGCAGGTTGTTCAGTTTCCATGTAGTTGTGCGGTTTTGAGTGAGTTTCTTAATCCTGAGTTCTATTTTGATTGCACTGTGGTCTGAGAGACAGTTTGTTACAATTTCTGTTCTTTTACATTTGCTGAGGAGGGCTTTACTTCCAACTATGTGGTCAATTTTGGAATAGGTGCGGTGTGGTGCTGAGAATAATGTATATTCTGTTGATTTGGGGTGGAGAGTTCTGTAGATGTCTATTGGTCAACTTGGTGCTGAGCTGAATTCAATTCCTGGATATCCTTTTTAACTTTCTGTCTCGTTGATCTGTCTAATGTGGACAGGGGGTGTTAAAGTCTCCCATTATTATTGTGTGGGAGTCTAAGTCTCTTCGTGGATCTCTAAGGACTTGCTTTATGAATCTGGGTGCTCCTGTATTGGGTGCATATATATTTAGGATAGTTAGCTCTTCTTGTTGAATTGATCTCTTTACCATTATGTAATGGCCTTCTTTGTCCCTTTTGATCTTTGTTGGTTTAAAATCTGTTTTTTCAGAGACTAGGATTGCAACCCCTGCCTTTTTAGTTTTCCATTTGCTTGGTAGATCTTCCTCCATCCCTTTATTTTGAGCCTATGTGTGTCTCTGCACATGAGATGGTCTCC
Organism: Homo sapiens; assembly: GCF_000001405.40. Taxonomy (NCBI): domain Eukaryota; kingdom Metazoa; phylum Chordata; class Mammalia; order Primates; family Hominidae; genus Homo; species Homo sapiens. The sequence continues at coordinate 66,098,648 of NC_000012.12, forward strand.
TGAATACAGCACACTGATGGGTCTTGACTCTTTATCCAATTTGCCAGTCTGTATCTTTTAATTGGAGCATTTAGCCCATTTACATTTAAGGTTAATATTGTTATGTGTGAATTTGATCCTGTCATTATGATGTTAGCTGGTTATTTTGCTCATTAGTTGATGCAGTTTCTTCCTAGCATCAATGGTCTTTTCAATTTGGCATGTTTTTGCAGTGGCTGGTACCAGTTGCTCCTTTCCATGTTTAGTGCTTCCTTCAGGAGCTCATGTAGGGCAGGCCTGGTGGTGACAAAATCTCAGAGCATTTGCTTGTCTGTAAAGGATTTTATTTCTCCTTCACTTATGAAGCTTAGTTTGGCTGGATATGAAATTCTGGGTTGAAAATTCTTTTCTTTAAGAATGTTGAATATTGGCCCCCACTATCTTCTGGCTTATAAGGTTTCTGCGAGAGATCCGCTGTTCGTCTGATGGGCTTCTCTTTGTGGGTAACCCGACATTTCTCTCTGGCTGCCCTTAACATTTTTTCCTTCATTTCAACTTTGGTGAATCTGACAATTATGTGTCTTGGAGTTGCTCTTCTCGAGGAGTATCTTTGTGGCGTTCTCTGTATTTCCTGAATTTGAATGTTGCTCTGCCTTGCTAGGTTGGGGAAGTTCTCCTGGATAATATCCTGCAGAGTGTTTTCCAACTTGGTTTCATTCTCCCTGTCACTTTCAGGTACACCAATCAGACGTAGATTTGGTCTTTTCACATAGTCCCATGTTTCTTGGAGGCTTTGTTTGTTTCTTTTTACTCTTTTTCTCTAAACTTCTCTTCTTGCTTCATTTCATTCATTTGATCTTCAGTCACTGATACACTTTCTTCCAGTTGATCAAATCGGCTACTAAAGCTTGTGCATTCAACATGTAGTTCTCATGCCATGATTTTCAGCTCCATCAGGTCATTTAAGGACTTCTCTACACTGGTTATTCTAGTTAGCCATTCGTCTAATCCTTTTTCAAGGTTTTTAGTTTCATTGCGATGGGTTCAAACTTCCTCCTTTAGTTCAGAGTAGTTTGATCATCTGAAGCCTTCTTCTCTCCACTTGTCAAAGTCATTCTCTGTCCAGCTTTGTTCTGTTGCTGGTGAGGAGCTGCATTCCTTTGGAGGGGGAAAGGCACTCTGATTTTTAGAATTTTCAGCTTTTCTGCTCTGTTTTTTTCCCATCTTTGTGGTTTTATCTACTTTTGGTCTTTGATGATGGTGACATACAGATGGGGTTTTGGTGTGGATGTCCTTTCTGTTTGTTAGTTTTCCTTCTAACAGTTAGGACCCTCAGCTGCAGGTCTGTTGGAGTTTGCTGGAGGTCCACTCCAGACCCTGTTTGCCTGGGTATCAGCAGCGGAGGCTGCAGAACAGTGAATATTGCTGAATGGCAAATGTTGCTGCCTGATCTTTCATCTGAAAGTTTCATCTCAGAGGGGTACCCGGCCGTGTGAGGTGTCAGTCTGCCCCTACTGGGGGGTGCCTCCCAGTTAGGCTACTCGGGGGTCAGGGACCCCCTTGAGGAGGCAGTCTGTCCTTTCTCAGATCTCAAACTCCGTGCTGGGAGAACCACTATTCTCTTCAAAACTGTCAGACAGGGACATTTAAGTCTGCAGAGGATTCTGCTGCCTTTTGTTTGGCTATGCCCTGCCCCCAGAGGTGGAGTCTACAGAGGCAGGCAGGCCTCCTTGAGCTGTGGAGGGCTCCACCCAGTTCAAGCTTCCCGGCTGCTTTGTTTACCTACTCAAGCCTCAGCAATGGTGGGCGCCCCTCCCCCAGCCTCACTGCCACCTAGCAGTTTGACCTCAGACTGCTGTGCTAGCAATGAGCAAGGCTCCATGGGCATGGGACCCTCTGAGCTAGGCATGGGATATAATCTCCTGGTGTGCCGTTTGCTAAGACCATTGGAAAAGCACAGTATTAGGGTGGGAGTGACCCGATTTTCCAGGTACCATCTGCCACAGCTTTGCTTGGCTAGGAAAGGGAATTCCCTGACCCCTTATGCTTCCTGGGTGAGGCGATGCCTCGCCCTGCTTTCGCTCACACTTGGTGCACTGCACCCACTGTCCTGCACCCACTGTCTGACAAGCCCCATGAGATGAACCCGGTACCTCAGTTGGAAATGCAGAAATCACCTGTCTTCTGCATCACTCACACTGGGAGCTGTAGACTGGAGCTGTTCCTATTCGGCCATCTTGGAACTGCCCTCCCAATATTTATTAATAACAAGGGGAAAAGTAACTTTACAGTAGAGAGGCCGGAAAGATACACCAGTCTTAATTAAGAGGTGAAGGTTAACACCACCAGTAAGAGGGAAAAAAAATCACATGCCTGTCAGTAAGATGCATTGAAAAGAACACAGCATTCATGATATCTTGTAAAAAAATGTATACCAGGGTCTCATCATGAGAAAACATTAGAAAAGCACAAATCAAGAGACATTCTACAAAATGACAGATGTATAATCTTCAAAAATGTCAAAGTCATGAACAGATTGAGGATCTGTTTCAGTATAAAGGGTGTGGAGACATCACTGAGTGCAACTTGTGTCCCTAGATTGGATTATTTGCTGGAAAAGTTTGAATGAGTTCTCTGAGAAAAAAAAAAAAAAAATATATATATATATATATAGAGAGAGAGAGAGAGCATATATATATAGAGAGAGAGAGAGGGAGAGAGAGAGCATATATATAGCATATATATATAGCATATATATAGCATATATATATATAGCAAATATATATATATATATAAAGACAGAGAGAGTGCTTTGTACCATTCTTGCAACTTCTTGTTAAGTTTAGAACTTGTAAAATTTAAAAAAAAATTTTCTTTTTCTTTTTCTTTTTTTGTAAATCCAACCACTTTCTTCGTGACCTTTGGCAAGTCATTGGACTTCTTTGAGTTTGTTTTGTTTTGTGAAAATAGGAAAATAATTGAGTAGTTTTGTTGAAATGATAAAAATGAGACAGTATATACAAAAACACTTAGCATTTATTAGATGATTAATAAATACTAGTTTCCTTTTTTCTTTTCAACCTGCTTATCTAATACTCTGAACTTGATCTGTGGGTGGCAGGAGGAATAGCATGACATGTTTTGTTTCACAAAGTGAACAAGTGTCAGTGTTAGAAACATTCCAGAAACTTCACACTCAGGGCTTTATTTTGGGTGACCTTTTAATCTGCTTAGGAATTATTTCATAGGTCAGTGTTTTCCAAAATCAGGGTCCATAGATGTATTCTTGGAGGTCCAGAGAGCTCTCTGGAGTTATCTTTGTGTGTTTTCATTTAAACTATAATAAAATTAATATTCTCTTATTAGCATGATCAGATTTAATTGACTGATGTCAGTGTCCATATGTGCAATGTCTTTGAAATTTTCAGAGCCCACATTTACAATTGCCTAAACACCAAATAGTTCTACTTTTATTATCATGGGTGAATGAGAAAAAGAAGTAGACTCTATAAGTTATTGTGCATTTGCACCAAGTGAAGGCCACTGCTAACAAATATGGAATCTTTGCATGACTACAAAAAAGATATGCCTTACCTCTGCCTTTCAAACAAACTGTCTTGCTATAAACAATAAACCTAATAAAGTAGTAAGTTATATGTTGCTTAAAGGTGATAAGTGTTATGAAAAGAGAGAAGGCAGAATAGGTTAAGGAGAATCAGGAGTACTAGAGCAGGACTGGGGAGGGGTGTCAGGTTGCAATATTAAATGTATTGGCCAGAGTTGGTCCCATTAGGAAGGCAACATTCAGCAAAGATTAGCAGGTGAGAGAGATATCTGGGGCAAATATCTGAGAGCAGCAGATACCTAGAGGACAAGTTCTTGAGAAAGAGAAAGCTATGTCACTAAAGCAAGAGTATGGCTGATATGTTTAAGAAACAGCAAGGAGTCCAGAATGGCTGGAGCAGAGTAAGTGAAGAAGAGAACAGCAGGAGATGATTGTCAGAGAAATAAAGTGTAGAAAAATGATAGGGCATTGTAAGGATTTGGGCTTTTAGTTTAGATGGAATGAGGTTTTGAGCAGAAGATAACTGGATATGAATTACATTCCAAAAGGATCGCTCTGAGTAGACAATAGGTCGGCAAAGTAAGAACAAGGAGACCTATTTGGAGGCTATCTTAGTGGTCCAGATGAGAGATGACCATGGCGTAGACAAAGATGGTAATTAGTGAGGATGCTAAAAAGTGGTAAGATGCTGATTCAGTTCTGAAAGTAGAACCAATCACATTTGTCAAGAAATTGTATAAAGATGTGAGAGAAAGAGAAGATTCAATGATGACTCCAAGGATGTTGGCCTAAATGATTGGAGGATGGATTTTCCACTTTGAGAGAAGGCTGTAGGTAGAGCAATTTTGGAAGGGACACACTTGAGTTTGAGACATCTGTTAGACATTCAAGGGGATTTTGCCTCTGGAGCTCAGGAGAGCTGGTCGGAGATGGAACCATGGGTGTCCTCAGTATTTACAGCTATGAGAGTAGTCAATGGAAAGGAATGAGCCCTGGGACTCTCCAATGGTGAGTGCTTGTGGAGAGAAGAAGGAGCCACAAAGGAAATTGAGAGGGAAGCTCCAGTGAGACAGGCAGAAAACCATGAGTGAAGTGTCTTGGAATCCAGATGAAGAGTGGCATTATAAGTCCAACTCTCCACTGGCATAGTTGGAATGTGTCCCTTCCAGTGGGATTAGGTGCCCTTATAAAGAGGCTTGACAGAAGGAGTTCATTCCTTCTTGCACTTCCACCTTCTGCCATGTGAGGACACAGCACTCTTCCCCTCTAGATAATGCAGCCCTCACCAGATACCAGATGCCAGTGCCTTGATTTTGGCTTCCCAGCCTCCAGAAGTGTGAGAAATAAATTTCTAGGATTTATAAATCACCAAGTCCCTATAAATCATCCAGGTATTTTGTTATAGCAGCACAAATGGACTAAGACATTTATTAACCTGTAAGAAGGCTATACATCCATGCCACTTGCCATGCAGCTTCACAGCGCCCTCCCACTGTGGGTGAAGGTACTTTCCCACCCCCGCACTGGGCTTGGGTATGTGACTTGTGTTGGTAGGTATGAATGAAACAGAGGCTTGAAGTGGACTTGCCTTGTTTCTTTTATCTCTTGCATTCCTGGCATTTTCCTTGAAAAGGACATGTCCTGGATAGCTGCTGATTGAGGGAGAATGAAAGACTCATGGGGCACACCTGAACCCAATGTATAGTTTAAACCTATCTGCCCTCATCTAACCAGCAGACCTGTGAGCATAAGAAAGCAATGCTTATTTTTATAAGCCACTGAGTTTGAGCTGATTGTTATAACAATAATAAGCTTGCTGGCTTATTATTATAAGCCACTGAGCTCCTCATGCAACATCATTTCAGTTAACTGTGTCCCCAGTTACACAAGTCCCCCAGAAACACTTATACCACCCAAAGAAAAGGAGAGTCTCCCTACCTTGATCCGACCTGACTTTACTTGATTTAAATAGATGTAACATTTCTTCCACCTGCATGATGTGGCAAAAATTTGTTCCTGCTGATGCATGCGTGTGTGTGTGTGTGTGTGTGTGTGTGTGTGTGTGAATATTTCTCAGTCCACGCCCATGGTCATGCTTTAGAGCCACTAGATTAGATGACCTCTAAGGTTTCTTCCAAATCTAAAATTTCATGATTCTGTATCATCCAGTTCATGCCATTTGTTCACTGCTTCACCTGTATCTCCTCCATTCTGGCAGCTTCTGCTTCAAGTTAATTGGAGGTCATTGTCTGCCCCCTCTGCTTTAGTGTCATTATTTCTGAGATCCTTTGCAACCAGAAAAGGCAAGAGGCCTCCACCCATCCAGAGGTTTGTATCACAGCCTTAAGATAAGAGGGCAAGGGACGAGTACAGAGATGGAGTGCATGTGGTGTGAATAATCCCACGGTGTGGGGAGGAGCAGTAGGAACAGTTGTTGCTGGAGGATACCAACCTTGATCCTAGACTTCCAAATCAAATTGCTGCTTGCAATGGGTTAAGTCAGCTCTGGGAAATAGGGCAAATAGATTTGCCATTTGAATAGAGAGTATACAACAAAGGAAGAAATGTACGTAACTATGTGGAATATTGGAAAGTCTCATCATCATGGATATCCCACTGACATCTTGGAAATTCCTAGACAGGGCCTGTCATTAAATACAGGTGGATATTGGGAGAATAAGTGCTGTGTGCTCTCTCTGTCTGTCTCTGTTTCCGTCTCTCTCTCTCTCTCCTCTCTCTCGCTGTCTCTCTCTCTCTCACACACACACAGACGCGCGCGTGCACGTGCACACACACACATACACAGAGAAGCTTCCTATAACTTCTGGGGAGCATACAAAGTTAATGGGATATAAATTCCATCTTTTAAGGAACTCCTGGGTCCTTTTTTAAAAAAAGAAAATTTTAGAGAGAGTCTCTCTCTGTCTCCCAGGCTGGAGTGCAGTGACGTGATCATAGCTCACTGCAGCCTCAAACTCCTTGATTCAAGCAATCCTCCAATCTCAGCCTCTTGAGTAGCTGGTAGTAAAGGTGTGCACAACCACACCTGGCTAATTTTTTTTTAAATTTTGTAGAGAACCTCGTCCATGATGAGCACTTTTAGAGTTACAATTCATAAGGTGTCAACATAGAAAGCAGACTGGCATTCACATTAGCCATGAAAAGACTCTTTCTATCTAAATAGCTTAAAGTTTACTGGATTAAAAAGGAATTTCCTTCTTTATCTATAGAGATTATAGAATTGCTTCTTTTGTGATTTCCTTCTCTGTCTCTCCCGGAAGGCTGATCTACTCCTACTTGATTCTTACTGATCCAAATCATCCTACTCCAAAGAAGCTGAGTTGAGGTTTAGACAGACCACAGACTCTGTTTTATTGTCTCACTACTATAAAAGAGGGATAAAGATCCAATAAGCACTGCTCACTTTTCTTGAACATCTTGAGACCCTGGTCTCTTTCATTGGTAACCTTTAATTCTGGTTCAAGTGGTGAGAATGTATGTGTGTGCACATGCAAATGCATATGTTAGAAATGAGAATACTTTTTAAAGCACAAAATAAACTTTTCAGAAGCTTACCCGATATTAAGTCACTCTGGGAAGCCATATGCTTATTGCAATTTTGAGGCATTCATTCATCAGCAAGGTTTTGAAGGCTGGCTACACTGAGTGGAATATGGTCATTTAACAATGTAATCTTTGTAAGGGTCATCAATCTCATTTGAATAAATATATCAGTTAAATAGATCAATTTCAGTTAAATAAAATTATGGTACATACATAAGATGGAAAGTATTTCCAACTCTGAAGCTCTTAAAGAGAATTATTTAGCCCACCTCCAAGATATGCTGTTAAGTGAAAAAAGACAGACGCAACAGTGTGTTTCGTGAGCTACCATTTATGTAAGGAAAAAAAGGATATATATGTATATGCTTATATTATAAAAGCCCAAAACGTTTCTGAAAGACTACATAGGAAACTATAACTGTGGTTGCCTGTGGGAGGGTGGCCCCAGACAAGGCATGAAACCAGAGAAATGTATTTGCGACTGTGTATTTGAATTTGTCGTACATGTATATATTTTGCCTATTCAACAACAACAAAAAACTCAAAATAATAAAAAAGAAGTCATCTTTAGTCCTATCTTTAGTAGTTATGTGGTAGAGCACTCTACTGACATGAGGCTGGGCTTTGGGATCAGACAGGTGAAAATTTGGATCCAGGAAGGGCTCCGTGGCTCACGCCTGTAATCCCAGCACCTTGGGAGGTAAGAGGGGAAGATCGCTTGAGCTCAGGAGTTTGAGACCAGCCTGGGCAACATAGTGAGACATCCATCTTTATTTCTATTAAAAAATAATAATAATAAAATAAAATAAAAATAAATAAATAAAAGATTTGAATCCACATGTTAACTGGGAGACTTCCTGGAGGTGCCTTACCTTCTCTGACTACCCATTTACTTCTATGTAAAATGAGGAAAATGATAACCACCTAAAAGGATGGCATCCAGGATTAAGAAAAATAATGAAAGGAAAGACCCAATAGGCACTCAGAAAACTTTATTCCTCTTTCCTCCCTGCATGTAGGAAGGATCCTGGATTGGTTATATGATGTCGTTAGTAATTTTTTTTTTTTTTTTTTTTTGAGACGGAGTTTCACTCTTGTTGCCCAGACTTGAGTGCAATGGCGCCATCTCGGCTCACTGCAACCTCTGCCTCCCAGATTCAAGTGATTCTCCTGTCTCAGCCTCTGAGACAGTAGCTGGGATTACAGGCACATGCTACCATGTCTGGCTAATTTTTTTGTATTTTTAGTAAAGACGGGTTTCATCATATTGGTCAGGCTGGCCTCGAACTCCTGACCTCACGTGATTCGCCCACCCTAGCCTCCCAAATTGCTGGGCGCCCGGCCTGCCCTTAGTAATTTTTAAAGAGTTAATTGATTGCAGCCTGTTTACATTCAAAAATCTTTGATAAGAAGTGCCTCCATGTGCTACAGGAACAGATCCTGGGAGCCGACCTCGGTGCCTCAAAACCAAGATCCCAGCTGAAGCATTGTCTTGGAAGGAAGGTGGGTGTGAAGAAAAAAAGGAAAGAAAGGAAAAAGCAATTTTTTCTCTTTGTCTCAGTGCATGAAATTTCACCATTAAAGTTCTCTCTTTTATATCTTGGTGGCTAGTAAATCCCTAACAGCCCTAATATAGATGATATTTAAACCTCATCTGCTAACACTTTGCAGGGAATTCGTTTAAGCAATTAAAATCTTCCCTTTCCTCAAACACCGCCATCCGTAAAACAGAGAACCGTGAAAGGGAAGGCCGATGGCCCTCTAGTCTAGTCCAAACTGCAACCTGATAAGATTTTAGAAGTCACTCCTTCCTCAAGACCCTTTACTGCCATCTGCTGGAAAAATTTGGTATTAACACACAGATTGCCCTATGACTACAAGACAATGGACCCTCTGGGATTGTGCAACAAACACACCGCTTGCAGAACTGTGAGCAATGCCCCAAAACAAGCTTCACAGTTTTGCCAAGGGCTGGCACTACTGCAGCACAGCCGCCCTTGATCGGTTGCTGTCCCTTCAGGCGTGCGTCCCATGTGAATTCTTTCCTGCCAGGACTTTCCTTGATAACTCTTGTCCATCCATGGTACTAGATGATTATAGCTCCCTTTCTCCAGAACCTCTAGAATGGAATATCTGCAGGGCCCCTTCAGACCATTTCAAAGACCCCTTTAGGTGTCCACGACCTCCCCAGGTGAAAAATTTTTTAAGGAATGTGAATTCATTTTTCCATCATTACTTGAGGCAGCACCATAAATTGTGACAGTGGAGGCCTAATGGAATGCAGCATCGCACGCGAGCCCCATGGATGGGAAACAGACCTGATTAGGTGCCATCAAAACAACACAACTGACCATTGGAAACTCTGCTGAGGTCTCAGGTGCTGAGGAGCAGGAGAGAAGAAGAGAAAGAAGTCCTGTGGGGCTCACACAGCCGGCCAGCCTCTCATCTCAAAGACAGAAACGAGGTTTGGCTTCATTCTTTTCTGCCCACTGATTGCTTTATTTCAAATTACCCTAACTACTTAGCATGGCAAATTAAGTTAAAACCCCCAAAAGTTTGCGGAGAATGTCATCTAATCTGATTAAAAGGAATAGTCCCGTCACAAGCTAGGGAGGAAATGGAAATTACTCTGAGTGCAGTGCTATTAAATAATTTGCATAGACTTGCATATGGTATACATCAGAAAAGCATATGCTCTTTAGATTTAATGAAATAATTTTCCCTTTCTAAAGACTCTTACAGTCTCTGTCCTTCCCTATCTGTCTTTTCCTCTTCCCAGCTGTCTCTTTTTGAATGCTAAAATTATTTCATGAGGAGGGTACATAGCAATGCACAAATTACATGAAATATGTTAATAATCTTCCTGCTGGCAGGGCTGGGAGGCCCTGAAACTGCATTGCCAAACTTCCCAAATGTCCCCCTTGTCAATCTCACATAATTAAAGGCTCCCTTTACAACCTTAAAAGGTTCCGTTTGATTCATTTGGGGCTTCCATTGATGGGGGAAGGGTGGTTAAAACCAATCCTTTGGCTCTACTTTCCCAAATAATGTCTTCCTAACTCTATGCAATAGCATCTAAATCAAAATGAAAATGAAAGGAAAAATTGCCATCATGCCCATGTCATCTACATCAGTTGAGTCTGTGACACTGCCATTGAGGTTGCACACATACAATAATCATCCTTGAAAGATTTTTGTGCCTGCTCTGCTTTTCAGGATTCAAAACCCTTGACAAATGTTAGCTGCTATTAAAGCATCACCCCCATTCTATCAATGGAAACAAGGAAGCCCAGATAGGGGAGTATGATGGGCTAGTGGCTATTGGCCGGGGAAGGGAAGGGGAGGGGAGATGAAATCTAACTATTTTTGTATTCTCTATGGATATTCACTAGTTTTTTAGTAATATTTTAGCAGATCTCATGTTCAGTTGTAATGTAGCCAACAGAGGAATTCTAGTGAATTCCCCAACAAAATTACATTAGGATCAAATGTGATCGTTATAAACACTATCCAGATGTTGGGGATGGACTGGATATAACTCTTTAAGCCCCAAATTACAGTATAATAAATGCAAGCATGGGGATCTGCCAATACATCTGAACTTCGTGTCGGAAACCAGGTCTGACCTTAATTTAACTCTGTAAGGACCTAAGAATTTCCCCACTTGTATAGTTAGGATGCATTCAAACATCTCCAAGTGCCATATTGTCATGAGTTTTATCACTTACTTGAAGCATGACCATATCAGATTCTGGAGTCAAGCCAATCTTAATGCAAGCATTTTATTAACACATTTAGAAAGGAAACAGAATCACAACTAGAAATAACTATTGAGGTTATGAAACAAACCTGTGAAATGAAATACAATATAATATTAAAATCACATTTGTCCTTGGTAAATCTCAGGGAGTTAAGATAGTATAATAAGCACACACTAAAATATTGTACTACGTAAACCAGCAATGCAAATTACTACAGGCCCACAGAGAAAGATATAATTTGGCAAGAAAAAATTTCATCTTCTGCTCCTGAAATCTTTTCATTATGCAGGGTTGTTAGAAATTGATAACTTTGTGTGATAGCTCAAGATCAGGACCGAATATATCATAATTAGAATATCAGTGGTTATAGGGAAGATAAATAGTTCAAATATTCTAGTGTCAAATATTTTAAAATAATAGGCCCTTTGGAAAGCTGGAATCAATAGACTAACCAATTTATTAAGTAGTAAACTATGGGATGACTGCTATCTGTGTGATATCATGTTGGGTAATGCTGGAAGAAACAGAAAGTAAAAAGAAAGATTTTAAGGAGTTCCAAATATGTATCAGGTCCTTTAAGAAATGCATGTTCTTTATCTGATTTTAATGTAGGATGTATCAAACCACAGAATGGTCTCCTCCCTGGAGAAACTTAAAATATAGTGCCAAAGTTATGAAATATACAACCCCCCAAAATTCAGAAGTTAAACCATCAAACAAAATAATAGATGTCATGGCCGAGTGTGGTGGCTCACGCCTGTAATCCCAGCACTTTGGGAGGCCGAGGTGGGCAGATCACCTGAAGTTAGGAGTTCGAGACCAGCCTGACCAACATGGCAAAACCCCATCTCTACTAAAAATACAAAAAAAATTAGCCGGGCTTGGTGCCACATGCCTGTAGTCCCAGCTACTCAGGAGGCTGAGGCAGGAGAATTGCTTGAACCCAGGATCCAGAGGTTGCAGTGAGCTGAGATTGCACCACTGCACTCCAGCTTGGGTGACAGAGCAAGACTCCATCTCAAAAATAATAATAATAATAATAATAATAATAATAATAATAATAATAGATGTCACAAGTCAGCATAAGTAAAGCATTGAGGGTCTCTGTGCATCTCCCACCACCAACTCTCCAAATGAAAAAAGCTATTTGTATCAGTTGAAAAGTATTGAAAACACCTGAAATCTGCTACCAAAAATGTGAATGCTATGTCATAATTGTTTACCAAGAGTTTTTTTAAATCATTCTTTTTTTACAAAAAAAGTAAAAATTTATCATTATCACATTCATACAGCCTGTGAATCTCCCTTTGCTCCTTCCTGCTCCCAGCCCCTTATGTTTTTGTCACTTGTTATATGACATTGAGGTAGACCAACAAAAAAAGAGTTCTCAGAATGGGAAATTTGAGTGAGCTGGCACTGTGGGCCTCAAAATCATCTCAGAGGAATAATCAGAAGAATATATATCTGTCCATTGACAGATAACCTGATACACAATGTGTGATATATGCATACAATGAGATATTCCTTGGCCTTAAAAAGGAATGAAGTACTGATGCATACTACAAGATGGATAATAGAGAACCTTGAAAACGTGATGCTGAGTGAAAGAAGCCAGACACACAAGGACAAATATTCCATGATTCCCTTTATATGAGGTATCTAGAGTAGTCAAATTCAGAGAGAGCAAGCAGAATAGTGGAGACTAGGGGTGGAGGGAGGGGAGAATGGGGGGTAATTGTTTAATGGGTGCAGAGTTTCTGTTTGAAATGATAAAAAATTCTGGAAACAGTAGTGACAGTGGTGATGATTGCACCACGCTGTGAAGGTACTTAATGCCACTGAATTGCACACTTAGAAATCGTTAAAAAGATAAATGTTTATGTTTGTATATTTTACCACAATAAAATATCTACTGTTTTCTCTCAGGAAAAAGCAGTAGAAGCCAAGATGCCCTGGCAGTGACAGCCATGGAGTGTGTGAGGAAAAGAGATTACAGAGCGTAAGTGGCATGGGTTTACCTAAGGCAGTTTCCTCCCAGGGCCGGTCAGTGTGTGTCAAACAAAAGGGACTGTCTAGCTAGAGATCACTTTAGAAGTGTCTGACCCATCTAAAGGCAACAATCTCATCAAAAAAACAAAGCAGAACACTGTACAAAGTCTCTCCAGGGCAAGGGTACCAATTTGTCACTCCTGGTATTAGACATCAATATAATGTTAGACCTGCCAGATTGCAGTGGTTGTGAAATCAACTGGAAGTGAAGAAATGGAAGAGAGTATGCTAAGAAGCTTCAATTTGGTCTTGCAGCCATGGGAAGTTTCCTAGCAGGAGAATGACTTACTGAAAGGAATGTTTTAAAAGGCTTAAATTTTACAACCCTTCAAGGGTACCCCAGACAAGCACTCACTCACTCCTGGAAGGATTACTAATTGTTTCAGCCTTTCAGGAGAGCAGTTTGGCAATACAGATAAGGAGTCTTAAAGAAAAGTTCATACTCTTCTAGAACCCTTCCTCAAGAATATAATCAGATAAGGATTAGACTTACATGTAAGGTCATTAATATTACAGAGAAGTATTTTAATAGCAAAAATAAAAAGTTTTTTCAGAAAAAAATTAAATGTCCAAAAGTAGACAAATAAAAAAATATATAGTTTATCACAAGACAGAATGAGGGAACTTTTCAAACAACACTCTTAAAAAATTTCCAGCAGCATGGGAAAAAAATCCCCATGATATAAAGTTAAGAAAGCAGAATATAAAATTATACAGTATTAAGACAATTATGAAAATATACACAGAGCTACACATTCTCTGGGTGGTTGGATTATGAATTATTTATTTCATTTATACTTTCTTGGGTTTTAAAATTTTCTCCAACATACATGTGTTACTTTTATGAGAAAAAACAACAAAAGTTATGGAAAGAAAAAGAAGTTGACAACCACACAAGATGAATTAGAAGGGAAAGAGTAGAGACAAAAACAAAAAAAATCTGGCCTTTGATGGAGGGCATGGGGGAGGGGGGAAGTTTGTTACTGCTGTTTTGTTTTGTTTCAAGTAAAAGATGTTATACTACCTGTGGAACAAAGAGGCACAGCCACCAATGGGAAAGGATTGGTTATTAACTACGGCAGAAACAGACCTACAGAAAAGATCACTAGTCACACACCATAGCTTTATTTAACAACCCCTCTTTTATAGAAAAGAATACAATTAATTTTGACATTAGTCCAAATGTTATTATTTGTGTGGTTAATTGTCACCTATTTATGGTTTTGAAAAAGATTGGTCTGTGAATACAAAGACTCTTGGGCTCCTGGTCTCTGCCATGAACTACTAACCTCTTGGGGAAATTGGCCTCAGTTTCCTCATCTGTTAAGAAGCACAAGTTAAAATAGATGATCTCTAAAACGTTTTCCAGCCTTAAATGCTATGACTATTTTAGTCCATATTAATTTCCTATTAATGAAACCAACCTGTAAGTGTATTTTCAGCTAGACCACCCACCAAATCAAACTAAATTGGAATGTCTTTACATGTGCCAGTATTCTAGGTGCCATATTAAATTAAAACAGAGTTCTTTCTCCAGCATTTAACATTTTCAAAAATTGTTTGTAGACTTAAGGGAAAAGTGAGTTATGAGATTTGTGAAAAAAGCTCTACAATGGGACAATCTTTTTTTTTTTTTAAGTCCAAAGACTAAAAGAAGCTTAGTTGAGGTGGCAGATGGGGAACACACCTAAACATACAAACAACCTTTTGGTACCACCTGCCTTGCATTGATACAGAGTGAGGGTAAGCTTGTCTATTTTTTTTTTTTTTAATACAACTGCCTTCCAATAAGAAACTTGGAGGGATTCTCCAAATATAAAATGCAACAGGATGGAAACATAAAACCAGATCCAACTCACCTGAATTTTCAAATAAAGAACAAAAGCCTTCATTTAACAAACAGAAAATATTTTATTTTTTTACTTTTCATTTTTCTTTTCAGTAGTGGTACTTCTTGCTATAGAAAATATTTTAAAGCAGCAGTCTGCAAACTTTTTCTTAAAAGGCCAAATTTTAATTTAGGCTTTGCTGATTATACAAGAATCTCTGTCACAACTATTCAGTTCTGCCTTTGTAGCACAAATTATTCACAGACAATTCATGGACATGTGGACATGGCTTTGTGCCAATAAAACTTTTTTACAAAAACAAAGGGCCAGCCCATTTGCATACTATCTTAGTCTATTTTCTGTTGCTATAACAGAATACCTGAGACTGGATAATTTATAAAGAAAAGTGATTTACTTAGCTCAGAGTTCTGGAGGCTGGAAAGTCCAAGATCAGGTTAGCGCATCTGGTGAGGGCCTCTTGCTGCTCCATAGCATGGCAGAAAAGAGGACGGGCAAGTGAGCCTGTGTACAAAGAGGTGGGCTAGCTTTATAACAACCTGCTTTTGCAGTAATTAATCCAGTCTCAGGAGAGGGAAAACTCACTCACTCGAGAATTAACTCAGCCCCTCGAGAACAGCATTAATCCCACTTAATGACCTAGTCACCTTTTCAATGCCCCACATCCCAACACTAGCAAACTGGGGACAAAATTCCCAACACATGAATTCTGAGGGACTCACTCAAACCATAGCACCTACACCTGTTGTAAAGCATTTTTTCAGTTCACATTGAATCCAGTTATTAGAAGATAAGGGTGAAAAGGAAGAGTAAGAAAAACATAATGAGTGGAAAGACTGAGGTGTATGGGAGGAATGAGTGGGAGGGAGATAGAGAGAAAATGCAAGAAGAGTAGTGACTTGAGCCCAAGGAGGAAATTAGAGTTAATACTCACACGGAAGAGGCCAATGCAGAAAGAAAAAAAAAAAAAGAGGGAAATGAAGAGGAAGAAAGAGAAAAAGTGATAAAGAGAAACAGCACAGAAGCATGAAACCTGTTTCTATTATTGTCATTGGGCCACAAAGAAAAATGCTAGGGGTTATTTATAAACAAAAAGCACTTATAACTAAATTTGGTGTTTTTTTTTTTTAATGTTTGACTTGCAGCCTTAAATCTTTTATTGTGCAATGGCTTCTATCTGTAATTCCAGTACTTTGAGAGGCCATGGCAGGAGGATCACTGGAGCCCAGGCACCTTGGGCAACATCGCAAGACTCCGTCTCTACAAAAAAATGAAAAAAATTAGCCAGGTATGGCGTCATGCCCCTGTGGTCCCAGCTAGTCAGGAGGCTGAGGTGGGAGGATCACTTGAGCCTGGGAGGTCAAGACTGTAGAGGGCTGTGATTATGCCACTGCACTCCAGTCTGGGTGACGGAGTGAGCCCCTGTCTCAAAAAAAATCAATCAAGATTTATTTTTTTTAAAAAATTTAAAAACCTATAAGAAAAACAGACTGAAGGAGAAAGGCTAAAAGTAAAGGAATCCAAAGAAAAGAATTTATAACAATTCCTGAAAGGAAAGCACCAAATGGGAGCAGGGGCAGGACACAGTGACAGGCAGGAGAAAACAAAAAGCAAAGGGTCATTTTTCCTGTCCTCTCAGTCTCTGCTTCCTGGAATTCCAGGTGCCAAGTCTGATCTGCAACTTCTAGAAATTTCCTGTTCAAAATGGCCAGTTGACACATGTCCAGCAACGGCTTGGCAGCCATCCCTCCTCAGCCCTCCACTCATCCCAAGCCCAAGTGGTCTCAGCCTACCAGTCACTTGCCTTTCCAGTAATGGCTAAATATCAAATCCCTTCCTGGCACTGTGAGTGTGTACACTGACAAGGGTGGAAAATTAAGCATAGATCCGTTTCCTCATCCATTGGTCACACCTTAGCATTTCCTTTCAAGTAAGAATTACATGGAAAGGACCTCCAGACCTAGGGGTCCTGTAGCACTTTGGTTCTAATGACTAAAGCAGACTCTTCAGTTCTGACCTTGTAAACATCATAACCTGGGGTGTGGGTGTCAGAAAGGAGAAAAAAGGCCTCGGAGCCATTGGGAAGAATTACATTTAAGCCATCTCAATTAAATGGGCATTAATCTCTCTCCCTGCCCCTTCTATTTCTTTCTCGCATGCTCCATTTGTCCTCTAGAGACAACTCAAACGACCTCTTTTCAATCCACACCTGGCTTTAAATAACACTCACATTCAGGAAGTTCTTTTTTACATTTAACCCAAATCCTTTCTGCTAAGTTAATACCTATTTCCTCAGTGGAGATTTGGAACAGCTGGTTCCCATTCTCTTTATGGCAACTCTTCTCAAAGATTCATAGGCTTATAAAGGATGTCCATACCAACCCCACGTAAGGCATACAGCTCCCTTAAGCATTTTCCAATAATATTTTCCTATGCATTTATCAATAATCAATTGCCCAGTCTGTAGAGATCTGACTCATTGAGCAAATTTCTACAGCTCAAGGAAGACAATATCCAGTAACTCAAGGGGCAAAAGGGCCTAAAGGCAATCACTTTTTACTTGAATTATTAAATACCTGCTTTTGTGAAGACACTGCTAATTTGAAGTTTGGGACAGAACAAAGACTAAAACTGAAGCAGAGTGTGTATGTCTAAGGAAGGAAGCATGTGGGAATGACCAATTCTTAGCCAACTGCCTACAGCTCTGCTCAAGAACATTATCTCTTTGTGAGAGCAAGGAGAGGCATTTTAGAATTTTAACAAATAGCACCCAATGTTGGTCTCTCAATAAGATTTGTAACTGTCTTCTCCTGATCACATATCTCAAACCATTTCTTCTCTAAAGCATTAAAAAAAATATATCCAGAATAATACAAAAGATGACTTTTAGGAGCAAACAACATATGTTCTTGAACATCTGTGCTTTTCCCATGCAATTTTTTTTCCATTATTGTCAAGAGAAAACTAGTTTAGTGGAAAGTTTCTCCACAGAGGCACAAGTCTGTAATACTCCCTGTTGATTACATATAAAAGACACAAAATATTACTTTCTTAAAAGCAGCTTCAACCACTGCTGTACAAAGCAGTTCTCTGATGGAACAGATTTATGAAGTAACAGCTGAAAGGTATGCAGATCACAAGATACATGACAAATGTACTTTATTACATGGATCAGAAATACCACATGTACTAACAGTTGCTGTACAATGATACACAACACCCAACTAAGACTATTTAAAGGTTTTGCTGATATTGAAAACTATAAAGACACAATGTGAGAGTAAGAAAGTGTTTCATAAGATAGCATAATGCCAAGACAATTCATCGCTTTAGGATATTAAATACATTCCGCATATTAAAAACTTAATGTATTATAAAGCTATGCCATTCTTTAAATGAAAACTTGAAGGACTTTACTCCATTCATTTTTCTTTACAGGACTATTGCAGTACCATTCATTGTTTAAAGCAGATGTTTATAACATTTTTCCATACTTTAAAGTGGAACTTAATGGAACGAATACCAGACCTAACATTAACAAAATTAAAGAGATTTCATATTTTATTTCCACCAAAAAGATACTTAAGTCTACAGTTATGTAGTACCAAAAAACTATGTAGAGCAAAACAAGCATGATACATTTCAAACATGACAATTTATTACGAGGCATTTTTTTTTGGCTGAAAAGAACTTTAACAGCTTTCAACCCAAATTCCAAGAACAGTTGGCCCTCTGTATCTATGAATTCTGCATTTGGGGCTTCGTCCTGAGATAAAAAATATTCAAAAGAAAACTACAGTTGCATCTGTACTGAACATGTACCGACTTTTTTTCTTATCATTATTCCCTAAATACAGTATAACAACTATTTACATAGCATTTTCATTGTATTATAAGTAATCTAGAGATGATTTAAAGTACAGTCATGCATTGCATGATGACATTTCAGTCAATATAGGCAGTGGTCCCATAAGATTACAGTAGAGCTGAAACATTCCTATGGCCCAGTGACACTGTAGCCATCTTAACATCACAGTGCAATGCATTACTCACGTGTTTGTGGTGATGCTGGTGTAAACAAACCTACTGTGCTGTCAGTCATATAAAGGTATAGCACATACAATTATGTACAGTTCATAATACTTGATAATAATGACTACGGTTTATGGCTTTACTATACTTTTTATTTTAGAGTGTACTCCTTCTACTTAAAGAAAAAGTTGACTGTGAACAGCCTCAGGCAGGTCCTCCAGAAGGTATTGCACAAGAAGGTGTTGCTCTCATAGGAGATGGCAACTCCATGCCTGTTATTGCCCCTGAAGGCCTTGCAGTGGGACAAGCTGTGGAGGTGGAAGACAGTGTAGATGGAGGCTAATGTGTTTGTGTCTTAGTTTTTAACAAAAAAACTTAAGAAGTAAAAAAAGAAATTAAAAAATTAAAAATTGTGGAAATAGAAAAAAGCTTATAAAAATATAAAATATTTGTGTACAGTTGTACAATGTATTTGTGTTTTAAGGTAAGTGTTATGATAAAAGGGTTATACAGTTTAAAAAATTAAAACGTTTATAAGGTAAAAAAGTTACAGGAAGCTAAAGTTAATTTATTATTGAAGAAAGTTTTTTATAAGTTTATGTAGCCTAAGTGCACAGTGTATATAAAGCCTACAGCAGGCCGAGTACAGTGGCTCACGCCTGTAATCGCAGCACTTTGGGAGGCTGAGGCAGGTGGATCACCTGAGGTCAGGAGTTCAAGGCCAGCCTGACCAACATGGAGAAACCTCATCTCTACCAAAAATACAAAATTAGCCGGCCGTGGTGGTGCATGCCTGTAATCCTAGCTAGTCGGGAGGTTGAGGCAGAAGAATTGCTTGAACCCAGGAGGTGGAGGTTGAGGTGAGCTGAGATTGCGCCATTGTACTCCAGCCTGGGCAACAAGAGTGAAACTCCGTCTCAAAAAAAAAAAAAAAAAATATACAGCAGTATACAGTCATGTCTGAGGCCTTCACATTCACTCATGGCTTACTCATTGACTCACCCCAAGCACGAGTCCTCCAAGCACTATTCATAAGTGGTACAGGTGTACCATTTTTTTATCTTTTATACTGTATTTTTACTGTACCTTTTCTATGTTTAGATACACAAATACTTCCCATTGTGATACAATTGCCTACAGTACTCAGTACAGTAACTTGCTTGACCAATTTGTAGCCTAGAAGCAATAGGCTATATCACATAGCCTAAGTGTAGTAGACGATACCCTCTAGATTTGTGTAAGTACAGTCTATGATATTCACACAATGATTAACGATATTACCTAGTGACACACTTCTCAGAACACATCCCAGTCATTTAGTGACATATGACTATATATGGGAGGATGGGCATGGGTTATATGCAAATATTTCACCAGTTTATGTAAGCGATTCGAGCATCTGTGGATTTTGGTATCTGTGAAGATCCTGGCACCAATCCCCGATAGATTCTGAAGGATAACTCTACAGTGTTTGAATCCATTTTGCTACATTCCAACCAAATGCCTGTCCACCTTAGACTGACACCTCAAGGATCCCAAGGTGCCCATTTCAGCTCCCAAAATCTTGGTTAGAAGGCGCTTCCTTAAATCAAATAAAAGTCTGTCTCTCTGTAGCTTTCCATCATAGGTATTCATTCTATACTCTGGGACAGGCGGCTTGCTCACTACTTAGCAGTTGCATGACTTTGGGTAAATTTAGTTAACCTTTCAAACTGTTTTCTCATCTGAAAATAGGGATAATTAAAGTATTGATCCCACAGTGTTTTAAAGATTAAATAATATACATAAAGCATTTAAGAGAGTACGCATTCTCTAAATGTTGGCTGTTGGGTTATTTTTACTGCTTGCCTACCAAATTAAGCTTATTTGGCAACACATTGTATTTTCTCCCCTGCTCTAAAATAACTGCAAAAGACTCTTGGCATTCAACTGCGGAAAATTTAGGGTTTTGTAAGCAGGCCCAAAAGTGGCCCTGGGCCTCCTGGCTACCTGACAGTCCTCTGGAAACAGCAGAGTGACCTTTGACCTGATGTAAGTATTTAACAGTCCCACCTCACCCCTAAACATTTCCTTGTAAAATTGGTATGTGTCTACTGCAACAGTGTTTTTATTAATACATGCAGGCAAATAGAGGGAAAAAGACATATATTTTGTGTTTAGCACAAATTTGAATCACTCTGCCAGATGGCATCAGAAGTTAGTCACTTAACTAGTAAGATTAGCCAACAGCTTAGCATCTGCATTTCTATTGTAGTATTTATAAATTTGGCAATGCCTTAGATTCCTCCCAATTTTATGTTGTGGTCAGCACTTCCCTAAATTACACATTGCTGCCCCTCACCATCACCACCAGTCCATTTCAGATATTTGATTCAAGTCATTTATAGCTATTTTTCTTCTCCAACTCTTAAGCCATATTCCAGAAACACGGATCCAAATTTTGAAAATATCTGAATTTCCTAATAAGCAAATATATACTGCTGCATCCTTATTTGATGTAGCATGTGAATTACATAGTGGGAAGAGATATCTACACTAATGTGACAGTAGAAAATAGGATGTGGTCAAAACCACTACTTGATTCTACCTTAGAGCTTCAACTGCAGTTTGCATTTCTTCTCTGATTAGTACCTTGGGCAACTACTGATCATGGCCTACACCTTCCCCTTTTGGATTGGTCAGCCCATTCCTAATGAAGTGTCACCTGAGGAAATCCAGTCTGCCTTAGGCCTAGAGATTTGAGGAGGGTTCTGTACATCATTATTCTACTTAAACCTGCTCTTTATCTGATCCTGAGCCCACATGAACCCAATCTATCACAGGTTGACCCAAAAATAGGTATTCTATCCTAAAATCACCTTTCTCTCTTAGCAAGAGTTTGCACATCCTTGAGAGGCAGAATGGCATTGTAAGAGTATAGGCTCTAGAGCCACACTGCCTAAATTTGAATCCCAGATTTCAGTTTTAGTTGTATGGCCTGTGTGCCTCAGTTTCCCCATGTGTAAACAGAGATTACATTAGTACCAAACTCAGATAACATTAGTACCAAACTCATGAGATTGCTGGGCAGATTAAATGAGTTAATACTTGAAGCAGTTTTGATCATCTTTAAATTATATTTTGATTTCAGACTTAATTTCTTAAAACACAAAAAGTGTTACATTCAATTCCTAATGTGATTTAGCTCACTCAATCTAATTCCAAAATGATTTGGTGCTTAGCTTGAGCTCCATCTTGTGGCTTTACAGCAATTCTCTGGAAAATGTCAGTCAAAAAGATGACAAATTTCAAAAAAATAAGCTAATTATTTAAAAGATAAAAGGACTATGCTATACTTCTCGATTTGTAATCTTTAAAAATAAAGTGCCAAAGATGTGACCATACCCCTGCACTAATTTTGAAATGCTAGTCTAAATTTCCTGCCAATATTTGGAGGTGGGGAGAATCTTGCTGGTAGTGTTCAGGAACTCAGTGCCTTAGAGGGTACTGACAACACTGTGTCAGTAAACTTCTCTTCAGCAGTCGCCTTTCCAGAGGCCATGTGACACTTGAGAACATGATTCCCAAATATGTTTTCTGGTAATGGTGCTTTGATTTTTGATTTTGTTAACTTTCAAGTTAAATCCTGAATGGACAAACTTCATGACTGGACACAATGAAGTGAAAATCCTAACATCAGAGAGGCTCTGGATGAAAGCTCAAAGCTACTATCAACAGAATCAAATTAGAGGTTATCAGCCACAGAAAACATGAACATAACCCTGGCATTGGTCTCTACCTGACAATGCTGCCAAAATGTAAATAAGTGCCAACTGTGTAATATCACGAATGTAGACTTTTTTTTTTTTTTTTTTTGAGATGGAGTTTCGCTCTTCTTGCTCAGGCTGGAGTGCAATGGTGTGGTCTTGACTCACTGCAACCTCTGCCTCCCAGGTTCAAGCGATTCTCCTTCCTCAGCCTCCCAAGTAGCTGGGATTACAGGCACCTGCCACCATGCCCAGCTAACTTTGTATTTTTAGTAGAGACAGGGTTTCACCATGTTGGTCAGGCTGGTCTCAAACTCCTGACCTCAGGTGATCCATCTGCCTCAGCCTCCCAAATTGTTAGAATTTGGTGCCTGGCCCCCTTTTCCAAAAATCATAAAAAATGTCTACATTAGGCCGGGTGTGGTGGCTCACGCATGTAATCCCACCACTTTGGGAGGCTGGGGCAGGTGGATTACTTGAGTCCAGGAGTTTGAGACCAGCCTGGGCAACATGGCGAAACCCTGTCTCTACAAAAATACAAAAATTAGCTGGGCGTGGTGGCACCCACCTGTAGTCCCAGCTACTGGGGAGGCTGAGGTGGGAGAATCGCTTCAGCCTGGGAGGTGGAGGTTGCAGCGGAGCCACACTTGTGCCAATCACTCCAGCCTGGGTGACAGAGTGAGACCCCATCTCAAAAAAAAAAAAAAAAAAAACATAAATAATTCAGCTACTGTATTTAGGCTGATATTGTCAGTGGCTTAACTGGTTGTTTGCAATTTTTTTTATTTTATGAATAAAAATGTACATATTCACTTTTCCCTCACAAATGCTAGTGTTATTCATACCTACACCAAAGGCAACAAAGATCATGAATGACATCTTTCAATTCATATCTTTCTTAGCTGTTAAGAAATTTTAAGCATTTAAAGTTATCTACCAACTTTTCAATAAACTATTGAGAAAAATAAGAAAAGTCTACTATATTTAAACAATTCCAAGAGTTTACTGGCATCAAATTTTATAAGCTTAAATTTTCTGAAACATTTGGGTCATGTCCTCTTTATTACAATACATGTCCATGTATTGTGCCCCAATTTAGCAGTGTGCCTGGCACAAAGTTTGTGACCTCATGACCAAGTGGCCTTATTCTATTTCACATTTTACTTGAGTTCTCCTGGGAAGTTAACATCTTCTTCTAAACAGATACACAGCTCTCAGCCCTATGAGAGCAGAAATCTTATCTTATTCAATCTGTCCCAAGCATCTGGAAAGTCCCTGGCCCACATACTAGGCACTCAGTAAGTATTTGGTTGTTCCAGTTAACATATGAGATGGTTAATCTGATTATAGTGAAATTCAGAGGGAATGCTAAGTTTAGATTGCTTAACTAAAAGTAAAATAAAAATGAATTTAGCAAACTGTAGTAAGACAGATTTAACTAAAAATCATTTCTCAGAAAACTAGTTTCAAAGAGTAGACGCTAAACAGGTTTCTTTGCTGCTGGAACCCTGTAGGACTATTCTAATCCTAAACTAAAATCTTTTGTAAATCTTCAAGTATGTAGCATTTCCCAAATCGATGTGAACACAATTTATTTTTTTTAACCAAGCATCCAGAGGAAACTGATACTGAAGAACACACTCCGGGGAATGCTGCATGATACTATATTAGGCCACACAATATTAACACTAAAGAACATTAAATCAGTTTCCATGAAAAACCTGAAATGTTCTAATTTCCTAAAAAGCATACTGATTTGTATATGTTAATATTCTACCTAAAATTAAGATAAGAAAACATTTAATTGAAATCTGGTCTTCTCTAGGACTAAAAAACCTTAAGCATACATGAAAGAAAAAAAAATCAGACTTGAAGATCTACACACAAAATATCTTTTATTCTGTGGAATCAAAGCTCCACACAAGTACTTTATAAGATCCATTATTTTTTTTTTTTTTGAGACAGAGTCCTACTCCATTGCCCAGGGTGGAGTGCAGTGGGGCAATCTTGGCTCACTGCAACCTCCATCTCCTGGGTTCAAGCAATTATCCTGCCTCAGCCTCCCGAGTAGCTGGAACTACAGGTGCGCGCCCCCATGCCCGGCTAATTTTGTATTTTTAGTAGAGATGGGGTTTCACTGTATTAGCCAGGCTAGTCTCGAACTGACCTCGTGATCCACCTGCCTCGGCCTCCCAAAGTGCTGGGATTACAGGTGTGAGCCACCATGCCCAGCCCTAATGTAGTATTTTTAAATGATATGATTATACAACAACTTTCTTTAAAATCTAAGTTCACAAAAATTTGTCAGTACATCATCTGTTTTATCTCTATTGACTATAATTACCAGTTGTAAGAACAATTCTAACCATATTAATACCTGACAGAACGTTGAGGCCTGATTATAACTGGATATTGGGTAGCATCCAGTTAAAGTATCAGTAGAGCTTGGATGTATCAAAGAAAATATTTTATTCAAGTTCCCAAAACAAACTTGAGGAGTTATGCTGGGTTTGAATTGAAGAAAAAAGGCCAAGTTAAAATAGGAAAACAAATGGTTTTCATTTGGTGGCAGTTGAAATCAAAGTATACATGTGTATACATTCTAATCCGTCATCTATCCCATGTGGCATTTTCCAAGGTTTTAAGAGTCTACCAGGCCAAACCCTTTGCCACTTTCACTGCTTTTGCTTTGCTTTTCCCCTTTCTTTTCTCTCGCTTTGCCTTCAGCCTTTTTCTTTGCCTTTGGTTCATCCATATTGGGTACTGTCCATGCTGGTCTAGAAGAGTCTTTTTGTTTCTCTTAATATCAGTCTCCATTTTCATGTCATCTGCATAAAAAGATGGAAAAACTATTAACACCATGTATGAAAAAAACCACCCTGTGAAAGCATATTAATGCACTGAGAACATCAGAACATTAGAACTGAAGGTAGACCGAAAATAGAGAAGAAAAAAACTTTATAAAGAATGTTGGCATGACTGTCCTTCCTTAGAATAGTAATGTTAAATAGGAAACATTTAGGATGCATGGCTCTGAGTTAGTACATTAGTAGATATATGGTTCTGAGCACATGTGAGTTACAACAACATTTCTCATATTAAGTGATTCCTTGAGTTCAGTAAGCATACCTACACTTCTAAGGGATACACCTTAGATGTAATGAACTGATTAGGAATGACTGGCCATTTCTTAAGAACTTGAACTAAATTATAATGAACTGAGAACGAACTTCTAATGAACTCGATGGAGTAGTCAGCAGCAGGGTTGTAATGGCAGAGACAGGCACTCAACAGAGAAGACCTGGACACATCCTGGGGCTGGCATACTTTTCCTAGCTAGGTAACACCCAGAGATCCAGCTCTACTGATAGGAGACTTGGCAGGAAGCTCAGTGCAAACATGCTGTGGTACACCTATCACCTTCTCCACTGTGAAGGACATGCTCAGAGTCCCTCACTGGGACCTCCTTATCAGGATACACAAAGTCTTCTATTATCTCGACTACCTGGCATTATATTAGATATTTGCCATTGTTTCCACAGTATCTAGAATAGTGTCTGGTATATAACAGCCACTCAATAACTAGGTGTTGAATGATTATTTTAGGTGCTGTTCTAGTTTATGGGGATATAGTGGTCCATATGAACTCCTAGCCCTCACGGAGTTTACAGTGTTCTGTTGACGGGAGAATAACACAGCAAACAGAAAGAAAACCTCAGCCAGGTATAGTATCTATAGGCATTTGTAGTCTCAGCTATTCGGGAGACTGGGGTGGGAGGATCATTTGAGGCCAGGAGTTCAAGGATGTTGTGGGCTTGGTCACGCCTGTGAACAGCCACTATACTCCAGCCTGGGCAACAAAGTGAGATCCTGTCTCCCCGCAAAAAAAAGAACTGGTAGGCGCTGGTAAGAACATGTTAAGATAATGAGGTTTTTAAGCATGGCAGTGATATAAACTGATTTACCTTCTGAAAAGATCACACTGGTGGATATGTAGAAGATAAATGAGAAGGGAACAAGAGCGGAAGAGAGAAGTAAAAAGGCTCCTATAATAGTACAGGCAAGAGATGACGGCCTTCTGAATCAAGGTGAAAGCAGGAAAAAAATGGATACAGATTTCTAATGTATTTTTGGGACAATCAGTAAGACTTGCTAATGGTTTAGATGTGGGGAATAAAGGAAAGAGGAATCAAGGATGACTACTAGGTTTATGGCTTAAGAAATCAGGCAGGCAGTTGAAAGAGTAGAAATAAGGAAAAACATGAACTTGAGGGTAGAGATGAGAGCCAAATTGATAACAAATAGATTACTAAATGGGGAGACTCCCTCAGTCTCAGTCTCACCACCCTTTAGCTCCTAAAATATCTAAGAATAAGGGCATCCAGAATTCCCCAGGCAGGACATAAGATAATTTCTCTCTGGGGATGATGAGGAAAAAAAAAGACTTAACAGATTCTGATACAGGAGATCTCCGAATAAAACCTCCTGGAGCCATTCCAAATCTTCTATACATCTAGCAGTTGACAGACCCTCTCCCACACCTTGTCTCCCTCCAGCTTCCAATCATCATTGTAGTGCCACACTTTTAAATACAAACAATGACCACTGATCACCAGACATTTGAGAAAAGCTTCTAATATGAAAGAAAGAGACAAAAGTAAAGGAATGGAAGGGCTTGGGAGGGAATTCCAAGAGGAAAGACAGATAATACATACCATAAATAAAAATTTCAAAAGCAAATTGTAATTAATACCCTTAGGAGAAGATATATGCCCATTAAGAACACAGAGTTGATGACTCAAGGGGCATTTACAAAACACAAAGAACACAAAGCTATGAAAAAGGAACAGTAGGCCAGGCGCAGTGGCTCACGCCTGTAATCCCAGCACTTTGGGAGGCCGAGGCGGGTGGATCACGAGGTCAGGAGATCGAGACCATCCTGGCTAACATGGTGAAACCCCGTCTCCACTAAAAATACAAAAAATTAGCCGGGTGTGATCGCAGGCGCCTGTAGTCCCAGCTACTAGGGAGGCTGAGGCAGGAGAATGGCGCGAACCCGGGAGATGGAGCTTGCAGTGAGCCGAGATCATGCCACTGCACTCCAGCCTGGGCGACAGAGTGAGAGTTCATCTCAAAAAAAAAAAGTAAAAAAAAAAAGAAAAACTTTTAGAAATTAAAAATATAAGAGAAAACCAAGTAATAAGAACCAGAATTCAAGGTCAAGGAAATTAGAGGGTATAACAAAATAAATAGAAAACAGGAGAGAAAAGAAAACAGGATCAATCCAAAAGAATCAAGAGTGGATGTGGGCATCTGGTATCTAGAACATATAAAGAACTCTTAACAACCCGATAATAAAAAGACAAACAACGTAATTGAAAAACGAGGCAAAAGACTTGAGTAGACCTTTCTCCAAAAAGATAATACAAATGGTCAATCAGCATATGAAAAAATGTTCAGCCGGGTGTGGTGGCTCACACCTGTAATCCCAGCACTTTGGGAGGCTGAGGCAGGTGGATCACTTGAGGTCAGGAGTTCAAGACCAGCCTGGCCAACATGGTGAAACCCCAACCCTACTAAAAATGCAAAATTCAGCTGGGCATGGTGGCACACGCCTGTATTCCCAGCTACTTGGGAGTCTGAGGCAGGAGAATTGCTTGAACCTGGGAGGCAGAGGTTGTGGTGAGCCGAGATCATGCCACTGCACTCCAGCCTGGGCAACAGTAAGACTCCATCTCAAAAAAAAAAAACAAAAAACAAACAAACAAAAACCAAAAAACACTTCATTCAATGTCATTAGTCATTAGGAAACTTCAAATCAAAATTACAATGAGAATCTATTTCATACCCTCGAAGATGGCTATAATCCGAAAATGGAAAACAAGTATTAGTGAGGATGTGAAGAAACTCAAATACTCAAACACTGCAGGTGGGAATGTAAAATAGTGTGGCTGATGTGGAGAACATTAAAAAGAATTACCATATGACCCAGCAATTCCACTTATCAAACAAAACCTTGTGCACCTGAATGTTCACAGCAGCACTATTCACAACACCCATAAGGGGAAAGAAATCCAAATGCCCAGCAACCGTTGAATGGATATGAAACGTGGTACATGCAATGGACTATTATTTAGCCTTAAAAAGAAAGGAAGTACTGATATATGCTACAATGTGCGTGACCTTCAAAAGCACCATGCTAAGGGAAATAAGCCAGGCACAAAGGTCTCATTATATATGATTCCATTTATAAGAAATATTCAAAACAGGTAAATTCACACATGAAAAGAGCATATTAGTGGTTGCCAGAGGCTGGGGGTAGGAGGAGGAGAGACAGACTTCTTAATGGGTATTAAGTTTCCTTTTAGGGTGAGGAAAGTGTTTTGGAACTAGAGGTGATGGTTGCACAACATGAATGTACTAAATACCACTGAACTGTACACTTTAAAATGGTTAATTTTATGTTATGTGGATTTTGCCTTAACAACAACAAAAAAGAACCAATAGGGAGGGGTGATGTGTGTGTGAGGAAATGAAAACAGCAAGTGAAGGCAAGTGTTTCAAAAAGTTTCAAGGACAGCTGAAATAAAGCAGCAGATTGAGAGAACTTGAGATCAAGGGAGAAATTTTTCTTTCTTTCTTTTGACATTGAACATCCCAGAACACATCTATGCTGTTGGCAATGACCCAGTGGAGGAGACTGATAAGGCAGATGCATGAGTACAACCCCTGAGAATGTTAACGGTGGAGAGGATTCAGAACACAAGTGGAGAAACTGGCCTTGGAGAGAACATTAATAAAAAAGGGAAAACAGACTATACAACATTTGAATTCTTATAGACTTGGGTAGTGGAAAGATGAGGATATTTCTTGGTTGGCCCCTTTTTCTCACAGAAGTTGAAGTAAAATGCTTTTTGTAATTTTTATTCATACAGAGTGGGAGAAGGATGAAATGGGAAGAAGAAAAAGTTAAAAACAGCCATTTTTAAAGGGAAAAAACCCCCTAAGGTTGGGAGATTGAGAAATACTGCTCTTTTCCTTGGGCATAAGACATCAAATACATGTATTTCTATTTTAAAGTCTGGGTATTGCAAATACTTAATTTAGTTTGCTGCCAAATTGGTGCATTAAATGTGCAAAAAGCAGCATTATATATATATCCTCCAACTTCATGATTAAGACACAAAGGTTCCTAGAATCTGTCAAAATGAAATAGTGAAACCCTGTGATTTTCAGGATAATAGTATAAGGGCATAGGACTCATAGAATGGGAATTAGATCTTACAAAGAGTAAAATGAAGACCTATGCTGCCTAGGCCCTGAGTGAACTGTGTACCCTTCCAACCAGAGTATGCCTAGATTTGTCTACTCCTGTAGAACTGTTTATTCCTGAGACATGGAGGCTATTGTATAAGCACCAAAGACCCACTCTAAATAATCCAAAACATATGTATATACATGAACAGGCTTGACAGAATTTTTTTTGTTTTTAAATGAAGCGCAGAGGGGCTGGGCACTGTGGTTCATGCCTGTAACCCAGTGCTTTGGAAGGCTGAGGTGGGAAGAATCCGCTTCAGCTCAGGAATTCAAGGCTGCAGGAAGCTATAATCACACCACTGCACTCTAGCCTAGGTGACAGAGGAAGGAGACCCTGCCTCAAAAAAAAAAAAAAAAAAAGAGAAAGAAAAAGGAGAAGCACACTCACCTTTTTCATCTTTTACCTCACATTGCATTTTCTCTTGGCAATGTTTGGGTTTGGGTACCACCACAGTTGCTATCTCTTGAACATCTTTCATTAAAACATCACCGTCTAGTTTGAGAATACTTTTAAGCCTGCTGGCCTCCTTTGGGGCATTCTTTTTTCTCTTTTCAGCACGCATCTTTCTTTTCCACTTACTCCGTAAGCTTTTAGCCATGTTTTACCTGAAGTTAACAAAAACACACATTCAAAAGCAAATCTTTAATATAAAAAAGAAAACAGGCAAATCCTTAGAAAACCAGGCCAACAGGTATCTCTACAAAACAAGTGAAAAGTAAAACTCTTCAATCTGTTCACTTTTTAGGACTTAACATGCAACTTATATGAAGATCAACATGGTACATACACAGTCACTAAATAACAAGATATCAAATCAAACTTGTGGTCATAAGCAAACTACAAATCAAACCAATTCTGAAAGCACCTTGCATGTCTTTTTTCTTTTTTTTTTTTTGAGACAGAGTCTTGTTCTGTGTCCCAGGCTGGAGTGCAGTGGCGCGATCTCAGCTCACTGCAACCTCCACCTCTCAGGTTCACGCCATTCTCCTGCCTCAGCCTCCCGAGCAGCTGGGACTACAGGCGCCCGCCACCACGCCTGGCTAATTTTTTGTATTTTTAGTAGAGACGGGTTTTCACCGTGTTAGCCAGGATAGTCTCGATCTCCTGACATTGTGATCCGCCCGCCTCGGCCTCCCAAAGTGCTGGGATTACAGGCTTGAGCCACCGCGCCCGGCTGAATTTCTTTACAAAATACAGAAATTTAATTTCCCCAGAATGCAACAGCGTCATCACCTTACATTTATGCAACAGCTTACAAATTACAAATGATTTTTATAAACACTTCACCTCATCTTCATTATCCATCCTCTCAAGCCAACTTAACGACTGTAAACTTATCTATTCCTACTCTTGTTTTCTTTCCACTCAGTTCCGCCCTAAATCCTCCACAAGGTGCTCAGTGTGATCTTTTAAAAAAGCATTCACTGCCTTTCTTCGAGTTCTTTAAAGACCTCCTCCCTCATATATATTCAAGATCTACAAGGTCATTTGTGATCTGTCCCCTGCCTCCTTCAACTCTATTTCATTTCATTCTCCATCCCCATCCCCGCAGGCACCAACTACGTCTGTAAAGAGTCCAAACTATCTCTACGTCAGTGCCTTCATATTTGCTGTCCCTATGCCTGGCAACTGCTCTTCTCAAGGCTTGCTCCTTCATTCGCTACCTCAGAAAGGACTCCTCTGACCTCCGTAAGCTCCCTTCCCTGCTTATTAAGTGTTACAACCTGAAACCATTGTTTTCTGTCACGCCCCCCGACCCTCTCCCCAGACTGTAGACTCCACGAAGGTAGAGGGAAAGGTCTTGTTCACTGCTGAATCGCACACTTTTTGCATACTTGTTGAACGAACCACTAACATTTTTTGAACGCCGGCAATCACAGTCATTCCGCTCCCTTGTCTACATAACTCAACCCTTGCGAGGGGCTAGGAAAGCGGGCGGCAAACAACCTTGAGGGCCGAAGTTAACTTCAGCGGGAGTGAACGACAGGGGTGGGCTCCACTTTATCCAGTGCACTCGGAAGCCGGAGGGCCCCCACCAAAAAGAGCAAGGGGAACCCTCGCCCTCAACAAGGCCTGCATCTCCGGACTGGAGCTCAAGTATAGCCCAGCGAGTGTCAAGAAACGAAATTCTCCAAGGGTGGCGGAATCAAGCCCCAAGTCCCATGTGTCACTGGACCGGTGAGGAACCGAACTCACCTGAGAAACGAACACCCACACCTCACGCTCACGCCGACCGGAAGTCTTTGCACTTCCGTCTTCCGGGCGGAGGCCACCCGGGGCGGACGCATTGCACGCCGGGAGACAAAATGTCTCAAGAAGCCTTGAGAGGCGGGATTTTGGAACCCGGGCGCTGACGAGCTTCCGCCATTGGTGTGATCGCGGACCTAGAAACTTGGTCCGTCCCATACAGGTGTAGAAGTCGGATTTGGAGAATGCTGACGGGTGTCCGGTCAAGGTTAGGCCCCAGGTAGGTCCGCTTTCCGGACGTGGGCAGGGTAGCCCCGAGACTAACCTATGGAGTGAACCTGGCCAGGGGACCCTACTTGTCAGATAGGGAGCTCCGAGCCGACCTTTAGATCTGACCTCAGCGTTTACATGATACTCATGTATTTCCTTAGATCAAGTCAGCCTAGATCAGGTGTTCTTCCAGAGGCCGTATTGAGATCATTTTTATTTGCAGCCTGTGCATTTTCTCATCTCGGGTGATGGCCTCACAGATGTACACATATGTAAAACCGTATCAAACTGCACACTTTAAATATGTGCAACTTATTGCATGTCAGTTATACTCAAAGCGGTTACCAAAAACAGAAAACAAGCTTTTCCTACCCCAGAGAAGAATTTAAAGGGTAAAATGATCAAAGGATTTCAGTTCTATCAATGTTTACCTGTCTGATCACTTACGTATCAGACACAATGCTAAGCCTAGGACGATTGTCTTAGCTCACGAATAACACTTACTGTACAACTATTTCTACTGGCATAGGCTTTGGAACCATATAGGTCTGTGTTGTACTCTTGCTTCCAACACTTGTGAACGATATGGGTGAGTAATTAATGTCATAAGGGCCTGAATTTCCTTGTCCCTAAAGTGAACATAATACAACCTAATTGATGCTGTAAGAGTTCAACAAATGGTACCCTTTTTACATTATAGTTTCAAAAGTATAGCTACACAGTACTATTTGTAAGCAATGTTTCTAGAGATTTACGACATATACCCAAAAAACATGTCTTTAATGATGGCCTGGTAAACTCCTGCTGGTTGCCAGAAAAAGGGGTTCTGAGGCAATCTATGGGTACCTTTTTTCTTTAAATTTGTGTCCTTTATGAAACCATGCATAGTATGGAAATTACTGAATTCAGAATATAGCAAGGTTAAAGAGGCTGAAAAAAACCTAGAACATTTGATATAAAAAAAGGAAGCATGCCTAAGAAACCTGGTTTATTTAAATGAGATTTCGTTCTTATAAAGCAAGTGAATTTCTGTTTTACAAGTTAACCATATACTGTACCTCATCTTTCAAATGAGAAGTTAGCTACCTCACCCAAAAATATAAGTGCACATTGCATTTTAGAGAAAACTTATATTCTGATAGTCCATATTTACTGTATCTTGTTTAACATACCAGGACAAGACTTTTGAATAGGCACTTGGCACCAGAAAAAATAATTTACCTATTATGAAAATGTCATGTTGTTAAAATACCATGCCATGATTTAGCATTACAAGTGCTTTAAACAGCTGAGTAAAACACCCTTTTACTCCTTTTTACTTATGTCCCCTCACCAGTTATATAAAAGCAGTTCTAGAAAAGTGGCCTTAGTATATTTAAAAGTCTAATTCATTCCTTCATTCATGCCTTTGAATATGCACTCTATTATAGGCACTATGCTGAATTTGCAAAGATGAAGGAAACTAAACTACTGTTTTTGGGAAACTTTATCTCCTAATGGACAAACAAGGCTTAAGGGTCCAACTAAACATTGCAGTGGCTCATCACAGAGCTGGAAGGAGCCTATATATAGAACTAGAGGCACAGTGGGTGGCCCTGAATACCTTACAGGAAGCAGACTGATTTTCTCATCCAAAAGGCATGCTACATGATGCAGAACAGTCAGTGGGGCCCCTGCAGTCAGGCCTCTCCCATGGAATCCCTGATCTGCACAATCAGTAAGGAACAGGAAGACTTCTGGGATTCAGATAGTGACCCCATGTTGCCCATTCCCTAGATAATGGGGACTTCAAGACAAAGCTCTAGAAAAATGAAAGGAAAAAGCAAAAAGTATCTAAGTCCTTAGCTGCTCCAAAAAAAAGGCCTGCAGCTGCAGGCTGTTGACCACTAATCCCTGGAAATGCATCAAGTAGACTGAAGCTAGGTCTGAGAAGAAATCAAGGCAGGTGTATACGGCCTACTGCATCTCTTTTCCCAAATTACGTTCAAGAAATACAGAAGTTCTCAGATATTGCTCTTTCCTCATTTTCCTCCTACCTCTTAGCTGTTCTTCCTATGGCCCTTGCACACTGAGTTGCCTGTTGCTCTGTCCAAGTCCTGCTAATTCCATGTTCTTTTTTTTTTTGAGACGGAGTCTCACTTCGTCACCAGGCTGGAGTGCAGTGGCACGATCCTGGCTCACTGCAACCTCTGCCTCCTGGATTCAAGTGATTCTT
Organism: Homo sapiens; assembly: GCF_000001405.40. Taxonomy (NCBI): domain Eukaryota; kingdom Metazoa; phylum Chordata; class Mammalia; order Primates; family Hominidae; genus Homo; species Homo sapiens. Next base: position 66,133,181 of record NC_000012.12, read on the forward strand.
CTGGCTCAGCCTCCTGAGTAGCTGGGATTACAGGCGTGCGCCAACACGCCCAGCTAATTTTGTATATTTAGTAGAGACGGGGTTTCACCGTGTTAGCCAGGCTGATCTCGAACTCCCAACCTCAGGTGATCTGCCCGCCTCGGTCTCCCAAAGTGCTGGGATTACAGGTATGAGCCACCATGCCCAGCCCTAATTCCACTTTCTATTAATATTTCTGAAGTCTGTGTATTTTCACCTTTACTTAATGCAATGCTTTAAAATGGTCGAGGTATATTCCCTACCTAGAAGAACTCATACTTATACACAGTGGGACACATACACGGACTTACATACCACATAAAATTCATTGACAGAACACAGGAATAAACCAATGGTTGATTTATAAAATGTAATATTTTGTACCAAAGGTTTTCAAACTTCTTGGTCTTGGGATTCCTTTACACGCTTATTATATTGATCTTATCAGAAATTAAAACAATTTTTTTTGGAAAATTTAAGTCATTTAGAAAGGATAAACTTACTACATGTTAACATTTTTATGGAAAATAACTATATTTTCTAAATAAAAAATAATTTAGTGAAAAGAATGGCATTGTTTTACATTTTAAAAATGTCAGATCTACTTTTGCTTATACAGAATCTTTAGTCACAATCAGTCCATTCCACCTTTGAACTGAAAATGGTATTAATAGCGTGCAAAAATGTAAGGGGGCCTCTCCCTCTCCCTCTCCCTCTCCGTCTCCCTCTCCCTCTCCCTCTCCCTCTCCCTCTCACTCTCCCCACGGTCTCCCTCTCATGCGGAGCCGAAGCTGGACTGTACTGCTGCCATCTCGGCTCACTGCAACCTCCCTGCCTGATTCTCCTGCCTCAGCCTGCCGAGTGCCTGCGATTGCAGGCACGCGCCGCCACACCTGACTGGTCTTGGTGGAGACGGGGTTTCGCTGTGTTGGCCGGGCCGGTCTCCAGCCCCTGACCGCGAGTGATCCGCCAGCCTTGGCCTCCCGAGGTGCCAGGATTGCAGACGGAGTCTCGTTCACTCAGTGCTCAATGGTGCCCAGACTGGAGTGCAGTGGCGTGATCTCGGCTCGCTACGGCCTACACCTCCCAGCCGCCTGCCTTGGCCTCCCACGGTGCCGAGATTGCAGCCTCTGCCCGGCCGCCACCCCGTCTGGGAAGTGAGGAGCGTCTCTGCCTGGCTGCCCATCGTCTGGGATGTGAGGAGCCTCTCTGCCTGGCTGCCCAGTCTGGAAAGTGAGGAGCGTCTGCGCCCGGCCGCCATCCCATCTAGGAAGTGAGGAGCGCCTCTTCCCAGCCGCCATCACATCTAGGAAGTGAGGAGCGTCTCTGCCCGGCCGCCCATCGTCTGAGATGTGGGGAGCGCCTCTGCCCCGCCGCCCCATCTGGGATGTGAGGAGTGCCTCTGCCCGGCCGAGACCCCGTCTGGGAGGTGAGGAGCGTCTCTGCCCGGCCGCCCCGTGTGAGAAGTGAGGAGACCCTCTGCCTGGCAACCACCCCGTCTGAGAAGTGAGGAGCCCCTCCGCCCGGCAGCTGCCCCGTCTGAGAAGTGAGGAGCCTCTCCGCCCGGCAGCCACCCCATCTGGGAAGTGAGGAGCGTCTCTGCCCGGCAGCCACCCCGTCCGGGAGGGAGGTGGGGGGGTCAGCCCCTGCCCGGCCAGCCGCCCCATCCGGGAGGGAGGTCGGGGGTCAGCCCCCCGCCCGGCCAGCCGCCCCGTCCGGGAGGTGAGGGGCGCCTCTGCCCGGCCACCCCTACTGGGAAGTGAGGAGCCCCTCAGCCTGGCCAGCTGCCCTGTCCGGGAGGGAGGTGGGGGGGTCAGCCCTCCGCCCGGCCAGCCGCCCCGTCTGGGAGGTGAGGGGCGCCTCTGCCCGGCCGCCCCTACTGGGAAGTGAGGAGCCCCTCTGCCCGGCCAGCCGCCCCGTCCGGGAGGGAGGTGGGGGGGTCAGCCCCCTGCCCAGCCAGCCGCCCTGTCCAGGAGGGAGGTGGGGGGGTCAGCCCTCCGCCCGGCCAGCTGCCCCGTCTGGGAGGTGAGGGGCGCCTCTGCCCGGCCGCCCCTACTGGGAAGTGAGGAGCCCCTTTGCCCGGCCAGCCGCCCAGTCTGGGAGGGAGGTGGGGGGGTCAGCCCCCTGCCCGGCCAGCTGCCCCGTCCGGGAGGTGAGGGGCACCTCTGCCCGGCCGCCCCTACTGGGAAGTGAGGAGCCCCTCTGCCCGGCCAGCTGCCCCGTCTGGGAGGGAGGTGGGGGGGGGTCAGCCCCCCCGCCCGGCCAGCTGCCCCGTCCGGGAGGTGAGGGGCGCCTCTGCCCGGCCGCCCCTACTGGGAAGTGAGGAGCCCCTCTGCCCAGCCACCACCCCGTCTGGGAGGTGTGCCCAACAGCTCATTGAGAACGGGCCATGATGACAATGGCGGTTTTGTGGAATAGAAAAGGGGGAAAGGTGGGGAAAAGATTGAGAAATCGGATGGTTGCTGTGTCTGTGTAGAAAGAAGTAGACATGGGAGACTTTTCATTTTGTTCTGCACTAAGAAAAATTCTTCTGCCTTGGGATCCTGTTGATCTGTGACCTTACCCCCAACCCTGTGCTCTCTGAAACATGTGCTGTGTCCACTCAGGGTTAAATGGATTAAGGGCGGTGCAAGATGTGCTTTGTTAAACAGATGCTTGAAGGCAGCATGCTCGTTAAGAGTCATCACCAATCCCTAATCTCAAGTAATCAGGGACACAAACACTGCGGAAGGCTGCAGGGTCCTCTGCCTAGGAAAACCAGAGACCTTTGTTCACTTGTTTATCTGCTGACCTTCCCTCCACTATTGTCCCATGACCCTGCCAAATCCCCCTCTGTGAGAAACAACCAAGAATTATCAATAAAAAAATAAATTAAAAAAAAAAAAAAAAAAAAAAAAAGAAAATGGTATTAATACCATCAGCTGACATTAATTAAGCACTTAGTTTAGTTTATTTATCTATCTCATTTAATCCTTATAACAGCCCAATAAGCTAGACATCATTATTCCCATTATGAAGATGAGGCAGAAGACCTAAGGAAGGATAAATAATTCGCCAAATGTCACTTAAGCACCTGGTTGGACTGCAATGATTCTAATCTAGATGCTCTTACCCACCATGCTGTTAAACTTGATTGCACTGCATCATACACTTGATAATTCAACAGTTAATGATAATAAAGTCAAATTTACATCTACAAATCATGCAAGCTTAAATTGATACTACAAGTTTATTTCAACTTAATAGCTGGGAAATACTTAGGGGGTGTTATGGGCTGAGTTGTAGTCCCCCCAAAATTCACATGAAGAAATCCTAATCCCAGCACTTCAGAATGTGACTGTATTTGGAGATAGGTTTTGAAAGAGATAATTAAGGAAAAATGAGGTCCTCAGTGTGGGCCCTAATCCAGTATGACTGGTGTCCTCATAAGAAGAAGAAATTTGGGCACAGACAAGTACAGAGGGAAGGCCATTTAAAGACACAGGGAGAAGATGGCCATCTACAAATCAAAGAGAAAGGCCTCAAAGGAAACCAACCCTGCTAACACCTTGATCTTGGACTTTTAGCCTCCAGAACTGTGGGAAAACAAATTTCTTGTTGAAGCCACCCAAGCTGTAGAACTTTGTTATGGCAGCCTAACAAACTAGTACAGTGAGGGAATTTGACAAAATTTCATTGGTTACTGGTACACTGACCTAACATGCTGTGTGGACCAACACAAATGAAACCATAAGACAATACTTCCCAAATATTTTAATTTTGAAATAGATATACTTAATGGCTGATGACCCAGTATCTTTGGTGTCCTCTAACCACATTACCATTCTATAATTTCAAATGAAATCTATACTTTAAAAACAATTAATGTCAAATTTTGTCATAATATCTGACTTTCAGGCCAACTTTTAATGTTAGTACAATTTAAAATAAAAAGTCATTAACATTTTAATGTAATACTGAATAATTCTCTGTGGAATTTATCTTTTACATTTTTTTCCTTTTAAGCAAAAAGAGATTTACAGTTTATAATGGTAAAGACTCTACTACTTCAGAATCAAAGCCAAATCAATATTACTTAATAATTCAGGGAAAATTTAGATAAAATCACTAGACAACGGTAAACTGATATTCTTATCTACTCATAAAATTATTTTTGAATTGCAAACGAACTGCTATGCGTGGCTAATTTAGGAAGAAAAATTTTTTTTTTTTTTTTGAGACTGAGTCTCGCTCTGTCACCAGGCTGGAATGCAGTGGCGTGATCTTGGCTCAATGCAACCTCCACCTCCCAGGTTCAAGCGATTCTCTGGCCTCAGCCTCTTGACTAGCTGGGACTACAGGTGTGTGCCACCACATCCAGCTAATTTTTGTATTTTTAGTAGAGACGGGGTTTCACCATGTTGGCCAGGATGGTCTCAACCTCTTGACCTCGTGATCCACCTGCCTCGGTCTCCCAAAGTGGTGGGATTACAGGCGTGAGCCACTGTGCCCAGCCAGAAAAGCATTTTTAATAGAATTTTGATAGCTCTTAACTGAGATCCTAAATCAAGGATTTAGAAATGAGGTATCATAAAGAATAGTAAGATTTTAAAGCTCTCAAAATTACATATGATACAAATAAAGATTGTAACAGTATTTAATCATTGTTTCAAACTTTATTACTTAATGAAACAGTTTCTATATACTGCTTCCAATTACTTTAATCCTTTTTTCTCATTAAATTTTTTTTGTTGTTCTTCAGTTGAGCTGAGATACTTTTAATTACTTTTTATTAACTGCTTCCAGAAACCGTAACAGGTGCAGGAATAGATTGATGATATCCAAGTAGAGGCTGATGGCAGCTAATACGTACTCTTCAGGTGACAGTTTATGCATCAGTGAGTGTGTGTCATAGATGATGAATCCACAGAAAAGAAGGGCTCCTGCAGCGGCTAAGACCAACTCCATTATCTCACTATAAAAAAAAAACTATAGGGAAGAGATTAAAGAAATATGTTTATATTTGAGAACAGTATTAACAGGACTTAACTTACTTCCTCTAATGATTTACTGCTACATTATACATTTGACAATGGTGTACAACTTTGAATACAAATGTTAAAAGCAGAAAAAGGCAAGGCAAGTCCAAACTTGCCTCTGTTGGATGGAAGGATGAATGAGTGGTTATATTCCATTAAACTAAATTACCCACTTTGAAAAACAGCATTCCACATATAAATTATTTAAAAATATATTTCGTTTTTCACAATTAAATGTGCCACTGGAGCTTGGCAGTTGTAAGCAAGGGCCTCTTTCTATGTAATTTAATTCATTTATTCATTCATCTTTTTTTCAGTCAATAATAAGGACCAACACAAGACCCTGATTTTCTAAAGGGATAATTCTATAATCATTCTATATACAAATGTTCTGGATAATTATAACTAAGTGTCCTATCATAAGAGTATCTCTTATAGCTTTTTGAGGTTATTTATATTGACACAGCCAGAATTATATTTCAAATTAACCATTATAACATAACTTACCTTCAAGAATCCTGACAGGCACAATATCCACAAAAGAGCAAACAGCCTATAAAAATACAATTTTAGTAATTTGCAATATTGTTCCTTACAAAAAAACTTTGTAAACCCATTCAACACTTTCTGAAAAAAACATCCATCTGGATTTTTTGCTGAAGAATAACTAAAATGTAAGAATTTGTAAACATACAATGAATATAATGCCCATCTTGGATCTTTTTTTTAAAGAAATTGAAAGAACAGCTATTTATTCAACATTTGTCTTTATGGTATACAAACCTAGTTAACAGTATAATTTGTGAAGTTTTGGAACATAAAATACAGATAAAAGCAGAAATATCATTACAAGTATTTTAATTCAGAGATCTATAAAAACTTTTAGAAAATATATAAACAAATGAACTAGGATTGCACTTTTAAACCAAGTAATAACAAGTTATTCTGTGAACATGTCTATCGAAGTTCACAATGTACTTTCCATTTTATTCTTATGTATTATGGAACTTAATTGATGGACACATCTGACACTGCTATAATTTTATGAGTTACAATTCAATTGTTATATATAGAGAGTATAAATTATATAAGAAAGGACATCTAAGAAGTCAGTCTTTTGTTATAAAATATGGGACTTATCAGCTGCTTCAGGTCACAGGGAATTACAGAGGCCACATTTATCCTCCTTCCTTAAATAAAACCAGACAAAATATATGAAACAACAGTTCTTGGACACTGGACAGCAAACAGCACAGGACAGGGATTCCTGAGATAAAGGATACAAAGAAAGTGAAGTCTATATTTGCCCCAGCTACAGAGGGTTTCCAGGCCAGCGTGTAGGGATAAGAACCCATACAGTCACTTGCGGTCTCCTTGAGTTGAGCAGACAAGAATTCAGAGGTCAGGGAAGCCAAGGTAGCTAGAATTTGCAGGGCAGAATATCAGAAAGAAGAGAACTATCCACCAAAAGTGAGCACTCTGGTGTATGCACAGGATTCCCCTAGAGTCTGTAGCTACATTCTGATTAATACATGCATGTTAAGGAGGTGACCAAGGCTGGAGAAAGAACCACAATAGAGAAGCAGGCAGAACAATCCTCAGAGTTCACACAGGACTGGGAATAGTTTGCATTCACACAAGCTGGAGTAGAAAGACCTCGTAAGACATGCACTGAGTAGTATGCTGAAGGGTACTGTCTCAGCAGTACCCTTAGGGCCAAATGAGCCCCTAAGCTAAAAGCTGTTCTGGACCTCCTAACAGAGCCTCAAAAGGTTTACTTTCCAAGGAACTTAACTGCATCCTAGGAGAACAATGCCAAATATATTTAAAGTTAATACAACAAAATTCAGCACCCAACCATGTAAAATTTATAATGACCAGCATCCAATAAAAAATTATAAAGGCATGCAAAAGAATGAAGGAAATATGACCCATAACAAGGAGAAGAAACAATCAATAGAAACAAATCCAGAAATGACACAATGATAGAATGCATAGACAATGACATTAAAAATATACTCCCTAGTTCAAGATCGAGGAAAGAATGATCATGAGGAGGAGAGAAATGGAAGATACTATTTTTTTTCAAAAGACACAAATTGAACTGAACTTTAATTGATTAAAAATACAATATATGAAACACAAATATTCTGATTGGAATTAATAGCAGATTAGACACTGAAGAAGATTACTAAATTTGAAAACAGCAATAGAAACTAACCAAAATGAATCGCAGAGAGAAAAAGACAAAGAAAAACAAACAAACAAAAAAAACAGAACAGTGAATTAGGGGACAACATCTAGAAGTCTCACACAGATGTAACTGGAGTCTCAAGCAAAGGAGAAAGAAGGGGAGACAGATAAATGTTTGAAGAAATAATGGCCAAAAATTTCCCAGATTTGAGCTGTGCACAGTGGTGTGTGCCTGTAATCCCAGCTACTCAGGAGGTGGAGGGATCACTTGAACCCAGGAGTTCGAGTCCAGCCTAGGCAACACAGCAAGACCCCATCTCTTAAACAATTTTTTTTTCCAAATTTGAGGAAAACTTTACATTGTCAGATCCAAGAAACAGAAGAAAAGTGGAGGGGGAGGGAACCACACCAAGGAATATTTTAATCAAATTACTGCAAACCAGTGATAAAGAAAAAATGGTAAAAGTAGCTCTGTATGTGTGGAGGAAACATATACAGAGGAATAAATATAAGAAAGATGGCAGACTTCTTGTCAGAAACTACATAAGTCAGAGGACAATGGAATGACATCTTTAAAATACTGAAAGCAAGAAAAAAAACCCAAAACCTAGAATCTTACACCCAGCAAAAATAACTTTCAAAAATAAAGACAAAGGTTTTTTTCAGACACAAAAGATGACCAACAGACAATAAGAAATGTTAAAAAGAAGTCCCTTAGTCAAATGATATTAGGTGGAAATTTAGATTTACATGAAGAGATGAAGAAGAGTAGAAATGGCAAATACATTGGTGAACATAAAAGGACTTCTATTTTTAAAATCCCTTTAAAAGATAATATAATTTTTAGTGCAAAAATAATAATGTATTATGGAGTTTATAACATGTAGAACTAAAAGTTACGGCAACAATGGCACAAAGGTAGGGAAAAGGAGATACAAGGATACATAAAATGGTATATTATTTGAGGATAGACTAATAATTTAAAGTCATATATTATAAAACCTAGAGCAACCTCTAATTAAAAGAACTATAGCTAATAAGCCAATAAAGAAGATAAACACAACCATCTTAATAATCACAATAAATGTAAATGGACTAAATACACTAACTAAAAGCAGAGGTGGTCAGATTAGATTTTTAAAAACCAAGATCCAACTATGATTTCTAAAAAAAAAACCTTGTAAATATAAAGACACAAATACATTAAAAATAAAAGGATAGAAAAACATATACGATGCTAACATGCTAACACAAATTAAGAAGAAAGCTGGGGTTGCTATATTAATAACAAAATAGATTTTAGGGCAATGATATTACTAGAGCTAAAGAAGGTCACTTCATAATGATAAAGGGGTCAGTTCACCAAGAGTACGTAACAATCCTAAATGTTTCTGCATCTAAAAATGAAGTTTAAAATAATATGATGCAAAATTATAGAATTTACATAAGAAATAGACCAATCCATACTTGTAGTTGGAAATTTCAACACCCCTCTCACATTGATAAAACAAGTAGGCAGAAAATTAGTAAGCAAATAGAACACTTAACATTATGAACCAACTTTACCTAATTGACATTTATCAAATCATCCGACAGCAGCAGCAAAATACACATTCTTGTCTAGTGCACAAAGAACATTTACCAAGATACCATTAAAAAATAAATAAATAAATAAATGCAAAAGGACTGAACTCATACAAAATAAGTTCTCTCACAGTAACAGAGTTATTTATTGTAATGCTATTTGGTGAAATGAAGGCATGATGAGAATCTAGTCCTCAGCTGTCTCTCTGAAATGGCCCTAAAATTTCTCAGGATACATCTGGCATACCTAAGTGAGAATGAGGTATCATGCTACCTCACAACATAGATCCTTCAGGACTGAAAGGGACTTAGGATTTGCTTTTTCATTCTTAAAGCCTAGGGAAATTCCAACGTTCCTGCACCATGGGGTATGGGGAAGGTGATATTAAGAACTTACAGCATCCGAGATATTACCCTACTTGCAGGCTAACAAGTTAGCCTGGCACAGTTTCATGGATGCATCAAGCTCCTAGGTCTGAGATAAAGGACAGTTTACAGTAATAACAGTAGTATCAGCATTTTTATGACAGGGCCCAGGTGATGCTAAGAGGGCCACATGACACCTACACACACAGTGGGTTGTGTTACAAGAGAGGAACCTTGAATTTAGGGAAGCAAGTCTTTTTTATAATGGAAAGTAAACATGCTTGCCCTCTGCTCTAGCGAGCACTATTTCTATCTTTCCAGGCTGTTCACTATTGGAAAAAAAAAACCCTTAAAAAGATTGTCTGGAACAAAGAGCAGTCAGCACATCATTCACAAGACATTCAGAAACACGAGACCCATGAAAAATCCTCTCCAATTCTTGTGGGCTTCTAATAAGACATTAGGATAGGGCTGCCAGAGGTCACTGGACATTAATTTACTCTTATTCACTAACTGGACAAGATCCTACATTTGAGCCTGATCAGACACTATTGACAATACATATTAAAACAGATACCTTTTCTCCACTACAACATCCAAGTTGAAATCTGACACACTTAGGCTCCCTGGTTAAGCAGCATGCCCCACCCAGCAACCTAAGTGTACACACACTAAAACAGTTATTTAGGGTCACAGGCTCCATTTGGTAAGTTTCTGGTAAGAAATTCAGCCTAAGACTTGTCAGTTTATGACAGCATTCTCTGTAGATACTGTAACAGGTAAAGATTTGAAAGTCATGTCCTACAAATATTCTGCCTAAGTTGTTAGTTCACTCTACTCTGACTCACATCTCATTAAATATTTAAGCATCAAAGAGAGCAAATTTTCTGAGAATATAGATAAGATATACCATGGACATAGTGCTGATTTTGCTATTCTAACAACTCCATCTAGAAGACTGACAAATCCTACCCTCATCCCTCTCAACAAGAAGCACAGAATAAAAAATAACTTACAAACAGTGATGTACCAGTAAACTGACTTTCTAGGAAAGAAAATGAGCCCTGATTTGTAGTGCTTCTTAATTTCTGTGGTGTACATACATCCTTCATGGCCTACTTTAAACTTCCAGCAGTTTAACAACTGACTTGCAAGATGCCTCATAAGCTGGCACAAGGCAACTCTAGCACACCAATGACCAGTTGCCACAGTTATCATATGTAGTTCTGAGATTTAATTCCTTTTGTGGCAGAATTACCACAGGATAATGATGTTGTAAAAACATCACAGCTTTAAGTCAATCTATGAAGCACTGCCACCATTGCCTGATACTACCATACATCCAAACATTTAACGCACTTCTTCAGTCCCTATTATGTCCCATAAACAGGTCAGAAGGAACAGCCTATAAACTTTTTAGAAAATATTTTCACAGAAAATCTTTTCCCTCGGTCTTTATATCCATTTTGGCACTCAGCTTCCACAACCACTTTGGCTTTGAGGCGTCACAGTAAGTAGTGCCATTAAGTTTTATTTAAAATGCAATAAAGTGCTACTCTTAAGTAGCTGAATCTATGGCATACTGACCAAAGTATAATTATTATTAGGATTTTGCTAGAGAGTCATTACATGGCAATATCCAGTAACTAATAGCAGTAGATGTGATTCAGTGGAGAACTGGGCTGTATACCAAGAGCAGTAGTGAAGTGTTAGGGTTTTAAATAGGTATACTGTAATCAAGTTTCCATTTTTGTATCACCCAACTGCTTGGTGGAAAAGAGGCTGGAAACTGTTAAGACTGGAGAATAGAGAGGCTGGTTGTAGTAATACAGGTAAGAGGCAATTTTGAAAGGGTTCCGTTTCCAGTACTACAGCAAGTAAGAACTATTCCAGACTAATTACTGCCCCTGTCCCACCCCGAAAAACTACTGAAATGATGCATAAAAGAGAAAACAAAGAATACGTTCTTAAAAACATCAAATAACTGTCAAGGTAGAATGGAATTATCAAATCAAAATCTAGGTAAAAGTGGAAACCCAAAGAAGTAATCATAGTACTGTAGCTGAATTTGCCCAACTACAAGAAAAGTCATCAATGCACTAAGCAGGGGTAAATTGCGGGGTGGGGGCAGAGAAGAACCATCCCTGGGAAATTGTCACCACAAGCTATCCCTTTGCTGATTTGTAGTCTAACTGAAGAACACTTGTGTGGTTGGGAAAACATCGTAAGCCATGAATTTAGTTTCAAGTGGACCCAATCCAATAGTTTTCCCAGATGCTAGGCGAAAACCCAAATACTGTATGGAAAAGTGCACCTTCAATCAAGGCCTCAAAGAAATTCAACAAATAGTTTTTCAAGGACAATTACATAGTCAAAAATAACTGAACACTTAAAGAAAGAAAATATCATAAGAATTATCAGAAACAGCAGACACAGACAGACGCACTTCAGAAATATCTGGTCTCAGATCTATATATGATCACTGTAATACCATTTCTATCAATCAATGTAAATTTATTATGAAGAGGCTGAAATATAAGGCAAGTTTACCAGAAAAGGATTTAAGAGAGATGATACTGGAATTAATGAAAGGGAGGGAACAGTTGGAGATTGGGTTGAGAAGAGGAAGTAGAACAAAACTTTCATCATATATGCCACACAAATATGTATGAAACATCCTTCCAAAGAAGGAAAAGAAAATAGAAAATGTTACCTCTCCCTAAATCAAACTCCATTCTAATGAAACTATTTAAGCAGCTCGCGCAATTGTCAGTGTTGGCTGACCAACTATATTTTATCTCAATAGAGACTTCTGGTGTTCTGGATTACCAGAATAAAAGGGGTGGGGGAGGAAAGAAAGTTTAGCAAGAGCAGAGTTTTGTAAATAGTGTTGTAACAGGAAAAAGAAAACGGTTGGGTGACTGTGCCAACAGGAAGCCACTGTGAGCTTAGAAAAGAGTCTATGCATTCCTACCAGGTGAGGGCAATGCTGTACCATAATCCTAATATAAAAAGGATCATTCCGTATATTTGTTTGAGGAAGGATACAGGTTAATCTAGATGGATCAAAAGGTCTTAAAGTTCATGCAGACCCTTTCAATACCTGTACTAATTACAGCGCTTCTTCCAAGAAGACGTGGATGGTCTTGGTAACATTTATGCTAAGACAAAGACTGAAGTAATTTCAGTAAATTCCATAATGTTAATAAAGCATACAAGCTTAAACTCTCTGGAAAGCTTATTTTTTTTTTTAATTCACTTCCCTTTCACTATAGGAGAGAAGCAAATAAGTCAAAGCCACTTTCCATTTCTGTGTATGTTCTAGGAGTAGGACCTGGCCCTAGTACTCAAAGAGATGATCTCTTATTACCCTCCATTTTAAAAGACAGTACCCAAAAATAACAGTGTAGCACATTCCTCAAAACCACCTATAATAATTAAAGACATCTATCTATTATATCCAAGAATATATACAACTTACCCTGCTCCAAATTTGCTGAAATCCTTCTTAGATTGTAGAGTATACACAGTCAAACCAAAAAATACTGTAGTAGTCAGTATGAAAGCTTGCAGAATAATATATACATCATAGAAAGTAACTGTAAAATTAAAACACTGATTAACATGCATATAAACATGCTCAATACAAAACAGCTTTTTCTGGCATTTTATAGAAATGCTTCATTTTCTCCTGTACTTTATGCCAATAAAAACAATTAGAAAAGATTTCTTATCCATCCTTGACTACATGGGTACAGTGAAACCACACCCATAATGCAATTAACAGTCTCCAAAAAATTCATTCATACAAAATCAGAGGTCACATTATTACCAAGTTAATGAAATGACTGGAGAGCTATCACGCCTGTAGCCAGTTTGGAGTTCTACAGGTATGGGAGTGATTCTCAGCCATCTCTGTCCCAGGCACAGTTTACCACCATCTGTGGTGATTGTCCATTATGGTTTAAATATCAATAGGGATGATTCTGGGTCTCCTGCCTGGCTGGGAATTCCTGGACAGTAGCAGCAAATCCAGCAATCATCTAGTTAGTTATACTTGGTTTATCAGCCCAAATCAAGGAAATTGGGAAAGAAAAATATTGGGGCTGTCTGGGGTTGCCTACCATTCACTTACCCTGCAGAGGACAGAAACCAACCACTAACTGCTTTATATCCAAATGTGTATTATCTTGGAGTACATTATTTTGGGGTTTACTGAATATATGCCAAATTCCTTTCTGTAATTTTAGAATAATCATCCATTCAATTATGGCTATTGTAATAAAACTCCTTAACATTTTAATAAATTGCAAAGTTATAACCTCTTGGAGGTTAACTGCTTTGAACCCAAAGCCATTTAAGTAATTTTTAATTTTTCAGGGGAGTAATTATTCATGTTCTTTCTATCATTAAATGCTACATGATTGGAATTTCTCTGTTTATGCCATTACAGGATTAGGAAGGTGAACATGGAAAAGATAAGACATGAAGTCCATTTTGCTTCTTGTCAGTAATTTAAGTATACGATTAGGTTGAAAAGATATTGCAATTACTGAGGAAAATAATGTTCTCAGATTACCTCATCTATGTTTTTCTACCCCCAATTCCAATAATCCTGAAATGAATCTCTCTCCTACATTCTTTATACATAGTAGGGGCTGGAGAAGGGAGAGATGGATTTGATAACCTTAATAGTAAGTAACATTAATAATAAGTAAATATTAATAATACTTCCTTTCTCTGTTAAGAAGCTTCAATCCTATTTATTATTTATTACTATTTATTTATATTGATTCTTTTAAAAAGAGATTACAAAAACATACAGATTAAACAAAACTGGCATAGAAAGGTTAAAAAAACTAATGACAAAGTAGGAAGAGTTAAATATATTAACTATAAGGATAAACAACTTGCTATTATGGAGAGTAATAATTAACTCTGACCTTTTTGGTACTCAAGGTTAACCATTTTGAGACAATCAGAATTTCTATTCTTAATTTACTGAAATTTTTTATTTGAGGCATTACATAGGGTACATCAAGTAATTATAACAGAAACGGCCTTCAAACACATATTTAACATGAAATACAGAGCAGAAATTACCACTGTTTCTTGCAGTGCCATTTGATAAAATATGAGGATATAATGTTAAAGCACAGTTCAGTTTGGCACAGGCCAGTTAAAGGAGTTAAGCTCATACATATGATCAAAGTACGTGGCTCAGAACACATGTTCTCAGTTACTTGATGATAACTTTAAATTAGGGAAAAGATTAGCTATAGTTGTCTTATTTTTCTAAATGGGTAAACAAATGAAATACTGTTCTCCATTCCTTTTATTTTTCTTTTCCACTTCTAAGCTCAGCTGAAATATGTAAACGATAAATATCTAACTTTTGCTTATACTTTAGAAATTATTTGTCCTATGCTATATTTCTGAAATATGATATTCCATGATGTTAAACTTTAGCCCCAAATACCTTTTTACCTGAAAGATCTATCTACATTAAAAAGTTATTATAACATATAGAAATGCAGTTACGGCTTACCAACAACTGCCACAGTCAGAGCTTCCAACAGCGTCTAATGAAAAGAAACTTAAATTAGTGACTGTAAAATTTATACTATCTCATGTACATTTTCTAATTTCTAGCAGCTTAATGTGATCCCATATGAATGATCTCATTTTAGCTTCAAAGCAGCCCTGCGAAGTATATGGGGCAGTTAGTAAACCCACCATAATGAAAATGAGACCTCAGTATATTGAGTGGGAATATTAACATTCTAATTCTGATACTATGACTCTTTAAGCTCTAATCGCATATTTGTAACAGGAAGACTATAAATATAGAACATTCTGTTTTTCTTACTGTGTAATATAAATAAAAATACAATTGCAAAATTATGTGCACATTTATAAAACCTCAATACCTCACACAAACATAGGAAGAATAAAATATTTAGGTAGTACTTTGGTGTGGGAGTCTTGAAAGTGTTTCCCAATATTCATTCTCTCTTTCTTCCCTAATAACAGAATTTTTACCTGGACACATGGCTGTTCAGATTAAACTGCATTTTTTCAGTCTCCTTTGCAACTCTAGGTCTGACTACGTAACGATACTCTAGCCAATTTAATGTGACTAAGATAGGAATTCAACTTCTGGATTGTGCTCTAAAAACAAAGAAAGACTTGCTCTCCCCTTCCTCTTCTCATTTGTTTGTATTAATAACTGGATACTCTGTGGCTATGGAAGTGATCTATCTTATACCATATGATCTATCATATACCACTCTAGGAATGCCTGGACCTTAGCAGAAGCGTGGGCCCTTGTCACCTTCACTAAATTGTCATTCAAATTTTTACATGAAGAGAAATAAACTATCTTGTTTAAGCCATTGTTATTTTGTCACTGTTTAAGTCAAGTCAGAAGTAGCTGAACCCATATCCTAAATAAAAGACTTGGGGATACTGAGCCATGTCCTCTAGCCTCCCTTTCCCCTTAATTACAGTATCTTTATTTTGTCTTATATCCTTACTCTAGATAGATTTTATCAATCATCTGATAGACCATATCACAAAGGCAAAGCCAGAAATAAAGGCAGTGGCTGTATAATCACACTCCTGGTAGAAGCATCCCTGTACTCCACCCTACCTGATATCAGGAAACCATCAGCACCAGAGCAAAAATGGTATTAGAAATTGTACATAGATGTGGAGGCAATGGAACTGCTGTCACATTTTAATGCTTTTAGTAGTGCCAGCAAAAATGGTAGCAAAAGATGATAGAAATTTTTTTCTGGGCTGGGCATGGTGGCTCAGACGTGTAATCCCAGTACTCTGGGAGGCCGAGGCAGGTGGATTGCTTGAGTCCAGGAGTTTGAGACCAGCCTGGGTGACACAGCAAAACCCCCTCTCTACGAAAAACACAAAAAAATTAGCCAAGGATGGTGACATGCGCCTGTAGTCCCAGCTACTTGGGAGGCTGGGAGGTGGGAGGATCGCTTAAGCCCAGGAGGCAGAGGTTGCAGTGAGCCAAGTTCGTGCCACTGCACTCCAGCCTGGGTGACAGAGAGAGACCCTGTCTCAAAAAAAAAAAAAAAAAAAAGAAAGAAAGAAATTTTTTTGGGGGGGGCAGGGCAACATGATTATACTATATTCTTGCTATTTATGACAAGATTTTAGGAAAGAAATCCCATACACATTCAAGTATCTAAGGAAACAGGATGGTATAAATAAGAGTTAAGATAAGACTAGGAAAACATGATAATGTCCCTTTAAAACATATACACACATGCTCCTCGAGTTACAATGGGGTTACATGCCAATACACCCCACTGTAAGTTGAAAATATCGTAAGTAAAAAATGTAGCTCAGAGTGTCTTTGGTTAAAGAATCACCAATGCTTAAAGTCTGAAATTTCGTGGTTGCATATTGCTTTGACACCATCATAAAAGTGGAAAACATTAAGGTGAATGATTCTAAGTTGAGGACTATCTATCTATCTGTCTGTCTGTCTATGTGCATGCATACACACACACACACACTCCTACTAGGGCAAGATAAGATTCACCTCCTTTCTTATCTTGGTGGATCAGGACCAAAAAACTCCTAACGTTAAAGGTCCCTGAGTAATTTAAGGAAATGTATTGTACATACTTATTTGTTAAACCATTTTTAGCTATGGGCATGATGAATAGATTTAACAATCAGTGATTATCTTGCCTATAAGCATTTGGTTGATACTTTTCTAGTGGGACCTCTCCCTGCTGGGCAAAAGTTGAACCACACCCTCTTCCCACACAGAAATCAGTCTTTCTGAGAGGAGGCTACATGTAGATGCGAAGAGGAATTCTATATGGCCGTCTTTTTTTTTATACTTCCTCTTTCCTGAGACATAGCTGACTAGGCCAGGAGTTGGCTCTTACCCAAGGCCTGGCAACCCATATATTGACTAACAGCCTACAATGTGACCTGTGCCAACAACCAAGTGTACCAATCAGATTCTTTCTCTCTCCTTTCTTCCTTCCTTCCTTCCTTTTCCTTTCTTCCTCCCTCCCACCCCCCTTTCTTTTTAAGACAGGGTCTCACTCTGTCACTGAGGCTGGAGGGCAGTGGCGCAATCTCAGCTCACTGCAACCTCCACCTCCCGGTTTAAGTGATCCTCCTGCCTCAGCCTCCCAAGTAGTGGGACTACAAGCACGTGCCATAACATCTGGCTAATTTTTGTATTTTTTGCAGAGACAAGGTCTCACTATGTTGCCCGGGCTGGTCTCGAACTCCTGAACTCAAGCAACATGCCTGCCCCGGCCTCCCAAAGTGCGGGGATCACACAGGCGTGAGCCACCACGCCTGGACCAGATTCTTTCTGACTCAGGAATCTGAACTCAGAGATTGAAGCAATGGCAGTGGGAGCTAAAGTTAAATGACTCTGGGGGCAAACAATGGGTCATATAAAAATTAAAGATAGAAAAAGGGAAAACAATGTATAAGGACAACTGAGGTAGAGAAGAGATGTAATAGAACAAGGGAGAGGGGAACACAAACATTTGTCACTGAATTTCCTATGATATCATCATTTCTGGAATCTTCCTCCAGTTCTCCAGTTCATCTTCTTGAAGAGGATTTGGGTTGGTGGGTTCTCAAGCTCTTACATCCTTAAACTCCTTGTTATTTGCAATAACTTGAGTTAGAATTGACAATCTTGCAAACAAAAGAGCTTAAGATTTAAATGAATAATCTTTCCTATTACTGAAACTTTCAAAGTCATCAGCTTTTCATTTTAACACAAACTCATTATCAGAATTCATAAACTTTTTAGTTTAAAGCATTTTAATCTAATCAATAGCTTTTCCCACTCGTATTTGACTACAAGTATTCTTTTTTTGTTTGTCTGAGATGGGGTCTCACTCTGTCACTCAGGCTGGAGTTTAGTCACGTGATCTCAGCTCACTGCAGCCTCCACCCCGCAACCCCGTTACAGTGATCCTCCCACCTCAGCCTCCCAAGTAGCTGGGACTATAGGTGCACACCACCATGCCCAGCTAATTTCTGTATTTTTTTGTAGAGGTGGGGTCTCACTATGTTGCCCAGGCTGGTCTCAGACTCTCGGACTCCAGCAATCTGCCCACGTCAGCCTTCCAGAGTGCTGGGATTACAGGCATGAGCCACTGCACCCACCCAAGTATTCTTAATATTACTTTGGAATGTTCTGAAGTAAATTTTTAGGTTAGAATCTAGTCATACTGGATGAGAAGAGGCAAAATAATTTTTTAGACAGATAACTTGAGGCTTATCCCCTTATTCTGGTCATATTCTAAACTGAATTTTCATAAGTGGTAGTTTGGGTTTTAATTTTCACAAATATCTCAACATACATGACTTAAAGTTGGGTTCTCCCAACTATAATTTTGAAAAAAGTTACTAATGCACATAATTTGAGCAAAATGGTTCTTTAAAAGATCAGAGTGATAAGATAATAACAAAGAAGAGTTAACAATAAAGAATTTGAATTTTATGAAATTAAAGCCACAACATAATTTTCTCCAAAGAAAATAATAGAATATTAGAGGTAGAAGGTATCACAAGGATTTATCTACTTTAAAATTCTCATTTTACATATGAAAAAACTTAGACACAGAAAGGATAAATGCCTTGCCAAGTGTCACATAATCAGATAGCAGCAAAGCCAGGTCATCTATTCCAATTCAGCATTTTTTCCACTACATACTAATATTTGAAACTAATAAACTGTTAAAAGTTTTAAAAGACTATAAAATTACAATTAATTTCCTAAAGTACTCTAAAAAAAACTCATTAATTTTGTTCTGCCGTTGTTATATATGTATTATATATGCATTTATTTAAAACTCAGGAATAATTGTTAAGGGAATAGAGAAAGTCAGAGTACTCACAAATCCAAAAAGTAGGTACAGGTTAAGGGGATACTTATGTCTGTTTAAAATCAACGCAAAAATCAAACCCAGAGATCCGAGGGCAAACAGCAAAATTAAGGCAGGACTGAAAGACATAATATTAAGTGTTTCAAGTTAAAGAAAAAATAGCATGAGCAGTATTATCAAATTTAATAAAATTTATCTATTTTATATGTTTATGAAAGTACAGGGGAAAAAATCTGGAATGATCCACACCAAACTATCAAATTATTTTATATCTGGAAAATTTGAGGAGTACAAGGTAGAAAGGAGCCTCAAGACAAAGAAAAGAGCCCAAAATGAATGGGGGAAACTTTTTCTTTTTACCATATAAACTTCTATCACATTTGAATAATGTTTGCAATTAGTATACTAATATTATACAATAAAGAAATTTAAAAATAACAACTACTTTCTTAGGATATTTGCCATATGGCTGTAATTTAAATTAAAGAATTTTACCTCACATAGCAAACTAATAGTTCAAGACTCCCCTTTGGTGGGGAGAAGGGAAGGGAGGACAGAAATTCTCTACTTCTATGAAAATATTCATTAGTTCTCCTTTCCTTTAATATAACAAAACTGTATCATGGAAATAATTATGATTCATCCCTGATTAAAGATCAGGGATGAATCATGTGGAGCTCTTTTGAAAACTTCTTGGTGAAATTATGCTAGTCATGAGCCAAAACTAAAATGAACGCACATTTATTTTTCAAGTACTGTCTTAGGCTTTGAGCACAGGGAATATAGTCTAATAAAGTTTTTAAAACTTAAGACTTTTAAAAATGGCATGCAGTAAAAATTCTTAATTTTTACCAAGGGTTTAACCCTAAGAAACTAAAGCTAAAAAGTTCAGAGGTAAATACCATGTTGTGGAGTATTTTTCTTCATCAAAAACAAAACTAATCAGGCTTATAAGAGTAAATGAACCTTTTTTACATTTTAACCTCAAAAGTTAATAGAAAAAAGTGGATTTTGTTTATAATATGCCTTTTTGATCATATGCAATGTCTGAAAATTATTCATTACCATCTCATTACCTTACCTCTCATGTACAAATGTCCGTACAGACTCAAAGTATAAAAAAACTGTTGAAGTCACTGTAGTTAAGAGAACCTGCAGAGAAAGAATGCTGTAGACTTTTCTCAGAAAGGCTAAAAGAGAAAAAAAATTACATTACTATTTTCTTAACCATTTATCATAGAACAGTAAAATCAAATTTCCTCTTTAAAAAATTGTTTTTTACACGTATTCTTTCCTAATTTTCCTCCTAATAATGTAATGTATAACTAAAACTAGACAAGAATACAAAGCTTCCAAAATAATTTAAAAATTGTAAGAGATATCTAAACCTCTCTCCAAAAAGCATGAGCCTAAAAAAAATTAGTGGGCCAAAATGTAAATGTTTTCATCAAAATGAAAAATGTATTAAATGCCTAGTTGTACACAGCAGGATACAACATAGCAAAAGACTAAAAGCAGAACATTTTAAAAGAATGATTATATCTTGAATCTGAAAAGGAGAAATAGAAAGCATATAAACGTTAAGTTTTTTTATGTCTTAATTTCAAAAATAGTAAAACTATTTCCCCCAAATGAAACTTATCCTGAAAAGGCAAGTAATATATAAACTTACTTTCACTCATCTATTATTATTTCTCATTTATAGTACCCCTGCCTCTAGTTTCTATACAATAGAAAATCCTTTCATATTTTGTTATCAATACCCAGAAATCACCTCTAAGGCTTAATGATTCAATGCTTATTATTAAAGTCTTCTGATATACAGTGATACAAATAATACAATGAACTTCCAAGAACTCATTACCACCTTCAGAAATAAAACATTAATAACAGTTCCCACCTTCTCTCTGTGATATCCCTCTCCCTTCACACTTCCGGCTAACTACAAATCATCTTTCAAGATGCAGCCTTTCTCAGTTCCGCATTCTGAATTAGATGTTTCTCCTTCATGTTCCTGAGGAACCCTAAACATACCATTAATCACTTTATAATTGATAAGTCTACTTGTCCTTCACCCCCATTAGACTGTAAAGACCGAAAGCTCCCTAATAATTGGGAAGAAGCCTAATTCATTTCCTTACCCCCACCACTCAGCCTAGTGGATGGCATTGCATAAACAGTCGTTAAATTTTATTTGCTTTTAAATAAACTTTCATTAAATTTATGAAGGGTAAATTTTACTAGTCAGGGAAGAGAAAAAGTATTATTCTGAAATGAAACAGAATAATGGAGCCACTGCTTAGAGGACTGTGCTTAGGCAGGCAATAAAAATCATGTTGAATGACTTTTACCCAACAAAAGAAAATGTGATGTTGTCTCTTGCCTATCATGGCAATGCTCATGGTAGATGAGCATTAGATGGTGGATGTTCCTTTTGAAAAACATTCCTACTAAAGACCTGGCTTTCCAAGGAAGGGTGAAGTGCTTTGATGGCATGTCAGCCAAATATCAAGTTAAAAAAACAAAATCTTTCACAGGAATAAGGGAATTTTCATGAATACTAAGGATTTAATAATCAAAATGCCTAAATATTAAACTTAATTTTTCCCTCTGGCACTCTTTCCAAAATCTAGAGTGAGTTTTTCCTGATGTCCTAAACAGATTTTACTGGGCATATGATTTAACCACTGACTCATAAGAACACTGAGTGTCCATTGTATTTTGGCTTAGAGATAAACAGTTCTCAACTCCACAACAGATCTATGACTTACTTTCTCAAAAAGGCCCTGATGTCTGAATGCTTTGGGAGGTCATTTCTATCTTTTTCATAAAAGCAGAGTAAAGAATATACTACTGGCATGGACAATGTTATTTGGGATATCTTTCTGCAAATTTAATTATTAAACCAAAGGTCAAGCCATTACACCTGCAAGGGATTTTCTGGGCTATGAGAAAAAAAATCATATTCTTTACACTACAGCCTCCATGTCCTGGATTCAAGCCATCCTCTAGACTCAGCCTCCCAAGCAGCTGGGAATACAGGCCCACACCAGGATGGGGTGTGTGTGCACACGTGTGAGAGAGAGAGAGAGAGAGAGAGAGGCAGGGTCTCACTCTGTCACCCAGGCTTAAGTGCAGTGGCATGATCATGATTCACTGCAGCCCCAATCTCCAGGGCTCAAGCAATTCTCCTAACTCAGCCTGCCCAGTAGCTAGTACTACAGGTGCATGCCACTACGCCCAGCTAATTTTTTTGTAGAGATGGGGTTTTACCACATTCCCGGGCTGGTCTTGAACCCCTGGGCTCAAGTGATCCACCCACCTTGGCCTCCCAAAGTGTTGGGATTACAGGCAGGAGCCACCGTGACTGGCCCTGGAATGTATTCTTTACTTTTGATACCCTATTATGTACCTCATATAACTCAAACCCAATCCATATGATATATATTCTCTCAAGCAGTGGAAATTAGTGTTATTTCTTACCATTTTGTAAAACTGATTTACAGTTCAAAACAATGTGCACATTAAGATCTAATGTTTATTTGTATATATGTACACAAGTGCATATGTAATAAAAGACTAGAATAATATACATCCAGGTGTTCGTATACCCTGGGCAGTAGTACTAAGGATAATTTTCATATTCAGTTCTTTACTAATCTGTATTTTTTAGATACCAGCAGTATGTATTACTATTGCAATTAAAAACATTTTAAAGAAACTCGTGCTAAGCCTTTAAGTTCATACTAAAAAATTCTCCTTATGCAGATATTCCAGACCATAACTTTTTCTATACTTTAGTATCATAAGCCAAATCCCAGGCAAAAGCAGTATTGACACCCATTGTGAATAATATAAAAAGTAGCAAAGGACATGCATATACAGCTTTCAGGAAAATATAAAAGATTCAATATGAAAAGAATACTAGTCAAACAGCAAGATTTTCCAATTTTTGTTGAGTCCTGATTTCTTCCCTTCTATTTGACATCTCAAAACTTAACATGGCCAAAACTGGAGCTCTTCATTTATCCAAATTTGCTGTTCTCCCAGTGTTCTCATCGATAACCAGCACCAACATCATCCAAGCCAAAAACATAGAAGTCATCTTTGATTACCCCCTCCCTGTTCCCAATCTATCAGCAACTACTGTAGTTCTACCTTTGAAAGTACAACGTATCTGCCTCTTTTGGTCTCCTCTGTTACCTCCCTAGTCAAAGTGTGCCTAATCTCTCACCTGGACCACTGGAGGAACCTTCTGATTGGTCCCCATGCTTTCACTCTTGTCCCACCTATTTCTCCACACACTCTGTCAAAGTGATTTTTATGTAAAGTAAACCATATCATGTGACTCTGCTTAAATACTTAAATAATCGTTCCACTTAAAATAAAATGTGAAAGATTTTATAGGACCTACAAGGTCCCACATGATGTAGAACCTTTCCAATCTCATCTCAGCACTCTCTCTCTTCCTCACCATGCTTTACCCACATTAGTCACTTTCCCGCTTCAGGGCCTTTGCACTTGCTCTTTCCTCTACTTGGAATGCCCTTATCATTCTTTACATGAAGTAGTGGTTTATGGTAAGTCACAGTTCTTTGACACTCCCTTCAAGTGAGTCCTAACAAAAAGAATGATGCAAAAGTGGCAGGGTGCTACTTCTAAGACCAAGTCATAAAAGGGATTATGGCTTCCTCCTGCTCTTTCTTGGATCATTTCCTCTGGGACAGTGTTTCTCAACCTTGTTTTCATTATTCCCCGCCTAAGTAGCCTTCTAGGTACTTTTTTCCTAATAGCCCCCTCAATAAAATTTTAATGCCACAAATATACTATATATCTGTTGTACCATCGCCCTTTGGAAGGATATACACCATTATAAAATCTTAAGATTTTTTTTAGATCTTTACATCCAACTATCATCTAATGGGGTCAATAGCACCCCATTAAGAATGCATACTCAGGGAAGGCCAGCTATGTTGTGAGGAAACTAAGGGCACCCTATGGAAAAACACATGTGGGAGGAAAGTGAGGTCTCCTGCCAACAGCCAGTGAGAAACTAGGGACTCCTATGAATAGCCCTGTGAGTAGCCTGCCTGGGAGCACATCCTTCACCCCCAGTCAAGCCTCCAGATGACCAGCACTAGCCAATATCTTGACCACAACCTAGGACAAACTCTAAACTAAAACTACCCATATTCCTGACTCTCAGAAACTGAGATAATGTTTATTCTTTTAAACCAATAAGGTTTAGGGTAATTTGTGACACAAACAGAATATATATCTTGGTACTTGGAAGTGGGGCGCTGCCATACCAAACACCTAAAATATGGGAGAGAGCCTTTGGAATCAGGCAATAGATGAAAGCTGGCAGATCTGTGAGATGAAGGCTAAAAGAGCCTTGAAGAAACTGTTTGTAGAAAGTTAATGCCTTTGAGACTCCTGCAGGTGAGGGCTTAAAGGAAAGTGGGTAAAATTCTATGCAAACTGGAGGAAAGAGAATGCTTATATACTCAGAAAAAGTTTAGCAACAGTGTTAGCTATGGTAACATCAAAAGTAGAAAATGTGCTTAATGAAGTAGGTGAACAAACTAAGGAGACTCCCAGAGTGTTGAATGTACCTGCTGGCTTCTTGCTGCTTATACTAAAATAGAAGAGATACACAGCTAAAGGAAGAAATGTCAAAAAGATGGGCCAGGCATGGTGGCTCATGCCTGTAATCCCAGCACTTTGGGAGGCCAAGGTGGGCACATCACGAGGTTAGGAGATCAAGACCATCCTCGCTAACACGGTGAAATCCTGTGCCTACTAAAAGTACAAAAACTTAGCTGGGCGTGGTGGCGGGCGCCTGTAGTCCCAGCTACTCGGGAGGCTGAGGCAGGAGAATGGCATGAACCCGGGAGGCGGAGCTTGCAGTGAGCCGAGATTGCACCACTGCACTCCAGCCTGGGCGACAGAGTGAGACTCCGTCTCACAAAAAAAAAAAAAACAAAAAAATGAAAGGCTTCTGACTCAGGTAATCAAAAAAATACATAAAGAGTATAATTGTAAAATCCTTAGTTAAGACCTCACAAATATCCAAAATTGTGCCTCAAAAAAACATTCAGGCCGGGTGCAGTGGCTCATGCCTGTAATCCCAGCACTTTGGGAGGCCAAGGCGGGCAGATCACGAGGTCAGGAGATCAAGACCATCCTGGCCAACATGGTGAAACCCCGTCTCTACTAAAAATACAAAAATTAGCTGGGTGTGGTGGCATGTGCCTGTAATCCCAGCTACTCGGGCTGAGGCAGGAGAATCGCTTGAACCAGGGAGTCGGAGGGAGTCAGAGCTTGCAGTGAGCGGAGATCACACCACTGCACTGCAGCCTGGTGACAGAGCAAGACTCTGTCTCAAAAAAAAAAAAAAAATTCAAACAATAGGGCTTTTGAGAAGCTTAAGGAAGTTGTCACTCAGCAGTCTCAGCCAAAGATCATGCTAAGACACTTTTGGGTGTGGCTTTTATTGAATGGAATGAAACCCAGTAAGAATCACAAGACACCCACTAAGTTTTCTGAAGAATTATATTGGCAAAAATACCACCTCATATTATCCACCACTGGATGTTGACTATGGCAGTACAGATCATTTGTCTTTTTAGGTTAAAAGTCTTTGAGGGGAGCTGTATTTAAGGAACTACACCTAGGGAGCTACACCCAGTGAGCTTCAACAACACCTGGGGTTGATTTAGATGATGAGATTCTGAACTTTGAGATGATGCTATACTAGGGTATTTTGGAGGATCTTAATCTGCATATAGAAGACAAATAATTTGTGACCAGAGGGAAGACTGTGGTGGTTTAAAATACAGCTACAGATTATTTGGCACTAGCTTCAAAAGGTGGAACCTAAATCCCCTCCCCTTGAGTATGGACTGGACTTAGTGACTTGCTTCTGATTAACAGAATAAGGAAGATGTAATGATGTGTGTGATTCCATGACTAGGTCATAAAAGGCACTGAGGCTTCTTCCTTGTTCTCCCATGGATTGCTTGCTCCAGAGGAAGTCAGCTGCCATGTCATGAGGACACTGAAGCAGCCCTATGGAGAGGTTCATGTGGCAAGGAACTGAGGCCTCCAGTCAGTAGCCATGGGAATGAAATTTCCCAAAAGCAGATCCTCCAGCCCAGTCAAGCCTTCATGTGACTGCAGTCCTGCAGTCATCTTGACTGGAGCCTCCAGTCCAGCATCTTGACTGGAGCCTCATGAGAGACCCTGAGTCAGAACTACCTGGGTAAGACCCTCCCAAATTCCTGACACTCAGAAACTGTGTATAATAAATACTTGCTGTGTTAAGCTACAAAATTTGGGGGCAATTTGTTACAAAGCAATAGACAGCTAATCTGCCTGGCTAGCTCCTTCTCATACAATCCACCCGCCATCTCCCTTAAGAGTTCTTCCTCTGGCCATTCCTTAACTAAAATAGCTGCCACCCTAAACGCTAGTTTCTACTCACACCTGTTTCTTTTCTTCAGCGCTAGAGGGTTATTTATTGCTTACCTCTTTAGGGTCTGTCTTTCCTACTGCCCCATCCAAATGACCACTATGGAGGACTGAGACACTGGTCACCACTAGATCCCTAACATCTAAGACACAGCCTAGTCAAGTTTTGTAAACAAAGGAAAATGCTCACCTTCACTCACATAGCTAAAAGACATAGAAATTAACACATGATTACATTTTTTACCAACCACAAGAGTCAGCAAAGTATGGCCCGTGGGCCAAAGCCAGCCCACTACCTGGTTTTGTAACTGAAGTTTTATTGGGACACAATCACACTCACTTACATATCCTCTACAACTGCTTTTGCACAATGGCAGAGTTGAGGAGCTGCAACAGATATCTTATGGCCCAGAAAGCTGAGTATGTTTCTTACTTGGCCCTTTGTAGAAAATGTTCACCATCCCTGATCTACCAGATTGCCGGAGATGAAAAAATCTGATGATATTCAGTGTGGCTGAGGGTGCAGAAGGTATCCTCATATATTGTTTGCTGAAGGTACAATCTCTCTGGAGAACTGATTAAATCAATCAAATTTAAAATGCACATACTCTTTTGACTCTATCATTTCACTTCCAAAAATTTATAGTAAAGTCATAATGGAGAAATTTACAAAGATATAAAAGGATGTTCCCTGAGGCACTATTTGAAGGAATAAAAAAAAGGTAACAATCATCAAGTGGGGATGGTTAAATAAATTATGGTATATACATACTATGAAACTATGAAAGACTACTGCAGAATAAACTAGCTTAACAGACTATATCACATATATATTACAATAGACTAGTTATATATACTAGTTTAATCAGCACTGTAAAAGTGCTCAAGTAAGAGACTATATTCAGAAATTCATTCTCACATAATTTTTTTTAATTAAAAAGTAAACTTTAATGTCGAAAATGCAAACTTGGGGAGAGCAGAAAGATCACACACAAGGCTGTCACCTCACACTTGGAGGGTTGCACAGCGGCCGAGCAGAGGCGCTCCTCACTTCCCAGACAGGGCGGCGGCCGGGCAGAGGTGCTCCTCACTTGCCACACAGGGCGGCAGCTTGGCAGAGTCGCTCCTCACATTCCAGATGGGGCGGCGGGCGGGCAGAGGTGCTCCTAACATCCCAGACGGTGAGGGGGTGGGGCGGGCAGAGGCGCTGCTCACTTCGCAGACAGGGTGGCGGCCGGGCAGAGGCGCTGCTCACTTCCCAGACCGGGCAGCGGCGGGTCAGAGGCGCTCCTCACATCCCAGTCAGTTGGACGGCCGGGCAGAGGAACTCCTCACTTCCCAGACAGGGCGGCGGCCGGCAGAGGCGTTCCTCACTTGCCCGACGGGCCTTCTCACATAATTTTTTAGTAGCTTCATGATTTGTTGTTTTCCACCAATGAACCTTGACATTTTAGATGTATATTATTCAAAAAGTATCTTTCAGGAAATGTACACATTACAAGCAGCTAATTTGCTTTGTTTTGTTTTGAGACAGAGTCTTGCTCTGTCGCCCAGGGTGGAGTGCAGTGGCGCGATCTCGGCTCACTGCAAGCTCCGCCTCCCAGCTTCAAGTGATTCTCCTGTCTCAGCCTCCTGAGTAGCTGGGATTACAGACACATGCCACCACACCTGGCTGATTTTTTGTATTTAGATAGAGACAGGGTTTCACCGTGTTGCATAGGCTAGTCTCGAACTTACGCAATCTGCTCACCTTGGCCTCCCAAAGTTCTAGAATTACAGGTGTGAGCCACCACACCCAGCCACTTCATTTATTTTTATTTGGTGGAGCATTTTTAACCTTTTAAGTAGTAACGCACCGAAGACAAATGAGAACCGCTTATTTAGTACTGGTGTAGTCAGCTTAAGTTACCAACCTAGTGATAAGGACTCCTAATAAAATGCTCCTGCATAATTTAAATATTTGTGGTGAACAAATACTGAGTATCTGCTATTGCAATCAGCTTTTGTAGTGATGTGAGGGACGTAGAAGTAAATCAAGAATAAAATTAATTCTTTCCTTAAAACAGTCTATAGGCCAGGCACATTAGCTCATGCCTGTAATCACAGCTCTTTGGGAGGCCAACATTGGAGGAGTATTTAAAATAAAATAATTGCTTGACCCTTAAAACCACTTGATATAGTTGGAAGAGCAGCCAACTATGCCTCTTTTACGGATAAGGAATCTAAGAATCAGAAAGGCAAAGTAACCTGCTTCTCTACGTTGCTGTCAACCAAGACTGTGTTTAATTTTCAGACCCTTAAATCCAGGGCTCTTTCTACTACACTGTACTATTCCCCAACATCACTAAAAAAAAAAGGCCATTCTTCTCACTATAATGTATGGCATGCCATTCCCACCTTTCCATGCCTCATCACAAATTCTGTCTCCCCCATCTCCACCCCATGAATTCCCTTCACAAACAGTAGATCTCTCTTGTCTGCAGTTTTGCTTTTCAAGGTTTCAGTTACCCCACAGTCAACTACAGTCTGGAAATATTACCTACAATGAGATATTCTGAGAAAGAGAGACCAATTCATATAACTTTTATTATAGTATATTGTTATATTTGTTCTATCTTATTAATAGCTATTGAATTAACACAACATGGAATGCATTTGCCACAGATAAAGAGGGACAACTGTATGCAAACTCAGCCCTCCACTGGCATTTCACTTCCTTTTACTGCTCTCCTAGATTATTCCAGTTCACACTGTAAAAGTGATTATATGTCATACCCAACTAAATCACAGTCGAGGGGCCGGGGGAAAACTCATTTGGGGTGAATAGCCTGGTTTTACCTAGCAGCTGCTGAAACAATCTGCTGTGACTATCAAAATAGTTGTTTGCCAGTTCCCAAACGCTTCTCTAGTGCCAATGAAGGTTCTTGCAAAGTGATACATAACATTGTTCTTTCTAATAAAATCCCCAACCTTCTCTTTGTTCCTCAGACATACTGCAGACCACCCCAATCTGCACGTATATCCCAAGCTGCAATTTTGTTATTCCCAAACAAAATGTTTAATTTACAGCTTTGTCTCTTTATTTTGTTTTCAACAAAACACTCTTGATTCCTTCCCCAAACTCCCTCCAAACTTGGCGCTTTAGAATTTAATTATGCTGCTATCATAGTTTGGCTAGTGGCCAACCTAACTAATGCCTTAAGAACAGTGACTGTGACTTCCAAAACTTTTATTTATCTCACTGTCTTTACATACATTAGAAAGGGGCTGTCCAAAAAATATTTTTATTTATTAAATGTATGTTAATGGTTCAAATGTTTCCTTAATGGTGGTACCTTGAGTCACCAAGGCCTCTCTAATGAATGCCTTCTATTCACACACCAGATACCACCTCTACTCATTTAACTTGCTGCAATGGCTGCCATATTCTATCCCTATCCTTCCCTGAGGTGACCCATTCTCTGTCTTCCTTATTCCTGGGACTAGCAGGGACTCTTTCTCCTTGGGGTATCTATGAGTTAAATAGTTCTCATGCACTCCTATTTCTTGCAGTACTAGTTCTTAATTACTCTAATATATCACATCGTCACTGTTCATTTTACAGATGGATGGTGTATTAGTCCATTCTCACACTACTATAAAGAACTCCCCGAGACTGGGTAATTTATAAAGGAAGAGGTTTAATTGACTCACATTTCTACAGCGGGGGAAGGCCTCAGGAAACTTACAATCATGGTGGAAGGGGAAGCAAACATGTCCTTCTTCTCATGATGGCAGAAAGGGGAAATGCCAAGCAAAAGGGGGAAAGGGCCCTTATAAAACCATCAGATCTTGTGAGAACTTACTATCACAAGAACAGCATGAAGGTAACTGCCCCTGTGATTAAATTACCTCCCACCTGGTCCCTCCCACAACACGTGGGGATGATGGGAATGACAACTCAAGGTGAGATTTGGATACGGACACAGAGCCAAATCCTATCAGACAGAATCTGAGAATGTCTTATTGGTTTAAGAGACATATACTTTAGAAAGCTGAGCTTCAACACAAATCCTCAAACTCTTCCAAAAAACTGAAGAGGAGGGAACCCTTCAAACTCATTTTATGGAGCCTGCATTACCCTGATACCAAAGCCAAAGACACTACAAGAAAACTGCAGAGCAATGTCCCTGATGAGTACTGATGTGAAAATCCTCGACAAAATACTAGCAAACAGAATTCAACAGCACATTAAAAGGATTATAGATCACCACCAACCAGTATTCCTGGACTGTGAGGATGGTTCAATACATGAAAATTAATCAATGTAATCAGCACATTTACAGAATGTTGGGGGAAAAAGAAACATGATCATCTCAACTGATGCAGAAAAAGCTTTTGACAAAATTCCACAACCTTCATGATAAAAACACTCAATAAAGTAGGAATTGAAAGAAACTACCTCAACATATTAAAGGCCATTTTTCCACGGTAGTAGTTCTATGCAAACCGACCCCCAAATTCCAAGAAAGCTGAGAGGCTGGCAAATCCATTTTCTTAGAAAAAAACATTTAATAGGGACATAAGAACAGAAGCCATCTCTGTGTCTCTGTCTCAGGCAGAGAAAAGATAGTGGATCTACGGGCCATAAATCCCCTGACCTAGGGCTTATATACCAGAGGGAAAGGGTGATTCAGAAGGGATTGTAGGACAACTGAAGGAAGACAACATCAAGGTTGTTTTGACCTAAGGACAGGATTTATGGTAAGTACATGCTCTTATACAAGGAACCACAGATAAATTGGAAATCTTAGAGGGTTTCCTGGAACTGGGGTTAGTCAGAAGTCAACAAGGCAGATTAGCAACCAAGATGGAATTACTTTGGCCTCCACAGCCATATATGAAAAGCCCAGCACTAATGTCTTACTCAGTGGTGAAAAGCTGAAAACTTTTCATCTAAGATCAGGAATAAGACAAGGACGTTTGCTTTTGCCATTTCTATTCAACATAGTACAGGAAGTCCTCGCCAGAACAATTGGGCAAGAAAAAGAAATAAAAGGCATCCATATTGGAAAGAAAGGAGTAAAATTATCTCTGTTCACAAACATGACCTTACATGTAGAAAACCCTAAAGATTCCATAAACTGTTAGAATAAATGAATTCAGCAAAGATTCAAGATACAAAATTAAAATGCAAAATTAGTTACATTTTTATACACTAACAATGAGAAGGTTGGAAAGAAAGTTAAGAAAACAATTCCATTTACAACAGCATCAAAAGGAATAAAATGCTTAGGAATAAACCTAACCAAGAAGACAAATTTGAAAACTACAAAACACTGATGAAAGAAATTAAAGACAAAAATAAATGGAAACACATCCATCATTATACATTGGAAAACCGATGTTCATACTACCCAAAGTAACCTACTTTGGGTAGATTTAATGCAATCCCTATCAAAATCCCAATGGCATCTTTCACAGAAATAGAAAATCCATTCTAAAATGTATATGGAATGTCAGGGGACCCCAAATTGCCAAAACAATATCTAAAAAAAACAACAAAGTTGGAGATCTCACATTCCTGATTTCAAAACTTATTACAAAGCCACAGTAATCAAAACAGTGTGGTACTAACATAAAGACAGAGACATACAGACCAATGGAATACAACAGAGCTCCAATAATAAATCCTGGTATATATGATCCTTTTTTTTTTTTTTTTCAGACACGGTCTCCCTCTGTTGCCTAGGCTGGAGTGCAGTGGCACAATCACAGCTTGCTGCAGCCTCGACCTCCCAGGCTCAAGTGATTCTCCCACCTTGGCCTCCAAAAGTGTTAGGATTACAGGCGTGAACCACTGCACCCAACCTTGTGAATCTTCTTTAGTGGGGTATGTGTTCAAGTCTTTTGCTGTATTTTATTCAGGCTATTTGTCTTCTTATCGTTTAGAGTTCTTTTGTATATTTTGGATAACAGTCCTTTATTAGATATATCTTTTGCAAATATTTTCTCCCAGTATGTAGTCTATCTTATTTTCTTGACTTCTTCACTTTAAAATCAGGTTGTTTTTTGTTATTGAATGGTAGGATTTCCTTATGTATTCTGGATATTAGCCTCTTACAGGATATATCATTTGCAAATATTTTCACCCATTTTATGGGCCTTTTCACTCTGTTGAATGTGTTCTTTGATACACAGAAGTTTTAAATTTTGATGTCATCCATCTATTTTTACTTCTGTTGCCTGTTTTTGGTGTCACGCCCAAGAAATCCATTGCCAAATCCAATGTCCTCCTATGTTTTTATCTAAGAGTTTTATAGTTTTAGGTCTTACATTTAGGACTTCGATCTTTTTTGAGGTAATTTTTGTATACAGTTTAAGGTAAGCATCTAATTTCATTCTTTTGAATGTGGATATTCAATTTTCCCAACACCATTTGTTGAAGAGACTGCCCTTTTCTCATTTGATTGGCTGGGCACAGTGGCTTATGCCTGTAATCCCGGCACTTTCGGAGGCCAAGGTGGGTGGATCACTTGAGCCCACGAGTTTGAGACCAGCCTGACTAACATGACGAAACCTGTCTCTTCTAAAAATATAAAAAATTAGCTAGGCATGGTGGCATGTGCCTGTAGTTCCAGCTACTCAGGAGGCCGAGATGGGAGGATCACTTGAGCCTGGGACATTGAGGCTGCAGTGAGTTGTGACTGTACCACTGCACTCCAGTCTGAGAGACAGAGTGATACTTTGTCTCAAAAAAAAAAAAAAAAAAAAGAAAAAGAAAAAGAAAAAGGAAGAAGAAACACAAATGGCAAATAAGTATATGAAAAGATGCTCAACATTATAAGTCATTAGAGAATTACAAGTTAAAGCAACAAGGAGATGCCACTACACACCTATTAAATGGTCAAAATCTAAAACACTGATATCATCAAATGCTGACGAGTATGTGGAACCAACAAGAACTCTCATTCATTGCTGGTGGAAGTGCAAAATAGTACAGCCACTTTGTAAGACAGCTTGGTGATGTCTTATGAAACTAAACATTCTCTTACTATACAACACGGCAATTGTGCTGCTTGGTATTTACCCAAATGAGTTGAAAACTTATGTCCACACAAAAACCTGCACATGGATGTTTACAAAGCAGCTTTATTGACAAAACTTGGAAGCAGGCAAGATTTCCTTCAGTAGGTGAATGAATAAACTGTAATGCATCCAAACAATGGAATAGTATTCAGCACTAAAGAAAAATGAGCTATCAAGCCATGCAAAGACATGTAGAAAACCTTAAACGCATATTATAAGTGAAAAAGGCCAATTTGAAAGGTTACATGATAATTCCAACTATACAGCATTTGGGAAAAGACAAAACTATGGAGACAATAGAAGATCAGCAGGAAGGGAGGGATGAACAGGCAGAGCACAGAGGAAGGCAGTGAAACTATTCTGTATGATACTATCATGGTGGATACATGTCATTAAACATTTGTCAAACTCATAGAATATACAACACTAAGAGCGAACCTTAACGTAAACCTTGGTCTTGGGTGATAATGAGGTGTCCAGTCTAGGTTCACTGATTGTAACAAACATACCACTCTGGTACAGAACGTTATTAGTGCAAGAGGCTTGGGGAAAAGCAGAAAGGGTATATAAGAACTCTGTTCTTTCTGCTAAATTTTGCTATGAACCTAAAATTGCTTTTAAAAAATTAATTGGGCAAAGGACTTGAATAACATTTCTCCAAGGAAAATGTATAAATGCCCCACACGCATACTTTTAAAATGTGCAACATCATTAAATCATTAGAGAAATGCAAATCAAAACCAAAAGGACATACCACCTCACACTCATTTGATGGCTATTTTCATTTTAAAAAGAAAGAAAAGAACGGAATGTGTTGGCAAGGATGTAGAAAAAGGTGAACCCTTGTGCACTGTTGCTGAGAATGTAAAATGATGTAGCCCCTATCAAAAACAGTATGGCCGTTCCTTAAATAATTAAAAATAGAACTACCACACAATCCAGCAATTCCACTTCTGGGTATATATTCAAAAGAATTAAAGCACGGTCTTGAAGAGGTATGTGCACACCTATATTCATGACAGCACTATTCAAAGTAGTCAAGAGGTAGAAGCAACACAAATGTCCATCAATGGATGAATAAACAAAATTTGGTATATACATACAAAGTACTACTACTGTCTTAAAAAGGAAATTCTGCAGCCAGGTGCAGTGGCTCATGCCTGTAATCCCAGGACTTTGGGAGGCTGAGGTGGGAGGATCGCTTGAGTCCAGGAGTTCAAGATCGGATGGGGCAACATGGAGAAACCCGTCTCTACCAAAAGTACAAAAAAATTAGCCAGGCCTGGTGACCTGCATTTGTAATCCCAACTACTCGAGAGGCTGAGGCGGGAGGATCACCTGAGCCCAGAAGGTAGAGGCTGCAGTGAGCAGTGATCTCACCACTGCACTCCAGCCTCGGTGGCAAAGCGAGACCCTGTCTCAAAAAAAAAAAAAAAGGAAATTCTGACATATGCCACAACATGGATGTATTTGAAGACATTATGCTAATTGAAAAAAGCCAACCACAAAAAAACAAATACTGATTGTATCTAGAGTAGCCAAATTCACAGAGAGAGAAAGTGAAATGGTGGTTCCAGGGACTGGGGGAAGGAAGGAATGGGGAGTTAATAGGTATAGAGTTTCAGTTTTGCAAGATTAAAAAGTTCTGGATATTGGATGGTATATAAGTTTAGTCTAAAGCTATGCCTTTAGATATTTTAAGTTCAGCCTAGGGGTTCTCGGTATATAGTGAACTATAACCTAGTAAACAGGCTGTAACCTACGCTTGAACCAATCACTGAGTTTCAGCCAAAGATGGCCACGTGTTCAAACCATGTTCAAACGGGCAAAAACCAAGCTGTAACCAATCAACTCTTTCTGTACCTCACTTCTATTTTCTGTACCTCACTTTACTTTCTCTCTCCATAAATTTTCTCCCACCAAGCGGCAGGACTCATCACTCTGAACCTTATTCTGGTTCCGGGACCTGCCCAATTCGCAAATCATTCTGTGCTCAAACTCCGTTAGATTTAATGTGTCTAAAGTTTTTCTTTTAACAGTGCACAACCATGTGAATAACTTAACACTACTGAACTATACACTTAAAAATAGTTAAGACGGTAAATTTTATGTTACCTGTATTTTACCACAATTAATTTTTTTTAAAAAAAAGCTGAGTTCACTGGCCAAAATAATTTCAAAATTCAATTCCAAAAATATAAATGCTAGGCACCAAGATTCTTGGTGCATCAGAACTATCTTCATCTTTCCTTTTCCAGAACAAGTTCTAGGCACTAAGATTCTTAGCACATCAGAACTATCTTCATCTTTCCTTTTCCAGAACAAGTTCCAGCTGCCTAAACAGGCTGAAAGTCTGGGGCTGTTTCGGCGATCAAATGACCAAACTAGAGCAGGCAATGGCTTCCACGTAGATGAAGCTGAGCATTTTAAATTCAAAAATTTCTGCCCATTGGCTACTACGTAATAACTTAAAACACAATTTAGACTGACTTAGGAAGCTTCTGTGTTGAGCAACTTCCTCAATAATCCTCAAAGACCTGTTGCATTCTGGGCCCTGCGGAGAGGAAATAGTGCCGTCAGGGAGCTTCCAGCCTAGCACAGGACGGTAAATATAAGCCTGTAACGCGAAACCCCACAGAACAAAAACATCAGGCCGTGGATTCCACTCGTGTGTACGTCAGTCACAGTGATCAACCGACTCATTTCCACGACGTTTCTTTTCACTTCAAGATGCCAAATTCAGGCTGCGGCGGTTTCCATCTGTCCCTTCCTACACCGCGGCGCCCGCTGGGGAGCCGGGGCGCACACAGGACAGCCGCAAGCCTTCTGGGCCTGGCGCCCTCCCACACCCGCTAGGAGGGGAGGAAGCGCCTCCCCGACTCCCTGAGGAGGGCGCCAGTCCTCTGGTACCCGGAGAAGGAGGGCCGGGAGCTCAGTGAGCACTCCCTGTGAGTCCCAGGAGATGGCCGCTCTCCCTCGGAAGCCGGAAGTCGGCTTCTAGAGGCCGAGCAGTGCAGACAAGCGGCTGGGAGGCACTGGAGAGGGGACAACGTACCCATTCGGATGTGCACGGTGGCGGAGGCCACGCTGCTGCCATAGTTGAAGTCGTCCTCGATCGAGGAGCGAGGGTACCGGGGGTCGGGGTCAGCCATGATGGCAACAGCACCCCTACCGGTCCCGGTCCACTAACCGCAACCGCCTCCTCCCCACTTCCGCGAGGAAGAGCCCAGCCCCAGCAAGCCGTGCGGCGTCGGCGGGCGAACACCGAGCGAGTCGATTTTCTCGCTTCAAAAATTCCAGCTGGGCGGAGAAAGCGGGGATGGCTCCGAGTTAGAATGGAAGAGAAAACGGTTTACATTCCCGGCGTCATCTGAAGTGAAACTTTTCTCAACACACTTTTTTTTTTTTTTTTGAGATGGAGTTTCACTCTTGTTGCCCAGGCTGGAGTGCAATGGCACGATCTCGGCTCACCGCAACCTCCGCCTCCCGGGTTCAAGCGGTTCTCCTGCCTCAGCCTCCCGAATAGCTGAGATTACAGGCGCCTGCCACCACGCCAGGCTAATTTTTTTATATTTTTAGCAGAGACGAGGTTTCACCATGTTAGCCAGGATGGTCTCGATCTGCTGACCTCGTGATCCGCCCGCCTCGGCCTCCCAAAGTGCTGAGATTACAGGCGTGAGCCACCGCGCCCAGCCTGAACACACTTTAAGTCCTTTCACCTTGGAGAGTTGCTAAAGTGATAGAACCCATGTCCCAGTCACCCATCCACTCAACAAATACCCATCTCATTCATCCACTTTTTCAATAATCACACCGAGGATGCATTTTTACTTCTATTATTTTAAAATAATAATAATACCTACATTTATTGAGCACTTTCTATAAACCAGGCTTTCTGAATGAAGTAATATTTAATCCTGAAAGGCAAGTAGGAGCCAACCAGAGAAAGAGCAGTGATGTAGGCTGGGCCTCAAGGGACCAACGTCTGCAAAGAGGGAGACGGTGAAGCTCAGCTGGTGTAGGGGACAGGTGGCAAAGAATGAGGCTGGATAGATAAACAAAGGCCAGATCATCCTAGGCCAGAAGTAGAATACATTGAAGAGGGCCATTACCAAAGGCAGAGAAAAGGGGATAAAGTTGTATTACTGTAAGAGAGAGATGATGGTGGCAAATACAATGGATTAGAGTGAATATTCATGATATTGTTGTCATTCCAATATAAAGAGGTGTAGACATACCCAGAGTAGTGTCATCCTAGGGTCCCTTGGAATTGTTTTGATGAGTTTACTCTGATCTACCCACATTGCCCAGTCCTCACCTTAACCACAACACCCGAACACTTAGCAAGTGGAATTCAGAACAGTTGTGGAACAGTCTATTCTAAACTAAATCCTTAAACTTGATGTTCTCAGAAGCCTTTGCCAAAAGAACTAACGTCACTTCCACAATGACAAGAAAAACAAAACAAAACAAAAAAACACTTTATCTTTTATGATTTTACAAACATTTTACAAGCATATCATTTTAATTTGTTTTTGTTGGTTTGTTTTGAGATAGAGTCTCAGTCTGTCACCCAGGCTGGAGTGCGGTGGCTCTATCTCGGCTCACAGCAGCCTTGACCTCCTGAGGTCAGGTGACCACCCCCGGGTAATTTTTTGTATTTTTTGTAGTGACGGAATTTCGCCATGTTGCCCATGCTGGTCTCGAACTTGGGCTCAAGTGATCCCCCTACCTCGACCTCCCAAAGTGCTGAGATCACAGGCGTTAGCCACTGTGTCCGGCCCCTCGTTTTAGTTTAGTTTGTTGAATGGATAGGTGAATGGGATATGGCCTCTATCTCTTTAGTCACTCTCCAGGTGAGAGGACTTAAAAAGCTTGCTGAGAAAAATCTGAGAAAAGTTTTACTTCAGATGACACTGGGAATGTAATCCGTTTTCTCTCCCATCCTAACCCGAAGCCATCCCCTCTTTCTCTGCCCCGCCGTAATAATGGAATTTATTATAGAGGACAAACTGGAGCTAAATTGGGAACCCACCTTTGTATTGACTAAAAACAGCATCAGCAAAGTTTGATCCTTTACCTCTTACCAGTTACAAAAAAAAATAAATTCCAGATAGATTGTGGATATAAATGTGAAAGGCAAAAACAATAAAACTTAAAGAAAATGATACAGGAGAATATGATTTGGAGGAAGGCAAAGATTTCTGAAACCAGATA
This sequence comes from Homo sapiens, assembly GCF_000001405.40. Lineage (NCBI taxonomy): Eukaryota > Metazoa > Chordata > Mammalia > Primates > Hominidae > Homo > Homo sapiens. Next base: position 66,172,017 of record NC_000012.12, read on the forward strand.
CAAAATAGCACTTAACTTCAAATGAAAAGATTGCCAAATTAAATTATATTAAAATTAGGAATTTCTAGTAATCAAAATATACCATAAGAGAGTGAAAAGGAAGCCATAGAGTAGGGGAAGATATCTGCTATACATATAACCTACCTAAGGCTCCTTTTCAGAATATAAAAACAATTGTTACAAATCCAGACCAAAAAAAGACAGTCAATAGAAAAATAGACAAAAGACTGGAGGCGGGCGCAGTGGCTCATGCCTGTAATCCCAGCACTTTGGGAAGCTGAGGCGGGTGGATCACCTGAGGTCAGGAGTTCGAGACCAGCCTCAACGTGGAGAAATCCCGTCTCTACTAAAAATACAAAATTAGCCAGGCATGGTGGTACATGCCTGTAATCCCAGCTACTCGGGAGGCTGAGGCAGGAGAATTGCTTGAGCCTGGGAGGTGGAGGTTGTGGTGAACCAAGATCGCGCCATTGCACTCTGGCTTGGGCAACAAGAGCGAAACTCCACCTCAAAAACAAAAAAAAAGAAGGAAAAAAGACTGAAACAGGAACCTAACACACACACACACACACAGCCAAGTGGCTAATATATGAAAAGTTGATCAGAGAAATGTAAATAAATGCCAAAATTAGATATCTCTAAGCACCCACCAAATGATTAAAATTAAGAGATTGATAATATCAAGTGTTGGCAAAACTGGATTATCTAGAACTCAAATAAGAGCTGACTTAAAAGGTGTGCAACCTATGCTATTGCACAGAGCCCTGGACTCCGAAGGACTCTGCACTTGGTTTAATGCTCAGCTGTCACCATTTTGAAATACTTAGTAATTTTGCCTTTGAACATGTGTTTTGTAAGTGAAGTCTGAAAGTACAATGGAACATGAACATGAATAGAAGAGGTATGCACAATGTGGATGTCCACTGTTTCCTGCCAATCATTTGCATTTAAGCATTTAGCATGCCCCATGAGCTCAGAATTCTGTTAGACCTGCAATGTTTGGGAGTTAAGCTAGACTCAAAGCTAGTAAAAGATAAGCATGTCACACTTGTGACTTAGTAAAGGGAAGAGAAGAGAAGGCACAGACAGCCCCAAGAGGCCTAGCTTTCCTTACCGAGGAGAACTTACTTTGAATGCAGAAGGAAAGCAATGACGTTTTAAGAAACATGAATGACCAAGGAATCTTTTCACATCCTTTTTTTTTTCTTAATAGGGTCTTGTTCTGTTGCCCAGGTTGGAGGGCAGTGGTGCAATCATAGCTCTCTGCAAACTCCTGGGCTTAAGGGCTCACCCCATCTTAGCATCCTTAGTAGCTAAGACTACAAATGCATGCCACCATGCCCAACTAATTTTTTTTTTCCGAGATGGAGTTTCCCTCTTGTCCAAACTAGAGTGCAATGGCGCAGGTCTCAGCTCACTGCAACCTCCGCCTCCCGGGTTCAAGCAATTCTCCTGCCTCAGCCTCCCAAGTACCTGGGATTATAGGCATCCGCCACCACTCCCGGCTAACTTTTTTGTATTTTTTGTAGAGACTGGGTTTCACCATGTTGGCCAGGCTGGTCTCAAGCTCCTGGCCTCAGGTTATCCGTCCACCTCAGCCTCCCAAGTGCTGGGATTACAGACGTGAGTCACCGTGCCCGGACCTAATTTCTTAAATTTTATGAGACAGGGTCTTGCTGTGTTTCCCAGGCTGGTCTTGAGCTCCTGGCCTCAAGCAATCCTCCAGCCTTGGCCTCACAAAGCTCTGGGATTACAGGCTGTCACATCCTTTTTTTTTTTTTTTTTTTTTTTTTTGAGATAGAGTGTTGCTCTATTGCCCGTCTGGAGTGCAGTGGCGCGATCTCGGCTCACTGCAACCTCCGCCTCCTGGGTTCAAGCGATTCCCCTGCCTCAGCCTCACGAATAGCTGGGACTACAGGCACCCGCCACCATGCCCGGCTAATTTTTTTGTATTTTAGTAGAGACGGAGTTTCACCATATTGGCCAGGATGGTCTTGATCTCCTGACCTCGTGATCTGCCCGCCTCTGTTCCCAAAGTGCTGGGATTACAGGCGTGAGCCGCCGTGCCCAGCCCACATAGTTTTTTACTTGTGTTCTTTCCCTGTAAATGTCAACCACTTACACTCAAAGACACGGAAGGAAAGGGAAAGATATGGCAATCATAGTTCCTTTTCTTTTCAGGTTATCCTTTGCAATAAGCTGAAGGTAGAGAGTGTTGATATAGTTTGCATGTATGAAGAAGTGAAATAAAAATAATTGATTTAATTTTGTGTGAATTTTCCACAGTTCTTATAAGAATGAAATAAATATGTACAAGCTATGAAATACAAATCGTGTCATTTTGGTGATTCCACATATGCATTAAACGCCCTTTTAAATTTGTATTTAAAACTATCATTGCCTCCCTCCTCCCTCGCCCTCACCTTTGGTCTCCCTCTGTTGCCGAGGCTGGACTGTGCTGCTGTGGTCTCGGCTCGCTGCAGCCTCCCTGCCCCAGGCTCCCGTGGTTCTCCTGCCTCGGCCTGCCAAGTGCCTGGGATTGCCGGTGCGCGCCACCACGCCTGACTGGTTTTTGTATTTTTGGAGGAGACGGGGTTTTGCCCTGTTGACCAGGCTGGTCTCCGGCTCCTGACCTCGAGTGGTCTGCCCGCCTCGGCCTCCCGGGGTGCTGGGATTGCAGACGGAGTCTCGCTCACTCAGTGCTCAGTGTTGCCCAAGCTGGAGTGCAGTGGCGTGATCTCCGCTCGCTGCAACCTCCACCTTCCAGCCGCCTGCCTTGGCCTCCCAAAGTGCTAAGATGACAGCCTCTGCCCGGCCGCCACCCCGTCTGGGAACTGGGGAGCATCTCTGCCTGGCCGCCCATCGTCTGGGATGTGGGGAGCCCCTCTGCCCGGCTGCCCCGTCTGGGAAGTGAGGAGCGCCTCTGCCTGGCGGCCCTTCGTCTGGGAGGTGGGGAGCGCCTCTGCCCGGCCGCCCCGTCTGGGAGGTGAGGGGCGTCTATGCCCGGCCGCCCCATCTGGGAGGTGAGGAGCGCCTCTGCCTGGCTGCCCATCGTCTGGGAGGTGAGGAGGGCCTCTGCCCGGCCGCCACCCCTTCTGGGAAGTGAGGTGCGCCTCTGCCTGGCCGGCCGCCCCGTCTGGGAATTGAGGAGCGCCTCTGCCCGGCCGCCTGGTCTGGGAAGTGTACCCAACAGCTCCGAAGAGACAGCCACCATCAAGAACGGGCCATGATGACGATGGCGGTTTTGTCCTAAAGAAAAGGGGGAAATGTGGGGAAAAGAAAGAGAGATCAGATTGTTACCATGTCTGTGTAGAAAGAAGTAGACATAGGAGACACCATTTTGTTCTGTACTAAGAAAAAGTCTTCTGCCTTGGGATGCTGTTAATCTATAACCTTACCCCCAAACCCCTGCTCTCTGAAACACGTGCTGTGTCAACTCAGGGTTAAATGGATTAAGGGCGGTGCAAGATGTGCTTTGTTAAACAGATGCTTGAAGGCCGCATGCTCGTTAAGAGTCATCACCACTCCCTAATCTCAAGTACCCAGGGACACAAACACGGCTGAAGGCCGCAGGGACCTCTGCCTAGGAAAACCAGAGACCTTTATTCACGTGTTTATCTGCTGACCTTCTCTCCACTACTATCCTATGACCCTGCCACATCCCCCTCTATGAGAAACACCCAAGAATGATCAATAAATACTAAAAAAAAAAAAAGAAAAAAAAAGGAAAAAACAAAACAAAACAAAAAAACACAAAATTAGCCAGGTGCAATGGCACATGCCTGTGGTCCCAGCTACTCTGGAGGCTGAGGTAGGAGAATCGCTTGAACTCTGGGGGCGGAGGTTGCCGTGAGCCGAGACCGCACCATTGCACTCCAGCCTGGGCAACAAAAGCGACACTCCGTCTCAAAAAAAAAAAAAAAGAAAAAAAAAGAAAGAAAGAAAAGTAAAGAAAATAATATCCAACTCAGAGTGCCGTAAGGACTAAATGAGCTAATAAATACCAAGAGCTTAATAAAAAAAAAAACTATCATTGCAAAATATAAATATCAATGGCAAAATTTGTGCTAATAATTTTAAATGATTTTTTATTTACTACATTAAATAGCAAATAAAAAACATCATGGCAAGTCAAGAGATTTCAAAAGAAACAAGCTTTAATATTTAAGTATCTTTAATAGGGCTTTTTCCTGCTTTTTGAACAAGAGGTCCAACATTTTTACTTCTTGCTGGGCCCCACAAATTATGTAGATGAAGCAATTCCTTTGGAAAATTGGCAGTATCTACCAAAGTTGAACACACACTGCAAGTTCTATTACTTGGCAGTTCTACTCCTAAGTAGAGTATGTGTCCAATAGAAATGCATGCACAAGTTTACAAAAGACATAACCAAGAATATACATAGCCACATTATTCTTAATAGCTAAAATCTAGAAACAACTCAAATTGTCCACTATTGGAAAAAATGAATAAATTATATTCATATAATCACATACTTTATACAATTAAAATGAACAAATTGACATGTTCATGGATGTAGCTTACAAACATAATGCTAAGCAAAAGAAATCAAATGCAAAGAATATATAGAATAGTATAAAGAATAATGTAAAGCTGAAAAGCAAACAAAAGTAATCTATGGTCTTACATATCAGGAAACTGTTTATCTTTGGGGAGGAGGAAGGCATAATCATCAGGAGGAGGTACTTAGAAGGAATTCCAGGATTTCAGTAATGTTCTGTTTCCTGGCTGATTACATAACTTTCACTTCTTGATAATGAGGCAAGCTGTTTATACTTAGGATTTGTGTATATTTTATACTTAAATTTGTATATTATACTTAAATTTTAAAAATTGTCGTAAAAAAGTGAAAAAGTATTTGCTCCCTCTCAGTTTAGATAAGAAAGCTATCTTATGAAAATAAAGCATTTACTTATAGACATGAAATCCAATAACTCAGTAATCTAATGCTTCTCTATTTCTTTTAAAGCTGCAATTTCAAGGAAAGTGCTTTGTAAATAACATCACTAATCCAAAGGAAATTTTATTGATTTTTAAAGACCTATCTGCATGCTTCCTCTTCCCTCTAACCATCTCTTCATCATTCTCACCTCCTTTTCATTTGTGTTTGCTCTCAAACCCCAAGCTAAAACATCTTCTGGACTATTCTCAAACTATGATTCTGTCCTTATTTCTGGATTGCCAGACAACACAAAACGTTTTTGTTTTTGGCTTTTGGATATTAACCTACATTCAACATTAAAGGTCCTGGAGATGTGAGTTGCAATTATCTTTAAAATTGTTTTATCTTTAAAATTTTATTTACAGCTCAACTTTAGTGGCCAGAGTAGTGGAGATTTGTAAGGCTCGTGGATTACTTAAAAAGAGCAAGGGCATTTACAGCCAAATAAACTAGAACACATTGATGTTCTGGGAGGGTGGAGCATCTGGAAAGGGCATGGAAGCTGCATCCTGGGTGCCCTTTCAGACCTTGCAGCCCTATCTCTTTATCTTGCTGTTCATTTGTGTCCTTTATAATAAAATGGTAATAATAAGCATAGCACTTTCTGGAATCCCGTGAATTGTTCTGGTGAGTTATCCAACTTGGAGGGAATCATGGGGACTCTCAAATTTGTATTTAGCTAGGCAGAGATGCAGATAGCTTAGAGATACCTGAGTCTTGTAGCTGGCATCTGAAGTGGGGGCTGATTCATGGGACTGAGACCTTTACTTGTGGGGTCTGCATTAACTCTGGGTAGTTAGTGTTAGAAATTATGGACCTTGTCCTTAACTTGTGGAATCTGTCAGTAGTGTTAGAATTGGGATGAATTGCAGGACACCCAGTTGGTGTTGGAGAATTGTTGTCAGAACATAGCGTGTAAAGTAGTAACACGGTGCCTAGCAAACGGTGAGTGCTCACTAAATGATAGTTGTAATTATTATTGGCTGAAGGCAAGGTCATCACTTCTTTCATTGATTAGACATTTATTGGGAAGTTACTCTGTGCCAAGCAGCATGCAAGGTACACAGAGATGACTGACTCCTCTGCTACACACCAATGCTCCACAAGCCCACAGGAAAACAATACCAAAAAAAGAGTTCTGATGGAAAGTAGTACTGAATGTTATGGAACCTAGAAGAAATGATTAACTCTGGGGAGATTATAAATGATTTCATGGAGATTATAAAGTGTTTCAGTTACCTAGGGCTGCTGTAACCAGTTACCACAAAGAGTGACTTGAAACAACAGAAGTTTCTTCTCTCACGGTTCTGGAAGCCAGAGTTTGAAATCAAGATGTCTGTGTATGGTTTATTCCTTCTAAAGGCTCTGAGGAAGAATCCGTTCCACACCTCTCCCAGCTTCTGGTGGTTGCCAGCAATCTTTGGAGTTCCTTGGCTGTGGCTGCATCATTCCCATCTCTTCCTCAGTTGTTACATGGCCTTTTCCTCCTCTGTGTCTCCAAGTCCAAATTTCTCTCTTCTTATAAAGTCACTAGTCATTGAATTAGGGGCTACCCTAATCCAATATGAGCTTGTCTTAACTTGATTGCATTTGCAGCATCCCTATTTCCAATTAAGGTCACATTCAGAGGTACTCAGGGTTAGGACTTAAACGTACATTTTGGGGGTAAACAATTCAACCTGCAACACAGAAATGGTGGCTTTTCAATTGAGTAATAAAGGATAAGTAGGGGTTCACCAGGTAAGAGATACTGCAAAACCTCAAACATGAAGTAACAAACAAATTGGAAAAGACCCAGACACATATCAGAAATACTACAGAAGAACAAGATTTGGTGACTTATTAGATATAGGTACCTACTACGAGGTGCTCAGTAAATCCTTCTGAAGATAGTATTAATCAGTCAGTCAAAATTACTCAGAGTTACCTTGGCCCATGTGACCAGAAACAAGGAAGTTGATTTTCTAGGAAACAATCAGTTTGGGACATGATGATTTGAGATGAAAGCAAGAAATCCAAATGAAATTTTTCAATAAATGCAGGAGGTGAGAAGAGAATCTGCAGGGCAGGTTAGGGCTGATGACACAAATATCAAAGTAGTTGACTTAGAGATTGATAGATGAAGAATGAGATTATATGAAACCTCTAAGACAAAATAAGAAGATCAACAAATTCAGCCTATGGGTACATTATACAGGCCAGAAGAAGAGCTAGTTAAGAAAACAGAAGAAACAGTCAGTATGTAGGAAAAAAAAATACTGAGTATCATCATGGAGGACAAAAAAGGCAAAAATTCAAGAACGATGCTATGTAATGAGAGGGTAAATGTGGAATTGTCAGAATGAGTCTTGAGGACATTTGATCTGAAAAATTACTAGGATTTTTAAACCTAAATATGCTGAATATTTGCACATACAGACCTTTGTTATTGTCTTCATTATAAAGGCACCAGATTACATCCAAGCTTTACTCTTCCATAAAATTTCAGAACAATGTAATAAATTCTGTACAAGAAGAACAAGAGGAACAATAACTGCTGTGAAAGACGGGAAGATGTGGATAATGAATGACCAAGTGTTGTTAGGATGTATACTCTGAAACCTGATGATGTAACATCATTTCTTGAAATTATGCACAGAGAGTTTGTTATGGACTGAATGTTTCTAACACCCCCCCAAGCCCTATCACCCAACCCAAATTCTTATGTGGAAGCCCAAACCCCTGGAGTGGCTGTACGTGGAGATGGGACATCTATGGAAGTAATTAAGGTTAAATAAGGTCATAAGGGTAGGGCCCTGATCCTATAGGATTAGTGTCTTTATATGAAATGTCTTCATAAGAAGAGACATCAGAGAGCTAGTTCACACTTGCCATATGCATGCATCAAGGAAAGACCTTGTGAGGGTGTAGCAAGAAGGGGGCCATCTACAAGCCGGAAGGAGAGCCTTCCCAGAAATTGGACCCTGCCAACACCTTGATTTTAGACCTCCAGTCTCCAGAACTGTGAGAAAATAAATGTTTGTTTTTTAGGCTATGCAGTCTGTGGGATTTTGTTATGGCAGCCTGAGCAGACTAAGATAGGGTTTATTTGGCAGATTTATTCAGTGACAAGGAAAAGAAAGTCAAATCCTTTTTTTTTTTTTTTTTTTTTCCAGACGGACTCTGGCTCTGTCGCCCAGGCTAGAGTGCAGTGGCGCGAACTCGGCTCACTGCAACCTCCACCTCCCGGGTTCAAGCGATTCTCCTGTCTCAGCCTCCCAAGTAGCTGGGATTACAGGTGTGTGCCATCATGCCTGGCCAATTTTTGTATTTTTAGTAGAGACAGGGTTTCACCATATTGGTCAGGCTGGTCTCAAACTCCTGACCTCAGGTGATCCACCTGCCTCAACCTCCCAAAGTGCTGAGATTATAGGCGTGAGCCACCACACCTGGACAGAAAGTCAAATCCTTCAGAGTGAAAATACACAAGATTTATGTTCATTATATGCCAAAGAAATTTTGGATATCTTAAATAATATTTTTATTGTATAAACATTTTTGTAAGTATTTTTCCAATAAATATTGCACCCAGAGTTCTTATGGCCAGCAGCAGTTGTGTCACTTGTAAACTGTAGGAGTTGGACTAGGTCCTCTAAGTCGTTTTCCAGTCTCAAATTGTAAGCAATCTGAGTATTTTAATGAAAGAGAAAATGTTTAGCCATAATCTCAGATTTTTTTTTCCCACATGTCTGGGGTTCCTAGGGGTAAATAAATGTTTGCTTCAAAAACAAAACTTTAGGCTGGGCGCGGTGGCTTACGCCTGTAATCCCAGCACTTTGGGAGGCCGAGGCAGGCGGATCATGAGGTCAGGAGATTGAGACCATCCTGGCTAACACGGTGAAACCCCGTCTCTACTAAAAATACAAAAAAATTAGCCAGGCTTGGTGGCGGGCGCCTGTAGTCCCAGCTACTTGGGAGGCTGAGGCAGGAGAATGGCGTGAGCCCGGGAGGCGGAGCTTGCTGTGAGCCGAGATGGCGCCACTGCACTCCAGCCTGGGCGACAGAGCAAGACTCTGTCTCAAAAAAAAAAGAAAAAGAAAAAAAAAAAAACTTTAGCTAATATTGAAATTATAAAAAGCCCTTGGCTGAAAGTTATTCAAACATAAAAATCAGACTTTTAAAAGTCAGTGGTGACTAGGCAAATGTTATCATAGCAACATACCCTAAACTGAAAAATGCCATGAAAATGGTTTAGAAAGAAAACAATCAAATGAGATCAATCACAAAGTGTTGGAGGAAATTATTTTTTAGAGTTGAGGATTTTCTAATCACAGAGATGATACATAATAACTGTAGAAAGTTTTGAAAACACAAAAAGCCCAAGTAAGAAAATGAAGTACCGAATACTCTTTTCCTCCATCAATCCTAAGAGGATAATTGTTAAAATTTTAGTATATATCATGTTGTGACATAATCGATTTTTAGAAAAATGTTTTTCATGTATTAAATGGGAAAAGATTGAGTTATAAGAGAACACAAACCGAATGCTATTTTAAAATATTATATATTATCTGTGTATATAATATGTAAATACGTATATACACACACATGCATATAGAACTGGAGGAATAATGAGCACATGTTATTTTCTTTTCTTTCTTTCTTTTTTTTTTTTTAAACAAGGTCTCTCTCTGTTACCCAAGCTGGAGTGCAGTGGCATGATCACGGCTCACTGCAGCCTCAACCTCCTGGGCTCAAGCAATCCTCGCCCCTTAACCTCTGAAGTAGCTGGGACTACAGGCACACACCATCATGCTCAGCCAATTTTTGTATTTTTTTTTTTGTAGAGGCGGGGTTTCTCCACATTGCCCAGGCTGGTCACGAACTCCTGTGCTCAAGTGATCCTCCCGGCTTAGCCTCCCAAATTGCTGGGATTAGAGATGTGAGCCATGGCTCCTGGCTACAGGTTATTTTCATGAGGTCATTGTGATGAAAGCCTAAGAAACGTTCAGTTTATTTTTTTAAATTACCAAGTAGCCAGGTGCAGTGGTTTATGCCTATAATCTCAGCACTTTGTGAGGCTAAGGTGGAAGGATTGCTTGAGCCCAGGAGTTTGAGACCAGCTTGAGCAACATAGCAAGACCCCCATCTCTACCAAAAAAAAAAAATTTAAATAAAATAAAATAACCAAGCAATGTGTACCACAAATGTCTTCACACCATTCCCGATCTTTACTCTATCCCTGAACCCCAGTGTATATATAACTCTCTAGGGTAAGGTCATAGGTTATAGGTAAGTGATGAAGCTCAAATATGGGATAGGTTCTTGATCTTTGTTTTGAAATTACTTCCCAAACCAGAAATATCCTCGGTCCCACAAGCTTGAGAGTCTTTTGAACATCCATGCCTAAGGGTGGCTGTAAAAATAGCTACTACCAAGATACTTGTCTCATGTATATTAAGAGCTGTTGTCTGCCTCACCTCATTTCTCCCTCACCTGTTTCTAGATTTCTGAGGATTTGTGCCTGTGCTTAGCTGGGGCTTGGCCACTGATATTACTGTGTATCTGTGCCATTGTCACCATGTCCTTCAGGATTTCCTTGGCATCTCCATTTGTTAGTCTTTGCAGTTCACTGCTCTCTTCTTTCCAGCTGGGATGAAAACACTTTATTCTTCCGGTATCCAAAACTTGGGGGCGGGGGATGTTGGAGAGGATCCCACAGCAAAGGGCTATGTCACATAGTGGAACAGTTTTGTGACTTAACCATAGTCCTCTCTTTTCCGGATAATATGTATGCTGGCATTGGGAAGGTAGGATGGGGTTGAAGTGTCTGGGTCTACATGGGTTCTAGTCCAGTTTCATGAACTTCTAGGACTTCAGACTGCTTCTGCCCATACTGCCAGAATCATTCTTTCCCAACATTTATTTTATCTCAGGGTCTCAGCTGCCTCTGTCTGCAATCTGGTTTTCACATACATCTCACATCCCACTAGATATAGTGTATACATTTGAACTCCAGGTTTAGACAGGGATTAGTTTTCTTCCCATAGGTTTTATAGGTGCTCAACAAACCAGAGAGTATTACCAAGTGCCCACTTAGTGCGTCAGCTAGGATGCGTTTGGCTTCAAATCACAAGATTCCTGGCTTAAAAAGGAAATTTATCTCATATAGTTATAAGACCACAAGTAGGACAGGCTCCAGGCATAGAATGAATGAACTGCTCAATGACATCAGCAAGGACTTGGTTTTTCCTCTCACTAGGTTTTTCCTGTCATGATTCCCAGGGCTTGTTTCATTCTAATATTGATGTCCATGTGGTTGCAAAACGGTTCCCTGCCATGACCAGAGCTGCTACATGTTCTTATTTTGATCCAGAAGAGAGCTATCTGAATGAAATATGATTCCCCAACTCATACATTATTGGACCAATTTCAATCATGTCTCAGCCCCAATCTGAGTGCATGGACCATGGCAATTTTAATTATGGGGGTCTGAGTAGACCTTAGCCATGTGGGAAGAGCATACCAGGCAAGGGAGTGGCAAGTGCAAAGGCTCCAATGTGGGGCTCTCTCTTGTGTGTTCAAAGACCAGCAAGGAGATACTGTGGCTAAAGCAGAATGAACAATGAACAAGGAAACAAAATCAGAGGGCAAAGCAGCAGAGTGGGAAGGGGAGAAAGAATGCAGATTATATAAAGAGTTTGACTTTTATTGACTGAAATTAGGAGCCATTGCTGGCTTCTGAACAAAGGAGAGACACAGATAGGATTTAAAAGAGTCAATCTCACTGCAGTGTTGGAAGCAAGAGTGGAAGCTATCCTTAGTTCAGAGGCTAGTATAACAATCCAGACAATATTTGATGGTGTCTCAAACCAGAATGGCAGCAGTGGAGGTGAGGAAAATTGATTAGATTCTAGACACATTTTGAATAGCCTTGACAGGATTTGCTGGTAGATTGAACATGGGGTCACACTGGTAGCTGCAAATGAGTAGAGGAGTCAAGGATGACTCTATAGTTTTTAGTTCAAGCAACTGGAAGGGTGCAGTTGCCAGGGGAGCATTGTTTGGAGGGGGTGTGTGTGTGTGTGTTTTGAGACAGGGTCTCACTCTGTCACCTAGGCTAGAGTGCAGCGGCACAATCATGGCTCACTGCAGCTTCAGCTTCCTGGGATCAAGTGATCCTCCCACCTCAGCTTCCCAGGTAGCTGGGACTACAGGAGTGTAACATCACACCCAGCTACTAATAATTTATTATTATTATTATTATTATTATTATTATTATTATTATTATTATTTTGTAGAGACAGGGTTTTGCCATGTTGCCCAGGCTGGTCTTGAGCTTCTGGGCTCAAGCAGTTTGCCTGCCTCAGTCTCCCAAAGTGCTTGTATTACAGGCCTGAGCCACTGTACCCAGCTGGTGGAGTTGCTGTTAACCTAGACAGGGAGGAATGCAGGAAGAGTAGGTTTAAGAGGCATGATCAAGAATTCAATTTTGGACATGACTCTAGAATTTAAGAGAGAGGTCTGGACTAAAAACATAAATTTGGTAGTCTGTGGTATATAGATGTATATAGATGGTACCTAAAGCCTTGAAACTGATTAAGATCAGCAAGGCAGTGGGTGCAGATAGAGAAGAACCATGGATTGAGTCCTGGGGTGCTCCAACATTTAGAGTTCAGGGAGAAGAGGAGGAACAGCAAAGGAAGCTGTGGGGTGATCAATGAGGTAAGTGAAAAATATAAGAGAATGTGGTGTCCTAGAAGTCAAATGAAGAAAGTTTCCAAGGAGGGGGTGATCAACTGTATCAAAACTACCAATAGGTCAAGTAAGTGAGGACTGGAAATTAATTATTTTACGTAGCAATGATGTGGACATGTGTGACCCTGAAGAGAATAGTTTTAGTGGAGTAAAGTGGGAGGGGTGCTTCTAATTAGAGTTGGTTTAAGAGAAGATGGGAGGAGAACATTGGACACAGTGAGAATATTCAGCTCGACACTGCAAAGGGGAGCAAAGAATTGGGGCCAAAGACAGAAGGGGGAAGTGGCATCAAAAATTTTGGTTTGCATGGAATACTATGCAGCCATAAAAAATGATGAGTTCATGTCCTTTGTAGGGACATGGATGAAACTGGAAACCATTATTCTCAGCAAACTATCGCAAGGACAAAAAACCAAACACCACGTGTTCTCACTCATAGGTGGGAATTGAACAATGAGAACACATGGACACAGGAAGGGGAACATCACACACCAGGGCCTGTTGTGGGGTGGGGGGAGTGGGGAGAGATAGCATTAGGAGATATACCTAATGCTAAATGATGAGTTAATGGGTGCAGCACACCAACATGGCACATGTATATGTATGTAACAAACCTGCACGTTGTGCACATGTACCCTAAAACTTAAAGTATAATAATAATAAAATTTAAAAAAATTTTGGTTTAAGTTGAAAGAAACAACATCATATTTGTATGCTGATGGAATTGAGGTGGTAAAGAGTGAAAAACTGATCATGTAACAGGGACCAGGGAAAGCATGTGCCCTTGATGCCTTTGAAATGGTAATAGGGATAGGATCCAGTGCACAAACGAAGTATAATGATTTACATAGGACCCTAGATAATTCATCCATGGAAAACACGAAGAAAGAGTATGTTGGCAAAGATGCTAGTAGATAGTTCGATGTAGTAGTGAGATTCCGTGGAAGTTTTTTCCTGATGCATCAGTATTCTCAATAAATATTCTCAAGATAATTGGTGGAGGACAGGATGATGGGAGTTGAGAAAAAAGAAAGTATAGCATAGCTTTCAAGGAGACCAGAAGAATGCATGGGCTAAAGGTGCATAGTATGCTTGTCCAGTGGCATAAAGGACCCACTTGAGAGTCTTGGCCTTGATTTTAAATTGAGTTCAATTAACAGGATTTTGGTTTTCCACCCCGTTCCCCAGCTACACTCAGGTGCATGGGTGTGGAGCCAACTTAGAAAATTGGATTTAATCAGAATTGCAAACTTGCCAAGAGAGCTCAACAAAGTGAGAGAGGAGCAAGGGAATGTAGAGCATATGCAAAGGAGTGAATAAAATAATTGACCACAGACTTAATGGATAAGCAGAAAAGTCAGGATGTCAAGAGGGTGGAGCCAGAAAAGAGGCAGCAAGATTTTGGATTGGATATCTGGTGAAGGGACAGGATTGTTGGGGTCAGAGTACTAGAGGGAATGTGCTAGAAAGACAGGAGGTATGATCAGAGAGTGGATTCATGAAAGAAATTATAGATGGGATGCAGCTATTGATAATGACAAATTCTAGGGGACGCTCATGGGAGTAAGTGTCTGAAATGGAGCATTGGGTGGAGTACAATGTCACCAGAGAAGAGGAGTCAAGGAAATGAGAGGCCAGGGCATTGGAAAGATCACCATCTATTCTACATATATATATATATATATGTGTGTGTGTGTGTGTGTGTGTGTGTATGTTTTAATTTTGTTTCATCAACTTTTATTTTAAGTTCTAGGGTACATGTGCAGGATGTGCAGTTTGTTACATAGGTAAATATGTGCCATTGTGGTTTGCTGCACAGATGATCCCACCACCTAGGTATTAAGCCCAGCATCTATTAGCTATTGCTTCTGATTCACTGCCTCCCCCTACCCCCTCCCCTGACAGGCCCCAGTATGCATTGTTCCCCACCAAGTGTCCATGTGTTCTCATGGTTCAGCTCCCACTTATAAGTGAGAACATGCAGTATTTGATTTTCTGTTCCTGTGTTAGTTTGCTGAGGATAATGGCCTCCAGCTCTATCCCTATCCCTGCAAAGGACATGATCTCATTCCTTTTTATGGCTGCATAGTATTCCATGGTGTATACATACCACGTTTTCTTTATCCAGTCTATCATTGATGGGCATTTGGCTTGATTCCATGTCTTTGCTATTGTGAATAGTTATTCTACATATATTTTAAATCACTGAGAACTAAGATAGGATTAGTACTGGAGAGAGCAACAATGAGCCAGGAGCTAGAGAGTCTAAAAACGAGGAGAAGGAATTGGAGTCGGGGAGATCAGCAGTTGATAGCAACCATGATGATACAACCTGATGATATAAAAATCAAAACTCAAGACAGTTTTAGGAATAGGAAGGCAACATGGTCTGAGAACGACTGCCAACACTGAAAATACAGGAAATTTCACATACTCTAGCTTTCACTTAGGATCCTTGCTTCTTGGTAAATTACAAGATCTGGTAAAGCAGGCCTTTCTGATTGCTTCCCTCATCTGCAGTGATTTCCTGTTTCCTCTGAGTGAGTTTGCCTCCCTGTAGTAGCAATTCAAAAGCTACCAAATAATTAATGGCCTTTTGCCTCTGTTGCTCAGCATGTTCAGGTAGTCCCTTTAAGAGATGTATAGAGGGCCGGGTGTGGTGGCTCATGCCTGTAATCCCAGAACCTTGGGAGGCCTAGGGAGGTGGATCACTTGAGCCCAGGAGTTTGAGACCAGATTGAGCAACATGGGAAAACCCCGTCTCTACAAAAACTACAAAGGTTAGCCAGGCATGGTGGCATGCACCTGTAGTCCCAGCTGTACTGGAGGCTGAGGTGGGAGGATGGCTTGAGCCCAGGGGGTGGAAGTTGCAGTGAGCCGAGATCGCACCATTGCACCCCAACCTGGGCAATCAGAGCGACTAAAAAAAACAAATAAGAAAGAAAGGAGGGAAGGAAGGAAGAAAGGAGGGAAGGAAGGAAGGAAGGAAGGAAGGTAGGTAGGTGTACAGTGTGTACAGATTGACAATAAAACCTTGAACAACGGGATATCGAAATTCTTGCCCACACAGTATGGGCTTTGCCAGTTTTCAGATACATTTTTATGAAGTATTTTCGCTGGCAAAACCATTCAGGTAGGGGCATGAAATGATAGTGTTTCATCACTCGTGATCTCTAGGGGCAGCTATTCCAAAGACTACAATCTGAGAGGTTTCAAAACACCTCTGGTGTTTTCACTTGATGGCCACTGCCCACTCTTCCAGTCACTAAGGCTGAGATTTTTCTCACCACTTTCAAAACAACTTTTTGTCACTGGTAACATGCCTCATGTGACCTAGAAGATTTTGAAACAACAATTTTACTTAAACTCCGTGAAGATTTCAAAACAACAATTTTACTTAAACTCCATGTTGAAGGCAAAAAGGAAGATTGTGTGAAGCACTTTGAGGAAGGAAAAAATGATGGAACGATATTTCATCAAGGAAGCCCATGAGGAAGAAAATTTATTAAAACCAAGTAGGTGTATGGAGGAGAGGCCGCCTCGTGAAGAAAACGAACATAATTTTACGCTGATTTGGTGTCTTTTCTGTTTTTCTCTTGTTGGTATCTACATTCATCTTTTCCAATAATAATCCCATATATGTACATTTTTATCTGTTTAAATTCAGTAAAAGTTGGGAGGAAAATGTGTCAAAACTTTTAGAGTGTGATGGGCTGAGTGGGGTTGTGAGTGATTATCTTCTTTTTTCAGTTTTTTTCTGGGTTTTCCAAGTGTTCCTCGATGAACATGGATAGTTTTTCTGACAGGATAAAAAAGAAGTAGTCCGGGACAGTGGCTAACACCCCGAATCCCAGCACTTTGGGAAGCCGGAGGTGGGAGGATCGCTTGAGGCCAGGAGTTTGAAACCAGCCTGGGCAGCATAACGACACTCCCTCTCTACGAAAAACGAAAAAAAATAATTAGCCGGACGTGGTGGCGTGCGACTGTGGTCCCAGCTACTCGGGAGGCTGAGGTGGGAGGATCGCTTGAGCCCAATAGGTGGAGGCTCCGTGAGCTGAGATAGCGCCACTGCGCTCCTGCCTGGGCGACAGAGTGAGAACCTGACTCAAAACAAAGAAAAAAGGAAGAAAAGAAAGGAAGGGAAGAAGGAAGGAAGGGAGAAGCTTTCAAAAATAAACTTTTGTAAGAAGTAATGACACCGCTAGCCGTCCACACCAGGAGACCGCCTAGCCGTGGGGCACGGTGGGCTCCTGGGAGCTCTGAGCTCTGGGCTTTCTCCAGTTCGCACTCTGCTTGTCTCGGCAGCTCCGTCCCCACCGCAGAGGTGTGAAGGGGCGCAAAGCCAGCGAAGGGAGAACCCGGGTCGGGTAACCCCCAGGCCTGGCCAGGCGGACGCAGGGGCATCTCGGGCGAGGCGCGCCTTGCGTCACGTGGGCACCGCCCCTGCAGTGACCGGAGAACGGCGTGTTCCTAGGGCTCTGCTGCCGTCGTGGAAGCAGGATTTCCGCGGTTGTGTAACGGCCTGTCGCAGGCGTGCAGGGACCTGGACTCCGCCTCGTCCCCGGGGCTCGGGCAGCCGAGCCATGGCGGGGAACTGTGGGGCCCGCGGCGCGCTGTCGGCGCACACGCTGCTGTTCGACCTGCCGCCCGCGCTGCTCGGAGAGCTCTGCGCTGTTCTGGACAGCTGCGACGGCGCGCTGGGCTGGCGCGGCCTGGGTGAGTCGGCGGGGACCGGCCGGGGGCGGCGGGGGAGCCCAGCGCGCCGCGGGGCCCGCTCGGCGTCGCCCTGCATGGCTGGGGTCCCTCGCGGGGCTGGCGCGGCCTCCGGGAAGTTCCCGCCAGGGAGCCGGCCCCCTCCTTTCCTGGGTTGGATGCAGAGACTCCCTGGGACCCAGATGCCTTCCCTCCCTTCTCTTTCAAAGAATTTTGGGTATCGCTGCAAAGTCAAGGGAGCCGAGGCCTGGGAAAGACAGATAACCAGCGTGAAAGCATCTTCTGTTCGTCCGCGATGCCACCCTCACTGGGTTCGCAATGTATGATGTCTTCTGGTCCTTGCAAAATCACCCCAGAACATCATTTTAGTATTGAGACATTTTTAGAACTTTGAGATACTTATCCTTTGGTGTTTTCAATGCATCCCTAAGCCCCTAACTTAATTACAAGTGAAATGCTAAAGTAAACTACGGTTTGCAATGAACGCGGCTCCTAATTTTCTTAATTAAATCTTATTTACCCAATTTCGTTGAATGAAGGTTTATGCTAAAGGGTGGCTTTTTATTTTAATCTAAAAAAATTGGCTTCAGAACTGTATTTTATGCAGACATTGGAAAGTTGAGCAACTGCCTGCTGGAAGTGTTGAGTGTAGCCAGAGATAATTCGGACAAAAATCTTCGTTTTGTTAAGTACAGGCATTTTTGGTTAGATTTGATATTCCACAATGTCATGTTTAATGTTTATTGAAAAGAATCATGATTATGTCAAAATAACTTAGCTTTAATGGTCTGAAATAGGATTTTTCTTACCAGGACTAGCAGAAGGCCTAAGAGGAGAGTTTTCTTTGTTACTGATGAACAGTATGGTGACAGTCTTTGAATTGTAGCAATGGGCTTCTGGTTATACAAAAAATGTTTATATATTTTAAGCTCTGTAATTTTAAGTTATGGCCCTTAAGAAAAAAAAAAAAGTCTGATTTCTAGAAAACGAGATTTCCAGTGTGCATTTGAGGGATTTTGAGGGATAAGGTCACTTCCCCATCAGATCTTTTTGAGATGGATTTTGGCGTGGACAGTATTTATACCCGTTGATTTCCTAGAGTTACTGACTTTGAGAAAGAAAAGTGTTTTTAGTCCAGTTTAATGTTGGTGAATGGGGCCAGGTGGGTGTGGTAAATTAGTGAGGCAGATTATTCTCTCTCTTTCTGTTGATAGCATTGAAATCCAGATATTCATGCTTTACATGGCTTGTCTCATATAACTTCTCCAATTACTCTGTGAGTCATTATCATCGCCAGTGTTTTTTTAACAGGTCAGGAAACTGGTACAAATTGGTTAAGTAACTTGTTCAGGTTCACCAGCTGGAAATGGAAGAGCCAGGATCTGAACCATGGTAGTCTGGATCCAAGGCTTATGTCCTTAACCCCAGCTACTCTACACTTCTCCCCTTACTGCTGTGTTCTTTCTGGCCACATCTAACAGCCTCCCTAAAGTACAGACATTTCTGGCATCAAAGAACAATTCAGTGATCCATTTCAAGCATGCAGCCCTATTTTCCTAGTGGTGAAAATGAATGAGGACCACCCAAATGAGAACAAACAAAAGCTATTTTTTTCAAAGCAAGGGAGCCAGCACCATTGCTTGTGTTTGGCAGAGACTCAAAAGCAGACAGAGGATGGAGGAGGGTGGGAGAAGAAGGCTTCAGCTGTGTCCTGATTGGAGGCTGTTGATATGGGGAAGCTGTAGTTGAGCTACCTAAAAGGGGGTATTTTGTGTGTTTGTTTAGGGGTACATAATTGGCTTTCTCTGGTTGGCCCTAAGTTGGAAGTAGGAGCAAAAATTGAGGAAGTGGTCAGTAATTATTCAAGTCCTGGCCATTTGAGACAGGTTGCTACAGGGGTTCTTGTTTGGCTGCCTGGGCTAGTTGCTACAGTTTAACCCAGTTACTGATAGTTTAACTTGTTAGATACTGTAGACGGTAGGTTGGTTTCTTGGACTGGTTGATGTACATTGCCTGCAGAGTTCTATTTTTATATATAAGCTGGCCATTGTCCCTTTGTGTATTCATTCTCTCACAGGGAAAGGGTCTAAAATGTTTACTCCATGATACTTCAGCTGTAATTCATTGTGCAGGTGGTCATGCCTACTGACTGCCTGGACTACTGAGCTGGCCCTGACCAGGTGCTGCACAAGTTCTTGGCTCAGCAAGAAGGCAAGGCTAGCCCAGTTCAGGGTGTTGAGGCAACTGCCTGTGCTAAACATGCCGAGTTTTCCTGTGGGCACAGCGAAGGGAGAAAGAGGGGAAGAGGTGCAGGTAGGGAAAACTTGACCTTCGAGAGGGGAAGGAGAGTGACAGAGGACTGAATCAAAGAGGCAGTCCTTTGTATGCTCAGGACAGCTGACAGCCCAAGCTTAAATGTAGAAAACAACTGTAATATACTAAGTAAAGCTCTCTCGAGCCGATCGTGATTCTTGATGACGGTGAGTGTCAGGTTATGTTTACAAAGGCAGCTCATATAGCAGCCTATATGATATGACCAGTGTGTGCAGGATAAGGTAAGCCAGTCATTCACAAACACAAATCACCTATGCAGTCTTTTAAATACACAGATGCAGGTCCCACTCCTAGAGCTGCTGATTCAGGAAGTCTGGGTTGAGGGTCCAGCTTCTTTCATTTTTTGTCAAGCCCCAGGAGTGAGTCTGAGGCACAACCTGATTGGTAAGCCATTGCTTAGGCCAAATTCTCTTTTTTAATAGTGTCTTCATATAACAGATATTTTACTACATTCTTTCATTACTTCATTTAATTACTTTTATTTTTAAACATATTCTACATAGTACTCTTCAAATCACTTTTGTCAAGTATTGTTATTAAAAATAATGTAATCACAAGATAATATATTCTGTGGTTATCATTGATGACTTTATGGCTTTTAGTGAAAGCAAGAGCCCAAAAGCCCAAATGAAATATGTTGTTTACGTTACAGACATGATAACGTAGTACATACAGAACCTCTGGAGACAACTCATCTGATTACATTACCATAGATTGGTATTTAAATTAAATTATTTGGAGCAGCTGACACCGTAAAAACCTCTCAACACTTACGATGTACTGAGAAACGCTTTTTGCAAATGATATATAATAGGCTGTATTCAATTTTCTTCCTCTCAAGAAAGAAAAGGGAAATTATTATATAAATCATTAATAATTACTTTAAAAATTAAATGTAAAATCACATTAAGTGTGCATTTGTATATTCAATAAAGATTCAAAATAATAGTAGTAATAATAATAAAGCTACCTCCTGTCAAGGCTTACTATTGGCCATTGTGGTAAGCATTTTACATGGATTATCTCATTTACTTATTACAACAATTCTATCAGGTAGACACTCTTCCTATTTCCATTTTATAGATAGGTGAACTGATTCTCAGAGAATTTAAGTAACTTGCCTTGAGTCACAGTCTTCTAAATGGCACACTAAGATTCTAACCAGATGATCAGACTGCATATTCTATGTTCTTTTTTTCTTTTCTTTTCTTTCTAAATTTTAAATAGATGTGTTTTTTTATGTTATTATTATCTTTTTTTTGAGATGGAGTTTCGCTCTTGTTGCCTAGGCTGGAGTGCAATGGCGCAATCTCAGTTTACCGCAACCTCCGCCTCCCGGGTTCAAATGATTCTCCTATCTCAGCCTCCCGAGTAGCTGGGATTACAGGCATGCACCACCATGCCCGGCTTAATTTTTTTTTGTATTTTTAGTAGAGACAGGGTTTCTCCATGTTGGTCAGGCTGGTCTCGAACTCCCGACCTCAGGTGATCTGCCTGCCTCAGCCTCCTAAAGTGCTGGGATTACAGGCGTGAGCCACCGCGCCTGGCCTAGATGTATTTTTTTAAGAACAGTTTTAAATTTATGGAAAAGTTTAGCAGATAGTAGGAAGAGTTCCCAGATACTCTACATCCTTAGTACACTCCGCACCCAGTTTCCCATTATTAACATCTTGCATGAGTGTGCTGCATTCATTACAATATTGACACATTATTATTAACTAAAGTCCATGCTTTATTCAGACTTCCTTTGCTTTTACCCGATGTCCTTTCTCTGTTCCAGGATCCCATTCAGGATACCACATTACATTTATTTGTCGTATCCTCTGGCTCTTCTTGGCTGTGATGGTTTCTCAGACTTTCCTCGTTTTGAGGAGTATTGGTTGGAACTTATCCACTATTTTGTAGACTGTTCCTCAACTGCGATTTGTCTGATGTTTTTCTCATGATCAGACTGAGGTTATGGATTTGGGGGAGGAAAACCATAAAGTACTGACCTGTATCCAGGGTCGGTACTATTTACAGGAGTTATCACTGCTTATGTTAACCATGGCTGAGATGGCATCTGTCAGATATCTGCCCTGTAAAATTACTTCACTTCCCTCTCTTTCTGTTTCTTACTTTTTGGAAGGAAGTCACCATATGCAGTAGAGCCTGCTTTTTTTGTGTTGCTGTTGTTGTTTTGGAGACGGGATCTCACTCTGTCATCCAGGGTGAAGTGCAGTGGCACAATCACAACTCACTGCAGCCTCGACCTCCCAGGCTCAAGTGATCCTTCCCACCTCAGACTCCCAAATAGCTGGGACTGCAGGCACATGCCACCACACCTGGCGAAGTTTTTGTATGGATGGGGCCAGGCTGGTCTCAAACTCCTGGGCTCTAGCAATCCTCCTGCTTCAGCCTCCCAAAGTGCTGGGATTACAGATGTGAGCCACCGCTCCCAGGTAAGCCTGGTTTTTTGACCACTGTGTTATTTCTGTCACAAGTTAGTTAGACAATGTTATGTCTAGCTCTCACTTCTCTAAGCTAACACCCCACTGCTCTGTTCCTCTTTGTGGTAATATTCCTCAAAAGGGCTATTTATACTCCAGGTCCTCCATTTTTCCTTGAACCCCTCCAGTCAGGGTTTCACCTCCCACCGCTCCATTGAAAGTCCTGTCATCTGAAGTCACTACAGCTAAATCCAATGGTTGGTTCAAAGTTTTGATCTTATTTGATATAGTTGATCACTCCTTTCTCCTTTCTTCTTGAAGTGCTTTCTCCGCTCTAGAACGTTACATGCCCCTGCCGGACGCGGTGGTTCACGCCGGTAATCCCAGCACTTTGGGAGGCTGAGGCGGGTGGATTGCTTGTGGTCAGGAGTCCGAGACCAGCCTGGACAACATGGTGAAACCCCGTCTCTACTAAAAATGCAAAAGATTAGCCGGGCGTGGTGGCAGGTGCCTGTAATCTCAGCTACTTGGGAGGCTGAGGCAGGAGAATCCCTTGAACCTGGGAGGCCAAGGTTGCAGTGAGCCGGGATCACACTACCGTACTCCAGACTGGGCGACAGAGCGAGACTCCTCTCAAAAAAAAAAAAAAAAAAATTACATGCTCCTTGATTTCTTCTCTTCTTATAGATTTATCTCAATGTCTTAGCGTGCCCCTGGGCTTAGTCCATGGACCTTGTCTCTTCTGTTTATCTGCTAAATTCACGTAAATTCAATCTATATACTACTCCCAAATTTCTAGCCCAAGTCTCCCTCTGGAATGTCATCTTCATCCATCTATTTGCCTATTTGACAGACATCTCCAATTTAACAGCTCAGAAATGCTCCCCCAGCCCTCCCAAAGTTTTCCCATCTCAGTAATGGCAGTTCCATTCTTCATTTGTTCAGGCCAAAAATATTAGCCTTTTGTGACTTGTCACTTTCTCTCACAAACCACATCCTATCTCTCAGTAAATAATGCTGCTGACTGTGCCTTCAGGATCTGTCTAATAATCTGACCATTTCTTACCACTGCCACCGTAACCATCTTGGCACCAACCACCATCGGTTCCCACCTCTACTATTTTAGCAGTTGGCTGACTGGGCTCAGACTCCCTGCTACTGCCCTTGACCTCCTTGAGTGTCTTTTCAGCCCAGCAGTCGGCAAGCCTGTGATGCCTGTAAAGCATATGCTATCATTGCCCTATTCAGAACCCTCTGGCGGCTTCCCAGGCCAGTCAGAGCAAACCCTGAAGTCCTGTGTGGCTTTTCTCACTTTCTTCTCCCTCTTGTTTGCTTGACTCCAACCACATTAGCCTCCTTGTTCCTTGAACACGCAAGGAACGTTCTTCCTGCCAGTAACCTGTAGGCTTGCTTCTTCACTTCCTTCATGTTTTTGTTTAACTATTACCTACTCTGACCACTCTTTTGTTTTGTTTTGTTTTTTTAAGACGGAGTTTCGCTTTTGTTGCACAGCCTGGAGTGCAATGGTGCAATCTTGGCTCTCTGCAACCTCTACCTCCCGGGTTCAAGAGATTCTCCTGCCTCAGCATCCCGAGTGGGATTACAGGCGCCTACCACAAAACCAGGCTAATTTTTTGTATTTTTAGTAGAGACGGGGTTTAACTATGTGGGCCAGGCTGGTCTCGAACTTCTGGCCTTAGGTGATCCACCCACCTCGGCCTCCCAAAGTGCTGGGATTACAGGTGTGAGCCACCACACCTGGCCATGGCCACTCTTTTAAAATTGACACCCCCCCCCACCACTCTCTTATGCCTCTTTTCCACTTTATTTTTCTCTATATCATTTATCACCTCTCACATACTTTATGTATGTAAGTATCTCTATGTATATATAAAATAAACTATATATATATGTAAACATATATATGTTTATTTGTTTATTCTTCATCTAGAAATAAGCTTCAAGGGAGCAGGGATATTTCCTTCCTTTGTTTCCTGCTGACTCTCTTAGCATCGAAAATTGTACTTGGCACAGAGCAGGCACTCAGTAAATATGTACATTCTGAATAAATTAATGAATCAACAAATGTCTATTAAAAACCTTGTTGGGTTGTCTATTAAAAACCTTGTTGGGCAGAATCTTTGATAAAGCACTGTAAATACAATGTCCTAGTCCCTGCTTGTAAGAATTTTCCAATTTAGTGTAGGCAACAGACCTATAAAAGTTTAACAAGGGAAGAATGTGTGGGGAAATAGTATTGATATTCACCTGGGAATGAAATTACATAGCTTCTGACTGAAACCTTGGTGTTGAGGGTGAATTATCTCCCAGAGGTAGTTAATGTTAGGTTCCTACCTGTGTCTAGGATTAAGAGAGCAGGACAGACAGAGGGGCACCTGAGAAGTCACACACAGCCCTCCGCAGTTATGAGTCCTACTCAGGCATGGGGTAAAACATACACATGAGCTTAAGTATGAATAAGAACTATTTCTTATAAAATATATTAACTAGTAAGTGTTAATGCTAACAGTCTGGTATGAAGAATAGATCTAACTTATAATTTTGACTTTTGTTTTACTCTTTTGGAATTAAAAATGTCTTTAACCTTAAAAGTTCTTTTAAAAAATTGTCTAATTTTTTGCATGCTTTGTAGAAAGAAAGAGACATCTTTCCTTTTTCCCTTACAGTGTCTAAAAACAAGCTTTGTGAGAATGGAGTCTTAATTTTGCAGGGGTTTTGGCATGTGGTTGTATGCAAATACAAAGATTCCAAATACGGATGTGTTGCATTATTTGAAAAAACCCCTTCAGAGACATATTTGCATATGGAGACGTGATTTCTGCAACTGAAAACAGTCAGTCCTGCACTCTCAAAACAGCCTTCAAGGACTTTTGAGCATCTGATTTCTGAACTTCTTAGGTTGACTTTTTGGCTTATGTGACTCCAATACGACTTTCAACAAAGATTTGTGTTCCAAAAAATGGTTTTAAACAATGCTTAACTAACAGCATGTTTTTCTTAATTTGTATTTTCAGTTTAGAATGCTTTTAACTTTATCAACATAATTAGTCATTGAGAACTTTTCTCTGTATTTTTATTTGATATGTACTGCGAGTAAACAAAGTCCTATATTCTGAAAGGGGACACGTAAGGGAGAGTTGAAGAAAATGATAAATATTGAAGAATGTAATTAACATGTTGAGAGTTTGCATTCCTGTTGTATCAGATTGGAGCTATTTTATAGAATTGGATCTAAATGAAGTATACATTTTATGGATGCTAAAAATACTCTTTAGCAATGTTTCTATTCAGAATGCATCATCATTAGAGAAAAGCTATTAAGGTTGCAGTGTGAATCACCAGTTGGAAAAAGAGAAAACATATTTCATTTCCAGTCCGGAAGCAATCCATGCATGCAGGCAGTATTCATTTTAACAGTCTGGATCAGTTTTTTACCATGAACTTCTGCTATTAGAAAAAATGCCTTTGTCTAATCTAGCTTTCCTTAGATGTGATGCAAACTCAGAACTATATGCCCCGGTCAATGTTAGAGACCCTAAAACCCCAGCTCATTTGGCATCTGTTCATTCATATTCCAGCTGAATCTCAGAAATGTGCTTAAGGGAAAGCATCTGATATTAGCAGTTTCTCAGCCAAGTCACAGGACGGGACATCCCAGAGTCATGGCCTGCTGCACTTTTAAAAGGGAAATTCAGGAATCAAAAAAAAAACAAACAGAGAATGGAATTTATGGAAAGTATGGAATGAAAAGCTGACATTCCCTGGGACTTGAAATGTTAACTCTGGATTTCCTTAATAGCTATAAACTGTGCCTTTCCTACTGTGGCAATTGTTGTGAGCTAGAACATGTTTATACCTTTTTATGTATAAATATTTTATCTGAGACTCCTGCTACTATTGCCACCCGATGCATCTTCCAAAAGGTAAAGCTTCCATCTTTGCATCACCTTCTCAGAAATCTGAATTGGTCCCATTGCTTTCAGAATGAAGTTAAGTTCATATGCTAACACTCAGGGCCTCTGTCTGTCAATCAGCAAAAATATATTGAACGTGTACTATGTGGCTAAGCATGTTTCTGCAGATACAAGGTAACATGGAGACCTCATGGAGCTTGTTCACCTTTTCTTTAACGTGAACACTCTGCTCCAAGCATTCTGGCCTTCCCTCTGCCCTCTTGTGTTGTCTTCACTGTTTCTGGAACAATTCCCCATTTGACATACCCTTTTCTATTCCTTTAGCCTAGTTAAACCTTACCCCACGACACGACACTTCTATTGCAAAGCTAGGTGGTATTTGGTTACCCTTCCTTTCCTTTCCTGGCTGTGGTAGTCCACAAAAGCATTTTCTCCCTTCAGTCTTGTTAAATTTTGTGCATATGTCTTATCCCAAAGTTTCAAAGGGTAGCAGGAACGATTTTAGCTTACAAAAGAAAAATGAAGAAGTCTATTATTTAAATATTCATTACTATGAATTTATATGATACAGGATGCCTAATACTATGTAAATATTAGTCAATTAATTTTCTTTTCCTTCTCCTTTTTTTTTTTTTTTTGTTTTTTGGAGGCAGAGTCTCACTCTGTCACCCAGGCTGGACTGCAGTGGTGCAATCTTGGCTCACTGTAGCTTCAACCTCCTGGGCTCAAGCTATCCTCCCACCTCAGCTACCGAGTAGTTAGGACTATAGGTGCATGCACACCACCAAGCCTGGCTAATTTTTAAATTTTTTTAGAGATGGGGTTTTGCCATGTTGCCCAGACTGGTCTTAAACTCCTGGGCTCAAGCGATGCTCTTGCCTTAGCCTCCCAAAGTGCTGGGATTACAGGCGTGAGCCACTACA
Organism: Homo sapiens; assembly: GCF_000001405.40. Taxonomy (NCBI): domain Eukaryota; kingdom Metazoa; phylum Chordata; class Mammalia; order Primates; family Hominidae; genus Homo; species Homo sapiens. Next base: position 66,199,051 of record NC_000012.12, read on the forward strand.
CCCAGCCTCGATTAATGTTCTAATAGAAAATGTGGAAACCTAAACTTTCCCTTTGCTGAAATTTGATATTTAGAGTTCTCTTGTTGGAATGTTCATTTTGAGAGTGGGAAGTGTTTTAAAGATAAGAGGTGTTATAATTAATTAACAGGCCAGGGAAGAGCAAGAAGATTTATTATATGTATTAGGTGGGACTACAAGAACATTTGTTATTAAGAAGTTTGAGATTGTTCAGTGAGGCTGTGTTTTGCCTGGAGTTGTGTCATAGGTCGATGGCAGTGCCACCACTAAATACATGTGTTCCTGTACTCACCCAGAGGCCCACGGGAATGCTCTGTTTTCACTAAGAACTTTTTTCCTTGGAAAGCAGGATAGTCTGCGGGGCTCAGACTCATTTATTTGTCTTGTTTTCAATCTGAAACTGTAGTGATTATTTTTTCCTCCCCAGGATAGTGTACTCTATCCAATACTTCTTTAAGAATTGGCCTCTCTTTGGAAGTACTCAGTTTTAGACATGGCATAGCTCAGGCTCCAGAAGCCACCCCTCCAGAAAGCCTTCCCTGCTGTTCTCATCTTTAGTTAGAGGCCTGTCTTCATGCTCAAACCACACTTAGTGCATACAATTACTGTATTACTGGCATATAGCAGATACTCAACAAATGTTTGAACTACACTGATTTGCAGTATTTCTCTTAAGAGTTTTTAGAAATAGCTAAATAAAGTGTTTATAAAAAATGTGCCTCAATGATATAGGCAGATTACCTCATCAGAAAGAAATATATTAAAATAACATTACCATATTTGGCTAATATTTTTGCTTTTTAAAGGCTTCCTTTTAAAAATGATAAGCTATCTAAAACATATATTGGCATTTGGATAGTCTTTGCCTCTGTGAAACATCATCTCTTCAAAGAGATGAGGAATGAATATATTCTTGCCAGAACTTGAAATATGGAGGAAGGGCAAAGACATTCTAACTCAATGATGTCAGACATTTTATTCTAGCTATTTTTCTTTCCTTACAGCCTAAACATGCATTGAAATAGAATGTCTCAACTTTATCTTCTCTTGTTTGATATGTAATTGCAAATGCTGCCACTCTATTTAACTCTGTTCTGGTACAAGTTGTAACAGAGTAACAAAATTCAAGATATGACCTTGTGTATATCAGTCAGGATAAACTAAGTTATGCTGCAGTAACAAGCAGCACCAAAAATCTCAGTGGTTTAACATAGCAGAGGCTTACTTTTTGCTCCCAGGAAGAACACTGAGAGTCCAGCAAACTCTCTTCCATGTAGTGACTCAGCATTTCAGGCTGCTTTGATCTTGAGGCAGCCCCCTGTCAACTTGTAGTGAATTGTGCCCTGGTTCTTCAGTGTTTCTGGCTGGAAGAGACACAGAGGCATGCCTAACCTGAAAGGGCAGGGAGATGGAATCCTCTATGATGGGATAGAGGGTTGGAAGTATTGGCAGCACTAGTAATGTCTACCGGGTCAATTTTTAGCTCATAGAAAGAGGGCCAGTCATGGTTTCATATTGTGAACACTTTCAATTTTCAGGATTTACTCACAGCCTCAGTGGGAGCATAAAGTTGAGGTAAATTGAATATTCCAGCAAAGGCTTATACAACGAAAAATTGGGCATGGGGGGGATGCCATATTAAGGCAGAAGATATTTGCCTTTCTGCTGGCTTGATTTCAAATATTATAACTGGTGTAGAAACTCCCTAAGAAATTAATGACCTTTGGACTCTAAAACAGACTTTTGTGTGTTTGTGTGTGGAAACAGAGTCTCACTCTGTTGCCTAGGCTGGAGTGCAATGGCGTGATCTCAGCTCACTGCAACCTCTGCCTCCTGGGTTCAAGTGATTCTCCCACCTCACCCTCCTGAGTAGCTGGGACTACAAGTGCACGCCATCACACCTGGCTAATTTTTGTATTTTTGTATTTAGTCAAGATGGGGTTTCACCATGTTGGCCAGGCTGGTCTCAAACTCCTGACCTCAAGTGATCCTCCCGCCTTGGCCTCTCAAAGTGCTAGAACTACAGATGTGAGCCACCACGCCTGGACCCAAAACAGACTTTTAACAGAAGAAAGTTTCACAAGACTTATCATTTTTCTGAGATCTGAACAACCATTGCCTTTTAAAAGCACATCTGCCTTTGAAGTCTCCCATTGGTGGACAGGGGAGTCCTATCTCCTATGAGACCACCTTGGTTCCTGCTGGAGGGCAGCTTCCACATATTGGTGTGTGGCAGGATGAAAGGATGCTGAGCTCCTAAAGCCAGTTATGGTGGTGTGTCAGGGGTCCCCCGTGACCACCTTCAGATAACAGTGGGATTTTATCCAGAGACTTGCATCCAGGATCCTAAATTTTTTAGTTTCTCTGGAAGGTAAAGTTATGAAAGGATGGTGCCATCACCACCAAAAGCCCAAAACACATTGTTAATTTTAGTGCTCAATATTCCAGATTGGGAATATTATCATAGGAACAAGACCACCTTTTCTGTCATTTGCTTTCTTTCTCCCCGCTTTGCCTCAAAGTACACTTTAAAATTTGGAAGTTGTGCAGAAAGGCAATATAAATTTTTGCTTGAAGAATCCTGTTAAATCAGGGCACCATAAAAACTCATATACTTTCTGTACAGTTTTAAGATGTTTATGCCAAACCTTAATTGAATTATTTAAAGCCTAGTATGCTAGTAAAACATTTCCCTGATTTTACCCAGATATTAGCTTTTAATTGCTCAAAAGTGTTCAATGGGAAGACAGGGGGAACAAAACACCATTTCTCAAACCTTCAACAGCTGAATCTAACTGTATTACGAATGAATAATAACCACACTGAAGGGGTGAGGAAGAAAAGAATTAATCTAAGTACTTTGGAACACAGCATCTTAACTGGATGCGCTTATGCTAAGGACAGAAATAATTATTGTGTTCTGATTTTGCTAATGTGTGTCTCACAGGGGTATGGGTTGGCAATTCTGAAAGCACTTTATGTGCATTGTAGAATTAAACAAATGAGTAAATATATTATCAATAATATTACTGTTCAAGAATAAAGTTACAAATGAGGAAGGACTGAAATATACCCTGTGATGTTGGATTAGAATCAGAAGCATCAGAATAAATTCTTGGTATTTAATATAAGCGCCTACTGATAGAGGAATAGAGATCCACGGATGAGTGTACATACCTACATTTCCTTGCTCTGTGCTCTTGGAGGGCCTAGAAGCAATGGAACCCTGGCCACAATGAGCAATTCTGGCACCAGGATTGAGCTTCTATACACCATTGTCCAATCAAGAAACCAGAGATCATTAGACAAATAATTCCAGTCCTGGAAAGGGGAAAATACAAAATGAGCCTGGAGCACCTTGTAGAGCCAGAAAATAAGGAGATACTCACAAAAAGATAGGGCTTGTCAAAAGAACACAAAAGGCCTGCCGTGGTAGTTCTCACATGTAATCCCAGCACTTTGGAAGGCCAAGGCGGGCAGATTGCTTGAGCTTGATCCTAGGAGTTTGAGACCAGCTGGGGCAGTGTGGCAAAACCCCATCTCTACCAAAAAAGAAAAAAAAAACCCACACAAATACAAAAATGTGCTGGGCATGGTGGTGCAGTGCACACCTGTAGTTGCAGCTACTTGGGAGGCTGAGGTGGGAGGATTGCTTGAGCCTGGGAGATGGAGGCTGCAGTGAGCTGAGATTGCCCCACTGTGCTCCAACCTGGGTGACAGAGTGAGATGTTGTCTCAAAAAAATAAAATAAAAATAAAAGGAAAAAAAAAAAGAACACAAGAGCCAACCAACCTATTGGACAAAGCTAGAATAATTTTAGCAACAAAATTATTAATGATAGTACTGGATTTTAACCTGTATGGTAAAATAAATATCCATGAGCCCATAGATATAAATAAACAACTGGATAAATAAATAAATAAATGTAGGAGAAGGGACAGCTGTTTCTTACCAAACAGTTCATGAAGGAAAAAGGGAAAATAGAAAAATCACCATTAAGCAAATATTGTAGTAATAATTGTGATAAATAAGATCCACTGGTGGATGCAAATATTAGTGGCCCAAATCTGAGGAGAAGCAGAGTATTTCCATAATCTCAAAGTATCTTCCCCGAAATATTTATTAATTATAAAGAGAAAGATAATTTTATAGTAGAGAAGCTCTGCAGACAGTCCCTTCACTGAATGATAAAAATAAACATTATTATTGATAAGACATTGCTATCTTAAACCTCTTGATATTATGCACTGAGAAGGACAATATCATTTCACTGTCCTGAAAGACAAGGAAAGACTGAGGGACCATCATAGATTGGAGGAGATTAAGGAGAAGGAACAATTAAATATAATATGGAAAACTGGATAGGATCTTAGAACAGAAAAGAGGCATTAGTGGAAAAACTAGTGAAATTAGAATAAGGTTTGCAGTTATCACTGATTCTGATCATTGTATTGTGGTTAGTAAGATGTCAACATTAGCAGAAGGCAGGTGAATATATTCCAAATTAGTTCAAAATAAAAGTTATAAATAAGAGGAAAGTTAAAGTTATAAATAAGAGGAAATAAAACATTAGGTACACAAAAACAAGTATTTTGATAAAAGTACAGTAAACAATTCTTTGTTTATATTGCAATTTCCACAGCAGAGAGACTTTCAAGCAGCTGGCTGGATGTTCGTCATATTGAAAAGTATGTAGACCAAGGTAAAAGTGGAACAAGAGAATTACTTTGGTCCTGGGCACAGAAAAACAAGACCATCGGTGACCTTTTACAGGTCCTCCAGGAGATGGGACATCGTCGAGCTATTCATTTAATTACAAACTATGGTAAATGCTGATTCTTATAATGTGGCTCTTAATCTGTAATAGGAACTGTAATTTGTAAATTCGAATATTGCATTTTATCCAAGACATTGACTCATGCTCTGTGTCAGTGTTTCCTTACCTGTGGCTTTTATCTGGAAGGGACTTTCCAGCTTCACATTTTCTTGTGACACTTTCTTCCCTTATCACCTAACTTATACAACATATTTCTTTCTATCACTTTATAGTTTTGTTTTTTTAACTTACTTTTACTTACAAACTACACTTTTAAAAATGTTTCATTTTTAGCAGTTAATAGAATCAGCTCTCTGTCAAAAACTCTGAAACTCTTTGAGTCATAAACAGTTGGAATCACAATATTTGAGATACAGATCATGCTATTCTTTGTTTTACTATATATTACAAGTTAAAAATATAATTGTATTTTCCCCCATATTTAATATTTTATATTGTACCTACCTCCAGAATAATCTGGGGATGTTTCTTTTATCTTCACTGCTGTTTTTACACCACAGCGTTTAACCCTGCCTTACTTGTTACTACCCATTCCACAGTAGCCTAATTCTTCCCTTTGTCTTCTCTATTTCTGGGTCTGTGTCATGCCTTATATTTAGAACAACATGATCAATAAAGTTCATGAAGTTTTCTCCATTTATTCTTTGTCAGTGAAATAATCTAACATCACCTGTTCTGTTTGTTCCACTTAGATGTATTCATTTCAACAATAATGATCTTGGGTCTTATGTTATAGACCCAAGGCTCTTAGATTGGAAACTCTTTTGAATCAACATCTTTATTCTTTGGCTCTTTTCATAGATCGCATTTTTAGTTTTGTGTATTTGCACACATGTTCTTTGGTAATATATTTAGTGCGCATGAGCCCTTGCGCACACACACACACACACACACACACACACACACACACACACAAGGAATCCTGAGAGATTTGTACCAGAAAACTGTAGCTTCACATTGACTTTTATTTTGATCTTTCCTATTATTGGGATATTAGTTCCTAATAGACTTCCACCATGATATTATTCATATAACTTGGCTAATTCCCTTTGTCTTTTGCACATTGTTTCTTCACTTAGTTTAGGGCAGCAGAATACTTCACTGTGAAGTTGACTGAGCAAGTGAAATTCAGTGAGTCCCTGGGAACTGTAAATGCAATGCCTTTTCATTATCTGAGCCTTTCCCAGCCACTGAAACCACCCACATGGCTTGCTGTTCACAATACAAACTTACGCCACTTTAATAGGACACACAGGTATGTTTTATACTTCAGTGTTCTGGAATAAATTTTAGGGTATATTTTCACTCTCTATGTTGTTTATTTGTGCAGCAGAGAATAATGTGGACTGTAAGTAGACAAAAATTCCACATTCTTGGTTGACTCTTAGTCTGTTGCACATGCAACATTTATTTTTCTTTTTTTGATGTGAGATTAGCCGATTGGTAAAAAGACTTTACTGCCCTAGTACAAAGAGATAGGTAAATCTGAAGTGAAGAGGAGGATAGCACCTTACTTCTTTACTAAAGAAAATAGCATTATTTAATTGTAATTGATTGAGTTGATGTTTCAAATTAAATAACAATTTTGAAAAAGTTAATTATGTAGTTGTTAAAAGTGAGATGTGATGATTTGTTGGAAGCATAAGTGTAGCTTGCTCAACAGGCGTTTCCTATCATAGCTACTCATTAAATTAGGAGTTGGAGCTCCTAACTAAAGATGCATAAAATGATTTAGTCCTTCTATGCTGCCACCGTGGACAGATTTATCAGTTATCTAAATAATCAGTTATTGCCCACCTTTCCTTGCAATTTTATTCTGTTTTGTGGAACTGATTTTATTTTAGAAGAATTTGGGGCTTTTATATTCCAGCTTCCAGGCATCACTTTGTAGATTTGGATTTTCCTAGTCATATTGAAATGGGCCTTTTATTTCCTCCCAGGTACTATGCCTACAATTCAGGTTGCTGCTGCTAGGTGGTTTCTTCACATCAGTAAAGCATTCTCTCAGATCTCAGGACATAACAAAATTGCTCAAGAAACTAGAATCTCTATTTTTTGTTATTATATTTCTGGCATGCATGTCCTTATGTATCACATTTTGTATTTATAATTCAATGTTCAGCAATTGTTTTCCAGTTTTGACACAAAATTCGCAGCTTTCTACTGGCTTCTTCTTAAGAGAGACATTTTCAATCTTCCATTTTATATGACAATGAAGGATTCTCTCTCTTTTCACAAACAGCAAAAGAAATAATGACTTTTAGTGCCCATACAGCCCCCAGATTTCACATTTTTTTCTACACAAATTCAGTATGTTTGTTATTTTTTCTTCTTGCCTAGTTGCCCTGGCTAGAACCTTTAGCATGTTGAGTAGAAGTGGCAAGACCAGACATCCTTATCTTGTTCCTGACCTTAAGGGTAAAACATTCAGTCTTTCATGATTAGTGATGTTAACTGTCGGTTTTTTGTAGATGGCCCTTATCATATTGAGGACATTTTCTTCTGTTGGTAGGGCTTTTATCATGATAGGGTGTTGGATTTTTCAGATGCTTTTTTGTCATCTATTGAAATGAACATGTGTTTTTTGTCCTTCATTCTGTTAATGTGGTGTATTACATTGATTGATTTTCAGATATTAAACAAATCTTGGATTCCTGGGATAAATCCCATTTGGTCATTGTATCTAATCCTTACATGCTTCTGGATTCAGTTTGCCAGTATTTTGTTGAGGATTTTTGCATCTATATTTGTAAGAGGTATTGGTCTGTTGTTTTCTTGTAATGTCTTTATCCGGCATTGGTATCAATAATACTGGTCTCATAAAATGATTTGGGAATTGTTCTATCTTTTTCTATTCTGGAAGAATTTGTGAAGGACTGGTGTTAATCTTCTTTAAATGTTTGGTAGAATTCACCTGTGAAGCCATCTAAGCCTCGGCTTTTCTTTGTGGGACGTTTTAAAGTACTAGCTCAATCTCTTGTTATGAGTCCATGTATATTGTTTATTTTTGCTTGAGTTAGTTTCAATAGTTTGTGTCTTCCTAGAAACCTGTCCATGTCATCTAAGTTATCTAGTTTTTTGGCATATCATTGTTCATAATATTCCTTTATAATTCCATTTATTTCTGTGAGGTCAGTATTGATGTCCCCCCTTTTATTCTTGATTTTAGTAATTTGAATCTCTTTCTTGGTCAGTTAAGCTAAAAGATTGTCAATTTTAATGATCTTTTCAAAAAAACAATTTTGGTTCTATCGAGTTTTCTTTTTAAAAAATCTTCTATTTCGGCCAGGCGAGGTAGCTCAAGCCTGTAATCCTGGCACTTTGGGAGGCCGAGGCAGGCAGATTGCCTGAGCTGAGGAGTTCGAGACCAGCCTGGGCAAAACGGTGAAACCCTATCTCTACTAAAATACAAAAAAATTAGCTGGGCGTGGCAGCATGCGCCTGTAGTTGCAGCTATTCAGGAGGCTGAAGCAGGAGAATTGCTTGAACCTGGGAGGTGGAGGTTGCAGTGATCTGAGATTGCACCACTGCACTCCAGCCTGGTTGACAAAGTGAGACTCCATCTCCAAAAAAAAAAACAAAAAACAGCAAACAAACAAAAAAATTCCTCTATTTCATTTATTTCTAATCTTAATTATTTCCTTCCTTTTGCTTGCTTCAGTTTAGGTTGTGCTTCTTTTTCTAGTTCCTTAATGTGAAAGTTTAGTTTACTGATTTGATGCCTTTCTTCTTTTTTTAAGGTAGGCATTTGCAGCTATAAATTTCCCTCTAAGCATGGCTTTTGCTGCATCTCATAACTTTTGATATGTTGTGTTTTCATTTTCATTCATCTCAAGGTATTTTCTAATTTCTCTCATGACTTCTTTTTTAATTCATTTGTTATTTATGATTTTGTTGTTTAATTTCCAGATACTTGTGAATTTCCCAAATTTCCTTTTGCTGCTGATTTGTGCTTGTATTTCAATATGATCAGAAAATAGACTTTGTATGATTTTAATCCTTACACATGTATTTGAGGTTCATTTAATTGCCTAAGGTCAGGTCTGTTCTGGAAAATGTTCAATTTATACTTGAGAAATATGTGTATATTTTGGTTTTGGATGGAATGTTCTATAGATGTCTGTTAAGTCTAGCTGGTTTATAGTGTTATCAAGGAAATTTGTTATTGATTGGTTATGCTTTCTTGCTAGTTTTCTAAGCAAAATAATTTAAGAAACACTAGAAGATAATCTAGAAAGAAGAAAGCTAGACTAGAAAATGAAAGTTTTCTAGTCTGAGACAAAATGTTAGAAATGACAGCAAAATATGGCAGGGTTTTACTCTTTTGTAGGAAGCTACATAAATTACCTCAGTCCAGACAGCACTCTACCACATAGAAGTTATAGTCGACATTTGGGGTGGTAAGTATTTGTCATTGATACACACACACACACACACAAACACACACACACGCACACACACCACCTCCAATACTTTATGGCACAAGATGATATAAAAAAATAAACTAACCCAGGAAGATATAATATCATAATTGTAACATTTAAAAATATATGTGCAAAAATGCTGATAATACAGCTGGGCGCTGTGGCTCATGCCTGTAATCCTAGCACTTTGGGAGGCTGAGGCAGACAGATCACTTGAGCTCAGGAGTTTGAGACCAACCTGGCCAACATGGTGAAACCCTGTCTCTACTAAAAATACAAAAATTAGCTGTGCATGGTGGCAGGGGTTTGTAATCCCAGCTACTCAGGAGGTTGAGGCAGGAGAATCACTTGAACCCAGGAGGCGGAGGTTGCAGTGAGCCAAGATTGCACCACTGCACTCCAGCCTGGGTGACAGAGCGAGACTCTGTCTCAAAAAAAAAAGAAAAAAGGCCCAGTGTGGTGGGTGGCTCATGCCTGTAATCCCAGCACTTTGGGAGGCCGAGGCAGGCAGATCTCTTGAGGCCAGGAGTTCGAGACTAGCCTGGCCAACATGGTAAAACCCCATCTCTACTAAAAATACAAAAAAAATTAGCCAGGCATGCTGATAGGTGCCTGTAATCCTGGCTACTTGGGAGGCTGAGGCAGGAGAATCACTTGACATTCTCAAGTGGAGGCAGAGATTGCAATGAGCCGAGATCATGCCACTGTACTACAGCCTGGGCGAGAGTGAGAGTCCATCTCAAAAAAAAAAAAAAAAAGGCTGATAATTTTTTTTAAATTTTCTTCTTTGTGCTTTAATATTTTTAATGTCTAACAACAATTTGTCTTATTACTTGTTTATTATTTAATTATTTAAATTATTTAAAGTTAATAATAGATTAAGGCAACTACTTATGTTTTAAGTGAACAAAAGTATGTTTGTATAACATTTGTTAATTAGAAAGCTATTTCACAAATATAATACTTCACAAATAATACTTTCACAAATTTATCGTAATGTTGCATGGGAATGAAACTTTAGAAATGAACAATGGCTAGCAAGACATTTATTTTCAGAGTCTCAGAAAGGAAAAACATTAGGGACATAAAATTTTTTTGTATCTACCTTCCCATATTTCTCTTTCAGGAGCAGTGTTGAGTCCTTCAGAGAAGAGTTATCAGGAAGGTGGATTTCCAAATATATTATTCAAGGTAGAGTATGTGTGCATAGAAAATGAGCCTTGAACTTTGTTGCATGTATAATTGAGCATAAGGAATGAAATTAGCAGGCAGAAAAATGCTGGATTTGCCGGCACTTTTTAAAAATCAGAAATGCCTTTGTTCTCTCATTATTCTCTATTTAGTTGAGGATTTAGGAAATTAGAGATTTATAAATATTTGAGAAATTAAGAGCTTTCTGTTCTCAGTGATCTGTCAGAGATGAGACTGAGAACTACTAAGGATGCTGTGATTTATACATTTGTCTTAACTCAGCTTTTAATTTTCCTTTTTTGGTTGGTGTTTTGCATGTCACTGTTAGTTTTTATTAGAGCAAACTAGCAGTGATCATTTTTATAGCATTAAAAGTAATTTAAAATTGACTTTGACTGACTATGACATTGAAACTTGAGTTTTTACTGTTGGTGTGAAAGCCTTAAATATGGCAATGAATGCTATTAAATAAAGTGAAATAACTTTGATTTCTGCTAGCTTTCTTTTAAATTAGGTTGCACTCTGTTGCACTGCATAGTCCCCAGGGAGCTTTGGATTTGTGTTGAGGCTCTGTTCTTTCTAGATGTATGAAATGGAATTACTTTAGT